>NC_000013.11:49658106-50908106 GCF_000001405.40 Homo sapiens
AAGGGACATCGCTACACACTTTACAACAGATCTCGTGAGAGCTCTATCATGGGACAGCACTAGGGGAATGGTGCTAAACCATGAGAAACCACCCCCATGATCCAGTCACCTCCCACCAGGCCCCTCTTCCAACACTGGGACCTACAATTCAACATGGGATCTGGGTGGGGACACAGAACCATATTAGGTGATGTAAAATTCACTTCCTTACAAAGGTTTCTGACTATGGTTAAAACACATCAGCCTGAGTTTGGCCCATGGGGAAGTAAAGAATAACTACTGATAATGAACCAGGAAATCTGACTGAATAAATTACCAAATAAAATGATATTATGAACAAAAATAAAACACACCTTGAGCAACATAGTGATACCTTGTTTCTATTAAAAATTTAAATTACCTGGGCGTGGTAGCACATGCCTATAGTCCCAGCTGCTTGAGAGGCTGAGGTGGGAGGAGAGCTTGAGCCTGAGAGGTTGAGGCTGCAGTGAGCCATGATCTTGCCGCTGCACTCCAGTGACAGAGTGAAACCCTGTCTCAATATAAATAAAAAAGTATAACATATATACAGAAAAGTACATAATTTATAAATGTACAGCCAAATATCACAAATTATAACTACCCCAAATGAAAAAAATAGGACATTACCAGAAGCCCCTATGACTTCTCCCCATCACTGCACCCATCTTGTCCCCCAAAGGCAATTTCCATCCGGATTTCTTGATTTTTCATTTTTTATTTTTGGTTTTTTATACAGAAAGGTCTCACTATATTGCCCAGGCTGGCCTTGAACTCCTGGACTCAAGCGATCCTCCCTCCTCAACCTCCCAAAGTGCTGGGATTACAAGTGTGAGCCATTGTGCCTGGCCATCCTGATTTCTAACACCATCGATTAGTTTTATGTTTTTAAACTTTACATCAATAGGATCACCGAACATGTATTCTTCTGGTCTGGCTCCTTTTGCTCCTCATTATGTCTGCAAAATTTCTCCATGTTGTTATGAGTAGCAGAAGGTTGTTCATTTTTTGAGACAGGATCTTGCTCTGTCGCCCAGGCTGGAGTGCAGTGGGGTAATCACGGCTCACTGCAGCCTTGACTTCCCAGGCTCAGGCAATCCTCCCCACTCAGCGTCCTGAGTAGCTGGGACCAGAGGCGCCACCAAACCTAGCTATTTTTTTTTTTTCATTTGTGGTGTGAGGGTCTCACTATGCTGCTCAAGGCTAGTCTTGAACTCCTGGGCTCAAGTGATCCTCCCGCCTTGGCCTCCCAAAGTATTGGGATTACAGGCATGAGCCATCATGCCTAGCTGGTTGTTGGTTTTCATTGCTGTACAGTAATCCATTTACGTATAACTTATTCATTTAGATTGTTTCCAATTTGGGATTATTATGAATAATGCTGCCATTCTGGTGCATATATTAAGCATTTCTGTGAGGTACATACCTAGGAGTCAAACTGCCGGGTTACAGGATATAGATGCTTGGCTAAGCTCTTGGGGGTGACTACGGGATGACCACAGAATGGACCACCCCCAAGGGCAGCACTACCAGTGAGGCCACCACTGGGGCTACTCAGACCACAGACCTGCTGCTCCCGCCATGACTGCCTCTTGATACCCAGGGAGTTGGACACTTGGTATAGTAATGCCAAACTCTCACATTTCCATGACCTTACTTGTCTGCACAAAACAGAAAAGAGGGAGAGAGACAGAGAGAGAGGGAGGGAAGAAGACAGGAGAGAGAGAGGGAGACAGAGAGAGAGAGAAACAGTAGAAAATGGCCTCTATATTTTCACCCTCCAAATCTCTCAAGTACTTCTGAAAGGTAAAACCAATTTGGCATCTGGGACCAGGGCCTGCAGCCTCTGCAGGGTAGGAAGCCAACCTAGAAGGAGAGTGGAACACAGACTGAGCTATCAGAGCTACAGCATCCGCCACAACATACCAAGGGCCTGGTCTATGTGCTGGGCAAGGCAGAGATCAGATCTGTGAGCTCAAGAGTCTAGTAAGAAAGGCAAGCACTGAACAAGTTAACGTAAGTACCTGCTCCCCAGCCACCACAGAACTGCTAATTCATCTCCCAGACGAGTGTTTTCTGAAACGCAATGTAATCACGAGTCCCTCTTGGTGCTGAGGGTAAGTGCCAAATTGGTGCTTTCCTTCTCTCAATTCTGTAGAAGGTTAGGGCATACATTTTGCATATTTATTTCATGCTCATCTTATTTCTCTCTCACTCTCCCTGTGTTCCTATTTCCTGATTTACTTTTCATCATAATGTATTATGTATTTCTGCAAGGCATCTCCAATCTTCCTCCTTGAAAAAGGACAAATATAAATCAATCATCTCTCTGCATGGGGCCCCAGTGTTTACCCATTTACTCAGGAGGAGTCAGCTCACTCACCAGCTCCTATTTGGGTTCACAAACTTTAAATAGTATAAATATAAAAACAGAAGCTTTCAATTCATTTCTGGTTTCACATTGGTAACCAAAAAAGACTGGTGAGAAGATTAAAAGATGAGGCAAGAACATTTCCTTTGGAATAAAAAATTAATATAACACTGCAGTATTCTAAGATAATTGGTTTTACTAATGTGGAACAATTAATGCCAGCCATAAAATGTATAATTAAACATTTTATTATTACAAATTCAAATTTGTTCTCTTTTCCCTATATCACCATTTAATTGAACAACAATACAACGAAAACTGGTCGCCTTAAAACCAATTTGAAACAGGTTGTTCAGGAGCAACAATACAAAAACAAAGTGTAGACTGGAATGTATTACATTTTGGCCAAACAAAAAGATTTGATTCATTCTGGTTCATGAAGTTAGATAATGGTGTTTATGGTTTTGAAAGTTCACTGAAACTTCTTCACTGAACTGGTTTCTTTCTGATGCATTTTCTTGAGTTCTAGCCATGACTGCCACAGTAGCAGTCCTGGGATCAGAACCCACACACCGTTAAAAAAAAACAGGTAAAGCCAACAGTACAGCCAGTTGCTGGTGTTGAGGTTGGGGCTTCTGGTGAGCCACTCTGGGAGGAAGGTCATCCAGCAGCCATACAGCTCGCACACGCACAGGGTGATCTGCAGGAAATGCCTGTTGGAGAGAAAGAAGCCCGGGATGAACCACCAGCTTGGCACAGTTTGGCATCAGAGTCATGACATCTTGTCTGTAATGGCGGCATCAACAGTCTTCGCTATGAAAACCGTCCTAAGTTGGGCCTCAGATGTTGGGTGGTGCTATTTTGATGGGGGCAAGTCAATCTAATTAATGAAGGCTCATTCTTTCCTTAGAGGAGCAACACTGCCCTTTCTAGATTATTCTCAGAGTTAAGTAAGGACCCTCAGGGATCCTGACCCATTCTTGGGGAAATTTGGTGAGATCACACCTGACTTAACACAGAGAGGCCTGACTCTGAATCTCACCATGAGCCATTATAAAAGGGGAGAGTGAGTAATAACCCCTTCCTCAAACAGTGTAGTGCAGACTAAATGAGATATGAGGATAAAGGGCCAAGCGATGGGCAAGTAAAAGGCTCAATAATGCAAATATCACAAATGTTTAAAATAATAAACACATGGGCACACGTAGTAAGTTTGCAACCAGCGTCATGGAGTGAAAAATACGTCAAGGTACCAAGGAAAAATTTAATTTTTATTGCCAACTATCTCTCTAAAATTGGGTGGGGAAGGAAGCTTTAAATAAGACTTCTTCATTACAAGATGGTGGAAAATGGAATGCAGCTGTGCCTACTTGAAATTGTTTTAGGGATTCATCTCAGGATAGCAATCTATTCACCCCAGGCCACTCTGTCCCTAAGGAAAGAAAAGGAAGGAAGGGAGGAGAGTTTATAGTCTCTGAGTCTGATAGGATGGATAATTTTTTCATCCTTTTTTTTTGAGACAGAGTCTCGCTCTGTCACCTAGGCTGGAGTGCAGTGGCACGAACGTGGCTCACTGCAACCTCCACTTCCCAGGTTCAAGCAATTCTCCTGCCTCAGCCTCCCGATAGCTGGGACTTACAGGCACCCGCCACCGTGCCTGGCTAGCTAATTTTTGTATTTTGAGTAGAGACGGGGTTTCACCATGTTGGCCAGGCTGGTCCTGAACTTCTGATCTCGTGATCCACCTGCCTCGGCCTCCCAAAGTGCTGGGATTATAGGCATGAGCCACCGCACCTGGTCTCTCTGCACTCCGCCTGCCCCATATCCTTCACAATCTGCTTCTGAGAAGATTTCCTATTTATCTTGCAAGTCTGACTCCAAATTATATAAGATAATTTACTTTTTGTCAAGTGGGACAGGAGTTTTCTTGAATGATTTGGGGGGAAAAGGATGGACGTATTATGGTTTTATTCTCCAAAGTATTGGTGGCAAATCATCCAAGAGCGTTAGCACCATTCTTGCCTCTACAGAGTCTAGGTTGTTATTAAAATAATATTTCTCATATTTTTGATTCTGAAAAGTCTGAAATGATCCTAGTAGCACCATCACCCTTATCTCACATAAAATAATTTTCATTTCTCTTCTGCTTTTTTTTTTTGGAGACAGGGTCTATGTCACCCAGGTTGGAGTGCAGTGGCGTGATCATGGCTTACTGCAGCCTTGACCTCCTAAGCCCAAGTGATCCTCCCACCTCTGCCTCTTAAGTATCTGGGACTACAGGCGTGTGCCACCACGCCTAATTTTTAAATTTTTTATTCCTTGTAGAGACAGGGTCTCATTGTATTGCCTAGGCTGGTCTCAAACTCCTGGGATCAGGTGATCCTCCCGCCTCAGCCTCCCAAAGTGCTGGGATTACAGGTGGGAGCCACCGCGCCCAGCCTCTATTCTTCCACCTTTTATCTAACAAATATATGTGGTCACAACCTACTCCAAAGGTCACCTAAGTGTTGGGACATGTAATGTCTCCCCTCCTTCCAGCAGGACAGAAGAAGGGCACCTACCGGTAATATTTTTCTTTGACTATGGCATAAATGAGGAACAATGCCAGAGACCCATCCAGGGCGACGGTCAGAATTTCCACAGACACAATGGTTGGATCAAAATAAACCCATCTTGCATCAGCTTTGCCATATTCTTTCCCTAAAGACAAAATCCATGTTGTTACTCAAATGGCAACAATTTTTATGACAGTTCATGGAAATGACCTTTCTTTCCTTTAAGGTGGAGATAAAATGAGTAATCGCCACTCTCTCTGCATTCTTCACGATGCCTTAGTGGAAGGCAGGAGAAGCCCTGGGACCAAAATGCGTTTACCACCTGACACAAGCACTGAGAACAGCAGCAGGTTTACAGGTGTCCAATCATTCAGTTTCCAGCATGCTTTCACATACACGCCCTCCTCAGCCCCACCCTCTTCAACATAAGTAGCAGAATTTTAAAAGAATTCAACATGGTCAGATTTTGCAAAGACAATCTCCAGTCATGATCTTGGTAAATACATTGTAATTCCTTACTTCAAAATTTCCATATAAATTCTGTAAGTATAATGGAGATGTGGGAAATTTGTTATGAAGGACATGTTTATAAAAAACACGTTTATGGCCAGGCACGGTGGCTCACACCTGTAATCCCAACACTTTGGGAGGCCAAGGCGGGCAGATCACGAGGTCAGGAGATCGAGACCATCCTGGCCAACATGGTGAAACCCTGTCTCTACTAAAAATACAAAAAATTAGCCAGGCATGGTGGCGGGCACCTGCAGTCCCAGCTGAGGCAGGAGAATGGCATGAACCCAGGAGGCGGAGCTTGCAGTGAGCCGAGATTGCGCCACTGCACTCCAGCCTGGGTGACAGAGCGAGACTCCGTCTCAAAAAAAAAAAAACAAAAAAACAAACAACCAAAAACTTGTTTCTTGGCCAGGCACGGTGGCTCACGCCTGTAATCCCAGCACTTTGGGAGGCCAAGGTGGGCGGATCACTTGAAGTCAGGAGTTTGGGACCAGCTCAGCCAACATGGCGAAACCGTGTCTCTACTAAAAATACAAAAAGTAGCTGGGCGTGGTGGCGCATGCCTGTAATCTCAGCTACTTGGGAGGCTGAGGCAAGAGAATCGCTTGAACCCAGGAGGCGGAGGTTGCAGTGAACCGAGATCGCACCACTGCACTCCGGCCTGGGCAACAAGAGCTAGACTCTATCTCAATACAACAACACGTTTATTAATAACAGAAGAGAAACTAGGTGCTGAAGGGACAGTGGGCAGGGAGGGGAGGAGAGAGCCCAGACTGCAGAATGAATCGGAGTGGGCAGAGGGGCATCTCCGCCCACAGGGACAGGGAACTCACAATGGCTCTCACACAGTCTCAGCTGTGCTGCTTGGGGAGCCAGTGTGCTCTCAGAGATCCATCCAGACCCATTATCAGAGTGGTTTCTTCTCAGGAACACCATGACTCAGAAAGTCTTTTCAGGGCTGGAATGATGGCCAGGTATTATGGAGGCCATTAAAAATTATTTAATTACTTTCTTAATTTGTAAAAGTAATACATGCTGGTCCTAAGATCTCAAATGATTACAGTGAAAAAATGGAAGTGATCACACCTCGTCTCCCCCTTTAATACTGCCTCGCATTATTCAGAAAAGGTGTGAAGTCCACAGAGGAGCCTGTGATCTGCTACTGAGCAGCACACAGCTCTTGTCTCATAAAGACCAGAGGAAGGATCCCTCAGGGCCTGGGACAAAGGTTTCTAACAAAAGGCTGTCCTAAGAGAAAGGACAATAAGAGGATTAGCTATTTAATGGGATAACACACAAGGCACATGCTGAGGGAATGTTCTGTGAGAGGCCACCGAGAGTCATCAGCCTGTCCTTAGCTGACTGTCTGCAGTCTCCTGTGCCCTCCAATAACTAACTGGAAAACAATGTCATATTGAAACGTTTCTCCTCTAAATTTAAATATACATACAATAGGTGAAATGTACCAGTTAGTGCACCTAAAATCTAATAAAATATCACCTAAGTAAAATGTCAGTTCTTTAGGAACAAAAAGAGATATTGACCAAGTCTTTTTTTTTTTTTTTTTGAGAAGGAGTCTCACTGTTACCCAGCCTGGAGTGCAATGGCATGATCTCGGCTCACTGCAACCTCTGCCTCCCAGGTTCAAGTGATTCTCCAGCCTCAGCCTCCCAAATAGCTGGGACTACAGGCACCCACCACCACACTCAGCTAATACTGACTGACTGAGACGGAGTCTCACTTTGTCACCCAGGCTGGAGTGCAATGGCCAGATCTTGGCTCGCTGCAACCTCCGCCTCCCGTGTTCAAGCAATTCTCCTGCCTCAGCCTCCCAAGTAGCTAGGATTATAGGCACTCACCACCATGCCCGGCTAATTTTGTATTTTTAATAGAGATGGGGTTTCACCATGTTGGTCAGGCTGGTCTTGAACTCCTGACCTCAGGTGATCCACCTGCTTTGGCCTCCTAAAGTGCTGGGATTACAGGCTTGAGTCACTGCACCTGGCCTAATTTTTGTATTTTTGGTAGAGACAGGGTTTCACAATGTTGGCAAGGCTGGTCTCAAACTTAACCTCAAGTGATCCATCTGTTTTGGCTTCCCAAAATGCTGGGATTACAGGCGTGGGCCACCGTGTCCAGCCTTCAACAAGTCTTTTTTTTTTTTTTTAAGCATTTGGAAGGTGTTATGGTAGGCCCTGATAATGCAGCTGCAAGTAGGACCATGTTGGCCCTTAGTGGCCCACATCCTAGTGAGGCTGAAAACCAGGCAGTAAGTGGCGGTTAGCGAATATGAGGGCAGGGAAGAAGTGGCACTGAAGCCAGACTACGAACTTCAGGGAAGACTTCCTGGAGGAGGTGTTTTGATCACTGCCTCTCTTCCCTGTTGGTGAGGGATGGACTTCTGCCTGAGGGCTATGGTGATGGCTGAACACACAAGACCCGACACTGGGCAGATGAGATGGAGGAGGTTTATTAGTTGCACACACTGTGGCCCGGGAAAGGAGGACATCTCGCCATGCAGGGCCACATAGGGGTTGCACCTGGGAACAGTGTTCGGGCAGGGGCCACGCAGGCAGGCTTTGCAGTAACAAGAGGAGGGGGTGGGATGAGCCCTGGTTCCCCACAGAGGATGTGATTGGCTTGTCTGGATAATTCCACAGGCAGACTGGTGGGAACTGAAGCCTGCTACTGAGGGGACAAGCATTTGTCCCCTCCAAATCTGTGCCTGCTCCCCTTGATAGGGAGAGCTATCTGGTTAGGGAACCTTATATGTGGAAGCAGAGTGGGGAGGGAGACTTGCAGTTTGGCCATCTGAGGCCCCCCTGGATCTTACCAGGTATCAAAGCAGACATAATACTGAATCCCAGCCAGGGAGGGTGGCTCACACCTGTAATCCCAGCATTTTGAGAGGCCGAGGCGGGTGGATCAGTTGAGGTCAGGAGTTTGAGACCAGCTTGGCTAACATGGTGAAACCCTGTCTCTACTAAAAATACAAAAAATTAGCCAGGCGTGGTGGTGGGCGCCTGTAATCCCAGCTACTCGGGAGGCTGAGGCAGGAGAATGGCATGAACCCAAGAGGCGGAGCTTGCAGTGAGCCGGGATAGCACCACTGCAGTCCAGCTTGGGCGAAAGAGTGAGACTCCGTCTCAAAAAAAAAAAAAAAAAAAAAAACAAAAATTAGCTGGGCGTGGTGGCGCACACCTGTAGTTCCAGCTACTTGGGAGGCTGAGGCAAGAGCATCACTTGAACTGGGAGGCAGAGGTTGCAGTGAACTGACATTGCGCCACTGCACTCCAGCCTGGGAGACAGAGCGAGACTCTGTTAAAAAAAAAAGAAAAAAAAAAAAGGCAGACATAATACTGAATCCTAATTTCAGGCCTTATACCACAAGAGATGACTCCAGATCTGAGTGGAAAATAAGGGTGTTTCAGGGAGGAGCATGTGCAAAGGCCTGGAGCTGAGAGGTAGCGTGTCTGAATCTACAGACAGTTTAGCAGAGCTGATGGTGGGGGAAGGTTAATGCGTGAGAGGAAGGTAGGGGACGGATAGTAAGGGGCCCTGGAATCCACCAGTCCCAGCGCATCTCCCTGTGGCATCTCCCTCTGGCAGTCCCTCTGGCATCTCCTCTACTGCTAAACTTTAACCATCTCTTTGCTTATTAAACACTGAAACAATAAAAAGGCAAACAGGAGCATTAAAAAGCCTGACGATGTGATCATTTCCATTGATTCTGTGACTGATAACTGGACTTAGGTGAGGTTTACAAGGAAAAGATGCAAACTAAGGGTCGGGGTAGATTTCCTCAACCAGAGCCATTGTTGTGTCCTCAACCAGACAGTGGAGACCAGGAGATGCTGAGTATTCATGAGGTTTATGGCTGGCCCTGCATCCCAGTGAAGCCAAGGTCAGAACACAGGTCATCATCAGAAGGTCCTGCCCTAGACACACGGTATCAGAATCTGCATTTGAGTAAGATTCCCAGGTGATCTGGGGCACTTTGGAGTCTGGGAAGTACTACTTGCTTTACATTATCTACTGGATTTTTACTTTCATGAAAATAAAGGACACCTTCAATAAATGAGTTTTTACTGCGTTTTGGTTTTTAGAAATACGGTCTTACTGTGTTGCCCTGGCTAAATTCAAACTCCTGGGCTCAAATAATCCTCCTGCCTCAGCCTCCCAAGTAGCTGGGGCTCCAGGCTCGTGCCACTGCACCCAGCTAGTTTTCACTTCTTTAAGGTGCATAATGTAAACGTGAAGATGATAGAGAAAGCCTGTGTTAGACATTTGCATTTCATGGGATTGAGCCAAATCTGGGCTGTTTGCTTTCTCTCATGCCAGGCAGGGCAGCCAGGGGAGGAGGTGTCAGCATGGCATCTGGCAAAGGGGAGAAGAGGACACTCAGCAGGGAGGAGCCATGACTCAGGCTGGGGTCCGTCAGCCTCTGGGCTTCACCAGCAATCCCCAGGCAGAGTTTAATGCAGCCAATCAAAAGTGCATAGCTGCATTCAGCTGAGCCCTGGATCTGAAGTGGCTCTACTCTGGTCAAGGGGGCTCAAACTCCTTGGCTAGGACTTGAGGCATCAAAGATGACACCTTTTCCTTTGGGAAGTACTAATGAGCCTACTCAATTCTCTAGATGTTTCCTAACACTAGTGGTAAACAGGAGTCCCCCACACAGATCCTAGCTGGAGATGATTTTAGAGTCACAAAGAAATGAGATATATGGGCCAGGCGCGGTGGCTCATGCCTATAACCCCAGCACTTTGGGAGGCCGAGGTGGGCAGATCACGAGGTCAGGAGATCGAGACCATCCTGGCTAACATGGTGAAACCCCGTCTCTACTAAAAATACAAAAAAATTAGCTAGGCGTGGTGGCGGGCGCCTGTAGTCCCAGCTACTCGGGAGGCTGAGGCAGGAGAATGGCGTGAACCTGGGAGGCGGAGCTTGCAGTGAGCCGAGATGGTGCCACTGTGCTCCAGCCTGGGGGACAGAGCGAGACTCGCCTGAAAAAAAAAAGAAAAAAAAGAAATGAGATAAATGATGCAAAGTTTCAGAAGCAAAACCTGAAAGCAGTTATCCTGAGAAAGGCAGTTTTATAAAGTGGTAAAAAAAAATACCTGTTGGTATTGACACAGTACATGGTAGAATATCAATGCTAATTGAATATTGACTGACAATGAGCATGAAGACTTTTGGAAAGGATCTACAAGACCACAAATATATATGTACAATAAAAAGAAAGTTGATATTAAAAGTATGGGAAAACCACCCAGTTTAAACCCCACAAGCTCTTCCATCTGCACTCACTACCAACATTTTTTTTTTTTTTTTGAGAGGGAGTCTTGCTCTGTCACCCAGACTGGAGTGCAGTGGCGTGATCTCGGCTCACTGCAAGCTCCACCTCCTGGGTTCACGCCATTCTCTTGCCTCAGCCTCCCAAGTACCTGGGACTACAGGGGCCCGCCACCACGCCCAGCCAATTTTTTATATTTTTAGCACAGACAGGATTTCACCGTGTTAGCCAGGATAGTCTCCATCTCCTGACCTGGTGATCTACCTGCCTCAGCCTCCCAAAGTGCTGGGATTACAGGCGTGAGCCACCATGCCCGGCCATTCACTACCAACATTTTTTATTTTATGTATTGTTTTTTAGAGATGGACTCTTGCTCTGTCGCCCGGGCTGGAGTGCAGTGGTGCAACTGTGACTCAATGCAGCCTTGAACTCCTGGGCTCAAAAGATTCTCCCGCCTCAGCCTCCTGAGTAGCTGGGACTACAGGTGTGCACCACCACACCTGGCTCATTTAAAAAACTTTTTTTAAAGATAGGGTCTTGCTATGTTGCCCAGGCTCAAATATTGTTTAATATAATAGCTTTATTAAGATGTAATTCACATGCCACACAATCTACCTATTTAAATAATTGGTTTTAGTAGAATCACAGGTTTGAATCACCACAATCTAATTTTAGAACATTTCATTACCCCAAAAAGAAATCCGTGCCCATTAGCAGTCACTCCTCATTTCCCCCCAACACCCCCACCCCTACCCTCATTCCCACGCAACCAGTAATCTACAGTATCTCTACAGACTCACCTATTCTGGACATTTCATATAAATGAAGTCATACAGTATATAATAGAGGCGTTTGACAGTCACACTTGCAATAAACCTCCTCCAACATTTCAAACGCAAACGTTTTTAATTACTTACATAAAGAAGCAATCAAGCCATCGGAATTTGCAACGTTTCCTACTAAAGACAAGTAGACAAAAGGGCCTTCCTAGAGAGGAGAAAATGAAGACATGCTCTAATACAGCATCACAACCACAGGATGGCACTGTAGACACATGGCATTGCCTGGCTCCATCCCCCACCCTTCTCCATGGCTCACATCCTGGCCACAGCCTGGAAACATCCATACAACCTTGTGGGATACAATCTTGGGACCTGGTTACCTGGACCTTGGAAATGGGTATGTCTCACCCTAATGTACAATTAATGTTGTTTTTCAATGATTGGCACTGTAAAAGCAGAGATGTGTTCTTATGTGGAAAAAGTGAAATTTTTGCATAAGAGTTTAACTACTGTATTAAATAGAGTAAGCTCTAGATTATTCCAGGGATCTTAAGTCTTTGCGGAGAACCCCACAGAAGTTCACTTTTTTTTAACTCAAAAAAATCTAAGATCTTAAAGAGAAAGGCAATCAAGTTTATACCAGCATTGAGCAATCCTCCCCCCTTCTCCTATATAAGGGCAAGTTTAGGAAGATTTAAAACAGTTACAGGCTACATTTAACATTCAGGTAATAAAATATCTGCAATTACAGTTAGTATTTTCCCATCACTGAAGTGCTTCTTTGCCTAAGATTTCTAAAACTAAACAGCTAGAAGCCACTGGGATATGTAATTGTCATGTTGCTCCTTTGAACAAATTTTGCTGCTGGTCAATAAAACTTTTTTCTCATTCCTTTTAAACAATCATTTGTATGACATTAAAACTGGGTCCTGCCACCCCAGAGGTCACCACTCTCAATCACATCTCTTTGCAGTTCCCGCGGTGATTTCATAATATACTTACACTGCTATTTCCTTCGACTACTAGCAGGAAAAGCTATTGTTTGATTGATACTCCTTCCTCTCCCGTTTCCAGTCCTTCGAGTTTCTGATATATTATTCTATTACTTACACAAATTTGTAACTTAAGTAAAAAAACTGAAAACCTCAGCTCACTCACTCATCAATTTTGTGCAGTCTCTGGGCTTCTAAACCACGAAAGAGTATGACAGCCTCTACCAGGCTCCCCGCACCCTGTTCCCAACTCTCAATTTCTGTCCAGTTTGCTTGTGCATTGTTGAGACTGATTACATGTCCTTTCTTGTTCTCTAAACATATTTGTTTTCCCTGTTTTATCTGTAACTGGATTCTAAAAGCTGAAAAAGCCAATTAACAGCATTTACAATGTTGTGATTATGGAAACAGCGTTCACTGTAATGGGCCACAATTTCTTTCCTTAGGGATCCCGTATCCTGACTCCTGTGTCATTTAAGGATAATGCTGCAAATGAAGTATCCTTTGTTTTCTTTTTCTGAGATAGTCTCACTCTGAAGCTGAAGATAGGCTGGAGTGTGGTGGTGCAACCTCAGCTCACTGCAACCTACGCCTCCCGGGTTCAAGCGATTCCAGTGCCTCAGACTCTCAAGTAGCTGGGACCACAGGCGTGTGACACCACATTCAGCTAATTTTTGTTATTTTTAGTAGAGATGGGATTTCACCATGTGGGCCAGGCTGGTCTTAAACTCCTGGCCTCAAGTGATTTCCCCACCTCGGCCTCCCAAAGTGCTGGGATTACAGGTGTGAGTCACCGTGCCAGGCTCCAAAAATCATATCCCTTAAAGGACATTAAAAAAATCATATGAGAAAAATAGCTGTGTTTTTAACAAATAAGTACTCCCCAGTCCACTTACTTTGCAACACTTTATTTTTACCAGCCAATTTTTTATTTTTAGCAGAGCCATAGGGTGAAATCCATACCACTTCCTTGCTCTGGCCTGAGAACTTTCTACACAAAGCACATCCACTGGGCTGGCCAGTGGGGCAATGGGGCTGGACTGGATTTGACCCTCTCTAGGCCTCAGGCCATCTATCTGTAAGATGAAGGACTTCCTTCCTATAGATTGTAAATCTCATCCTAAAACGAAATGCAACCTCCACTGGCGACCTCTTTCACTGGACCCATTAGTAAGATGTGGAGTCTGACACCAGGTTGCAGACCTTTCCACAGAAGCAACTCTGGGTAAGAGCAAGATGGGGAACTGGAAATCAGTAACATGCAGGAACCTATGAGTCTATAACAAATCCGTTTCCTTTTACATCTACTTGTTGAAGCTCTACTCATTTTTCAAATCCCAGCCCTAACCCCCTTCTTCAAGAAACCTTCTTTGACCTCCTAGTGAGAATTAATATCTCACTCTCCTAAATCTCCCATGTGGCTAAGTTTGTTTCTGTAACCAGCAGCTATCTGCTCGCTATGGACCCCCAGCTCCCATTGGATCACACATCATTGGGATCTGGAATACTGTCATCTCTACCTTAGAATCCCCAAGAAACATGACATTTGTGTTCCGTGTTTGCTAACCTTGAATTAAGTTCATACAACAAATTACTTATAAAGAAGGATGCCCTGAAGAGGCTTTTAGACTGCCCTATCTCTTACTGTATTAATGTCCTAAATGTAAAGATAGTATAATACATATCAAGTGTAACGAATATTCATGCCTTCAAATGCTGATCAGGTGTCACCTCCTCCAGGAAGCAAGATTTTACTATTCTCCTGCTGGGAGGTCAGTGCCCTCCTACACAGAAACTTGCTCACTTGTCTCTTCCCAAAACTGCCAGTTCTCTGAGGGCCAATTCTTTCTCTTTTATCTCTGTATTGCAAATGGCTAACACATAGAACATGCTAATAAGCGTTTCCTAAAAGAGTAAGAAATAAAAGGGATAATAGAAAACAAGACAGTTAAAAATAATAATAACAATAATAATAATCTGGTTAGAAGATGGGCAAAAGAAATGAATAGACATCTCACCGGAAAGTACATAAAGATGGCAAATAAGCACATGGAAAGATGTTCAACCTCATTAGCCACCAAGGAAACACACCTTCAAGCCACAGTGAGGTATGACTGTATAAACTATCAGAATGGCTAAAATAAGGTTGGGTGTGGTGGTTCACGCCTGTAATCCCAGCACTTTGGGAGGCCTGGGCGGGCGAATCACGAGGTCAGGAGTTTGAGACCAGCCTGGCCAACATGGTGAAACCCCACCTCTACTAATAATACAAAACAATTAGCCGGGTGTGGTGGTGTGTGCCTGGAGTCCCGGCTACTTAGGAGGCTGAGGCAGGAGAATCGCTTGAACCGGGAGGCAGAGATTGCAGTGAGCCGTGATTGTGCCACTGCACTCCAACCTTGGCGACAGAGTGAAACTGTGTCTCAAAAAGAAAGAAAAGGAAAGGAAAGGAAAAGAAAGGCTAAAATAAAAAATAGTGGCAACATAAAAAAATACTGGCAACATCGAATACTGGTGAGGATGTGGAAAAACTGAAACAAACACAGATTTCTGAAGGGATAGAAGCGATACAGCCACTAAAAAAAACCAGAGTTTGGCAGTTTCTTCTAAAACTAAATATGCAATGACCATACGACCCAGCAATTCCACAGTTGGGTATTTCTCCCAGAAAAATAAAAACTTATCATCTTTATACAAAAACAACTACACGAATGTTCATAGCAGCTTTATTTGTGGTAACTAAAAACTGATGTCCTTCAAAAAGCCAATCCCAAAAGCTTACATAATGGTTACATTTATTTTTATTTCTGTATTTATTTTTTGAGACACAGTTTCACTCTGTTGCCCAGGCAGGAGTGCAGTGGCTCGATCTTGGCTCACTGCAACCTCCACCTCCCATGTTAAGGGATTCTCTTGCCTTAGCCTCCCAAGTAGCTGGGATTACAGGAATGCACCACCACGCCCACCTAATTTTTGTATTTTTAGTAGAGATGGGGTTTCACCATGTTGGCCAGGCTGGTCTCGAACTCCTGACCTCAAGCGATCCACTCGCCTCAGCCTCCCCAAGTGCTGGGATTACAGGCTTGAGCCACCATGGCCAACCCTGTGGTTACATTTATATAACATTTTTCTGAAATGATAGATTTTAGAAATGGAGGACATTGTTAGTGGTTGCCAGGGGTTAAGGGATGGAGGTGTGGGGTGGGGGGATGTGTAGTTATAAAAGGAAAACACTAGGGATCCTTGTTAGTGCTGGAACTATTCAATACCTGGGCTGTTGTGGTTGATATATGAATCTACCCAGTTGATACAATTATATGGAACTTAATACACACACACACACACACACACACACACACCACACAAAGAAACTGACAGTCTGAAAAAGATCAGTGGACTGTATCAATGTCCATATGATGGTTATATTATACTATAGTTTTACAAAATTTTTGGTACCAAAATTATCAAAATAGAAAATAACTTTTTCTTTTTTTAGACAGAGTCTTGCTCCCCAGGCAGGAGTGCAGTGGTGCGACCTTGGCTCATTCAACCTCCGCCTCCTGGGTTCAAGCAATTCTCCTGCCTCAGCCTCCCAAGTAGCTGGGGTTACAGGTGCCCGCCACCATGCCTGGCTAATTTTTTGTATTTTTAGTAGAGATGGGGTTTCGCCATGTTGGCCAGGCTGGTCTTGAACTCCTGACCTCAGGTGATCCACCTGCCTTGGCCTCCCAAAGTGCTGGGATTACAAGTGTGAGCCACTGCACCTGGCTGAAAATAATTTTTTAAAAACCCACCAAAATGTTAGCATCGTGGAAACCTGGGAAAAGTAAACAAGGGACCTCTGTATTATTTCTTACAACTGTATGTGAATCTACAATTACCTCAAAATAAAAAGTTAATTAAAGAAACAGAGAAAGACATGGGAGAAAGAGTACCATGACTAAATGAATGGGCTTTTTTTTTTTTTGGCAACTGTCAGGACTTAAAAAAAAAAATTTAGAATAGGCCAGGCTCTGGCCTCAGAGAGCTTATTGTCTAGTTGGATAACAATGACTTCCAATTCAATAAAGGATGGAGGAAGATGAGGGAGCTGTAGCTGAGGCAGTGAGGAAAAATTTCAGAGGGAGGCAGGCTGAGAGGTAGGAGGACAGGGATGGAGCCCAGAGGATGGTGTGAGGCCCGTGGGTCCAGCTTTTGCCCTGCTCAGCCCTGTGGCACAAACAGTAGTGCTCAGGGGTACTGTGTACATTAACAATGTGTGCAACCATCGCCACCATCCATTTCCAGAACTCTTCATCTTCTAAAACTAAAACAATGTGCCCACTAAACACTGATTCTCCATTTCTTCCCTCTCTCAGCCCAACACCCAGCACTCTATTTTGTGCATCTATGAATGTATTTTAGGTACCTCGTGTAAGTGAAATGAGACCAGTCATGCTAAGCCTCACAACGGTGATACGCTCTGAGAAATGCATCATTAGACAGTTTTGTCATTGTGTGGACATCATAGAGTGTATTCACACAAACCTAGGTTGTGTAACACTTACCTCACACGTAGGCTATATGGATAGCCTTTTGCTCCTGCGTTACAAACCTGTACGGCATTACTGTACTGAATACTGTAGGAAATTATAACACAATGGTATTTGTGCACCTAAACACAGAAAAGGTAATGCACTGCACTACAACATTATGACAGCTATGATGTCTCTAGACAATAGGAATTTTTCAGCTCCATCATAATCTTATGGGACAACCATGGTATATTCAGTCCCTTATTGACTGAAATGTCCTTATGCAGTGATGACTGTATTTGTCCTTTCATGTCTGGGTTATTTCACTTAGCATAGTGTCTTCTAGGTTCATCCATGTTGTAGCATGTGTCAGAATTTCGTTTCTTTTTAAGGCTGAATAATATTCCACTGTATGCAGGCACTGCATTTTGTTTATTCATTTGCTGGTGGACATTTATGTTGTTTCCATTTTGGGGTTATTGTGGCTCATAAGTCTGCTGCTATGAACACTGGTTTGCAAGGATCTGTTGGAGTGCCTGGTTTCAATTCCTTTGGGTGTATATGTAGAAGTGGAATTGCTGGATCTTAAGATAAATGTTCAGCTTTCTGAGGAGTTCCCACACTGCTTTCTGCAGCGCTGGCACCATTTTGCATTCCCACCAACAGTGCACCACAGTTCAAACTTCTCCACATTCTTGGCCAACACTTGTTATTTTCCTTTGTTGTTATTGTTTTTTTTTTTTTAATAGTACTCATCCTAACGGGTGTGAAGGAGTATCTCACTGTGGTTTTGATTTGCATTTCCCCTAATGACTGACTAGTGATGCTGAACATATTTTCATGTACATATTGAGCTCTTTGGAGGAATTTCTATTCAAATCCTTTGCCTACCTTTGAGGTTTTTTTTAATTGTTAAGAATGTAAGTTTTAAAATGGAGATATCATCACTTGGAATTTGAAACCACTGGGCTAGACTGCCCCATGGGCAAGATGAACCAATAATTCTCAAAGCATTTGGTAAAGCAGAGCAGGGGCCATTTTCATAAGAATCTGAGAACAAGATCTGCCCACTCATCATGAGGGCAAGGGGTCTGCAGTGAATCTTGAGCCCCCCTCCCCTGCTGCCTGGTAACCTCCTCTTCGGTCTTTAAAACCCTAGTGAGGCCGGGTGCAGTGGCTCACGCCTGTAATCCCAGCACTTTGGGAGGCTGAGGCGGACGGACCACAAGGTCAGGAGATCGAGACCATCCTGGTTAACACGGCGAAACCCCGTCTCTACTAAAAATACAAAAAAATTAGCCGGGCGTGGTGGCGGGCACCTGTAGTCCCAGCTGCTGGGGAGGCTGAGGCAGGAGAATGGTGTGAACCCGGGAGGCGGAGCTTCCAGTGAGCCCAGATCATACCACTGCACTCCAGCCTGGGCGACAGAGCAAGACTATGTCTCAAAAAAAATAAAATAAATAAATAAATAAATAAATAAATAAGAAAGAAACCCCGGTGAATCCTTCCTTCCTCGGTGCCACCTCTAGGCCTGGACAGTCTTATCACTCACCAGACTGCATGACAATGATTTGTTTCCCTCTCTGCTTTCCCTACTATTAAAGCTCCTTAAGGGCGGGGCAAGGTTGATTACATGCAATAAACACCAAATACACATACAGTGAGATTTTATAGATAATCCCAGGCTGATTCTCCAGACTTTCCACAGCTATCCCTGAATCATGTGGTATTAGCCGGGCCACCTAATTCCTTAGTCCTTCCTAATTTTTTTTTAGTGATAGCAGAGATGACATGGGTCCAGAGGTGTGACTTGCAAAAGTCCTTTGTTGAAACATTCAGTATATTAAAAAAATGCTCTCGTTTGATTTAAAAAATAGGACCATTGCAGACATGGGCAGGTCTGGTGGGTCAGTGTGCACTGGCACTGTCTAAATAGCAGGTCATCCTTTTCCGGGAAGGGGCAGTGGTTCTACATGAGGACACTGCCCTTGTGTTTTATGTAAAAAGGAAGCCAAATAGACCAACAAACACTTGTCTTTTCTTCATGAAGTAGGTAATACACCAGTAGCAACTCCCTGATTCTTCCCTGAAACAATGCTAAGAGCTGGTATCCCTTCCCTGTATCATCACACTTGTCCACTCCCACTGCAGCCCACGTCAATCCTGCTGCATCCCACCCCAGGAAGGTCATTCAGATCAAAGTCAGAAAAAGCACATGGTGAAAAGGAGGTGAGCCTGCCAATATCAGAGTTCCAAGTGACATCTCTGAACATTCTGTGATTCTGAGACTGGCTGGCTCTTACCCTAACAGAACTCACAAATATAAATCAGCAAACACAGGCCCACCACTTTAGGCTGCACCATCCACAGCTGATTCTCATCAATAAAGACGCCATGCAAAAACAAACAAACTAGGTGTGGGAGGCAGAGGCCCCAGCTTCAGAATGAGACCTGCTATTATGGTTTTAAAGATTGTAAGGGCTGGACGTGATGGCTCACGCCTGTAATCCCAGCACTTTGGGAGGCTGGGGCAAGCAGATCACCTGAGGTCAGGAGTTCAAGATCAGCCTGGCCAACAGTGAAACTCCTTCTCTACTAAAAACACAAAATACAAATATTGTGTCTGGAATTGGTGGGTTCTTGGTCTCAATGACTTCAAGAATGAAGCCGTGGACCCTCGCGGTGAGTGTTAGTTCTTAAAGATGGTGTGTCAGAAGTTTGCTCCTTCTGGTGGGTTCGTGGTCTCACTGGCCTCAGGAGTGAAGCTGCAGACCTTCGCAGTGTTACAGCTCACAAAGGCAATGCGGACCCAAAGACTGAGCAGCAGCAAAATTTATTGCAAAGAGCTAAAGAACAAAGACTCCACAGCGTGGAAGGGGACCCAAGCCGGTTGCCGGGGCTGGCTTGGGCAGCCTGCTTTTATTCCCTTATCTGACCCCACCCACATCCTGCTGATTGGTCCATTTTACAGAGAGCTGATTGGTCCGTTTTGACAGGGTGCTGTTTGGTGCGTTTACGAACCTTGAGCTAGACACAGAATGCTGATTAGTACATTTACAATCCTTTAGCTAGACACAACAGTTCTCCAAGTCCCCACTGGACTCAGAAGCCCAGCTGGCTTCCCCTAGTGGATCCCGCACCAGGGCCGTGGGCAGAGCTACCCGCCAGTCCTGCGCCGCGCGCCGGCACTCCTCAGCCCTTGGGCGGTCAATCGGACAGGTCGCTGCGGAGCAGGGGGCAGTGCCCTTCAGGAGCGGGGGTGGTGCCGGCTCGGGCATGGCGGGCTGCAAGTTCCGAGCCCTGCCCCGTGGGGAAGCGGCTCAGGCCCGGCGAGAATTCGAGCGCAGCGCGGACGGGCCAGCAGTGATGGGGAACCCAGCTCACCCTCCACAGCTGCTGGCCCGGGTGCTAAGCCCCTCCTTAACTGGGGCCGGCAGCACCCACCAAGCCAGCGCCCACCCAGAACTCTGCCCGGGAGCGCCGTGCGCAGCCCGGGTTCTCGCCGGCGCCTCTCCCTCCACACCTCTCCACAAGCAAAGGGAGCCGCTCTGGCCGCGGCCAGCCCAGAGAGGGGCTCCCACAGTGCAGCCGCGGGCTGAAGGGCTCCTCAAGCATGGCCAGAGTGGATGCCGAGGCTGAGGAGGCACCGAGAGCGAGTGAGGCCTGTTAGCACGTTGTCACCTCTCAATATTAAAAAATACAAAAAAATAAAAATTAGTCAGGCATGGGTGGCACGCGCCTGTATTCCCAGCTACTCAGGAGGCTGAGGCACAAGAATCGCCTGAACCTGGCAGGCGGAGGTTGCAGTGAGTCAAGATCGTGTGTGTCTGTGCCTGGGTGACAGAGTGAGACTCCGTCTAAAAAAAAAAAAAGACTATTCAGGGGCTTTTGAATAAAATCTGCTCTAACCACACAAAGACCGAAGATCAAAGCCACTGAAAACACTACTTACTATTTGCCAGGCACCAAAATTATCTGTGGAATTGTAGAGAATGGAGACAGTTATAGTTCCTCCTGTGAATTCATGCTTTATATTAAATGAACTGTACAGTACTTTCTTTCTTCTCCCTTAAAATTGTTTTTAGACTCTGGGGCATGAAGTTTATGTTAAATAACCAAATAAACATGGAAGGTTATCAGCTCCAAAGTCTTTAACCACAACGTATGATAGAGATCCAGCCATCTGGAACTAAGATTCATGTTTGAGCTCAACAAGCACTGAGGATCTAAGGATCAGATGAAAGGTGCCTGGTCAACAGCAAAGGGCCACATGCAGGATGTTGCTGTAATTGGGAAGGCAGGGCTCCACTAGGTGTCAGGCGTGATATGGTTAAGCTTGAGCAAAAGCAAGTACAACAGATTGTATTTCTTTCTTTTTTTCTTGTTCTGTCACCCAGGCTGGAATCCAGTGGTGTTATCACGGCTCACTGCAGCCTCTCAGACTCCTGGGTTCAAGCAATCCTCCTGTCTCAGCCTCCAAAGTAGCTGGGACCATAGGTGTGCACCATCATGCCAGGCTGATTTTTCTTTTTTTAATTGTAGAGACGGGGTCTCGTTATGTGGTTGAGGTTGGTCTAGAACTCCTTGGCTCAAGCGCCTCCTCCCTCAGCTTCCCAAAGTGCCAGGATTACAGGTGTGAGCCACCATGCCTGGCCGAGATTGTATTTCTGACATTCATGGCTACTTTCACCTCTCCGGGCTTAAATTTCCTAACCAAGAAAAAAATAGAGTCAAGCTATATATATATATTAGTCAATATATGTCTAGTGAATGAATAAGTAATAAGGAGAGGCAGGCTGGATCTGCATCTCCACCTTTTGACAGAGTCGCTCACCAATTTCCAGCCTTGAGCACAGCACTTGGAAGATGCATGTTGCTTACTGAGAGGATGGTGAGGACCCTAAGCGGAGGCCCAGGTAGTGTCTGTCAGCAGAGGGCCAGGTTGGTGGGAGGGGCCTGCTTCAGCACCAGCACTTCCAGTGGGCATGAGCCATGAGTTCTACACCTGCCAAGACCCACGAGCCACAGGGAAGTCAAGCTCACAGCGACCACCAGGGTAGATCCCTGACTGGACATGATGAGGTCTTCGAGGACTCCTGTACTGTCATTTCTATGATAACATGAAAGGCAGGCACCTGTCCCTGAAGAAGACCTGACTTTTTAGAGACAGACTTACTCAGTACATAAACGTAAAGTGACATGAGGTCCAGATCACTTTCCAGTACTTCAGCAGTAACAATGAAAAAGGGAGGGAGAGAAGGACAAAAACAGAAGAAAAAGTGACAGATGGGCAAGTGCAGCAAAACTTGAAAATGCTGAATCTGCTCACTGATACTGTACTAGTCTCTCTACATTTGTGAATGTTTGAAATTGTTCACTGTAAAACTTAATTTTAAAAAGATACATAGGCTTATGCCTGTAATCCCAGCACTTTGGGAGGCCGAGGTGGACAGATCACAATGTCAGGAGATCGAGACCATCCTGGCCATCATGGTGAAACCCCCACTCTACTAAAAATACAAAAATTAGCTGCGCGTGGTGGCACGCGACTGTAGTCCCAGCTACTCAGGAGGCTGAGGCAGGAGAATTGCTTGAACCAGGGAGGCGGAGGTTGCAGTGTGCCAAGATTGTGCCATTGCACTCCAGCCTGGTGACAGAGCGAGATTCCGTCTCAAAAAACAAAACAAAATACAAAACAAACAAAAAAAATATATGTGATACATGTTAAAGTTAAAAAAAAATTATAAAAAGGTACAAAGCAAAGGATAAAAGCCTCTCTCCCTCCTGACTCCCAATCACGTTTCCCAGAGATGACCACTGTTAAGTTCCATGGTAGCCTTCAAGAATTTTTCAGGTTTATATTAATAAGCAGTTATAAATATTTAAAATATTTTCTCCCTGCTATGAATTTTTCTATTATTAACCCAGAGGGTGATGAGGAAAATTTCATAATACTTATTTAAGTTCTGTATATCAAAAAATTTGGTTTAAAAAATACAGTAAAGTTCCTACTGGACATATGTTATAAAATATAACTGAACTATATTTAATTGAGCTGCTAACAAAATCAGCTTAAAAATTAAAATGTATTATAGCAAATAAAGAAAGGCCAGTCTCATTTTTCTCTTAAGATGTCCCAGGCATGAAATTTTTTTCTTTTTTTAAGATGGTCTCGCTCTGTCGCTCAGGCTGGAATGCAGTGGTGCGATCTCGGCTCACTACAACCTCTGCCTCCCAGGTTCAAGCAATTCTTCTGCCTCAGCCTCCTGAGTAGCTGAGATTACAGGCACACGCCACCACGCCTGGCTAATTTTGGTATTTTTAGTAGAGACAGGTTTTCACCATGTTGGCCAGGCTGGTCTTGAACTCCTGACCTCAGGTGATCTGCTCACCTCAGCCTCCCAAAATGCAGGGATTACAGGCGTGAGCCACCACACCCAGCCCAGGCATATAAGGGTTTTAACAACGTATTTTATAGACTTAAAGACAGCTATAAGTCAAAGCTCAGATCAAACAAATGATTAAGTTATGCCAGCTATTTCCATTGATAATATCCAATTTAAAGAGCATGCTCAATTTACTCATTTTAATCCTTAAAGAAAAATTTAGCAGAAAAAGTCCTTAAAGAAATAAAAAGAACACATACTGAGGCTGAGTTTATATTTGAATGTATCTGTTTTTTTGTTGTATGTTTGAATGAAGACCTAGAGAAAACATGGCAACATTCACTTTCAAGAGTGAGAGAATGAAGTGGAGCAGGAATAGAATCAGTACATAAATCCTGTCAACATTTATTAGCATTTGCAAATCTGACTCACAAAACCTCAGCCTAATCAGACTGGATTTTTGCATGTCATGACAACAGCATACAACATTGTTTCTGGAGGGATCAGCTGCGGCAGCCTCCTACTGTCCTTTGGTGACAAGGCTTTAATGACTCCATAAATGTATGCTGCCCAGCTGCTGCCCGCTTAATTAGACGATGATTTCCACTTGATTGAACCTGCCCAGCAGCCAGTTGTCACCTAACATTCACAGGAGACCACACTGGTCTCTTTCAGAACTACCAGGATCAAACAGTCACACGAGTTCTATGGTTCCTACAACATGGCAGTATACTGTTTGATTTAGGACTTGAATCATATTTCTCCCTTTTTAAGAATATACCCTTCTCTGCCAGAAGGTTGTTACTTCTCAGATTAAAGATGTGAAAGGAAACCTTCCAAGGCTCATCTTAATTGGACATATACATCATCACTTTAGTATACAGGGATGGGATGACAAATGCTAATCCGGGTATGGAATATGGCAAGGAGGATTCACACTAAGAGGACAGAGAAGAGAATTACATTTACTGAACTCTGGCAAGTGCCAGGTGCCTTACATCTTTGCCATTCAAACACGGTTCATGAACCACAGCCTGGCACTCACTTGGGAGCTGGTTACCAATACAGAATCTTGGATGATCCCTGGATGATTTGTGTGCATGGCCAAGCTTGAGAAGCACTACGCTAAGTTATAAGGCTTTATTTAATTCTCACAGCCGTTTGAAGAAAACATTATTTCCATACTTCACAGGTAAGAAAACTAAGAAAATTTCCTTCCTTCTTTTCCTCCTCATTACAGAAAGGATTTGCAGGGGAAAGGGGCATGCCCAAGTTTCTGAGCTGGTCATCGGGAAAGCTGGCATTCAAGGGTGCATCTGCTGCATCCCAAAGGCCCTTGTTCTTTCCACCTTCCCCCACCGCCCCAGGCTCCTTGGATGATGGTCAGACTCCACCTAGAACCGTGTTTAGGAACTGATACTGCATTCATTCTTTCATTCATTCATCCATGAATTTATTGAGCTAGAGTCTCCCTCTGTCACCCAGGCTGGAGTGCAGTGGCGCCATCTTGGCTCACTGCAACCTCCACCTCCCAGGTTCAAGCTATTCTCACGCCTCAGCCTCCCAAGTAGCTGGGATTACAGGTGTGCACTGCCACGCCTGGCTAATTTTTTGCATTTTTAGTAGAGACGGGGTTTCATCATGTTGGCCAGGCTGGTCTCGAACTC
This sequence comes from Homo sapiens, assembly GCF_000001405.40. Taxonomy (NCBI): domain Eukaryota; kingdom Metazoa; phylum Chordata; class Mammalia; order Primates; family Hominidae; genus Homo; species Homo sapiens. Next base: position 49,683,201 of record NC_000013.11, read on the forward strand.
CCAACCTCAGGTGATCCGCCCGCCTCAGCCTCCCAAAGTGCTGAGATTACAAGCCTGAGCTCACGCCTGTAATCCCAGCACCTTGGGAGGCCGAGGCGGGCAGATCATGAGGTCAGGAGATGGAGACCATCCCTGGCTAACACGGTGAAACCTCGTCTCTACTAAAAATACAAAAAAAATTAGCTGGGCATGGGGGCAGGCACCTGTATAGTCCCAGCTACTTGGGAGGCTGAGGCAGGAGAATGGTGTGAACCCGGGAGGCGGAGCTTGCAGTGAGCCGATCGCACCACTGCACTCCAGCCTGGACCAGAGAGCGAGACTCTGTCTCAAAAACAAACAAACAAACAAAAAAAACAAAAACAAAAACAAAAAACAAGCCTGAGCCACTGCACCCGATCTGGTACTGCATTTGAAAATGCAACCTGTGGCATGTATGAGGGTGACAAGTTTTAGTCATATACATCTATCAGAATGACTAAAAACAAAAGTAAAAAACACAAAAATGCTAAGTTTTGGTGAGGCTGTGGGGCAACAGGAACTCGCACACAATGCTAGTGGGAATGCACAACAGTACAGCCGCCGTGGAAAGCAGGATGGCAGTTTCTACTAAACTGAAAGAATCCCATTCCAAGGCCTCGGCCTAGGAGAAAGAAAAATATGCCCACACAGACTTGGATGCAGATATCTATTAGCAGCATTATTTGTAATAGTAAAAAACTAGGAATAACCCATTTGTTCATTAACTGATAAATGGATAAATGAATTGAAATACATCCATGACTGGAATACTACTCAGCAACTTACGTTAAATGAAGACTATGTATGTATGATTTCATTTTTATGAAATTATAGGACAGCAAAACTTTAAAGACAGAAGGCAGACGGGTGTTTGTTGGGGCTGGTGATGGGCACTGGGATCATCTTCAAAGGGACATGAGAAAACTTTTACTAGAAGCGTGATGGAAACGTTCTATACTACGATTGCAAGGGTGGTTACACAACTCTACACAATCACCCAAATTCACCAAACTGTACACAGAATGGGTTTTATTATACATAAATTATAACAATAAAGCTGGAGGGAGGAAAAGGGGAATTTAGAAAAGTGGCTGATAACCATACAAATATAGGTATATCTCAACAGCTTTCACTATAATAACAATAATCAGTCCAAATACAAAGGAGAGAGGCCAGGCGTAGTGGCTCATGCCTGTAATCCCAGCACTCCGGGAGGCCGAGGCAGCTGGATCACTTGAGGCCAGGAGTTTGAGACCAGCCTGGGCAACATGGTGAAACCCCATCTCTACTAGAAACACACACTAAAAATAGCTGAGCACGGTGGCACGTGCCTGTCATCCCAGCTATTTGGGAGGCTGAGGCAGGAGAACTGCTTGAACCCAGGAGGCAGAGGCTGTGGCGAGCTGAGATCGCGCCACTGCACTCCAGCCTGGGCGAACAGAGTGAGACTGTCTCAAAAAATAAAATTAAATTAAACAAAATACAAAGGAGAAATACAGTAGCAATGAAAATATAAAATGTTTTGAAATAAACTTTAAGAGACTGTAACAGAAGATTTAAACAAATTGAGACCTACCCAGTTCTTAGAAGGCAGACTGTATTATAAAGATATCATTTAATCTCAAACTAATCTATAAAGTTAAGAAAACCACAATCAAAATACCGAGTATTAGAACTTGGCAAAGTGAAATTATTTTTTATTTTTGAGACAGGATCTTGCTCTGTCGCCCAGGCTGGAGTGCAGTGGTGTGATCTCAGCTCACTGCAAACTCTGCCTCCGGGGCTCAAACGATTCTCCTGCCTCAGCCTCCTGAATAGCTGGGACTGCAGGTGCATGCTACCACGCCTGGCTAATTTTTGTACGCACCTGGTCAGCAAAGTGAATTTAAAAGTACATCTGGAAGGATAGATCATAATTTTAAAGTGTTTGAAAAAGAATAGTGGGGAGAAGTTTGCTTTATCAGATATTGAACTACATTATAGTGCTGAAATTATTAAAACAGTGGCTAGAACTGGAACCAAAAGATTCCTGAAACAGAACTAAATTCAAAAATCCCCAAACATATCCATACATATAAAATACTTTAGTATATGATAAAGCTGGCATCTCAAATAAGTGGGGAAAGAATGGATTAGTCAATAAATGGGGCTGACAACACTTTCTTGCCCTTTCTCCCCAAAAGCGTAATAAAGTGTGGGTGAAATTGTTTGTACTAATATATGAACACCTTTTATAGATCATTAAGGAAAAGACAAACATCCCCATTGAAAAACAGGCTATAGAAGGAGGATCCCAAGATCTACGCCCCAGAATCTCGTCCCAAAGCCTAGCACCAAAACAGCAAAGCAGTCCTCCTTCAAGAAAACTGAAGGCAGCTGGTCATGGTGGCTCACGCCTGTAATCTCAGCACTTTGGGAGGCTGAGACAGGCGGATCACGAGGTCAGGAGTTCGAAACCAGCCTGACCAACATGGTGAAACCGTGTCTCTACTAAAAATACAAAAATTAGCTGGGCATGGTGGCACGTGCCTGTAGTACCAGCTACTCGGGAGGCTGAAGCAGAAGAATTGCTTGAATCTGGGAGGCAGAGGTTGCAGTGAGCCAAGATCACGCTACTGCACTCCAGCCTGGGCGAGAGAGAGAGAGAAAAAAAAAAAAAGGGACAAGAATTAGAGACTGGAATTGTGGCAGTGGGCAGTGAGGAACAGACGGTGATGTGAACTGGAGAAGGGTAATGCCCAGCTTCAGAGAGGGCGTGGCACAGCCACTGGGCCTCAAGATTTCTCAACGAAAAACCATTCACAGGTGTTAGGTGGGATGCATGGAGAGCCAGCCAAGGCCCAGGTTTTCTGTGACAGCTGTGCTTCACCCTGCAGGACAAGGCTAATCAGACTACACCATGACAAAAGTGTGGAAGCAACAACCAGGCAGAGGTTTATTAGGAAACAGGTCAACCTCCATGGCCAAGCACACATCAGACAGCGAGAGCTGCCTGCCGCGTCTGCACTTTTACCCTTCTTCGGCCATCCTCTCGCCCAGACCTTCATCTTCAAAAGAACCAAGAGCCCCCAGCCTGCCCTGAGGTGCCTCTGGAGCTACCCTCCTGCTCTTCCTCCGCCCACCACCAAACCTCCTGCAGGGCTTTCATCTACTGCCCAGCTTCTCCTCTACCTGGCCTATAAGCCTTTGGCTTCTGGAGCCTCCCTCCCATCAATCCCACTCTCACCATTGACTTCCTGGTTGCCAGGTGCCTCACCTTTTATTTTCTTTCTTTTTTTTTAATGGTGCTACAGCAATTTATCAGTGTTCTTGAAATTCCATTCTGTGGATCCCAGGACCCCAGCACTCTCCTGGTTCGTGGTCTTTCCCACTCTCTCCTAGGATAGATATTTTAAAAGATTCTGCTCTTATTCCTCAGCTCTTTCACCCTTCTGTTCTCTCTAGCTCAGCAAAAGCAGTCATACCTGGGGCTTCGTGCTATCTCCCCCAACTCAGAAAAGAATTCCCAGCACTCTCTCTTCTGCCCTGACTCTGTCTCTCCAACTCAATTTACATTTTTCAATTGCCTTCTGGCCATTCTCTCTCTCTTCTTTTTGAGATGGGGTCTCACTCTGTCACCTAGGCTGGAGTGCAGTGGCGTAATCATATCTCACTGCAGCCTCAATCTCCTGGGTTCAAGTGATCCTCCTACTTCAGCCTTCTGAGTAGCTGGGATCACAGGCATGCAGCACCACACCCAGCTAATTTTTCGTAGAGATGAGGCTTCACTATGTTAGCAAGGCCTCACTATGTTAGCAAGGCTGGTCTCGCAACTCCTAGCCTCAAGCAATCCTGCCTCGGCCTCCCAAAGTGCTTATTACAGGTGTGAGCCACTGCCCAGCACTATTCTCTCTTAACTGCACACGAGGACCCCCGACTCATAGTTCTAAAGCCAGATTTTGCTGTCTTAGTTAACATGATCACCATTACCCATGTTGCTCAGGGCCTAAGCCCCAAGATCATGTCCACCCCCAATCTACAAGTGGCCACTTTGACTTACCACATTCTCCCCTGGAAAGTCTCTCACAGTTAGCTTTCCTCCCCATTTTAAGTTCCAACACCACCTCAGCTTGCCTCTCTCTTTTTTTTAAATGACTCCCCACACTACAGCAGTTGCTTTTTGTTGCTCTTCTTGCCCCTCAACTCCATCCTTTCCAATCCAACCTGCACCATGTTGAGAGACAATTCTCCATGAATATCTCACATCCTGCACTGTCTGGGTCTCTGAGCAAAGACATTTATATCAATTTTAAGAATGTTTCTATAATGAGCCTTTCCAGAGTAGTAAACCTGGGAGACAGCTCCCTCCAGAGAGGTTCTAGGGTGGTAAAGATCAAGACCTCACCTTCTCCTCCTCAGAGGTTTACATTCCTAAGATAAGGTCTCTCCAGAGAGAAGTATGGACAGGCCACCACCAGCTCACAATAAGATGGACGCGTAGTTCTGGAGTTCCTTTCTTGTAACGCATCCCACTGCATGTACAGGCAGTAACATCTGGCCTTCATTATGTTGTCCTGTGGGGTTTGGGCCTTGGGGAATCAAACTGGACTACCTTGTTAACTTCTAAGTTGGGTAAAATCTCGGACGCTAGAGTTTCTGACTTAACACATCACCACTAAATTATCTTTATGAAGATCTGCTTTGGCCACGTGACTTCCCTGCTTGAAATCCTTCAGTGGCTTCTCACTACAGAATACAATTCTTACCTGTCACCTTTCCAGCTGGTCCTCCCACTTCTTATGTAAACCCTGTGCTCCTGTCAATCTGGACTACAGGATGTGTTCCATACACAGGCATTCATATCTTGCCTCATGTTTCTGGCCATGCCTGAATGCTATACATAGATTGCAGAAGAGATAAAATTTTATCCATGAAGCACCAGTGCCTAGGCTGCCCACAGCGACCTCAGAATGGTGACCCCACCATTTCCTTCTTCTAGTATGTTGCCATGGCTCCTTCCAGGTAGGCTGATGGGAAGTCAGCCTGCCCTCTGCTGTAGTCATAACGAGCTGAACTGATGACCAGTGCTGGGGCCCAAGGTGACTGCACTCTGGTTGGACATCTGGGAAATGAACTGCCCCTGGGAATGCTTGGCTTGAAACTGTCCAACAGGATAGCTTTCAATTTGATGGCAGCCAAAAAACCTACAGAGCTCCTCTCTTTAAGAAGTGTCAGGGGGTGGCCAGGCGCAGTGGCTCACGCCTGTAATCCCAGCACTTTGGAAGGCCGAGGCAGGTAGATCACGAGGTCAGGAGATCGAGACCATCCTGGCTAATATGGTGAAACCCCGTCTCTACAAAAAATACAAAAAATTAGCCGGGCGTGGTGGCGGGTGCCTGTAGTCCCAGCTACTCAGGAGGCTGAGGCAGGAGAATGGCGTGAACCCGAGAGGCGGAGCTTGCAGCGAGCCGAGATTGCGCCACTGCACTCCAGTCTGGGTAATAGAGCGAGACTCCGTCTCAAAAAAAAAAAAAAAAAAAAAGAAGTGTCGGGTTAAGGAGAGGCAACTCATCTTCTAGTGAACAAGTGAGTTTTAATTTTGGTTCTCCCCTAAGCTCTACATCTTAGTCTTAGCTTGTCCCACACTTCTGGGTATTCTTGCAATAAACTCCCAAGCAAAGACAACATGGGCATGTATTTTCTTGCAGCCTCAACTGCTTAATTCAAGTGCTCTCCCCACTGATCTCTGAGACACATGTACAAAGACGTTGGTAGATGCATTGTTTGTAATGACAGAAAAATGTGTCCACTAATATGGGCTGGTTAAGTGATCGTATTCATCAAATATAAGATACATCCCAATTTAGAGACATTAAAATATCAATCAAATGGCCTACAGTAGTTACATGATGTAGTTGATTCTTCTAATATGTGAAAAAATGTGGGTCTTAGACTTGGAGAACTAAGGTATGGTGTATTCACACAGTGGACTACTTTGCAGCTGGGGTAGGTAATGGCACAAAAGGAGGTGTGTGTCGTGTTACCTGTAACAACCTGAGCTTGAAAAGTAAACAGTCTTAAACCAAGTGGTGAACACACGCATATAGTTTAAGTATTTTTACAGCTTTTTGTTTGTCTAAGGTATGTTAAACATTTTTCTTTTTTTTCCCAAGATAGAGTCTTGCTCTGTTGCCCAGGCTGGAGTGCAGTGGCTTGATCATGGCTCACTACAACCTCCACCTTCCAGGTTCAAGCAATTCTCCTGCCTCAGCCACCCGGGTAGCTGAGATTATGGGCACCGTCACCACACCTGGCTAATTTTTGTATATTTAGTACAGACGGGGTTTCACCATGTTGGCCAGGCTGGTCTTGAACTCCTGACCTCGTGATCCACCCGCCTCAGCCTCCCAAAATGCTGGGATTACAGGCATGAGCCACTGTGTCCGATATGTTATACATTTTTATATATATACATTCTGATATGCTATATACAGTTATACCCAGCCAATATGTTACACAGTTTTCTCTCACTGGGCCTAGCAACATTTTTGTTATGTTATACATTTTGTTATACATTTTTTCTAACCGGGCCTAGCAATCTGCTTTATCTCCCTTGTTCTGTGGGAAACCTTGTGTTCAAGTGATAGCTTAAAAATCAATTCTCGGCTGGTGGCGGTGGCGGTGGCTCACGCCTGTCATCCCAGCACTTTGGGAGGCCAAGGTGGGCAGATCATCTGATGTTAGGGGTTTGAGACCAGTCTGGCCAACATAGTGAAACCTCATCTCTACTAAAAACACAAAAATTAGCTGGGCGTGGTGACGGGCGCCCGTAATCCCAGCTACTCGGGAGGCTGAGGCAGGAGAATAGCTTTAACCCAAGGGGCGGAGGTTGCAGTGAGCCGAGATAGTGCCACTACACTCCAGCCTGGGCAACAGTGTTAGACTCTGTCTCAAGAACAACAACAAAAAAAAAGACAAAAAAAAAAAAAAAGAATTCTATAAATAAAGGAGTTGAGAGAAACATTCACTGTCCCTTATCTCTACATGTTGATTATCAGAATAAAAAGAATTCCAGCAACATCAGTCATGGGCACAAAGCCAACCCGTAAACATTTACAGAACTCGATGATTACCCAAAACTCGGCTTGCTTTCTCAATACTACTGACTTTGGCTTCACATTAGCCACAGGTGTGTCTAGAGTTAAACAAGGTCAACTTTACAAAAAAAAAAAAAAACAAACTGATACTTGGGCATAGTTTAAAAAAAACTTAAAAGTGTGTGTGTGTGTGTGCGTGCGCGTGTGTGGTGGGGGGCGGGGCATTTCAATATAAATGCCTTAAACACAACCTTCCTGGCTATTTTATAAAATGGGTTGAATCTCTAAGGACACATATTTCCTAAGACCTCGACTGATACACAGAGTGCAAACTTGGGAGCCAGACTAGACTGCCTCAGAATCATGCCAGCTGTGTGGCACTGGAAAGTCACCTAATTTTGCAGCGCCTACCTTCACCTCTGTAAAATGGGGAACAATAATAACTAATTTATGGATGCTGTAAAGATCTGAAATTTTAAACTCAGTAATGCGCCTGGCACACATTAGACACGGGTGTTTCGTTTGTCTTGGCAAAGGCTTCGGGTTTTGCGACAATAGCCTTGCTGCCTCCGGAGCAAGCATCTCTCCTTGCCCCCTCTGGGGCATTTAAAAATGACCTCAATTCTACTCTCAATTATGTCCAGTTCAACAGTTACGTGCAGGTTACAAAGCCGAGGAAGCTGAGGTATCTTCTAAACTAACATAGCACGTACAGAATTTTTTTAAAGTTTGGTGGAGGAATCGGCAGCACAAGGTAAGCTGCGCTCTGTTCACAGACCTGGGAATCAGAACTCCGGCCGCCGCGGCCTCCAGGCGCCTCTCAGCTAACAGACTTCCTGCAGCAGGGGGAGGGGCGGCCAGCTCGCTGCAAAAAGCCGCAGGACCCCCTCACCCCGCCTTGCCGCCCCCGCTCCCACTCTCTGGGATGGGGAGTGCAGGGTCTAGGCGATGGCACTTACCAGCGCGAAGTGCACCAGCGCGTCGTAGCAGAGCCAGATGAGCGCCCCGCGGTCCGCCGCCCCCTGCCCGCGGCCCAGGCGCAGGCCCAGGGCGCAGCCCGCCGCCAGCAGCGCGGCGCACAGCAGCAGCGAACCGCCAGCCTCGGCCCCCAGCTCCCACTCAGCGCCCATGCTTCAGGCTTCCGACGCCAACGGCCCAGGACCATGCGGCAGAGGAAAGCAGGGAGAGAAACGACGGGGCGGGGCTGGCCGGGAAGGGGCGGAGCCGGATGGCCAAGGAGGAGCGGAGCTGATTGGCCAAGGCGGTCCGGGGAGGGACGGGGCTCCCCGGCCGGGTCGGGGCCAGAGCGAGGATTCCGTGCCCGCCTCGCACCCTGGCCAGCCTGCTGAGTCCGGTGGTTTTGCCAGGTGCCGCCCATGGAGGTTCCGTAGAAGGAACGTGCTCACCAACTTGCGCAACCGCCTCGACCAAACCTGTTCCCAAACCGAGCCCAAAGGATTGGTAATAGGGCCACACCTTTTGATGTTGTTTCGCTTTTAACAAGGCTCAAACTTTAAGCCACAAAGTGAAGCCTAGGTAGTGGAAATTTTGCCAGTAGACCGGGGCAGAATTTTAGGGGCAAAAGGTTTTAATTAGGCTGCAGCAAGCCTTACCAGGGAGGCTGGGGGCCAAGGGAGTTTTCAGCCACCAGCCGGCTTAAAGCCTTTATGGCCTACTCTGACAATCTTTCCATTTCTTAAAAATCCAGAAAAGTAGAAGGGTGGGTGAGAGGAGCGGTAAGTCCTATTGGCTTGGCGATAGATGCGTTTAACCTGTGGCAGGCCAGGTTTCACTATCGCAGGCCTCCATCACAACTGCTTCAGCACTGAGTGGTTAAATTAAATATTAAAAGCTGAGGCCGGGCGCGGTGGCTCACGCCTGTAATCCCAGCACTTTTTGCCAAGGCGGGCGGATCACGAGGTCAGGAAATCGAGACCATCCTGGCTAACACGGCGAAACCACGTCTCTACTAAAAATACAAAAAATTAGCCGGGCGTGGTGACGGGCGCCTGTAGTCCCAGCTACTCCGGAGGCTGAGGCAGGAGAATGGCGTGAACCCGGGAGGCGGAGCTTGCAGTGAGCCGAGATCGCGCCACTGCACTCCAGCCTGGGCAACAGAGCGAGACTCCGTCTCAAAAAACAAAAAAAAAATTAAAAGCTGAAAGAGTCAGTGCCCATATACCAAAGTCTGGAATGTAACAAAAGCCCACCAAGAGTTTTGCCTAGGCCTTTCTTGGGCCTTGAAGCATGACAAGATAACTAAGGAATTTTTAACAGGACCCGTTTAGGATTAAACAAGTTTTATTGGGGGTCTGAAGAAACTCCCCAGGCCTCCAAAAACAAGTTTATTGGGAGTCTGGAGGAATTCCACAAGCCTCCATGATTTAGCAAGAGACAAAATAAGGGTAATCATCCCAGCACCCAGACCTATTTAGATTAAGTAAATTTACTGAGGCTCCAGAGGAAGGTCTTCAGGATTAGAAGTTGTTAATCACTTACGTCTTTAGATGAATGCACTCTTACACGTAGACATATAGCTTAGAAGGTATATACGCTCTGGAAAAACTTTGTAATTATGAGTTGGTCTGGCAATAATTTCCAGACCTTCTCCCTGTAACCGGTTGCAGAAATAAAAACTCTTCTTCCCCAGTTCATCTGCACCTCATTATTGGGCTGCCCAACCCCCAGTTTGGTCCGGGAACAAACCTACATTATTTAACATCACAACAACCCTATGAGGTCGGTGAAATAAGCCAGTCACAAAAACATACTTATGATTCCACTTACAGGAAATATCTAAAATAATCAATTTGCAGAAACAAAATAGAATGATGGTTACCAGGGGTGGGGCGGGGCGGGAGTGGGGGGGGGGCGCGGGGAAAAGTGGAGTGTTATTTATTCGGATAGTTTGATTTGCAAGATGATGTTCTGGAGATTGGTTGCACAACAACGTGAACATACTTTACTGAGCTGCACACTTAAAAATGGTTAAGATGGCAAATTTTATGTGTATTTTACAGTTATTAAAAAAAATGCTGGCACTGAACACAAGAAATTTTTCCCTTAGTCACTTCCTATACCATTTTTTATAGCAGTTAACACCAGATAGAATGATCCTTGTTTACACACTTATTGCTAATCTCCTGCCACTATAATGTAAGTCTTCAAGGCCAGGGGTTGTGGCTAGCTTTTTTATTGCTGTATCCCTGGCACCTATTACAGAGTTTGGCATATATTAGCTGCTCAGTTAAATAACTGGCGACTGAGTATGGTCAATCTAGCCACCTATGCTCTGGATCCTGTCCTGTAACTAACTTATCATCCTTTAGGGACCACTCGGCCCACCTCCCCTTCAGAGCAAAATAGAAACTTAATGAAAAAACTGATCAGATCCCCTGTCTTCATGTCTTGACCCTGCTCCTCAGTCCTTTCTACTCTGGTTTCTGCCTTATCACACTGATATAGCTCTCACTAAGGTGACTACTGGCCTCCACATCACTGAACCCCAAGAACAGTTCATTTTCTTAGTGTAGTTTACTTCTCAGCAGCATCCCAGCACTGAAATATTTTTCCTTTGGTTTTCTGAGAATACAGCCTCCTTAGCCATTCTGTTTCCTTTGCAAGTGCATCTTCCACTACAAATGCCTAGTGAATGCTGCAGCTCCACAACCCAGTCCTCGGCCCTGTTCTCACTCCAGACCCCAAATCCAGGCAGTCTCATCCTTACCCTCTGCTTTAATGACCAGCAAAACCTGCAGAGAACTCAAATCTCTAGCCTGGTCCTATTCTCTGGACTCCAGACCAGTATTTCCAACTGCCCTACTTGACAGTCACTTGGATGTCTCAATATAACCCAAACTGAGCTCATCACTTTCCACCCCAATGTCTGATTCTCCTTCCTATCTCATGTTACTTCCACTCATCAGTTACTACAACCCGGAAACCTAGAAATCATCCCCGATACTTCTCTCTCCCCAAACTTGGCATCTAAGGCATCACCAACTCCTCCTCAGCAGCCAAGTATTTCTTGATTCCATGCATTTCATGGACCTGTTCACCATCTCGTCTGTGCTTCACTCACTAATGTGACCAGCGACCTCTACATCACTAAATCCAAAGGACGTTTTCTGTCCTTAGCCTTACCAACTAGTGATCTTTATTAATCTATTATCCCTCTTGCTTAATGATGATCTTCATATAGAATACCAAAATCCTTTTTATGACTTACTAGACTGTGGGGTCTGGCCCCTCCCTATCTCTTTAGCCCTTTCCCATTCCCCTATTAATCCTCCTCTCCATTATAATCTTTCATCTAGCTATACTTGCTTTCTTTCACTTCCTCAAATACCCCATGGTGCTTCCCACAAGGCTTTGTACAGACTCTTCCCACTGCTGGAAAGCTTTTCCAGTCAATGTGCCCAATAAACTCCTGCCTTTTCACCACGATCAGTGAAATTTTGGCTGGCACTTTTTAAGGGCTCAACATTAGCCTGGTTATCACCTTTCTCAGTAGCCAATTTCCTCTAGTATGTGTATCATTGTATACCTCTTTTTTTCTAACATTTGTCAAAACTTGTCTTTTTTTTTATTCCTGTTATTTTTACAAGTATCCTGTGCCATAGCACAGTACCTGGCACGGGACAGAGTATTCAGTATTCGAATGTTTCTAAAGGCTTAGTCAGAATTCTTATTTATATAAGACTGAAGACATCGAAAGGATACATATGTAGAATGTGATCTCATGAGAAAAACTAGGCTGAAGTAAATATGAAATTTATTCTTATGTTTAGAGTTGAAAAGGGTAGATGCCCAACGATTTGGGTTAAAGAGAGCTGATGATAAAGAGGGTGTGACTTGATCACAAACCTAATTATGATGAAGCTGGTAAAATAACTGAAAGACTCCCCCCACATTAATAGAATCAAAAGTCCAGATAATGGAATGTTCCCATTCATTCCAAAGTACTCAGAAACCAGTCACACCACACTCCTTATTGTTGGAATCCTTGGAGTACATCACGCTGACAGGAACCAGGTCCAGCAATGACTTTATAATGAGAATGGATGAAATGCAAGGGGTGTTCGAGTAAAAGAAAGCTGATTTAAAAAATGGATGAGTCTCCTCTGCTATCTGGAAATAACAAAGTCTACTCCCAATCAAAAACAGTTAATTTACAATGATGGAAATTTAAGTTTCTTTCTCTTTTGAGACAGGGTCTCAACTCTGTGGCCCAGGCTGAAGTGCAGTGGCACGATCTCGGGTCCAGTGTATGGCAGCCTCAGCCTCCAAAGTAGCTGGGACTACAGGCATGTACCGCCAGGCCCAGCTATTTTATTTATTTATTTTTTTTGTAGAGATGAGGTCTCACTATATTGCCCAGGCTGGTGTCAAACTCCTGGGCTCAAGTGATCCACTGACCTGGGCCTCCCAAAGTGCTGGCATTACAGGTGTGGGCCACTGCACCCAGGTTAAGAAAGGATCTTGTAGCAAGCAAAGCTAGCCAATAAATACAAGCTCCCTCAAAATGAGTACCTTGTTTCTCAAGCTCTTCTAACTTACTCCTGCAGGAATGTTTCCATAAAATACCCTGCCTCAAAAATCAGATTTTATGTTTAAAATATGTAAAATGTATACTTTATAACACTTTGGCTTGTATTACCAATAAAACTTTTACTTACCACCTAGTAAAGTTGCTGTCCCACGAAAGTGTTCCTTATCTTATGGTTTCTCACACTATTTGGCACAAGGCCCCATGCATCTTTGGGTACCACAGTTTAAGGGAATTCCTCAAGAAGGTGTATGGCAATTTGCTAGGGTAGGGAAGGGGGATGCTGTAGAAGAAATTCCCTGCAGAGAATACTTTCTTTATGGCATGGCTCGGCCATAGTTTCTGTTTTTAATAATTTAATAGATGATTGTAAGTTTTCTGATGAGGCCAATCTCTCAACAATGCTTCAAGTGATCTTCAAACTATGCTATGATTTTCTAGTACAACTCCAGTTTTCCCTAGATAACTTAAAGATTTTCAACTACAAGTGTTTGAAAAACACTGCCATAGGGTGTTGAGATTTGGGCAATTAACACATTTGATTGTTTTACAACCCTGTTTTTTAGCCACAGGATAAATTTAAGAGGTAACTAGTTGCTCCATATTTCTATTTCTTTATCCCAAGTCCCTTGAAATAGATGTTCAGTACTACCTGGAGTTTCCTACAGATGATTTGGGAAATTAGGTTAGGCCTGCCTTCAATTTTTCCTAAAACTCAGAATGAAGAAAAGGCACATTTGTGTCTCCTTTCTTCATCTTATGCATCTGAGGAAAGCCTGGGACTGTTCATACAACAAAAAAGTCATGATTTAGGCTGTCTCATTTGAGTGGAGTTTTCTATAGGAATTGATTTAGGACAGTGGTTTACAATCAGGGATGGTTTTGGGCCCCCAGATGTTTGGCAATGTCTGGAGACATTTTTGGTTGTCTTAACTTGGGGAGAGGAGAGAGGTGCTACTGCTATCTAGTGAGTAGAGCCCAGGGATACTACTAAACATCCTACATTGCACAGGGCAGATGACACACAACAAAGAATTATCCAGCCAAAAATGTCAATAGTGCAGGGTTTAAAAAACCCCAATTTAGGCCAGGCGCTGTGGCTCCCGCCTGTAATCCTAGCATTTTGGGAGGCCGAGGCAGGCGGATCACTTGAGGTCAAGAGTTTGAGACCAGCCTGGCCAACATAGTGAAACTTGTCTCTACTAAAAATACAAAAATTAGGTGTGGTGGCAGGCGCCTGTAATCCTAGCTACTCGGGAGGCTGAGGCAGGAAAATCGCTTGAAACTGGAAGGCAGAGGTTGCAGTGGGTCATGCCACTGCACTCCAACCTGGGCTAAAGAGCGAAACTCCATCTCAAAAAACAAAAAAACAATTTAGGCCTAAGTTAGTTGAGGGATTTTATGGGCAAACAGTGGCATTAGGTTGCATTCCCACATCCCTTTTCCCACACATTGTATATAGCACTTTTGGAGAATCATTCTATCACTGTTTTTTAGCTATCTAAACAACATTTATACTCACAGCTTCATATACAGAAATTATATTTCCTTTCCCCCAAAAAGAGTTAAGTAAACTTTCCCAGTTTAACTAGGGTTTAAAAAATTAACCATCACTGTAAGACAACGGACATTCATGAATGTCAGGTGCTCTTGTTTACTTGTTTATCCGCATTAACTAATCCCCTGAAAAGGATGAATGACGCTTCTTAAAAAATTTTCTTTTCATATAAAAATAGAATTTTTTTAAAGATGGGGTCTTGCTATGTTGCCCAGGCTGCTCCCAAACTCCTGGGCTCAAGTGATCCTCCTGACTCAGCCTCCCAAGTAGCTGGAGCTACAGGTGTCTGCCACCAACCACGCCCTTCAGGATGACCCTTCTGAAAGAAATGATGGCAAGATTGTATGAGTACTATCACATTTACTTATACACCAACTTCTTTTAAAAGTAATTTGCAGTGGCATTATACAAAAGTAAACATTTCTATACTCAAAAGTTTGGCTGCTCCTTTGTTCTTTTAGTTAATGCAAGATTTCATTTAGTGCCATAAACTTTACCTAACAGGTTAAAACTTTTAGGTTTGCTCTGATTACTATTTTCCATAGTTACATGTTTTCAAGGGGTAGCCAGGTCTTAAAGTTTGAGTTTTTGTTTCATCAGTCACAATCATACCATCATCTCAAATAAATGGACTTTTTCTAAGTTATAGTATTTAAACCTGAGACACATAGGGAGAATGCCATGTGATGACGGAGGCAGAGACTGGAGTGATGCAGCTACAAGCCAAGGAATGCCAAGGATTGCCAGGAACCACCAGAAGCTAGGAAGAGGCAAGGAAGGATCATCCCCATCGAAGTCCCCAGACAGAGCATGGCTCAGTCATCACCTTGATTTCAGACTTCTGGTCTCCAGAAGTGGATGACAATACATTTCTATTGTCTGAAACCACCTGGTTTGTGGTACTTTGTAATGGCAGCTTAGGAAACTAATATAGATTTTGGCAATTCTTATTTGTCACAGAATAGTCTCAAATCTAGCATTATTATCGATCATCCTGGTTTGTTAGAGTTGAGATGGAAGAGGAACCCCTCTTAAGGGCCTGCCAGGTGCCCCACCAAGCATGGAAATAAAGGAAAATTTTGAGTTCCTTCAAGGGAAATTCCAGGCACCTAGCTAGCCCTATGAATAAATAAGAAACTTGATAAGCAAGAGAGTAATAGTAGCTTAAAACAACAGCCAAGGAAGTCACAGGATGTTTGGTTCCTTATAGAAACTAAAGATAACATCTTAACATATGTCCCTGAGTTGTTCTTCAGACACCTGGACCCCCACCAAATGGTCCACTGGCCAGGGAAGGGGGAACTGAGGACTGAGCTCTGACTGCCATTCTTTGTTCTAAATGTCTTCCTGAGGGGCCTATAGGAAGTCACGCCCATGGGGCAGACTTAGCATTCTTTTCTGCTGACCCCAAGTTTTTTGACAAAGCTTTGATTCCTTAATCAACTGCAAATAAGAAAATCTGTGAATTCACCTATGACCTATAAGTCACCCCCTGCCACCCTCGGCTTCAAGACAGCCCACCTTTCTAGGCCAAACCATTGTGTACTGATGTACAATTCTGCCTGTAATTTATGCTTTCCTGAAATTCACCCCTGCCTTTAAAAACCCTTGCTTGTAAAGCCATGAGGGAAGTTGGGTCTTAAGTGTGAGCTGCCTCATTTTTCTTGTTTGGTGCCCTGCCTGCAGATAAATGCCCTCCTTTTTCCTGCTGCAAAACCTTGCTATGAATGTTTGGCCTAACTGTGCCAGGTGAACAGACTCCAGTTTAGTTCAGTAATATGGTGTGAAGGAGATATTAAAATACAGTAAAAGAGTAATTCATGATTTACCTCCATTGTGATTTTTAAAAAAATAATTCCAAATTTAAATTTAACCATACAGAAAACAAACAAGTTATTTTCAGAAATAAGTTTTCAATGTTTTATCATATTTGATAGCAGCTTTTTTTATTGGTTACAAAACCTAAGCCCATATACAAAATTAGGAACACATTTAGATGCCTCTTTTGAAAGAACGTTTTAGTCTTTTTAAACTGAGTTTAAAAAAAAATAACAATGCAATTTTTAAACACTGTTTTGAAAACTTAAAAGTGCAGCAATATACTTAGTTTCCTTTATCTACGAAATGGTGCAATTCCAATTCAAAACTGGTAAGGTCACAAATTGAATCAAGGAAATGCATACAAGTGTCTGCACTACTTGATGCTAATGTTCACTTAAATGTTAGTTTGCACTTTAAAACATGAGAGGAAATAGGAATCATCACAGTAGAGGCCCAATTTTAATCATAATGTGTGCAAATTTTAAAAGGTAACTGTCAGTTAAGTAAGGAAAGTCCAGAAGAAACTAAACTGGAAGGGGTACGGTTCACAATATCAAGAAGATTTGGACTTTTAAGGGTTTCACCGAAGTTTGTGACCTTAATTAGCTTTTACGTTGTTATTCCTACTTTTAGCGAACACCACACAGTTTCAAAAATTTAGACTATAGTGTCCGAACAGGATGCAGTTACCATATGAAGCTTTAACTCAAAATTTGGATAAAGAAAAAAAGGCACAATGAACTTCAACTCAATTTTATGTGCACAAGAGTTGAAAAATCTGAGCCACCTTAAAGAGAAATTGATTCTAAAATTTATAAAACCTATAAATAATCAGAGGCCAAACCACTATATTAAAACAGATTCTCTAGCAAGTAAAAATCTTGCAGTTTAAACATACGCTTGTATCCACTTTAGATACAAGACAAAACTCACTCTTTAAAGTGGCTCCACCTTGGCAGATACATATATTTGTAATGAATGCACACCTGCTATGTGTTGTTTATCAGTGAAAACACCCCAGCTGATTCACAAAGCTCTGATGGCATCTGTCTCATCTTCATCACAGTAAATACACCCCCCAATGGATAACTAAATTAGTTTAGATTTTCTATCCCTTCACATCAATGCATTGGGAAATTATACCCAGTAAACAAGAGCAACAATACCATTTCTGTGACAGCACAAATTATTTAGTTTAAAAATTTTTAAATCCATATTCTTTCATTAATAACTGGGTCAGACAATTTACCAAAAGCAATAACTTGACATAGTAATACCGGATTTTGCAGAATTACTTAGAGATCACTGCAAATCAGGTTTATGTTAAATAACTGCAAATTACTCCTCTACACAGATCCCTGTCTGAATCTTTTAATATGTGAAGATGCTTTTTGAGTAGGATCTGAATTAACTTTCCCAATACTCAAAGAATGAACTCTTATGACACTTCTAAATAGTTGCTGGTTTGTTGCCAACCACATTATCAAAAGCACTGGTTACTAAGTAAAAAATATTTTAAGACTAAATTACAGTAAACATGAAAGCTCCACAGTTTAAACCCAATATAAATCAACCATATCCAATTATCAAATTAAAACAAAGAATATTAACTCCTGAAAGCTGAAAGCAAGATTTTTTTAAAAAACATCACCAATGGGTATTTTAGACTTTTGCAGTTTTTTTTTGTTTGCTTTTTGTTTTGCTGTTTTTCCTTTATACTCAGGGACTCTTGCTTTCAACTTAAACAGAAGTTCAAGTCCATAACAGGTTGCAGCTCAGGTAAAATACCATGCACAGCATTTGATTACTTCAAAACAGCAGGAACACACAGGCTGAAGAGAGTGGTCAAATAGGGCTTGCTGTTCTCAAAAATTAGGTATAATGGCAAAAGCATTAATATCCATATCTAAAGTTCTTCCTCCAACCCTGGCTTCTGAGGCAGATAATAAACACATCAATTACTGGTAGATGAAGTAGTTTTTTTTTTTTTTTAAACTTATCTGTTTATTCAATAACCAAGTTTCTTGTTTTTAAGTTACTTTTTTTGTGTCAGTTCCACCAATGAAAATCATTTGGCTTGTACTTTAAAATCTATTCTTCCACATAAAGAATATGAAAATATGTTTGTGGAGGACAATGATGGAGGCTCAGATCACACTGCACCTCTTTAGTCTTCCAACTTGTATATGCATCATACCAAAGTGTCTTGATCCACAGCGCACCATTTTCCAAAGGAGTATCAGTGGGCAGCTGACATGTCACCACTATGGAATATTTATTCTAAACTGGAGACTGCAGTTGTCAGCCTGTGGCACCAGGGAACAGGGAAAAATAGGGTAGTTGAGATTGTTAAGGAGAGTTCTAAAACAGTTTAGGAAATCATGCATATGCATTTACAGTCCATGTGATAGTGACTTTTGGCAACTGCAAAGTGACTGAGACATGGCTTGCTTTAGAAGCATCAAAACAAAGAGGCATGTGTGTTTTGGAGCCTTTTGTTGCTGTTGTTCTTATCATTTGGTAGCCATCTGGTGGTGCTTCATATTGAATGTGGGAAAGATGCTGCACTCAACTGAATTTAAAAATTAAATTCTTTTGTTTGAAGGTTGGCTGTTGGATCAAAATTGTAGGTACCTCCTTGTGTTGCTTCAGGAATGAGGCAGGGATCTTCATCAATCTGTAAAAAACAAGAAAAAAATCCTTATTAGGTTATGATACTATACATTATGATGTAAGTGGAATTGACTTTTTACCTCTTAGCAAATAATTCTATGTGAATGCTTTAACCAACTAAAAATATTCGAGTAAATCAATAATTTTATTAAGAAATTTAACAATTTAAAATTTAACACGTTTCGAAACTGCATTGTTAAGTTTCTGTATCTGGGACCTAGATTTATTTAACCTATCTGAACATATATCACTTATATAATTACTATTTCTTCCTAGTTAATAGATTAGAAATGAAACAAGAACTGTTTTTACAACTTTACCTTATAATGAAGTTTCAAAGTATTTAAGAGAAAGTGACTGATGGAATGTCTAATAGAAATACAGTACAAACTTATGTCATCCTAATAATAAAAGGAAAACTCTTAGTAAATTTACATCATGTATAGGTTTTCATTTACATGAAGATACACGCTATTTTAATATCTACTTACATCATCACCAGAGAAATACTGATCTATGATTTCAAATGCTAATTTATATATGTCTTCATTTTCATGTTGCTGTAAAACTTCAATTTTCTCCAAACCTGGTAAAAATAAAATAATCAAAATAACTGGTTAATTGATAAGGAGATACTAATCAAAACCACACTCATTTTAATCATGGAGAAATCCTAAGGAACTCAGAACACACTGCTCCCCCATCTAAGATAGTGGTTTGTCTAAAAAACAGACAAAACACGGGGCTGCTTCTAGTTGGAGGACCAGAATCCCACTAATTTTTTCCTTCTTAGAAGCCCTTGAGGTACCCGGATCCCTGAGGCAGACAGTCTAAAAAAACACCCAAACAATCCATTTGACAGAGGGAAGCTGTGGCATAAATATGTAAAGAGACTTATTTCAAGTTATATGGCAAGTTTGTGACAGTACTAGAACCAACTCCCCCACAGTGCTTTAATATAAATTTACTAATCTATTTTTTTTTTGAGACGGAGTCTCGCTCTGTCACCCAGGCTGGAGTGCAGAGTGCAGAGGTGTGATCTCGGCTCACTGCAAGCTCCGCCTCCTGGGTTCATGCCATTCTCCCGCCTAAGCCTCCCAAGTAGCTGGGACTACAGGCGCCCGCCACCACACCCGGCTAAGTTTTTCTATTTTTAGCAGAGACGGGGTTTCACTATGTTAGCCAGGATGATCTTGATCTCCTGACCTCGTGATCTGCCCACCTCGGCCTCCCAAAGTGCTGGGATTACAGGCGTGAGCCACTGCGCCTGGGCATTTTTTCTTTCTTTCTTTTTTTTTTTTTTTTTTGAGACGGAGTCTCACTCTGTAGCCAGGGCTGGAGTGCAGTGGCACGTCTCGGCTCACTGCAACCTCCACCTCCTGGGTTCAAGTGTCTCCTGCCTCAGCCTCCCAAGTAGCTGGGATTACAGGTGCCCACCACTATGCCCAGCTAATTTTTTGTGTTTTTAGTAGAGACGGGGTTTCACCATGTTGGCCAGGCTGGTCTCGAACTCCTGACCTCGTGATTCGCCCGCCTTGGCCTCCCAAAGTGCTGGGATTACAGGAGTGAGCCACTGCACCCGGCCAATCTTATTAATCTTACTGCCTCATAAAGTAATTTGTATCTTTCTCTTTGTTTTCCAAATGTTATTACCTTTATATAACCACAAAATGAGTTTTTAGAACCTTATAATTGGTATAAAAGATATAAAGATTTAAATTTTGAAAAACTTTCTTTAAAAAATGAATAGAGGTCTTATGTCCTATAGCCACAATGAACCTGGGAGAAAATATTTCCAGAACAGATATCATAGAATGCCTTCATTTATATTTCCAATATATTTACTCCACACATCATATACATGTTTATCAATTTCACACCTTAATATTCTTCCTTGAAATGTCTTTTTGAAGGTTATTTTAAAATAGTTGCAATTTTTTCTTATATACTAATAAACCAAAAGAATGGGGGAAATCGTTGCCAAAGTGCTTTATACAATTATAAAATATTAATATGTATCCTATTACTCCTATAGACAAAAGTAACTATATTGATAAAAAGCTGAAGAGTAGTAATTCTCTAAGTTGCTCAAACTTACTGTGTTATGAACCTGACTACAATTTTTAATTATCTTAATAGTAAGAAGATCTGGATTTTAACTTTGCTTCTATCACAACCTACTTCTGTCACCTTGGACAAGACTCCTTAAAATCTGTGGGATAATTTCTTCTCAAGAAACCCTCCCGGCTGGGTGCAGTGGCTCACGCCTGTAATCCCAGCACTTTGGGAAGCCGAGGCGGGCAGATCACCCGAGGTTGGGAGTTTAAGACCAGCCTGACCAACACGGAGAAACCCTGCCTCTACTAAAAATACAAAAATTTAGCCGGGCGTGGTGGTGCATGCCTATAATCCCAGCTACTAGGGAGGCTGAGGTAGGAGAATTGCTTAAACCCGGGAGACGGAGGTTGCGGTGAGCCATTACACTCCAGCCTGGGCAACAAGAGCGAAACTCTGTCTCAAAAAAAAAATAAATAAATAAAAAATAAATAAATAAATAAATAAATAAATAAATAAATAAATAAATAAATAGAAAGAAAGAAATCCTCCCAGTCTGAATATTCTACGGTACTACTGCATTTGTTTTCTCTTAAAATAAATAAATAAATAAACAATAGAATATTCATATAAAGTAGTCAATGAAATGTAAAATCTAAAACATGACATTATGATAAACTAATTTAAGGTTTAAACATGTTAGTACATATTGAACATGTACATTTAAAAACAGAATTTTAACATATGTTTCACATGTCATTAAAGAATAATACAGTATGTCAAATCACAATTATTTCTCATTAAAATTTCAAAGTAACTGCCACAGTAATAACTTCAGGATGTAGTTGTGGAAATCCTAAGAATCATTACAAGATTGAAACAAAATATCTAGGTGACTCAGAAGTCAGTAACCTTTTCCAACTATATGAAATAATATTTCCTAAAGTGGGGTCCACAGAATTACATGGTAATAACACACAAAAAAAGTGTTTCATTGTTAAGAAGTTTAAGAAATGCTGGATTAAATAAAGCTTTAAAATTTATGTAGTGTTGTAAGGGCTCTTAAATTTGCTGTCATGCACTGTGACTTCAAGAGAAGTATTAGTGTTTCCTAAAATGCAATGTCAGGCCAGGCGCAGTGGCTCATGCCTGTAATCCCAGCACTTTGGGACGCTGAGGCAGGTGGATCACTTGAGGTCAGGAGTTCGAGACCAGCCTGGCCAACATGGTGAAACCTCGTCTCTATTAAAAACACAAAAATCCACTGGGTGTGGTGGTGTGCGCCTGTAATCCCGGCTACCTGGGAGGCTGAGGTGTGAGAATTGCTTGAACTCGGGAGGCAGAGGTTGCAATGAGCTGAGATTGTGCCACTGCACTCCAGCCTGGGCGACAGAGCAAGATTCTGTCTCCAAAAAAAAAAAAAAAAGCTATGTTGTCAATCTCTAGAAGGCTATACAGTGACTTTCACAACCTGATTTTGCAAAGTATGGACTACTGTCTTCTGGAAAATCCTCTTGGAATGCAAATATAGTGAATAAAGAAAAGCAACATACTGTGATCATTTAAAAACAACGTATCCTAGTAATTTTCTGTCTAGTAAGTTGACTTTAAAGAACTTATGTTTCAGAGTTCCAGTGCTCAAATACTCTTCTTCCATCAATCCACTCTTACCTCCACATTCCTCTATTATTTCAGCTATTGTGCTTGCTTCATCACCGGCCATTATCAGAATGTTTTTTAGACCATCTAGAACCACCTGAACCACTTGAGAATCTTTCACTGACAGTAAATTACAGAACGGTGGTATTACATTCTGCTGTACAAGGTACTCAACCTAGACAACAAAAGAGAAGAAATATTTTTATTTATATAATTATCTATTTCCCAGTAGGGTGTCGTGCTACATGGAAGGCTGAGGCAGGAGGCTATCTTGAGCCCAGGAGTTGGAGGCTGTAGTGCGTTATGGTCATGCCTGTGAATAGCAACTGCACTCTAGCCTGGGCAACATAGTGAGACTCCATCTCTTAAAATAATAATAATTATCTTTTCCCCAAAAAGAACACAATACAGTCAGCAACTACGAAACATAAGAGAGCAGCATGCTTTCCAGTATTAACAATCATGACAGTTACAGGTTTTCAAACTCACCTGATCTTTTCTGCCACTTATTGTTAAGTTGCTGATTGCCCAAGCAGCTTCTTTTTGTGTTCCAAAGTCCCCCTGAAGGTTAAAAATGAGATCATAAAATGGACTCTTTATCCAAAAAGTCTTGGTTATTAACAGATTAACAGACACGGTGAACTCATAATATGACCAACCTTAGCAAGCTGATGAATTATCATAGGAATTAATCCAGCATCTATTACAGCTTGAACTTGTTGCTGGTTGCCTGCTGTTATGTTGGAAAGGAACCACACTGCTTCCTATAATTGAACAAAATATAGGGCACCTTTATTTGAAAAATAATACCTTTAATGTCTTTCTAATATATTTTATATAGACAATAACAAAATCACCTGAATTACGTTAAAGAGACTGCACCTAAAAAGTGATTAGGTATACAAAATCTTCCATTTTAAACAAGTTATAAGGAAATTTCCATTAATTATATTTGGGCTCCAATAACCTGGCATTTATCCATTCATTAATATATAGGCCTACTATAAGCTAGGCATTATTCTAGGAAATGGTGATTTTATAGAAATGAACAAAACAGAAATCTTTATTCATGGAGCTTACATGTCTGTGCATTAGCTTCCTCTAAAAGACAGAAATAAATATACAACTGAATTTCTTTTTTCTTTTCTTTTTTTTTTTGAGACGGAGTCTTGCTCTGTCGCCCAGGTTGGAGTGCAGTGGCGTGATCTCGGCTCACTGCAAGCTCCGCCTCCCGGGTTCACGCCATTCTCCTGCCTCAGTCTCCCGAGTAGCTGGGACTACAGGCACCTGTCACCACGCCCAGCTAATTTTCTTCTATTTTTAGTAGAGACGGGGTTTCACCGTGTTAGCCAGGATGGTCTCGATCTCCTGACCTCGTGATCCACCCGCCTAGGCCTCCCAAAGTGCTGAGATTACAGGCATGAGCCACCGCGCCCAGCCACTATACAACTGAATTTCTAAAACTACTTAAAAACTACTTCTAATAAAGGTGATTTCTTTTTTAATTTTAAAAAATATTTACTCACAAGATATAGTCATTCAAGTATTCCATAAAAATTAACCATCTAACTAGTCTAGCATGGGTCTATATAACATAAATATTCTAAAACTAAGGGATTTATAAGTCATAAACACGTCTGTGAGCTGTTTACAGGTTAGTATCACATGTGTATCTTCCTCTTCCACAAATGAATTTGTTTTGCCATCCAACTGTGGTAAGTTGTTAATAATTGCTGAATCTGTGTTTAGAGTACATGGGTGTTCACTATACTATTCTTGCACATTTTTTGTAGATTTAAAAAGTTTCAAACAGAAATGCTGAGGGAAGAAAATCAAGTTGGTAACTTCTACTTCCAGGGTCCTATGATAGTCTCAAAATGCAAGTAACAAATTTTCAAGGCAAAAAATTTTTGAAGTAACTAATTGCTTGCTGAAGTTGAGATGGCATTTCTATGAAATTTTCCTCTACCCCCCACGATACCCTCACTTAAAAGCATACTACATCACAGGCCGGAACCTTTCTCTGCTGACTTCTGCCCAGCTTCCTCACTTCTCAGTTGTTTCCAATTATGGAATATATTCATTTAGCTAAAAAAAAAAAAATCACCTATATTGTTAAAAATTTCTTTAGTAAAAGTAACTGGCCCAGAGTCTGAAAGTCTCTGGCTTCTTTGTCTTCACTGGAACAAATGTATCTATAAAATGTGTTTTTTGACACCATACTTTTCTATAAGAACCCAACAGTCAAATTATACTCAAGCAACTATACAAATATAGTTATGATGACGAAGAAGAAATGATCAGTTCTGCTGGGTTTGGGTGATGGTAGTATATTAGGCAGATAAAACTTTAGTAAACTAAATGTAAATTTATTTCTTTTTCTTTTTTCCTTTTTTTTTTTTTTTGAGACAGAGTCTTGCTCTGTCGCCCAGGCTGGAGTGCAGTGGCACAAACTTGGCTCACTGCAAACTCCACCTCCTGGGTTCATGCCATTCTCCTGCCTCAGCCTCCTGAGTAGTTGGGACTACAGGCGTCTGCTACCACACCCGGCTAATTTTTTGTAATTTTAGTAGAGACGGGGTTTCACTGTGTTAGCCAGGATGGTCTCAATCTCCTGACCTCGTGATCTGCCCGCCTCGGCCTCCCAAAGTGCTGGGATTACAGGCATGAGCCACCATGCCTGGCCAACTAAACGTAAATTTAAACCACAATGAGACACCACTTCACATCTACTAGGATTGTCAGTAATTTTTTTTAACAGAAAATAAACGTTGGCTAGGATGTGGAGAAATTAGAATTCTAGTAACACTGCTGGTGGGAATGTAAAACAGTGCAGCTGCAATGGAAAACGGTTTGGTGGTTCCTCAAAAAGCTAAACCCAGAATTAACATATGATCGAGCAATTCTACTTGCAGTTATATATCCAAAGAAATTGAAAGCGGGAACTCAAATAGGTATTTGTATGCCAATGTTCACTGCAGCATTCTTCGTAATAGTGAAAAGGTGGAAACAACCGAAGTGTCCATCAACAGAAGAATGTAAAAACAAAATGTGGTGTATACATACAATGGAATATTTATTCAGCCATAGAAAGAATAAAGTTCTGACACATGCTGCAAAATGAATGAACCTTGAAAACATGCTAGATGAAATAAGCCAGGCATGAAGACTTATTACATACTAGTAAGTACATATTACACAATTAATAATAAACTTGTCTATGAAGCTTGAAATCTTAAAAAGAGTAATTTTTTATGATCCTTGAATTTAGGCACCTCGTCTTTGGGTCCAAACTAATTTTGCTGGGAGATCAAAATTTTTATGATCGGTTTGTTTAAAAAAATACCAGCCCATTCAAATGGCAGATTTTGTCTGCACTTTCAAGCGGCTACTAATTTAATGATTGTTGCTATGCTCAGTCTACTTAAATAGAAACACAGGTAGTCTAAAAATGTTTTTTACTCTGTGATGACCAGGGCAGCACCTACCAGAAGCGATTAAAAGTTGAAAAAGGCTGGGCGCGGTGGCTCACGCCTGTAATCTCAGCACTTTGTGGGGCTGAAGCAGGCGGATCACAAGGTCAGGAGTTCGAGACCAGCCTGGCCAATATGGTGAAACCCCATCTCTACTAAAAATACAAAAATTAGCTGGGCGTGGTGGCGGGCACCTGTAGTCCCAGCTTCTCGGGAGGCTGAGGCAGGAGAATCGCTTGAACCCAGGAGGCAGAGGTTGCAGTGAGCCGAGATCGTGCCACTGCACTCCAGCCTAGGCAACAGACAGACTCTGTCTCAAAAAAAAAAAAAAAAAAGTTGAAGAAAAACATTTGCAGAGGTGATTTAAAATAATTCTCATCTTCGCTGCAGTGGCTTTTAAGAAAAACATACAAGTAGCAATAGAAACAAGGAGACAGTTAAAAATGAGACACAGAAAGAAATAGCATAATGAGGACATTATATGCCTTACCTTATTTATCTTCTCTTTTGGGTGTGATAAGAGATTTGGGAAGTGTGACAGGACATCACAATTGAGAACAACCTGGGTCTGCTCGTCGGTGCCAGTCACTATGTTGCCAACTGCTCTGAGGGCTGCTGTCTAGGGTGGGGATAAAATGTTTTCTATAAATTTATTTGCTTATAAGACTAATTCTATATTTTTCATAATCCTGAGAAAAAGTAAAAATGCAAGGCATAAATAACACTTATTTCATCCTTTCACAAAGCACCAAGCAGTCTGAGAGCTATTCTGAATTTTAAATAGTCTCTTGTGAAAAACTGAAACTTTATGAAAAAAAAAAATTGTGTGAAAATTGGTTGGAAAAAGATTCAAAAAATAAAAGGAAATTAAAATTTTAGAAGAAGTCCAGTTTCTTAAGGCTGGGCATGGTGGCTCATGCCTATAATCCCAGCATTTTGGGAGGCCGAGGCGGGGGGGATCACCTGAGGTCAGGAGTTTAAGACCAGCCTGGGCAACATAGTGAAACTCCATCTCTACTAGAAATACAAAAATTAGCTGGTGTGATGGTGCATGCCTGTAATCCCAGCTACTCTGAAGGCTGAGGCAGGAGAATCACTTGAACCTGAGAGGCAGAGGCTGCGGTGAGCAGAGATCGCGCCACCATACTCCAGCTTGGGCGACAGAACAAGACTCCATCTCAAAAATATATATAATATTTTAATAAACGCCTGGAATGGGCACACACTTCCACCTAGAAAGTCACTTTGGTAAAGCAGGATGAACAGATCTAATAAGTGCCTACCCCTAATTAGAGTGGGAGAGAGAAAGAAGAAATGCAATTAGGTTATTGCAATTATTTGGGGGAAAGATAGAGTCTTGAACTAAATCTGTTGTTCTAGATAGATAAGGAGAGACAGATTTGAACCTATATAAGAAGAATTGAAATGATTTTGTAATGGAATGGGAATTGCAAGGAGGAATCAAAATTTCTAGCTTAGGCCATGCTGTTCACTGAAGGTAGACAAGGAAGAAGAGCAGGTTTGTGGGAGATGATCGTTTCATTTCTGTCTAGTTAACCACGGAAAGCTTGAAGGAGTTCTTAGATGATATGTATAAAGGGTCAAGAACAATTGGCTATACAAGTGTGGAACTCAGCAAAGAAACTGGGTGAGATAAAGATTTGGAAATCAACAAAATCAGGCTCAGGGACTAGCAGAAGAAATGTGGAAGATAAGCACTTACAGATAGAATTAAAGCCTAGCTGTACAAGTTAACTGGTTATAGCAAACACAACTGTATACAAATAAGAAAAATTTAAAAATACTTACTTGAACTTTGACTTCCTGATGGCTCAGAAGGGGCACAAGAAAGGGCACAACTCCTGAATCAATAACCATCTGTATCTGTTCATTACCTCCATCTGTCAAGTATGACAGAGCCCAAACAGTGTCTACAAGAATCTACAGGAAACACAAAAGAAAAACCATTTTACATATTTGTTTGAATGCTTTACTTGTTCAACACACCTCAGGAGTAGTGACAGAAAAAGTAACCAAATTTCAAGTTTTAGCTTAGTGGCAAAAATATCTGCTTAGCTGATTAATCTATTAAGTAGAAAGTACCTTATCTTTCTTTCAGTGCCTACCTCAGATCATTCTTCACAGAAAATGAGACACAGAAGTCTGGGAAAACTTCTATTCCAACTTCTGCATTTATGTATCAGACAGATGAATTTAAAAACAGGCAGAAAAGTAATTCTCCCTGCCCTCACAAATTAGCTACCTAATAATCCCACAGAAAAACACTATTTACAAGAATGAGGCCAACACACCATACTGTTTCAAGTTCAGAAGAGAACAGAAAGGTCATCTATTTACTCTACTGGTTTTCCAACATATTTAGCAATACAATTTTTCAGGCTACTAAAGTAAACCAATAAAAGAAATGACTTGGCACTTTAACTTCATCTGGGGAAAAAACTGTTTGAAAATCTCCTGAAATGTGTCCCCAACTGAAGTATAAACCTGGAGTATAAACCATGCCCTAGGCCTATCCTAACTTTGCAACTACATAGAAGAAAACAGGCTTAGCGATCTGGTGATTCATTCAAGGTCAAAGATCTTGTATGTGGCATTGCTTGGTGTCGTCACAGAGGAATATAAGCACTGGTTGTAGCTTATGCAAAATCAAGATGTTTCCTATTAGGTCATCCAAATTGAAGACATCACATCTTTTTGCCCTAAAATAATAGCAGGCACCTGAATTCACATACCCTTCAAAAAAGGATATAGATGAATAAATAAAATAGAACTACACATATAACCCACACCCCTTCAGCATTACTAAGAGTCAGAGAACACTAAAAATTTCCATTATCTGTAAGAGGAGAAAAAATTAAATTCTAGCTTTTGTCTGGACCTCTTGCCTCAAGACTGTGTAAAAGAGAGGACAGAAGCTGGGCCTAAGAGCTGAGCCCACCTACCAGCCCATTTCCCACTCTGGAAGTGAGGAGGCCTCCCTGCTGGAGGTGTCTGCAGATGCTGGGTCTGAGAACAAAGTCTGGCTACTGCCCACCCTGGCAGTAACAGTAACTAGATTTACCTAGAAACAGGGGTCTCAAAGCATAACACCAATATGTGTAGGCTACAATGGAAAATAACCCTTCATACCAAGATCCAGGAAATTCTCAAAAGAGAAAAGACAGTCAACAGATGCCAATATTGAGATGACACACATATTGGAATTATCTGACAAGGACTTGATAAGATTTTAAAGTAACTATCATAAAAATGCACTGGTGAACAATTATGAACACATTTGAAACAAATTTAAAGTGGGAATTCTCAGCAAAAAAACCCGACATGATAGAAGGGGGAAAAAAAAATAAATGAACCCAAAGATACATCAATAGAAATCATCCAAACTGAATAACAGAAAAAAAAAAAGATTAAACAGAAATTAACTCTCAGGAACTTCCAGCACAATAACAATAGATCTAATATTTGTGTCTTCAGAGACCCTACAAGGAAAGGCGGAGCTGAAAAAAATATGAAGAAATATGTTCCAAATTTGGCAAAATAGATAAGTCTAGAATCAGATTAAAAAATGGGAGGTTGAGGCAAGAAGAGAAAATAGAATAAGCTCATGCATCATTGCACAGGTAAGAGACAGAAGTAAAAAAATATATCATTTAAAACTGTCAAAACAGATAGTAAGAGAGCATTAAAAAGGTGTAAGAATAAAGGTAACCACTAGAACAAAAATACAAACTTCCCCAAATACCAAAAGAAAATTGAGAAAGACAAAAGTATGCTTAGCAGAGAAAAAAAAAAACACAGGGACATTATTTCACAAAATGACAGTTCAAATCAATCTATCAACCTATGTGAATGGGCCTAACTAACCTATTAAAAAAAAAAAAAGATTTTCAAATTGGCCCTGGCTCTCAAAACAAAACCCAATTCCACGCTGTATACAAGAGACACACATAAAACAAAGAATTTGGAAAGGCTAAAAATAAAGGGATGAGCAAAAGTATGCCAAGTAAATGATAAAAAGAAAGCTGAGGTTGTAACCCTGTTAAAAGACGACCAGTAGAATTTAATCTAAAAAGAATTACAAAGAAAAAAGGATACTTTACAAAGTTAAATCCCACAATTTATCATGAAAATACAACAGTTATAAACATCTATTAACCAAATAGCCCTGCAATCACTGTTTTAAAGCAGAGAATAAACACACACACACACACACACACAAATATATGTAAAAACATACTAATAATAGGAGGTTTTAACATACTACTGTCATATGAGGGAAGTCAAATAGGCAAAAAATAAAGGTATAACTCTTATGAATATATATTGAACTTTATACCCTGATAATGGCAACTACAACTTGCACATGTACAAATATCATATTAGGTTCAAAGAAAACATCAATAAATTACCTAAGTCAGAAACATTATAAGCCTATCACAAGGCAAAAAACTTATACATTAATAAAATGAAAACCAAAAAGGCTTTTCTATATAGAAATTTAATAGCCTTATATTAAACAGCTCTTAGGTGAAACACACACACACACACACACACACACACACACACACACACAAAACAGAAAAACCCAACAACAAAATTTCTATTTTTCTTTTCTTTTTGAGACAGAGTCTCACTCTGTCACCCCGGCTGGGGTGTAGTAGCACAATCTTGGCTCTCTGCAATCTCTGCCTCCTAAGTTCAAGTGATTCTCCTGCCTCAGTGCCCCATGTAGCTGGGATTACAGGCGCGTGCCATCACAGTCAGCTAATTTTTGTGTTTTTAGTAGAAATGGGGTTTCACCATGTTGGCCAGGCTGGTCTCAAACTCCTGACCTCAGGTGATCCACCCGCCTCAGCCTCCCAAAGTGCTGGGATTACAGGCATGAGCCAAAACGCCTGGCCTAAACTCAACAAAATTTCTAAAAAGTTAAAACAAAAATGCCACACATCAGAATCTATGACATTTATTTAAAACAGTGATTAAAGGAAAATTCATAGCCTTAAAAATTTATACAAATTTGTCTGAACCCATAGAATGCACAACAGCAAGAGTGAGTGAACAACAGTGTAAACTACGGATTTTGGGTGATTATGATGAGTCAATGAAAAATACAAAAGTAATGAGATAAAGAATAGAAAAATCATAGATCTAACTAATAAACTGAAACCCTGGTTCTCTGAAAAAAACAAAAAACAAACAAAAAAACAACTAAGAAAAAGTCCTACCTAACTTAATTAGAAAAGAGCAGGGAGGGGGCACAAATACACAAAATCAGAAATGATAAAATAACCCTTAAAATAATAAATTAGAACAAAAAACTACCCTGCACACTTTAATGCAAGTAAACATAGATGCAATGAATAATTTACTAGAACAATAGTTTATAAAAACTGACCTTCTTTAGAAAGAGTGCTTAAACAAGCCAACTTCCATATCAAAAATAAAGAAAATTATCATGAAACTAACTCCACAAAAAAGTACCAAATCCCCAAAGGATTTAAGAGGGAAACTATCAAATCTTCAAAGGTCAGACAGACTTGATGCTATATAAATTGTTCCAGAGTACAGAAAATGAAGGAAGCATAACATTAACACCTCAACTTTAATAAAACAATAGAAGTATAAAACTTAATACATCATGATTATAGCACCATTAACTAATGGTATTAACATAATTAAATTTAATATTAATATTTGTAATTAATGTAAATTATTGCCTAATAAATTGAACAAAAGCTAAACTGCAAACCAATATCACTTACGTGAATGCTGATGTAAAAATCTGAAATAAAATATTATTAACAGAATCACATACTACATTGAGAAACTAACATATAATGATCAAGTGAGATGATTCAAAGAATGCAAGGATGGTTCAATTTTTAAAAATATCATTAATATAAGTTTTATTAATAGATTTAAGGAGAAAATAATAGAATTTTCTCTACAGACACTGAAAAATTCATTACATTTTTTCAGTGTCCTTGATAGAACACCCAAAAAAGGAATGTATAGATATTTCTCTAACATAAAACATCTATAGTTCAGACAAAATGTAGATACAATTAAAAAAAATTGATGAATTTGATTATATACAAAAAGTTCACATGGCAAAACATCATAGTCAAAGACAAAAGACAAACTAGGGAAGTATTTTAAGTATGGCAGAACTAATATCCTTAATATATAAAGAACTCTTAAAACCTAAGAAAAAGACCAAAAATCCTACAGAAAAACAGACATTAAATATGACTAGTCTGTTCGCAAAGATACAAATTAAAATGGCCCTTAAACAAATGAAATAATGTTCAACGTCATTCATAAAAAGTAAAATGCAAATTAAAACTGAGATACTGTTTCTCACCTATCAGATGAGCAAAAATTTTAAATGTGACAACACACTCTATTGGCAAGGATACTGAGAAAGTCACTTTCACTTTTGAATGCATACTGCATACACTACATAATAGATAAAGGAGTCGAAAAATGTCATTTAAAACTATCAAAACAGTAAAAAAGAAAAGATATAAGAATAAGGGCAACCACAATAAAGGCAACCACTAGAACAAGAATACAAACCTTCCCAGATACCAAGGCAAAATGGCACAACCCTTACAGCAGGGAATTTGGCAGTATGCAACGAAATTACAAATGCATTTACTCTTTGACCCAGCAATCCTGCTTCTAAGAATATACCCTGAAGATATACCTCCAATAATATGAAAACACACAATAGTCATTGGTATAATACTTTTACATTTGCAAAATTCAGGAAATGGCCTAAATGCCTATCCATAATAGTGTGTTTAAATAAACTGTGTCCACAAAACAGAATCCTGTGCAAAACAACATGATGCCTTAAGATGTTTCTCCATTACATGGTCACTACTATTAGCAGAAAACTATTTTTTTTTCTAACTAATATAATAATGAAATTGTAGACTGAGCTCAACTAATGGTTTTCAGTGGGGTCTCCATGACAATATCTCAAAGGCTGGGAGAAGATAAGCTACAGCTGGGTGTTAGGCACCCTGAAACTGCAAATACTTGTAGTCTCTAATTTTTTATTTTTAGAGATGAGGTCCCAGTATGTTGCCTAGGCTGGGCTTGAACTCCTGGGCTCAAGCGATTTTCTTGCCTTTGATCTATATTAGCCTTTGAGCTATCAACCTAAAAAAAAAATTTGACCATTTATTCTCTGGCTCCTTATCTACTACATAAAAAGGGTATGTAGTTCTTTAGACAAGACTATATGATCTAGAACCTATTAAATCTCTGCCTTATTTTTTCCCCACTATTTGTTCCACATTTTATGCTTCTATCACACTTTAATTTTATTTAATTATTTTTTTTTAACACAGCATCTCGCTCTGTTGCCCACGTGGGAGTGCAGTGGCGTGATCTCGGTTCATTGCAACCTCCACCTCCCCGACTCAAGCGATTCTCCTGCCCCAGCCTCCCAAGTAGCTGGGATTACAGGCACGCATCATGATGCCCAGCTAATTTTTGTATTTTTAGTAGAGACGGGGTTTTGCTATGTTGGCCAGGCTGGTCTCAACTCCTGACCTCAAGTGATCCACTGTCCTCAGCCTTCCAAAGTGCTAGGATTACAAATATGAGCCACCGTGCCCAGCCATCATCATACTACTTTTAAAAACTCCTTTGTTGGTTCTTCTTCCCTTGCTGCCATTCCTGAAACGCCAGGAATTCCTAAGTTACATTTTTAGCCCTCCTTCCGAAATACAGCCTCCTCCAGGTGATCTCATTCAATGCCCAGGTTTTCATCAATCCCTTAAATACTGACGAATCCAAAATCTGTATTGTCTTTTGCTTTTGGAAAATACCGCCACTGAGGAACAACAAGTTCCAAGTTCTACTCACTTTATTTCCTAACACTCAAAGTTTTTTCTCCCTTAACGATTCCTATTATTGCAATTTAGTAATAGTCCATGCCTTCATCAACTTCCCTAAACCTATTATGATAGCAAAATACATCTACCTACAGTCAAACTTTCCCTACTTCAAACCTTCCATATTTGTGTTATTTGTCTGTTACAGATAATTTTATCTGTATAAAACAAATATCATTTCTCGATTTAAAAAATCTACAATGACTCTGCAGTCATTACAAGATAAACTTAAAACTCTTTAATATAGAATCAAAAACTCATATAAAAAATTAGCAGGGAGTGGTGGCATGCACTGTAATCCCAGCTACTGGAGAGGCTGAGGCAGGAGAATTCCTTCAACTCGGGAGGCGGAGGTTGCAGTGAGCCTAGATCGCGCCACTGCACTCCAGCCTGGGTGACAGAGCAAGACTCCATCTCGGAAAAAAAAGAAAAAAAAAAAAAAAAGAATCAAAGACTCTGCAAATTAACTCCTTAGCGAACGTATTAGGTTATTATCTACATGTATTCTCTTAAACCTCCATGTATTCTTGAGTTCTTAATATCTTCCCCCGTGTTCTTGAAATGACTTTCTCTCAACCTGTGAAAATCCTATTCATCCTAGTTATATGACATGAGACAAATTACTTAAGTACCTCTGCTTCTTTTACAACGTTTGTAGATGATGGAGATAATGAGAGTACCAATCTCACAAGAATTTTGTAAGAATTAAATGGGTTAACATAGCAAAAGTGCTTAAAACAGTGCCTGGCAGATTTTAAACTCAAT
This sequence comes from Homo sapiens, assembly GCF_000001405.40. Taxonomy (NCBI): domain Eukaryota; kingdom Metazoa; phylum Chordata; class Mammalia; order Primates; family Hominidae; genus Homo; species Homo sapiens. The sequence goes on from NC_000013.11 coordinate 49,717,778, forward strand.
AAATGGTAACTATGAACACTATAATCTTTGACTCTGTCCCCACTTCTGTCTCCTTATAATGCTCGTCTCAAATGTTACTTTGTCAACGAAGCTTTCTGCTTCGCTAGCAAAATTATCTGTGCTTCCATAATAAAGCACTTTGGTCACTGCTCTATCTTACCTTTTTTCTTGTTGGCTTTCATACCATGTTTTATGTTTATGTGCTTATGGTATGATTTTTTTTTTCACTGTGAGCCTATGGATTATACTGAATATGTGATCATGGTATGAAAAAGCACAGGCCTTGGACCTGGCTTCAGTTCTCAGGTATGGCTCTCATTCATTGCATGACCTTAGAAAGATTATTTAACTTTACCGAGTTTCAATCTCTGTATTTGTAAAATAGAAGAATAAAACTTATCTTACAAGGATACTGGTAAGATAAAAGGAGTCTACAGAGAGATCCAGCACAGCAATTTCTTGACATAAGTTCTTTCCTTTTAACTCTTTTTACATCTTTAATGTTAAGGTCTTAGAAGGCATGGTCTCTTTATGTCTTATCACTGAGTGTACAATTCATGGCACAATTCTGGCTTTAAGTGGAATAATTTGTGAGTGTTTGCTAAACTTGACTAATATACCTGTAACTACAGTACACTGCCACTTTAATACCCCAGCTTTCACATAAACACAACCAACAGATGGTGAAAGCTTTTATTTGCCTATAATTAATTCTATAATGTTCTGGGGGAAAGTCCTGAGGCAAACAGCAGATATTTTGCTTATTCCCCTTTTAATCTTTGCTGTCAGAAAGCTTACAACTAAACTTACCTTTCAACAGCAACAACTAAACTTCTGTATAAATTTTACTTTTTCCTTTACAGATATTATCTTATATGTCTTTTGTTAAGTCACTTTATATCCATTTTGGAAATAAGACGGCATATAAACATGTTTTACTTCATTTTAATGACATTTTAGGCTGTGTCAAACACGAAGTGACTTTAGCTACCTTTAAAAGATTCCATCCTGAGAGCTTAAAATCTGCAAATGAGCTAGAGTAATGTGATACAATTTTTATATACAAATTATATTGCCTTGTGAGAAAGGTAAGCAAAGATGTATTTCTTTGTCCCAATGATAAATTACACACAATTCACAATTCTGCCACACATATACACATATGTATGTACATGTTATGTGTATGTAGATAAAGATTACAAAAACACAAATATACAACAAATCAGAAAGAGATGTTAGTTAGAATAAAAGAAACTGGATCAACACTAGTCACCGAAATTTATCCACTGTTTTACTCCATGGAAAAGTAACAATTTACCTTACTGCATTTAGGAGAATTTTCAGATTGCCTAGATAGTATCAAACTTGCCAGAACGTTGACAGTAAATGCTTCACTAAATCTGAATATAATGAAAAAAAATCACCTAAAAATGCCTTGCATTTAAAACTATATATTCTTCTATACTATATCTAAAAAGACTGTAGCATAAAAAGGCAGCATGGTTTTGTGACAAGTACCCAAGACCTGTTATGAGAAGACTTTAATTTGAATATTGACTCTGACCCTTACTAGCTCTTCCACTTTAGATAAGTCATTTAATCTCTCTCTGAGAGTCCGTTTCTTCTTATTCTATAAAATGGGGGGAATAATATCTAGCCTATCTGTTGTAAGAACCAGTGAGATTTTTTTTAAAAAGTAAGGTGTTTCATGAGGTTTTACCGCTTTACAAATATTAAGGTTTAAAAACACTACTTAATAATGACAGAAATAAACTACATATGCAGTAATTTCTCAAAAGTGAGCATTTTTGCTGTCTGGCTGTTACTGCTTACAGATTTAAGCTATAAACCTAATTTAAGCTTAATCCTATTTCTGAAAACTGTAAATACGTTGTAGAAACTTGACAAGTTGATAAAATGTATGCTGACACTTACATAAAAACCCTTTCTGTCCCATCAAGAGCAAAATCCCACATTTAAGCTGCTTCTTAACTTACGTTTATATCTGTATGGTATATGAGGACACATAAAGCTGGCAAAATCTGAGGAAAGAAAATAAACAATACTTAACATTAGTTAATTAATATGTCTGTAAAAATGAACAACTTTGACATAAAAAGCGGTAAATATGGTTTGTAGGGCGAGAAAGACAATGTTAAATTTGTCTGAATATCTTTTAGGAAAATGAAAACCTGATAAATTCAATCTAAAAAAACCAAAAACATATCTCAAATGTTAAACTGAAATATGTTCAATTAACAAGTTAAAATATCCAAATAAATCTGGCAGAAGTTAATGTACCTTAAAATAAAAACATTTGTTTTTAATAACCTTCTTTATGGCATAAAATGTCAAGTGGAAAAAATGGAGATGCAAATATACAGTTACAGCTATTTAAGAAAAGCTACACTTAAAACTGCCGTAATTGTCTCACTTACCTGCTTAACGTAAAAATACGATTTTACTTAATAAGCTACTTAAGTCAAATTAAAGTTTTCAACTTCACCTTTAGTCAAGAAAATTCGAACCAGTACAAAGTACAAAGCTTTGCTTGTTAAATTCAGGCCCCAGAGATCTCTTTTTAAAATATGGGAGAAAGGGAGCAGGGGGTTGTAGGAAATCACACAAAATACCTTTGCATAGCAACAAAAAGTAGCAGGTACTAGAGAAAGATGTCCATTATAAAGATACACAGTTGGCCAAGTGTGGTGGCTCATGCTTGTAATCCCACCACTTTGGGAGGGTGAGGTGGGTGGACTGCTTGATGCCAGGAGTTCAAGACCAGCTGGCCAACATGGTGAAAACCCATTTCTACTAAAAATACAAAAATTAGCCTGGCATGGTGGCACATGCCTGAGACATGAGAATCGCTTGAACCCCGGATGTGGAGGCTGCAGTGGGCAAAGATTGTGCCACTGCACTCCAGCCTGGGAAACAGAGCGAGACTGTCTCAAAAAAAAAAAAAAAAAAAAGAGATAACACAGTCAACAGTGAATAAAGGTTATGTAGGATTTTTTTTTAAAATGCAAAGCACAAGGATCTATTTACATATCAAATGTAAATAAAAAAGTTTTTACTTTGTTTTAATTAGTAGATTTAACAAAAAATATGTCACACTTTTAAGAACTCCAATTTTGTCAGTAATAAATTGGAGTTAGGCCGTGGGGGCAGTGGCTCACACCTGTAATCCCAGCACTTTGGGATACTGAGGTGAGCAGATCACTTCAGGTCAGGAGTTTGAGACCAGCCTGGCCTACACAGTGAAACCCCATCTCTACTAAAAATACAAAAACTAGCCGGGTGTGGTGGCGCTGGCCTGTAATCCCAGCTACTCAGGAGGCTGAGGCACGAGACTCGCTTGAACCCAGGAGGCAGAGGCTGCAGTGAGCTGAGATCATGCCACTGCACTCCAGCCTGGGCAATAGAACAAGACTGTCTCAAAAGAAGAAGAAGAAGAAAAAAAATCAATTGGACTTAAAGCAAACTCATTCAAGAACATTTGCATGTAAGTATACTAGTTTTGCCTGTAGCAACCCCCTTTTATAGCTTTAAACCAACAATGCAATACAGTAATAAAACTTTGAGATTGTTTTCCTTTTGTATTTTTCTCTCTGAATTTTTATATTTTCTTTTTATGCAGATAATCAAAAAAATAGGCATTAGGATGAACTGACATTCTTTCAGGTACAGTAAGACACTCAACTTTTATTTCATAGGAGTAATTAAATATGGTACGTTACTTTTAAAATCTTACACCTGTGGCTGGGCGTGGTGGCTCAGGCCTGTCATCCCAGCACTTTGGGAGGCCGAGGCGGGCAGATCACGAGGTCAGGAGGTCGAGACCATCCTGGCTAACATGGTGAAACCCCGTCTGTACTAAAAATACAAAAAAATTAGCCAGGCGTGGTGGCGGGTGCCTGTAGTCCCAGCTACTCAGGAGGCTGAGGCAGGAGAATGGCGTGAACCCAGGAAGTGGAGCTTGCCGTGAGCCAAGATCGCGCCACTGCACTCCAGCCTGGGCGACAGAGCAAGACTCCGTTATCAAACAAACAAACAAACAAAAAACTCACACCTGCAATGAAATCAGTATATGTATTATTTTGTCCCCTGTATATGAATTCCTGAAGTACAAACATAGGGAAAATATACCATCTGGCCTTTACAATTCTTCATTTACCTCCTGAACTGTCTCCATAGGCGGCGGGGGATCCTTATTCCTGCAGAGATTGACAATGACCCATGTGACGTTCCGAAGGAAGGTGATGGGGATGGAGGGACTGATGAAGGACAGAAGAGGTTTGACAACTCCCAGTGATATGACATAATCTCTACATTGAGGACCATCACCTACAGAAATGAAAATTATATTTAAAAAAAACTTACATTCAGGATGAGAAAGTCTGAAATGTATGCAATGGCTCATGTGGGAACACTGACGTTCTATGTTTCCTCACCATTAGTCAAAGGCATCAAGTGTTGTTTCTCCAGATTTTGATCTGGGGAACGTAAATTTAACCTACCAATGCTAACAGCAAACTGTATATCCTTTTCAAAGAGCATCATCTTAAGTCAGTACTTATGAGGCAAGAAGAGAGTCAACACACATTAAATTCAGAGGAAACATAGTATGTAATGGCTATGCCAATGTAGGAAAAAAGTTAATTTAGATTCTTAAGAGGATTCCTTTCAAACCACTTACCTATAATGTTTCCCAAAGCCCATACTGCTTGTTCACAAACATTCTGATGTGGTGAACGAAGAAGTCTCAGAAAAAGAGGTACTGCATCTGTAATAAAGAAAAACTAATATTTATACTAGCAACATGTTGAAGAGTTTACAGATTTCAGATCAAAGAAATTGATCAAATACACAGCCTGGCATATTGTAGCTGGAAGAACAAATGTGGCAAATATCTTTACCCTAAAAAGAATCAATTTCAGTATTTTCCCCTAGTAATAGTCAAGTACCGTAACCAACTGGCAGTATCTAAAGGTTGCTATCATACCATTAACTAAAAGAAAGCAACAGCATGAAATCCTTCCTATAATCCATTAAAAAAAAAAAAAAAAAAAAAAGAGTTCCTACCCCAAACATGTAACCTTAAAATGTAATGCTTTAGTCTACAAAATCTCAATTCCTGATACGGGGATTAACCAAAGAACTGATTAATCTCATATCAGGTCTATCTTATACTTTAAAATAATTTCTCATAATCCTTACTCTTTACAGAATGTATACATTATACCCATTTCCAGCATAAGCTAGATCACTTTTTAAAAATTTCAATCAACTGTGCACTACCTCATTTTTTTTTTTTTGCTGTATCTGTGTATTACTTGTATTATTTACTTAAAATTTAAATTAATTCAGTTTTAACAACTTTACGGAGATATAATTACAATAAATTTACATTTAAGTGTGTAATTCAATGACATTTCATATTTATACAGAGTTGTGAGGACATCGCCACAATCTAATTTTATAACATTTCCAGGACCTCAAAAGAAATCTTGGCTGGGTATGATGGCTCATGCCTGTAATCCTAACACTCTGGGAGGCCGAGGCAGATGGATCACCAGGTCAGGAGTTCAAGACCAGCCTGGCCAAGATGGTGAAACCCTGTCTCTACTAAAAATATAAAAATTAGCCGGGCGTGGTGGTGGGCGCCTGTAATCCCAGCTACTTTGGAGGCTGAGGCAGAGAACTGCTTGAACCAGGGAGACGGAGGTTGCAGTGAGCCAAGATCGTGCCACTGCACTCCAGCCTGGGTGACAGAGCAAGACTCTGTCTCAAAAAAAAAAAATATCATACTCAGCCGGGCACAGTGGCTCACACCTATAATCTCAGCACTTTGGGAAGCGAGGCGGGCAGATCACGAGGTCAAGAGGTTGAGACCATCCTGGCCAACATAGTGAAACCCCGTCTCTACTAAAAATACAAAAATTAGCTGGACATGGTGGTGTGTGCCTGTAGTCCCAGCTACTTGGGAGGGTGAGGCAGGAGAATTGCTTGAACCCAGGAGACGGAAGTTGCAGTGAGCTGAGATCACGCCACTGCACTCCAGCCTGGCGACAGAGCGAGACTCCGTCTTAAAAAAAAAAAAAAAAGAAAAGAAAAAAGAAAAAAGAAATCTCATACTTAAGGCAGTCATTCCACATTTGTTCCTCTGCCACACATTCCCCAAGCGGCAGGCAACCATTAAATATCTGCTTTCTGTCTTTACAGATTTGCCTATTCTGGACATTTCATACAAATGAAATCATACTGTGTTTTTTGGGGGGTCTGACTTCACTTAACATTCTTCAGGTTCATCCATGTGGTAACAGGTATTGGTACTTCATTCTTTTTTACTGCTGAATTGTATTCCATTGTATACACCACATTCACTTTATCCACTCCTCGGTTAATGAACATTTGGGTTAGTTATGAATAACATTGCTGTGAATATTTATGTACAAGTGTTTGTATGAATATGTTTTCATATCTCTTGGTTTCACCTAGGAGTAGAACTGCTGGGTCACATGATAACTTTTTTTTTTTTTTTGAGGTGGAGTCTCGCTTTGTCACCCAGGCTGGAGTGCAGCGGCACGATCTCGGCTCACTGCAAGCTCCGCCTCCCGGGTTCACGCCATTCTCCCGCCTCAGCCTCCCAAGCAGCTGGGACTACAGGCGCCCGCCACCATGCCCGGCTAATTTTGTTTTTGTATTTTTAGTAGAGACAGGGTTTCACCATGTTAGCAAGGATGGTCTTGATCTCCTGACCTCGTGATCCACCCGCCTCGGCCTCCCAAAGTGCTGGGATTACAGGCTTGAGCCACTGCACCCAGCCTTTGTTTTTGAGATAGGGTCTCACTCTGTCGCCGGGGCTGGAATGCAGTGTGCAGTCTCGGCTCACTGCAACCTCTGCCTCCCTGGCTCAAGCGATCCTCTCGCCTCTGTCTCCTGAGTAGGTGCGACTATAGGCATGCGCCACCATGCAATGCTAATTTTTAAATATTTTGTAGAGACACGATTTTGTCATGTCACCTAGGCTGTTCTTGAACTCCTGAACTCAAGTGATCTGCTTGCCTTAGCCTCCCAAAGTGCTGGGATTAGAGGCATGAGCCACCTGTGGGTCTGGTGAGAATAGTATTCTCAATACATGATTCAATGTAACTTACTGCCATATCACATGCTACTTAAAATCACCTTGATTACCACACCTAAAATTAGCTAAGTGTCCCATACTATAATAACGTACGTGGTGATATCTAGTACTTTTCTAAAGAGCTTGTGTCAGTGTCATTTAACAATAATTATTAGCCCATCTTGAGGAAAGTAAAATTTAAAATATGTCATAAGCTAAAAGGCAGAAGCCATTCAGCATCTTGAAGATATCAGAAACGGAATTTAAAATCCTGTTATCACAGCATGATGTCTACTCCAAAAGATAAAACTCTACTCTTCTTTTAATAACCACAATTAAAAATTTTTCATGATAAATTAATGACGGCTATGAAAAAGATATCGGTCATCAAAAGTAACTTATAAAAGTCATCATTTAAAAAATGTTACAAGATAAAATTTCTTTATTACAAAACTCTACTTCCTTGCCATCATTAAAACACAAAAAGTTCAGACAGTAAGGAATTTACTTACTAGACTGCACAACAGCTTGAGTCTGTGCAGAAGTTCCTGATGCTATGTTAGTTAATGCCCAAGCAGCTTCAAACTGTAATGAAGGACTGTAAAAAAACAATAACACATCTTTTTAGACACATAACTACCACTTAAATTAATGAATCTTAAGACTGATAAGATATGGCTATTCTTTGCCTTGTCCTTGAATTTCACCTTGTTATAATCCAATTGCCTGCTAGCCAACCCTACTTTTTTTTTTTTTTTGAGATGGAGTCTCCCTCCATCACCCAGGCGGGAGTGCAGTGGCGCCATCTTGACTCATTGCAATCTCTGCCTCTGGGGTTCAAGTGATTCTCGTCTCCACCTCCCAAGTAGCTGGGATTACAGGTGCACATCACCACACCTGGCTCATTTTTGTACTTTTAGTAGAGATAGGGTTTCACTATGTTGGCCAGGCTGGTCCTGAACCCCTGACTTCAGGTGATCTGCCCACCTCGGCTTCCCAAAGTGCTGGGATTATAGGCATGAGCCACTGCACCCAGCAGCCATCTCTACTTAAAAAATCTCTTTGGCTCCCAAAGCCAGTCACTATGAACCTGCTTCTTTATGTCCACTGGTATTACAACATTTAGCCAGTCATTATTTCCCTTGACTTCGACTTCCTCTCCACAGACACATCTAATCAATATATCATGTCGATTTTACCTCTTAAACATTTCTTACATTTATATAATCACCCCTAATATCAAGTGCTAGTTGAGGCCCTCATCATCTCACTTTAACCACTATCACACGCTCTAGGCTGGTCTTAAAGCTAGAACCCCATCTGTCTCCATTACACCATCTGCTTTACATACTAGGGATATTACAAGGCTGTATAATTTTGTTGAAAAAACAAGATCATTATATTTTCGAATAGTAATGGAAGACCTCACAAAGAAAGTGACAACTGAACTAGCTTTTCAAAGATGGATTTAAAAAGAAAGGCAGTGACAGTGGGAAATAAAACAGGTATCATGCATGGAAGGATCATGATGTGTAGGAACGACAAGGATTAGATCAAGAGAGCTGAAACTAACTAAGAAGCAAGTAACAGGGTGTTTGTGCATGTGTGTGTGTGTTTCAGGATGGGAGTGAGGAGTGTATTCTACAGATATGCTAAGGATGGGGCATTGAAAAAGGGAGGAAAGAAAATAATGTTCAAATCAATGGTATGCAGAATGGCTAAAAAAGGTTAAAGGCTGATATAGGAGAGACCTATTAAAAGACATGTTGGGGCTTACACCTGTAGTCCCAGCACTTTGGGAGGCTGAGGCAGGCAGATCGCTTGAGCCAAAAAGTTCGAAACCAGCCTGGGCAACACGGTGAGACCCCATTTTTACAAAAAATAAAAAAATCAGCCAGATGTGGTGGTACACACCTGTAGTCCCAGCTACTTGGGATGCTGGGCGGGGGTGGGATGGGGGGATTGCTTGAGCCTAGGAGTTTGAGGATTCAATGAGCTGTGATTGTGTCACTGCACTCCAGCCTGGGTGACAGAGTGAAACCCTGTCACAAAAAAGACATAAAGGAAAGACCTGTTAAAAGGAAATGATAGATATTAAGTTAGGATAGCTGAAAGAGTACAAATTCCCTTAAGTGGAATACCAAGGATTGGGGGGATTTAGTCAGCAAAAATTAAGATTAGACAAAGGTTAGGGAGTTTGAAGAAAAGCCTATAAACAGGGAAGAGAGCAAGCAAGGTTGTTAGTATCAAAAGGTTAAAGAAGTCCGGGCAAGGTGGTTCACACCTGTAACCCCAGCACTTTGGGAGGCCAAGGCAGATGGATCACCTGAGGTCGGGAGTTTGAAACCAGCCTGGCCAACATGGCAAAACCCCCTCTCTACTAAAAATACAAAAATTAGCTGGACATGATGGTGCGTGCCTATAATCCCAGCTGCTCGGGAGGCTGAGGCAGGAGAATCCCTTGAACCCAGGAGGCGGAGGTTGTGGTGAGCTGAGATTGCACCACTGCACTCCAGCCTGGGCGACAGAGAGAGATTCCATCTCAAAAAAAAAAAAAAAAGAAAGAAAAAAGAGAAAAAAGGTTGAAGAGATCCAAGAACAAAAGGTTTTAAGGAGAATAGATGTCAGAGATATAGCAAATAGTGATATACAGGTTAAAAAGATGGAACATATGAGAAAATGAAGTAGCAGAGAAGAACTATGAGGGGACTTTAAAAAACTCATTAAAAATGTGTATTATGAAAAAAACTCCATGGATTTCAATTTTTTTGCACCAAAATAAACTCATACTAACTTTCTATACACGTCTGAACATGATCTAGTTTGAGGCACTAAGAGGGGTAAGGGGTAAGTCATCAATCTGAAAAGAGCCCCTAGAAGAGCAACATGAATCCTGCTAAAATTAAAGCAAAAACAAACATCAAATTTATGGTGAAGCTTGGGTGAAATAATGGTGAACTCACTGATGTACTTAAAACTTTACGGGGAAAATGCCCCCAAAGAAATCAGCGGTTTACAAATGGTTAACTCCTTTTAAGAAGGGACAAGTCGGCCGGGCATGGTGGCTCACGCCTGTAATCCCAGCACTTTAGGAGGCTGAGGCAGGCGGATCACGAGGTAAGGAGATCGAGACCATCCTGGCTAACACGGTGAAACCCCATCTCTATTAAAAATACAAAAAGTCAGCCGGGCGTGGTGGCAGGCACCTGTAGACCCAGCTACTCGGGAGGCTGAGGCAGGAGAATGGTGTGAACCCAGGAGGCGGAGCTTGCAGTGAGCTGATATCGTGCCACTGCACTCCAGCCTGGGCGACAGAGCGAGACTCTGTCTCAAAAAAAAAAAAAAAAAGGACAAGTCGATGTTGAAGATGAAATCCACAGCGGCAAACAATCAACAACAATATCTGAGGAAAAGATTAATCTTGGTCGTGCCCTAACAGAAGATGATTGCTGATTAACAGCAGAAACAATAACCAATACCAGACATCTTGATTGGTTCAGCTTACAAAATTATGACTGAAAAATTAAAGTTGAGCAAACTTTCCCCTTGATAGGTGTCAAAACCATTGTGCCCAGATAAGCCGTAGACAACAGCAGAGCTTCCAATGAAAATTTTAAACCAGAGGGATCAAGATCCTGAAGTATTTCTTCAAGGAATTGTAAAAGGAGATGAAACATGGCTTTCCCAGTATGATCCTAAAGACAAAGTACAATCGAAGCAAAAGTGGACTGGTCAGGAGGAAAGGTAATGACTAAAAAGTTTTTGGGGATGCTCAAGGTATTATTCTTGTTGACCTTCTAGAGGGCCAAAGAATGATAACACCTGCTTATTATGAGAGTGTTTTGAGAAAGTCAGCCAAAGCTTTAGCAGAAAAAAGCCTGAGAGAGCTTTACCAGAGAGTCTTTCTCCACCACAATGTTTCTGTTCATTCTGCTCATCAAACAAGAGCAATTTTGCAAGAGAATCAATAGGAAATCATTAGGTATCCACCTTACAGTTCTGATTTGGCCATCTTGTGACTTCTTTTTGTTTCCTAATCTTAAAAAAACAACCTGTAAAGGGCATCTAGTTTTCTTCAGTTAATATCATGAAAAAGACTGCGCTGACATGGTTAAATTCCCAGGACCCTCAGTTCTTTAGGGATAGACAATGGCTGGTAGTATCACTTACAAAAGTGTCTTGACCTTGATGGAGCTTATGTTGAGAAATCAAGTTTATATATTTATTATCTTTCATATATTTTATTGTCTTTTGATTCCACTTTTCCACAAACTTTTAAAATTTCCCCTGTATATGATGAATTCTAGCAGAAGGCAGGAAATAAGATGGTATATCAGAGGCAGGGAAGAAGTAAAAAAAACAGTAAGATCAAAAACAGTAAGACAGTATATGTTGCCTCAGACTGGAAGGAGAAAGTTATTAAGCTGGTTAGGTGGTTTGGCAAAATACTGGGAATGGGGGACTTAAATGAGAAAATGGATAAATGTAAAAAATAAAATTATAAAGCCAAAGAAAGTCTTTCAAGATGTCATGTGGAAAAATAAAAAAAAATGAGAAAAGATATAGAAAAAACGAGTGCAATAACAAATGGACATTTATGGCCGAGTGCGGTGGCTCACGCCTGTAATCCCAGCACTTTGAGAGGCCGAGGTGGGTGGATCACAAGGTCAGGAGATCGAGACCATCCTGTGAATGGTGAAACCCCATCTCTACTAGAAATAAAAAAATTAGCTGGGCGTGGTGGCAGGCGCCTGTAGCCCCAGCTACTCGGGAGGCTGAGGCAGGAGAATGGCGTGAACCCAGGAAGCGGAGCTTGCAGTGAGCCAAGATTGTGCCACTGCACTCCAGCCTGGGCAACAGAGCGAGACTCGGTCTCAAAAAAATAAATAAATAAAAATAAAAAATAAATGGACATTTATCATAAGTTTGACATTGTGTAGAGTGCTTTGTATGTATTATTTCCATTCCTTACCATCACCTAATTTTTATAGATGAGATAGCTGAGGTTCAAAAGCCACGTGGATTTTTATCAACAGCAAACCCTGGATTTGAACCACAGTCAATCTGGCTCCAAAGTATATGGCCTTTTACATTATAACACAACTTCCCATGACAAATCCATAAAGTCAGATCCAAATCACGGAAAATTTTCTGTTTTTGCTTTGGGTGGTGGTTACAGAGGTCTGAGTTTCATAATTATTCATTAAGCTGTATATATTTTAGCATATTTTTCTGTATTATATGTTATGTTTCATAGACACAGACACACAAATGAGTCTACATATAAAAGACTGGAAAGAAAAGGAAAAAAAGAAGAAGAGAAGTTGGCCACAAACAAGGGGCCCTAGGCCGGGCCCAGTGGCTCATGCCTGTAATGTCTGCACTTTGGGAGGCTAAGGCAGGAGGATCACCTGATGTCAAGAGTTCAAGACCAGCCTGGCCAACATGGTGAAACCCCATCTATACTAAAAATACAAAAATTAGCCACACCTGTAATCCCAGCTACTCAAAGAGGCTGAGGCATGAGAATCGCTTGAACCCGGGAGGCAGACATTGCAGTGAGCCAAGATTGCACCACTGCACTCTACCCTGGGCAACAGAGCGAGACTCTGTCTCAAAAAAAAAAAAAAAAAAAAAAAAAAAAAAAAAAAAGAACAACTGGAGGGTCCTAAAGGTAGAAGTAGAATAGAACTTATTTATTTATTTATTTTATTTTATTTTTATTATTATTATACTTTAAGTTTTAGGGTACATGTGCACAATGTGCAGGTTAGTTACATATGTATACATGTGCCATGCTGGTGTGCTGCACCCATTAACTCGTCATTCAGCATTAGGTATATCTCCTAATGCTATCCCTCCCCCCTCCCCCCTATTTATTCATTTATTTTGAGACGGAGTCTTGCTCTGTCGCCCAGGCTGGAGTGCAGTGGTGCGATCTCGGCTCACCGCAACCTCCGCCTCCCAGGTTCACACCATTCTCCTGCCTCAGCCTCCCAAGTAGCTGGGACTACATGCGCCTGCCACCACGCCCGGCTGATTTTTTTTAATATTTTTTAATAGAGACAGGGTTTCACCACGTTAGCCAGGATGGTCTCGATCTCCTGACCTCATGACCCACCTGCCTCAGCCTCCCAAAGTGCTGAGACTACAGGTGTGAGCCACTGCACCCAGCCGAATTTATTTTTTGAGTCAGGGTCTTGCTCTGTTACCCAGGCTGGAGTGCAATGGCATGATATTGGCTCAGGACAACCTCCACATTCCAGGCTCAAACGATCCTCCTACCTCAGCCTCCCAAGTAGCTGGGACTATAGGCATGTGCCACCATGCCTGGCTAATTTTCGTGTTTTTTTTTTTTTTTTTTTTGTAGAGCTGGGATGTTACCATGTTGCCCAGGCTGCTCTCGAACTCCTGGACTCAAGCGATCCACCTACCTCGGCCTCCCAAAGTGCTGGGATTACAGGCGTGAGCCACTGCGTCCAGCCAGAATTTATTTTTTCAACAGCTAAAATAAAACTTACCTTTACTTAAGTAACACTGTTACAGAAAACAAACATGATAGTATTTTAAAAAGTGTTACAGGCCTGGGGGTGGAAAGTGGGAGAGGTTGTGGCACACAACGAAAGCAAATGGTATTTTTAAATACTAAAAACCCTTAGTGGCAACATTTATATACCACTATTCTTATCTAGCCAACTGAAAATTCCTTGGACAACATTTAGCAAAATATCCCAAGTTTCAGTCTAGATGCTCTTAAATGCAAAAAAAAAGCATTTGTTTTAATATGTTTTGGAGTTCAAACTTATATTCTCCCCAGTTAATCCAAATTAACAAAGTTTAAGGCACAGCACTGAGATATCACTAAACAAAAATGGAAATAGGGCCAGTTCCTCAAAAGATATCCAGTGGAGTTTTACTCCTTCTCTCCTGGGTAAATATAACCTGTCCCCTTATTCTTAATTTGCAGCAAACAAAAAGTCTGACATTGGACAACTTATCATGGATGAAGTTCTGTTAAAGACAACACAGAGGATCAGTAATCAGCTGGAAGATTCCCAGGGTAAGAAAGAGCCACTTAGTTCTGGAAACCATCCATGTTGACTTAGTCATGAGGTTAATCTATATATAGGCTCATAAGCAAAGAGTGACTCAAACATTATTTGGGTTGTTTTAAAATATTAGTAATAAAAAATCCTAATAAAGACTATAAATATTTGAGATAAGTTAAAACAGGCAATAAACAGGAGATAAAAATTTCCTAGAAAACATACACATCCTTCAGAAATGAAAACGAGAAGCACTCTGGGTCTGCTAAATATGATCACAGAATAAGAAAATTAAATTAAAATATATGACGATTGAAAAACATCATAAGTACAAAACCAAACTGAACTCACTGGTTAAGTAATAATCCAAACTTTTAAGTTAACTGAAAAAAACTGAATAGGGAGTAAAATCCATACTTACTTATCATCCCTTTCTAGACATTTGACTAGAATTGGTAAAATCCCAGATTTTATTAAGTCATCAATCGGTGGATTTCTGTCACTGGATAACAGTTTTCTAGGAAAATAAATATGAGAAATTAATTGCTATAATTTTCAAACTGTGAAAAGAAATAACAACATATTAACTTCTAGACTACCAGGTAACACAACTGAGGAATGACATAATTCTCTCTCTAGACAAATTAGTATTTACCTTGCTGCCTGGACAGCACTCAATTGGACCACTGGGTTATCACTTGTGGCATTCTGCAATACCAAATGTAAATTTCAGAAATGAAAAAAAAAAAATCAATTTCAAAATACTTCAAAACGAGAGTATTAATTTAGTAACATACCTGCAATATAGCTTCTAGGGTTACATTTTGCTTAAAAAGAAAAAAAAAATAGTTCAGCAGAGTTTATTAACAAAATTACATTCATTAAACAGTGTACCTGAGTTAATATACTTTCATTATCATTATAAAGTTGGTCTTATATTAAAAATGAAGTTCTCACAGTTACTATAAAAATTATTTTAAAATCACTATTAAAACATGGTAACTTACTGCTTTAAAATCAGCATCAACATCTGAATCTTCTAGACTTTCTTCTTGGGGAACATTTCTCTTTTTCAATAAGTGTTCATCTCTTTTGTTCTGAAAGGCAACCAATAAATGCTTAAGAAGTCATAAGGACTACTGTTAATGAAAAATCCATTAAAACTACTTCAACTTTATTAGGCAATTATGAAACAAATACTGAACACATAAGGATAATATGAATTAAATGTGCATACTGCAAACCAATGACAAGGGTCACATTCTGGCTTCGGTAACAAAATTTCCTGGCTGGCTTTTACACACACACACTTCATTAAGCACCCACTGTGGTGTTTTTTTTTTTTTTTTTTTTTGGAGACAAGAGTCTTGCTCTGTCACCCAGTCTGGAGTGCAGTGGCACAATCTCAGCTCACTTCCAACCTCTGCTTCCTGGGTTCAGGTGATTCTCGTGCCTCAAACTCCTGAGTAGCTGGGATTACAGTCGTGCGCCACCACACCTGGCTAATTTTTATATTTTTAGTAGAGATGTGTTTTTGCCGTGTTGGCCAGGCTGATCTCAAACTCCTGGCCTCAAGTGATCCGCTTGCCGCGGCCTCCCAAAGTGCTGGGATTACAAGCGTGAGCCACTGCGCCTTGCCTATTTGCGTAAGTTTGCTCATACTTAAATTGTAGATTGTTTGCAAAAATGGCAGTAATTCCCCTTCCCATATCCAGTCCCGCACTGACTGTAGGCATGGCTGTGTGACTTGCTTTGGCAATGGGACATTAAGCAAACAGACTTGAAAAGTGCTTACACATCAGGGACAGGTTCTCTTTTGCAACTTTTTTCCTGAAATCACCTTGTGAACACTGAGCCATGGAGAATAAGACTGTGTGGACAACAAACAAGTCCCAGCCAAGTTACCTGAGACCATGTTAGATCATCTAGTCACCAACCAACCCTGTCAGCTGACCAGAGACAGTAAGGGAAGCCTGCAGAAAACAGTTGAACTGGCCTGTGCCAGAAAACCCACTCTGCCAACCCACAAAATTGTTAGCTCAATAAAATGGCTATTGTTTTAAGCTACATAGTTTGGAGTGGTGTATTATGAAGCAAAAAACTAGATGATGCACTCATGTTTTTAAATTTATGCTGTATTTAAATTAATAAGACTTCTAAAATTCCTGGTATTTTGTTGTTGTTCCTTCTCTCTACTTGCTATAAATTTGTCTCCTGAATTACCACTTTAACTGTATTCTACAGGTTCTGACATATAATAGTTTTCCTACTGTTCATTTTTAGGTATTCCTAGAATCCATTAAGATTTCTTTTATACTCAATATATTCAATATATTCAGACATACTTTAAAACGTTCACAACTATGAGGTTTTTGTAACTGTCTTATTCAGTGATTTCTAATTTAATTACATTGAAGTCAGAGAACATGTATGTACAATACACTGAAATTAGCTGACATCTGCTTTATACCAGAAGTTCCCAAACTTTCTCAGTCCACAGTGTACGCCAAAGTAGTCATTTGGGAAAAAGAAAAGAAAAACAAATAAACTAAAAGAAAAAATTATTTCACTCTTAGATAAAATAATTGTAGAAAGGAATGTAGTGTTATTTAAGTGTTTAAACTGTGGACTACCTCGAGATCTAATAGTTCTGTGGTGTCTGAAAGATGTCACTGTATTTCTCTCAAAACTGAAATATCCCAAAGACCCTTTCAGGTCACTGTGGAGCCCCATGTTACCTCAGCGCAGAGTTTGGAAACTACATCTTATTCTATCATAAAACCAGTTTCCAAACACATATGTGGTTTTACATGTGTCTATTAGTTAAAATTTGTGAATTAAATTATTCAAATTTTCTATCTCTTCTTGTGTTTATTCATTACTAAGAAAATCTCCCACAATGATTATATCTTTGATGAATTTCCCCTTCTAATTTTGCAAATTTTGACTTTATATATATATATATACACACACATATATATATATATATAGAGAGAGAGATAGATAGAGAGAGAGAGAGAGAGAGACATTCTATTAGGCATATACTAGTTTAGAGCTATTATAGCTTCTTTGTAAATTATTTCTTTTATCAAACATTGGGTAACAACCCCTGCATTTAAATTGAAAACATCCTAACATAGACCAAAATATCTATGGCACAAGAACCATATTTACTTATTTTTTATTTTTTAGATGGAGTTTTTGCTCTTGTTGCCCAGGCTGCAGTGCAATGGTGCGATCTCAGCTCACTGCAACCTCCACCTCCCGGGTTCAAGTGATTCTCCTGCCTCAGCCTCCTGAATAGCTGGGATTACAGGCATGCGCCTCCATACCCGGCTAATTTTGTATTTTTAGTAGAGACGGGGTTTCTCCATGTTGGTCAGGCTGGTCTCGAACTCCTGACCTCAGGTGATCCGCCCACCTCAGCCTCCAAAAGTGGTAGGGTTACAGTCGTGAGCCACCGCGCCCGCCCCATACTTTACTCTTAACAAAAATATGTACAAGCCAAGGAAAAATAATCACTGGGCAGGTTTCTAATGGTCAGATTAATCATTAAAACCAGTAACTTAAACTGTCCCTTCAGTTGATACCTAGAGATTTTTACCCTCCTGAAAACTGCACTACAATAAATTCAGCATCCGTAAAGGGTATACTTTTCTTTTGTCAGGTGAGAAAGCAGCTCAGGGGTTATGGGAACTTACCTAATTTCAACACCCAACCAATCCTTAAACACACATATGGATTAAATGGATTTCTTAAATTCCTTTAAAAATCCATTATTAATCTATTATCCACGTATGCATGTATCTACCTAGCCCTTTTGGATCTTCTGTTTTTTACTAGGTTGAACCACATGAACTGCTTTGTAGGTCAAAGCAGTTAACTATGGGCGATTTCTTATAACCCAACTTAATATATTGTTTGAGTTAGTAAGTTCTGTATGTTATTAAACTCTATATAAAGTACTTCCTTTTCATTCCCAAATTCCTCTTTCCACCTTGAAAAACTGGCTTGCAATTCTATACCTAAACTTGTGGAGCAAGTTTGATGCCAATTCTTTTAAATCTTATGAAAAGGATAATTACATTATTTATCAGCCCCCTTTCAAGCTTGAAATAAGTAATTAAATCTGTTTTTATCCAATAATACCCTCACTTTAAATCTTCATCTAGTTTAGGTTTTAGTTCCTTGGGTTTTGTTTTGTTTTTTAAGAAATAGTCCAACCCTGGTTGCATCTAAATGCTTTTAATGAGGTAGGAAAATATACTCAATGAAAATTCCCCTCAATATTAACATTTATGAAATGATATTACTGCTGGGTGACTACATGGATATTCACCCACAAGTTTTATAAGTTATATTTATGTTTTGGGCACTCTGTTCAGTGTGTTATGCTTTGATTAAAACAAATTTTTTAAAATAACACTACTGGTTCATGAATCATGTTAAGAACTGACAATCTAATGCATGTTTCTTTTTTCCCTGCAGGATCATTTAATTCATCTTATCAAATAGCTGCTTTTTTCGATACTAACTTAGACTTTTTTTGGTAACTGAAATTTTTATTGAGATAATTGTATATTCACATGCAGTTATAAGAATATGGAGAGATCCCTTGTATGCTTTGCCCAGGTTACCCCAAAGGTAACACTTTGCAAAACTATAGTACAGTATCACAACTGGGATACTGACATTGATACAATCCACTTATTTTATTCAGACTTCTCGTTTTACATGTATTTGCATGTGTGTGTGTGTATTACATCCCATACAATTTTATCACCTGTATAGATTCATGTTATCTACCACCACAGTCAAGATGGTAAACACTTCCAAAAACACAAGATGCATTCCTCCTTTTATAAGCAAAATCAACTCCTTCTCATCTGACACCGTATATAACCCTTGGCAACTACTAACCTGTCTTCCATTTCTAAAATTTTATCATTTCAAAAATTTTATATAAATGGGATCGTATGGTATATAACCTTTTTATGACAGAATTATAGGCTCAGTATAATTGTCTGGAGATTTATATAAATTGTTGCTTGTATCAACAATTGTTGCTTATATAATTGTTCATTTTTATTGCCAAATAGTATTTCATCATATAGATATACTGTAGACATATTACAGTATGTCTATTTACCCATTAAAGGCCATCTGTGTTGTTTCTAAGTTTTGGCTATTAAAAAATAAAGTTGCTATATAGACATGCATGTACAGATTTCATATGAATACAAATCTTCCTTTCTCTGAGATCAATGTCCAGGATTGTAAGCACTGGGTTATACAGAGGTTGCATGTTTAGACAAAAAACTGACAAACTGTTTTCCGGAGTGACTGTACCATTTTACATTTCCACCACTAACATGAGTGATCAGTTTCTCCACATCTTCGCCAGCATTTGGTGTTGTCACTACTGTTTATTTTAGCTGTTCTGATAGATGTGTAGTTGTGGCTTTAATCTCTATTTCCCTAATAGCTAACGATGCTGAACATCTTTTCATGTGCTTATTTAATATCTGTATGTCCTCCTTTCAATGAAATGACTCTTCACATCTTTTTAAATTAGACTGTTTTGTTTTTTCTTACTATTAAGTGTGTGTGTCTGTGTGTGTGTGTGTGTGTGTGTGTGTGTGTGTGTGTGTGTGTGTGTGTGTAAGAGCCAGGGGTCTCACTATGTTGCCCAGGCTAGAGTGCAGTGACTGTCCATAGGCAACATCATAGCATACTGCAGCCTCCAACTCCCGGGCTCAAGAGTTGTTTTTGCCTCAGCCTCCTGAGTAGCTGGGAATACAGGTGTTATGCCACTGCACCTGGCTCTTACTGCTGAGTTCTGAGAGTTCATTGTATGTGCTGGATACTAGTCTTTTACTGAATACGTGGTTTAACAGATATTTTCTTCCAATATCTAACTTGTCTTTTCTATCTTTTCATATGGGCTCTCACACAGCAAAATTTTTAATTTAATCAGGTCCAATTTATCAATTGTTTCTTTTATGGATTAGGCTTTCGTGGCCAAATATAGCTCTTTGTCTCCAGATCCAGAAAATTCTCTATGTTTTTTCCTAAAACTTTTATAGCTTTGTGCTTTACATTTAATTCTATAATCCATTTTGTATTTTTGCATAAGGTGTGAAGTTTAGGCTCATCATTTTTGAAAAAGCTGTCCTTCCCTCCATTGAATTGGTTTTGTAACTGCTAAAAATCAGCTGGAGGTATTTGTGCAGGTGTATTTCTGGGTTATATTTTCTGTTCCATGGTCTATGTCTTTCCTTCTACCAATAACACACAGTATTGATTACTATGGCTATATACTATAAGCTTTCATATTGCGTGAAGTAATTTCCCCTTTTTTCTTGTCAAGATTGTTTTAGCTATTCTAGAGACTGTGTCTTTCCATACACATTTTTAAATGTCTATCTATGTCCACAAAATATCTTGGTTGAATTTCAATAGGAAATGCATTAAACCAACAGATCAATTTAGGGAGAATCAATGTCATTATTACGTTGAGGCTTCCAATCCAAGAACACAGTATACATCTCTCCATTTACTTGTCTTGTTTCATGTCTTTCACCAGCATTTTGTAATATTCACTGTATAAATCCTGTACATGTTTGTTAATATATACTGAAGTATTTTATTTTCTTTGAATTGTCTAAAAATTGTATTGTTTTTAATTTTGGTTTCTGCATGTTCAGCATATATAAATGCGACTGATTTCTTTATTCTGTGACCTTGCTAAACTCACCTGTTAGTTCCAGGAGCTTTCTGATAGATTCCTTGGGATGTTCTACATAGATAATCACATTATCTGCAAATACGGACAGTTTTAGTTCTTCCTTTACAAACTACATACCTTTCATTTCTTTTTCTTGCCTTATATGGCACTGGCTAGAACTTCCAGCATTATACTGAATAAGAGCAGTTATGATGGACTTCCTCACCTTGCTTCTGAATCTCAGGGGAAAGCATTTAGTCTTTCACCATTAAGTGTGATGTTAGCTGTGAGGTTTTTGTGGTGCTCTTTACCAAGATGAGGCAATTCCTTTCTATTCCTTTTATCAGAAATGAGTAACTGATATGATCATATTTTTCTTTTTTGGCTTATTAATATGGGGGAATTTAGAGTATTTTTAAAAGATCTTTCAAACAATTAACTAAACAAGTACTGGATCTTATCAAGCAAGTGGGGCACTTGGGTGGATTTTTTCTTTATGTAGGATCTTAAACTTGCCTCACCTCCAAATCTACTGAAAATAAGGGCCTATGGCCTGACTGACCAATCATCAAGAAAAGATTAGGTCAAATTTAATATAATGTGCCAAAAGTTGAAAATATAAGTAACAGGTTTTGGGCTCATTCTCAACCCACGAAGCATTATTCAACCAACACACATGTATTTTGAGAGGCATTATAGCATAATGGTAAGAGCTCTGCCATTTATTAGCTTGTGACTATGCAAGTTACTTAATTCCTACATAACTCTGTCTACAATGTGATGAAAAAAAAGAGGTACAGATGTGTGTTTAAGTGTTGATGCATAAAAGCCTCTCTAAATTGGGAAGAAAGAGAGCAAGGAGGTAAAAGAAAAAACAATTCACACGAAAGGAGTCAGAGGCCAGGTAAACAGTACCTATTAATAAACAGATGTCATCTGTCATCCTCAATTTTGACGGATCAGTATCTGTTATTTGAAGTGTGATCCTTACACTAGTTAATAATTCTCAAACTGTTTGTTACAGTTCTGCTACAAGATAAGGAGCTTTTACCTTCAGGGTGATAAGCCTCTAAAGTAACAAAAAAAGGTGGGGAGGTGAGCTTGTGCCAGAATGTAAACCAACTGTGAAACTAAGCACACTGTTTAGTTCAGCTCTTTATTTAGACAGAAAGACCTGCTTTAAACATATTATTTTTAAAAAGTTGACAAAAATTCTATATATGTATTGAGTAAAACATGATGATCTGAAATATGTATAAGCTGTGGAATAATAGCTATGAGTTAATAAACACAGCTGAGTGCAGTGGCTCATGCCTGTAATCCCAGAACTTTGGGAGGCTGAGGCGGGCAGATTGCTTGAGCTCAGAAGTTCAAGACCAGCCTGGGCAACATGGCGAAATCCCGTATCTACCAAAAATACAAAAAATTAGCTGAGCAAACTGGTGAGCACCTGTGGTCTCAGCTACCCAGGAGGGTAGGAGAATTGCTTGAGCCTGGGAGGCAGAAGTTGCAGCGAGCCAAGATTGTGCCACTGCACTCCAACTTGGGTGACAGAATGAGACCCCATCTCAGAAAAAAAAAAAAAAATTAACACATGCATTACCTTACATTTCATTTTTGTGTGTGTGGTGAAAACACTTAAAATCTACTGTCAGTGATTTTTCAAGAATATAACACATTGTTATTAACTATAGTTCATAACCATGTGATATGGTTTGGCTGTATTCCCACCCAAATCTCATCTTGAATTGTAACTCCCACAATTCCCGTGTGCCGTGGGAGGTGATTAAATTATGGGGGTGGGTCTTTCCTGCGCTGTTCTCATGATAGTGAATGAGTGTCACAAGATCTGATGGCTTTAAAAACAAGTTTGCCTGCACAAGCTCTCTTGTCTGCTGTCATATGGGATGTGCCTTTCACCTTCTGCCATGATTGTGAGACCTCCCCAGCCACATGGAAGTGTGAGTCCAATAAACCTCTTTCTTTTGTAAATTGCCCAGTTTCAGGTATGTCTTTATCAGCAACGTGAAAACTGACCAATATACCATGTTCTACAGTAAAGGTCTTGAACTTATCCCTCCTATCTAACTGAAATTTTTTATACTTTGAATCAATATCTCCCCAAATCCCTGTACCCCCCACCCCTGGCCCCAGCCCCTGGTAACCACCATCCTACATGAGTCTAGCTTTTTTAGACTCCATGCATAAGTGAGAGCATGTGATACTTGCCTTGTTTGCCTGGCTTATTTCTGGTAATGTAATGTCCTCCAAGTTCATCCACGTTGTTGCAAAAGAGAGGGTTTCTTTCTTTTAAGGCTAAAAAGTATTCCACTATGTATACATACCACATTTTCTTTTTCTATTTGTCTACTGGTGGACATTTGGGCTGATTCCTTATCTCGGGTATTGTGATGCAATAAACATGGGAGTGCAGGTATCTCTTCAACATACTGGCTTCATTTTTCCTTTGGATATATACACAGTAGTGGGATTGCTTGATCACATGGTAGTTCTATTTTTAGGAACTTCCCCATACTGCTTTCTATAATGTCTATACTAATTTACATTCTGACCAAGAGTGTACAAGAGTTTCCTTTTCTCCACATCCTCACCAACATGCGTTATCTTTCATCTTTTTGATAATGGTTATTCTAACAGGTGTAAGATGATATCTCACAGTAGTTTTAATTTTATTTCTCTGATTAGTAATGTTGAACAATTTTTAGTATACCTATTAGCCAGTTCTATGTTTTGAGAATGTTTATTCTGCTCTTTTGCCCTTTTTTTTTTTTTTTGAGATGGAGTCTTGTTCTGTCACCCAGGCTGGAGTGCAGTGGCGTGATCTCGGCTCACTGCAAACTCCGCCTCCCAGGTTCACGCCATTCTCCTGCCTCAGCCTCCCGAGTAGCTGGGACTACAGGCAAATGCCACCACGCCCAGCTAATTTTTTGTATTTTTGGTAGAGATGGGGTTTCACCCGTGTTACCCAGGATGGTCTTGATTTCCTGACCTTGTGATCCGCCCGCCTCGGCCTCCCAAAGTGCTGGGATTATAGGCGTGAGCCACCGTGCCCAATCCTTGCCCATTTTTTAATTGTTAGTTTTCTTGCTATTGAGTTCATTATATATAACCCCTTATCAGATGTATGGTTTGCAAATATTTTCTATAGGTTCTCTCTTTATTAATAGTCTCTTTTGCTGTGCAGAACCTTTTAAATTTGATATAATTGCATCTGTCTATTTTTGTTTTGTTGGCTGTGTTTTTGGGGTCATATCCAGGAAAACATTGCCCAGACCAGTATCATGGAGATTTTCCCCTGTGTTTTCTTCCAGTAGTTTTACAGTTTCACATCTTATGTTTGCATTTTAATCTATTTTGAGTTGATTTTTGTATATGGTGTGAAATAAGGGCCTGGTCTCATTCATCTGCATGTAGATAGCCAGTTTTTCCAAGACCATTTATTGAAAAGACTGTCCTTTCCTGTGGCATGTTCTTGGCACCTTTGTCAAAAATCAACCAACTACAAATTTGTGGATTTATTTCTGGTGAAATAAATTCTTGCGTGTCAGAGCATATCTTTTCAAATATTCACCTTAGTTGCCTTAGACACCCCTTTCTTTTTTTCTGTATAACATTATTTCCTTTCCAGTTACTATGGTTCGATTTCTGAAAATACTTGTAGTAGGACCAAAAATGAAATTAACTAAAGAAATCTCAAGTAATTTCTTATTTCAAATTTAAGCATTCCCCAAGTAAGCCGTAGAAAGCAAACTTTTCTGTTCCACTGTTCTGTGTGTGTGTTTTTATGTCTCTATCATGCTGTTTTGATTATTATGGCTTTGCAGTAGATTTTCATATCAGGTAGTGTGATGCTTCTGGGTTCATTCTTTTAAGATTGCTTTGGCTATTTGGGGTCTTCTGTGGTTTCATATAAATTTTAGTTTTTTTTTTTCTATTTCTGTGAAAAATGACATTAGAGGTTTGATAGAGATTGCACTGAATCTGTACATCACTTTGGGTAGTACTGATATTTTAATAATACTAATTCTTCCAAATCCGTGAACATGGGATATCTTTCAATTTACTTCTGTCAGAAAGACTCTCTTGAAGGAAGCAGTGCCTTCTTTTACATTTTGGCACAAGCTCCCTAACTTGTCACAGATCAGGACTTTTGAGTAGCACGGCCTATATCTGAAGTATTTGTCTTAAAACTTCAATACATGACTTAAATATAAGTGCATATTTTTAGAGATCATAATTAAATTTAATTCGTGAATATCAGCACTTAATCGACTACATAGCCACAATGTGATTAGGCATTTTGAGATGGGCTAAGAAAGAGACTTAGGAGTTATTTGGGAGGCTGGGGTGGAGGGATGTAGATGGATAGTGAATGTGGTTATTATCTGCACTTTAGAAGCTTACAATCTAAGGGAAAATGAAATATTCAAAGCAAAATCCCATGGAGTAAAGTGAGTTACAATTGACAGATGATATCCACTAGTTTAATTTCTCAGTGAAACTCTGGGGACTAGCTCTCTTTTGTTTTCAAGAATCTCAATGTCACTAAATAAAAACAATGTGATTCTCTCCTCAATGGAGCAATAGAGAGAGCAAGGCCTGGAATCAGGGACAGATACTCTGACCATAAAGAGTGGAAGAATCTTCTCTTGAAGAGCTCTCCACATCTCTGTAAAATCACATCAAAATCAATTAAGTTTTGTCTGAATAAACTTCAGGCGTTGTTTCAGGAAAAGTTTGCTTTCTACTGCTTACTTGGGGAATTCTTAAACTTGAAATAAGAAATTGCTTGAGATTTCTTTAGTTAATTTCATTTTTGGTCCTACTACAAGTATTTTCAGAAATTGAACCTTAGTAACTGGAAAGGAAATAATGTTAGCCAAAAAAAAAAAAAAGAAAGGGGTCTCTAAGGCAACTAAGGTGAATATTTAAAAAGATATGCTGTGACATGCAAGAATTTTTAGTTCTATAAATTAGAGAAGGCAGCACAACAACAGGAGGAGGATCAAGTAACCAAATATAATATATAAATTAGTAGCTTAGATTTATAAGCACATTAGAAGGGCTAAAATGATTAAACAAGAGGAGGCTTCTGAACTAATACAAAAGTTTTAAAGTTGAATTGCAAGCGTGAAAAGTTAAGGAAAAGTAAGGGCCCATATCTGGTGGCAGATGGTGTAATGTTAACAGATGGCAATAATTACTAATTACTTAATTCCAATTTTACTTCTATTGCATCTATTAAAGAAAGTAATCTTCATTTGGTGAATGAAAATCCAGACAAAAAAGGACGCACACTATTCTACCTATATAGAGTTCTAAATATGCAAAATAATCTGTTAGAAATCAGAATAATGGTTACCTTTGGGGATAACCAATACCTAGAAAGAGGCCCTGGGGTATTCTCTTTTTTGATCCAGGAGCTGGTGGTTACACAAATGTGTTCACATTACAAATATTCATCAAGCTGGATACTTACGACGTGTGGACTTTTTGTATGTATGGTGTATGTCAACAAAATGTGAAAAAGAAAAAAAGTTTAAAGTGTTAAGACTGGAAAAAACACCTTACTTTATTAAGCTAAGGCTTAGCTCATTTCTCTGGTCTAAATGACCCAAAGATCTGAAAGAACTTGCAAATATGATTACCAAAGTATTGTTGTGTCCATAAAGGAGTTGACAGGGAATGGGAATTAGCAAGTATTTTTATGCTTATGTTAATGTTTATTATGCTAATGTTTATTAATATACAAAATGATTGATGATTAATAGATAATAGACAAAATAATTCTATCATTAGTTGTTAATCCATTGATGATTGAAACAAAAAAATGATCTTCCTTGTTAATTTCCTAATTTTGGAGCTACTGGACTAATTACATAGAAAATATTCTATGTTGTGAGTAGCTGGAACTACAGGTGCGTGCCACCACACCCAACTAATTTTTGTATTTTTAGTAGAGACAGGGATTCACCATGTTGGCCAGGATGGTCTCGAACTCTTGACCTCAGGTGAATTTTTTGAAATTTAGTAAATATATACTACAACTCTTAGCAAGTATTTTCAAAATTTACTTTTAAAAAGGGGGCGGGGAAAGGGTACAGGAGAATGGATGTCAGGAACTATATACTATACCAATGAGCATGACACTGATTTGCAAAAATTCAAAATATGGTTATTTAAACACTTAGAAAAAATAAGCTAATTTCAATTTATCCTTCAGGTTTCAGCTTAAATGTTATTTCTTCAGACAAGTCACCTTTGAATGCCCAATTTTAAAAAAAACCTCACTCTGTTAACTTTCATGGCTATTTTTCCTCCATAGCATCATCCACAATTTGTAAGGATATATTTGGTTATGTGATTATTTATCTAGTGTTCACCTCCATGAGACAATTGCTCAAATGGTAATGCTTGGTTGAATAACTAAATGCATTTCTGATGAAGACCTTATGAATGTAGTTAAAATGAGCTTCTGGCAATATTGTTGTAAAACTACAGATTTGAAGAGCTACCTAGCCCGTGTATGAAACAAAGTGTGTATTTAAAATAATTCTTAAATAATAAATGCACAAGTCTATTTCTAGTGACTCTAAGAAAATGTGTACTTTCAGAATCAAGACCTCCTTCCTTCTCCCTACAACTGAAAAGTTTCAAGACGGTAATTTTTTTTTTTTTTTGAGACAGAGTCTCGCTCTGTCACCTAGGCTGGAGTGTAGTGGCGTGACCCTGGCTCACTGCAGCCCCTGCCTCCAGGGTTCAAGCAATTCTCCAGCCTCAGCCTCCCGAGTAGCTGGAACTACAGGTGTGTGCCACCACACCCAACTAATTTTTGTATTTTTAGTAGACAGGGTTTCACCATGTTGGCCAGGCTGGTCTCGAACTCTTGACCTCAGGTGATCTGTCCACCTTGGCCTCCCAAAGTGCTGGAATGACGGCATGAGCCACCGCACCCAGCCCAAGATGGTAATTCAATATAGGAAGGAGTTTTAGGAGTGAATTACATGAGGAAAAGTCTAACCTAAGACAAACACCAAAGATCTGAAATAAGTTTTAAATTTATTTTTTAAAAGATATATGTATAGGCCGGGCACGGTGGCTCACGCCTGTAATCCCAGCACTTTGGGAGGCTGAGGCGGGCAGATCACGAGGTCAGGAGATCGAGACCATCCTGGCTAACACGGTGAAACCCCATCTCTACTAAAAATACAAAAAATTAGCCGGACGAGGTGGTGGACGCCTGTAGTCCCAGCTACTTGGGAGGCTGAGGCAGAAGAATGGCATGAACCCGGGAGGCGGAGGTTGCAGTGAGTCGAGATCACAGTACTGCACTCCAGCTTGGGCGACAGAGCGAGACTCTGCATCAGAAAAAAAAAAAAAAAAAAAAGAAACGTGTAAAGAAAGAGAATTCACTATTATTTTCTGGATTAGCAATTTAAATATTTGTTTCAAATAAAATGTGTTCACATGAAAACACAATTTGGGCCAGGCATGGCAGCTCACGCCCGTAATCCCAACAGAAGGACGATTGTTTGAGTCCAGGAATTCAAGGCCAGCCTGGGCAACATAGTGAGACCTAGTCTCTACAAAAAATAAACAAAAATTAGCTGGGTGTGGTGGTGTGCCTGTATTCACAGCTGGGTGTGGTGGTGTGCCTGCATTCATAGCTACTCAGCCAGCTGAGGTGGGAGGATCACTTGAGCCCGGGAGGTCAAGGCTGCAGTGAGCCAAGATCACACCACTTCACTCCAACCTGGACAGAGTGAAACGCTGTCTCAAAAAAAGAAAGAGAAAAAAGAAAACACAATCTGATGAAGGTAACTCTAAAATCCTCCAAAAATAATGGAAGAAAATACAATAAATTTTAATAGCAGTTGCTTTCAGTTGGGAAAACACAAGGTTTTTCTACTTTTCTACTTTTATTTACTTCTGTAAAGTATCTTTAACAAGGATGTGTAACTTTTACATAAGCAAAGGGAGAGGAAGCCCACAGAAAGAGGATGTCAAAGAAAATGTATCTAACTTCATCAGATGTTATGAGAATTTCAGTGATGGTAAAGTGCTTCACACAGGGCCTAGTACCCTCAGTAAATGAAAGCTATTATGAATAAGTACCATGATAAAGTATCCAGTGATGTGTGGTTTTAGGGATGACCACTAATTTGCCACAGTATTTTCATTATTCAAGATACACAGAATTTTAACATCAGAAAAATCTAATTACTTTTCTTTAAATGTAAATCAACCTTACCTTCCGCAGTTCCACTGTCACTTCATTTCTATGTCTTCGCATTGTCTAGAAAAGAAAAACAAAGATTACAGATGTATCAAAATACGGACACTGCTAGTATATAAAGATCTCAGCTGGGTGCAGTGGCTCATGCCTATAATCCTAGCACTTTGGGAGGCCGAGGCGGGCAGATCACTTGAGGTCAGGAGTTCAAAACCAGCTTGGCCAACATGGCGAAACCTAGTCTCTACTAAAAATACAAAAAAAATTAGCCGGGCTTGGTGGCAGGCACCTGTAATCTCAGCTACATGGGAGACTGAGGCAGGAGAACTGCTTGAACCCGGGAGGCGGGGGGATGCAGCAAGCCGAGGTGGCGCCAGTGCACTCCAGGCCTGGGCGACAGAGCGAGACTGCATCTCAAAAAAAAGAAGAAGAAGAAAAAAAAAAACTCAGGTATTTGAGTTAGAAGTCATTTAATATTGGCTGGGTGCAGTGGCTCACACCTGTAATCCCAGCACTTTAGAAGGCTGGAGGATCACTTGGGGCCAGGAGTTCGAGATCAGCCTGGCCAACATGGCAAAACCCCATCTCTACTAAAAATACCAAAATTAGCTGGGTGCAGTAGCACGCCCCTGTACTCCCAGCTACTCCTGGAGGCTGACGCTCAAGAATCGCTTGAACCTGGGAGACGGAGGTTGAAGTGAGCTGAGATCATGCCACTGCACTTTAGCTTGAGTGACAGAGCGAGACTCTGTCTCAAAAAATAAATAAATAAGAAGAAATTTATAATCTCAATGACTGATACATCTTATACTTTAAATGATGAGCTACAATTAGTTAAAAAGCCAAATTCTGTATTTACTGGATATCTGTTGGTTAATTTTGTGGAAGGTGGGACTTGGCTGCCTAGGACCCATTTCCCTGCCCTAACTGTACCCAGTCATCTTTGGGGAATTACATCCTTCCCATCCTGTAGTCTTAATGAGACCTAAAGTGGCTCACTCTCTCCTAGCTTAAGTAGGTCACAAGACTCAACTACACTATCAGAATTATCTCCTCTATAACTCTGAATCTTAAGGAGAAAGGGAAAAAAAGGCACATTAAATTCCAAAGGAAGAATTTTGGACAAGGTAGTAAATAATGCCTATATCCTTGACTTGCTCAATTCCCAGTTCTTCCATTTCTCTACTCATCTTATGAACTACCTTACATTCTTCCAATAAATTATGGTTTTGCTTAAGTCAGCCAGGGATGGTTTCTGATGTCTGCAATCAATGAATTATATCTCTAATGATTCATATTTTTAAAAAGTAAATTCATTGCCATGGCCTTAAAAACATGAAAATAAAAATAAGTTTGAGATAGATGTTTTGTATCAAAAGGTAAGGTATCCTTCTGAGTTTAAGAGGATCTATCAGGCATGCCTTATGGGGAAACACTGAAATAATATATATCTCCCCTCTAACATACTGATATAATGGATTCTTTTATTACACATATAAGCATGGTTACATCTTTATATTATTGGAATAAAGGCTATATGATCATGGTATATTATTATTTTAATATACTGCCAAGGTTCAGTGTGCTATATTTTATTTAATAATTCTTGTGATATCTCTTTCTTAAACCACAGTGATCTTCTTAAGAAAAAAAATCTCATAAAATCCAAATTATAAAGTTTGCTAACTATACTGAAATAATCTAGATATAAACTTAAACTTAAATACAGATATATATTAAATAGAAACAAAACTGCCAAACAAAATTCAAATTAGTCATATTCATTTCATGTGATGGAATTATATACTGATAAAAACTATTATCCCTGATAAGGTTCGACACTAGAAAGAACCTTGAATTTAATTCTATATTTAGTATGTTTCTATATTGTGACTTTAGTACTATTAATACAGAGAATG
This sequence comes from Homo sapiens, assembly GCF_000001405.40. NCBI lineage: Eukaryota > Metazoa > Chordata > Mammalia > Primates > Hominidae > Homo > Homo sapiens. The sequence continues at coordinate 49,748,850 of NC_000013.11, forward strand.
TCTTACGCATAAGTTCATAAAAATGACAAATGTTGAACAATCTTCAAATACCAACATTAATGAAGTGTTATTTGACAACTCTATAAGCTATCTTTATTCACTGGAAGATTAGAACTCTACCACTGTTAAAAATTTTACCTAAATGAATATTTACTTCAATTTTTCCTATAACTGAAAAGAAAAATATTTTCATTGCAATATTTGCAACACTTAACTATTTATGAATTATTAAAAGATGATGCATAACAAAAAGATCCAGGCAGCATATCTGCTCCAAAATATGATTTTCTGCTCTATCATCTTAATTCACACTAAGATATTTCTGTATAGACAGAATTAGTGAGTTAAATTCTGAAGAACCACACTAAATTAGGAAACCACACTTAAGAGGTGATTAATTTAATGTTTTAAACACCCCTAAACAGGAGTTAGCTCCCAGGTAGTAAGTGCTTCGAATATGAACATCTCAATTTATAGACACTGGTTTGATACTCTGCATAAGGAAAGTTGGAAATAGATTTTTACTGCTAAAGTAGAACAGTTATTCAAGATATACGAATTGACTAGAAATACAGGCACCTCGATTCTTACTTGTTTGGGGTCTAAGAATCCGGCAGGCCCTACAGCACAACTTCAGAGAAGTTTCTGTGTCTAGAAACCCCCTTGATCCTGTGTTCCATCCCTTCTTAGAGAACTGTATCACCTAATCCTAGTCAGAACATTGTGGTATCTGCTTAGGGTTGAAGTTTTCTTACAAGGTGGTAATCTCCAGTCTAAAAGTACTATACCCATGAAACGAACCATATGACTTTTGTGACTGCTTACTAATACATATTTATATATGCAGCATAATTCTAAGATTTGTGTATATAACTCACTAGTAGCAAAACTTCAAAGGCGAAAGTATCTGTTACCCTCACCTATCTCTAATAATTAAAGACCACTTATTCACCCGAAAGAATCATATAAATGTAAATGGCCAAACTCACTTAGGTCAGTTAAGAAGAGGAGGTACTGACTACCATACCTAAGTACCTCTGAGTTAGTCATGACTTACTATGCTCTTTGTTTAAATTACAGAAAAAGATGGACTCCCTTATATTCTCCCTTATATTCTTCCCAAGTGATCTCATCTACCCTCATGTCTGCAATTACTGCTTCATGACCACTCCCAAGTATCTATTTTTAGTCCACTCTGTCTCTTAAGCTCCTAATCTATAAGTCATTCACCCATTCAACAAAAATTTACTCAATACATTTAAAATACATTGGGCAATACATTTGCCAACCGGGAAGCAAGTACAGAATTCACAGTCTAGCACAGGGATCGGCAAACTATAACCTGTGTATCAAATCTGGCAGGCTATCTGTTTCTGTAGGTCCCAACAGGAATGGTTTTTACATTTTTTAAGTGGTTACATTATAAATGATATTAAGTACCTACATCATGCTCTTATTTTTGCCTCTTTGCCCTCAAATGCTAAAATATTTACTATTTGTCCTTTTAAGGAAAAGTTAGCAGACTAGGTGCAGTGGCTCACGCCTGTAATCCCAACACTTTCGGAGGTCGAGGCGGGAGGATCACTTGAGCACAGCCATGCTCAGCTGATTTTTCATTTTTTGTAGAGGTAGTATCTCATTGTGCTCATGTGTGCACCTACAGTTCCAGCTACTTGGGGGAGCTGAGATGGAGGATTGCTTAAGCACAGGAAGTCAAGGGTGCAAGGAGCCATGATGGTGCCACTGCATTTCAGCCTAGGTAACAGAGTGAAACCCTGCCTTGGAAAAAAAAAAAAGGTTTGCCAGCACCTGGTCTAGTGGAAATGAGAGTAATAATGAGTGATAAAAATGTGTTAAGCTGGCCGGGCACAGTGGCTCATGCCTGTAATCCCAGAACTTTGGGAGGCCAAGGCAGGCAGATCACCTGAGGTCAGGAGTTCAAGACCAGCCTGGCCAACATGGTGAAACCCCATCTCTACTAAAAATATCAAAATTAGCTGGGCATGGTGGCGCACGCCTGTAATCCCAGCTACTCAGTAGGCTGAGGCACAAGAATTGCTTGAACCTGGGAGGCGGAGGTTGCCATGAGCCACGAGTGGGCCACTGCATTCCAGCCTGGGCAACAGAGTGAGATTCTGTCTCGAAAAAAAAAAGTGTTAAGCTTGAGATAGGAAAGTAAATGTTAAGATCTGTATCAAGAGGAGATATAATCAGAGGGACAGAAAAAAGCTCCCAAAAGAATTAAAATATGTGCATATGTGTGTTAAGGGCTGGAAGAGAGATGGTTTAAAGGCTTCAAACTCAGTATGCTTAAAACTAATATACTTGTTCCCTTCCTAACACCCTCACCAAAAAGATCCCCCACATCTCCTCTCCTGTCAATACTCCTAATGTTAGGAAACTGTACAACCATCCAAATAGTTTCAAGAGACCAATCCTGGAAGACTATCCCTGTCTACTCACTTTCAATCCTCTGAAATCAAACAAGTCAACCAGAACAGGATTCAAACCTCCCAGCTCCACGGCCACTATCTAAGAGTAAGCCACCATCATCTAATCTGGACTACTAAAATAGCCTAACTAGTCTCCTTCCATGCACTGAATCAATTTTCCACAATGCAGCCGGGGGGGTTCTTTTTAAAATGCAAAATCTGTGTCATCTTTCTCTTGAATAAAATGTGTCAATGATTTTTTTCATCTCTTGGCATCCCCTGCCCCACACAAAAAATGTCATCAGAATAGCCAAACTTAAACTCCACAGACAAAACCTACAAGAGGGCCAGGCACAGTGGCTCATGCTTGTAATCCCAGAACTTTGGGAGGCCGAGGCGGGAGGATTGCTTGAGCCCAGAAATTTGAGACCAGCCTGTGCAACACAGTGAGACCTGTCTCTACAAAAAAATTAAAAATTAGCCAGGTGTGGTGGCGTGCACCTGTGGTCCCAGCTCTTCAGGAGGCTGAGGCAGGAAGATGGCTTCAGCCCAGGAGGTCAAGGCTGCAGTGAGCCATGATCATACCACTACACTCCAGCCTGGGTGATAGAGACCCTGTCCCCAAAACAAGCAAACAAACGACACCTACAAGGTTGGGAGACAAAGTATTCTAACGAATTCTCAAATACAAGCAGGGTCTGGTTAAATCACCAGCTACAGGATTCATATGCATATATGCAGAAGAAAATGGAAGGGCAGAAGTTATGGGGCGATTGAAGACCCTGAGAACAAGAGAACTCCCAAATCATGAATGACTAGAGACTTTGGAAAGGCAACTTGAGAACAGTTGCAAATGGAAGGGATCTTTTGCACACATCAACATTGTTAAGTATGATGGAGCTAGACACAAAATCAAAGAACTAAAATCCTCTTCCTGGACAATGTCCTACAATGAACAGAGCCAGACCTCAGAAAATAGGATGCCAATGCCACCCCCTTAAAAAAAAAATCATCTTGTAACAAACAACAGAAGAAAAAGATCTTGAGTGGTGAAACTAGAAAGGCTACTCTGACCCACTTCTTGCTCTTAAAAGTTCAGGAAAATCTATCAAAAAATGGACAGGAAAGGATTGGCGTTGAAGCCCATGCTGTAAGAAATGAGAGAATAGGAAACAGAGTGTTGCTATTGAAAGCCTACTGAAAAGACATATACACAAAAGTGATAAAAACTATCCTAGAAAATGATAGAAAATGTGAAATAACATTATCAATCAGAATTAGAAAAACTCAGAAATGAGGTCCTAGCAATCAAAAAAGAATTAGAAATAAAGCAAAAAATTATTTCAGAAAGGAACCTAGCCAAGAGCAATCTTAAGAGCCAGTAAACAACAGATAATGCTTAAGAGAAACAGAATATGTAAAGAAAAAAACTGTAATCAGAAATGAAGGTGAAAATTATCAGAAGGGCTGGGCACGGTGGCTTACGTCTGTAATCCCAGCACTTTGGGAGGCCGAGGCGGGCGGATCATGAGGTCAGGAGATCGAGACCATCCTGGCTAACACAGTGAAACCCCATCTCTACTAAAAATACAAAAATTAGCCGGGCATGGTGGCGGGCGCCTGTAGTCCCAGCTACTCGGGAGGCTGAGGCAGGAGAATGGCATGAACCCGGGAGGTGGAGCTTGCGGTGAGCCGAGATTGCGCCATTGCACTCCAGCCTGGGTGACAGAGCGAGACTCTGTCTCAAAAAAAAAAAAAAAAAAAAAAAAAAAGAAAATTATCAGAAGGAAGTGACAATAAAGGCACTTAGATTTTAAATTCATATAATAAAGACTCCTCAAATAAGAAAACCGAAGCAATGAAATAGAGCAAATACTTAAAACTATAAATCAAAAAAAACTTCCTGAAATTAGAAGACTTGAACTGAAATACTGAAAGTACACCCAAGTACCTGGGGAATCCATCCAGAAAAACCAACACTGAGAAATATACAAGTGAAACTAACGGACTTCCAAAAAGAAAAGAAGAGAAAATTGCATCTGGACATTAGGCAAAAAATATTGAAAATGTGAATCAAGGACTTTATATCCAGTCAGAACCACTAAATTTAAAGTATACAAGTGGCAAAACAACTGTTATAAACACAACTCAAGGACTACTGTTTATATGAGCACTTTCTGAAGAATCTAATAGAGAATGGTCACCACACAACCAAAATAACTGGAGAGACACTGATAAAAGGTGACCGTGAGCAATGAATTTATTTACCTGTAGAACTAAGATTAAATAGTCCTTATAAGGTAGGCCCAATCCCTGGGCCGTGAACTGGTGCCAGTCCATATAGCCTGTTAGGAGCCAGGCTGCACAGCAGCAGGAGGTGAGCATTATGGCCTCAGCTCCATTTCCTGTCAGATCACGGTTGGCATTAGATTCTCATAGAAACACAAACCTTGTTGTGAACTGAGCACGTGAGGGATCTAGGTTGTGTGCTCCTTATGAGAATCTAACTAATGCCTGATGATCTGTGGTGCAACAGTTTCAACCCGAAACCATCCTCCCCGACCCGCCATTCATGGAAAAACTGTCTTCCACAAAACTGGCCCCTGGTGCCATAAAGGTTGGGGACCACTGTTATAAGGGAAAAAATACAGTATTTAACTGCTACATGCCCTGACAATGTAGACACAAAATTGAAAGGAAGACAAAACATGCATATGAAATACTGAGTAAGTGGGCCAGGTGCAGTGGCTCTCGCCTGTAATCCCAGCAATTTGGGAAACTGAGGCGGGTGGAGCATTTGAGGCCAGGAGTTCAAGACCAGCTTGGCCAACAGGGTGAAGCCTCATCTCTACTAAAAATACAAAAAATAGCCGGGTGTGGTGGTTGCACCTGTAATCCAATCCCAGCTATTCCCGGAGGCTGAGGCAGAGAATTGCTTGAACCTGGGAGGTGGAGGCTGCAATGAACTGAGATCACGTCACTGCACTCCAGCCTGGGTGACAGAACAAGACTCCATCTCAAGAAGAATAAAAACAAAAAAACAACTAAGTGTATTGATTGCCTTATTAACTATTAACTGGTGAGAAAAGGAAATTGCATCACATCAGATGCTGAAGTAGAGCAGAAAAGAGGTTAAAGCAGTGCTGAGAGAGAAATTTAAAGCACCTAATGCAAACATTAAGAAAGAGAGAAAGTCTCAAACCAATAATCAAAACTCCCAGCTTCGACACCCTACAACATAAAAAGCAAAACAAACCCAAAACAAGCAGAAGGAATAAACAGAAATCAATGAAATTGAAAACAAAAAGTAGAGAAAATTAATGAAAAGCTAGTTCTTTCAAAAAAAAAAAAAAATCAGCAGACTGGCCAAAAAAAAAGAGAAAATGCAGAGTTATAATATTAGAAATGAAAAAGGTACTATCACTACAGACTTTGCAGACATCAAAAGAACAAGGGAAAACTACAAACAACTCTACACACACAAATTTGACAATTTAGATGAAATGGACCAATGACTCAAAAAGCAAGAACTATCACACCTCACTCAATATGAAATACCTAATTTGAATAACGCTGTTAACTATTAAGATGATTATATTTGTAATTTTAAAACTTCCCTTCAGGGTTTGGATGGTTTAACTAGAGAATTCTTCCAAATGCCTAAAGAAGAACTAACACCAATTTTATATAATCTCTACAAAAAACAGATGGGTACACTTCTCAATTCACTTTATGAAGCTAATTACAAAATTACCTGAATAACAAAACCAGAAAAGACAGCATTAAAAAAAAAAGAAGAAAAAGAAACTGCAGGCCAATATTCTCAATGACTGCAGATACAAAAATCCTTATCAAAATGTTACCAACTAGAAGTCACTATACTAGCAGGCTTCATTCTAGTGATACAAGGCTGGTTCTGTATTTGAAAATCAATCAATATAAACCATACTAATAGACTAATGAAGACAAATCAATGATTATATTATTCAATGCAGAAAAAAATGACAAAATTCAACATCCATTTATAGTAAAAACACTCAGAAAAATAAAAGCCTAGAGTTAACATTCTAGTGGTGAAAAGTCTGAATACTATGTTTCCCTAGATTGAGAACAAGAAAATGGTGTCCACTCTCACCACTATTATTCAACATAGTATAAGAAGTTCCAGCCAGTAAAATAAGGCAAGAAAATAAAGTAAAAGGCATATAGATGCAAAAGAAAGAAAATAATCCCAGCCAGGTGCTGTGGCTCACTCCTGTAATCCCAGCACTTTGGGAGACTGAGGAGGGCGGATCACGAGGTCAAGAGATCAAGACCATCTGGTCAACATAGTGAAACCCCATCTCAACTAAAAACACAATTAGCTGGGCGTGGTGGTGCACACCTGTAGTCCCAGCTACTCGGGAGGCTGAGGCAGAGGAATCGCTTGAACCCAGGAGGCGGAGGTTGCAGTGAGCCGAGATCGTGCCACTGCACTCCAGCCTGGCGACAGAGGGAGACTCCATCTCAAAATAAAAAATAAAATAAAGAAAACAATCAATTATTTGCAGAAAAGATGATTTAAAAATTCCAAGGAATATACCAAAAACTTTCCAGATCTATTAAGTGAGTTCAACAATGTCACAGAATACAACATAAAAATCAATTATATTTCTATATACTAGCAATGAACACATAGACACTGAAATTAAAAATACAAACAACAGCCGGGTGTGGTGGCTCACATCTGTAATCCCAGCACTTCGGGAGGCCGAGGCAGGTGGATTGCTTGAGCCAAGGAATTTGAGATTAGCCTGGGCAAAATGGCAAAACCTCATCTCTACAAAAAAAAGCAAAAAAAAATTTAGCTGGGCATCGTGGTATATGCCTGTAGTCTCAGCTACTGGGGAGGGTGAGGTAGCAGGATCTCTTGAGCTCGGGAGACGGAGGCTGCAGTAAGTGGAGACTGTGCCACTGCACTCCAGCCACAGCGACAGAGATAGACCCTGCCTCAAAACAAACAAACAATGCTGGATGATGGCTCAAGTAATCCCAGTGCTTTGGGAGGCCAAGGAGGGAGGACTGCTTGAGCCCAGGAGGTCAAGACCATACATAGCGAGACTCAGCTTCTACAGAAAATTTAAAAATTAGCCAGGTATGGAGGCAAGTGTTTATTGTCCTAGTTACTTGGGAGGCTGAGGCAGGAGGACCGCTTGTGTCCAGGAGTTCAAGGCTGCAGTGAACTATGATTACACCACTGCACTCCAGCCTCAGTGACAGAGCAAGATCCTGTTTCTAGCTTAAAAAAGAGAAAAAATGGAGGGGCATATTGTGTTCATAGATTGGTAGACTCAACTTGGTAAAGATGTTGATTCTCCTCATACTGATATACAGGTTTAATGCAATTCCTATCAAAATCCCAGCAATATATTTTGCAGATACAGAATTATTCTAAAATTTATACGGAAAGGCAAAGTAAGTAGAATAGTTAAAACAATTCTGAAAATGAAAAACGAAGTGGAAGGAATCAATCTAGCCAATTTCAAGATATATTACATAGTTACAGTAATAAACATTGTGTGATATCAGTGGAAGAATATACACATTGAAAAGAACAGAGAACCCAATATAAGCCTACACAAATATATCCAACTGATTTTTTACAAAGGTGCAAAAGCAATTAAATGGAGGACATCAATAGACTTTTCAGCAAACAGTGCTGGACCAGATAGATATTGACAGACAAAAATATTAACCCTGACTTAAGCCTCACACCTTAAAAAAAATTTAATTCAAAATAAATGTGAAACTATAAACTTTTAGGAAAAACCACAGGAGATAATTCTTTGGGATCTGGGGCTAGGCAAAGAGTTCTTAAACTTGACCGTAAAAAGCATGATCCATAACAGAAATAGTTGGTAAACTAGACCTCATCAAAATAAAAAACTATTTTGCTCTTTGAACACCCATGTAAAGAAGATAAAAAGAGAAGCTAGAGACTAAAAAAAAAAAATTTGCAACCACATATCCAAGAAAGGACTAGTATCTAGAATTAAAAAACAAAAACAAAAAACCTCTCAAAGCTCAACAGGTAACCAACCAACCAATGGAACTAGAAAATGGGCAAAAGAAATGAAAAAATATTTCATGGAAGAGGATATACACATGGCAAATAAGCACATGAAAAGATGTTCAATACTATTAGCCATTAGGGAAATGCAAATTAAAACCACCATGAAATCTTATTATACATCTAAAATTTAAAATTGTGATACTTTCAAATGCTGGTGAGTATGGAGAGTTTTCATACATTGCTTGTGGGAATGTAAAATGACAGCACCTTTGGCCATTTCTTAAAGTACACATGTAACAACCACAGGACCCAGCAACTACACATTGGACATTTATATGAGATAAATGAAAACTCATCTACACACACACACACACACACAACCTGTACGCAAATGTTTACAACAGCTTTATTCTTAATAGCTACAACCTGGAAACAACCCAGGTATCCTTCACGCTTAAACTGTGGTACATCCATACCATGGAACACCATATAGCAATTAAAAGAAACAAACTGCTGATACAAACAATGACTTGGATGAACATAAATACTGTACGAGCATCTTGCAAGATGTTACCACTGGGGAAACTGGAGAAAGGATAAACAGGATCTCTGTGTTATATTTTACAACTGCATGTCAATCTACAATCACCTCAAAATAAAGGTCAGTTTTTAATAAAAATTTTAAAGGATATACATCAGATGCTGAGGGGGAAGGAAAAGAGAAGGTCACAACTAATTTCAATAATGTACATGATGGGGAATCAATAGAAAATAACTAAGAAAGAGAGGACTAAAGAAAACAAAAACAAAACCACAAACTAGAGGCCAAAAGTATACTAAAACAAAAAATAAAACAGATCACATACAATGATTATTTTACACATAAATATATAGGTGATGACAAGGAAACTAGGACTTGACTTTAAAACCATGAAAATAAACTGCGTATGAATATGACAAAATCAAATTTAACAAGAAAAGCAATCCCTAAAAATAAAGAAATGAACCTAAACGTGTATCCATTTGGTAGCATAATCACACTATCCTGTGTAACTTTTCAACACAGCAATTTAACCCTGCATCTCCAGTTAACCCTAAAGAGAACTACCAGGAAAACTCCAAACTGTTCTCGGTAACCCTATTACTGGGTGCAGCGCTGCTGGTGTTGTTATTCTGAGACTGTTATGTGTCTATGTGGAATAAAGCAAATGAGTAAAAATGTCATATTCTATTATTCCTGGTGTCAGAAAAAAACAGGAAGTTTGGCCTAGGAGAAAGACGGATATATGATAGAAGTTGTTTAGTAAAATCCCATAGTCCTGAATTTGAATTGGAATATCAATATATGCATTATATGTGTGTGTTTATGTGTGTATGTATGTATATAAATATGCATATAAATATGTATACATATAAATATACACACACACATATGTTTATATACATACACACACACACAAAATTTTGTTTTAATCCTATATCTATCCACCCCAAGATGTCTACTTGGAGATGTGTATCTCCAACGCCTAGAAACAGTGACCAAATCAGTGAGTGCATAGACAATACTCTCAAAAATACCACCAATAGCAAACAGAACTGGTTCATTCCAACTAATGGGCAGAAAAGGTACAAGGTAAGCCTGCAATATCTTAACATACCAAATATCAAAGATATTTACGAGACTAGAGTCTTGTAAAAACTACTCAAGAGCTAACATGAAGAGGCTCCAAATGTTCAAAGACAATACAATTATTATCAATTATCAATAAGACAATGAATTCAAACACACATAGATTTCAATCTGTAAATCCAGGAAATGGAAATAAAAACCCAAACAACTAAATTGTCATCACTGAAGGATGATAATGAACTACCTCATTATTTTGAAAACTGATAAAGGAAAAGAATCAAGCATTTATTTTACTGTTTCTAAACAAATTTTATCATGGGGTAATCTAACCAATTAATAAATGAGAGGAAGGTTTCTCTTAATAGATGTAGTCTAGCTCAGCTGTTCCCAAACTTTTTGGCACCAGGGACTAGTTTCACAGAAGACAATTTTTCCATGGACTAGGAAGTAGAAGGAGTGGTTTCAGGATGATTCAAGTGCATGACATTTATTGTGCACTTTATTTCCATTATTATTATATTGTAATATGAAATAATTACACAACTCACCATAATGTAGAATCAATGGGAGGCCTGAGCTTGTTTTCCTGCAACTAGAGGTCCCATCTGGGGATGATGGGAGATGGTGACAGATCATCAGGCATTAGATTCTCATAAGGAACATGCACCTAGATCACTCGCATGCACAGTTCACAGCAGGGTTTGTGCTCCTTTGAGAATCAAATGCAGCTGCTGATCTGACAGGAAGTGGAGCTCGGGTGGTAATACAAGCAATGAGGAGCAGCTGTAAATACAGATGAAGCTTCACTTGCTTGCCTGCTGCCTACCTCCTACTGTGCAGCCCAGTTCCTAATGGGCCACGGACTGGTAGTGGTCCAGGGTTGGGGATCCCTGGTCTAGCTTAAAGAAGGAGTGATAGATTATCACCATTTTACAAATCCTAGTAAATAACAGACTTAGACAATGTTCCTCAGTGGTGATGTCAACATAACAGAAAGAGACAGCCAGACACTACGTGCCTTTCTGATGGAAGAGAAAACCATCACATATGATGCAGTCATGTTCCCAATTCCCCCAAATCATCTGAATCTGATAAAGCCTCCAGCTTCAACTTTGAATTTACAGGAAATACAGAGGGCCAATACACATGTCAAGTGACATGATAAGATGTAAAATCCAGCCGGGCACGGTGGCTCATGCCTGTAAACCCAGCAATCCAAGAAGACTGCTTGAGCTCAGGAGTTCAAGACCAGCCTGGGCAACATGATGAAATCCCATCTCTACCAAAAATACAAAAAACAACTCAGCCAGGAATGGTGGTACATGCCTGTGATTCCAACTACCCAGGAGACTGAGGTGGGAGGACTGCTTGAGCCCAGGAGGCAGAGGTTGCAGTGAGCCAAGATCACACCACTGCACTCCAGCCTGGGTGACAGAGTGAGATCCCATCTCAAAAAAAAAAAAAAAAAAGCAAAATTCAGATTATGAGAACCTCCATGAACCCAGTTTCTCCAACAATAAAGTGCATAAAAAAGACAAAGATGGTGAGATTAAGAGACCATAAATTAAAAAGGAGACTTTGAGTTCACATCAATCAATCAATCGCAATGTGTGGACCTTGTAATAGTTGATTCCAGGTGTCAACCTGACTGGATTAAGGGATACCCAGATAGCTGGTGAAAGCATTAATTATCCTCAGTGGTTCAGACAGCACTGAGCTCGTCCCTCTTCTGCTGAAAGGAAAACCCGGGCGGTCAGGCATTTGATTAGAATGACTGGGCTGTCCCAGTGCCTGTGAGGGTATTTCCTGAAGAGACTGGCATTTGAGTTAGTAGACTGATAGGGGAAGTTTCACTCTCAATGTGGGTGGGCAGCATTCAATAAGCTGGGGCCCAGATGGAACAAAAAGAGGAGGCAAGAGTAATTCTTGCTGTCAGAACTCCAGATTCTATGGTCTTCGGATTCCAGGACTTGCACCAGCACTGCTGCCCTTTCCCCCCATGATCACGTTGGCAAGTGTGATAATGGTATCGTGTTTTTAAAAAGAATTCCTATATTTTAAATAACATACATATTCTTAATAACAAAAAAGTAGGACAAAAACAGTATATGTTACTTCTGAAAGACGTCATACTTTGGGAGGTCACCTGTTCTACAACAACTGGATCCTGGCTATTAACAGAAAAAAATATTTTTTAATGCAGTGCTGATGTCATATAAGTAGTAGAGAAGAGGGTCCCTCTCCCTCTCCCTCTCCCCACGGTCTCCCTCTCCCTCTCCCCACAGTCTCCCTCTCCCTCTCCCCACGGTCTCCCTCTAATGGCGAGCCGAAGCTGGACTGTACTGCTGCCATCTCGGCTCACTGCAACCTCCCTGCCTGATTCTCCCGCCTCAGCCTGCCGAGTGCCTGCGATTGCAGGCGCACACCGCCACGCCTGACTGGTTTTCGTATTTTTTTGGTGGAGACGGGGTTTCGCTGTGTTGGCCGGGCTGGTCTCCAGCTCCTAACCGCGAGTGATCTGCCAGCCTCGGCCTCCCGAGGTGCCAGGATTGCAGACGGAGTCTCGTTCACTCAGTGCTCAATGTTGCCCAGGCTGGAGTGCAGTGGCATGATCTCGGCTAGCTACAACCTCCACCTCCCAGCCGCCTGCCTTGGCCTCCCAAAGTGCCGAGATTGCAGCCTCTGCCCAGCCGCCACCCCGTCTGGGAAGTGAGGAGCGTCTCTGCCTGGCCGCCCATCGTCTGGGATGTGAGGAGCCCCTCTGCCCGGCTGCCCAGTCTGGGAAGTGAGGAGCGCCTCTTCCCGGCTGCCATCCCGTCTAGGAAGCGAGGAGCATCTCTGCCCGGCCGCCCATCGTCTGAGATGTGGGGAGCGCCTCTGCCCAGACGCCCCGTCTGGGATGTGAGGAGCGCCTCTGCCCAGCCACGACTCCGTCTGTGAGGTGAGGAGCGTCTCTGCCCAGCCACCCCGTCTGAGAAGTGAGGAGCCCCTCCACCCGGCAGCCGCCCCATCTGAGAAGTGAGGAGCCCCTCCGCCCAGCAGCCGCCCCGTCTGTGAAGTGAGGAGCCCCTCCGCCCGGCAGCCGCCCCGTCTGGGAAGTCAGGAGCATCTCCGCCCGGCAGACGCCCCATCCGGGAGGGAGGTGGGGGGCAGCCCCCGCCCGGCCAGCCTCCCCGTCCGGGAGGGAGGTGGGGGGCAGCCCCCGCCCGGCCAGCCGCCTCGTCCGGGAGGGAGGTGGAGGGCAGCCCCCGCCCGGCCAGCCGCCCCGTCGCGGAGGGAGGAGGGGGGGCGCCTCCGCCCGGCCATCGCCCCGTCCGGGAGGTGGGGGGTGCCTCTGCCCAGCCGCCCCTGCTGGGAAGTGAGGAGCCCCTCTGCCCGGCCACCACTCCGTCTGGGAAGTGTACCCAACAGCTCATCGAGAACGGGCCATGATGATGATGGCGGTTTTGTGGAATAGAAAAGGGGGAAATGTGGGGAAAAGATAGAGAAATCAGATTGTTGCTGTGTCTGTGTAGAAAGAAGTAGACATAGGAGACTCCATTTTTGTTCTGTACTAAGAAAGATTCTTCTGCCTTGGGATGCTGTTGATCTATGACCTTGCCCCCAACCCTGTGCTCTCTGAAACATGTGCTGTGTCCACTCAGGGTTAAATGGATTAAGGGCGGTGCAAGATGTGCTTTGTTAAACAGATGCTTGAAGGCTGCATGCTCGTTAAGAGTCATCACCACTCCCTAATCTCAAGTACCCAGGGACACAAACACTGCGGTAGGCCGCAGGGTCCTCTGCCTAGGAAAACCAGAGACCTTTGTTCACTTGTTTATCTGCTGACCTTCCCTCCACTATTGTCCTATGACCCTGCCAAATCCCCCTCTGCGAGAAACACCCAAGAATGATCAATAAAAAAAATAAAATTAAATTAAAAAAATAAATAAATAAAGTTTACACCAAGGCTGGCTTAAAAAACAAAAAAAGAAGAGGAGAGGTCGGTCAAGTTGAACCTAAGAGGGAAGTCATAAAAAGTAATTAAGTGAAATGAAAACTATGAAGGTAGCTGCCTATTTCATACTGGGAACAAATTAAGTCCTGACCCCTGATGCCAGGTTGGAGAGTTAAACCTAAATTAACACTTAGGTTATACAACATAAAATAACTACAGCAAATATTTCAGGAACAGAAAAATGGAAGTAAAATATATCAGCAAGCCAGAAGAAATGATCAGAAATGACCAGATCTGAAAAATGAAAAGAACCAAACAGAACTCTGAGATATGAAAAAATAATTATTAAGTTAGACACATAACCAAAATTAAGAACTGAACAGATGGGTTTTACAGCAAATTTAAAGTAGTTTAAGAGATTCTGTGAACTTTAAGACAGGTCAGAAGAAACCGTCAATTATGAAATAAAAGAGGGCCAAAGATGACAAATATAGAAAAGAGGGTAAGAAACATAAAGGATACAATAAAAAATACAAAACAGTGTTTGTTTGGGTTCCTCTGGACAGAAGCAACTGTTAGGAGATAATAGCTAAGAATTTTCCAGAATTGATAAAAAACAATAAACCACAGATTCAAGACACCCAACAAACTCCAAGTGGGAAAATAAAAAGATTTCTTTTCCCAGGAGGAAAATATCCTAGAAGGAGCCAGAGAAAAACAGATTATCTTCAAAAAGCAACAGACTAAAAACTGGCCAGGTGCAGTGCCTCACACCTGTAATCCCAGCACTTTGGAGGCCTAGGTGGGCAGATCATCTGAGGTCAGGAGTTCAAGACCAGCCTGGCCAACTTGGTGAAACCCCATCTACTAAAACTACAAAAATTAGCTGGGTGAGGTGGTGGGCACCAGCAATCCCAGCACTTTGGGAGGCTGAGGTGGGAGGAGTGTTTCAGCCCAGGAGTTCAAGAACAGGCTGGGCAACATAATGAGACATCTCTACAAAAAGATTTTTAAAAATTAGCTGGGTGTGGTGCTGTGCACCTGGAGTCTCAGCTATTCGGGAGACTGAGATGGAAGGATCGCCTGAGCCCAAGAGGTTGAGGCTGTGGTGAGCTGTGATTGTCCCACTGCACTCCAGCCTGGGTAACAGAGAGAGACCCTGTCTCAAAAAAAAAAAAAAAAAAAAAGAGTCAGTTTGTCAGTTTTTAGTCTGTTGGGTTTGTTTTGTTTTGTTTTGTTTTGTTTTTTTGAGACAGAATCTCGCTCTGTTTTTGTTTCCTTCTTATATAGTCCTCATACTTCATCAACTCTAACTCTTGTACTTCTATCCTGTTGCCCTGGTGAAAAGTTAACTCTGGGTTGTTTCAATTCTCACTCCAAAAGCTGAGTTGCTAAGTGTGCAACAGAAAAAATAAATTACTCAACCTCCATTATAGGTATAACAAATTCTAGGTCTCTAACCTCAATTAAGCTCTCAATGCTTACTGTCTGGAAATCTTTCCAGGCTTTCCTAGTTAGATTTTGCACAAAAAGCTACTGCTCAAGCCCCCTTCCAAATCGTCCTTCCTCTCAGCAGAAGACCAGGCCTCATATTTATTGAGAAAACAGAAACTATCAGATAGTAGCAACTCCCTCAACTTCCTAACGTGCACGTCCAAATCTCCTCCCCAATCCCAAGATCCCTGTCTCCTTTCATCCTATCACAATGACAGTGCAAGAGGTGGCTAGCTGTGCACTGAATCTAATTATTCTCTCATCAACTGTCCCCTTGCTTCATCAATTATCCATCTCCTCTCTCCCATCTTTCAAGTATTCTATTTCCCATATCATGAGCATGACCATGTCTTTCACTTAAAAAAAAAAAAAAGAACCTTTCTCAATCTACATTTTCTTTTAACTAGTTCCTGTTCTCTTTTGCCAAAATTTTTGAAAAAGTAGTCTAGACTGTCTTCACTTCTACTTATTTAGTCCACTCCATCCAAAATTCCATTGGCTCTGCTCTTGCCAACATTATCAGCAACCTTCTATTCATGGAACACAATCCTTAATTACATGGTACCTTTGCGGGAGAACACTTCATTCATTCTCATCTCCTTGACTTCCATAACACCACATTCCTGGTTTTCCTCCTCTTTGGTCTTCCTCCTTCATCCATCCATGTTGCTCTTCCCAAGGTTTTGCCTATTCATCTAGTTACTCTACAAACCCTTTCTAGGTTATCATATATATCTCCATGG
This sequence comes from Homo sapiens, assembly GCF_000001405.40. Lineage (NCBI taxonomy): Eukaryota > Metazoa > Chordata > Mammalia > Primates > Hominidae > Homo > Homo sapiens. The sequence continues at coordinate 49,765,138 of NC_000013.11, forward strand.
CTTCAATTATCAATTAAGTATTAATAACTCTGGATAATCCAGATTTGTTTCCTGATGAATTCTGAATTGGGCAGTAATATGTAACTTTTCAATGTTATAAATAGAATACATGTAAGGGAAAATCTAGTTAATCTTTAAATACAGAAAAATATTTGTATCTGGCATCTAAAACGTACTATTTATTATTTTGCTCACCTGTATATATTCTAGGTTATGATTAATCAATACAGCAATGTGGAACCATTACCTTTTTTGTCATAACAGCTTTGAGATATAATTCACTTACCAACAATTCACCTAAAGTATACATACAATTCAATGGTTTTTAGTGTATTTCACTGAGTTATAAAACTATTAACACAATCAATTTTATCATATTTTCTGAGAGGAGGTCTCACTATATTGCCCAAGCTGGTCTCAAACTCCTGGGCTCAAGTGATCCTCCCATCTATGCCTCCCAAAGTGCTGGGTTACAGGCATGAGCCACCGCGCCTGGCCTATATTTTCATCACTACATAAAGAAACCTTTTATCCTTTAGCAGACACTTACCATTCTACCAAGCTCCCCATCTCAGTCTTACAAAACCATTTATCTACTTTTTGTCTCTATAGATTTGAAAATGCTGACATAAAATGTCAGATGTCAGACGTCAATCACCCCTCCAATTATAGCTCCCTTTAGCTAGCATCCTTTAAGTAAACTGCTGTATTTCTAAGTAAACAGATTTTGGTGTGTTCTGCAAGTCCCATAACCTTGGGAATTTAAGCAGCTTAAAATTTTAAGCCCGGATCTCTCTCCTGAACTAAAGTATCTCCTGGATCACTCCCTAGAAAACCCCACATGTTCCTTAAGACATTCAAAACTGAGTTCATCATTTTCCTCACTGGTCTTACTTAATTTACTGTTTTCACCTTATCTGTAGATAACAGCACTCTCTAAAAGTGGGATATTCAACTACCTCAAAAAGTAGTTCCAAGAATTAAATAAAATAAACATTAATAAAAGCAGCTCGTGTCACGAAGCAGGCAGTCATCAATGTTTGTTTCCCTTTTCTGTCTACAGGTTGTAATCTCCATTTCCAATATTAAATGCCATTACTTTTCCTGTCCATTGAGGTTTTAACATCAATGATTTATTTTTCATTTCTAGCAAGTTTATTTTTGTAGTACTTCTTAATGTTTTTAGGTCCTTCTTAAAATGATTCAATCATCTTAAAAATATTTATTTTACAGTCTTTCTCTGATTACCTCTATTGCTGAATTTCTTAGGAGACATAAGACTGACGTTTTTGGTGTCTGTATTATCTGTGATATATTTCTTCCTGTGTTTTATAATTTTGGATTATGAACCTGTTCTCTTCCTGTGCTAGTGAGACCATCCAAAATTTGAAACATTTAGCCTCTCTATAAGAGTAACTAAAAATCAAATAACTTAGAATCTAAATAGCAGAAATTATATTAAATTTGCTATTTGAATGGCATCCTCTCTGGAAGACAAGCATTATTTTGATCTAAAAAGTCTTTTCTAGTATGTGAAATTAAGAATAAATCGGAAACTTCAAACTTCCTTCTCTATCCAGTTCCACTGGTCTGCCAGTTACAGATTAAAAAAATATAGCAGGGGGTGGAGAAGTTTATTAATAAACCTAACATCAAAAATTAAAGCTTGTTTTACCCTTCCAAAAAAGCCTATTCCTACTCCACTGCAGACAGAAAATTCCACTGCGTTAATATTACAAGATATCAACTAGAATTTTTTTAAAAAATTAAGAAGGGAGTGAGATTTTTCACTTTACAAATAACTGAAATGGGATTCCTTTTTTTTTTTTTTTCCTCTTCACAGAGGTAATCAAGTTAGGATTTTTTTTTTTTTTTTTATAATTTTAAGTTCTGACTGAAAGTATAGGTTTAGGACTAAACACAGGACATTATGTCCTAAGAGTTTAAAATTTTAGAGCAATACCATGAAATAATTTAATACAAGAATAATATCAATTAGGCCTGTGCAGTGGCTCACGCCTGTAATCCCAGCATTTTGGGAGGCCGAGGTGGGCGGATCACTTGAGGTCAGGAGTTCGAGACCAGCCTGGCCAACATGGTGAAACCCCGTCTCTACTAAAAACACAAAAACTAGCCAGGCGTGGTGGCAGGCGCCTGTAGTCGCAGCTACTCAGGAGGCTGAGGCAGAATTGCTTGAACCCAGGAGGTGGAGGTTGCAGTGAGCCGAGATCACGCCACTGCACTCCAGCCTGGCGACAGAGCCAAGACTCTGTCTCAATAAAAAAAAAAAAAAGAAGAAAAAAAGAATAATATCAATTAAATTAGAATAAAAAGAACTATTACAAATTATATTTTCATTATCTTGATTGTGGTGATGGTTTCATCAGTGTATGTACGTGTGTGAAAGAGTATCAAATTGTGTACAGTTTAAAGCTGCTTTAAAAAATGTGACTCAAATTGCAAAAAAATCTATTCCTATGTACCTTCTTAGGTATTAAAGCCACAAGAGCTACACAATGGAAAGACCATAAGAGTGGCTCTGTCACTAACTAGCTATGTGATCCTGAACCTATTACTTAACCTCTCTGAACCCCAGAGTCCCCACTTAGGAAACGAGGATATCACAATCTATCTCTGGGACAGTACAGTGAAAGTACCTTCCATAACAAGTCCTTACTGAACATCTACAAAATATGACTTGTTTACTGTACAAAGTAAAGTATACCTATATAAAGCATTCATTAAAACTTGTGCTTTATTACTAAGTTACAATGTGAGTACCAACAACAAACCTACCTTACATAGTCCAAAATGTACATATCACTATTATATTTTTTCATCTTTCTACTTTCAAACTGTGTCTTTGTATTTAAAATGCTGCTACACAATCCCAGCACTTTGGGAGGCCAAAGCAGGCATATCACAAGGTCTGGAGTTTGAGATCAGCCTGCCCAACATAATGAAACCCCGTCTCTACTAAAAATACAAAAAATTAGCCGGGCGTGGTGGCAGGTGCCTGTAATCCCAGCTACTCAGGAGGGTGAGGCAGGAAAATCGCTTGAACCTGGGAGGCTGAAGCTGCAGTGAGCCAAGATCGCGCCACTGCACTCCAGCCTGGGCAACAGTGCGAGACTCTGTCTCAAAAAAAAAAAAAAAAAAAGCTGCTACATAGAAGCCAATATGCACTGTAGCCAAAATGCACTACATAGTGCAAAATGTATTTAAAATGGACAGTATGCAGTTGGGTCTTGCTTCTTAATCCAGTCTGACAATCTCTGCCTTTTAATCGGGATGCTTTAGTCAATTTAAATGTATCATAATGACTGATATTGTTGAAATCAGGCATTTCATTATGGTATTTTTGTTTTTGATCATCTCGTTTGTTTTTTATTTCTCTTCCTGCCGGCCTGTCTTCATTTGGGTTAATCAATTTTTTTTTTTTTTTTTTTTTTTTTTTTTAGCATTCCATTAGATATTCCTCTCCTGGCATTTAGGTTCATCTTTTAATTTTGAGATTTCTCACTAGGGATCACAACTGTGACTTTAACTTAAAACAATCTATTCAGAGTTAATGTTCTACCTACTAAATGTCAAGAACCCAACTTGTGTGCCACACATACATGTACTACACATGCCACCACTGCATGCATAGTATTTAAAAACTGCCAAGAATTTGGACAGATCTTATATGCGAATTTTTTTGGACTCACTTTCTTTGTAGCTGCCTCTCTTCCAGGATTTACCCACTAAGTTTCTTGCTGTTCTGTTAGCCCAGAACTCTGTATCCTTACATTTCATGCAAATAAGGTTGTGGTATTCTTCACCAAGTAGCAGGAGGATTACAGAGCACCCTCAGACAAAAACCCACCAACTCATGAATTTCACAAGATAGTTATGTTTTAAGAATAGGCTCTCCTCCAGTTTGTCTGCTTTTGATCACTCTCCAGTACCTTTAAAGAAAAATTAATGTATTTTGTCCAGATATTATCATTGTTATCTATAGGAAGGTAACTCTACAGTATTGCACCATTACTAGAAGCCAGAATGCCACGTTACTTTTACTACATAAACTCCATTCTGAAAATGACTTAACTAGGTAATTTATGCTACTATTAGGTGTATTTTTCCTTTTTATTTTAGTAGCAGCTTTATTCAGATATAATGCCCACGCCATAAAATTTATCCTAAAAGGATAAGTTCCGTGGTTTCTAGTACAGAGTTGTATAACCATCACCACTACCTAATTTTAGAACATTCTCATCACCACAAAAAGAAATCACATACCCTTTAGCATTTGTTCCCCATGCTCCTTCCCACAACCCCTGGCAATCACTAATCTACTTTCTGTATCAATGGATTTGATTGCCTGGACATTTCATACAAATGGAATCATATAATATGTGGACTTTCATGTCTGGCTTCTTCACTTAGCATGTTTTTGAGATTCATCCATGCTGTAGCATGTATAAATACTTTACTCCTTTTTATTGCTGAATAATATTCTACTGTATGGACATACCCCATTTTATCTACCTATTCTTCCATTCAAGGACATTTGGGTTGTTTCCACTTTGGGGATATTATGATAATGCTATAACAAGCATTCATGTACGTGTTTTTCATCTTTTGGACACATACCTAAGAATAAAATTGCTAGGTGATATGGGAACTCTATGATTAACATCTCGAACTGCTATTTTCTAAAGTTGCTGCACATCCTACCAGAAGCGTATTAGAATTCCAATTTCTACTTATCCTTCCCAATGCTATTATTTGTTTGATTTTAGCCATTTTAGTGTACGTGAAATGATATCTCTTGCTTTTGATTTGCACTTCCCTAATGACTAATAACATTAAGCATCTTTTCATGTGTTTGTTGGTCATTTGTATGCCTCCTTCAGGGAACTGTCCAAGTCCTTGCCCCTTTTTAAACTAGACTGTCTTTGTATTGTTCAGCTGTAGTTCTTTACAAATTCTGGATGTTAAGTAGTACCTTTAATGGATGTATGATGTGCAATTTTTTCCTCCCATTTGTGGGCTGCTTTTTTTTTTTTTTTTTTTTTTTGGAGACAGGGTCTCACTCTGATGCCCAGGTAGGCATGATTACCACTTGCTGCAGCCTCAACCTCCTGGGCACCAGTGATCCTCCCACCTCAGCCTCCCAAGCAGCTTGGACTACAGATGTGCACCACCACACCAGGCAAATTTTTAAATTCTTTATAAAGACGAGGTCTCACTACACTGTTTAGGCTGGTCTCGAAATCCTAGGCTCAGGTGATTCTCCCACCTTGGCCTCCCAAAGTGCTGGGATTACAGGTGTGAGCGAGCCACTATGCCTGGCCACTTTTCTACTTCCTTGATGGCGTATTTTGAAGTACAAAATATTTTAATTTTGATAAAGTCCAATTTACCTATATTTCCTCTTGTCACTTGTGCTTTTAAGGTGGTACTATGAAACCAGTGCCAAGGTTACAAAGATCTACACAGATGTTTTCTTCTGAGAAGTTTACACATTTTAGTTTTTACATGTATATCTTTAATCAACTTTGAGTTGGTTTTTGCATACTGTGTAAGGCTCCAGTATTCTCTTGTATGTGGATAGTCATTTGTTCCATTTGTTGAAAAAAAAAAACTATTCCTTCCTTGTAATACTGTTTTGCCACCCTTGCTGAAAATCAATTGACCTACCCACCTACCAAAAAAAAAAAAAAAAAAGAAAAGAAAAAACCCCCGAAAATATAACTGGTAAATGTGAAAGTTTCTTTCTGGACTCTCAATTCTATTCCATTGGTCCATATGTCTATCCTTATGCCAGTATCACACAGTCTTAATTACTATAGGTTTGCTTGTTCTGTAAATTCTGAAATTGCTAAATATAAATATGAGTCCTTCAACTTAGTTCTTATTTTTCAAGTTTTGCTTTGGTTATTCAGGGTCCTTTGCAATTCCATACAAATTTCAGAATCAACTTGTTGATATTTCAAAAAAAAAAAAAAAAGAAGAGGAAGAGAAAAAGAAGCCAAAAGAAAAGAATAGAAAAAAAGAAAAAAGGCAAGTCAGCTTGGATTTTATGGGAAATTGCATTGAATCTCTTAGTTCATTTGGAGATTACTGCAGCTTAACATTAACTCTTCCAATCCATGAACATGAAATATATTTCCATTTACTTAGATCTTTCTTTCAATGAAGTTGTAGTTTTCAGCATACAAGTCTTAAACTTTCAGTAAACAATGAATTCCTGATAAAGAAAATAAGTCTTACACTTTTGCTGAATTTATTCCTGAGCATTTTATTCTTTGTAATGCTGTTGTAACAAAATTGTTATTTTGTTTTTTAAGACGGGGTCTCACTCTGTCACCCCCGCTGGAGTGCCAGTGGCGCAATCACCATTCACTGCAGCCTCAACCTCTCCAGCTCAAGGCTCCCTCCTCTGCACCCAAGTAGCTGGGACTACAGGCATATGCTACCACACCCAGCTTTTTAAATTTTTGATTTTATTTATTTTTGAGACAGGGTCTCACTCTGTTGCTTATTTAGTCTCACCCAGGCTGGAGGCTCTACTGCTCATCATAGTAACACAATTACAGTTCACTGTGGTCTTGACTTCCCAAGCTCAAGTGATCCTCCCACCTTAGCCTCTAGAGTAGCTGGGACTACAGGTACACACCATCAGACCTAGCTAATTTTGGTATTTTTTTTGTAGTGACGGGATCTAGCCATGTTGCCCAGGCTGGTCTTGAATTCCTGGGCTCAGGCAACCCACCTGTCTCAGCCTCCTAAATTTTGGGAAGTATAGGCATGTATAGGCCACCACACCTGGCCTGTTTTAATTTTAGATTGCCCATTGCTGGTATACTAAAATACAATTGATTTTGTATACTGATCTTGTATCCTGCAACCTTGTTGAAATCATTTATTAGCTCTAATAGTTTTTAAGTGAGTTCTTTAGAATTTTCTATCCAGAAGATCATATCATTTGCAAATAAAGAGTTTTAATTCTTATTTTCCAACCTGGTTATCTTTCATCTTGTTTTCTTGCCTAATTGTGTTGGCTAGAAAATCTGGTACAATACTGAATAGGAAGAACAACAATGAATACGGTTGTCTTATTCCTGATCTTAGGGGGAAAGCTTTACATTTACACCATTAATATGACATAAGCTGTGGATTTTTCAGATGCTCTTCATCAAGAGAATGTGAAGAATGCAAAATAAAACCATAATAAGACATCTCTACACACTTGGTAAAATAATGAAAATTTAAAAGACTGGCAAAACAAAGTATTGGTGAGCATGTGGAACAATTAGAATTCTCGCACTGTTGGTGAATGTAAAATAGGACAACCACCTTGGAAAAGAATTTCAAAGTTTCTAAATACTGTTGGGCTGGGCACAGTGGCTCACACCTGTAATCCCATCACTTTGGGAGGCTGAGGCAGGTGGATCACCTGAGGTCAGGAGTTCCAGACCAGCCTGGCCAACGTGGTGAAACCCCATCTCTACTAAAAATACCAAAATTAGCAGGGCATGGTGGCGCACGTCTGTAATCCCAGCTACTCAGGAGGCTGAGGCAGGAGAATTGCTTGAACCCAAGAGGCAGAGGCTGCAATGAGCTGAGATCATGCCATTGCACTTCAGCCTGGGTGACAAAAGCAAGACTCTGTCTCAAAATAAATAAAGACAGTTAAATACACACTTATATGACCCAGCCACTCTGTTCCTAGGTATTGATACAACAGAGAAACACATAGACTTGTACTGATCCAAAAGACATACACATAGCTTTATAAACAAATATTCATAGCAGTCTTACTTACAATTGCCAAAAACTAGTAACAACTCAAATGGCCAACGGTAGGTAAATGGCCTACTGTTGTGGTATATTCATATAATGAATATGAGTCAGCAATTAAGAAGAATGAACTTTAGGTACACAAAATATTAATGTTAATATTAAGTTTTAAAAAAATCAGACACAAAAGGAGTATGTATTGTCATCACATTTAAACGAAATTCTGGAAAAGGCAAGCTGATCAATGAAAGAAAGCAGATTAATATTTGCCTAAGGGTTAGGGACAGGAAGGGGTTACTGCAAAGGGATATGGAGGAACTTTTGGGAAGACAGAAATATTTACATTTTGATTGCAATGGTGGTTACAAGGAGGTAATCATTTGTCAAAACTCATCAAGCTAAATACTGATGTGTATTACTTCTGTAATTTTTTAATGTTAATTATTCTGAGAAGTACTTAAATTATTTGAAGTCCTTTCTAAATTAATCTGCCTCAAAGATTTTTTCGATGATATAATTACCAATGTCCTAATTTTTTATCCTATTAATACCATATTATGCACTTGGATCTGTGTTGCTTATCAACACTTGGGGCGGCTGATAAATATTCCCTGTAATTAAAAAAAATTGTAAGCAGTCAAAAACTAATAAACCTTCAAGAGTGTTATAAATAAATAAAATTTACAATAACATTTACATGACACCTATTTTAATGTTTTGTCCATTTTATGTTCCAATGATAATTAGGACTAAGTGGTGAGCAGTTCATGTAAAAATGACTTTACAGTAGTTATAAAACCAAACTCACACTGCTGAAGTCTACTAGGCAGAAGAACTGAACAAGAGCAGGAAGGTGTTATATATTTTCTGAAGGTCCCTAAAACAACTCTAGGCACCAGATAACTCCTACCTCACCAAAAGAAAAAAGAAAGGAAGAAGTAACCATATTCTGAAAGTCTATAGCACCAATACTATCCCATTCATAGTCATCTTTTTGAGACAGCTCTTGCTCTGTCACCCAGTCTGGAATGCAGTAGTGTGATCATGGCTCGCTGCAGCCTCAACCTCCCAGGCTCAGGTGATCCTCCCACCTCAACCTCCCAAGTAGCTGGGACCACAGGTGTGTGCCACTAAACCCAGGCTAATTTTTTTTTTTTTAAGGGATGGGGTTCTGCCATATTGCCCAGGCTAGTCTCAAACTCCTGCGCTCAAGTGATCCCCCTGCCTCAGCCTCCCAAAGTGCTAGGATTACAGGTGTGACCCACCACACCAGGTCTTAGTTCTTTTTCTTGATACAAGTCAGCAGAGACTCCAATTTCTCCACTTCAATAAATTAATGGATTCTTTAAAAAGAGAAAAAGATTAATTAAAGCCACATGAGCCACAGCCCCAACAATCTACAGTTATACCCCGAATTCAACACCTGGCAGCAGTCATAACTAGGGGTCTCCTATAACACCTAGGCCTGGATGTCCAGCTGCCTGGTTTCCTCTGGTTTATAAATTCAGAACTTTTAGATTTCTCTTTTGCTCATTCTCCCTTCTCTGCCTTTTAGACAAGAGAGCTCTGGACCTCCTCTCAAGGCTATCTTTACCCTAAGCAGATCTGCCCAACATCCCTTCCTCCCTAATACCTGCACTGCTGTAAACACTATACAGTTCTCTCAGAAATAGGTCCAATATTTACTATGTTACCAAAACAAAAGAAAAGCATAGGGAGGGATATGTTGGTTAAATTATATTTAAAGTTTAGCCATGACCACAAGCATATCATGTCCTCACATAATGTCATCACATTCACAAATACAAAAACTTAGAATGAAGGTGATAAACCTGGCTATGCCCCCTAACTGCTGCATGGAGCTATGTCTAACGTTATCAGAAGACTCCTGCACTGGTAACTAATACAACTAATTAGGAATGTGTTCTCATTATGAAAATATTCGGCCAGGCATGGTGGCTCATGCCTGTAATCCCAGCACTTGGGAGGCCAAGGCAGGTGGATTACCTGAGGTCAACAGTTCAAGACTAGCCTGACCAACCTGGTGAAACCCTGCCTCTACTAAAAATACAAAAATTTGCCACTTATGGTGGCACACACCTGTAATCCCAGCTCCTTGGGAGGCTGAGGCAGGAGCATCCCTTGAACTGGGAGGCGGAGGTTGCAGTGAGCGGAGATCATGCCATTGCACTCCAGAGTGAGTGCACTCAGACGACAGAGTGAGACTCTGTCTCAAAAAAAAAAAAAAAAAAAAAAAAGAAAAAAGAAAAAAGAATATATTCTAGCTATTTTTGACAAACACTAAGCAATATACTAAAGAATTTATTACCAGGAGAGAAATATTTAGTAAGTTAAAATAGTGCTTCCCAACCACTTTCATATCATGGCATGCACAGAAAATATTTATACAGCATACTGAGATAAAAGGACAAGGCTACATAGGCTCCACCACCCAAATCCCCGGGTGGCCACCCCTAGGGCAGCACACCACATGGGAAACACTGACCAAACAGGCTCTCATGCTAATACCCTGGGTCACTGTGACAAACTAGGGAGAAGTTCATCCATATGGCTGTACACTGTCACAAACAAACCAGCTTTAAAAAATATTTGTTTCTGCTTTTCTAACTTATACATCTTCATCAAACCATGAAACATTCAAGGCCCAGTTCATCCCCACCAAGAAGCCCTCGCAAATCTCTAAGGCTGTAATTCACACCTATCTTTTCTCTGTGTTCCCAAACTTCCTTTACTCTTACTAAACTATCCTGTTCTGTTTTATAGTTGCCTTTAGCTATTATTTACCTTATTAAATATGTCCCTTGAATAGAAGGATCTTGTTTCATTCATTTTTATTTCCTTCTTGCTCCACAATATTGAAAAAAGAGTTTGTACAACCTGTTTGTTCAATCGGACTTGGGGTGGGTCATATTCAGTGACAATGCTTTTTGTACTACAATAGCCCATGTACTTTCTCCCTCTGTATTCCGAAATTGGATTTATTTAGTTCCAAGCCTCTCAAATATCCCAAATTTTCCAGTTTCAAGAGTTCAACAGGATACACAAAAATGTTTGTTTGCACTAGCCCCACATCCACAAAATTTAGAAAACAAAAGCAAATATCCAGCCCCTATCGAACTTTTTTATTTTTTATTTTTGTATTGTTAGTAGAGACAAGAGTTTCGCCATGTTGACCAGGCTGGTCTCGAACTCCTGGCCTCAAGAGATCCACCCACCTCAGCCTCCCAAAGTGCTGGGATTATATGCATGAGCTACCACGCCAGGCTGTACCCCTACAGAACTTTAACATCCAAGTATCAATTCTTTCTTCCAAGCAAAAACAAGGTTTCCAGAACTCAACAGATAACTGAAAACCACACTGTTGTTACCAGCCATAGTCCCTGACAGTAACTTTAAATTGCCCAAGAGCAGTGAGGAAGCATTTTAAATTATTTTCACATCTATTGAAGGATTCCAGCCAAGAGAATTTATTCTTATTATACAGGAGTAAATACGCATTTTATCATTAAATAGTATGATAATCCTAACTAGGAATTATCAGCTTATAAATTTTCTCTGTAATATCTGTGAATCTATCTGAATGCTAAGATTTTATTTAGAATCACAATTTTTATTTTCATCTTCCCCTTCCCTTTAAAAAATAGTTAATTTTTAACTACTAGTAAGTAGAATAAATAGAAAAATAACTATAAGTGAATACTTAATATGAATTAGTACACAAATTAAGTTATACAAGGATCATTCCCAAAATATTTATTGAAAAATGCTTCTATCCATTTCTGATGTTTTTCTGACCCTTGTTTAAAATACCAGATGCTGAAGTTAACTAAAATTTATTTATGCATAATCTAAAAAGACAAAAAAAGCACCTCAATAAGCATTCCCAAGTATATATTATTTCAAAACCAAGATACATATAGTCATGGAAGTAGTTTCAAATTTACAGTCAGTTCAAATTTATAAAAAGATACTAACTGTATAGTCCATTGCTCTCTGCTAGCTGAGGTTAACACTGTATAAAAGCTGGTTTCTACTTTTTCTCTACCACCCATATATGCATCTCTACAATCTGTAGCCCAATACTTAGCCAACATGATCATCCTTCTCAGTCTACTGAATTCCTTTTTTCCTGCTGATTCAAATGTTGAGGAATGCACATGCAATATCCAATCCCTCTAATTATTTCAATGCCTGTTCAGCTACCTTCCTCCATACTCTATTCAGCTTTCTACCTTTCAGTCCCTATTATTATCATTTTGCATAAAGAAAAATAACAACAGTATCTGTCTTAACACCCTCTGTAAACACCACAAAGATATGCTGAAGAGTTGGATCTGTACCCCTTTTGTGTTTCTGAAACAGGAAATGCAAAGAAAGTATACAGGTTCCAGGACCTCCTAATACCAAAATCCAAGGATGCATAAGTCCCTTTATATAAAATGGCATAGTATTTGCATATAACCTATGCACTCCTCCCACATATTTTAAAATCATCTCTAGATTACTTATAATACCTAATATTATATAAATGCCACATAAACAGTTGTTACACTATTTATTTTTTTCTTTATTTGAGACAGGGTCTCACTCTGTCACGTGGGCTGGAGTGCAGTAGTGCAGTGCTTGGTGAAGCCTTGACCTCCTCAGGTCAAACAATCCTTGTGCCTCAGCCTCCCAAGGAGCTTGGACTACAGGCACACGACAATGCACCCAGATGATTTTTTTTTTTTTTTGTATTTTTTGTAGAGGTAGGGTCTCACTTTGTTGCCCAGGCTGGTCTAGAACTCCTGGCTTCAAGCAGTCCTCCCACCTAGGCCTCTCAAAGTGCTGAGATTACGGGCATGAGCCACATGCCTGGCCCGTATTATTTTTTAGTAAAATCACTTTCCAAAATACTGCAATATGAGGAAACCTTTATTCCAAAAAGTCTACTCATAATAACTTATAAACATCTTTGGAAGTTAAAAATTAACCACATCAACCTGCTTAGCCCACATAACCCACATTAACCCACATCAACCTGCTTAGCCCACATAATCCACATTAACCCATATTGTGGTTTATGTTTTAAAAGGAGAAAAAACACTGAAACTACCATATGTCTTACCTTTTAGGCATACATGTTAAAATTTTGGCAGATGAAACATAATACTGATAGATGACGCTTCAAAATAATGCAGGGAAGAGTAGAAGTGGGTAGAGATTGTTAAATCAAGTTTAGTCTAAAGCAGTCTCCTTACATATTTGAAGTTCAGTCTAAAGGTTTCTCTGTACATAGTGAACTATAAATGTATCTAAATGGAGGTGTAAACAGACTGTAACCTACTTTTGTGCCAATCACCAAGTTTTGGCCAGTTAAAAGGGGCCAACTGTTCAAACCATGTTCAAATAAGGCAAATGCCGAGCTGTAACCAATCTGACTGTTTCTGTACCTCTGTCTATACATCTTCTTCCACCACCTGGCTGTGCTGGAGTCTCTCTGAACATACTGTGGCTCAGGAGGCTGCCCTATTCACGAATCATTCTTTGCTCAGTTGAACTCTTTAATTTGACTAAGGACTTTCTTTTAACAAGATATAAATTACACAAACGACCATAAATTATAATTGTTTTAAAATGCCACATGGGAGTTCAATATATTATTCTCTCTACTTTTACATATGTTTGAAAGTTTTATAAAAGAGAGCTTTTGTTTTTTTGTTGTTGTTTTTTCTGAGACAGTACAATCTCAGCTCACTGTGGCCTCCACCTCATGGACTAAAGAGATCCTCCCACCTCAGCCTCCCAAGCTGGGACTACGGTTGTGAACCACCATGCTTGCCTACTTTTTAAATTTTGTGTAGAGATGAGGTCTCACTGTATTGCCTAGGCTGGTCTTGAACTCCTAGTCTCAAGCAATCCTCCCTCCTCTGTCTTCCAAAGTGCTGGGATTACAGGTGTGAGCCACTGTGCCCAGCCAGAATTTTTGTTAAGTGTGTTATGATAAAACACATAATTAAAAACAAGTGATTTTTGATTTTCTGAAATCAGAAAACCTGGTTACCAACTAGATGAGTGGACAACATTCATTATTTTTCTACGCCTTAAATTTTCACATCTGTGAAAAAGGAGTTGGACTCATTAAATTCCAACGTTCCTGCTAGTTCCATTTTTTTTTTTTAACAATTCAACTGAATGACTTCCACACTTTGAATTTGGTTTAACAATTCTAACTAAAATCCAGAATGCATTCATAGCTAAATCTTATATAATTAACTGAAAATTGTTCATTACTGTTACCAAAATAACAATCTAGTACAGTACTTACCTCAGCTGGGCCTTCATTCCTATATAAATCCTATTTTGCTTACCCTGAAACACCTTTCCTTCAAGTATTACCTCTTAGACCCTTCATTCTCTATAGTTAACGTTGTCAAAGAAAATAGAGGCCACTAAGTATAATTTGTTCCAGTTTCCCTACCCCTAATGCAGCCCATCCTCATTTCTGCCTGTACTTCAAGTCCTTTCCACCTGAGGCTGCTTCAAGATCTCTCCACATCTCACACATCTCTTATATTTCTTATTCCCTTCCCCAACAACTCCCTACTTACTCTATCTAGGCTCAGTCGTTTGTTCCTTTTCTAACCAAGTCCTCAGGTCTCTTTTGCTCTGGCTTCTTCAGTTTAGCCTAGTCAACACCACCCTTCTTAACAAATAAAAAACAAACGAACAGCCTTCTTTCCACCCTACGTCTTCCTCAAGCTAACCTGTGATTCCTCCTTCCCATGACTACCAAATATTTAAATCAAAGCTCTAACTAGTCTAAATAGCTCAACTCCAACTCACTCCTTAGCTCATCATGATCTAGCTTCCAGCCTCCACCACCCTCAGTTTTCCCTTCTCACTGGCCCCCAAAGAGCAAATACAATGAATGGCTTATTGTAAGGTCTCATCATGCCTCTCCTCTCTGTAGCATTTGATACTGCAATTACTGCCCCTCCTTCAGGAAACTCTCCTCCCTAAGTTCTTATACACCATTTTCCTGCTAAGCTTCCTACAGACTCCCTCAGTACCATTTTCACCTCTTCTCCTAATATGATTTGGTTCCTCAGGGTTCTTTCCTCCCCTGCTCCTCTTTCCTTCTTATCCCTACAATCCCTCACCTATATTATCATCTTACTCTAGCCATTGCTTGAGCTATTAATCTTCACCACTGGATACGCTAGCCTAGAAGGGCCTGTGAGCAAAATCTAGACCCCCAACTGATTTCATAAATAAAGCTTTATTAGAATACAACCACACTCATTTGTTTGCCTACAGTCTATGGCTGCTTTTGCGCTCAAGACACAGGTGAATAGCTGCAATACAAGCAGAATGGCCCTCAAAGCCCTAATATTTAGGCTTTTAAAAAATATTATGGCTCTTTACAAAAAACTTGCCAACCTCTATTCTATAAGGTAAAATATGCCAAAAGATTAGTCCTAATAACTTTTTCTGCTTTTCAATCTCAGTGCCAACACTATAGTCAGGCCACCCATCTGAGACCTTGAGGGTTTTCTGTTACTCCCAAACTCCCCATCTGAGACCTTGAGGGTTTTCTGTTACTCCCAAACTCTCTTCTCATCTTCACCAATCCATCCCCTATGGTATAACCAAAGCAATGCTTCTAAATGCACAAATCTATTTCACTGTTTAAAATGTTCCCCAGCGAAAAGGTTTTTCACAATCTGGCTCTTGTCTGTCCTACCCAAATTTCAAATTACTCCACACCTGAATATTGAAAAATATTTCTTTTTTTTTTTTTTTTTTTAAGATGGAGTCTCACTCCATTGCCCAGGCTGGAGTGCAGTGGTGCAATCTCGGCTCACTGCAACCTCTGCCTCCCAGGTTCAAGCGATTCTCCTGCCTCAGCCTCTGAAGCAGCTGGGACTACAGGTGCACGCCACCACACCCGGCTAATTATTGTATTTTTAGTAGAGACAGCGTTTCACCATGTTGGCCAGGCTGGTCTCAAACTCCTGACCTCAGGTGATCCACCTGCCTCAACCTCCCAAAGTGCTGGGATTACAGGTGTAAGGCCACCGCGTCCAGCCAGAAATACTGTTACTTTAGTTCCCCAGAATCTATCACACTATCTCTTACTTCCAGGCTTGCCCAAGATTTACCATAAATACCTACACATTTTTCTACTTTCAGCTCAGGCACAATCACCTCCATGAAGCCTTCAGTGACTTACCCAGGCCAACTCAGGTGATTCTTTCCCCATGTGCCCGCTCCACTAGGTACACACTTCCATTACAGGAAATATTTACTTGCTTTCACATAATCTGCCTACTAGTCTATACATTCCTTGAGCAGGAACCCTGAGGTAGAGTAGGAAAATGGCTATTAAGGGCATGGAGTTTTAAAGTTGGAAATCTGGGACTCAGTGCCAGTTCTGCCCCTTCCTAACTGTATGTTCTTAACAAATTAAGAAGAAAATGAAGAAATGAAGAACTCATTTTCTTCCTCTGTATAATGTAAACTTTGTGAGGATTATTTAAGGTTATTCTTATAAACACAGTGCCTTACACATAGTTAAGTGCTCAACAATTACTGGTTATCATTATTTTCATTGTTTTATCCCTCACACTCAGTAAAGAATTCGAATAGCTGCTGAGTGACATAACTGAAGCAAGCTAGTTCTGCACTGTTTTCAGCTGCATACTGAATATTTTCATCTGAACAACACTTGGATCCCGAGAACTCATTATTTTTATGCCCAAACTGTTTCAATTAGAGCAATCAACTTGTTAAGGTTTGTCCAGGACTTTCTCTGTTTGAACACTGAAAGTCCTGTATACTGGGAACTACCTCAGTTCCAGGCAAACCAAGACAGTTGATCACCTTAGAGTTATGTTGCAAACAACAGCAACTGACTTGGGTAAATTTAAGAAGAAATAAAGGGAAGAGTGAATTTATTGGTAGAATGTATAGAGTAATTCACAAAACCAAGACAAAGCTGAAGAATCAAGCCTACGAAAGCAACTCCCACATATCTAGCCGGCAGGAATTAACGGATGGTTACCTTCACAGTACTTCTGTCAAGATGAATCAATTAGGTCTCAGTATCAGCTCACTCAAGATTTAAATGCCAGGGACAAATTAGCCTAATTTGTGTTAGCCAGAAAAATGTGAGGCACATTAATTAATCAGAGGCAGGAGCACCTACATTAAAAATCCCACCATAAGATAGCCAATGGCAGAAAAGTAGCTTCCAAAGGCCAAATCAGAAGGTTGTTTCCAAAAGCAGGGGGAATGGATACAATGCCCCTCATATCAGCTGCAGCTTAAACATGCCAAGCCTTTAGACTCCATGACACAGTCACTGTTATTCATACTATTTTTCTTTCTGAGTTGGCAAACTCATCCTTCAAGACCTACCTCAAGTATGACCTTCTGTGTAACCTTACTAATTTCCCCAGGTACAATCACACTTTTTCTATACTCTTATAGTACTTTACAAATTATCTACCTGTATCATAGAACTTACCACACTGTACACTAGCCATATGCTTAAGTATCAGTCTCTCCCACTAAACTGAACTTCCTTAGATCAGGGAATATTTTCATATTTATAATCTTTGGCACCTAATGATGTCTACATAGCATGTAGAAAATACTAAATAGGCTGCGCGCGGTGGCTCATGCCTGTAATCCCAGCACTTTGGGAGGCTGAGGTAGGTGAATCACTTGAGCCTAAGAGTTTGAGACCAGCTTGGACAACACGGCGAAACCCTGTCTCTACAAAAAATAAAAAAATTAGCTGGGCGTGGTGGCGTGCACCTGTCCAGCTACTTGAGAGGATCACTCGAGCCTGGGAAGTTAAGGATGCAGTGAGCCGTGATTGTGCCACTGTACTCCAGCCTGGGTGACAGAGCAAGACCCTGTCTCAAAGAAAAAAAAAAAGCTAAATAAATGTTTAATAAATCTGTTTCCCAAGTCACTAGAATATGTAAAGCATCAAATAAAAAGAAACATAGGGGCTACCACAAGTAAATATGCTGACAGTATCAAAAGAAAGCTGATAGACCAAAAGCAAGGGAAGGACAAGCCAAAAAAATTAAGAAGAGCAAAAACTCCACAAGCGTAAAAATCAAGAAGAAAATTCTGTTAATTTAACAACCTGAAGGCATCACTTATGTAAAAGCAAAACCCAATATCCATATGCATAATGGTGATTCTCAAGAACCAAGAAAACAACTAAATTATATTCTATTTAAGGCAAGTGTCAAAATAAAGTAAAATCTAGTATGTATACAACCTCCCTAACCCAGAAAACCAAGAATGATTAATTCCAAGTAAATATAGTCATGATTTATTTTACCATATTTTAACTGCTGATGTTGGCTATGCTGTAAGAAAATTTTTCTTAACAGCAAAACTGCAAGAAAGGATAGCTACATCCTCCTTATACTTTTAATATTCCTTCACCTCCACTTGAAAATGAGAATACAGTCCTCCCTCTGTATCCTCGGGGGGGTTGGCTCCAGATGCTCCCTCCCCCGAAGATACTAAAATCTGCAGATGCTCAAATCTCTTCTATAAAATGGCACAGTACAGTCAGCCCTACGAATCCACAGGTTACAAAGGGCCAGCTGTACAGCCAAACCGTATGCTAACTAAACAAAAGGTCAACTGAGGAGTGGTGTCAGTCATAGAAAGAAAATCCTACTGACTCTGAAGTTAGAAGTTCTAGATATACACTTTGTAACTCCTTTACTGGATACCAAGAAGTTACTTTTTTTTCCACTTCTTGAAATGTCATCAATTTCATGTCCCATTTCCCCCAAATAACTAAAATTCACTTCACAAACTGTTAAGTAACTTTCACATTGATGGCATTAAACTATTTGTTCTTTATCACCTGAACCCTACGATCATTCTTATTATCATTACTGAGATATATTCTAAGGTACACACTACCACCAACTGAAGTTTAAATAAATTAATAGAAGCTTAACTTGAAGCTAATCAAGACTTTAAATCAAACTTCCAGTTTAGACTGGGCTCAGTGGCTCATGGCTATAATCCCAGCATTTTGGGAGATTGAGGAGGGAGGACTGCTTGAGGACAGGAGTTCAAGACCAGCCTGGGCAACACAGCAAGACCCCATCGCTACAAAAAGTAAATAAGCTGGACATGGTAGTGTGCACCTGTAGTCCTAGCTACTCAAGACGCTGAGGCAGGAGGATCGCTTGAGCCATGATCGTGTCACTGCACTCCAGCCCAGGTAACAGCAAGATTCTGTCTCAAAAATAATGTTTAAAAATTTTTTTTTAAAAAAACTTCCAGATTACAAAAAATCTGAAGGGTGGTAAAAAAACAAATAAGAGGAACCAGTTAAGCACCACCAGAAGGAAACAGACAAACCCAGTAATTAGGACAGTCTATTAGGCTAAATATGAAATTGCCAATACTTGGCTGTTGTTACAAACCTGGAAAAAAGCAATTTCATATAGTGCAATTTAATAAAAGAAAACTGACCCGAACAAATTAGTGGCATTTTTAAATGGTTGGGAGACAACAGACTAAAGTTGGAAACAATCCAAGTATTCATCTATAGATGAATGGGTAAACAAAATGTGGTATATACATACAATAGAATGTTACTTAGCCATACAAATTAGCCTTAATCACTAATTCATTCACTATGTATATACCTTAATCTCCCAGAACTTTACCTGTCATAATAAAAAGCTTGGAGTTGATTTGGGAAGCAGTAGGAAAAGGCACTAAAAGAGTAAACATTTCAGTTCAAAAATACACATGGGAAAAATTATTGTGTCTGCGGTGCCTACGATGTATTTATTCAAGGAATATTTTAGTGCTTGCTTGGTTCTAGCCACTGTACTAAGTGGTAGGCAATGAAGATACATAGTCTGTGCCCTCAAAAAGCTCACAATCTAGTAGGAAAAATAAAATCTAATTAAAATACATTATCATAATTGCAACGAGAAAGATACACTCAGACTTCTTCCAGGAGCAAAGAATGGTACCTACCCAGAGTTGAGTATTTAAAAGTGGTAGGAATTAGCCAGGCAACAGGAGGCAGAGAAGGATATTCCAGTCAGCAAGATGGCCCTGAGAATAGAAATAGCACTGGCGAGGAGGGGCAGGCGGGATTCCAGATTATGTATAAGCATATAAGAAGTTCAGTGTTGCTAGGGCTTAAGGGGGTGGGGGAGGAAGGCTGAATCTGGAGAAATAATCAGGCATCAGGCTCACTGAAAAATCTCATAAACTAAAGGAAGAAAACCACTTTGGAGATAGTTTTTAAACAGGAAGGTGACAGGTAATAAGGCCTAAAGTAGGCTGGAGGCAGCAGAATATAGAGGCAGGGCCAAAATCCAGAGACAGCACAGAGATTCGAGCTACATAACTGGCATCTGACTGAATGTGGAAGAGGAGAAGTCCAAGAAGCCTCTCAAGTTTCAAATTCAGGTCACAGTGAGGGTGATGATGCCATAAACAGAAAAAAGAAAAAACAAAGGCAGAACATGGCTTTAAACACTTTGAGCTTGAGAAGCTAAAAAGATGCTCATGTGAATAATTTCCAGCAGATGATTTTATGAAATTTAAGTCCCCGCACATTGAAATGATGATTAAAGCCAAGGGAGTTGCTGATATGAGCAAGAAAAACAGTCTACAGATAAAAGAATCGTAGACAGAATCCCAAGCCATGCCTACTACATTCAAAGGGTAGGAAGAAGACTTACCAAAGCTGACTGAAAAAGAGTACTCCAAGAGAACCAGGAAGCAGTATATGCCCCATTAGTGAATTCATGAAAAAAAAAAAGTTTGTTTGCTATATGGCATATAGATTCCTGAAACACTTTACACTCTCCAAACTTAGGAAGAAGAGGGAAATGCACAGGATGGATGGTCGTTAAGCACCTTTAGACACTGCATATGGTTAAACAGAGCCAAGAGGCAGAACATGGGTGCATGGCCAATATGCATACTCCTGGGCTTGATCCGTTCAACTGTTTCTGTACTTTATGTTCAACTGTTGTTATTTAAGAGTGCTAAACATTAATGTGATACTAAAAATCACATATGAACCAATATGAACTTTGCCTTAACATTTTTTTATTAACCATTCAAGTATGAGCGAGTTCATGTTACAGAAATACATTATAGGAGAACAGGCTGTTCAAGGAGGGCTAGGCAACAGTATCAATGCCATGGAGTCAACACCAAAAGAAAATTAATGTCTTAGAATAATACTGAACCTTTCATTCCCAAATGTAGACTTTTTTCAGGTATATCATCTAGTCTCTCTTCTCATTAAGTTTCATGTTTCAAGTTACATCCAAGGTATCTATTCTCACTGAGCTTCTCAACAGAGCCCAAATACTTTAATAGCTATACAAACACAGAATTTGTTGTACATCACAGCAATTTATCCCAAATAGGTGAAGGAAAATTCACCTAGGAAAACACTAGAGAGGAGGAAAAGAATAGGGACTGATAGTACCAAGTATACTGTAAGTCAGGAAAGGCTCATGGAGAACTTTTAAAGTTTTTTTTTGTTTTTGGTTTTTAACTAGAATGACATGGTGTGGCAGAATTGTAATCTTGGTGTTCCAGAGATATATGAAGGAGTCTCACTGAAGAGATAGGTTGCCAGAGTGAACCCCAACTCAACAGATAGTCAAAAGAAGGCACACAGAACAGCATATACAAAGGCATGAAGAAGAAACTACTGGTTACTCAAGCATCTCCAGTACTTTATCACAGCTGGCACAAAGGAGATATAAGGAAAAGTGCAAGGTGAGGTAAAAAAGGTAAGGTCTTACAACTATGTGTGGCATGCTAAGGACTTTTATCCTGAAGTCAATGGGAAGGATCATAAACAGGAAAGTAACACAGAAAGATATGAGAAAGATCAATCCACAAGATACACTGGGGAGAGAAGATACTGAACACAGAAGAGCTAGGTACACTATTATACTTGTTCAGGCAACAAAGATAAGGGTCTAAACTAGGGGCAGAGGAAGTAAGGTTGGTAACAGGTACAAACATGAGGGTTCTTCAGATAACTAATACAAAGAAGGGTGAAGGAGGGGAAGAGAAGGGAGTCAAGGATAGAATCTTAAACTTGGACAATCAGATAGTGCCACTTAGCACTGGAGGTTCCAGAGACAGAAGCAAGTCTGGTAGAGCTAACTGAATTTTGCAGGTGAGAAAATATATATTAGCCCTGGTATCAGAAACTAAAGCATAAAGCTTAAGTGTTAAGCCCAAAGATACGGATTATCATTTTTTGGTAAAACCAACCAACTGGCTCCTTGCTGATAAGAAGGAAACTTTGCAAGAGTAAAAAGATAAAAAGGCAAATAAATCTAATAGTAAAGTTCATCAAAAATTTGCAAGGTTTTAAAGTATAGAAATAGCAATTTCTGTGATATAGTCGATATTTCTTCAATATTTTCCCCATTCACTAACTTTCAGGCGTGGTTTGTACATGTCAAGTCTTAGACTCCCTTCGGTGGAGTACAGCACAGTAAGCAAGAGTTCTAGCTTTAGCATCAAGCTTTATTTGTTTGTTTTTGAGACAGAGTTTCACTCTGTCGCCCAGACTTGAGTGCAGTGGCATGACCACAGCTCATTGTAACCTCTGCCTCCCCGGTTCAAGTGATTCTCTCGCCTCAGCCTCCCTTGTAGCTGGGATTACAGGCATGAGCCACCAGGACCGGCTAATTTTTGTATTTTTTTTTTTTTTTTGAGACGGAGTTTCGCTCTGTCGCCCAGGCTGGAGTGCAGTGGTGCGATCTTGACTCACTGCAAGCTCCGCCTCCCGGGTTCACGCCATTCTCCTGCCTCAGCCTCCCGTGTAGCTGGGACTACAGGCACGCGCCACCATGCCCGGCTAATTTTTGTATTTTTAGTAGAGACGGGGTTTCACCATGTTGGCCAGGCTGGTCTCGAACTCCTGACCTCGGGTGATCCACCTGCCTCGGCCTCCCAAAGTGCTGGGATTACAGGCGTTAGCCATTGCGCCCAGCCGCTTAGCATAAAGCTTTGATATATTGTAAGTCCAGGCTTTGCCACTTAACACCCGATGGAAGACTTAAGGCCACTTACTTAAGGGTTGTAGGCCTCAAGTTGCCTCAGCAGTAAATGGGGATAATAATAGTACTTACTTGATATAGGACTGTTGTGAAGATTAAATAGATAATCTATATAAAGTACTTAGCACTGATATACTGTAAACAATAAATGTTAAGGTTTTTAAAATAATTAATTACTGTTACTAATGAAAATGTCACACCCTTGAGGTATACAGCAGCAAGAAAATGAGTTGACCTGGATTGCAGTTACCTGAGCATTTGTTTTGTAATTATTCATTAAACAGAACATTTCTGTTTTGCACACTTTTCTATAAGTTATCTTTGAAAACAGGAAAAGTTTTTAAGAATCAATGCCTTACATGAAAAGGTCTAGCATTAAAATGCACATTCCAGGACCGGGCATGGTGACTCATGCCCCTAATCCCAACACTTTTAGAGGCCAAGGCAGGAGGATAACTTGAGCTAGCAGTTTGAAACCAGCCTGGGCAACATGGCAAAACCCCGTCTCTACAAAAAACACAAAAATTAGCCAGGTGTGGTGGCATGTGCCTGTAGTCCCAGCTACTCAAGAGGCTGAGATGGAAGGACGGCTTGAGCCTGGGAGGAGGCGAAGGTTATAGTGAGCCGAGATTGGGCCACTGCACTCCACCCTTGGCGACAGAGCCAGACCCTCTTTTTTTTTTTTTTTTTTTTTAAAAAAAAAAAGCACATTCCAGAACAAATAAAAGGAAATGTTTCCCTTTCAATATGTACTTCCTAGTTTTTGCTACAAAATGCATCCCCTACCCAAGCTCCAAATTTCTATCAGTGATGATAATTACTCCCTCCCTTCCTCCATTTATAAACCTCAGAATAACCTTTACTCCCTTTCTCTTCAGTGATCTTTATAAAGAGAATTTGAAGGAGGAGGAAGAGGGAGGAAGAACAGCATCATCAAATCCTCATTCCAGGTTGTAGCCATTCCCAGTCTCAATTTTTTGGAAAACTCTTCTTTGCAGATCAGACAACAGCGCTATTTCTCCAAAATGAATTCTAGGTATTACTGCCCTGTCACCCTTTCCATTGCTCTAATCATGTTACATCTCCTCTTTGCTCTGGAATAAATTCCTTCACATCTCCCTATTAAGAAAAAGCTTCCAAGCAACTCTTTGCCACAAGATATTCTTGCATCAACACAGGCCACCTG
Organism: Homo sapiens; assembly: GCF_000001405.40. Lineage (NCBI taxonomy): Eukaryota > Metazoa > Chordata > Mammalia > Primates > Hominidae > Homo > Homo sapiens. The sequence goes on from NC_000013.11 coordinate 49,789,231, forward strand.
GAAGTCTCCTCTCTTTAATATAATCACTCTTCTTTTTTACCTGGATATTTATTCACCAGTTAACATGCCCCTTTTAAGTTTGGTACATATTTCCTATAAGATTCACTAACCTCATTTTTTTTTTCCTCTCCAAAGATCTCTTAAAGTCTCTCTCGATTGAATGACAAAGAAATTTTCTTCCTCAACCCTCTCTCTACTCAAATCCCCTGGCATAACTCTATCCTTTTATTTTCTTTAACAAGTATGGATCTTATTCTTGCACCTAACATCTTGTGTATCAGCTGCTTCTATAATTTATAACATGTTTTAGTTTTTGTCTATCCTATATGTGAAAAAATAGGCATCATAGCTTATCAAAGTGCATCTCACTGTTTTGGAACAGCCTGATAACCACAACTACTCAGTTACAGAGCTAAGTTGTACTGTTTCTAATGGACAAGACTAAGCATGGTTATCTACTCTTAGATATGCCTAAATCCCCAATAAAGGCCCTTCATCAGATTTGACCCCAGTTTACCCTTTAGTCTCTCTCTCTCCTACATTTCTCTCAGGACTCTTCAATTACTGCTCCCTCTAGTCTGGAATGCCCCTTTCTTCCACCAGCCTTCTCCCGCCCTTTGCCTGGCCACCTTTCTTTCATCCTTCACAATCAGCTCACTCCCATTCATCCATTAGAAATCAACCAGAGTATCTTCCCTTTCTGCTCACCTCCAAGTAGTTTTTTTGGCATGCATTTTCGGAATACTATACTGTAACAATTGTTGTTCTGCATTGTAATTATCACCCCCACTGGACTGTAAACTCCCTGAAGTACAGACTGCATCTTATTCCTTATCCCCAAGACCTAACATTGATAGATACCCAATAGACAATTAGTGAATAAATAATACCCATATCCACTGAGTGACATGCACAGGCTACATAAGCACACTGAGGTTTTTTATCTAAAGTTCCAGCTGGGTGTGACGACTAGCATCTGTAGTTCGAACACTTTGGAAGGCCGAGGCGGGAGAATCACTGGAGCCCAGGAGTTCAAGACAAGCTTGGGCAACAAAGCGAGACCCCGTCTCTAAAAAAGATTAAAAAATTAGCCAGGTGTGGTGGTGTCCGCCTGTAGTCCCAGCTACTTGGGAGGCCATGGTGGGAAGATTCCTTGAACCTAGAAGTTTGAGCTTGCAGCTGAGCTATGAGTGCCTGAGCACTCCAACTTGGGTAAAGGAGCAAGACTCCGTCTCAAAAAATACTTTACTCATGTAAAGTGGGGATAATGCCACACTTCATATACTTGTTACACAGATTAAATAAGGTATCATGAAGCTCGTAACAGTGTCTGCCACATTAGAACTACCATTTGAATGTCTATTTCATGTTTTAGTTACACTATAGAATCCCGAGAAATGTAATGTTGTGACCAATACCAGGCTGAATGGCTTAGCAACCATGCTCTTTTTCATGCATCTAAAAGTCACGGGTTACATTCTTATCAGCAAATATTTGTTGTGTACCTATTATGTGCAGGAGTCCTTACTAAGTATCACTGAGCTACCAGAACACAATAGAGGTAAACAATGAAACAAAAACCTGTACCAATATCCGAGAGAAGAATGTTACTGGTTTTTCTGTACAAACAATGAGTATTTTTCAATAAATTTTTATTTGGAACAGGATAGGCTTCAAGAAAAATTCCTAATGGGAAAAGTTCAAAATTAACACTTGTCATCAAGTGGACCAATAACAGGAGGCAGTTCCAAAATTTCTTGTTCCTATTCCCAAGTTTTACTTTCGCTTAGATGTATTTCTTACAAAGGGTATTTAACCATGACCAGGAAAGAATATATGATCTTTATTTGACTCATTTAAATGGGAATTCCACGGATATCTCCCTAGGTTCTTTCCTACTAGTATTTAATTTTGTAGCTCTGAAAAACGGCCTGAGTTTGTCTGTTTCTCTACAAAATAGAACACTGAATGGTATATTTACCCCACAACCTTCCTTAAGACAGGATAAAACACACCTCTTAATCACACTAGCTTATCAAAAATTACAAAACTGCAAATCATGTCGCCTAGTATTAGCAAAGAAGGCTGCGGCCTTAAAACCATTTTCCCCCTAACAAATCCAAAGGTCACGGTCCCAGTGAAGTTTGTGCATTATACTTACTGTTTTCAGTAGCTGCAGAGAGACCTCTAGCGCTGCCTCAATAAGCCGAGTTTGCAAATAGTACCTGCTAATGTCACCTTAATGAGACAATGGCAACATGCTGAGTAGCAACTAACTGAGTGACCGCGATGAATGTTTAGTTTTGCAACCACTTGGAAATTCTACTAGCTTGGAGCAAGAGGTATGTAAGAGAATTATGAACCTGTGTATCCAATTTATTTTAGTAAAACGTGTCAAAGAAATTATCACCCTATGCACACCCCACTCCAAGAAAGGCTAAGAAAACAAGTCCTATGAGCGGAGGTCGGAGCAACCTCTTTTCCGAAGCCTGAACACAATAGATGGCAAACTATTGTCCACCTTCAGCTCGCTCCAAATGCCAGCAGTTGCAGGAGTATGAGCTGCAACAGCTCGGCACGACTAGTCCAAAGACGAGCACTGGAATATAAGAAAATGGTCCTGGCGCATCCTACCCTCCCCCATCGATCACCCTCAAACAAGTCAGTTACCCGGCTGGTCCCCACCCCCCTCTGCGGGCCGCCACCGCCCGCCTGGGCCCGGCTCGCAGAAGGTAGGAGCCCGGACCGGCAGAGCCGAGGCTCCATGTGAGCCGCGCGGGAGGCGCAGAGGGGGCTGCACCGGACGGAAGGTTGCACCGGTGGCGGGCGCAAGCAGCGGCCGCCCCCTCGGCTGTGCGGTCGGAGGGCCCGGGCGGCAGCATCCCCGTTCATCCGGGCGGCCCTGGCCCGCGGACCCCGCCTCAGCTCCACATCCCCTCCTCGCCGACACCAGGCCGCGCCCGCGTGACGGGGCCGAAAACGCCGGCATTTCCCGGTCGCCGCGCCGGCAGCTCCGGGGGGTGACTGCAGCCCGGCCGGCGTCTCGCCGCCCGCTCCGCCCAGCCCGGGGCCGCGGTGACGGGAGGCGGCGGCCAACTCCGGCCGACCACAAGCCGACGAGAACCAGCCCGGCGCCGGCCCCCCGCCCCTCCCCGCGTCGCCGGGCCGGCGCGGCCAGGCGGGCCCAGACCGCGGAAGCACACTCACTTCCACATCGCGGCCCTTGTTCTTGAAGCTCTTGATGCGGTGGTTCTCCAAGCTGGGGTTCTCGGCCATGGCTGCGCGCGGCTCCGGCGGCGGCTACTCCTGCGGCTGCGGCGGCGGCGGCGGCGAATCTTGGAGCGGGAGGGGGAGGAGGGGGAGAGCGGGAGGGGGGAGGGGAGAGAAGAGCACGTTCTGTGACGCCTCCGAGCGCGAGGTGGCAGTAGCGCCGGGGGAGGCGCGGGCCGACTGCCGGGCCGGGTGGGGCGGGAACGGTGCTGAGAGCGGCGCGCGGCCGCGGAGGCTGGCGACACGTGACCGGGGGCGGTGACCGGCTTGGGCGTTCGCCGGGCTATACGTGCCCGTTGGTTCTCGGGATGACCCTGCCCTCTTCCCCTGCAAGGGCTCTCCACAACCCCTCGGTGCTGCAAGTTTTGTGCCAGAAATGGAGCCGGACCTGGCGACTTTTACTGCCCCTCAGGCGCGGGGCGGCGGTCGTCAACTACAGTTCCCATCATGCCACGATCCGCCTGGAGTAATTCTCCACGCCTAGTGAGAACGAGGAGAATGCCGGGACCCTTCCGCGCGCGGCTCTTTGCGCGCCGCGCTCATGTTGCTGGGCACAAAGCTCCGCCCCCACAAGGCCGCCTCTGGGCGGGGAAGAGCGGGGGAGCGTCCCTGGCACCTTGCGCCCTATCAGGAGGAAGAGGGCGGGCCTTCCTGGGAGCGCACCTCGCTGCCTGTAGCTAGAAGATCAGAAAAGGAACAACCGCGAGTGCTTTGCAGTCTCGCTTTTTTGGGGGTCTTCTCAAATAGCCACCTTCATTCGCTCTTCCCATGCTCTGCTTCAGTTTTATAAATAGCATTTCTACCTGACATGTACATGTGTATGTATGTGATACGAGTGTTTATATGCGTTACCTAGGTGCCCGCGCGGAAATTCAGCTCAATGAGAGCAGGTACTTTGGTTGAATTACTGCTGAATCTCTAGTGTCAAAACAATGCCTACCACGTCGTAGATACGCAATACTTGTTGAACTGGCGCTTTAGTGTCGCCCAGTTTCTTCATCATCCTTCCAAGCCCGGTTCTGCAACCTTCACTCTGGCAGTCCCTGTATTTACATGCCCCCCAACACTTCTTGTTCTACCACCACACAGAATCTTAGCCTTCAGGCAGCAGCCCAGCCCTGGTCCGCAGACTCTCCTGTGTAGCACTCCCACTCCCTCTGGGGGCATCGAAAGAATGAAAGAGGGAAATTTGGATGGATTACACTGATAAAGAGCTGCTTTCGGCCGGGTGTGGTGGCTCACGCCTGTAATCCCAGCACTTTGGGAGGCCGAGGAGGGCAGATCACAAGGTCAAGAGACCGAGACCAGTCTGGCCAACCATGGCCCGCATGGTGAAACCCCTTCTTTACTAAATATACAAAAATTAGCTGGGCGTGGTGGCGCATGCCTGGAGGCTGAGGCAGGAGAATCGCTTGAACCCGGTAGGCGGAGGTTGCAGCGAGCCGAGATGGCGCCACTGCACTCCAGCCTGGCGACAGAGGGAGACTCTGTCTCAAACAAAACAACAAAAACAACAACAACAAAAACAAAAAGCTACTTTCTGGAGCAGGTGGGCTTCATTTGCTTGTATGTTAATTTTCAGAATCTATGGTAGACATGAGCAGGTATGTAATGTTGTAGTACTTATAATTGAACTGAGGTCAAAAGTTGGTAGGACTATACCATGAAGAGATCAAAAAGGACAATCTTTAAAGCGAAAGGGCCTTGGCTGGGCGCGGTGGCTCATGCCTGTAATCCCAGCACTTTGGGAGGTCGAGGTGGGTGGATCACAAGGTCAGGAGGTCGAGACCAGCCTGGCCAACATGGTGAAACCCCACCTCTACTAAAAAAAATACAAAAATTAGACGGGCATATGGCGCATACCTGTAATCTCAGCTACTTGGGAGCCTGAGGCAGGAGAATTGCTTGAACCTGGGAGGCGGAGGTTGCAGTGAGCTGAGATCGTGTCACTGCACTCCAGCCTAGGCGACAGAGTGAGACTCCATCCCCAAAAAATAAAAATAAAAAATTCAAACAACCCAACAAAAACATGCAAAGGACACTGATCACAGAAAAAGAATAAATATATGAGGAGATACAGAAAAAAAAAAAAAAAAAAAAGCGAAAGGGCCTTAAAGAACCTGAGGCCCAGAAGTCAGGAATTCAGAAGCCTTTGGTGGCCAAGCTATGTCCAGGGGCATTCGTCTTGTGAGTGGTGGGGTGTGGCCTATTGATAAACACAGGCTTCAGATCCTCTGGTCATACTGGACTGTGGCCCAGTGTTGCCAGAAGATTCCACTTTTCAAGGAAAACCAAAAAGGTAGATTCTTTTTCTCTTTATTTTTAAATGTTAATTCACATTTTGTTAATGGACTTAAGCATTTCAGTCACTTCAGAATATCAGGTCCTCAGTTTGCAACACCTGATCTTAGTCTAACCACTCATTTGAAGGGAAACACACACACACACACCAGCTATGAATTTAGAAGGAATACATTAGGCAGGGCACAGTGGCTCATGCCTGTAATCCCAGCACTTTGGGAGGCTGAGGTGGGAGGATCACCTGAGGTCAGGAGTTTGAGACCAGTCTGGCCAACCATGGCCCACATAGTGAAACCCTTTCTCTACAAAAATACAAAAATTAGGCAGGCATGGTGGTGCATGCCTGTAGTCACAGGTGCTCAGGAAGCTGAGGCAGGAGAATCGCTTGAACCTGGGAGGCGGAGGTTGCAGTGAGTTGAGATTGCGCCACTGCACTCCAGCCTGGGTAACAGAATGAGACTCTGTCTCAAAAAAAAGAAAAAAGAAAGAATACATTAGCTCAACTCTGGGTTTTAAGGAAACAGAACTTGTGTGTTTGCCATTCTCCTTGGCTAAATGGAAGAGAAATTTTCAGACTGTTGCTCAGTCTCTATTATAATTTAGTAGGTATTCCCTTTTCAGGTTACTTTATGCCACCTTTCTTCACACCCAGTCCAAAGCAGGGCTGCCCTTTTGCCTGGATCTAGTTTACTCATTTTTATTCTTTGCCAGTACCCCTGGTAACTTCAGCATTCACAAATGTGGCACCCTGACACCACAGTCTTTCTACATCCTTAACTTCACCAAGTTTTTTACCACTCAAGTGGTAAAAAGTGCAAGCCTGCACCAGACCTTGGAGACCTTAATCTCTGGGAAATGACCACCTCCAGGGACTCAAATTTGGTGCTTCTCATTGTTAGAAACTATCTCCTTCTCTTTTGCCTCACTCTAATCATCATCCTTGGCCTGAAACTTCTCTGGACAGCTCTTCTTTTAAATGGATTTATTTTCCACACATATTGTGAGTGTCTACTGTATACCAAGCATTGTATTCATCGGGCACATGTATGAAGGACTAGGGGGTCTCGGGGGAGACAGGAAGGAAGGGCCCTCAGCCCAGGGGTCAATCAAATCCTCTGACTCACTCTCCACCTTCCCAAGGCATGGGGAGTCATGCCAGCAGTCAGTCAGGTAGCAGTATGCCGTAGGCAACACAAGCATAACAGATGGGAAAAGGACTTCATGATTTGCCTCCTAAGTCAGCTTCTTTCTGCAAACTCACCCCTCTATTACTGGCATAACCATTCTTCCAGGGACACCTCTCCAAGCTAAGAGCCGTCTTTACTTCTTGTCTCTCTCCCTCAACTCCCTCACCTAGTCACCATGTTAATTCACCACTCAGTGTTTCTGGCATCTCTCTCTTCTTCCCATGCCACCCACGAGACTACCTTAACACCTCCTAAGCAGTCCACCTGCCTCCCCAATCCCTCCACAGCAATCTGACTCACTTCTCCAGATCTTCCTGACTTCATCTCTGCTCCCAATCAGCATACCCTTCTCCTCTGCCATTGTCTGTCAAATCATTTATAAACTCAGTCTAGGGCCAGGCTCCGTGGCTCACGCCTGTAATCTCAGCACTTTAGGAGGCCGAGGCGGGTGGATCACCTGAGGTCAAGAGTTCAAGACCAGGCCAGGCGCAGTGGCTCATGCCTGTAATCCCAGCGCTTTGGGAGGCCGAGGCAGGTGGATCACGAGGTCAGGAGATCGAGACCATCCTGGCCAACATGGTGAAACCCCGTCTCTACTAAAAATACAAAAAAATTAGCCAGGCGTGGTGGCGGGTACCTGTAGTCCCAGCTACTCGGGAGGCTGAGGCAGGAGAATGGCCTGAACCCAGGAGGCGGAGCTTGCAGTGAGCCGAGATCAGGCCACTGCACTCCAGCCTGGGCAACTGAGCAAGACTCCATCAAAAAAAAAAAAAAAAAAAAGGAGTTCAAGACCAGCCTGACCAACATGGTGAAACCCCGTCTCTACTAAAAAAAATACAAAAAGTTAGCCAGGCACGGTGCCAACGCCTGTAATCCCAGCTACTTGGAACGCTGAGGCAGGAGAATCGCTTGAACCTGGAAAAGGGAGGTTACAGTGAGCCGAGATCGCACCACTGCACTCCAGCCTGGGCAACAAGAGCAAAACTCCACCTCAAAAAATATACATATTAAAATAAATAAACTTGTCTAGTGGTTAAGATCATATGTGATGCAGCCACAGTGCAAGATACTTTTTTCTTATTTTTGGTTCCCCTGCACATTGCTCATGCTTCAGCTAACATGTTCTGCTCACCTTTTTCCAAGTATATCTTAACCTTTCCAGTTTTTACATCTTTGCCATTTGACTTGCTCAGATGGCCCTGCCTCTGTCTCTGCCTGTCAACATCGCTTCCTCTTTGAATACTCATCCCACATGGTCACCTTCTCTATGAAGCTTTCCCAGCGTGGTACTGTGGAAGGATCTTCAGAACCTGAAAATTCAGGTCCCAGGGCTGATCCTATCAGATCAAGCCCAGGTAAGTCAATTATCTGCCCTCAATCCTCTTTTCATCTACAAGTAAGGATCCTGAATCACTGGGGTTTTGTGAGAATCAAATTCTAAAATGCATGTGGAAGTGCTTTGAAATTGCTCTATTAATATTAGTTGTTACTATCTTCCTAGCCAGGAGTAATATGTTTCCCTCTGAACCTCAGAAGAACTTTACTTATGGTTTTGTATTGCTGCAATTTGTGTAGTCTTATCTCTCTCTTACCTATTGCTATGGTGTAAACATCTATGTCCCTCCAAAATTCATATGTTGGAAGCTGATACCCAATGTGCTAGTATTAACACGTGGAGTCTTTTGGGAAGTAATGAAGTTTTCATAGCTCTGCCCTCATGAATGGATTAGTGCTCTTATAAAAGAGGCTGCAGCCAGTGTGTACCTGTGGTCCCAGCTACTTGGGAGACTGAAGTAGGAGGATCATTTGAGGCCAGGAGTTCAAGGCTATAGTGGGCTCTGATCACACTTGTGACCAGCCACTGCACTCCAGTCTGGGCAACATAGCAGGACCCCATCTCCAAAAAAAAAAAAATGTTGAAGGGAGCGCCGTAGTGCCTGTTGCCCTTCTGTCTCTTCCACCATGTGAGGACACAGTGTTCATCCCTCCTGCCATGTGAGGACACAGTGTTCATCCCTCCTGCCATGTGAGGACACAGCAACAAGCAGAGAGCAGCCTTCACCAAACACAGAATCTGCTGGGACCTTGGTCTTGGACTCCAGAACTGTAAGAAATAAGTTTCTGTTGGCCGGGCGGGGTGGCTCACGCCTGTAATCCCAGCACTTTGGGAAGCTGAGGCGGGCGGATCACAAGGTCAGGAGATCGAGACCATCCTGGCTAACATGGTGAAACCCCGTCTCTATTAAAAATACAAAAAATTAGCTGGGTGCGGTGGCGGGCGCCTATAGTCCCAGCTACTCGGGAGGCTGAGGCAGGAGAATGGCGTGAACCCGGGAGGCGGAGCTTGCAGTGAGCCGAGATCGCACCGCTGCACTCCAGCCTGGGTGAGAGAGAGAGACTCGTCTCAAAAAAATAAATAAATAAAATAAAATAAAATAAAATAAGTTTCTGTTGTTTATAAATTATCAGGTCTCAGGTGTTTTGTTCTATCAGCATGTTCTATCATGCATGTTTGCTGAATGAACAAATGAATTAATGAGTGAATGAATAAACTCCTTTCTTCCCTCATGATCACCTTTTGGCTAATTCACCACACTTTAAGCACACCTGAAGCAAAGAGCAAATACTGAAAATTGAAGAAAATGACATCCAAATGCATCAACCCAGCTACCTAGCAGTGCTCTTACCTCAGTGGTAAAGAAATGTAAAATAATAAGTGTTTTCATTTACTGAATTCCTGCCAGGAATTTATATACATCATCTCTAATCCCTGTGAAAGCCCTGCATGGTTGAAATTATCATCTCCATCTCTCTCTGGGGCAGGCGGAGCTTGGAGCTCTGGTTCCAAGGCATGGTGAGAGTCTGTGGTGTTGGCAGGAACAACGGAAGCAAAAAGACACAGAAAGACAAGTGGTTTCTCTTGTGGCCAATGTCTAGAATAGCAGTAATGAAGACCTCCACTCTCCCCAAAGAACAAATACAGTCCTTAGACTCTAGGAAAGTAAGGTCTCCTCTCCAAGGGGTGTCCCCTGTGCGGGGAGCATCAGTCATGGAAATGGGTGTGCCTAGCAGGGCAACCATCTCGTGATCCATGATAGTCAGTAGCAGCAGACAGCATTGTAGCAGTAAGGTGAAAAGTCAGAGAGGAAGAACCAGATAAATCCCCAGAAATAATTGGGGACACCTCAAGCGAGGCTAGTGTCTGGCCAGTAAGCACTGATACATAATTATGTGGATAACACAAATAAGATAACCTCAATGCATAATAATGGGCTAATGGGCCTGGGACACACACATTGTCCCCCAATATCATTTTCAAATAATTAGACTACAATAAAATAAACAATGTTAAAATTGTAGTGGGCATAATTTAGAATATACTTACCGTCTCAAGGTCATGATTCTGCATGATTTTACACATATGTGAAATCTGCATGATTTTACACATATGTGAAATCTGCATGATTTTACACATATGTGAAATCTGCATGATTTTACACATATGTGAAATCTGCATGATTTTACACATATGTGAAATCTGCATGATTTTACACATATGTGAAATCTGCATGATTTTACACATATGTGAAATCTGCATGATTTTACACATATGTGAAATCTGCATGATTTTACACATATGTGAAATCTGCATGATTTTACACATATGTGAAATCTGCATGATTTTACACATATGTGAAATCTGCATGATTTTACACATATGTGAAATCTGCATGATTTTACACATATGTGAAATCTGCATGATTTTACACATATGTGAAATCTGCATGATTTTACACATATGTGAAATCTGCATGATTTTACACATATGTGAAATCTGCATGATTTTACACATAAGTGAAATCTGCATGATTTTACACATATGTGAAATCTGCATGATTTTACACATATGTGAAATCTGCATGATTTTACACATATGTGAAATCTGCATGATTTTACACATATGTGAAATCTGCATGATTTTACACATAAGTGAAATCTGCATGATTTTACACATATGTGAAATCTGCATGATTTTACACATATGTAAAAATATAATTTTATACTACTAGATATTATAGGACACATATATAGATATAATTTTAAAATACTAGATATTATAGTACATATATGTAAAAATATAATTTTACAATACTAGATATAGAACCAAATGGTACCTTAGAGATGAACACAGTCCTGGAAGTTTAGTAACTTGCTGGTTCTTTAAATAACAAGCAGTGTGTCCTTGAACAGGTTATTTCATATAAGTAGCAAGTTGCTCACTTGTGAAATGAGCACGTTGGACTGGGTGATCTTGAAGCCTCCTCTCACAGGCATAATGCTTTGAACCTGTGAGCCCACCACTCCAGTCCAGCAGCATCTCTTCTCCTGTCTCTCCCTATTTTATAGATGAGAAATACAAAGACAGTAAATGATCATAATTGTCAAACGGACCGAAAGTTGAGTGTTCTGATTTTTTTCCACTCATGTCCAGTCCTTCATGGGCCTTCTGATTTTCCAGAAGCTGCCACTGTGCTCAACCCACCAGATCTTCCCTGTCTCAAATGCATTAGGCCACCAAATCACCCTCAAACCAAAGTTTTCGCTCTCAAAATAGTTGAGATAGGCTGGGTGCAGTGGCTCGTGCCTGTAATCCCAGAGACTTAGGAGGCTAAGGCAAGAGGATCGCTTGAGCCCAGGAGTTTGAGGCTGCAGTATACTGTGAATGCACCACTGCACTCCAGCCTGGGCGACAGAATGAGATCCCATAGCTGAAAAAAAAAATTAAATTAAAAGTTATTAAGATAAATCATTATCTCAGATAAGAAATAATTCACTCACGGTAAGGTATGAATGACCTTATTAAACCATGTGAACTCCAGCAGATGGAATGTCTGATATATCTAACCTATTATTAACATCCACCCTCCCCTCCCCACACAAGAAAACAAAAAGCAATCCTTTGGCATCCAATTTCAGCTGATCCCTGCTGGAAGTTATTTTGATAATACTAGGGCTACTGGGAAGTGACCTCTTTGAACGAATACCAGATTTGTTATCTGTTTCTGCATCATCTTCTCCAGTAAACACGAGTACCTGGAGGAAAGCATTTATGTCTTACTCATTTTTGGGTTCCCTGTGTCTAATATGGTACATAGCACATGATGGGGCCTCAACAAATGCTAGGTGGATTAATAAATAAACTCAAGTAGAAAAAAAAATTAACCTTACCCATTGGAGGGGAATCCATAAAATGTTTGGTATAATAAAAATGAGGAGCAACCGGGCGCGGTGGCTCATGCCTGCAATCCCAGCCCTGTGCGGGGCTGAGGCGGGTAGTTCACGAGGTCAAGAGATCAAGACCATCCTGGCCAACATGGTGAAACCCCGTCTCTACTAAAAATACAAAAATTAGTTGTGGTGGCGCACGCTACTCAGGAGGCTGAGGCAGGAGAATCGCTTGAACCCAGGAGGCGGAGGTTGCAGTGAGCCAAGATCGCGCAACTGCACTCCAGCCTGGCGACAGAGTGATACTCTGTCAAAAAAAAAAAAAAAAAAAGGAAAAGAAAAAAGAGGAGCACATTTCTTTTTTGCATAAAAAAGTCATAGTCTGGTGAAGATGGGGATTATGGTTATAAAATAATAATAGGCTGTGGTGGCTCATGCCTGTAATTCCAGCACTTTGGGAGGCTGAGGCAGGCAGATCACTTGAGGCCAGCAGTTCGAAAAAATTAGCCGGGCATGGTGGTGGGTGCCTGTAATCCCCGCTACTCGGGAGGCTGAGGCTAGAGAATCTCTTGAACCCAGGAGGCGGACGTTACTGTGAGCTGGGATCATGCCATTGCACTCCAGCCTAGGTGACAGAGGGAGACTCCGTCTCAAAATAAATAAATAAGTAAATAAATACATAAATAAAAATAAAAAATAATCGGGGGATGGCAGGGAGCAGGGGAGAGCATTAGGGAAAAGAGCTAATGGATGCAGGGCTTAATACCTAGGTGATGGGTTGATAGGAGCAGCAAACCACTGTGGCACATGTTTACCTATGTAACAAACCTGTACATCCTCCACGTGAACCCTGGAACTGAAAAAAATAAAATAAAATAATGATTTTTAAAAATCACCAACATGTAGAGACGTAAATAGGAAAAAAAAATGATCAATGACAACTACTGAGTGTGCACCATGTGCCAGGAACCACGTTAAGCCTTTTCTGGGATTACTTCTTTTAATTCTCACAACAGTATTATCAGGTAGAAACTATTTTTACTCCTATTTTATAGAGGAAGAAACTGAGGCCAAAAAATGCTAAGTAACTCTTGCACAGTCAGGAGGAGAGAGGGTCCATGCAACTTGATTGCAGGGCCCATGTCTGTAATTTGGTTTTCTGCAGGCAAGCACGCAGAGAGATGGGGGAGAGCCATGTGTCCTGTCTGGGTCACAATACCTAGAGATACCTCCTTGATCCAGCACAAACAAAACGGTTTCCACAGGACAATAATGTTATATTTAGTTGCAAAACAAACAAACAAAAAAAGGTCTAGGTAAACTGGTTACCAAAAGAGGAAGAATTAAACAAGTGTGAAAAGCTAGTCTCTACTGAAAAGAGATTTTTATCGTCAAGTCAGCAGGACTAGGAGAGGACTCAGACAAACCACTAAATCCACAAGTCGGACAAAAAAGGGCTTGTCATCTAGAGTTGTATTAAGTAGATAACTTTTTATCCTTTGCATATTGCCATTTGGAGGAGACATACTCTGCTTACTAATTATGGAGCGTTAAAGACTCCAGTCTGTAAATATTCAGCTCTAAAGTCATTCCTGGAAAACAAGGTAACGGGAGGCAGGAGACACCTGAAAGTAGCCATCCAAAAGACTGGTTCATTAGTTTGATTGTAAACATTCTCCTCTGTCCCTACTATTTGAGGAATTTATGATTCCCTAGGTTGGAAAATACCTAGAGAACTGAAATGTGCAGTAACAATGCTTTTTTTTTTTTTTTTTTTTGAGACGGAGTTTCCTTTTTTTTGCCCAGGCTGGAGTGCAATGGTGTGATCTCAGCTCACTGCAACCTCCGCCTCCCGGGTTCAAGTGATTCTCCTGCATCAGCCTCCCAAGTAGCTGGAATTACAGGCATGTGCCACCACGCCCAGCTAATTTTGTATTTTCAGTAGAGACAAGGTTTCACCAGGCTGGTCTCAAACTCTTGACCTCAGGTGATCTGCCTGCCTTGGCCTCCCAAAGTGCTGGAATTACAGGCGTGAGCTATCGCACCCAGCATTTTTTTTTTTTTTTGAGACAACGGCTCGTTCTGTTGCCCAGGTGGGAGTGCAGTGGCGCAATCTCAGCTCACTGCAACCTCCGCCTCCCAGGTTCAAGCAATTCTCATGCCTCAGCCTCCCGAGTAGCTGGGATTACAGGTGTGTGCCATCATGCCTGGCTAATTTTTGTATTTTTAGTAGAGATGGGGTTTCGCCGTGTTGGCCAGGCTGGTCTCAAACTCCTAGCTTCAGGTGATCTGCCCGCCTCGGTCTCCCAAAATGAACAATACAGTTCTGGGCACACTGTTTCCCCCCTATTTCAAATTTCTATGTCCCTTATAATCAACATTGCCAATACATTAATAATCCTTAGTGAATGGCCAATAGAAATTTTCTAAAAGAAATTTTTCTTACCTAACTTGTATGAGTCTTTTAACTTTTAGGTCTATTTCCCTTTAAATCCTGCAGTTTAAATAACTTTGCTTTGGCCAGGTGCGGTGGCTCAGGCCTGTAATCCCAGCACGTTAAGAGGCCAAGGCGGGTGGATCATGAGGTCAGGAGTTCAAGACCAGCCTGGCGAAGATGGTGAAACCTTATCTATACTAAAAATACAAAAATTAGCTGGGCATGGTGGCAGGTGCCTGTAATCCCAGCTACTCGGGAGGCTGAGGCAGAGAATTGCTTAAACCCGGGAGGCGGAGGTTTCAGTGCACCAAGATCGTGCCACTGCACTCCAGCCTGGGCGACAGAGCGAGACTCTGTCTCAAAAAACAGAAAAGAAAAGTAACTTTGCTTTGGATAAAATGTGTTTTTTCCTCCAACTACACTTTCACATTTTCTCTCTTTGATACGCAGATGTTCTATCCATGAGATCATAGTAGCTTAAGCATTTATAGACAAGGCAGTGTGATGTCCTATAGTTATGCTCTCCAGTACAGCTGCCACTAGCTACATGTGGCTATTTAACTTTAAATTTAAATTAATGAAAATTAAATGTAACTAAAAATTAAGTTTCTAGGGCCAGCACAGTGGCTCATGCCTATAATCCCAGCATTTTGGGAGGCCTAAGCAGGGAATCTCTTGAGACCAGGAGTTTGAGACCAGCCTGGGCAATATTATGAGACCCCCGTCTCTACAAAAATTCTTTTAAAAATTTCTTTTAAATTTTTAAATTTAAGCCACTCCTAGCTACTCAGAAGGCTGAGGTGGGAGGATTGCTCGAGCCCAGGAGTTCAAGGCTGCAGTGAGCTATGATTGTGCCACTGCACTGCACCCTGGGCAACAGAGAGCAAGACCTGTCTCAAAAAAAAAAAAATTGAGTTTTTCTTCACACTAGTTTCATTTTATGTGCGCAATAGTCACCATATTGTGGGGACTGTATTGGTAACAGAGATATAGAACCTTATCACAGAAAATTCTGTGGCTACCCCAGAAAGAACACAACACACGTTTAGCAACAGACAGACCTTCATCTTTTCAATTTCCACCTTAATCTTTTACTAGACTTGTGACCATGGGAAGTTTCTTAAACTTTCAAAGTTTCAGATATTTAAACTATAAAATAGAAATACAGCTGGGTGCAGTGGCTCATGCCTGTAATCTCAGCACTTTGGGAGGCCAAGGCAGGTGGATCACCTGAGGTCAGGAGTTCGAGACCAGCCTGGCCAATATGGTGAAACCTCATCTCTACTAAAAATACAAAAAATTAGCCGGGCATGGTGGCAGGTGCCTGTGATCCCAGCTACTCAGGAGGCTGAGGCAGGAGAATCGCTTGAACACGGGAGGCAGCGGTTGCGGTAAGCCAAGATCACATCACTGCACTCCAGCCTGGGTGACAGAATGAGACTCTGTCTCAAAAAAAAAAAAAAAAAAGAAAGAAAAGAAAAGAAAAAAAAAGAAAAAGAAAAAAGAAAGAAACACAAACATACCTACACCTGTGTGGTGGTAGTCAGTAATGCCCAACACACTTTATTGCTTAATAAAACTATTATTATTAGTGCTTAGGGATCAAACATTCCCTTTTTGATCCAAAGTAAAAAAGCTTTTGAGGCCAGGTGTGGTGGCTCATGCCCGTAATCCCAGCACTTTGGGAGGCCGAGGCAGGCGGATCACCTGAGGTCGGGAGTTTGAGGCCAGCCTGGCCAACATGGTGAAACCCTGTCTCTACTTAAAATACAAAAATTAGCTGTGCGTGGTGGTGCACCCCTGTAGTCTCAGCTACTTGGGAGGCTGAGGCATGAGAATCGCTTGAACCTGGGAGGTGGAGGTTGCAGGGAGTGGAGCTCGTGCCATTGCACTCCAGCCTGGGCAACAGAGCGAGACTCCGTCTCTCCAAAAAAAAAAAGAAGCTTTTAAGATTCAAAGTAGATATCAATATTTTCTTCATACCTTGAGTACTCAATAAACCTTGCAGACTACCAAAAATTTAGATTAAAAATGTCATAGAATACTTACACGTTTTTGTTCCTTCTCTAGGAGAAAAACAACTTGAATTGCCGTGGAGAAACCTTAGACTCTGGTAGCTGTTTAAACTCATAAATTGTCCCAGAAGATTTCTAATTCCCAAACCATCAAACCGTCCCTCACATTTAATTCAGGAACACGTTCGGCAAATGTTTGTGTTTGTACACGAAGTCTCTCAGCGATCTAAGTTTGACTTGGAGAGCAATGAGGCAAAATTCCCATCTTCCTACCCCACTTTAACTTGGAGATAAAACCTACTCAAGTTATACATACCAGTACTTTCAAAAGCCCTTCAACTTATCTAAGCATCTCTCTAGCCCCACACTCTTCCCCTTTTCATCTCAATATGGAACTTTGTGTAAAAGCATCCAAAGCTGAAAGACAGAGCTGTGGATTATGTGCCTGCAGAGCTTAATCCCTGCCAATCTCACAGAGGGGCACCTTACAGTTAGGAATGTGTGCAACCAGAGCCAGGATAAGTTCAGACTCATCAAACGATTGTTTTATCAACCACAATTACACAATACAACTAAAACAAAAATAACCTTGAGAAGCAATGAGTAACCTACAACTCATCATGATATGAAGTTCAAATAATTGCTAATGCCACACTTGGACAGTCAAGTTTTTCAAGCTTCCCCCTGCTCCCCCTGCCCCCAAAAATAGACAAGATTATGCAATGAGAAGATAAAGGAGATAGAAGACAATGCTCCAGGGCCAGGCGTGGTGGCTCACACCTGTAATCCCAGCACTTAGGGAGGCAGAGGCAGTTGGATCACGAGGTCAGGAGTTCAAGACCAGCCTGGCCAAGATGGTGAAAGCCTGTCTCTACTAAAAATAAAAAAAAAATTAGCCAGGCATGGTGGTGGGCGCCTGTAATCCCAGCTAATTGGGAGGCTGAGACAGAGAATTGCTTGAACCCGGGAGGTAGAGGTTGCAGTGAGCTGAGATCGCACTACTGCACTCCAGCGTGGGCGGCAGAGTAAGACTCCATCTCAAAAAAAAAAAAAGAAAGAAAAAAAGAAATCAATGCTTCATCCTTATTATTCAAAGCTAGATTGCAAAATATACTAATCTAAGAAATCTTTAGTTTTTCTCCTCCCTATAGCTTTAGTTGAGCTTTATGTAGGGTTTCTTTCTTTTATACAAAGAAGCACAAATATCTCTCTTGGAAGACTACAGCTCAGTAACTGATGGGAACATGCAAGGGCAGGTGAAAACACACAGGACAACAATATAAGAATGTTTTCTGATGCACAATATGAGCAAATACGGTTCTAGTCACTCTCTTTCTGCTAAGCAAAAAATCTGACCCAAGCCAACCCCTGCTATCTAAAATGGTCATTTTTGAAAAATGTCTTTATTAGTAATCATTTGTTTTCTGTAGAAATGGGAATAATAATAGCTAGCATTCATTGAGCATTTAATATGTTTAAAGCACTATTTTAAGTAATTCGCATGTATTAACAACAGCCCTATGTGGTAGGTAGAGAATATCATCTTTCGTTTTACAGAGGAATACACCGAGGCATGGAGAGGTTAAACAATTTGCCCAGGGTCACCCAGCTAATAAGTATTAGAGCCAGAATCTGAGCTTGGGCAATCCGGCTCCATTTTACACTCTTGTCTCTGTTGGCAGTTGAAACAAAGATGCACTTACATGGACATTGATTCCTTGCTACACACAAACCTGCAACCATATGTCAAGACTAACATCTTATAGTTTATGGTTACTTGTAGAAACCAAATTAAATGAGGAACCCAAACATTTGATTGGAACCTATTACTGTCATCAAAACCCACTTCTCCTTGGTTTTCATAATTCCCAGTGGGAAGTGTATCTCAGCAATTTTGTCTGTCAGGAATTTTGAAAAGTCAAGAGGTGAGTCCTAGTGACATTACTTCAGCTCCAAATCATAGCACACCTGAAGTTGGAGCCATCCATGAATTTTTCTTCTTTTTAGTTATGTGGCTAAATAAATTCCCTTTTTAAAATGGCTGTTTGAGTTTCAACTGAAAGACTCATAACAGATACACCCCCTTCTCCAGCCACTGCCATCCCCACCCGCACAGTGAGTGTCTCACAGGTGGGACCATGACCTCAGCCGGTCTGTTTATTCAGAGTGAACCTCAGGGCTTTTGTAGACATGGCCAGAAAAGAAGCTCTCTTTCCATTGGACTTGAACCTGGAAAGACGTGAGCCTGGAAATACGGCATCATCTAAGGCTGCTGGAGTCTGCTGCACAGAGCTGGGGTAATAGCCCATCGAGGGTGAAAGTGGAGTTAAGAGAAGCAGGGACATTGAACCCTGCAGGCATCATTTGAGTCCTGAACTTTTTAGTGTCGGAAGCCACTCAACCTCCAGCTATCTATTCCTGCCTTACAAAGACCCTAAATGTAGTGGCTTAAAACAACAAAAATTTATGATGTCTCTCAGCTTGGCAATCTGAGTGATTGTCTGGATTTACTAGTCAGCTTTACCACAGTAACAAATGACTTCCTAAATCCCAGGGGCTTGTAACAACCCATGTTCCTCACTCTGCCGTTACACGTCTGCGATCACATCAGTGAAGGCTCTGATTCTGCTCCATGTGTTTTCACGTTCGGGGACCAAGGCTGCAGGAGGAGCCCCCATTCAAGCAAGACCTGTCATCCCCTTGGCAGAATGAAAAGAGCAAAATACCCGATGGCCCTTTAAAGCCTCAGTTCAAATACGGTGTATGTTATGTCCTTTGATACCCCATTGACCAAAGCAAATCCCTGACTTTGAGGACTCCCTGTAGCTGTCTGGGTAAATTAGGTTAGCACCCGAGGCCCTTTGTGAGAGTTTAAAATAAGGAGATATGCACATACAGAGAAAAAGAGAGACCGAGGCAAAGAAAGAGAATTTATGTGTATTTCTACATGCATGGTGTGTGTATGACTTTTTTTTTTTTTTTGAGATGGAGTTTCGCTCTTGTTGCCCAGGCTGGAGTGCAATGGCATGATCTCAGCTCACTGCAACCTCCACCTCTCGGGTTCAAGTGATTCTCCTGCCTCAGCCTTCCAAGTAGCTGGGCTTACAGGCGCCCATGACCACGCACAGCTAATTTTCTGTATTTTTAGTAGAGACGGGGTTTTACTATGTTGGCCAGGCTGGTCTCGAACTCCTGACCTCAGGTCCACCTGCCTCGGCCTCCCAAAGTGCTGGGATTACAGGCATGAGCCACTGCACCCGGCTGGTGTATAACGTTCTTAAGGCAACTTCATTTCTGTGTGGAAGGTTGAAGGTCAGTCCCAACCTGAGATATAGGACCAGTTCTTTTCTAGTCAGGGAGAATTCAGGAAGCCACGTTCCAAAACAGTAAGTCAGACTTCTGTTGAGCCTGCTCTGATTTCAGACCTTCGTTCTGCTAACAGGGATCCAGCCTTTGGCCCCATCTGTAGAGTCACAGCAGCTCTGCTGCTGCTCATCCGCTGGGGCTACTGCCAATTGCTGCTCAGTCCCTTGCTGTCTTCATAGAGCCTTGGTCACAAGCTTCTTCTCGAGGACAACTACAGGGTCTGCCCCAGGTACATCCCCACCCATGAGCATCTAGTTTCCACCTCCTTTCTGCCTACCAGTCAGGAGCTAAGATAATTCTGATAATATAGTAATAATAGCATCTGTCATTTATTGCATATAGTAATAATAGCATCTACCATTTATTGCATATAGTCTCAAATTCTTATGTATCCCAGAAGTGCAGCTATTTCCAGCTGGGCCTCTGTTTTCATTAGGCATCATTCTTAATATAGATCTCAACCCTTCTTCAAGTCCCCCAGAACAATCCATGAACACCAAAAGTGTTCACGAGCCATGTGTAATTGACTGAGGCTTCCCCAAAACAGTGGAGTAGAGATTTATAGGGCACACCCAACAGAAGCAGCTTTTCTCTAATTTCCTTTTCTGCTGTGCTACCATCAAGGCTCCTCCTTCTCCCCACATCTCGAAGCTTAGCCTTCTCAGTCGTATGCTGAATGCATACTGAAGTAACAGATAATGGAATATGTAACTACATAAAGCTTAAATAATAGGGTTTATTATCTCTGGGGGTATCATTTTCAGGCTTTGTTAATTCAGGGACCCAACAACATCATCAAGCACTCAACCCATGTGTTTTCTACTTCCCTCTGTGCCATCCCCAGCCTGTTGGTTTTCATCCTCAGAGTTTCCCTCATGGTCACAAGAAGGCTGCCACAGCTCCAGGAATTACGTCCACACATAACTATATCTAAAGATAGGAAGAGGACCATTATTCCTCCTCCCCACATCATAAAGGAAAAACTTTCACAGAAACATCTCAGAAGACTTACCTTTAAACTCCTCCACTGGGGTTGGGTTACATGCTCATGCCCTAATAATAAAAGTTATTCAGCTGAGACAGGAGAATCGCTTGAACCCAGGAGGTGGAGGTTGCAGTGAGCTGAGATTGCGCCACTGCATCCAGCCTGGGCGGCAGTGCATGACTCCTTCTCAAAAAAAAAAAGTTATTCAGGTTGAGTATCCCAAAATGCTTGGGACCAGAAGTGTTTCAGAATTCAGATTTTTTTCCCTCCCGATTTTGAAATATTTGCATTATACTTACCAGTTGAGCATCCCTAATCCAAAAACCCAAAACCTGAATGTTCTGATGAGCATTTCCTTTGAGCACCATGTTGACACTCAAAAAATGTTGGATTTTGAGGCATTTCGGATTTCAGATTTTGAGATTAAGGGATGTTCAACCTTTATTGACATTTTTAGCCTCTGGAGTTGGAAAGTGGATTCTGACAGCAAGGATGAAAGATGAGGAGAGAATGGCTGTTGGGAAGAAAACCACCAGACTCACCCACCCTGAGTAGCTTGGTGTCCTACTCACCTGTGTGCTCTGCAAAGTACAACGCCCAACTATGACTAGGCCATGCTCTTGAAGCCTGGGTAAGAGCCATCTAACATTACTCAGGAAGGCCTTTAGAGTCCGACCTCTGCCCCAACCCTAGCAAGGTTATTAAAGCCAGGGATATCAAAACTCCTTCCTTAGAGGAGTTTTACTCATCTTTATACCTTTACTGCTTCTCCACATGCACAGCAATTCTGCAGTCTGAGAATTATCTCATTTTTTCAGATATGGAAGCTGAGTAGCAGAGAATTTAAGTGACTCACTCAGAGTCAGATAACTACTAAATGGTAGATCAATATTTGAACCCAGGGCTCTCTGGTTCCAATGTCCTTGCTGTCACTGAAAGCAGAACAAAGACCCAAAAGAAAAAGCAAAGAAGACAGACTAGGCTTAAATTTTAGCAGAAGAGTAAATATCTTCTTGGTCCTTTAGTAACTTAAAACCATTACAAGTTTCTACAGAGGAATGTAATTTCTGTCCTTGGTTATCTGGAAAAGATAAAACAGAGCCGTGCTTTCAGTACTTGGCCGAGGACATGGGGGCATTTTAAAGTGTTGGAATGATTGAACACAAGCCATGCTGCTGAGTCCTGGACACCCAACACTTTAAATGAGGCCTGGGGAGACATTTACTGAGGATCTGGCCCCTGCCCCAAGAAAGGGGGTCCCAGGCCAAAAAGCTGAGTAAACAGATATTTTTGCCACAGTGTGGTAAGTGCTATTATGGAACTATGAACAGGTCTGTGAGAGTGTGGGTGGGGGAGAGGGGCGGGGAGGGTGGACGGTAGAAAAACCCCTGACTGAGGTCATCCCTGTGTTCCAGGACAGTGCAGTCACTCATTGCAAAACAGGGACCCTGAGTCATGAGGAAAGAGCTAAAGTAAATTCAGTAGACACCATTAAACAAGGCAGGGGATGGGAGATGTCTTGGAACGATTTCCTTCCAATATGGTTTACAGGAAAACATTTTAGCAATTCTGAATGTAAATTTCAGGGGTTTGTTTGTTTGTTTTTAAGCTTACTTTATGGAGCATTACACATGGCTTTATGAGGATTAGTTCTTACTTCATGTAATATAGTAAGTAATTTGCATACACTATCTCATTTAAAGCTTAAAATAATCCTGTGAAGTTGATAGTTCTATTTTCCCACTCAAAAAATTTTTTTTTTATTTTCGGTGTGGAGTGGTAACTCATGCCTATAATTCCAGCACTATGGGAGGCCGTCAAGGAAAGATCGCTTGAGTCCAGGAGTTTGAACCAACTTGGGCACCATAGTGAGACCCCATCCCTATAAAAAATACTAAATAAAAAATTAAATTTTTTTCAAAAATTTTAGTTGCTTCCCCCAACACAGTGCACACTATTTTAGGTACAGCAATTGATCAGAGAGGCAAGACAGCTTGTCCAGGGTCTGTCAGTTCTTCATTGGCAGAGTTGGAATCAGACCCTCCCTGTCATGAGGCCAAGGTGCCTTCTGAAAAATTCACTCCCAGCAAACACATGATTTCCTGGGAGAGGTGGTTATAGCTTAGTATACTGGATCCAGATAGAAAATAGGTGTTCTGTGCTCACAGTGGAAAAGCAACAAAAATGGTAATGAAGGTTGAATGATCATCAGTAGAAAGAAACTTTTTTTAAAAAATGGATAATGGACAATGCTCTATCCTCATATATTTCTGTAACAAAGAATTAAGGAATTCAAAGTTTTAAGGAGAAAAGTTTGTCACCCTGTATTTTCTATAGCTTGGGCAAATTGACAGACGTGCTACAAAATGGAAGCAGTTAAACAACATCCAATCCAGACCATTGCCACTCAGAGTTCCTCATCCCCTGGTTGCTTGTTAGAAATGCAGATTCTTGGGCCCCTTCCAGGCCTACTGAATCAATTGAACAGGAACCCCAGTTGATTTGCATGCACATTAAATCTGAGGGGCTTGCTGCTCTACATAGATACCTTTCTCTGCCATTGTTTCGTCCATTGCAGATAATGTCTTACGAGTCTATGAAAATCAAACACATGAGCAGGTCATGTTGTGAGCTGCAGAAGACAAATTTGACAACAAAGCAACATTTGCTATCTTTTTTAACTAAGTTTAATTTTAACTTAATCTAGTAACTTCTTTTGAATAGGTTTTTGGGAGGATTTGTGGTCCTACAAGAGGAGAGGGAAGATAATGGGGAAAAAGAAGTCAGCAGGAAGGAAAAGGAGGGTATTTTCCCCAATGGCGCAGACCAATCATATGACACCCTTAATGTGTTATCAAATTTCTACAGGGGTCAGATGTGAAGCCCATTACCTGACATGCCCGCTGGGTGGTCTGGACTTTGAACAATGGCTCCTCCCATCTGGAACCCTCTGCTATTTTGCAAACGTTTCAATGGCTCTGCTGAAAGCCAGGAAACAACAGCTGGTGAATAATCTCATTTTATATTAATAGAGCAGCACTGACCTATCCAGGTCC
This sequence comes from Homo sapiens, assembly GCF_000001405.40. Lineage (NCBI taxonomy): Eukaryota > Metazoa > Chordata > Mammalia > Primates > Hominidae > Homo > Homo sapiens. Next base: position 49,813,074 of record NC_000013.11, read on the forward strand.
CTTAATACTTCACGAAACAGAACATCCTTTCTTTCCCAGGGCAAGGAAGGGAAGTCTCAGCCATACCACATTACAGCATGAGTAGGGGCCCTGAAGAAGAATGAACAGAAAGAGTTTTTTCTTGCAAACCCACCTCACTGGACTTTTTCAGATGAGGATTAAGTTAAGCTAAAGGAGATGGAAGAGAATATCTGCATTAAATCCCTGGACTTTACCTATGCAAAGAAATAACCAGAAAGTAAGAAGATTCTTGCCCCAGCCTTGCCTCTGTCTTCTGTATGTGCAGCTCTTTCTGTGAAATCAAGGTAGAGATGTCCAAGTTAAGTGACAATCTGAAAGATAAATATGGACTATTTTTAATACCAGGGCTAGCTGGTGGATTAATGTTAGTGGAGTCAAATAAAACAGAATGTGACAACACCACCAGTTAATGAGTGTTTGTGTCTGTGCCGGTAGCATTTTTAACGCTGTAGAGAATTGCAAAGGAATAAGGTATAATCTGTGATTTCAAGGAACTTCATTTTGCTGGAGGATTTCTTCAACACAAATGACTAGAAGCAAGGATGTAAAATATAAACTGAAAGATACATATCTTAGCCAATTATACCATCACTGACACATACAGAAAAGGAAGATTAAAATGTTTTGATTAAGCAACATTTCTAGAGATTCTGTCAAAACTTAAACAAACAAACAAAAAATCCTGGAAAACAGTAATCCTTTCTTTAACATTTACAAAAGTTCAATTGGGTATTCCTGCTCCAATTTTCTCAGTGTGGAATAGATGGAAAGTTGCTAGAAGGGAGTGGTTACATGCCACCAGAGTAAGCAAGCTGGACCAGGCATAGAAACTAGCTGATGAGAGGTAGGGAGAATGGCAGAAACTTCTTAAAACAGTAGTTCCTAACCTTTGCCTTTTGTCTGGGTCAAGGACTCTGTGATGGTTAATTTTATGTCTCACTTTGGCTAAGTGATAGTGCCCAGATGTATATGGTCAAACCTTATTGTGGACATTTCTGTGAGGGTGTTTTTGGGTGAGACTAACTTTTCAATTGGTGGACTCTGAGTATAGCAGATGGCCCTCCCTGATATGGGTGGGTCTCATTGACTCCACTGAGGGCCTGAAAAGAACAAAAGACTGACTCCCCCTGAGCAAGAGGGGATTCTCTGGCCTGACGACCTTCAGACCTTAACTGAAGCCTTGGCTCCTCCTGGTCTCCAGCCTGCCAGCCCACCCTGCAGGTTTGAGACTTGCCAGCCTCCACAGTCATGAGCCAATTCTTTAAAATAAATCTCTTTATAGACACATCCTATTAGTTCTGTTTCTCTGGAGAACACTGACTAACACAGACCCTTTTGTGAGTTTTTAGAAGGAATATTTATTGAATGTCTTCTATGTGCCTAATTATGGACTCTGATCCCAGAAAATTGCACATGAACACAAAATTTTACTTACGGTTTCCAGGGAATCACCAAACCCTTGAAGCACATCCATGGACTCCCTCCCTTCATTTAAAAACTCCTGGGCCTCCAGCCTTTTATATAAAGGAGACGTGGCTGAATATTTCCCCATCCAAATATTCCTGCTCTGAAAGCAGTTACCACCTGGTGGGTGAAGTAAGGAGTCTACCTGCCCACAGCTACAAAAGGACCAGGAAGGCGTCCGGCCACATAACTCTCTCTCCCTCACCTCTCTGGGAGGCCAGGAATTTCTACGTTAGCATCAGCACTCTGGGGTGGACGTTTGTTCACTTAACTAGAATAAGGCATTGTTACTACCCATGGTATGGCTGAGCCTAGCTGGTTGTTCTTAAGCTTAAACATCAGCACTGCCTTCCTTGACATTCTCCTTATCTCCTCGTCCTTGCTGATGGACTGTGAGTGAAGGTGATGTGTGTCACCTCCAGTCAGAGGCCATGCAGATGGGGATGCCTTTCATGACCTTTCCCCGCTTTCACCAGACTCAGTGAAGGACTTCTCTGAGGTATTGACAGAGGCCTCAGATGGCCAAGGGGCCAGATCCTCTTTCTCCTGCACTCCACACTGGATTGTGACACAAGCAAAAGATCATCCTTTATTTATGTTACTTATGTTAAATGACTGAGATCTGGACCTTGTTTGTTAGCTTATCCTGACTAATGCATACAGGAATTTTACCATTATGAGAAAGACAGTAAAAATATTAGACAAATACCAACTTAAAAATTCTAATATGATCTAGGCTGGGTGCAGTGGCTCACGCCTGTAATCCCAGGACTTTGGGAGGCCAAGGCGGGTGGATCACGAGGTCAGGAGTTCGAGACCAGCCTGGCCAACATGCTGAAAGCCCGTTTCTACTAAAAATACAAAAAATTAGCCGGGCATGGTAGCACGCACCTGTACTCCCAGCTAATCGGGAGGCTAAGGCAGGAGAATCACTTGAACCCAGGAGGCGGAGGTTGCAGTGAGCCAAGATCGCACCACTGCACTCCAGCCTGGGTGACAGAGCAAGACTCTGTCTCAAAAAAAAAAAAAAGATTCTAATATGACCTAAGCCATTATTACCCATTGACCTTAGCAGAGACTAAAGCCTGGGTCCTGAGGAAGTAGCTATGTTTAGGACTAAGAACTCCAAACTCAGAGACCGCAGGAGAAGACTAGGCTTCTGCTGGAGGCAGTCATGCTGCACAAGTCCAGGAGGCTCCATTCACCCAGATTCTGTAGTTCCCTGGAGTTGTACAGTGCACTGCCTGCACAACTGTACAAAGTAGCCCTGCTACTGGTAGTGGCAAAGCAGCACAAAAGAGGCAGGAAGAAATAAAAGAGAGAGAGGAAGGGTGACATGGGAGCCTGCTATGCCTCTCTCATGACCTCATCACCCAGTCAAGTGCTGGCCCTGCTCATTGCTGAGATACCTGAAAAGTCCACCCACACCTCAGCTAATCAGATTCTAGGACCAGCCTTGGTTTGGGGGCCTTTTTGTCTATGAAAAGAAGCATATCTCCCCTGAACTAGTTCTTGAGGGTCTACCTTAAATTATTGGTTACTAAAGGAAAAATAGTACAAAGGGTAACCTGTATGTTGGCCCTGCAGTTAGAAAATAGGGATTATTATTCCCATTTGTCACAGAAAACCTTTCTTTCTTCTTTCTTTCTTTTTTTCTTTCTTTCCTTCCTTCCTTCCTTCTTCCATTCCTTTCCTTTCCTTTCCTTTCCTTTCCTTTCCTTTCCTTTCCTTTCCTTTCCTTCTCTCTTTCTTTCTTTCTTTCTTTTTTTTGACAGAGTCTGGCCTTGTCGCCCAGGCTGAAGTGCAGTGGTGCGATCTTGGCTCACTGCAACCTCCACCTCCCGGGTTCAAGAGATTCTCTTGCCTCAGCCTCCCGAATAGCTGGGATTACAGGTGCCTGCCACCACACTCGGCTAATTTTTTTTTTTTTTTTGTATTTTTGGTAGAGACGGGGTTAAATCATGTTGCCCAGGCTAATCTCGAACTCCTGAGCTTAAGTGATCCGCCCACCTCAGCCTCCCAAAGTGCTGGGATTACAGGCGTGAGCCACCATGCCCAGCCACCCTCACACCCACTTTTAAAACACTTTATATTATAGAACACTTCAAAGATATACAAAATAGGTAAAATAATGTAATGGACCATCATTAGGCTTCAACAATTATCAACGTGTGGAAATTCCATTTCATCTATTTCTCTCTAACCCTTATTCTCTCCCCTATTTTCTACCACTTTTCTGGATTATTTTGAGATGCATCCCAGACTTCATATCATTTCATTCATACATATTTTAGTATGTAGCTCCAAAAAAAAAAGGATTCTGTTTTTTTAAAAAGCATAACCATGACGTCCTTATCACACCTAAGAAACTTCGTTAATATTGACAAATATTCAGAGTTCAAATGTCTCCAATTTTCTCATAATTTTTTTCTACAATTTGTTTAAATTAGTATTCAAACATGATTCACACCTGCAGTTGGCTAATATGTCTACTGGCTCTCTTTTCAGTAACAAGCTGCCCTGTCTTCTTTTCTTTTCTTTTCTTTTTTTTCTTCCAATTTATTTGTTGGAGAAACTGGGCCATTTGTCCTGTTGAGTTTCCCACATTCTGAATTTTGCTGATTGCATCCCTGTGGTGTCATTCCACCTGTTTCCCTAAGCCCTGTATTTCCTGAAAAGTGTCTGCTAGATCTACAGCCTTGAACAATTCCAGCTTGATATTTTGACAAGGTTATTTCATAGGTGGTGTTGCGAGCTTTTGCATCTCATCAGGGGCACATGTCTGCTTCCCTCCCATTTTTGTAATGTTAAGATTAATTAGAGGATTCGGGTATTGCCAGCTTAGTCCATCCATTAGAGAGTTCCCCATCAGCATTTCCCCTAATAGTTTTAACAGCCATTGATGACCAGTGCTTGGATACATTATTTCTATGATTGCAAAATTATGGTATTCTAATTCTATCATTCCTCCTTCATCTATTAGCTGAAATGCTTCTAAAAGAAGACCTTTCCCTCAACAACAATTTAGTTACCCTGAAATACAGTTCATATACAAAAGACAAATGCTCAATTCTTTCCCTTTTTAAATCAGTTTTCAGAGTAATGAGTTGGTTCCCTAGCAACCCGTAAAGGTGACCTATGAGAATTTTTTTTCTGGTATAATTATAAACTCATGGATTTTAACATATTTGATGTATTTCAATCCAGTGTGGATGCTTGAATTATTCCATCTTTGAACAGTGAGTTTCTTTCTATTGGTTCCTAACCTAAGCATTTAGGACACAACCAAGTCATCTCTGAAAGCTTCGTTACTTTCCAGCATGTCAAAATGTCTATTTCTTTTCTTTTCTTTCTTTTTGAGAGAGAGAGACAGAGAGTCTCCCTCTGTCATCCAGGCTGGAGTGCAGTGACACAATCTCAGCTCACTGCAACCTCCGCCTCCTGGGCAGAAGCAATCCTCCTGCCTTAGCCTCCCAAGTAGCTGGGACTATAGGCACTTACCACCATGCCCAGCTAATTTTTGCAGTTCTTTTTTTTTTTTTTTTGAGACGGAGTCTCCCTCTGTTGCCCAGGCTGGAGTGCAGTGGTGCAGTCTCGGCTCACTGCAAGCTTGGGCTCACTGCAAGCTCCGCCTCCCAGTTTCACACCATTCTCCTGCCTCAGCCTCCCGAGTAGCTGGGACTACAGGCGCCCACCACCATGACCGGCTAATTTTTTTGTATTTTTAGTAGAAACGGGGTTTCACGGTGTTAGCCAGGATGGTCTCAATCTCCTGACCTCGTGATCCGCCCGCCTCGGCCTCCCAGTGCAGTTCTTTTTTTGTAGAGACAGGGTTTCGCCACGTTTCCCAGGCCGGTCTCAAACTCTGGGGCTCAAGCAATCCGCCTACCTTAGCCTCCCAGTGTTTTGATTATGGGCGTGAGCCACCAGGCCCGGCCCAAAATGTCCGTTTCTTGCCTCAGCTCTGGAATCAGTGATTATCCAAGGACGCCCTGGTTCCCTTTAGTGACAAATTGGATTTAGAAACCACAGTCACAGAGCTGGCCACCTCCCTACCTAGGAGCCCTCTCCCTCAGGTCCCTCACATCTTCATTTGATCCTACTTTTTTTCCCCAATCCTTGACTGTCCCAGCTTTTCCACAAGGGAACAAAAGATTAATAGCTAAAGGAAACTCATGATATAGTCATGTGTCACCTAATAACAGAGATGTGTTCTGAGATATGCATCATTAGGAGTTTTCGTCATTGTATGAACCCCGTCATGTTCTCACACAAACCTAGATTGTACAGCATGCTGCATGCCTAGGCTAATGCTATAACCTATCCCTCCTAGGTCACAAACCTGTACAGCATATTACTGTACTGAATATTGTAGGCAATTGTAGCACAATCGTACGTGTATGTCTATCTAAACATATCTAAATATAGAAAAGGTGGCTGGGTGCAGTGGCTCATGCCTGTAATCCCAGCACTTTGGGAGGCCGAGACGGGCGGATCACAAGGTCAAGAAATCAAGACCAGCCTGGCCAACATGGTGAAACCCGTCTCTACTAAAAATACAAAAATTAGCTGGGCGTGATGGCATGCGCCTGTAGTCCCAGCTACTAGGGAGGCTGAGGCAGGAGGATCACTTGAACCCAGGAGGCAGAGGTTGCAGTGAGCTGAGATTGCACCACTGCACTCCAGCCTGGGTAACAAGAGCAAAATTCCGAAAAAAAAATTAATTTAAAAAACCGAAAGAAAGAAAAGGTACGGTAAAAATTCAGTGTTATAATTTCATGAGATCACTCTCCTATATGCGGTCCATCATTGACTGAAATGTCTTTATGAGGTGCACGACTGTAACTGAAAACAGTTATCACCTTGATACAGGTGAAGATTGAGACAAATCTCTTCTTTAGTGGAACGTGTCTAATTCCCTCACATGAATAGCCTACACTCTTTCCCTTGGTTATAAGGGCTCCAAAACTACTGAGTCCCCAAAACCAAGGAGGTAGGGGGTTGAGGGACATTTACCTTTGCCTAATGAAGGTTTTTTTTTTTTTTTGAGACGGAGTCTTGCTCTGTCGCCCAGGCTAGAGTGCAGTGGCGCGATCTTGGCTCACTGCAAGCTCTGCCTCCCGGGTTCATGCCATTCTCCTGCCTCAGCCTCCCAAGTAGCTGGGATTACAGGCTCCCGCCACCATGCCTGGCTAATTTTTTAAATATTTTTAGTAGAGACGGGGTTTCACCGTGTTAGCCAGGATGGTCTCGGTCTCCTGACCACGTGATCTGCCCGCCTTGGCCTCCCAAAGTGCTGGGATTACAGGCGTGAGCCACTGCGCCCGGCCTGAAGTTTTATATATAATACAAGGAGAGCGCATCCTTTCTCTACAGGTGTCTTTTGCACTCTGGTAATCAAACAGTTGTTTGATTGTATGGTTTCTCATCAAGCATTTTTACCCTTCAAGTTTTATCTATAAGTCTAGTGTAAGACTGGGGGATATTTCTAAGTTGTGGTTTGATGAGTCCCTGACTTCAAACCCAACTGGTACATCACAAAATAACAATGCTCTGTAGTCACCAAAATCTTTAGATCTACCTGAATGGATGTGGACCTATCTCCTAGATAGATTAGGTGGAAAACAGTATTTATTACATTATCATTTGTGTAAAAGGGAAAAAGAGCTTGAATATGCACAGAACATGTTTGAATCTATAACAGATTGGTATAGAGATAGAAAGGAGACTCACATTTCACCATATACCTTTTGGTTGTAGTTTTGGCATTTTAATAATGTGCACGAATCATCTATTCAAAAAATTTATTTTAAAAAACCTGAAGAAAGCACTTTAGTAGAGAATCAATACTGTCTGATTGATTGATTGATCGGCCTCAGCTTTCCAAGGAGTTATTGTAGATGGAAAGTGAAGAAGGGTATGCTTTTACAGGAGTATATTTATGTCTTAGGGAAGGCTTGAAAGCCAGAGGGGATGACGATAAAGAGAGTTTGAACAGATACCCAGAAACAACTGCACTTGAAAGAACTTGTGAAATGCTTAAGTTCTCTGACACTTAGAGAATTATACCCTAGCTGTGATACCATTATGAGATGTGAGAGTGTGCTTGTTTAGAAAGCACCGGAACTTGACTTCAGGTTCTGGAGCCAGCCAAAGAGTCTCCTCTCTCTGTCTGGAAGGGTTGTGTCAAATTCATGCACATTCTCAACAATGACTGTCTTTTTCTAATGGGGGATGGGGAGAAAGGGCAAATATTCAAAGCCAGGCAAAGGTGGGGGCGGAGTCAGGAGGCTTTTGGACTTTGACACCTTATCTCTGTTTTTGCCATCTTACTGGGGAGTGGGGAACAGAGAAGAGCTTGGTTTATTCTCAGGGAAATGTCTGGAGACTGCCCCATGGCCTCAGGTCACCCTGAATTTAGGATTTAGTTCTAATAAAATTTTATTCTGGGATGCAACCTCCCTCTAGTTGTTAAGACTTCTGGTTGTCCAGTCTAGAATCCATATGAAAGCCAAGCTTACCATATTAAAGCCAAGCTTACCAATGACTTCCAATAAAAAGAGCTTAGAATGGAAGAAAAGAGATAAAGAGAAAAAGAGAAAGATGATCTTTAGTTAAAGCCAAATCACTGATCACTTATGGCAGGCCCTTCACTTTATCTCTCCTTTCATCCACCTTCCCTATCAACAGCACTTCTAGTGAGGTGGCATTTTGGAGTGGGAAAGACCTAGGTTTGAATCCCAGCTCTGCCATATTAGTGGAATAACCTCGGGCAAATTACATAAATGCTCTGAACCAATGTCCTCTTTGGTAATGTGGGACACTGGTGGCTACTTTAGTCTTAAGTTAGGATCAAGTGAGAGCATTTATACAATACAATAAGCATTTTTTGAGTGCCTATCATGTGATAGTGAGATAGAAGACCAGCAGAACTTGCTTTCTGGTCACAATCCCGCTGACCAAAACAGAATCTAGTCCAGACAAGATAAAGTGAAGAGCCTGGCCAAAACCAGCAGATGGTGACAAAAGCAATCCCTAGCTGCCCTCATTGCTCATTAGCATAAGACACTCCCACCAGTGCCGTGACAAGTTACAAATGCCATGCCAACAACCCCGAAGTTACCACCCTTTTCTCTGGCAATGCCCCAGAAGTCACTGACTCTTTCCTAGAAAGCTTTAAATAACCCACCCCTCAATTTGCATTAACCCTCCCCTTAATTTTTCAAATAGTTGAAAGTGAATATAAGTGAGTATAAGTACAGTTGCTGACAGCCCATACCTTGCTGATTCTAGGCGCACTGCCTGTGAGTTAGCCCTGCTCCACAAGAAGCAGTACTGTTCAGGAAAAGGTTGCTGTCTAAAACCACTGGCTTGCCCTTGAATTCTTTCCTGGGCAAAGCCAAGAACCCTTCTGGGCTAAGCCTCAATCTTGGGGCTCACCTGTTCTGCATCATCTGGTGGCCACAAAGGGATGAAGATAGTGAGTGGGAGGAAGTGACCAATGTGGCGTCGAGACAGCAGAAATGGCAGTCATCAGCGGCAAGATGGCAAGACAATAGCAATTAGCAAAGAGGCCAAATGATAAGAAATACTTGAGAGATGGAGAAATGGTGAGACAGCAAGATGGCAAGACAGTGACCAGTGAGATGGTGAGAGGCGGCAATCAGAGAGAGGTGGTGATGTGGCAGTCAGTCAGTGCTGTAAGGATCAAAGCTGCAGAGAGCTGGAACACTAACCAAAGGTTCTTTTCAGGACCATCATCTTTCCTGGCAGATGGTTGAGCTGAGTGGATAGGTGAGTAGCCATAGTGCAGGGATTCAAAGCTCTGGCTGGGAGGCTGCAGGATCACATGCCAATTCCCTCGCAGCAACCAAGCCTGCCCAAGCCGGGGAAACCTGGGGAGCAAACCTTCACCTGCACTGTACATCAGAGACCAGTTGGCCCTATTTTGGCTCCTGTGGACAGGTAAGTATCCCTTTTGACTCATCCCCCAAATATCAGGTGAGCCAGGAAAATAAGGCCTTTGGCTTAGACAGTCAATTCAAAGTCTGCCATAGCATCCCTAATTACATCCCTATTGCCCCTTTTCTAGGTCGTTTCTCCTCTAACACGATTTTATTTTTCTGTCAGCCATTTTATTTTATTTCTCACCTTGAAATATATGTTTTCTTTGCAGTTTTTGCTTTGGCTTCCTGCTAACTCTATTTGGGCAATTGTTTAAGGCTGAACACTTGGTTATGAGAGGTACCCTGTTGTGTTGACCCTGGGATGCCAGAGTCATGTTGTTCTGTGGCCCCAACTTGGTCTTTGGCCGCCCCCTGGATGCTCTGGGATTTTTGGCATTGGGTGTGGGGACTCTCATTGGCCACTACTCGGTTACTGTGGGTTTTCAGCATTTGGTATTGTTGGCCGCCCCAGGCACTCCCGGGTTTTTGGCATTGGCATTCACTAGGATTGTGGGGTAGGAGCCTACCTAAGGGGAATCTTGGTCTTGCCTTTTCTCATTTTCTACCCTAAAGTTATCGTTTCCCATAACAGCATTTCCTTTTGTTATTGCCACTTTATTTACACTTTTCCCACTATAACTTGCTTAATGAAAATACTTCTTTTGTCACATTTCATTCACTTTATAAGCCACTTTCATAACACGTTGCTACCTATACTTACTCCTTCTCTGCAGGAAGTGGAAATTGGAAAGGAAAATAGAAAGGGCCCCGTTGCTTTCCCTCTCACTAGACTCAGAAGAACTTCTATGTCCAGTAGAAATCATCGTTAGACATGGAGACAATGATAAGCATACCTGAGGACTCACCGTTAGGATGCCTTTCAGGCTATTGGAGCAAATTCAATTTTGGCTTAAAGAAAAAGAAACTCATTTCCTATTGCAACACCACTTGGGTCCAATACAAATGAGAAGACCAAGACATTTAGCCTAAACATGGTTCTATGCATTATAATGCTATTTTACAATTAACATTAAAAAGAAGGAAAATGGGACGAGGTCCCTTATGTACAGGCTTTTATGGCCCTTTACTGACTCAATGTTACTTCAAGGCACCAGGAAGCCACGCCTAAGGGATCCCCTCCTAGCTGCTTCTCTTAGAAGGCCTACTCCCTCCCCAGAGCCTCCTCAGTCTCCCAATTTGGAGGGGTTCCTGCCAGTTCTCTAACACAGGACTCCACCCAAGGTCATCAGGCACTCCTCCCTGTTATTCAGCTAGCCCCAGCCTAAACCCTCTGCTGTCGGAAAAAGTAGCCCAACCAGTATCCCTAGAAATGGGGCTCCATATCAGCCCCTGAAGTCAAAGCTGTGTCCATTGTGGGAGGTAGTTGATGGAGATGGGGGGACACTTAGAATACACATGCCATTTTCTATGTCTGATTTGGCTCTATGCAAGGAAAAATTCTGCCAGTTTTCAGAGAATTCATTAAAGTTTATAGAAGAGTTTGTTAAATTGACCATGTTCTTTAGCTTGGTATGACTTGCAAGCATTGTTGCCCACTTGCTATGCCATAGAGAAAAAGCAGAGGAAAGTGTGTGGCTAAGCCTCTCAGTTATGAAAAGGTTAGAGATGTAATTCAGGGTAAAGATGAAAATCTCACTCTTTCTGGGTAGTTTGGTGGAGGAACTCAAGAAATATACTAATACAGACTCAGACTGCCTGGAAGGGCAAGCTCTCCTGGGTAGGCATTTTATTATTCAATTTGCTCTGACATTAGGAGGAAGCTACACAAAGTAGCAGTGAGACCTCAATCCGCTATGAACCAAGCCTTAAACATGGCCTTTAAAATTTATAACAATAGAGACAGGGCAAAAATGGAAAAGACCAAAAGAAATAACCAAAAAGAACAATTATTGGTGATGCTGTAAGCACCCTTCAACCTCAGGGTTACCCATCCCCAGAAAGTGTCTCGACATTGGTGTCTGGGATACCTAGACAAGAGCCCCAACTTGCTAGCCCCCAGGACAGAATCAGTATGCCTACTATAAGCAAAAGGGTAATCAGCAATAAGAATGTCTTAATCATCCCTCCTGAGATGAAAAAGCTCCCTGTCCATGTTAGAACTAACCTTCTTCCACTAGCCCCAACAAGCTGCCTTGCTCAAGTAAGCCAGAGCTTTGAAACCCTGCGCTATGGCTGCTCATCTATCCACTCAGCTCCACCATCTGCCAGGAAAGATGATGGTCCTGAAAAGAACCTTTGGATCAAATCCCGGACCCTTGATCCAATGGTTAGCTTCCCACAGTGGCAGACAAGTAGCCACCCAAACATTCTTCTTCCGTGTCTCTGCTGCTGGGTGACCTCTCTAGCAGCTCAGGGACTCTGAGGTCTCCCCTTTAGCAATGGGCTTTGCCCCTTCCTTTCCTTATTTGATGCTACAAGATCCCCTTCCCTGCCTCTTCCTGTCTTCCATACCTATTGGAGCAAACGATATTTGGCCAGGTAGACAGGTCCCAATTTTGTAAATAACAGATCCAGCTGTCTTGTATAGGTCACTTCATTTGTGTGATGTGTGTTGTGTCTAGCATGCTATCAAATTGGTTCATAGGCTGGGCACAGTGGCTCAGGCCTGTAATCCCAGCATTTTAGGAGGCTGAGGCAGGTGGATTACCTCAGATCAGGAGTTCGAGACCAGCCTGGCCAACATGGTGAAACCTCACCTCTACTAAAAGCACGGAAATTAGCTGGGTGTGGTGGCGTGCACCTGTAATCCCAGCTACTCTGGAGGCTGAGGCAGGAGAATCACTTGAACCTGGGAGGCAGAGGTTCCAGTGAGCAGAGATCATCCCGTTGCACTCCAGCCTGGGGAACAAGAGTGAAACTCCATCTCGGAAACAAAAATAAGACAAAACAAAACAAAACAAAACCAAAACATTGGCTTATAAATAAAAGAGCACTCATAAATTAAACAAATAGGACTAAATTTGTTAGTTTGAAGGGAATATTGTGACTTCTAAAATTTAACTTTAAGCTTTTTACTTAGATAAAATACTAATTTTCATAGGCTTTAGAATGGTTAAAATGGCTTTAAATGTTGAACTTTTTGTGTAGTTTAAAATCTTAAGATTGGCTGGGCATGGTGGCTAACACCTGTAATCCCAGCACTTTGGGAGGCCAACGCAGGCAGATTGCTTGAGCAGGAGTTTGAGACCAGCCTGAGTAACATGATGAAATCCCATCTCTACAAAAAATACAAAAATTAGCTGGATATGGTGGCATGCACCTGTAATCCCAGATACTTGGGAGGCTGACATGGGAGGATCGCTTGAGCCCAGGAAGTGGAGATTGCAGTGAGCTGAGACTGTACCACTCCACCCCAGCCTGGGTGACAGTGAGACCCTGTCTCAAAATCAATCAATCAATCAATCAATCAATCAATCAATCAATCTTAAAATTATAGAGTGGTTCTCATCTATAGAATGTCAATATCTGATAGTTCAGGATTCTTTGCTTTCTAAATTTATATATAATGTACCAGGGAAGATATATATTCTTTATTGTGAAAAAGAATAACTTGTTCAATTCAGAAATTATTAAAAGGGAGGTTCAAAATATAAAGGAATCTGCGAATAAAAAAGAGAGATATGTGGTGAGTTATGGATAGAAGACTTTTTTTTTTTGGTGGGGTGGAATATATATATTTTTAAATGATCTTGTGTAACGAGAAATCTTGTGTGGTAGATTCTTGTACTAGAATAAAGTCACTGGTGTTTGGGAGGGAGGTGACGTAGGATGGGTCAGAGGGTCCAGACATGTCATGGACGGTCTGTGTGGGCTGTGAGGGGCTCATGAAGGGGAATTTGTGAGGGGAGTTAAGTGTTTGACTAAGCTGGCTATGATTGATGGGAAATTGTTTGTGGTAGACTTTCTAGAAAATGATCTATGTGCCAAGCGCAGTGGCTGACACCTGTAATGCCAGTACTTTGGGAGGCCAAGGTGGGCAGATCACCTGAGGTCAGGAGTTCCAGACCAGCCTGGCCAATATGGTGAAACCCCGTATCTACTAAAAACACAAAAATTAGCTGGGCGTGGTGGTGTGAGCCTGTAATCCCAGCTACTCGGGAGACTGAGGAGGAGAATCGCTTGAACCAGGAAGGCAGAGGTTCGAGCAGTGAGCCAAGATCGTGCCATTGCACTCCAGCCTGTGTGACAAGAGTAAGACTCTGTCTCAAGAAAAGGAAAAGAAAAAAAAAAAAAAAAGCCTATGTGTTGAAACTGGGTTTTCTTTAGGTGTTCATTTGCTAAATTACCAGAACTTTTGCTTTTCCATTCTGTGATATATTTCTTTTGAAAGCTTTTCAAATTTGTGTAACTCTCTCCTTCAGCTTTTTCATCAGCTCCTGTGACTTTTTCTCCTGCAGTTCTGACAGTTGCTGTGATCTGATGCTAAAGTGTTTTCTTAGAGGTCTGCGGGACCAGTGTTTTTCCTGAATACAGCTTAATTCTATGCTCGTGGTTTTCCTTGAATATAACTTTATTTTTGGCTTTTAGTTTTTGACTCTCTTTTTCTTTTCTTTTTTTTTTTTTTTGAGACGGAGTCTCACTTTGTCACCAGGCTGGAGTACAGTGGCTTGATCTCGGCTCACTGCAATCTCTGACTCCCTGGTTCAAGCAATTCTCCTGCCTCAGCCTCCCGAGTAGCTGGGATTACATGCGCATGCCACCACGCCCGGCTAATTTTTGTATTTTTAGTAGAGATGGGGTTTCACCATGTTGATCAGGATGGTCTCAATCTCCTGACCTCGTGATCCACCCGCCTCGGCCTCCCAAAGTGCTGGGATTACAGGAGTGAACCACCACGCCTGGCCAGTTTTTGACTCTTATATTGCTTAAAAGGGCTTTGAGGGCTAATGAATACATGCCCACCTCCACTTCTATCTGGCCTAGAATGTTTAATTGGCTACAAGTCATTGGACTCTAAGTCTGCTGGCCAAAGAGAATCCCTCCCCCTGCCAAAAAAATGGAAAAAGTAACTCAGGCCATGACAGGAAACAGGGAGTCAGCTGCCTCACTATGCCTTTCCCTTGGAATTTAGGCCAGGTTCAAAAGGTCTTTAAAAATTTTGAAAATAAAGTATTGGCCTTTCCCACAGAGAAAAATAAATAGCTCCTCGGTTCAATCAGAAGACTTAGTGTTACTAAAAACTTCAAAAAAAGATCCCCTGATCATCAGTTAAAACCAAAATGGAAGGGCCCCTTCAGGTATTGATAAATACTGTCACTGCTGTTAAGCTTCAGAGAGTCACTAGCTGTGTACACCTGTCCAGGATTAAACCTGTGTCTTATGAGTTCCCCATGGGCATAAAAGGAGCACACCACAACCTACATTTATGAACCTAGAAACTTAAGGCTGTTGTTTTGCAAGCACATAGATAAATAACAGGATGCTGTGGGTGGGGGTAGGAGCATTAATTTTTCTCTTCCTCCTAATTGTAATTTTCTTGTTTAGCCTCCCTCGTAAACTTTGTATCTTCTAGATTCCACATAAAGATGATGCCAGCACAAGGCTTCCAACTCATCCGGTCTTTGGACCTGGAAAAGAAAAACATCCTGCCATTGGGCCTCTTAGGTCAGGTATCCAGAGACTTTTACACTGCCAATACTAGGCGGGGTCTATGCCCATAAAATCAGCAAGAAGTAGTTACAGAAGATGGACCTTCACCCCTCTGCAGCCCCCTTAAGATTAGGAGGCTTTGGCCAGACACAGTGGCTCATGCCTGTAATCCCAGCACTTTGGGAGGCTGAGGCAGGTGGATCAACTGAGGCCAGGAGTTCGAGACCAGCCTGGCCAAGATGGCAAAACCCCATCTCTACTAAAAGTACAAAAATCAGCCGGGTGTAGTGGTGCTCGCCTGTAATCCCAGCTACTTGGGAGGCTGAGGCAGGAGAATTGCTTGAACCCAGGAGGCAGAGGTTGCAGTGAGCCGAGATTGTACCACTGCACTCCAGCCTGGGCAACAAGAGCAAAACTCCATCTCAAAAAAAAAAAAAAAAAAAAAATCAGGAAGTGTATCTAATTTCTAAGGGGGAAGTGAGGTAGGAGACTGATAGGACTTGTTTTCTGGTCACAACCCTGCTGACGAAAATAGGATCTAGTTCAGACAGGATAATGTGAAGAAACTGGCCAAAACCAGCAGATGGCAACAAAAGTGCTCCCTACCTGCCCTCCTTGCTTATTAGTGTGAGACACTCCCACTAGTGCCATGACAGTTTATAAATACCATGGCAATGACCCAGAAGTTACCATCCCTTTCCAAGAAGTTCTAAATAACCCATCTCATTTTGCATTAACCTTTCCTTAATTTGCATATACTTAAAAGTGGGCATAAGTGAGTATAAATACAGTTTCCAAGTGCCCATATGTTGCTGACTCTGGGTGCACTGCCTATGAATTCGCCCTGCTCTGCAAGAAGCAGTACCATTCAATAAAAGATTGCTGTCTAACACCACCAGCTCATCTTTGAATTTTTTCCTGGGTGAGGTCAATAATTCTCCAAGGCTAAGCCCCAGTCTAGGGGCTGTTTGGTGGATCATTGAGCCCAGCAGTTTGACACCAGCATGGACCACATGGCGAAGCCCCATCTCTACAAAAAAAATACAAAAACTAGCCAAGTGTGGTGGTGCATGCCTGTAGTCCCAGCTACTTGGGAGGCTGAGGCAGGAGGATCACCTGACTACAGGAGGGTCGAAGCTGCAGTGAGCCATGATCGTGCCACTGCACTCCAGCCTGGGCGACGGAGTGAGATGCTGTCTCAAAAAAAAAAAAAAAAAAAAAAGTGGCCGGGCAGGGTGGCTCAAACCTGTAATCCCAGGACTTTGGGAGGCTGAGGCGGGCAGATCACCTGAGGTTAGGGTTCAAGACCAGCCTGGCCAACATGACTAAACCCCATCTCTACTAAAAGTACAAAAATTAGCCGGGCGTGGTAACATGTGCCTGTAATCTCAGCTATTCAGGAGGTTGAGGCAGGAGAATTGCTTGAACCCGGGTGGTGGAGGTTGCAGTGAGCCTATATCGTTTCATTGCACTCCAGCCTGGGCAACAAGAGCGAGACTCCATCTCAAAAACAAACAAAAAAAAAAAAAAAAAAAAAAAAAAAAAAAGGAAAAGAAAAAAATGGATAAGGGAATCCTTGTGCTAAAGGGTGTCAGAGACAATCTGAGAGGTAAATGCTACGCTATGGACTAACAGTAAGGGGAAAAGAAGATGGTAAATTTGCAGAGAAGATCAAGTTTGATCAGTTTCCTGGCCTGAAGGTAGGACAATGACAAAGGCTCATTTTAGGGGCTTCTGGTATACAAAGGTGTAGGGGCACTACAAAAAAGTCATTCTGACACTTGTTGAAATGCTATAAGGAAGACTTTATTTAAGACTATTGCAATAGGAGAGAGAGATCAGGCTCAACTCTGAACACAGCTTGGACAAATGGATACTTATAGTCAAGGAGCAGAGTGACGGGGTTGGTGGGTGAAAAATTACTAGGAGGAGACATCAAGGGTAGAGAGATTCTTGCTAAACTGAACTAGCAGGATTCTCACTGAAGGAAAGCCAAGGACTTAGACATCAAAGGTGGAGGATGAGGAACTTGCTCAGGTATCAGTGGTGATCAGACCACAAAATGGAGGGAATTCTCCCTAAACTGACTTAGCAATATTCTTGTTCATACTGGGCTAGGCAGGCCAAAGACAGGACAGGTGCCAAGGTCTTAGTGGAGTCTAAGTGGAGAAGAAGGCTCAGAGGAGCATGAGTCAGGTTTGGTCAAGGAGAGGGTCTTTGTTGGAGGGGGAAATTAAATGGTGTGGAGGGGAATTTTAGATGGTTCAACAAGGAGGCAATGTAGTGAGTGGCAGCATGGGAGAACTGAGGCTGGAGAAGTTCTCAGCCCATGCTGTTGCCCCTGTTTTGCCCCTTCCCTCCCTCTCTCCCACAGGAGCAGTTGACTGGCTGCCTCTTGCTGTGGTTCCTGTGAAAGGCGGCTTTAGTTTGGATCTTCAGTGGGGTAAGGGGCTCTTGTTCAGAATAGAGGCTTCCAAATATGCATGAACGGAAGTAACACAAGCAAAATGCATGGGACACAGTAGGTGTGCAATGCCTATGGGTCCTCTTCTCTTTCTCCCACTGCTCCCTTTTCAGTGATGGGCCCAGAAAAGCTATAGTTCTATACCCTGTACACATGCTCGTCTCTCACTTTGAGGAAGAACAATTCCCCCAAACACTTTTAAAAAAACAGTAACATCTAGCAATAAATTAACAACTGGCAATGAACTGTTTCCTGCAATTTAAATTGTTTCTGAATGCAGTGTCATTAGGTCCTGGCTGTAGGCTCTTAGGGACTGCACACCTGGAAGGCTGCTGGGCAGAAGTGTCATAACCCATACCCCCAGCTCTTCCTTCTCTCAAGTGTCACAATCGTTTTGAACTATTTGGAATTTCCACCTATTCCCCCAAATTGGCAGCCTCTCCTGACTTTTATAGCTTTTGAATTTTGTACAAAGTGCATGTGTTAACTATTTAAATTTTTATATTTTCAAAAAACGATGATCTCTGTTACAGCAGCTAAAGTGGATTTTCCCCACCCCAGTAACTCACCACATTTCCCTATTTTATCTTCTTAGTAGTACTTGCCAGCATATTGTTTTTATACTGTGCCCAGTCTCCCTCCACTAAACCATAATCTCCTCCAGCCAATACTCTGACTTGTTCTCTATGAAATCTCTAATATCTAGAGTATTTATTTTCCTTCCTTTTCTCTTCTCTTCTTTCTTTTTTTTCTGTTAGTATCTTATTTAGATTTGTAGATTGAGATGCCTTCATACAATGTTTTAGAGATTTTTAGTGGTTTTTTTCCTATAGCCTGAAAGAGTTTACATAACAGAAATTATCTATTCATAAAGCAATGCTACTCAAAATGTGTTCTGCAGGCACTAAAGTATAAATCAAACATACTATTTAGCTCGAATGTACTATTTAGCTGAGTTTTGTTTTTTGTTTTTTAGCAAAGACTTTGTTGATGAAGGAAGCAATATACTGATTTATGTTCCAGTGCAAGCTCCTTAACTTTTTGCGGGCTGGTAGCAAACAGTTCTGTAACCAGCTGAGTAGCACTGCGGTAAAGGGTAACAGAATACAGATACAAAACCACCAGAGACTGGTGCTTTTTCAACTGTTAGATTTAAATTGCCTTTCTAGTCTCTTCCGTGGGCATTGATCTGTTTAGATTTTCTTCCTTTACTTGGCTCAATTTTGCTAAGTTATATTTTACTAGAAAGCTATCAATTTCCTCTATTTTCAGATACATTTCTAGAGTTGCACAGAATAGTTTCTTTTAGTTCTCTTTATCTCTTCCATATCTGTTTTGGATCCTCAGGAGTAAATAGAGGAACATGCAGTAAAAAAAGATTGAGAAAAGATGCAAAAAGATTAGAGTGCAACCAGGAAAGGTCAGTATTATTCTAGTCACTGGAGATGCAAAAATATGCAAATTCTCGAGGGGCTTCATATTTTATCTCTTTTAATTATCCTGAAATAGTTTTATTATTAATTGCTTTTTGAAGAAGTAGATATTGCCTATTAAATTATCTACTTAGAGACTGGTCAGAGTTTCATGTTCTTTTTTTGTTACTTGTTTTGTTTCAAAATTTTTTATTTAATTATTTTTATTTTTATTTTACAGGTGCCCACCACCATGCCCAGCTAATTTTTGTATTTTTAGTAGAGACGGGGTTTCACCATATTGGTCAGACTGGTCTCAAACTCCTGACCACCAGGTGATCCACCCGCCTCAGCCTCCCAAAGTGCTGGGATTACAGGCGTGAGCCACTGCACCCAGCCTTCATTGTTATATGTTCATTATATCACTTATAATGTATTATGTTTATAACATATAATGTTTGTAAGTATTATTGATAGGTTTGGCTGTGTCCTCACCCAAATCTCATCTTGAACTGTAGGTCTCATAATTTCCACATGTCATGGGAGGGAGGGGGACTCAGTGGGAGGTAATTGAATCACGGGGGCGGGTTTTCCCATGCTGTTCTAGTGATAGTGAATAAGTCTCATAAGATCTGACGGTTTTACAAAGGGCAGTTCTCCTACACATGCTCTCTTGCCTGCCACCATGTAAGACGTGCCTTTGCTTCTCCTTCACCTTCCACCATGATTGTGAGGCCTCCCCAGCCATGTAGAACGGTGAGATTAAACCTCCTTTCTTTTATAAATTACCCAGTCTGGGGTATTTCTTCATAGCAGTGTGAGAACCGACTAATACAATTATGTTCTTGATGTTCATTCAAGTATAAAAAGTGCATCCCTTTGGGTTCTCATCCTATTTCTGCCACTGACTGCTAAGTGATCCTGGGCAAGTTCCTCAGGCTCTCTGAACCTTATAAGCTGCAAGATTGAGAGGTTGCTCTAGATAACAATAGCTAAAATTTATCAACTGCTTACTGTGTACTAAATACTGACCTAAGTGCTTTACATGAATAATTTCATTTAATCTCTATGAATTAGGTACTATTATTTCTTTCATTTTACAGATGAGGAAACTGAGGCCCAGAAAACTTGCTGATGTTTCCTGAAAAAATAGAATCTAAGTCAATGCTCTTGGGAGGTGCAATTCTAGGGATGTGGGAGTGAGGGGTAGGGGGAGTGAGGCAGGGAAGATGGGAAGCAAATGCAAGGCGATGAGTTTCCACACTGGCTACCACTTTACTGTGAGCCATGAAGCAGCACACCTGGTCTCATGGCAGGAATGGCTTCTTGGCCTTAGGGAACACTGGCTGCGTGGAAAAACCACACCTCAGAATGATCCATGGGAGAGGAAAGGGGAGAGGGAGTTTGCTGCCATCTCTCCCCTGTCTCTTGTCTCTACTGGCCCAAGTTTGTCCCATAGGGAGTCGAGAATGCCTTCCTCCTGGGTGGTGTCATGCAGCCTCTTTAGCAGGCGCTGGGGAAGTTAGTTCCCAGGCCTTGTGGGTTGGCTGTTCATCTGAGTCTGGAAGTGGTTGGAGGAGCCATAACCCCAGATAGGGAGCAGGTGTGTGGGCCACACACAGTAGCTGAGGCAAAACAGGCAGCTGAGGAGGCAGATAAGGCTGAGAGAAGTCTGATATTCATGGATGGGTGTGGTGAGTAGTCATTGAAATGCAGACAACTGGGCTGGGCATGGTGGCCCACACCTGTAATCCCAGCACTTTAGGAGGCCGAGGCAAGCGGATCACTTGAGGTCAAGAGTTCGCAACCAGCCTGGGCAACATGGTGAAACCTCATCTCTACTAAAAATGCAAAAATTAGCCTGGCATGGTGGCGTGCGCCTGTAATCCCACTACTCAGGAGGCTGAGGCAGGAAAATCACTTGAACCCAGGAGGAGGAGGCTGCAGTGAGCCAAGATCAAGCCACTGCCCTCCAGCCTGGGCAACAGAGCAAGGCTCCATCTCAAAAAAAAAAAAAAAAAAAAATTGCAGACAACTGGACTCTAGGGCCAGACCACTAGCAATATGCTGCACATCTCTGAGAGCCCTTAGGTATAGAAAAAATATTATTATTATTTTTTGAGACAGGATCTCACTTTGTTGCCCAGGCGGAGTGCAGTGGTACGATCACAGCTCACTGCAGCTTCGACCTCTGGGCTCAAGTGGACTACAGGCATGTACCAGCATGCCTGGCTGATCTTTTTAATTTTTTGTAGTGATGGAGTCTTGCTATATTTTCCAGGGTGGTCTCGAACTCCTGAGTTCAAGCGATCTTCCTGTCTCAGCCTTCCAAAGTGTTGGAATTACAGGTGTGAGTCACTGTGCCTGCCAGAAGAATGTTTATGGTCAGGTACATACAGGCCCAGTCCTTGTTTTCTCAGTGTTCAAGTCTTCAATAATAATATCCCCTCTGTTATCTTCCTAGTGAAATCCTATTCCTTTCTCAAATCCTATTTGGATAACAATTTATCTCCAAGCCTTTAAGACTCAATCACTCCATTCTCTCAATTGTTTTGGCACCTTGTGCATATTTCTCTTCTTGCATACATGATATTTATTGTAGCCTATATTAGAGCAGGCTGTATGTTTACTAACGGCAGGAACCCTATTGTGTTTTCAGATCCTGTAACCCATGTCTGCCTAGAGAGAGCCTTTGGTATGTGCCTGCAGAGCTGAATGATAGACAATTTTACATTTGTGGCCAGGTGCAGTGGTTTACGCTTATAATCCCAGCGCTTTGGGAGGCTGAGGTGGGCGGATCTCCTGAGGTCAGGAGTTTGAGACCAACCTGGCCGACATGACAAAACCCCATCTCTACTAAAAATACAAAGATTAGCCGGGTGTTGTTGTGGGAGCCTGTAATCCCAGCTACTGGGGAGGCTGAGGTGGGGAGAATCACTTGAACCCAGGAGGTGGAGGTTGCGGTGAGCTGAAATCACGTCACTGCACTCCTGCCTGAGTGACAGAGCGAGACTCTGTCTCAAAAAAAAAAAAAAAATTACATTTGTGTAGGTTTAAAAAAAAAAGTTTAAATTTTAGAACAGTTTTAGATTTACAGAAAAATTGCAAAGATAGCACAAAGAGTTCCTATGTGCTCTGCACCCAGTGCCCGTATGATTCGTATCTAACATTAGTATGGCACATTTGGCACAATTCATAAGCCAATATTTGTACATTATAATTAATTAAAGTCCACACTAAGTCAGGTTTTCTTGGTTTTTACCTAATGTCCTTTCTTCTGTTCCAGGATCCCACACTACATTTACTTGCCATGTCTCCTGAGACCCCTCTTGGCTGTGATGGTTTCTCAGACTTTCCTTCTGTTTAATGATCTTGATAGTTTTGAGTAATGCTGGTTAGGCATTTTGTAGGGTGTTCTTCAATTGTGATTTTTCTGATGTTCTTGTTCTGATTTGACTGGGGTTGATCTGGGGAGTAAGACCAGATAGTTAAAGTGCCACTGGGGTCACATCCTATCAAGGGTACGTACTGTCAATATCACTTACCATGATGATGTTGACCTTGATCACCTGGCTGAGGTAGTGTCTGTCAGGTTTCTCCACTGTAAAGTTGCTCATTTTCCCCCTTTCCATATTGTAGGCTTTGGAAGAAAGTCACTGTGTGCAGCCCACATTTTAGGAATGGTGGTTTATATTCTATTTCCTTTAGGGTGGAGTATCAACATACATTGTTTGGTATTCTTCTGCCCTGGGGATTCGTCTATCCTTTCCCATGTATTCAGCCATTTATTTATATCAGTATGGACTCATGGATATTTGCTTTATACTTTGGGTCATCATCTAGTACTGCTTCATTTTATTTTGTTTTAATTTTTGAGATGGAGTCTCGCTCTGTCACCCACGCTGGAGTGCAGTGGCACAATCTCGGCTCACTGCAACCTCTGCCTCCCAGGGTCAAGCGATTCTCCTGCCTCAACCTCCTGAGTAGCTGGGACTACAGGTGCATGCCACCATGCCTGGCTAATTTTTGTATTTTTAGAAGAGACAGGGTTTCGCCATGTTGGCCAGGCAGGTCTTGAACTCCTGACCTCAGGTAATCCACCCATCTTGGTCTCCCAAAGTGCGGGGATTACAGGCGTGAGTCACTGCACCCGGCCTAGTACTGCTTTATTTTGTTGCTCAAATGTTCCCAGCTCTGGCCATTGGGAGCTCTGTCAGTTGGTTTCTGTGTCCCTTTGGCATACCCCAATCATTGTGGGGGGGTTTGGGTTTGTTTGGGTTTTTTAACACTTTATTACTTTCTGGCACTAAAGATGTTCCAGGCTCACCTTGTGTATTTCCTGACCCAGTCCTAGAGTCAGCCATTTCTCCAATAAGACTTAGTTCCTTTTCGTGAAGAATGGTATTACAAACCAAGAGCTGGGCTCTAGGTGTGTCATTACCACTGGGGTGTCATTAATTCCAGGCCCTCTCAGCTGACAGAGCAGGAAAATATATGTGTGTGTAATAGTCAGGAAGGTTCCTTTAATCTTACAAAGCACACTTTGAAAAATTGGACCAATTTAGAGTTCTCTGGCTGCTCAGTCTCAATCTCTTTTGTTTTCCTTTTCCCAGTGCCTGTTCCTTTGTGCAAGTCCAGACCGGTTTGTCCTCGCATCCCTTCCTTGCCCTTCCTCTGCTCCACGGCCTCCTGCAGGGAGCTGATCCCTGACGTCTCCTAGGTTCCCAGGTCAGCTGGCTGCTGGCTGGACTCTGGCCAGGCCAGCGGTGCACCAGTTGGAGGTGGGGGCAGCACTTCCAGATGCAGCTCCAGGGCCTGCTGGACAGGCCCCCTGTGATTCTGCCTTCTTCTAGGCTGTAGTGACATCACCCCTGTCCTTTGTCCCTCCTGCCTGGAGGTGTCAATGACTTCTGACTGGGGTCTCCCTGCCCCTCATGGGCTTCTCAACTTCTTCTGTCACATATGTAACCATTTCTCTGAATAAATTCCCTTTGTTTAAAACAGTGCTACCTACTTCCCCGGTGGGCCTTGGACAGAACTGTCGGTAGGGAGTTTCATTAGGAAGGGACTCCAGGAATGGCAGTGGTGTCTGAGTAAAAGCAGGATGGAGGGAGAGTGAGTCCAAGGCAGTATTCTCAAGCCAGTCACTGCTGTGGGCCCTAGGAAGCCACCCCACTGGGGACTCTGAGTCACTGGGGAGAACAGCCCTCAGCATTGTCTGACAGCCCCAACTGCTCGAGACGTGCCCAAAGGTGAGGAACTCCCTAGTACTTCCAGGTTTTCACACAAATCTGAATGGCTCAATGGGACCCCACAGGGATCCCCAGGCCCCGATAGATGCTAGAGATTCGACAGGAGGCTGAGGGGAGGGATGGATGGGGTATCAGCCGAACCCACTGCCACAGCAATAACTGAAGTTTAAACAAAATGAAAAAGGATGGGCAGGGGGTGGGAGACAGGCCCAGAGGTGTCTGGGATGCTGAGCTCCCCTCTGCTGGGGCCTTTCTCATGGCTCTCTTTTCCTCTCAGTCTTCACTCTTTCTGAGCAATCTCTTACACACCCCGGGGTTTCAACAACTATCTACATGATATGGGAGGATCAGAGTTTGCTTTGTGCTTTAAAAATAAATCTATTGAAGCCCCTGACTGGCTTTACTTGCAGAAATTCCCTTTGCAGAAAAGAGAGGCTTCCAGACACTTTGCCTAACTAAATAAGAAAATGGACAGTTTATATAATAATTGAATTACATTAATGAGGTCATTCTCAGCAGGTATGTATGACAAGGCTGGGGAGCAAATGCAACCTTCTAGAAAAACCACAGTGGTGGTCATTTTAAGTGAAGAAACACATTCTTTGTTTTGTTTTGTTTCGTTTTTGAGACAGGGGTGGGTCTCACTATGTTGCTCAGGCTGGTCTCGAGCTCCTGAGCTCAAGCGATCCGCCCACCTCAGCCTCCCAAAATTCTGGGATTACAGGCGTGAGCTGCCATGCCTGGCCTAAGAAATACATTTTTTTTTTTTTTTTTTTGAGATGGAGTCTCACTCTGTCACCCAGGCTGGAGTGCAGTGGCGGGACCTCGGCTCACTGCAACTCTCGGGTTAAAGTGATTCTCCTGCCTCAGCCTTCTGAGTAGCTGGGACCACAGGCGCCTGCCAGCACGCCCGGCTAATTTTTTGTATTTTTAGTAGAGACGGGGTTTCACCATGTTAGCCAGGATGGTCTCAATCTCCTGACCTCATGATCTGCCAGCCTCGGCCTCCCAAAGTGCTGTGATTACAGGCGTGAGCCACCGTGCCCGGCCAAGAAATACATTCTTTACCACAAACATTTCAACAAATGCAATTTTCTCTAACAAATATGCATAGTTTCAAGATTACAAGTCAACTGTCCTTGGAAGAGAACTATTGAAATTAAACTCTATGACAAGAAGGCTTTTTGCCCTTCTAAGTACCAGAAACCCAACTACATGATGTCCAACTACAGAAAGAGTACAGACTTAACTTAAATATTATGGTAAGCAATACATAAATATTCGCTAACCTTCCCCCTTCATCTCCACGTGCACAGTCATCGCTTTGGATCCTCAAAGCGGTTGTGTTTTGGTTTTCTTTTTTCACTCAGAGTTTCTCGTTAAGTGTCACTGAAACTTGTGGCATAAGATCGATCAACGGTATTAACCCGAATTGAATCAAAGCAGATAAAACAGCTTGGGCAACGGCTGTTTTAGCCCTTTAAAGATTCCAAATCTGGCCTTGTTCCCCATCCCAAATGGAAGCTGCTGACGCTGGAGACTGTGGAGAGAAAAGGGTGGGGCCCAGCACAGGGGCCCAAGGGGTTCAACAAGCCAAGGTGCCAGGTGGTGGCTCAGGGACTCACGGGGCAGACAGTGTTTGTTATTTATTTTAATTAATGGCCTACACTTAAAAGGAGTTTCATAAGTAAACTTCTGGCTTCTCTAGAAAAAATGGATAGCTCTTTCTTTCACCCCTGGACCGGCAATTTCACATGCCAATGGCAGCAGCCGGGCAGTGGTGGCCCCTTAGACCTCATACACGCTCACTCTCTTTTTGGAGAGGAGAGTCACTGTCACTGTCTTGTGGCCATTTCACTTATTCATGCCTGGGCTGGCTCCTGCAGACATTGGTGGTAAAGAGATCAGAGGGTGTGGCCAAATTCCAGAGTGGCTCTAAGAACAGATCAAAGGACACACACATACACACACACACACACACACACACACACACAGCTTTGCATCTAAGCTCCATCCACAGTGAAGTTCCCCCAGTTCCTCTCACCTTGTCTCCTCTCAGCCTTTGCTCAAGCTGTTTTATCTGCCAGAAACACGCTCCTCTACTGTCCCCTGCCCACCTGGTCACGTTCTATTCAACCTTCATGATGTCACCTCTACAGGAAGCCTCCCGGCCCCCCAGTGAAGGTTCAGATGGATGTCAGAGAGACCCAAAGTAACAGCAACTTAAAAAAAAGGCAGACCTTTAATTCTTTTTCAAGGGAGAGTCCTGCCCAGTGAAGGCCCTCCCAGTGCCTGGACTCTTCTATGTGCCGACCTATCCGTGAGGCACAGCAGACACAGTGCCTAGGACCCACGAAAATGTTTTAATTTCATTTAGAATCAGGAGGAAAAAAAGAATATAATGATAAATCCAGCCTGAATTATTTTTGCCGTTTTACTAATACAGTAGTAAAATATAATTTAACAGAAGAAGGGGCCCACAAAGGCAAAGGTGCTTAGGGTTCCCAAAAGTCATAATGCAGGCCAGGCACGGTGGCTCACACCTATAATCCCAACACTTTGGGAGGCAATGGTGGGTGGATCACTTTAGGTCAGGAGTTCCAGACCAGCCTGGGCAACACGGTGAGATCCCGTCTCTAATACAATTACAAAAATTATCTGGGTATGGTGGCACGCGCCTATAATCCCAGCTGTTTAGGAGGCTAAGGCAGGAGTATCACTTGAACCTGGGAGGCAAAGGTTGCAGTGAGCTGAGATCTCATCACAGCACTCCAGCCTACTGGGCGACAGAGCAAGACTCCGTCTCAAAAAGAAAGTCATCATGCAGCCCTGGGTGGTTACTCTCATCTATGTGGTCCACGCTGGCTCAGCAGTACAATGGAGGGAGAGAACAAGGAAGGAGGGGATAGGACATTTCTCTTTAAGGGTTTAATTTGGGAGTTGCACATACTATTTTTCCACTCAACCCATTGTCTGAACCTTAATCTCATGGCCACACCCACCTATAGAGGAGGCTGAAAATGCTGTCTTTATTTTGGATTGTCGTGTGCCCAAATAAAAAGTGTATCGCAATGTGAGAAGGAGAGGGCCGCTATTGGGAGAACTAGTTCCCTCTGCTAAGTGACCTTTCTAGTTGCTTTCATGGCTCCAAGAGGGAGCAGGCAGAAGCTGCAATGTCCTTGATGATCTAACTTCAGAAGCCACATGCCATTGTTTCCACAATCCTATTGGTGACACACAGGCCAAGCCCATCCTGTGTAGGAGGGCCCCACGCCAGGCATGAATATAGGGAGGGGAGAATCACTGAAGGCCATCTGGTGACTTTCTAATGTCTGGGAGGCCCCTGTGAACTTCCTGTGTGGGATTCAGTGAGACCCTCCTTGCTCTTAGAAGAGTGGCCCCCCTCTTTTTTACTTGTGTCTATTAAGTGCATTTCTATGTCCTTGGAGCAGACAGACCCTAAGAAAGCGATGAAGGGAGAAAAAGACACTATTATTGGTCCCATCGCCTGTTAGCAAATACAGGGGTCTCTGTGGCCTTGTCTTCTTGGTAGCCTGGTGTTTCTTCCTGGTATGTGGCATTCCAAGCTGGCCCCCACTCATCTGCACAACAAGAGTGAGCATCAGGCCTCAGGGATATGGCCCCAGACAGAACAAAGTCCCTGCTCCCTGGAACTTTCCCTCAGTAAGGAGAGACAGACACCAAAGAAACACAGGGCGTACCAGATGGTGGTGTTATAAACATAATTAAAGCTGAATAAGTATGTGTGTGCTATTTTACAGAAGGTGTGAGGGAAGGCCCCTCTGCAGAGGTGACATTTGCACCAAGACCTAAATGAAGAGAGGAAGTGAACCATAAGAATATGGGAGGAGGGCCAGGTGCAGTGGCTCACGCCTGTAATCCCAGCACTTTGGGAGGCCGAGGCAGGTGGATCGCCTG
This sequence comes from Homo sapiens, assembly GCF_000001405.40. Lineage (NCBI taxonomy): Eukaryota > Metazoa > Chordata > Mammalia > Primates > Hominidae > Homo > Homo sapiens. The sequence continues at coordinate 49,841,182 of NC_000013.11, forward strand.
AGGTTGGGAGTTCAAGGCCAGCTTGGCCAACATAGGGTGACCCCATCTCTACTAAAAATACAAAAAATTCGCCAGGCATGGTGGCATGTGTCTGTAGTCATATATATATTTATACATGTAGTCATATATATTTCCTTCCATATGGAAGGAAAAAAGTCTGCAGGAATTTCACAGTGAAGAAATGGACAGGAGGACTGAATGCAAGATCAGGAGAGAGTCTTTCAAGACAGGACTAGAACAAGATGGGACTAGAACGTGTCTATAGCCAAGGAGCAACTCGTGATTCAGGGAAGCAGAAGAGAGGTGAAATCCAGAGACCAATGAAACGAAATGGCCTCTGACTAGAGCTGAGCCCCATCTCCCATTGTATTAATAGCAGGAGGGGGCTGGGCACGGTGGCTCACGCCTGTAATCCTAGCACTTTGGGAGGCCAAGGCAGGTGGATTACTTGAGGTCAGGAGTTCAAGACCACCCCGGCCAACATGGTGAAACCCTGTCTCTACTAAAAATACAAAAATTAGCCGGGTGTGATGGTGGGCACCCAGCTACTCAGGGGGCTGAGGAAGGAGAATTGCCTGAATCAGGGAGACAAGGTTGCAGTGAGCCGAGATTGTGCCACTACACTCCAGCCTGGGTGACAGAGTGAGACTCTGTCTCAAAAAAAAAAAAAAGAAATAAATAACAGGAGGGAAGGCAGGATGTGGATGCAGATGGAAGCAGGTTGGAGATGTGGTGACTGGAAGGCGAAGGGGTTTCGTGTGACTGCTTCTGGTTTCTCAATGGAGTGTGAGGCTCAGGGTGATGGCCACAGGGGTTCAGAAGATTTGAGGGGGAAAGAAAAAGATGAGAATGAATGACTGTCCTGATGATCCAAAAAACAAACCACTAGGGCAGTGCTTCTAAACTTTAATTGTGGAAATGAATCATCTGGACGCCTGGGGACCTTGTTACAATGCAGATTCAGATTCAGTAGGTCTGGGTGGGGCCTGGCCTCCTGCATTTGTAACAAACTCCCCAGTGATGCCTGTGCTGTTGGTCCAGCACCACGTTTTGGTTAGGAAGGGAAGTGCTATGGTTTGAATGTGTCTTCTCCAAAATTCATGTTAAAATTTAATCCCCAGTGCAACAGTATTGAGGTGAGGCCTACAGGAGGTGGTTAAGTCATGGGGGCTCAGCCCTCATATGGATGAGATTCATAGCCTTATAAAAGGGCTGGAGGGAACTAGCTGGGTCCTTTTGCCCTTCTGCCTTCTCCATGTGAGGACACAGCATTCATCCCCTCTAAACGATGCAGCAACGAGGGATGGTGATGTTGGAAGCAGAGACAGCTGCTTTCACCAGACACTGAACTTGCCGATGCCTTGATCTTGGACTTCGCAGCCTTCAGAACCGTGAGATAAATTCCTATGACTTATCAATCACCCAGTCTGTGGTATTTTTTTATAGCAGCACAAACAGACTAACACAAGAGGTGGATAGGATTTGCGAGCATGGACCTTGGAGGTTTGTGGCCTCAATTTAAAGTGAGTACATTCACCCAGCTGGTGTTTTTCTCTTGCTGCTTGGGCACAGAGATGGAGTAAATGGGTCTAATCAAGGATAAAGGGAGAGCCAAAGAGATAGTAATATTTGAAAGGAAGTGTTTTTAATGATGTGCCATGTAATCTGAGCTGGGTCAGGAATGAAGTGAAAAACTAAGAGATGATGGATGATGATAGGGGCTGTGAAAGGAAAACAAATCTTGGGGCCCCCAAATCACTAAGCTAAAGGAGAAAGTCAAGCTGGGAACTGTTTAGGGCAATCCTGCCTCCCATTTTATTCAAAGTCACCCCTCTGCTCACTGAGATGAATGCATATCTGATCTAATCAGAAACTCAAAAGAATGCAACCATTTGTCTCTTATCTACCTATGGCTTGGAAGCCCTCTCCCCACTTTGAGTTGTGCTGCCTTTGCTTCGAGTTGTCCTGCCTTTCTGAACCAAACCAATGTTCATCTTATGTATGTTGATCGATGTCTCATGCCTCCCTAAAATGTATAAAACCAGTTTGTGCTCAGACCACCTTAAGCACATGTCATCAGGACCTCCTGAGGCTGTGTCCATGTGTGCATCCTTAACTCTGGCAAAATTAACTTCCTAAATTGACTGAGACCTGTTCACAAGGCCAATGAATCATGGTTCTTCATAAGATTAAATAATTGCTGGTGTGGAAGCATTAGAGCCACTAAACTGGAAAGAGAGGACAAGGTGGTCAGGAAGTGAGGCGCTTGAAAGTGAGAATAAGGGGCGACACGGTCATTGGCGATGACAAGGTCAAGCAAGTGACCTCCAGAGTAGGAGGCTCAAGATCATTTGAGGCACAAAGGTCAAGGAACGGAGAGGCCAAGGTGTCAGACGGATCACTCTCCAAAGAGTGACACTAGTAGATGGTCAAAATGAAAGCAGTGAGCCCAATGCTCAAGTCTGTAAGGGACAAGGAGGAATGACCAGGGTACTGGCAGGTGACAGTAACCAGGAGGGAGGCAGGATTTTAGTCTGATGACATGAATTTCAAGAGAGCTTTGTGCAGCATCTACAAGGCACTGGGACAGAAGACAGACATAGTCTCCCTCCTAAGTGAAGTGGGTTAGGCAAGGAAGGGTTCTAGGCAAGGAAGTTACATGATCCAGCTAGATTTTGAAAAGATCTCTTGGACTACTGTATAGAGAATGGATTGGAGGGAGGTTCGGTGGCATTAGGAGGCTATTACAGTTACTTAGACTGAGGTTGTCAAAGGGTGGACCCCAGACCAGCAGCATCAGCATCACTGAGAACTTGCTAGAAATGTACATTTTGGGGTCCCACCTCAGATCTACTGAGTCAGAAACTCGGGGTGGGGGCCCTGCCATTGGAGTTTTAACAAGCTCCCCCAGTGATTCTGATGCAAGCTGAAGTCAAACGAAAATGGTCACAGAATTATGGCAGTCGAGAGGGAGTGGATGAAGCTACAGCTTGTTAGGGGAAGAATAAGGACAGGGTAGCAAAGTGTAGCAGGGAAGGAGTGGGAAGCACCAGGTTTCTGGGAGGAGGAAGTGGACTGTTGGGAGTTTCCTGTACCCCAAAGGCACGGGGAAGGCTGGAGGAGGAGCCGAGGGGCAGGGCAAGATCAAGAGTTTGGTTCTGTCCGCAGCATGGGGCACATGTGTTCCAGAGAAGCTGGCTGGAAAGTAACGCTGTGGGCAAGAACTATATTCCGCCGTAGTTCCCAGGAGAAATGCAAGACATGCTCCTGGAGGAAAGCTGCGCTGATGGCTCTGGGACATGTCGTGACAATGACACACAGTGGCTCTCTGTGGTCCAGTTAAGCTTGCCAATATTACACACTTGCAATTGAGGGCATGGTGGAAAGCACACTGAGCTTGGAATCCAGAGGAATCAGCCCCTGGGGTTAAGTCTTTTCCCACCAGTCATTTCACCTCTGTGAGCCTGTTTCTACATTTCTTTGTTTTTATTTTATTTTATTACTTATTTATTTTGTTTCTGATTTTTTTTTTTTTTTTTGAGACAGAGTCTCACTCTGTTGCCCAGGCTGGAGTGCAGTGGCATGATCTCCGCTCATTGCAACCTCTGCCTCCTGGCTTCAAGCAATTCTCTGCCTCAGCCTCCTGTGTAGCTGGGATTACAGGCACCTGCCACCCTGCCCGGCTAATTTTTTCGTATTTTTAGTAGAGATGGGGTTTCACCATCTTGGCCAGGCTGGACTTAAACTCCTGACCTTGTGATACACCCACCTCTGCCTCCCAAAGTGCTGGGATTACAGGCGTGAGCCACCGCACCCAGCCGTTTCTGCATGTCTTAACAGGGATTATGATATCTGCCTGAACTACTTACAGGGTACACTGTTAGAGCCAAATGAGCCAATGCAAATCCAAATTTATTGATAATTCTAAAATTGTTTCAATGTAAGTGCAGCAGTATTCCAAATAATCTAATAATTATTCTAATATTCTATTATCAAAACTGCTTTTTTTGCTGGTAGCTGCCCACCTGCTATCATGTGATGGCAGTAGAAAGACGACCAATCTCTTTAAACACACTTTCCTTCCTGGTTATGGCCTTCAATTCACTGTATGAGGTCAATCCTTTGACTGAAACTTTTGCCTATAAAATTGCAGTACACCTGGAATGGTAACACTACAAAAAATACCTACCTTTTATTTACTGTGTACTACGTGCTGGTGTTTCATATCCACTATTTCATATGCCTTGAAGGAGTCTTGTGCACTAGATATTGCTATGCTCACTTTATAGATGAGGACATTGGGCTCAGAGACCAGGGGACTTACCCAAATTCATAGAGCTCGTGGAGGGCAGAGCCAGCACCTGACTGTTTGTGCCTGCCTGTGATGCTGTAGTCTCCCTGCTCTTGCAAGCAGCTTTGGATGGGCAGGGTTAGGGCACCGGTCATCAAGCCTGGGAAAAGGGAGCTTAGCTGGACAAGGGAAGGATGCCAAAGGCTGGGGCTTAAGGATCAGATTCAGTTGACCCTACCCAAGGCACAGGAATTGTTCTATGGACTTTCTGCTCTGCTCTTATGACTTTTATTCACAAGCAGCTTTCTAATGTCTCAACCTTCCATGGCACCCAATACTATTTGCTTAGATATTTGGTGGTGAAATCTTTCAACAGAAATGATGGAAGAACTAAGGGCCCAGGGAGGGCTCCAGAGGAAGGTGGACTCCTTGCGTCCTCTAACCTATAGAACAAATGCACAGAGGGGCTGGGCGCAGTGGCTCACGCCTGTAATCCCAGCACTTTGGGAGGCTGAGGCAGGCAGATCACCTGAGGTCAGGAGTTCAAGACCAGCCTGGCTAACATGGTGAAACCCTATGTCTACTGAAAATACAAAAATTAGCCGGGTGTGGTGGCAGGCACCTATAATCCCAGCTACTTGGGAGGCTGAGGCAGGAGAATTGCTTGAACCTGGAAGGCAGAGCTTGCAGTGAGCCAGGATCATGCCACTGTAGTCCAGCCTGAGTAACAGAGTGAGACTCGGTCTCAAAAAAGCAAAACAAAACAAAAGAACAAATGCACAGAGGGGAGGGGAAGGAGGCTGCCACAGCCCTGGGGTCTCTTTTCCAGGGGTATTTTTTTTTTTTTTTTTTTTTGGAGACGGGGTCTCGCTCTGTCTCCCAGGCTGGAGTGCAGTGGCGCAATTTCGGCTCACTGCAAGCTCCGCCTCCTGGGTTCACGCGATTCTCCTGCCTCAGCCTCCCGAGTAGCTGAGACTACAGGCGCCGGCCACCACACCCGGCTAATTTTGTTTTTGTATTTTTAGTAGAAACGGGGTTTCACCGTGTTAGCCAGGACGGTCTCGATCTTCTGATCTCATGATCCATCCGCCTCAGCCTCCCAAAGTGCTGGGATTACAGGCGTGAGCCACCGCGCCCGGCCCAGGGGTCTTAATACAGTTCATTTTGCACACGAACAGCATTATGCCTTGTGAACTTTGGTGCAGGCGGGAGAGCGATTAGAGGAGTTTCAAGACTGGTAGTCGATGATACCAGCATGTGACATGAGAGATCGGCCGAGCCAGGAAGGAGCCCATGTTCCTTATCTCATATACACAGAAACCAAGGGCCTTGTCCCCAGGCCCAGGATTGTTTAGCACAACAGAATCCCAGCCTCCCCATGTGTTACTCAATCGCTTTAATCCTCTTAAAAAGAATTGCCGGCCGGGCGCGGTGGCTCACGCCTGTAATCCCAGCACTTTGGGAGGCCGAGGCGGGTGGATCACGAGGTGAGGAGATCGAGAGCATCCTGGCTAATGGTGAAACCCCTTCTCTACTAAAAATACAAAAAATTAGCTGGGTGTGGTGGCGGGCGCCTATAGAGCAAGACTCTGTCGAAAAAAAAAAAAAAAAAAAAAAAAAGGGTTTTCTGATCGTGCTCTTGGTACCAGTTCTCCTGAGAGTGAGCTTCACTGTGCTGGATCACAAATGTCCGGTGGAAAGACATCTAGCTGGGGCCATCTCTCCACAGCCACAGCACAGAGCCTTGCATGAGAGGGAGGGAGGGAGGGATGGATGGGTGATTGCCGGAAGAAGATGCAGAATATCCCCTGGACTGCCTCCAAATACAAGTTCAGTGATATAGAACTTCAAATTGGTTAGTTTTTCTGGCATGAAAGGCTATGTCTTGGGGGAACACCTCTCCCACTGCCCCGCAGTGTAGATACCAGCAGCCGAGTACATGTAGTTACCACTGTTTTTGTTTTTTTTTATGGGTCCTGGCTCCTTCAATGGAGAGGCAGTAAGCAATTAAAACCCGCTTCTAAACCATCCTAAGTACTCCTTTGGAGTGGCTGCAAAAATCGATCATCCTCACGGATACAAAGGGGGAGAAAAGAAAAACAAAAGGAATTACTTTAACATCTTCATTTTCAGACTAGGTTAGGGCAGTAAAAAAGATGACCAGTGGAGGCAAACACTGGTTTAGGGCTGTGGCAGCGGCAGTGGGGTTCCGGAGAGAGAAGGGAGGGTAACAGAGGCTCTTCTGATCCTCCTTGCTTCTGGGGTCTCTTGCTGGGCCTCTGAGTAGGTCTGCAAGTAGGGCTGGGCATCGGGGCTCATTTTGACCACAAGTGTTTGCTGGTTTTGGAGTCAGGCAGACATGTGTCACTGCCTGGATTTAATTCCCATAGCTGTGTGACCCTCGGCCGTTTGCTTAATGTCTCTGAGCCTTAATTTACTCACCTGGGAGGAACAATAGGACTGTTCAGAGTAAGTGAAGTAGCACACTGGGCGTCAGGGCACGTTCGGGGCCGCGCCGGCACGCAGAGAACCTCGCCCGCTCGGCATTACTGTCTGGAAACGGCTTGCGGGGACGGTGGAGGATAACAGGGGGCGAGCACCGCCCGCAGCCGGAGTAGCCCTCGCGTTTTTTCCTTGACAGCGCGGCCGAGCGCCGCTGCGGGTTGTGGAGACTGTCCGCCCTCTAGTGGTCGGCTTCAAAAGTTGCTTCAAAGACAAGGCTGAATGAAAAGCGTTGGGGCGCCCTAAGCCGATGCACTGCATGGAAAGGGGGCTACCTTTCCCTTTCCCTTTACTAGAGCGGACAAAGGCTGTTCCATCTTTTTTGGGAGCCATAGAGGGGATCCGGTTGCACTAGCCTGCATCCTCAGGCTGCTGAACTGACCACGGTGGGCTAAACTGGAAAAGTTTCTTTGGGCAGGAAAGACTCAGATTTAACAAACATTTACTGAGCACCTACTACGTTCCTATCTCTGTGCAGGATGCTTTCACTTACTTTACCCATTTAAACCTCTCAGTAAGACCGGGCACGGTGGCTCACGCCTGTAATCCCAGCACTTTGGGAGGCTGAGGAGGGAGGACCGCTTGAGTTCAGGAGTTCAAGACCAACTAGGCAACAGTGAGACCCCTCTCTACAAAAATTAAAAAGTTAGCTGGGCATGGTGGCACACGCCTGTGGCCCCATGTGGCCCCAGCTACTAGGGATGCTGAAGTGGGAGGATTGCTTGAGCCCAGGAGATTTGAGGCTGCAGTGAGCCACGATTGTGCCATTGCACTCCAACCTGGGCAACAGAGCGAGACTGTTTCAAAAAAACAAAAACAAAAACAAAAAACCTCTCGGTAACCTGTGAGTGAGAGTTTAAATATTGTTTTTCTGATAAGATGGTGAAGCACTCTCAGGAAAGTTATTGCACACAGTGGAATCATGGCTACGTGGCTACCTCAGGATTTGTATTAGTACACTTAGGGCTGCTGTAATGACCTAAACATGGGTGGCTTATGGCCCATCCTAATAACCTCACTTTAATTGGATTACCTCTGTAAAGATTCTGCTCTAAATAAGGTCACATTCTGAGGTGTAGGGGTTAGAACCTCTACATATAAAATTTCAGGAAAGTAATTCAACTCATAACAGGATTTTTTTTAATTTCTTTTTTTTAGAGATGAGGTCTCGCTATGTTGCCCAGGCTGATCTTGAACTCCTGAGCTCAAGTGATCCTCCCACCTCGGCCCTCAAACATGCTAGGATTACAGGCATTAGCCACTGCACCTGGCCCTATAACAGGATTTAACCCATAACTCCTGATCCCAAGCCTGATGGTTACCTGTATATTCAAGCAGTGCTTCTTAAACGTGGATGTATATTGGATTTCCTGGAGAATTTTAAAAAATATATTGATGGGCCAGGCGTGGTGGCTCATGCCTGTAATCCCAGCACTTTGGGAGGCCGAGGCGGGTGGATCACCTGAGGTTAGGAGTTCGAGACCAGCCTGGCCAACATAGTGAAACCCCTTCTCTACTAAAAATACAAAAATTAGCCAGGTGTGGTGCCACACGCCTGTAATCCCACCTACTCAGGAGGCTGAGGCATGAGAATTGCTTGAGCTCAGGAGGTGGAGGTTGCAATGATCTGAGATGGTGCCACTGAACTGCAGCCTGGGCGATACAGTGAGACTCCGTCTCAAAAAAAAAAAAAAAAGTGTGTATGTATATATGGTTTTGAGTTCACCTCAAGAGATTACGATTTAATTGGCACATAGTTGACATAGTTGTGCCAATTAAATGTGTATAGACACTGGATTAAAAAAAAAAAACTCCTCAGGTGGTTCTAAGGAGAGGTCAAGATTAGAACCATTGACTTAGAGCACCTTCCCATCACCATTTGATAGGCTCCACCTCAGAGGAAGGATAAGCCCTCTCCTTGCTTCGCTGCCAGGGAAAGGAGGCCCAATTTGTCTTTAGTTCTGCAATCTTGGCTCCATTTCGGTTTCTATTTTTCTTATTCTTTTTTTTTTTTTTTTGAGATGGAGTCTCGCTCTTTTGCCCAGGCCGGAGTGCAGTGGCATGATCTTGGCTCACTGCAACCTCTGCCTCCTGGGTTAAAGTGAGTCTTCTGCCTCAGCCTCCTGAGCAGCTGGGATTACAGGCGCCTGCCACCACACCTGGCTAATTTTTGTATTTTTAGTAGACATGGGTTTCACTATATTGACCAGGCTGGTCTCAAACTCCTGACCTCGTGATCCGCCTGCCTCAGCCCCACAAAGTGCTGGGATTACAGGCGTGAGCCACCACAACAGGCCTATTTTTCTTATTCTTCAAGCACATCTGCTCTTCACACATGTCAGACTCACAGCCTAGTACATGACACACATTAGGCCCTTAACAAATATCTGAAGAAGAAAAGGAGGGAGAAGAATCACAAGGGAAGAAGTGCAAAGGGATGGGATTGGAATAGGGGAACTCTTGAAAAAGTGATGTTTCTGGAAAAGGAGGATTTCATGGTACCCACTGGGGGAGAATATTAGTGCAAATAGTGCCCAATGATGGATAATCATCCAGGGATTTGCCTTCCAGTGATACCACATAAGGGCATCAAATCACATTCACAACCTTAAATTTAATAGTTGTGCATGAGGTGAGGACGAATTACCTTGGGGTATCAGTTCCCCTTCCCACCAAACCCCCAGAGCTGGCACATGACAGTCCAACAAGGTCTCCTCCGAATGCTGAGTGCCCTGGAAGGCAGAGTGAAGCTCTGACCCCATTGTGTTGTGAGGTGGAGAGTAAATGACAGTGGTTTCCTTGTGCCCTGGCTTGTTTCTCCCCCTTGGGCTTCATCCATTCTCACCCTCAGAGCTAACTGGGGCTGACTGGGAATGAGCTAATTAGGACTGGCCTTTCCCTATATGTGTTCCCCAGAAAAGGAGCATATACCTTCAGGAAAACATGAATTCACAGGTCAAAGTAGCAGATTTCAGAATCACAACTATGTGAAATGAAACATAGCATTTTAGATTACAGAATCCAACTATATATATAAAAACAGTTGCATAGATAATGTGATATTGGCCTAATAAATATACAAAAAGAGATAAAAGAAGATAATGACAATGTAGATAAGAACAAGAAAACATAAAAAAGCAATATTAGATAAGTAAAATATCATAGTTGAAGTGAACACATCACATGGATAAACAACAAAATGGATAGAGCTGCAAAACTAATTGTCAACTTGGAAGACCAGGCGGAGGAAATCTTTCAGAAGAGATAAGAAAATAACAAAGACGTATAAAATATAAAGAAAAAACTAGGTTATGTGGAAGACAGAAGTACTAACATCTAGGTAATAAGAATTCTAGAAAGAAGAAAAATGAACAGAAAGAAATGTTTGAAGAAAAATGAGATAATCTTCCATAACTGTAAAAAGATGAAAGAAAGATAAAAAAGGTTATAGAAAAAAGATAAGAAAAAATCCACACCAGAACATTTTATAGTAAAATTAAGAATTTCAAGGCTGGACATGGTGGCTCACACCTTTAATCCCAGCACTTTGGGAGGCTGAGGCAGGAGGATCACTTGAGCCCAGGAGTTCAAGACCAGCATAGGCAACAAAGTGAGATCCCATCTCTACAAAAAGTTTTAAAAATTAGGCATGGTGATGCATGCCTGTAGTCTCAGCTACTCAAAAGGCTGAGGTGGGAGGATCATTTGAGCCCAGGAGGGTGGGGCTGCAGTAAACTGTGATTTCACCACTGCATTCCAGCCTGGGTGACAGAACAAGACATCATCTCAAACAAACAAACAAAAAAACCCAACAACAACAAAAAAAAGAATTCAAGGAAAATTCTAAAAGATTATAAAGAGAAAGAGAACATCACAAAAAGAGGACTGAAGTCAGATTGACATCAGATTTTTTTTTTTTTTTGAGACAGAGTCTCACTCTGTCACCCAGGCTGGAGTTCAGTGGCACAATCTCTGCTCACTGCAACCTCCACTTGCCAGGTTCAAGCAATTCTCCTGTCTCAGCCTCCTGAGCAGCTGGGACTACAGGCACCTGCCACCATGCCTGGCTAATTTTTTTTTGTATTTTTAGTAGAGACAGGGTTTCACCATATTGGTCAGGCTGGTCTTGAACTGCTGGCCTCAGGTGATCTGCCCACCTTGGCCTCCCAAAGTGCTGGGATTACAGGCGTGAGCCACCAGGCCCGGCCTGACATCAGATTTTTTAACAGCAACAACTGATGTAAGAAAACAGTGGAATGAGCTGGGCATAGTGGCTCACACCTGTAATCCCAGCTACTCCAGAGGGTGAGATGGGAAGATTGCTTGAGACTAGGAGTTTGAGACCAGCCTGAGCAACATAGTGAGACCCCATCTCTAAAAAAATATTTTAAATTAGCCGGGCACAATAGTGCACTCCTATAGGCCTAGCTTACTCAGGATGCTCAGGTGGGAGGATCTCTTGAGCCCAGGAGTTTGCGGCTGTAGAGAGCTATGATTATAGTATTGCATTCCAGCCTGGGCAATAGCATGAGACTCCATTTCTAAAAAAAAAAAATAAGAGAAAGAAAAAGGGAAAAAAAAAAAGAAAAAAGAAAAGAAAAAAATGGTGGAGGAATGGTATGGTATTCTCAAAATAATAAAGGCAAAGAAACCATCCTCAATTTTATTTATTTATTTATTTATTTATTTATTTATTTATTTATTTATTTTTGAGACAGTGTCTCGCTCTGTTGCCAGGCTGGAGTGCAGCGGCACGATCTTGGCTCACTGCAACCTCTGCCTCTTGGGTTTAAGCAATTCTGCTGCCTCAGCCTCCTGAGTAGCTGAGACTACAGGTGTGCACCACCACGACCAGCTGATTTTTGTATTTTTAGTAGAGACAGGGTTTCACTATATTGACTAGAATGGTCTTGATCTCTTGACTTCGTGATCCTCCCACCTCGGCCTCCCAAAGTGCTGGGATTACAGGTGTGAGCCACTGCGCCTGGCCTATTTATTTTTTTGAGATAAGAGTCTCGCTCTGTTGCCCAGGCTGGAGCCTGGTGGTGCAATCTCCACTCACTGCAACCTCCACCTCCTGAGTTCAAGCAATTCTCCTGGATTAGCCTCCCAAGTAAATGGGACCACAGGTGTGTGCCACCAGGCCCGACTAATTTTTGTAATTTTAGTAGAGATGGGGTTTCACCATGTTGGCCAGGCTGGTCTCGAACTCCTGACCTCAGGTGATCCACCTGCCTTGGCCTCCCAAAATGCTGGGATTACAGGCGTGAGCCACCATGCCCTGCCCATCCTCTATTTTTATATCCAGTTGGCCATTCAAAGATAAGGGCATGATAAAAAAAAATATTATCAGGCACAGAAGTTCTCAGAAGATTTACCACACAAAGGCTATGCTGAAAACTATTTTAGATGAAAGGCTTAAATAAAGGGAGAGTAAATCTAGTAGATACTGCCAGAGATATGTAAAGTAAAGATGACCAAGTACACCGGTAAAATTTCTTTGACTTAAAAGAATAGCCAAGACTAAAGAAAAAGAGAACTCATAGACACAATAATCTGGCATCAAAGTGTAGATAATAACATGATGTGGATTGGGGGCACAGAGATGAAGAGATGAGTGTATAAAGTTTTGTTCTTATGGGGGAAGAGATAGTTACCAATTTAAAGAAATGGTTAATAATATATATAGAAAAAGTGAGTCAGACTGAAAAAAAATAAAGTGGTAGAAACAGGTCCGAATAAATAATTACAATAAATATAAATGAACTAAACTCATCAGTTAAAGACAAAGATGGAAAAATGTGATATAACAAAAATTCAGGTATGTGCTATTAACAAGAGATAAAACTAAAGCATAAGGAATTGCAAAGACTCTAAGTAAATGAATAAAAAAGATATCAGTAAAATACTAATCAAAATAAAGCTGGTTTATCTACAGCAATATTAGATAAAATGGACTTAAAGGCAAAAAGATACATAGCATGTATGCATTTAATAAAGCAAAAGGTGGCCCAGGGTGATGGCTCACCCCTGTCATCCCAGCACTCTGGGAGGTTGAGGCAGGTAGATCACTTGAGTTCAGGAGTTTGAGACCAGCCTGGGCAACATGGCGAGAACCCCATCTCTGAAAAAAAAAAAAAATGCAAAACTTAGCCAGGTGTAGTGGTGCATGCCTGTAGTCCCAGCTACTTGGAAGGCTAACATGAGAGGATCATCTGAGCCTGGGGAAGTTGCAGTGAGCCATGATCATGCCACTGCACTCCAGTTGGTGATAAAAGAAAAAGATTGATAAATGTTGCTTTGTTAGAGAAAGTAAAAAGTTATATATAGAAGATATTCAAAACACATAAAACTGGCAAAGGACTGGTATCATAAAGAACTTCTGCAAATCAGTAAAAGAAAAAACACATAAGCAGCCCAATAGGAAAATGGGCCAAAAAAAGAACTGTTTTCACAGAAGAGAAAACACATGATCAATAAACATATGAAGAGATGTTTAACATAATTAGTAATTGGGAAGTATAAATTGAGACTACAGTCCGGGTGTGGTGGCTCACACCTATAATCCCAGCACTTTGGGAGGCCTAGGTGGGCGGATCACGAGGTCAGGAGATTGAGACCATCCTGGCTAACATGGTGAAACCCCGATTCTACTAAAAATACAAAAAAATTAGCTGGGTGTGGTGGCACGCACCTGTAGTCCCAGCTACTCAGGAGGCTGAGGCAGGAGAATGGTGTGAACCCGGGAGGCGGAGCTTGCAGTGAGCTGAGGTGGCGCCACTGCACTCCAGCCTGGGCAACAGAGCGAGATTCCGTCTCAAAAAAAAAAAAAAAAAAAATTGAGGCTACAATGGCACACAATTTTATACTCATTCATCTGGTAAAAATTTGAATGGTCTGATAACACCAAATCTTATCAATGCTGGTGAGAATGTAAAATTGTATAACTACTTTGGAAAAGTTTGACATTTTCTCCTAAATTTGGGCATTCATATACTATTATGGGTTGAATTTTGTCCCCTAGAATAAAATGTTAAAATTCTAACTCCTGGAACCTTCAATGTGATCTTATTTGAACTTTGCAGATGTGAGTAGCTAGGTTATAATGATGTCATACTGGGCCCTAAATTCAATAGGACTGGCATCCTTATAAGAAAAGAAGAGGCCAGGCACGGGTCTCATGCCTGTAATCTTAGCACTTCGGGAGGCTGAGGTGGGTGGATCACCTGAGGTTAGGAGTTCAAGACCAGCCTGGCCAACATGGTGAAACCCCATCTCTACTAAAAATACAAAAATTTGCCAGGTGTGGTGGCGGACGCCTGTAATCCCAGCTACTTGGGAGGCTGAGGCAGGAGAATTGCTTGAAACTGGGAGGCGGAGGTTGCAGTGAGCTGAGATTGCACCATTGCACTCCAGCCTGGGGGACAAGAGTGAGACTTCATCTCAAAAAAAAAAAAAAGAAGAAGAGGAGAGACAGAGACAGAAACACACAGAGGAGAAGACCATGTAAAGACAGAGATAGAAATTGGAGTGATGCATCTACAAGCCACGGGGTGTCCAGGGATGCTGGCAACCATCAGAAGCCGAGAGAGACATGGGACAGATTTTCCCTCAGAGGCTCCCATAGGGAACCAGCCCTGAGGACACTTACTGTGAGATAACACATTTCTGTTTTTTTGAGGCACCCAGTTTATGGTAATTTGTTAGAGCAGCTCTATGAAACTAATACACATACTCAATGACCCAACAATTCTACTCCTAGGTATAGACCCAACATAAACCATTTCATGTGTACAAGTGACTGCATAAGGAAGTTCACAGGATTTCAGTTCACAACAGCAAAAACCTGCAAAGAACCTAAAAGCCTAACTATAAAAGACAGAATAAATAAATTGTAGTAAATCCACGCAATGGAATGTTATTCAGCAGTCAACATGAATGAACTATAGCAATGAGGGGGTCTATCTGCAGACCCTGACCCAAACGATGGATGAATGAAGTACACTGACACACAGATATTCTGCTATGCCAGTCCAGCTGAGTGTCTGGGCCACTTACAGACTCCAAGCAGAGTGCTGTAAACAGTCACGACCATGGCCCTGACCAACTAGTGAGACTCGCATTTATTTAGTAAAGATGAATTGACAAAGGCTTGAGTCAACACCACCAGAGGGTAATTGACATTGTGGACTTCCTGTAGAAAGTAATTAAGCACCGGTGGTAGATCAAAGGTTAGTCTTAAACAACCTAGCTAGATACACTACTCTGCCTTCTTCCTTACCCACTTGAAGCTTTTTACTCAAGGTAAGGATTAGGTTGCCTTCAGCCATTGTCTTATCCTGAGACTTCTGTAAAAACCTTCAGGCCTTCCAAGAAAGTTTGTGTTTATTTTTATAACTATCTTTAATATTTTTCCCACCAGCCTGATTGAACTCCCACATAACAACACACAAAAATATGAGGAATCTTAACAATATAATAATAATAAATGAATCTAAAGAGTTTACATATTCTGCAATGCATTTTTAATAAAATTTATGACCAAGATAATAGTTCCTTTTTATGAATGCAAATACGTGCAATTCAACTATATGAAATGGAAGGCAAGGAAATTGTTTTTTTATTTTTTTGCAAACACTATGGTGACTTAAAGGCAAGGAAATTGTTAACATGGAATTCAGCAATATGGCTACCTTGAGTAGACAAAGGCAGAGGGACACGATGGGAAAAGCAACCATATGGTTAGATGTAGGTTGTTGTCAAGGTCTTAGTTTTTGCTTGAGATGGTGGGTTCATGAGTATTTATCTATGTCTACAGCTATGTTTATATGTATATTAACATAACAATATTTAATGGAGGAGGCCACTTAAGGACCACAGAGGAAAGTATGCCATAAATAGGATTAGAACTAATTCTTTTTTTTTTTTGTCTTGAGACAGAGTTTCACTCTTGTTGCCCAGGCTGGAGTGCAATGCCGCGATCTTGGCTCACTGTAACCTCCGCCTCCTGGGTTCAAGTGATTCTCCTGCCTCAGCCTCCCAAGTAGCTATGATTACTGGTGCCTGCCACCACACCCAGCTAATTTTTGTATTTTTAGTAGAGATGGGGTTTCACTATGTTGGCCAGGCTGGTCTTGAACTCCTGACCTCAGGTGATCCACCCGCCTTGGCCTCTCAAAGTGCTGGGATTACAGGTGTGTGCCAACGCATCTGGTAGATTAGAACTAATTCTAATCCAATCCTGTGCATCTGGGGCTAAACATCCCCCAAATTGTTGGGCTTTCCCAGATTTGTCCATGATTCTACAAACTGGTGCTTCTGGCTAATTCTGATTTTCACAAGGGTCTGGAAATTGGAATATTTTTTCCACGCTAACTCTATGACCTGCAGTGTGGCTAACCAATCTAGACCAAACATGCAGCTCTGGATTGTTCAGGATTTAGTGTGCCAATTTAGATAGAAAGCTCAATTAATTAAAATAAAGAAGCACAGAGACCAAAAGTTCATTGAGTTCAAGTAGAATCAGCTCAATGGGTGGGAAAAAGAAAAAAGAATCAGTTCCTATAAAAAAGGACAGCATAGTTGCTAGAACCCTCTAGAGATGTACAGATATTAGATAGTTTTGGCAGGAAGTGGTGGCCAAAATACATGAAACAACAACCTGAAAAAATAAGAGTTAATCAGGGATTACAGCAGGGATGAAAACAAACAAGCCAAAAAGCCACAGCAACAACAAAAACAGGTGGAAGATAACAGGAAAATCTAATCTTCACTGCCCATGGGCTGGAATGTAATGTTTTGGCTATGTTTTTCTTCTTCTTTTTTTTTTTTTTTTTTTTGAGACGGAGTTTCGCTCTGTCACCCAGGCTGGAGTGCAGTGGCGCGATCTTGGCTCACTGCAAGCTCCGCCTCCTGGGTTCACGCCATTCTCCTGCCTCAGCCTCCCGAGTAGCTGGGACTACAGGCGTCCGCCAACACGCCCGGCTAGTTTTTTGTATTTTTAGTAGAAATGGGATTTCACCGTGTTATCCAGGATGGTCTCGATCTCCTGACCTCGTGATCTGCCCACCTCGGCCCCCCAAAGTGCTGGGATTACAGGCGTGAGCCACCGCGCCCGGCCTTGGCTATGTTTTTCTTGGTAAACATCTCTACTATCTGCTTTTGAAATGATGGAGCTACCTTTCAGTTTTAAAAACAATATATTTCAGGCATCTCAAGTAATCCACAATCTGGAGGCAAAAGTCAAGACTGAGTTGACAGAGCACAAATCTGTTTCATTTGACTACATTAAAGAGGTTTGCATTCTTTCAAGGGCTTACTAGCGAGTTGTTCAGAAGCAGTACTGACACGGGGGCCTGGGATTGTTGAGGGATGCTTATGCACAGAGAGGAAGGTTTGCTAATCCAGGAGCACTGAATCATCATGATGTAAACTTGCAGGACTTCATGGCTTCAGTGATACATCATTGATCTTTAATTCCAGTCCACAGAACTTTTTTTTATGGTAAGGAAAAGGATATGGGAAGAAAAAAGTATTATAAGCATGTTTCTCATATTTCTTCCCTCTTTTACCCTATAAATAAAAGAGCAAAGGTATTACTGAGCAAATGTTCTCTTGAAAAACTTGATTTCTTCTTATGCTTGGAAATTTTGCTATAGAGATAGTCATTGCTACTGTTTACAGTAGACATTCCAACCCTGAAAACTAAACTCTGAAGTATTTACTATGCTTAGATAAATCACATATTTGTCCTCATGAGTACAGCCTGTTCAGGTTTGTACATACCATTGCGTAATTCCCTAAGAACTCTTTCCAATTTAAAAGGATGACTTTGGACACCTTTGTGGAAGTTGATAGGAAAGATTTTTGCTCTTTAAAATACTTGTTAAATAGGCCAGTTAAAAGTATGCTTTGTACTGAATTTTGCCTTTATCAGTAAAGGCTCCAAGAATGTTGATAAAATAAGAGAAAAAGAAATTGGGCTTTTCTCCTGCCAGAATTGGAAGGGAGAGACCCAAAACTAAGAACGGAAAATCTGTCATAATAATGGCAGAATCCTCAAAAGAAGATACACAAATAAATGCAGCTGAGGAACCTGGAGACTTCCCTGGTTTCTGTCCCTTGTGAGACTTCAAATCATAAAATACCCTAATATCTTTCTGTAATCTTCTGTCATGTTCTAAAATGTCTAAAATATTGAAACAGTCCTTATTATCAGAAAAAAGTAATCATGAACAGAGCCCAGAATATGGTATAAAACATTACCTTACTGTTCTCATCATGTCATTGTTCAGTCCTACCTCCAAACAATGTCCCATGAGAAAACCCAGAAGACATCTCCCTCACTAAAGCATTGAGAAATGCATTAATAAATGGAGCACCTGCAACCTCTTTCAAAGGAGAGCTCTGTGGTTGCTCTCTTCTATAGGGTAGGTGGAAAATATGCCATTGACATGGTCTCCCCAATTTCAATGATGGGATGATGGGATCTCAGAGTGGCATAGGTAGGGGTGGCACTGAATCTCCAAGGACAAAGTAAATGCATCCACTGTAAAGGGCAATCAGAATGCTTTGGCCTGCAGACATATTTGATGGTGGTTAAGTTATGGTGTTCTTAGGAATGAAATAGATGGGCAATCTACCATTGTATTGCTTGATCTGTAACAGAGGGAAAAATTCTAGGTCTGGTAGCTAAAAACCTGATGAGTCACTGCAGTGGACAGTCATGGCCTCTTGTGTTGAGATCTAAGTCAATTCACAGAGCCAAAGCTCCTTGATTAAAGAGGAGGCTGGGAGCCAGGCACAGTGGCCCATGCCATCCCAGTGAGTCAGGAGGCTGAAGCAAGAGGATTGATTGCTTGAAGCCAGGAGTTTGACCTCAGACCCTACGAAAAAATTAATCTAAAATGTCGGGGCGCGGTGGCCCATGCCTCTAATCCGAGCACTTTGGGAGGCACAGGTGGGCAGATCACAAGGTCAGGAGTTTAAGACCAGCCTGGCCAACATGGTGAAACCCTGTCTCTCTAAAAATACAAAAATTAGCTGGGGATGGTGGCATGTGCATGTAATCCCAGCCACTTGGGAGGCTGAGGCAGGATAATTGCTTGAACTGGGACCCGGGAGGCGGAGGTTGCAGTGAGCCAAGATTGCACCACTGCACTCCAGCCTGGGCTACAGAGGGAGACACCATCTCAAAAAAAAAAAAAAAAAAAAAAAATCTAAAATGGATCATAGATCTAAATGTAAACCTAGAATTATAAATCTACTAGAAAAAATATAGGACAAAATCTGTGGGACCCTGGCATAAGCAAAGTTTTCTTAAGTAGAACACAAAAGAAGATATAAAAGAAATAGATGGGGCTTGGCATGGTGGCTAACATGTGTAATCCCAGCACTTTGGGAGGCCAAGGTGGGCTGACCACCTGAGGTCAGGAATTCGAGACCAGCCTGGCCAACATGGTGAAACCCCATCTCTACTAAAAAAAAATTAGCCGGGCATGGTGGCACATGCCTGTAATTCCAGCTACTCAGGAGGCTGAGGCAGGAGAATTGCCTGAAGCTGGGAGGTGGAGGTTGCAGTGAGCCGAGATCACACCACTGAACTCCAGCCTGGGCCACAGAAGAAAATTCCATCTAAAAAAAAAAAAAAGAAAAAAAAGAAAAAGAAATAGGTAATCAGTTGGGCTTCATCAACATTTAAAACATTTCTCTTTGAAAGTCAGTTAAGAAAATGAAAGTCAGCTAGGTGTGGTGGCTTACGCCTATAATCCCAGCACTTTGGAAGGCCAAGGCAGGAGGATCACTTGAGCTCAGGATTTCGAGACCATCCTACGCAACAGAGCAAGACCCCACCTCTAGAAAAAATTTTAAAAATTAGCCAGGCAGGGTTGTGCGTGCCTATAGTCGTAGCTATTTGGAAGGCTGAGGTGGGAGGATCACTTGAGCAAAATCAAAACTGATTTTCATTAAATCTCAAAGTAATCTGTTGACTGAAAGAAACCAAACAAAGATATATATTGTATTATTTCACTTATATGAAATTCTTGAAAATAAAAACTAACTTATGTAGCTAGACTGCAGATCAGTGGTTGCCTGGGGACAGGTTAAAAAGTGCAATGAACTGCAGACAGGTATGAGAAAACCTTCAATGGCAATGGAAATGTTCAGCATCTTGTTTGTGGAGATGGTTTCATAGTTACATATGTTTACCAAAACTTATCAAATAGTGAACTTCAAATATATGCAGTTTATTATTCAAAATTATACTTCAATAAAGTTGTGAAAATGGGAGCGGGGAAGCAACAAATACTGGTGTGAGTCAACAGCATGAACCATATCACCTTTTCTCATTTTCCAGAAGTATGCTGAGTTCCTTGGTCAGCCAAAATAACCACCCTCTCGCCCATATGAGAGGATCTTCCTTGTCCATTTTCCCCCATAGTACCTGTCATTTTTTTTTTTTCTGCTGCTATAACAAAGGACCACAGATTGGGTCACTCATAAAGAAAAGAAGTTTAGGCCAGGCACAGTGGCTCACACCTGTAATCCCAGCACTCTGGGAGGCCGAGGAAGGATTGCTTGAGCCCAGAAGTTCAAGACCAGCCTGGGCAACATGATGAGACCCTGTCTCTACAAAAAATACAAAAATTAGCTGGGCATGGTGGTGTGTGCCCATAGTCTCAGCTACTTGGGAGGCTGAGGAGGGAGGATTGCTTGAGCCAGGGAGGTTGAGGCTGCAGTGAGCTGTGATTGTGCCACTGTACCCCAACCTGGGCAACAAAGCAAGACCCCATCTGAAAGAGAAAGAGAGAGAGAGGGGATAAAAAAGAGAAAGAAAGAAAAGAAAAGAAAAGAAAAGAAAAGCTTACTTGGTGTTGCGGGAAGTCAGGGACCCTGAATGGAGAGACTGACTGGAGCTACGGCAGAGGAACATAAATTGTGGAGATTTCTTCTTAATATGGACATTTATCAGTTCCCAAATAATACTATTATAATTTCTTATGTCTGTCTTTAATCTCTTTAAACTTTAATCTCTTAATCCTGTTATCTTGCTCACTGCAAGCTCTGCCTCCTGGGTTCACGCCATTCTCCTGCCTCAGCCTCCCGAGTAGCTGGGACTACAGGTGCTTGCCACCATGCCCAGCTAATTTTTTTCTTTTTGTATTTTTAGTAGAGACGGGGTTTCACTGTGTTAGCCAGGATGGTCTTGATCTCCCGGCCTCATGATCCACCTGCCTCGGCCTTCTGAAGTGCTGGGATTATAGGCATGAGCCACAGCGCCCGGCCTGATCAGAACATTTTTTAATGAAAGGATCTAGAAAGCAACTTGGAAGTGTAAATAGTCACCTTCATTTTCTCTAACTTGATCAAGACTAGTGGGTCCATGGCCCTGTGTTAGTTCATGCATTCATCTCAGACCCAAATGAAAGTTTCAACTCCCAAAATGCAGTTCCTTAGATGCTCGTCTGGACGTGATGACGTGCCCGCCATATAAGAAGGTGCAATCATAGGTATCACAGGTAGCCAGATAGAAGACATTTTTTTCTCCCAAAATTATTCCTTGGAGTGGGGAGTGATATGGGGGAAGAGCTCCCATCTTAAGGGGCACACACTGAGTTGCTTATGCTACTTCCTTGTTCAAAATGAAGTAACTGCCTTAATCTAAAAAAAGAAAAGAATATTTACAACACTGAAAATGAATGAACTACGATTTATGTATAGCATGGATGAATTTCATAAACATTGGACAAAAGAATCCAGACACAAAATAGTGGTTGCCTTTGGGCAATATAGAAGGGTGCAAGTGGAAGTAGCCTCAAGAAGTTTTCTGGGGTGCTGGTAAGGTTCTATTTTCTAAACTATGTGGTGATTAAATATGTGTATTCACTGTGTGGTAATTAATCAAACTGTTTACTTTTTTTTTTTTTGAGACTGAGTCTCGCTCTATCGCCAGGCTGGAGTGCAGTGGCTTGATGTGGGCTCACTGCAACCTCTGCCTCCTGGGTTCAAGTGATTCTCCTGCCTCAGCCTCCTGAGTAGCTGGGATTACAGGCGTACGCCACCACACCCAGCTAATTTTTTTGTATTTTTAGTAGAGACGGGGTTTCACCATGTTGGCCAGGATGGTATCAATCTCTTGACCCTGTGATCCACCAGCCTCGGGCTCTCAAAATGCTGGGATTACAGGCGTGAGCCACTGCGCCCGGCCAACTTTTAAAAAAAAATTTAGGTAAAACCCACATAACATGTAATTGACTATCAGCCATTTTAAAGTGGACAATTCAGTGGGATTTAGTGTATTCACAACGTTGTGCAACCACCACCTCTGTCTAGTCCCAAGATATTTTCCTCACCCCAAAAGGGAACCCCACCCATACCCATCAAGCAATTGCTCCTCATTCTTCTGAGCTGTTACTTTTCTACACTTTTCTACAAGCATGTTTTACTTCAATTTAAACTTTAGCCCATGAAATCTAGGCAAGACGAGGAGGAGAATGAAGTCATATAGGAGCTGATGAATGTCAAGCCATGGTGGGGTGGGCCACTGGGTTGAAGATTTTGAAAAGGTTGAAGAAGTATGGTAGTGGACGCACTTGAGTAAGTGAATTGAAAGGAAAGAGGTAGTGGTCAGAGGGTAGGATGCTTAAATAAAGATTTCACAAATGCGTTCATTTCTGTTGATCCCAAGGAAGTGACCGTGTGAGTGTGTAGCTGAGGTGGAATGGTGAAAAAGATCATTGAGGACACATCTGTTAAAGACCTAAGAAGCCAGAGCATTGAATGGTTCAACTACATGGCGTTAGGTGGTTCCAACCAATCAATGCTGAGGTCACAAAAATGGGTAAAAATGACATGGCAGGAGTTGGGGAGGAGGGGAAAAGCAGGAAGCTAAGTGCAAGTCTCTCCTGCATGGAGGGGCATCGCCAAGAAGTAGCTCACAGCTTCAAGGAGGAGGTCAAGGGAGTTAGATGACCTGACCTTCAGAAGAGCTGAGGATTTTGGAGGAGGGAATAGGAATTGGAAACTGCAACTGCAGGCCATGAGGACACTGCCTAATAATGCCACAGTGGCCTTGGGGACAGCCATGTTTCAGGTAGGGCAGGAGAAGAGATGGAGGATGTGGGAGAGTTTAAGATCACAGAGAGGAGCTTCTGAGAACACAGCGAGGTGTGGGAGAGGCAGTGCTTGCATCATATTGGAGGACAGACATGGCAACACAAAGACAGGTAGGTTGGGGGTGACTGGAAAACAGGATGGAGGCTGGACTGGATTCAGCCTGAAGATACACTCAGGGTGAGGGTGGCAACCAGACCCGACGACGTGTGTCCTGGCAATTTCTCTCCAAGAAACCACTAGTGATGAAGCAGTGCTTTAGGTGCTTGGGGGTTGAGCACCTTCCTGATATGTAGTGTTAACAGCTTATAAATGGCTATGTGTGACTTTTTTTTCTTCTGATCAACGCTGGTCCTTAATCACCATGTTGGATTACCTCCTGCTATGGTTTGAGTGCTAGTCCCCTGCAAAACTCATGTTAAAATTTATTTGCCATTATAACAGTATCAAGAGGTAGAACTTTTAAGAAGTGATAAGACTATGAAGGCTCCATCTTCATGAGTGGATTGATGTTGTTATAAAAGGGAGAGTTTGACCCTCTTTTGTCCTCTCTTGCCCTTCTGCCTTTTGTCATGTGATGATGCAACAAGAAGGCCCTCACCAGATGCCAGCACTTTGACACTGGACTTCTCAGCCTCCAGAACTGTGAGCTAATAAGTTCCTGTTTATTGTAAATGACCCAGTCTCACATGTTGTTATAGCAGCACAAAAATGGACTGAGACACCTTAAGAGGGAGATACATGCTGCTGTGGTGGATATATTAGAGATTAATTTAGAAAGATTATTAAATCACTGAAGACCTTTTAAAAATTGATTTTCTTTGGCCAGGAGCGGTGGCTCACACCTATAATCCCAGCACTTTGGGAGGCCAAGGTGGGTGGATCACGAGGTCAGGAGATCGAGAGCATCCTGGCTAACACAGTGAAACCCTGTCTCTACTAAAAATACAAAAAATTAGCTGGGTGTGGTGGTGAGTGCCTGTAGTCCCAGCTACTTGGGAGGCTGAGGCAGGAGAATGGCGTGAGCCTAGGAGGCGGAGCTTGCAGTGAGCTGAGGTAGCACCACTGCACTCCAGCCTGGGTGACAGAGCGAGACTCTGTATCAAAAATAAAATAAAATAAAATAAATTTTCTCAACTACAAAGATAGTGAGATCACAATTATTATCATGGTCCTTAAGATTTTTTTGACATTGAAAAGTACTTTGTAAAGCATATATGTGATAAAACACTTGAATTCAGACTACATAAAGAACACTCAAAACTCAACAGTAAGAGAACAACAACCTAATAATGGGGAAAAAATTTGAACAAACACTCCACCAAAGAAGATACACAAATGGCAAACAAGTACATGAAAAAATCTCAACGTCATCAGTCATTGGGAAAATGCAAACTGAAACCACACACAGAAACTGTGAAAATTAAAAAGACTGACCATGATTAGCTATGGCAGGGACATGGAAGAACTGGGACTCTCATACACTTCTGGTGTAAATATTAAATGGTTAAATGTTGGAAAACAGTTTGGCAGTTTGGTAAGAGCTAAATGTACACCTACTGCATGATCCAGCCCTTCCACTCCTAGTATTTATCCTGAGAAATGAAAACATACGTCCACACAAAGACTTGTGTGCCAATGTTCATAGCAGCTTTATTTGTAACATAACTAAACTGGGAATAGCCCAAATATCCATTAACAGGTGAATAAACAAATTGCGATACATCCATGCAATGAAATACTACTCAGCAGTGAAAAGGAATGAATGGTTGATACATACCACAACATGGGTGAATCTCAAAATAGTTATGTAGAGTGAAAACAGCCAGATCCCCTCCATTAAAAAGAAGTATATACAGTATGATTTTATTTATATAAAATTCTAGAAGATTAGATTTAATCTGTAGTGACGAAGAGACAAAGGAGGTGGGATAGAAAGAGGCAGAGACGGGGGTTACCAAGGGGCAGGAGGAAAGTTTTTGGGGTGAGATGGGTATGTTTTGTCTTGAGTGTGGTGATGGTTTCATGATTTATACATATGTCAGAACTTATCAAAGGTCCGGCATGGTGACTCAAGCCTGTAAACCTGGGGCTTTGGGAGGCAGAAGCAGCAGGATTACTTGAGGCCAGGAGTTTAAGGCTGCCATGGGCTATGACTGTGCCACTTCACTCCAGCCTGGATAACAGAGTGAGACTCTGTCTCTAAAATTATTTTGCCAGGCATGGTGGCTCATACCTGTGATCCCAACACTTGGGGGGCTGAGGCAGAAGGATTGCTTGAGGCTAGGAGTTCAAGACCAGCCTAGGTATCAAAGCAAGACCCCATCTCAACAAAAAGTTTAAAAAATTAGCCAGGTGTGGTGGCACACATTTATAGTCCCAGCTACTCTGGAGGTGGGAGGATTGCTTGAGCCCAGAAGTTCAATGCTGCAGTGAGCTGTAATAGGGCCGCTGCACTTCGGCCCAGGTGACAGATTGAGACCCTCTCTCTCTCTCTCTCTCTCTCTCTCTCTCTCACACACACACACACACCTCCACACATACACACAATTGGGATGATAGTAGTAACTACGTCAGAGGCTTGTGGTGAGAACAGAAAGCATTCAGAATAGTCTCTGGCACGTATAGACAGTCAATAAATGTTAGCTAATTTTAGAAAAATATTTCTGGCAAAATATACATAACATAAAACTTACCATTTTATATGTGGTAAAATATCATTTCAACCATTTTAAGTGTATAATGCAGTGGCATTAATACATTCACGATGTTGTCCAATCATCACAACTACCTATTTCCAGAACTGTTTCATCTTCCCAAACTGAAACTTCAAAGCCATTAGACACTAACTTCCCATTGTCCCTCCTCCCAGCCCCTGGCAACCTCTATTCTACTTTTGTCTTTATGAATTTCACTACCCTAGGCACCTCATATAAATGGAATCATACAATATGTGTTCTTTTGAGTCTGGTTTATTTCACTTAGCGTATGTCTTCAAGGTTCATCCAGGTTGTTGTGTGAATTAGAGTTTCCTTCCTTTTTCAGGCTGAATAAAATTCCTTGTATGTAGACACCACACTTTGTTTATTCATTCATCAGTTGATGGACATTAAGGTTGCTTCCACCTTTTGAGTATTGTGAATAATGCTACTATGAACATGGGTGTACAAATATCCCTTTAAGCCCCTGCTTTCAATTCTTTGGGGGTATATACTTAGTGAAATTGCTGGGTTATATAGTAATTCTATTTATTTTTTTGAGATGGAGTTTTGCTCTGTTGCTCAAGCTGGAGTGCAGTGGCATGATCTTGGCTCACTGCAACCTCTGCCTCCCAGGTTCACACAATTCTCCTACCTCAGCCTTCCAAGTAGCTGGGATTTCAGGAGTGCACCACCACGCCCAGCCACTTTTTGTATTTTTAGTAGAGACGGGGTTTCTCCATGTTGGCCAGGCTGGTCTCGAACTCCCAACCTCAGATGATCTGCCTGCCTCAGCATCCCAAAGTGTTGGGATTACAGGCATGAGCCACCACACCTGGCCGGTAATTCTATTTTTAACTCTTTTATGGAACTGCCAAACTGTTTCCAAAGTGGCTATACTACACTCCCACAACAACACACAGGGATTCCAGCTTCTCGGAGTCCTGGCCATTCCTTGTTATTTTCCAACTTTTTGATAATAGCCTTCCTAATGGGTATGAAGTAGAAAAAAAAATTCCATTTTTTCCAACAGATGCTGCAACCTGGCCGTTGGCCGATACCTTTTGTTTGGCCTTGAATAGTTTTATACGTAGGAGCCAATACTTTGAAACCAGCATATTTTACAGGGAGAGAGAGAGAGAGTGAGCAAGCAGGAGCTGGCTTCTTTTGGAAAATCATATGGAAACTCTGAGCCCACATTCTTGAACCTGTGAATGAGAGGTAGTTGCCCTTGAGGTGGGGGCAAGGGCCACGTGCTTCCCTCCGGACACACATGGAAATTGTACAGGATACTGGGGAAGTGAAGAGGGACGTGCTCAGCTCAGCTCAGCTCAGCACTGGCTGTCCCGCACACCTGCACTTGAGGGTTGGGTTGGGGTCCGGGCAGTGTCTGACCTGGTGGCCTCCCACCCTCCCCACTTCCCCCAACTCACAGGACTAAGCCAATGCGCGTGCCCTCTGCCTCATTGTTTATCGTGTCTCCCTGCCCTCATGGGTCTTTGAGTTTGAGACACTCTGTGCAAGAACTAAGCCTGTGACAAGAGCGCTTCTGTCGACTACTCTGTCATTAGCAAGGGTAGAGGCCACAGGGAATAGTTCATTAGTTCCTTCACTTTCATCCTCCCCTGCACCAACACAATCTATCCTGCAATTAAGGGAAAGAAACCCAGGGAAGGGACCTTGGTGGCCTCCATGGAAAGCCCTTGTCAGCCAGTGGAGATGGGACATTGAGTTGCAATCTAGAGTGACTGGAGTGATAGTAGTGAGACATAATAATAACAGGAAGACATAGCAAGACATTGTCTCTACAAAAAAAAAAACAAAACAAAAAAACAAAAAAAACTGGGTGATGTTGACTTGATCACCAGTTGATTATTTCTTACTTCTTGGACCCAACATATATTGAGCACCTGCCATGTACCAAGCACTTGGCTAGGCTCTGGGAACACAGCATGGTTCCTGCTCTGTTCCAGGAGGATTTGGGAGCTCTTGAGACACTGAGCTTGGTTGAGTCATTATTTTATTCATCATGAAATCACTAGAAAAAGATGGAAACTTGAACTGCAAACATTGCTTGGATTTATATTCTAAGGCACTGGTTCTCAAACCTGAATGGGCTTCAGAATGACCTGGTGGGCTTGTTAAGACATAGGATGCTGCCACCTCCCAACCCCACCACCAATACAGTTTCTGGTTGAGTAGCTCTGGTTCAGGGCCTAATAACTGACATTTCTTTTTTTCTTTTCTTTTTTCTTTTTTTTTTTTTTTGAGGCAGGGTCTCCCTCTGTTGCCCAGGCTGAGTACAGTAGTGCAATCATGGCTCACTGCAACCTTGAACTCCCAGGTTTTATTGATCCTCCCACCTCAGCCTCCCAGGTAGCTGGGATTACAGGTGTGAGCCACCACACCTGGCCTGATAATTGGCACTTCTAACAAGTTATCAGGTGATGCTGATGCTGCTGGTCCAGGGACACACTTTGAGATCCACTGTTCCACGAAAATTATGCCAGGGCTGGTCTAAGAATATTCCCTTTCCTTCATTTGTTCTCCTTAACCAATCATCCTGACCCATACGGCAGCCATTGCTGTTAGATGTTACTGGAAGATTGAAATGACTGGCTGTCTCCATCGCAAACCTGAATAATTGTAGGGCTAGAAATGAGCTATCCCTTTGGCTGGGCTGCGGCTTGGGGAAGTAATTACCTCAGAATAACGAAGCAGTCACTTCCAGAGTCATTACTTCTGCATGCAGAGATGGTTCAAGAATCCTTGGAGAAACCCTATCAAGTCCTGGCCTACTTGAAGTCAGTATTGAGGCTTTCCCTGGCAGTGAAACTACTGAGGCCAAGATTGCTTTCCCAAGCTGGAAAAAACGGCATCCCAGATGACCACCCTGTTCCTGCAGACACACATCTGGGCTTCTAGCCACTGGGGGCACCAGAGGCTCACCGTTTTAACTTTTTCTGAGCAACCAAGCTGCTCTCAGCTTGTTGATTCAAGAACACTCAACCTGAAAAGTCTACAGGCTCTTATTTAAAATTTGTCCCAATCAAGAAACAAGTATTATTATTTTGTGTATTCCTGAAGTCTATGCTAGAAATGGAGGAGAATGGGAGGAACCCGCAATCAACTGTCCATTGTGGGTGTAGATTAGTATCTGCAGCCACATGGGTGATTTTTTTTTTTACTTGCAGTTAGCATTTGTCCTAATTTGAGAGAAATCAGGACCTTCATGGTGGCATAATCATAAACAACGTTTTACTTAAAGCAGTGGTTCTCAGCGTTGATTGAACATTGGAATCACCTAGCTTTATAAAGGATTGAAACTGATAGCCAAAGCTGGGACGAGTTAAGCAACAAAATTAATAAAATAGTATTGGACCCAACATATAAATAAATATCAATGAGTTCATACTAACATAAATATACAATTAAATTAATTAATTATTTAATTTGTGGTGGGAGAATTCCTAATAATGTGCACAAGAATTCCAAATAATGTATGTAGATACTCCACCCTCAAGGAGCTAGAGCACAACTCCCTATAACTAAAGTGTGAGTAGCAAACAGTGACTCTCTTCCAAAGATTACAGTATGGAAAGGGGAGAAAAGTAACTTTCCAATGGAGACATCTTAGCCAGGTGTTCAAGTCAGCATCAGTAGTGGTGAATCATGTTGATTGTATGTACTCTTGACATGATGTGATGACAATGGCACTTTACCTCTGTGCTCTTCCTCCCAAAAGCCCATGGCCCTGTCTAATCATGAGACATCAGACAGATCCCAACCGAGGGATATTCTACAAAATATTCGACCAATACTCCTCAAAAATTTCAAGACCATCAAAAACAAGAAAAGCCTAAGAAACTGTCACAGCCAAGAAGGGCCTAAGGAGACATGATGGCTAAATGTCATGTGGGTTCTTGGATGGGACCTTGGAACAGAAAAAGAATGTTAGGAAAAAACTAAAGTAGTCTGAATAAAGTATGGACTTTAGTTAATAGTAATGTCTCAACATTGATTAATTGTGACAAATTTGCGATGCTAATGTGAGATGTTAATAATTGGGGGAAATGGGTGTGGAGTATATGGGAAACTCTCTGTACCATCTTTGCAATTTCTCTATATATCTAAAGCTATTCTAAAATTTAAAAGTTTTCTCAGCGGCTGTTTAGCTTAATCGGTTAAAGCATGGTGCTGATAAAATTTTAAAGTTTATTATAAAGAAAAAACATTGATCCATGGAATCCACCCCCGGTCCCCTCAGGGGTTCAAATTTAACTAGTCCAGAATTTGGCCTTGGCTTTGGGCTATTATAGGCAGCCAGGGTTAAGAACCATACCTTCAGTGTTAATCAAAGCCGTCTGAAAAGTTAGCATATTCTTGCCTTATCCCTTTTTCTCACACACCTCAAACTATTCTTTTGGTTCCATGAAAAAAATGTTGTTTTATAATTTTCTTTCTTTCTTTTTTTTTTTTTTTGAGATGGAATCTTGCTCTGTTGCCCAGGCTGGAGTACAGTGGTGCAATCTTGGCTCACTGCAACTTCCACCTCCTGGGTTCAAGCGTTTCTCCTACCTCAGCCTCCTGAGTAGCTGGGATTACAGGCATGTGCCATCACGCCTGGCTGATTTTTGTATTTTTAGTAGACACGGGGTTTCGCCATGTTGGCCAGGCTGGTCTCGAACTTCTGACCTCAAGTGATGCACCCACCTTGGCCTCCCAAAGTGATGAGATTACAGGCGAAAGCCACTACGCCTGGCCTGTGTTATTATTTTCTTGAATAGCGTTATGGGTTGACTTTTGAGTCTCCCACAAAGATATGTTGGAGTCCTAACCCCCAATTCCTTAAAATGTGACCTCATTTGGAGATAGGGGCTTTGTAGATGATCAAGTTAAATGAGGTCCTTAGGGTAAGCCATAATCCAATGTGAAAAGTGTCCTTATAAAAAGGTGAAATTTGATACAGAGACAGACAGACATGTGTCCAGGGGAGACAATGTAAAGACAGGGACAAATCATCTACACCATCAGGGAGAGAGGCCTGGACCAGACCCTTCTCTCACAGCCCTCAGGAAGGGCCTGTCGACACCTTGATTTCGTACGTCTAGCTCTGGGAATGTGACAATAAATTTCTGTTGTTTGAGCCACTCAATTTGTTACACCATTCCCTTCAAGACTAATACATATAGTATTTGCATTCTTCTGGAATATGTTATGGCTTCATAAACATACATAAATATAGACATGATTTCAAGGGATCAAATTATGCATAATAACATTATAGTATCAATTTTCCTTTCGTATGATGCAGTCCTTTGTGGAAGGACATGTGAATGGTTTCTCTAAACTGTGACCTCCTCAAGGGCAGCTCTGCATCTCCATGGCCAGCATTATGTAACACTGTGGTTCCAGCCTCAGGAGCAGAAGCAGGGAAGGGTGGTGGCTTGGAGCTCTGGTGATGGAAGGAGGGCTCCCTTCTGTATGTGCAAGCCCAGGGCTTTTTTGGTGGGAAGCATGGTCTCAAAGGGAGTGGAGTGACCACCTGGAGAAATAAGAGATGGACTGTTACATATTGCAGATTGACAAAGAAGGCCATACTGGTTTTATGTAATTTTCTCTCTCTTTCCACAATTAATATACAGCTGTTTTTGGCAACAGCTTTATTGATATCTAATTTACATACCATATATTTTACTTGCTTAACGACTACAATTTGGCCAGGTGTGGTGGCTCACGCCTGTAATCCCAGCACTTTGGAAGCAGAGGTGGGCGGATCGCTTGAGCCGAGGAGCTCCAGACCAGCCTGGGCAGCATGGCAAAACTGTCTCTACAAAAAATATAAAAATTAGCCAAATATGGTGGTGGTGTGCACATGTAGTCCCAGCTACTTGAGAGGCTGAGGTGGCAGGATCACTTAAACCCAGAAGGTCGAGGCTATGGTAAGGTGTAATCATACCATTGCACTTTAGCCTAGGCAACAGAGTGAGACCCTGTCTCAAAAAAAAAAAAAAAAAAGAAAAAGAAAAAGAAAAAAGAGCACAATTCCATGGTTTTTAGTATTAATATATTCACAGAGTTGTGCAACCATCACCACAATTTTAGAATATTTGCATCACAGCAGAAAGAAATCCATACCCATTTCCAATCACCTCTCATTTCCAATCTCCCTAGCCCTGGGAAACCACTAATTTTTTTTTTTTTTTTTTTTTTTTGAGATGGAGTCTCACTCTGTCGCCCAGGCTGGAGTGCAGTGGCACCATCTTGGCTCACTGAAACCTCCATCTCCTGGGCTCCAGTGATTCTGCTGTCTCAGCCTCCCTAGTAGCTGGGATTACAGGCATGCACCACCACACCAGGCTAATTTGTTTGTATTTTTAGTAGAGATGGGGTTTCACCATGTTGGCCAGGCTGGTCTCAAACTCCTGACCTCAAGTGATCCACCTGCCTTGGCCCCTCAAAGTGCCGGGATTACAGGTGGGAGACACTGCACCCGGCCAGAAACAACTAATCTATTATTTGTTTCTATAGATTTGTCTGTTTGGGACATTTCATGTAACTAGAATCATACAGAATGTGGTTCTTTGCGATTGGCTTCTTTCAGGCAGCATGATGTTTTCAAGGTCCATCCATGTGGTAGCAGGTATCAGTGCTTCATTTCTTTTTACTGCCAAAAAATATTAAATTGACTTGTATACACCACACTTTATTTATCCATTCACCTTTGAATTGTTTCAAAGTTTTGACTATCATGAATAATGTTGTCATGTACATTTCATATACAAGTTTCTGTGTGGACATATGTTTTTATTTCTCTTGGGTGCATACTTAGGAGTAGAATTGCTGGCTCATATGTTAACTCTTTGTTAACATACAGAAACTGTCAGACTGTGTTTTCAAAACAGTGCACCATTTTGTATTCCTACCATTAGTGTATGAGGGTTCTACTTTTTCCATATCCTCACCAACAATTGTTATTATCTGCCTTTTTGATTATAACCAACGTAGTGAGTGTGAAGTGGTATTTCATTGTGGTTTTGATTTGTGTTTCTCTGATGGCTAATTCTATAACATTTTATAATCAGAATAAAATAAGTTCTATTCTAAAAAATAGCAACGACAGCAATTCTTCTTTAGGTAAGACATTGTCTGTGTTCCAGTTTTCTCTGACAATCTGTGACCCAGTAGTCTCACAGACAGTCCTTTTGGATAAACATAGAAATTTACCCCTCTGGTCTTAAACTTATATTTGTTTTATCTGAGTTCCTTCTTCAGGAAAGGACACCCAGGACTCTCAAAAACTATCAAAGAACTGGCTGTCTGCGGTGGCTCATGCCTGTAATCCCAGCACTTTGGGAGGCCAAGGCGGGCGAATCACGAGGTCAGGAGATCGAGACCATCCTCGCCAACACAGTGAAACCCCATCTCTACTAAAAATACAAAGAATTATCTGGGCTTGGTGGCAGACACCTGTAGTCCCAGCTACTCAGGAGGCTGAGGCAGGAGAATGTCATGAACCCGGGAGGCAGAGCTTGCAGTGAGCCGAGATCACGCCACTGCACTCCAGCCTGGGTGACAGAGTGAGACTCCATCTCAAAAAAAAAAAAAAAAAGTTTCAAAGAACTGAAACTCACCAGATGATCCCCACATCCAGAAAGTGAGATGATCTCATGCGTCATTAATCATGATTGCTTTCTTACTCCTCCCTAGTTCCTGTTTTCCCACACATTGCTAAATTTCTTCCCTGCCATATAAACCTCTAATTTTAATTGGTCAGGGAAATGGATTTGAGACTGACCTCCCATCTCCTTGGCTGTAGCACCCGATTAAAGCCTTCTTCCTTGGCAATACTCATCATCTCAGTCATTGGCTTTCTGTAGGGGGAGCAGCAGGACCTAAACTAAACCCTGCTGTTTCGGTAACAGATTTTGGTTCCCTGACCAGGAACACATTGCTCATGGTTTGGCTGCTGCAGGCCAGGAATCTCAGAAGCCATCCTAAGCAGCTGCCCACCCAATTTTGTCTGGAGGTGAGTTTTGGTCTCCCTCTGGCCCTGCTGCTGACCCCAACTGTGTTCCTGATTGCCTAGAAAGAGCATCCTTTGAAATTTGACATCTGCATCCACATGGGATAGTGTCCTTTGTGGGTCCTGATAGCAGGATCTGCTCCTCTCAATTTGGGAAATATTTATAGAAATTTCCATTTGCAGGTTGAACAAGCCCAACTGACTTGAGAGAAGCACCCTGACTGTTTCAGTGTAGACATTCTTGGGGGCTTGTTTGTAATTGTGTGTTTTGTGTGTGTGTGTGTGTGTGTGTGTGTGTGTATGTGTGTGTGTCCAGGCAAGTGAGTGTCTTGCAGGTACCACACAGCAGGATTGGATCCTCTCAATTTGAAAAATTTCAAAGGAATTTTATTTGCAGGTTGATCAAGCCCAACCAATAGAGAGAGGAAGCACCCCAAATGTTTCAGCTTGGACACTCTTGGGGCTTGTTTATTGCTGTAGCATTTGAATTGTGTTTTGGTGATTGTGTGTGTGCCATGGGAAATCAGAATTCAATAAACTGAAATTCTTTTGTAATACTGTTTGACCCCAATATTGTTTGGAATCTGGAGTTTGCTGTTGAATGGGAAAGTGGGATGGAGTTCTGTGTATCCAGGCTTTTGTGCTGCTGTTCTAAGCAGAGTTGGGCCTGGTTATTTATTTATTTATTTTTGAGATGGAGTCTCGCTGTGTTACCCAGGCTGGAGTGCAGTAGTGTGATCTCAGCTCACTGCAACCTCCACTTCATGAGTTCAAGTGATTCTCCTGCCTCAGCCTCCTGAGTAGCTGGGATTACAGTTGCGCTCCACCACACCTGGCTTATTTTTTTTTTTTTTGAGACGGAGTCTCGCTCTGTCGCCCAGGCTGGAGTGCAGTGGCGCAATCTCAGCTCACTGCAAGCTCCGCCTCCTGGGTTCACACCATTCTTCTGCCTCAGCCTCCCGAGTAGCTGGGACTACAGGCGCCTGCCACCATGCCTGGCTAATTTTTTGTATTTTCAGTAGAGACGGGGTTTCACTGTGTTAGCCAGGATGGTCTCGAACTCCTGACCTCAAGTGATCCACCCGCCTCGGCCTCCCAAAGTGCTGGGATTACAGGCGTGAGCCACTGTGCCCGGCCTACACCTGGCTTATTTTTGTATTTTTAGTAGAGATGGGGTTTCACCATGTTGGTCAGGCTAGTCTCAAACTCCTGACCTCGTGATCCACTCATCTCAGCCTCCCACAGTGCTGGGAATACAGGTGTGAGCCACCACGCCCAGCCTTGGGCCTGGTTATCATGCGATGTTCTCCCATGGTGCTGTTTGGCTTCAGTGTTCTTTGGAGTCTGGAGAGGTTTGGCCTTTAAAAAACAAATTGCCATGGAAACTGCTTTACCCACAATTTTGGTTCACAGCCTTCACTGGATTGCCTATCCAGTCAAACAAAGTGTAGCCACATAAACTGGTGATTTGTATTGCTATCTTATGGCTACAGTTCAAAGGCAAAGGCTATTGTATCTTTGTTTATATATGTGTGTATACATGTCTATATATGTTTATGTATGTACGTTATATGTTGTGTCTACCAAATTGGCTTATAAATACAAAAAACTCATATATTAAGTCCAAAGTCTTTTTCAAGTTCACAAGACTTACATAAACCTTTAATAAAGAAGCTGGCTTTAAAATTACTGATAAAATAAAAGTAGAAGGGTCTTCAGAATTGTCAGCATACATTTTTGTCTAGGTTTTATATTTGTCTCTGCTAGATGTTTTGAGGTGTCAGGGTTTGGCACAGAAGGTTATAAAACTGAACCCAGCTGGAATAAACAAAATAATCTTCGTTTGTGTGCCTTCTTTGACAAAAGAGATCAATTTAATGTTGTTAGCTGAATCTTCTGAGTTATTGGCAAAAAATACTTATGTATTTAACTTTAAGTTTCTTACTTAGATCCTGGCTATTTAAAAAAATGGTTAGCTGGATGCGGTGGCTTACACTTGTAATCCTAGCACTTTGGGAGGCTGAGGTGGGCAGATCACGAGGTCAGGAGTTCGAGACCAGCCTGGCCAACACAGTGAAGCCCCATCTTTAAAAAAAAATACAAAAATTAGCTGGGCATGGTGGCAGTGGCCTGTAATCCCAGATACTTGGGAGGCTGAGGCAGGAGAATCACTTAAACCCAGGAGGTGGAGGTTGCACTTCAGCCTGGGTGACAGAGCTAGACTCTATCTCAAAAAAATAAAAATAAAAAATAAAAAATGGAAATTACTTTGATTGATGACTAGTTGTGTCTTATATCTCAGTTTTCAGAAGTAATCTAGATGAACTTAAAAAATGAAATGATTGAGTACATGTAAATGGGATACATGTTATAGGTAAACATTTTGTATAATTTAAAATCTTAAAATTATTTTTGATGCTTATTGGATATCTGATTCATTTCCAATTAATAAATGGTTATGATATGGGAAAAAATAATTTTACAAATTGTGGATTAGTTCTCATCTATCAAATGCTGATATCTGATAAGCAGCTCAGGATTTCCTACTTCCTAGGTTTTTTCACTAAAATTTAAGGTTACTAAGAATAAGAATTCTAGTTAATATATAATTCTGTATATAAAGTGTGCCAAAAAAGATGTGTTTTTATTGAGAAAAAGAATCATTTTGTCTGGTTCAGAAGTTATCTAAAGGTTAATTCAAATTATGGGTTTGAAAATGTTATTTATGAAACAAGGTAGAAAGTAACCAGTAAGTACAGGAGAGAGATGTGAACAAAGTTATGGATATGAAGATGTATTTTTGGTATAGGTTCTAAAGAAAAGATTCCAAAGAAAATAGAATAATTATGTATGAAAAAGGATCTTGTATGGCAAATTTTTGTCCTAAAGTAAAATGACTGGTTATTTAAAAAAAAAAACAAAAAAACAAAACAGAAAGAAAAAGGGAAAATGTAGAACAAAACAGAAAGTCCAAGCATGTCACAGATGGTCTGTGTAAGTCATACGTTGTCTGTGTGTCTCTCTTCATGCAAATATTCTTTAAAACCTGATAGAAAATTGGAGAAATTTGGCTAATTAACATTGCTTATAGTTAAATCTTGTAGTCTTGATGAAGGTAAAATAAGAAATATAGGAAATATTGTAAAGAAATACATTGGTAGTTTGGCAATTTTAAAAAATATAGTTAAGCATGAAGCCAGATTTAGCGTAGAACCACATCTCACATACATGCTTGCATTGATTCACACTACATTTGCTGTTCTGCAGATAGGGCTAGCACTAAAGTATAATACTGGTCATGTACTGAGAATGAATTTCTGTTCTTTGTTATTTTTTTTTTCTGTGAGACGGAGTCTCACTCTGTCACCTAGGCTGGAGTGCAGTGGCAAGATCTCAGATCACTGCAACCTCTGCCTCTGTGATTCATGTGATTCTCCTGCCTCAGCATCCCAAGTAGCTGGGATTATAGGAGCACACCACCATGCCTGGCTAATTTTTGTATTTTCAGTAGAGATGGGGTTTTACCATGTTGGCTAGGCTGGTCTCAAATGCCTGCCTGGGCCTCCCAAAGTGCTGGGATTACAGGCGTCAGCCACTGCACCTGACCTAAAGTGAATTTCCTAATTGCACAAAATGTATGGTAGTATTGGTGGCCTTAAAGACATTAAATTGCATATCAGGAAGAAAATATTCGTCATGCGATTTTTTTTTTTTTTTTTTTTTTTGGCTCTGAGTAACACTGTAGCCTCCAAGGTAAACTGAGTATAAGAAAAATTTTGGGTTGGTTTCCTGTTTATTTCTTTTGCTTCTAATTTTTATTTGCTGTTTGTTTGCTTTTGGGTTTTACTTATACATACATATATATAAAATGATTGACTTTTTAAAATTCTAGTGGAAGGCTTTTATTTGGTTCTATGAACAATCATTTTGTTTCCTATGCATTTCCAGCAATTCACCATTTGCCCTGTTTATCCTAAGCTACCTTTGTCAAGCCTCCAAAAATTGATAGAGGATACTAGCCATTTAAAATTTGAGGCCAGTCCAGCACAGCACAGCGCGGCCCGCAGGAGCCTGGCCTGAACATGTGCCCACCAGACCTCCAAACTTGAGCCACCATCTCTGCCCATCCCTAGGGAGCCTAAGCCCCTGCAGCACCCCTCCCACCTGTCTCCAGCCATGGGTGATGTTGATGCTGCTGTTTTGGAGACAACACTCTAAGCATGTGTGCTTCCAATTGTGAGTCTGTGAACTCTGTAAAGAGACAGAAAATCGATTCCCAGGCAAGATGGGCGAATAGGAACAGCTCTGGTCTGCAGTTCCCAACGAGACCAACATGGAAGGTGGGTGATTCCTGCATTTCCAACTGAGGTACTCAGCTCATCTCACTGGGACTGGTTAGAACGTGGGAGCAGCGCATGGAGGGCAAGCAGAATCAGGGTGAGGTATTTCCTCACCCAGAAAGTGCAAGGGGTTGGGGAACTCCCTCCCATAGCCAAGGGAAGCTGTGAGTGAGGGATGGTGTTACTTGGCCCAGATACTATGCTTTTCCCACTCTCTTCACAACTCACAGACCAGGAGATTCCCTTGGGTACCTACACCACCAGGGCCCTGGGTTTCAAGCACAAAACTGGGTGGCCATTTGGGCAGACACTGAGCTAGCTGCAGGAGTTTTGTTTCGTATCCCAATGGTGTGTGGAATGCCAGTGAGACAGAACTGTTCACTCCCCTGAAGAGGGGGCTGAAGCCAGGAAGCTGAGTGGTCTTGCTCAGCGGATCTCACCCTCACAGAGCCCAACAAGCTAAGATCCACTGGCTTGAAATTCTTGCTGCCAGCACAGCAGTCTGAAGTCGACCTGGGATGCTCGAGCTTGGTGGGGGTAGGGATGTCCACCATTATTGAAGCTCGAGTAGGTGGTTTTCCCCTCACAGTGTAAACAAAGCCTCCAGGAAGTTTGGACTGGGCAGAGCCCACCACAATGCCACAAAGTCACTGTAGCCAGACTGCCTCTATAGATTCCTCATCTCTGGGCAGGGCATCTCTGAAAGAAATGCCGCAGCCTTAGTCAGGGGCTTATAGATAAAATCCCCATCTCCCTGGGACAGAGCACCTGGGGGAAGGGGCAGCTGTGCGTGCAGCTTCAGCAGACTTAAATGTTCCTGCCTGCCAGCTCTGAAAAAAGCAGCAGATCACTTGACACAGTGCTCAAGCTCCTGCTGAGGGACAGACTGCCTCCTCAAGTGAGTCCCTGACCCCCGTGCTTCTTGATGGGGGGACACCTCCCAGCAGGGGTTGAGAGACACCTCATACAGGAGAGCTCTGGCTGCCATCTGGCAGGTGCCCCTCTGGGACAAAGCTTCCAGAGGCAGAAGCAGGCAGCAATCTTTGCTGTTTTGCAGCCTCCGCTGGTGATACCCAGGCAAACAGGGTCTGGAGTGGACCTCCGGCAAACTCCAAAAAACCTGCAGAAGAGGGGCCTGACTGTTAGAAGGAAAACTAATAAAGAGAAAGCAATAGCATCAACATCAACAAAAAGGATGACCACACAAAAACCCCATCCAAAGGTCACCAACATCAAAGACGAAAGGTAGATAAATCCGTGAAGATAAGGAAAAACCAGTGCAAAAAGACTGAAAATTCCAAAAACCAGAATGTCTCTTCTCCTTCAAAGGATCACAACTTCTCACCAGCAAGGGAACAAAAGTGGATGGAGAATGAGTCTGAGGAAGTGACAGAAGTAGGCTTCAGAAGGTGGGTAATAACAAACTCCTCTGAGCTAAAGGAGCATGTTCTAACCCAATGCTAAGAACCTTGCTAGGAAGCTAAGAACCTTGATAAAAGGTTACAGGAACTACTAACTAGAATAATCAATTTATGGGCTAGGCACAGTGGCTCACGCCTGTAATTCTAGCACTTAGGGAGGCTGAGGTGGGTGGATCATGAGGTCAGGAGTTCGAGATCAGCCTAACCAACACGATGAAACCCTGTCCCTACTAAAAATACAAAAATTAGCTGGGTGTGGTGGCACGTGCCTGTAGTCCCACCTACTCAGGAGGCTGAGGCAGGAGAATTGCTTGAACCCAGGAGGCGGAGGTTGCAGTGAACCAAGATCTTGCCACTGCACTCCAGCCTGTGTGACAGAGCAAGACTCCATCTCAAAAAAATAAATAAATAAAAATAGAATAACCAGTTTAGAGAAGAACATAAATGACCTGATGGAGCTGAAAAACACAGCATGAGAACTTCGTGAAGCATACACAAGTATCAATAGCCAAATCGATCAAGCAGAAGAAAGGATATCAGAGATTGAAGATCAACTTAATGAAATAAAGCATGAAGACAAGATTAGAGAAAAAAGAATGAAAAAGAATGAACAAAGTCTCCAAGAAATATGGGGCTATATGAAAAGACCAAACCTATGTTTGATTGGTGTACTGAAAGTGATGGGGAGAATGGAACCAAGTTGGAAAACACACTTCAGGATATTATCCAGGAGAAATTCCCCAACCTAGCAAGACAGGCCAATGTTCAAATTGAGGAAATACAGAGAACACCACAAAGATACTCCTTGAGAAGAGCAACCCCAAGACACATAATTGTCAGATTCACCAAGGTTGAAATGAAGGAAAAAATGTTAAGGGCAGCCAGAGAGAAAGGTTGGGTTACACACAAAGGGAAGCCCATCAGACTAATAGTGGATCTCTCTGCAGAAACCCTAGAAGTGAGAAGAGAGTGAGGGCCAACACTGAACATTTTTAAAGAAAAGAATTTTCAACCCAGAATTTCATATCCAGCCAAACTAAGCTTCATAAGTGAAGGAGAAATAAAATCCTTTACAGAGAAGCAAATGCTGAGGGATTTTATCACCACCAGGCCTGCCTCACAAGAGCTCCTGAAGGAAGCACGAAATATGGAAAGGAAAAACCAGTACCAGCCACTCCAAAAACATACCAAAATGTAAAGGCCATCAACACTGTGAAGAAACTGCATCAACTAATGGGCAAAATAACAAGCTGGCAACATAATGACAGGATCAAATTCACACAAAACAATATTAACCTTAAATGTAAACTGGCTAAATGCCCCAATTAAAAGACACAGACTGACAAATTGGATAAAGAGTCAAGACCTATCAATGTGCTGTATTCAGGAGACCCATCTCATGTGCAAAGACACACATAGGCTCAAAATAAAGGGATGGAGGAAGATTTACCGAGCAAATAGAAAGCAAAAAAAAAAAAAAAAAAAAAGCAGGATTGCAATCCTAGTCTCTGATAAAACAGACTTTAAACCAACAAAGATCAAAAAAGACAAAGAA
Source organism: Homo sapiens (assembly GCF_000001405.40). Classification (NCBI taxonomy): domain Eukaryota; kingdom Metazoa; phylum Chordata; class Mammalia; order Primates; family Hominidae; genus Homo; species Homo sapiens. Next base: position 49,882,129 of record NC_000013.11, read on the forward strand.
GGGCATTACATAACGGTAAAGGGATCAATGCAACAAGAAGAGCTAACTATCCTAAATATGTATGCACCCAATACAGGAGCACCCAGATTCATAAAGCAAGTTCTTAGAGACCTGCAAAGAGACTTAGACTCCCACACAATAATAGTGGGAGACTCTAACACTCCACCGTCAATATTAGACAGATCAATGAGACAGAAAATTAACAAGGATATTCAGGACTTGAACTCAGCTCTGGACCAAGCAGACCTAATAGACATCTACAGAACTCTCCACCCCAAATCAACAGACTATACATTCTTCTCAGCACCACATAGCACTTATTCTAAAATTCACCACATAATTTGAAGTGAAGTACTCTTCAGCAAATGCAAAAGTACAGAAATCATAACAAACAATCTCTCAGACCACAGTGCAATCAAATTAGAACTCAGGATTAAGAAACTAACTCAAAACTGCACAAATACATGGAAACTGAACAAGCTGCTCCTGAATGACTACTGGGTATATAATGAAATTAAGGCAGAAATAAATAAGTTCTTTGAAACTAATGAGAAAAAAGACACAATGTACCAGAATCTCTGGGACACAGCTAAAACAGTGTTTAGAGGAAAATTTATAGCACTAAATGCCCACAGGAGAAAGTAGGAAGGATCTAAAATGGACACCCTAACATCACAATGAAAAGAACTAGAGAAGCAAGAGAAAACAAATTCAAAAGCTAGCAGAAGATGAGAAATAACTCAGATCAGAGCAGAACTGAAGGAGATAGAGACACAAAAAACCCTTCAAAAAATCGATGAATCCAGGAACTGGTTTTTTGAAAAGATTAACAAAATAGATAGACCGCTAGCCAGACTAATAAAGAAGAAAACAGAGAAGAATCAAATAGACACAATAAAAACTGATAAAGGGGATGTCACCACTGATCCCACAGAAATACAAACTACCGTCAAAGAATACTATAAACACCTCTATGCAAATAAACTAGAAAATCTAGAAATGGATAAATTCCTAGACCCATACACCCTCCCAAGACTAAACCAGGAAGAAGTTGAATCCCTGAATAGACTAATAACAAGTTCTGAAATTGAGGCTGTAATTAATAGCCTACCAACCAAAAAAAGCCCAGGACCAGACAGATTCACAGCCAAATTCTACCAGAGGTACAAAGAGGAGCTGGCACCATTCCTTCTGTAACTATTCCAAACAGTAGAAAAAGAGGGACTCCTCCCTAACTCATTTTATGAGGCCAGCATCTTCCTCATATCAAAACCTGGCAGAGACACAACAAAAAAAGAAAATTTCAGGCCAATATCCCTGATGAACATCAATTAGAAAATCCTCAATGAAATACTGCCAAACTGAATCCAGCAGCACATTAAAAAGCTTATCCACCACAATGAAGTCGGCTTCATCCCTGGGATGCAAGCCTGGTTCAACATATACTAATCAATATATATAATCCATCACATAAACAGAACCAATGACAAAAACCACATGATTATCTCAATAGATGCAGAAAAGACCTTTGATAAAATTCAACACCCCTTCATGCTAAAAACTCAATAAACTAGGTATTGATGGAACGTATCTCAAAATAATAAGAGCTATTTAAGACAAACTCACAGCCAATATCATACTGAATGGGCAAAAGCTGGAAGCATTCTTTTTGAAAACTGGCACAAGACAAGATCACTCCTATTCAACGTAGTACTGGGAGTTCTGGCCAGGGCAATCAGGCAAGAGAAAGAAAGAAATTGTATTCAAATAGGAAGAGAGGGAGTCAAATTATCTCTGTTTGCAGATGACATGATTGTATATTTAGAAAAGCCCATCGTCTCAGCCCAAAATCTCCTTAAGCTGATAAGCAACTTCAGCAAAGTCTCAGGATACAAAATCAATGTGCAAAAGTCACAAGCATTCCTATACACCAATAACAGACAAACAGAGAGCCAAATCATGAGTGAACTCCCATTCACAATTGCTACAAAGAGAATAAAATATCTAGGAATACAACTTACAAGGGATGTGAAGGACCTCTTCAAGAAGAACTACAAACCACTGCTCAAGGAAATAAGAGAGGACACAAACAAATGGGAAAACATTCCATGCTCATGGATAGGAAGAATCAATATAGTGACAATGGCCATACTGCCCAAAGTAATCTATAGATTCAATGCTAGTCCCATCAAGCTGCCATTGACTTTCTTCACAGAATTAGAAAAATCTACTTTAAATTTCATATGGAATCAAACAGAGCCCATAAAGGCAAGGCAATCCTAAGCAAAAAGAACAAAGCTGGAGGCATCATGCTACCTGACTTCAAACTATGCTACAAGGCTACAGGAACCAAAACAGCATGGTACTGGTACCAAAACGGATATATAGACCAATGGAACAGAACAGAGGCCTCAAAAATAACACTACACATCTACACTCATCTGATCTTTGACAAACCTGACAAAAACAAGCAATGGGGAAAGGATTCCCTATTTAATAAATGGTATCGGGAAAACTGGCTAGCCATATGCAGAAAACTGAAACACCTTATACAAAAATTAACTCGAGATGGATTAAATATTTAAACATAAGACCTAAAACCATAAAAGCCCTAGAAGAAAACCTAGGCAATACCATTCAGGACATGGGCAAAGACTTCATGACTAAAACGCCAAAAGCAATGGGAACAAAAGCCAAAACTGACAAATGGGATCTAATTAAACTAAAGAGCTTCTGCACAGCAAAATAAACTATCATCAGAGTGAACAGGCAACCTACAGAATGGGAGAAAAGTTTTGCAATCTATCCATCTGACAAAGGGCTAATATACAGAATCTACAAGGAATGTAAACAAATTTACAAGAAAAAAACCAAACAATCCCATCAAAAAGTGGATGAAGGATATGAACAGACACTTTTCAAAAGAAGACATTTAGGCAGCCAACAAACGTGAAAAAAAGCTCATAATCACTGGTCATTAGAGAAACGCAAATCAAAATCACAATGAGATACCATCTCACGCCAGTTAGAATGGCGATCATTAAAAAGTCAGGAAACAACAGATGCTGGAAAGGATGTGGAGAAATGGGAACGCTTTTACACTGTTGGTGGGAGTGTAAACTAGTTCAGCCATTGTGGAAGATGGTGTGGTGATTCCTCAAGGATCTAGAACCAGAAATACCATTTGAACCAGCAATCCCATTACTGGGTATATACCCAAAGGATTATAAATCATTCTATTATAAAGACACATGCACACATATGTTTATTGCAGCACTATTCAAAATAGCAAAGACTTGGAACCCACCCAAATGCCCATCAATGATAGACTGGATAAAGAAAACGTGGCACATACACACCATGGAATACTTTGCAGCCATAATGAGTTCATGTCCTTTGCAGGGACATGGATGAACCTGGAAACCATCATTCTCAGCAAACTAACACAGGAACAGAAAACCAAACACCGCATGTTCTCATTCATAAGTGGGAGTCGAACAGTAAGAACATATAGGGACAGGGAGGAGATTTTCACACACTGGGGCCTGTTGGGGGATGGGGGGCAAGGGGAGGGGAATATCACACACTGGGGCCTGTTGGGGCATGGGGGGCAAGGGGAGGGAAAGCATTAGGGGAAATACCTAATGTAGATGATGGGTTGATGGGTATAGCAAGCCACCACGGCACATGTATACCTATGTAACAAACCTGCATATTCTGCACATGTATCCCAGAATTTAAAGTATAAAAACATTTTTTTGATTGGCTTTGCTGATGATCTTGAGATCTATGAGAGCCTTAAGTTTCTTGGCAAATAAATAAATAAATAAAAGACATTTTTTATAAGGTTTGAACAGATAGTACATTTATTTTGTTGTTTGAAAAGATAGGTGAGAATTAAAATGTTTAAATGGTGTTTATTTCCAAGGTGATTCTTTTCATTATTATTACTATTATTATTATTATTATTAGAGATATTGTCTTGCTTAGTCTCCCAGGCTGAACTGGACTGCAGTGGTGCAATCTCAGCTCATTGCGACTTGCCCTCTCAGGTTCAATCGATTCTCGTGCCTCAGCCTCTTGAGTAGCTGGGATTACAGGCGTGCACCACCATGCCCTCTAATTTTTTTATTTTTAGTAGGGACGAGGTTTTGCCATGTTGGCCAGGCTGGTCTTGAACTCCTGACCTCAAATGGTCCACCTGCTTTGGCCTCCCAAAGTGCTGAGATTACACGCATGAGCCACCATGTCCAGCCTATTTCCAAGGTAATTCAATGAAATCAATAATTTGAGTTGGTTTCAGATCTTTTTCTTTAATGAGGAAAAACTGTGATATGGGTACAAAATTTTAATGCTCAGGAAAAATTGGCCTTGTCCTTACGGAAATTATATTGATTGAGATTTCTTTCAAACTACTTTAATTGTGTTTACTATTATTAACATTAAGTGCCGGGCGCGGTGGCTCACGCCTGTAATCCCAGCACTTTGGGAGGCCGAGGTGGGTGGATCACCTGAGGTCAGGAGTTCGAGACCAGCCTGACCAAAATGGCCCGTCTCTACTAAAAACACAAAAATTAGCTGGGCGTGGTAGCAGACGCCTGCAATCCCAGCTACTCAGGAGGCCGAGGCAGGAGAGTCACTTGGACCCGGGAGGTGGAGGTTGCAGTGAGGCGAGATTGCGCCATTGCACTCCAGCCTGGGTGACAGAGCCATACTCCATCTCAGAAAAAAAAAAAAAGACACAGGGCCAGAAATTAAAACTACTCAATCCCTCTAGGCTGAGGGACTACTGCAGAAGAGGTAGGCACATGAGATTGTAATGGCCGGTTTTGAGGGATAAGATTAGTTCAGGGCCAGGTGCCATGGCTCATGCCTCAATCCCAGCACTTTGGGAGGCTGAGGTGGGTGGATCACAAGGTCAGGAGATCAATACCATCCTGGCTAACACCATGAAACCCCATCTCTACTAAAAATACAAAAAAATTAGCCGGGCGTGGTGGCAGGCACCTGTGGTCCCAGCTACTCGGGAGGCTGAGGCAGGAGAATGGCATGAATCTGGGAGGCAGAGCTTGCAGTGAGCCAAGATCATGCCACTGCACTCCAGCCTGGGTGACAGAGCGAGACTCTGTCTCAAAAAAAAAAAAAAGAAAGATTATTTCAGTTTTTCTATAAATTAAACATTAACACCAAAACCACACTGATGCAAGGCCAGCATCTGGGACTTCCTGGAGCATTAATCTGCTCCTTAATAGAAAATTGTAAAAGATTATAAAAAGTTTATGGAAATCTTACCTTATGGTCAAACTGATTACAATTGGATAGATTTGTTTATAAGGTTTTATTAAAATTAGTTTTAACATTAATAATATACCATATAAAGGTAAAATTTGGTTTCCCTTGAACAAAATGTTCATGTAAGAGATAAGAGATTTTTGAGTAAAACTACAGAAAAAGAGAGGGTTCTTTCCCTCCTAGTTGGCTTCATGCTGTTTTTATTAGGGCTTATTGTTTGGGAAGCTGAGTCTCCTCACTATCAAAGGGTAACCTGTTTTGTATTATCATTTTTGCTAAACGAATGGCTATTTTATAGTGACCTATAATCCTATTTTGTGATGTCAAGTGTCTTAAAACTGATCTCTGACAAACTTTCCAATGGCAAAATTTCAAGCTCTAAATTCAGTCTTTTTGACCTCAAAGTAACTTTTTTGGGTATAAGTTTCCCTGACGTCCAAGAGAGACATATTAGGTTTATTTGGCTTATTTGTTATGTTAGAATTATGCAGGAAGCATTGTCAATCTGAGGTGGTGTTCAGCTTCCTTTGGGTTTTATTTATTTATTTATTTATTATTTATTTTTTAGATGGGTCTTGCTCTGTTGCCCAGGCTGGAGTGCAGTGGCACAATCTCAGCTCACTGCAGCCTCTGCCTCCCAGATTCAAGTGATTTTTGTGCCTCAGGCTTCCAAGTAGCTGGGATTACAGGCATGTATCACCATGCCCAGCTAATTTTTGTATTTTTAGTGGAGATAAGGTTTCGCCATGTTGGCCAGGCTGGTCTTGAACTCCTGACCTCAGGTGATCCACCTGCCTTGGCCTCCTGGAGTTCCAGGATGATATGAGAGTTCTAAAATTCTGATATGTCTTAATATATGTTGTCACAGTAATTATTATTATGATGTTAACTTGTATGCCACAGGAATAACAAAATACCCTAGTTAACTGTGCCTTTAACTATGGCTGTCTTAAAACTTTTGTCATCCACAATTGTAGTTTTGCTTTGATCCTTCTCAAAAAGTGACTTATAATCAGCTACAGTCCAGGGCTTTCTTCTTTGGGGAAGTTTATGAAAAATTCAACCTCTCAAATGCAGGTTTCTTATAACTTTGTAGACTGTGCCATTGGATTAGAGAGAAAACTTCCAGGGCACTAATTGAAATGCTGATATGTTCATAAAGATTGCTAACTCAATATGAAGCATACCAGAAGTTGATTGCATGGACTGAATTAATGGAGACTGAAATAATTTTTTATGGTTTTTTTGTTTGAAATATTGCTGATTCTTTTTGTTTTGTTTTTCAGAGTCTGGAGAATTTTTTTCTTTGGAGCTTTTTATTGCCTCTGAGTATACTTTAAGTATATTGAATACAGTATGCTTTCCTCAAACAGAATTTGAGGCATAGTTCTCTCTATGCCTAATTTATCCAGAATTTGTAAATTATTTGTGAATATTCTTAATTCATGGCAATGTGTTTGCTTGCATAAGTTCAATAAGAATCTATTTTATTTTATACTGCGACACAGATGGATGAACTGGCTATTTTCCCAGGTCTTTGACTGAAATGGCCTTGTGAGAGGTTCCAGCAAGGCCAATTTAGGAGAGCCTATGTGGACAGCAATTCTTGCTGCACTTTGTGGGGTAATCAAGCCACGTTTATGGGATTGCAGCTTATTTCGCAGGTAGGTTTGTCTTGCTGAGATTTGTCTTTGGTGGAAGTAGGGGACTGGAAAAAGAAAGATTGTTTCAGAAGAAAAGGATAGTATTAGATTAACCTTTGATTCCTGGGGGGCCACAGAGTCACCCATGGTATGAGGCTGCCCAGGATGCCCCTCATCAATATCAAGCAGCCAGAATGATCAACAAGATTCCCCATGAATGAGGAATTGATATTTATGTATATACTATATTATTCTTTTTTTAAGATGGGGTCTCACTCTATCACCCAGGCTGGAATGCTGTGGTGCCATCTTGGCTCAGTGTAACCTCTGCCTCCTGGTCCAAGTGATTCTCCTGCCTCAGCCCCCTGAGTAGCTGGGACTACAGGTGTGCACCACCATGCCTGACTAATTTTGTGTTTTTAATAGAGTTGTGGTTTCAGTATATTGGCCAGGCTGGTCTTGAAATCCTGACCTCAAGTGATCTGGCTGCCTCAGCCTCCCAAAGTGCTGGGATTACAATCGTGAGTCACCGCACCCAGCCTATTTAAAAAAAAAAAAACCAAGAAACTGTAAACCATTTAAATTTAGCAGTGGAGGGTTTTATACCAACTTTAGTGACACTAAATGTTAGTAAGTTCTGATAACCCACTATCATTGGACCAAACTGTACTATAATTTTTGTCATTATTTTAGAGTGTACTGTTAGAAGTTAACCGTAAAACAGCCTCAGGCAGGTCCTTCAGGAGGTGTCCAAAAAAGGGCATTGTTATCACAGGAGGTGACAGCTCCATGCCTGTTATTGCCCCTGAAGACCCTCCAGTGGGACAAGATGTGGAGATGGAAGACAGTGATATTGATGATCCTGACCCTGTGTAGGCTGAGGCTAATGTGTGTGTCTATGTCTTGGTTTTTTAACAAAAAACTATTAAAACGTAAAAACAAGAAAAATTTAATAGAAAAAAGCTTATAAAATAAGGATACAAAGAAGACATTTTTGTACAGCTGTACAATATGTTTGTGTTGTAAGTGAAGTGTTATTACAAAAAAGTAAAAAAGATTAAAAAAGTTTAAACATTTATAAAGTTAAAAAGTTACAGTAAGCTAAGGTTAATTTATTATTGAAGAAAACAACTTTAATTAATTAGTGTAGCTTAAGCGTGCAGTGCTTGTGAAGTCTGCAGTAGTGTATAGTAGTGCCCTAGGCCTTCACATTCACTCACCACTTACTAACTCACCCACAGCAATTTCCAATCTTGCAAGCTCCATTTATTTATGGTAAGTACTCTATACAAGCAGATCTTTTAAAAAACATTTTATACTATATTTTTACAGTATCTTTTCTATGGGCCTGTAAGGCCTGTGGGTTCTCGCGTCCCCCAGCTCCCCCCGCAGCCGGCTCCTCAGTGGTCCGCTCCGGTTGCCAGGTGCGGATTCTGTTCCTAACTGAAGGCTGAGTGTTCTTCGCCATTAACTGTGGCCCCGACAGGCCTGGGTTACTGCGGCCACCGCCACAGCAGCCTTGGCGCTATGGAGGAGCCCGGGGCTACCCCTCAGCCTTACTGGGGGCTGGTCCTGGAGGAGCCACGCAGGGTTGTGGCAGCACTGCCTGAAGGCAGGAGACCAGATTCGAATCCTTATGGATTTCCATGGGAATTGGTGATATGTGCAGCTGTCCTTGGATTTGTTGCTGTTCCCTTTTTCTTGTGGAGAAGTTTTAGATCGGTTAGGAGTCGGCTTTATGTGGGAAGAGAGAAAGAGCTTGCTGTAGCGCTTTCTGGACTAATTGAAGAAAAATGTAGACTACTTGAAAAATTTAGCCTTGTTCAAAAAGAGTATGAAGGCTATGAAGCAGAGTCACCTTTAGAGGATGCCAGCTTTGAGAAGGAGGCAACAGAAGCACAAAGTTTGGAGGCAAACTGTGAAAAGCTGAACAGGTCCAATTCTGAACTGGAGCATGAAATACTCTGTCTAGAAAAGGAGTTAAAAGAAGATAAATCTAAACATTCTGAACAAGATGAGGTGATGGCGGATATTTCCAAAAGGATACAGTCTCTAGAAGATGAGTCAAAATCCCTAAAATCACTGCTAGCTGAAGCCAAAATGACCTTCAAGAGATTTCAAATGAATGAAGAACAAATGAAGATAGCAATACAAGATGCTTTGAATGAAAATTCTCAACTTCAGGAAAGCCAGAAACAGCTTTTGCAAGAAGCTGAAGTATGGAAAGAACAAGTGAGTGAACTTAATAAACAGAAAATAACATTTGAAGACTCCAAAGTACACGCAGAACAAGTTCTAAATGATAAAGAAAATCACATCGAGACTCTGACTGAACGCTTGCTAAAGATCAAAGATCGGGCTGCTATGCTGGAAGAAGACATAACAGATGATGAAAACTTGGAATTAGAAATGAACAGTGAATCGGAAGATGGTGCTTACTTAGATAATCCTCCAAAAGGAGCTTTGAAGAAACTGATTCATACTGCTAAGTTAAATGCTTCTTTAACAACCTTAGAAGGAGTAAGAAACCAAATCTATATTCAGTTATCTGAAGTTGATAAAACCAAGGAAGAGCTTAGAGAGCATATTAAAAATCTTCAGACGGAACAAGCATCTTTGCAGTCAGAAAACACATATTTTGAAAGTGAGAATCAGAAGCTTCAACAGAAACTTAAGGTAATGACTGAATTATATCAAGAAAATGAAATGAAACTCTACAGGAAATTAATAGTAGAGGAAAATAACCGGCTAGAGAAAGAGAAATTTTCTAAAGTAGACGAAATGATCAGCCATGCCACTGAGGAGCTGGAGACCTACAGAAAGCGAGCCAAATATCTTGAAGAAGAACTTGAGAGAACTATTCATTTTTATCAAGGGAAGATTATATACCATGAGAAAAAAGCACATGATAATTGTTTGGCAGCACAGACCGCTGAAAGAAACCTCAATGATTTAAGGAAAGAAAATGCTCACAACAGACAAAAATTAATTGAAACAGACTTTAAAATTAAATTTTTAGAAAAAGATCCTTATGCACTTGATGTTCCAAACACAGCATTTGGCAGAGAGCATTCCTCATATGGTCCCTCACCATTGGGTCGGCCTTCATCTGAAACGAGAGCTTTTCTCTATCCTCCAACTTTGTCGGAGGGTCCACTCAGACTCTCACCTTTCCCTCCAGGGGGAGGAGGAAGAGGCCCAAGAGGCCCAGGGAATCCTCTGGACCACCAGATTACCAGTGAAAGAGGAGAATCAAGCTGTAATAGGTTTACTGATCCTCACAAGGCTCCTTCTGACACTGGGCCCCTGTCACCTCCGTGGGAACAGGACCGTAGGATGATGTTTCCTCCACCAGGACAATCATATCCTGATTCAGCTCTTCCTCCACAAAGGCAAGACAGATTTTATTCTAATTGTGCTAGACGCTCTGGACCAGCAGAACTCAGAAGTTTTAATATGCCTTCTTTGGATAAAATGGATGGGTCAGTGCATTCAGAAATGGAATTCAGTGGAAATGATACCAAAGATAATCTTGGTAATTTAAATGTGCCTGATTCATCTCTCCCCGCTGAAAGTGAAGCAACTGGCCCTGGCTTTGTTCCTCCACCTCTTGCTCCAATCAGAGGTCCGTTGTTTCCAGTGGATACGAGGGGCCCGTTCATGAGAAGAGGACCTCCTTTCCCTCCACCTCCTCCAGGAACCATGTTTGGAGCTTCTCCAGATTATTTTCCACCAAGGGATGTCCCAGGTCCACCACGTGCTCCATTTGCAATGAGAAATGTCTGTCCACTGAGGGGTTTTCCTCCTTACCTTCCCCCAAGACCTGGATTTTCCCCCCCTACCCGCACATTCTGAAGGTAGAGTGAGTTCCCTTTAGGGTTGAGTCTGCCTTCAAATGAGCCTGCTGCTGAAGATCCAGAACCATGGCAAGAAACTTGACAATATTTTTGCTCTCTTCAAAAGTCATTTTGACTATTCTCATTTTCAGTTGAAGTAACTGTTGTTACTTCAGTGATTACACTTTTGCTCATATTCAAACTTAATGGAATTATAATTCTCAGGATAGTATTTTGTAAATAAAGATGATTTAAATATGAATCTTATGAGTAAATTATTTCCATATCATTTTATTCTAGATAGTATAACTATTTTAATTTGTTTAACTAATCCACTATTATATAAACAACAGTGGGAGATTTATAGATGTAATCTTGCAGGTGGGGAGGCTTTACATTTGAAAGGCCATGGCATTATGCCAAGAACTGTATTTACTGTGGTTGTAGACAAATGTGAAAGTAACTTTATGCTTAATTAAATAAATTTTACTTGATTAAAAAATATATATAGGTTGCATTATTCTTCAGGTATGGAGAGACCAACAGATCAAGTGTCGATTACCACTGAAAAAATGGTTTGTTACTCACAGATCCCAACAGAAGGGAAAGTACTATGCCATGCAGCACTGAATAGGGAGGCAGTATGGTCAGCGAGAAGGCAGGAGTGATGGAAAAACATGGGCAAGAGCCTTTACAGTGGCTTCCATGGGAAGGAATGAGTGAGGCAAGGTGAGCAGGGTTAAGGTTAGCTATTATAATTTGAGTAATTTCAGCAGGCTCTGGGTATAAGGGCTGTCCCTAGTTGTCTGGTACCTGGCCCTGGGGCGCTTAGGGCAGAGGAATGTGGCCTAGAGTGTGTGAGTCCTGTGGAAGCCTGATGAAATAGGTGACTGGGGGCATGAGCTCTGGACTGGTTAGCTTGTGTGTGAAAAGCACGCTCATGGGCAGATTGTTTACTGTCTCTAGGAATTGGCTAACCCTGGTAGGGACAGGCCTGCCAAGGTCAGCAAGGCCCTAGATGTCGAAGTGTCAGAATACATAAAAAGACATGGTTAATATGGTATCAGAGCCTCTGTCTTCACATGGCCTCTCATGAAGGGCTCTAGAATGAGCTCCCTTAGGGGATGTCAAAGGCCATTCAAGACAGCAGAAGCCACAAGGCCACGTAAAGCTTCAGTAATATCTAAAAGAAGATATTAAGAGTAATATCTCCCCTAGATATTACAAATCATATTATCAAAGAATGTACACCCCCGTGATATTGGAGAAATACCTCCCTTAGAAATTACAAAGAATTTCATCACAAGGTGTACCCTCACTGTGATATTAGGAGTAATATCTCCCTTATATATTATGAATAATATCATTACGGGGTGTATACCCACTGTGATATTAGGAATAATATCTCCCTTAGATATTATGAAAGGGACCAAGAAACCTTCTATTTCATTGTTTGCTGTGCCTAGCATCCATTCTGTAGATCACTCCGTTGTTCAAGTGGCTGCTGAGGCTGTAGCCATTACCTTCTCATTTTGGTCATAAGAAGATGGAAGCTAGGAAGAAAGTACACATCCAACCCTTTAAAGATAGTTCCTGGAAATTACACATATCACATCTGCTCACATCCTGTGGGCCAGAAGAAATAAATAACATAGTATATCTAGCTGCAAGTGAGGCTGAAAAATATCATTATTCCCTATAACCACGTGGTCAGCTAAAAACAAAAAATTGCATTACTAAAGAAGAGTAAAACAGAACAGATATTGAAAGATAACAAGCAGTCTCTGACGCAGCATCTAAGAATAATTATTCCTTTTCCTGATATCCTGAGCACTAAGATCTAGCTCAAAGTTCAGCCTTCACTTTGACAGCCATTAGAGAAAGTAAATGCACTTCATAAACTAGGGAAATGAGAATTAATGAATCTCAGGGTTCCCCTCCGCCCTTTTTTTGGAGACGGATTCTCATTCTGTCACCCATGCTGGAGTGCAGTGGAGCTGCGATCTTGGCTCCTGAAACCTCCACCTCTGGAGTTCAAGCGATTCTCCTGCCTCGACCTCCTGAGTAGCTAGGATTACAGGTGTGTGCCACCACACCCAGCTAATTTGTGTATTTTTAGTAAAGACAGGGTTTCACTGTGTTGGCCAGGCTGGTCTCGAACTCCTGACCTCAAGTGATCTGGCCACCTTGGCCTCCCAAAGTGCTGGGATTACAGGGGATTACAGGGGGAGCCACCACACCCGGCCTTTTTTTCCCTTTGTAAAAACCCTCTTCATTAATACTAAGAGTGTTCTTGAAAGCTACAGAGAAATAAATCTCCCTTTCAGTGAATTGATAAGGCCCTGGTTATTTCCTCTTTACTTCACAAGATTTTTTTTTTTTTTGAGACCGGATTTTGCTCTGTTGCCCAGACTGGAGTGCAGTGGGACAATCATTGCTCACTGCAGCCTTGACATCCTGGACTCAAGCAGTCCTCCTGCCTCAGCCTCCCCAGTAGCTGGAATGACAGGCACAGTCCACAACACCTGGCTAATTTTTAATGTTTAATTTTTTGTTGTTGTTATAGATACAGGGTCTCACCACGTTGTCCAGGCTAGTCTCAAACTCCTGGGCTCAAGACATCCTCCCACCTCAGCCTCCCAAACTGCTGGGATTAGAGGCTTGAGTCATCATGCCTGGCGCACTTCACAAGATTTAAGACATTGTCTCAGATTCTCAACATCTCCTGGACCTTGGCCACAGCCTCCTATTTGTTTTCTTGTCTCTGCTCTCTCCCTACTCCAAACCATTGCCTACCCTTCCGCTGGAGTTACTAAATCTGCCTATGTAAAACTCTCCTTTGGTTCCTAGAGGATAAAGGATTACTTCCTTAGCCTACATATGAGACCCTCCACTGTGGGTCCCAGCCTCCTTTCACCCCTGCCCCTGCCTACCGCTCACTGTTCCCTGGCCAGGCCTGTGCTTGTGCACATTGCTTCCTCTGCCTGGAATGTGCGTCTCTTTAGGTTGAGACTATCCTGTTTATCTCTGAAAAACTGGTTCTATTCCTCCCCCATCCCAAGAAAGAACAGGTAATTGTTCCCTCTGCTATGTTCCCATTACACTTTCTTTGTAGAGTCACACTGTAATGATCTCTTCACAGATCTCTTGTCCTGATCACTCTGTAAGCTCCTCAGAGGCAAAGAACATCATGTCTTACCAAGTTACCTACATACCAAGGGCTGTCTGGTGCCTGACGCAAACAGAACAGAATGAAGTAGAGGCTCAGCAAAAGCTAGTGGTCGGCCAGGAGTGGTGGCCCATGTCTGTAATCTCAGCACTGTGGAAGGTCAAGGTGGGTGGATCACCTGAGGTCAGGAGTTCGAGAACAGCCTGGTCAGCATGGTGAAACCCCACGTCTACTAAAAATACAAAAATTAGCTAGGCGTGGTGTTGGGTGTATGTAATACCAGCTCCTCGGGAGGCTGAGGCAGGAGAATTGCCTGAACCCAGAAGGTGGAGGTTGCAGTGATCCTAGATCTCATCACTGCACTCCAGCCTGGGTGACAAGGTGAAATTCCATCTCAAAAAAAAAAAAAAAAAAAAAAGCTGGTGGTCAGATCGATGGAAACAAATTCATGAAAATGTTTCCTTCAACCTGAGAAAGCTGATTAATAAAAGAAAAACATGTAAAATAAAATAAAATGTTTCTGTCTGGCAATGATCAGAATCATATTTGCTTTTCTTTTCTTTTCTTTTTTTTTTTTTTTTGAGTTTCTCTCTTGTCGCCCAGGCTGATGTGCAATGGTGCAATCTCGGCTCACTGCCACCTCCGCCTCCCGGAGGCAATTCTCCTGCCTCAGCCTCCCGAGTAGCTGGGTAGGTGCTCACCACCACACCTGGCTAATTTTTGTAGTTTTAGTAGAGAAGGGGTTCCACCATGTTGGCTAGGCTGGTCTCAAACTCCTGACTTCAGGTGATCCACCCCCCTGGGCCTCCAAAAATGCTGGGATTACAGACATGAGCCACTGCGCCTGGTGCATATTTGCTTTTCTTAACTAGGTTGCACTTAATACCTATTATAGTCAACAGACTGAGTTGAAGTCTTAAGAGACACATCAAACATTCACTTATTCACTCAGAGGGGCCAGATTTGGTGCCAGACCTCTAGTGAGGAGGCCACTAGAGTAACCTGGGGGAGAAATGGGTGGCTCAGCCACTAGAACCAACTAAGAAGACCACAATTATTAAAATTTTAATTATTTATTTAGAAACAGGGTCTTGCTATGTTGCCTGTGCTGGAGTGCGGTGGCTATTCACAGGCATGATCATAGCTCACTAAGCCTCAAACTCCTGGGTTCAAGCCATCCTCCAGCCTCAGCCTCTCAAGTAGCTGGGACCACAGGTGCATGCCACTATGCCTGGCTTAAAAGACCACAACGTTTTAGAGCTATCTTCTAGTGGTACATCTGCAGTTTTACCTTTAGTAACAGTGCCACATTCTTCTTCATTCTAGACCACTGCATTCTGAGCCATCAGTATAAACATTTATTTCCCTGAATGAGATGAAGCCAAAGACCTACTGCCTTAATAATGGACAGACAGTGGAACAGAGCATGAAATAGCTGTTTGTCCTGAAAAGGGTTTTTTTTTTTTTTAGGAAACAGCAGAGACTGTAAAGATGCTGAAGCCTCTGTCCCTCTTCCCTGGAGACCAACAACCTTCATTTCCAGTCTCAGTTCCTGTGCTGTTCACACGGATGGTCCAGTGATGATCTGGTTCCCATCCATCCAGCCTATGAATCAGGGAGGAAAATGAACAGTGGTACTGATTGAGGGAAGCTTTCTTGAGGTTTTCTGTTTCCTTATGAAGTATCTGGATGACAAGCTTCCCTTCAATGCATTCTCAGGGGCTTGGTCTTTACCCAGAGCAGAGGCTGAGAAAATTATTAAGATTTCTGAAGCAGTCTGTCCCACCCTAACACATCACAAATGCGAGCATTTGAAGAACAAGAGCCACATGCAGTTATTTATTTATTTATTTATTTATTTATTTATTTATTTACTTACTTATGACAGAGCCTGGCTATGTTGCCCAGGCTAGAGTGCAGTGATGCAATCTTACCTCATCTCTGCCTCTGGGGCTCAAGTTATCCTCTCACTTCAGCCTCCGGAGTAGCTGGTACTACAGGTGCACACCACAATGCTCGACTAATTTTTTGTAGAGACAAGGTTTTTCCCTGTTGCCCAGGCTGGACTCAAACCTCTGGGCTGAAGCAATCCTCCCGCCTTGGCCTCCCAGAGTCGGGGGATTACAGGCTTCTGCACCCAGCCGCCTTCTCTTTTTGTTAATAAACTCTTTGCTGTGCACAGCTGAGAGTGGGGACTCAATAAATGTCAACAGAGGATTGTGTTTTTACAGACAGATGGACGTGGAAGAATCCAGAAACACTGGTGTTACTATGGTTTATTTAGTTTGCTGGATTCCAACACCAAATGAGAGAGGTATTCTATTGTAGAAAAACAGAAATCCTATTGGATATAAATTTAATGAAAATCTCGAGAACTATTCAGAAACAACCAAATAAAACCATACTTAAGAGTATGTGGGCTAGGTGTGGTGGCTCACACCTGTAATCCCAGCATGTTGGAGGCCGAGGCAGGTGGATCACCTGAGGTTGGGAGTTGGAGACCAGCCTGACGAACATGGAGAAACCTCGTCTCTAAAAATACAAAATTAGCCGGGCGTGGTGACCCATACCTGTATTCCCAGCTACTCTGGAGGCTGAGGCAGGAGAATCACTTGAACCCTGGAGGAGGAGGTTGCAGTGAGCCAAGATTGCACATTGCACTCCAGCCTGGGTAACAAGAGCAAAACTCCATCTCAAAAAAAAAAAAAAAAGATTATATGAAGTTTAAAACTTCATACCTTTAAGTAAGATTATAATGTTCTTATAACATATTAGCCAGCTGAAGCGGCTCACACCTATATCCCAACACTTTGGAAGGCTGAGGCAGGAGGATCGCTTGAGCCCAGGAGTTGGAGAATAGACTGAGCAGCAACATAGGGAGACACACACTCTATAATCTTTTTTTTTTTTTTTTGAGATGGACTTTCACTCTTGTTGCCCAGGCTGGAGTGCAACGGCGTGATCTCGGCTCACCGCAAACTCCACCCCCGGATTCAAGTGATTCTCCAGCCTCACACTCACAAGTAGCTGGGATTACAGGTGCCCGCCACAATGCCTGGCTTTTTGTATTTTTGTATGTTTTTTTTTTTTTTGAGACAGAGTCTGGCTCTGTCACCCAAGCTAGAGTGCAGTGGCATGAGCTTGGCTCACTGCAACCTCCGCCTCCTGGGTTCAAGCGATGCTTCTGCCTCGGCCTCTTGAGTAGCTGGGATTACAGGCATGCGCCACCACACCCAGCTAACTTTTTAGTAGAGACGGGGTTTCACCATGTTGATCAGGCTGGTCTTGAACTCCTGACCTCGAGATCCACTCCCCTCGGCCTCCCAAAGCGCTGGAATTACAGGCGTGGGCCAATGCGCCCAGCCCACATTTTGTATTTTTAGTAGAGACAGGGTTTCACCATGTTGGCCCGGCTGGTCTCGAACTCCTGACCTCAATTGATCCACACCACTTGGCCTCCCAAAGGGCTGGGATTGCAGGCGTGAGCTAACATGTACCAACTACAAAATTGTTTTTTTTACTTGTTAGGTGTGGTGGTGAGCCCCTCCTGTGCATACACCCTGTGATATATTATTCGTAATATCTAAAAGATTTTACTCCTAATATCACAGTGGGTGTATACCAGTGATATTATTCATAATATCTAAGGGAGATGATACTACTCCTAATATCACAGTGGGTGTACACCCTGTGATATTATTCATAATATCTAAAAGAAGATATTACTCCTATTATCACTGTGGGTGTACACTCTGTGATATGATTCATAATATCTAAAAGAAGATATTGCTCCTAATACCACGGTGAGTGTACACACTGCGATACTATTTGTAATATCTAAAAGAAGATATTATTTGTAATACCTAGAAGAAGACATTGCTTTTAATACCACGGTAGGTGTACACCCTGTGATACTATTTGTAATATCTAAAAGATATTATTTATAATACCTAGAAGTAGACATTACTCCTAATATCACAGTGGGTGTATACTCTGTGATATTATTCATAGTAGCTAAGGGAGCTATTACTCCTAATTTCACAGTGGCTGTACACCCTGTGATATTTTTTATAATATACAAGGGAAATATTACTCTAGCATCACAGTGGGTGTACACCCTACGATGTACACCCTATGATGTTTCTTTTTTTTTTTTTTTTTTGAGACTGAGTCTCACTCTGTCACCCAGGCTGGTGTGCAGTGGTGTGATCTCAGCTCACTGCAATCTCCGCCTCCCAGGTTCATGCCATTCTCCTGCCTCAGCCTCCCGAGTAGCTGGGACTACAGGTGCCTGCCACCACGCCTGGCTAATTTTTTTGTATTTTTAGTAGAGACAGGGTTTCACCGTGTTAGCTAGGATGGTCTCAATCTCCCAACTTCGTGATCCGCCTGCCTTGGCCCCCCAAAGTGCTGGGATTAAGGTGTGAGCCACTGTGCCCGGCCTAAGTGTGATATTTCTTTTAATGTCACAGTGGGTGGACAGTCTGTGATATTATTCGTAATATCTAAGGGAGATACAACTTCTAATGTCACAGTGGGTGTACACCCTGTGATATTATTCGCAATATCCAAGGGAGATATTACTCCTAATGTCATAGTAGGTGTACACCCTTTAATATTTTTAGGAATATTCAAGTTAGATATTATTCGTAATGTCACAGTGGGTGTACACCCTGTGATATTATTCATAATATCCAAGGGAGATATTAGGACTAATATCACAGTGGTTGTACACCCTGTGATATTTTCAAAATATCCAAGGGAGATGTTACTCCTAATATCACAGTGCATTTATACCCTGTGATCTTATTCTTAATATCCAAGATTGATATTACTCCTAATATCACAGTGTGGGTACACCCAGTGATATTATTCATAATATCCAAGGGGGATATTACTGCTAATATCACAGTGGGTGTACACCCTGTGATATTATTGCTAATATCTATGGGAGATATTACTCCTTTTATCACAGTGTGTGTGTATACCCTGTGTGTACATCCTGTGATATTATTCGTAATACCTAAAAGATATTGCTAAAAGCACTCCTTGTGGTTTGCGCATGTTGAGATGAAAATGAGATGGAGGTCATGATCTTTTTAAGGGTGGAAAAGCATGAACACAAAGTATCATTTCATAAAGCCAATTGCAGCATCTCTGTCCATGGGGCTTCAGGGGAAGAGATGAAACCTTTGTTGAGATTCTACCATGTGGGTCAGGCAGGGACACAGAGTTATTTATGGGACAGCCCTTGTCTTAGTTGGTGAGAGGAGGAAAAAGGAGCAAAAACCTGAAAGGGGATGTGCAGGGCCAGGATGCGAGTGGGGGTCGCATTCCAGTAATAGCTAAGTCTGGGCAAGGGGGAGGACCAGGCTGTGAGATGGTGGTGGATGGAGGGGTACAAGGGGAATGGCTCTGAAGGATGTATTGGTAGATGTAAAAGAAGGTGTCCAGGGGTCTGGCCTTGCTGGAGGACTTCGGGGGATGGTAGCAGCAGCATAAATAACATAGAAGCATCAAATAGGAGACTAAGACTTCAAAAGTCAATCAAGAAGTACAGAGGGGAAAGTGCAATTTAGGGCTAGATCATGGAATGAGGAGATGGGCCAAATGCTGGGGATGGGGGGATATCATTGTAGAAAGGGCTGAGATGGCTTTGGAGGGAGTTCCCCTAACCCAAAGGTTCTCTAAAGAAAGTGGGAGTGATTTAAAATACACTTGAAGGAAACTATAAAACTGCCTGAGAAATAAAAGAAGACCCAAGATTTCAAAAAATCCTGGGTCAGATGTGGTGGCTCACCTCTGTATCCTAGCACTTTGGGAGGCTGAGGAGGGACGATCGCTTGAGCCCAGGAGTTCGAGACCAACCTGGGCAACAGAGTAAGACCCCTCCTCCCTGTGAAAAAATACAAAAATGTGTCTGGGCGTGGTGGCAACTGCCTGTGGTCCCAGCTACTCAGGAGGCTGAAGTGGGAGAATCACCTGAGCCTGGGAGGTTGAGGCTGCAGTGAGCTGAGATTGTGCCACTGCACTCCAGCCTGGGTGACAAAGTGAGAACCTGTCTCAAAAAAGATAACAGAAGATTGGGTGCGGTGGTGTGTGCCTGTAGTTCCAGCTACTTGGGAAGAGAGCTGAGTGGGGAGAATTGCTTGAGCCCAAGAGTTCATGGCTGTAGTGTGCTATGATGGTGCCTATGAATAGCCTACTGCACTCCAGCCTGGGCAACATAGTGAGACCTCCATCTATACAGAATAAAAGATAGGAGAAGGGTAGGCCTAGAAATGCCGCATAGTGGAACAGTTAATAAGAGTCTCTGTTGGAGGCCACCTGGGTTTGAATTTTTATTCTGCCACTTCTGCCATCTGAACTGGGACAGTTTCTCCATCTATAAAATGGGGGTGATTGTTCCCATCTTATAAAGTCATTTGAATATTAAATGAGCCAATGTGTGTGAGGTTCTTAAAACAACGTCTGGCATGTAGTTAATGCTCAATTTTATTTTCTTTTGTGGTCTCTTTGAAATGCAGAAGCAAGTTACAGTATTATGCCTATAACTAACATTCAGTTATTTTCCTTCCTACATTCATTAGATAAGTATTTGACAAAGTGTTGCACAGCCCCTTGTTCTAAGAAAAAGAGTTCTTGGATTATGTGTTGTGGTGATGTTGCACGTATACACTCTCTCTTGGTTAGCAGACTGGCTTTTGGAAGTCCCACAGTAAATACAGGTAACTGTTGACCTCCTGAGCTAGTGTTCTATAAAACACACTTTGAGGAAACACTGTGTTGTATAAATCTAGATCAGAGAAAAGGTTAAACGACAGATCATCTCAAAATCTCAAATAGGTCTCTTTTTTTTTCTTTTTTAAGAGTCCTCGTCTCACTGTCATCCAGGCTGGAGTGCAGTGGTGTCATGACCACAGCTCACTGCATGCAGCCTCTAACTCCTAGGGTCAAGCGACCCTCCTGCCTCAGCCTTCTGAGTAGCTAGGACTATAGGCATCCAACATCATGCCCAAGTACTTTTTTGTAAATTTTTTTTTTTTGAGACACAGTCTCGCTCTGTCGCCCAGGCTGGAGTGCAGTGGCGCCATCTCAGCTCACTGCAAGATCTGCCTCCTGGGTTCACGCCATTCTCCTGCCTCAGCCTCCTGAGTAGCTGGGACTACAGGCGCCCACCACCACGCCAGGCTAATTTTTTTGTATTTTTTAGAAGAGACGGGGTTTCACCGTGTTAGCCAGGATGGTCTTGATCTCCTGACCTCGTGATCCGCCCGCCTCCGCCTCCCAAAGTGTTGGGATTACAGGCCTGAGCCACTGCGCCCGGCCAATTTTTTGTACATTTTTTAAGAGATGGGATTTCGCTATGTTGCCCAGGCTGGTCTCAAACTCCTGGCCTCAAGTGATCCTCCTGCCTCAATCTTCAGAGTTGCTGGGATTAACAGGTGTGAGCCATCATGCCTGGCTCTATTCAAATGGGCCATATTTTTATAGCCATTAAAATAGATTCAAGTAAAACATTAGTATTTGGAGATTAGATGTATTGTTTATTTCAAGACACATCTATCAACTGAATTAGTAGTTATTTTGAACAATCAACATTTAATGATGATTGCAGCAATTACTCAAATAATTAAAGCAAAAGTAGAATTTTCGCAATAATTACTGAAGCAACTGTGCTTGACTAGAGCTGCCTTTTGTGGGCTTTAAGTCTTTATGGTTCCCTTTTTTTTTTTTTTTTTTTTTTCTGAGACAGAGTCTTGCTGGAGTGCAGTGGTGCAATCTCGGCTCACTGCAACCTCCACCTCCCGGGTTCAAGCGATGCCCCTGCCTCAGCCTCCAGAGCAGGCTGGGACTACAGGCGTGCACCACCACGCCTGACTAATTTTTTGTATTTTTTAGTAGAGGTGGGGTTTCACGATGTTGGCCAGGATGGTCTCAATCTCCTGACCTTGTGATCCACCCAACTCGGCCTCCCAAAGTACTGGAATTACAGGCGTGAGCCACCACGCCCGGCTGTAACAAGCCTTTTCTAAATATCAATTTAGTTGGAGAAATAGTTTAGGAAAAAATTCAAGAGTGCCAACTACAAAAGATAGATGTAGTAAACTTCATTAGTTTCAAGAATTGTGAATATTAAGAGCCTTGGTGTGGCCGGGCGCGGTGGCTGACACCTGTAATCCCAGCGCTTTGGGAGGCTGAGGCAGGTGGATCGCAAGGTCAGGAGATTGAGACCATCCTGGCTAACATGGTGAAACCCTGTGTCTACTAAAAATACAAAAATTTAGCCGGGTGTGGTGGCGGGCGCCTGTAGTCCCAGCTACTCGGGAGGCTGAGGCAGGAGAATGGCATGAACCCGGGAGGCGGGGCTTGCAGTGAGCCGAGATTGTGCCACTGCACTCCAGCCTGGGCGACTGATCAAGACTCTGTCTCAAAAAAAAAAAAAAACAAAAACAAACAAACAAACAAAACCCAGAGCCTTGGTGTATGTAGTCCAATCTAATTACAGGAATAGAACACAAACACAAAAAAAACAAATGTTTTCTCACTATCTGCCCTTAGGGCCACACCTCCTTGTCTCCATGTAACCAGGGATGATGGTGGGTGAATAATTAACTGCTGTTTATTGGTGCTAATGAAGAACAGTCACATAAATAATACAGGCTCTTAGACTCCAGGTCAGTATTCCCATCCTGGTCACCCCAGTGCCAGGTACCAGACAAATAGGGACACAACCACTATGTCCCAGAGCCTGAGAAATTATTTAAGCAAGTGAATCCTAAATTGGCTTACCTTGTCTTGCCTGTGGAAACCACAACAAAGACTCGTGGCCATGCTTTCTCCTCGCCTCTCTGCCTCTTGATGGATCCCAGCGCTTGCTCGTGGCATTGCATGGTGTGGCATGCCCCAGCTCTTGGAAACTGTGAGTTACAAACTACTTTTTCAAGGGCAGTCATCTCCTGATCTGTTAGCTTCACCATATGCTATAGCTTGAATGTGATCCCCACAGTTCATGTGCTGGAAACTTGATCCTTTGTGGTAGTGTTGGGAGTTGGAGCCTAATGGGAGGTGTTTGGGTCATGCGGGCATGGCCCTCATAAACAGATTAATGCTGTTACCTTGGGAGTGGATTTGCCCCATCTTGCTTTCTCTTTTCCCTTTCACCATGTGATGATGCTTTCCACCATGGGATGACACAGCAAGAAGGCCCTCAGCAAATGCTGGCATCTTTATCTTGGACTTCCCAGCCTCCAGACATGTGAGATACAAACTTCCATATATTATATATTACCTCATCTGTGGTATTGTGTTCTAGCAGCCCAAAATGGACTAAGACATGATACCTGAATAAGAATAAACCCTACATTTTTAAAAACAGCCTGTTAGAACAATTCAAGGGACCGGAAGTTTGCATTATGTTGCAAGGCAACAGTTTCAGCAGTGAACTGATGGCAAAGTTCTTTACCATCTTAAGCTGAAAATGGCTTCCCGGTACATTTCAATAATTCTCAGCCTCCAGGGCAATAGAGAATGAATCTATTCATGTTTTTCAAGCAATGAACTATCAGATATCTGAATACATAACGGTCTTTCCTCAGATACCTTTACAAGAAGCACACACATCAATCTATGGATTTCTTTGAACATTTTTTCCACTCTTATTCCTATAATAATTAGCATTTTGCAAGTCATTTTGACTTCAGTTACCCAGTGAATTGAGTGTTTTCTTCCAACATTCTCAGGTTTTTCAAAGATTATTTATTCATTCATTCATAGATCAATTAAGCAGACCCTCAGCAGTCACATAGCCTTCACTGGTTTATCAGTGTCTTTTTTTTTTTTTTTTTTTTTTTTTTGTGAGACAGAGTTTCGCTCTGTCAGCCCAGACTGGAGTGTAGTGGCACCATCTCGGCTCACTGCAAGCTCCGCCTCCTGGGTTCACACCATTCTCCTGCCTCAGCCTCTCGAGTAGCTGGGACTACAGGCACCCGCCCCCACGCCCGGCTAATTTTTTTGTATTTTTAGTAGAGATGGGGTTTCACCGTGTTAGCCAGGATGGTCTCGATCTCCTGACCTCGTGATCCACCTGCCTTGGCCTCCCAAAGTGCTGGGATTACAGGCGTGAGCCACCGTGCCCGGCCATCAGTGTCTTTCTTAAAATGTGGTGTATGCCAGGCTCGGAGACTCACACATGTAATCCCAGCACTTTGGGAGGCCAAGGTGGGTGGATCACTTGAGGCCGGGAGTTTGAGTCCAGTCTGGCCAACATGGTGAAACCCCGCCTCTACTAAAAATACAAAAAAATAAAATTAGCTGGGTATGGTGGTGCATGCCTGTAATCCCAGCTACTCCGGATGCTGAGGCAGGAGTATTGCTTGAACCTGGGAGGTGGTGTTTGCAGTGAACCGAGATCAAACCACTGCACTCCAGCCTGGGAGACAGAGTGAGACTCCATCTGAAAAAAATAAAAACATTAAAACGTGGATTTACTATTACTGGCTTACCACACAGGGCTTCACTGGCACTATTCCCTTCCCGATCTAGAGACTGGGTATATTCTATTGCTTGGCATGCCATTGACAAACATGTCTGGGTCCTTCCTTCTAAATAAATCACCATGAAACAGATTGTATCCTATAACTAAGCAATTATACAGTTGCTTTTTTTTTTTTTTTTGAGACGGAGTTTTGCTCTTGTTGCCCAGGCTGGAGTCCAATGATGCAATCTTGTCTCACCGCAATCTCCCCCTTTCAGGTTCAAGCGATTCTCCTGCCTCAGCCTCCCGAGTAGCTGGGATTACAGGCGTGTGCCACCACGCCTGGCTAATTTTGTATTTTTAGTAGAGACAGGGTTTCTCCATGTTGGTCAAGCTGATCTCGAACTCCCGACCTCAGGTGATTTGCCTGTCTCGGCCTCCCAAAGTGGCTGGCTTACAGGCGTGAGCCACAGCGCATGGCCACTACCGTAGCTTTTTGAATTTTTAGTTATGGATGTAAAATTCACCATCGTTAAGTATACAGGCCTCATTACAGCATGCTTCTTTCCTTTTACTTAAAAAAAGTTTTAAAACTCAAGAACCCCCAAATTTTTTTTTTGTCCTGCTCTGTTGCCTAGGCTGGAGTGCAGGGGTGCCATCATGGCTTAGTGCAGTTTTGACCACCAGGGTTCAAGTGACTCTTCCACCTCAGCCTCCCGAGTAGCTGGAACTACAGATGTGTTCCACCATGCCCAGCTAATTAAAAAACATTTTTTTTTTTTTTTGTAGAGACAGGGTGCAGCGATGTTGCCCAGGCTGGTCTTGAACTCCTGGGCTCCTGCCTCGGCCTCCCAAAGTGCTGGGTTTACAGGTGTGAGCTAATACATGTTAACTGTAGAAAAATGATCAGATAAATATGAAAGAGCTAGTTCTCTGTATTCTTATTCCCAAGATATAATATTTTGGTATACATTACTTCATACGTTTTCCTCTGCGTAAAGCTCTAGTTTTTTTAATGGATAAAATTACACATACAAATGTTTTAACAACTTGCTTTTCTCAATTATTAATATATATTGGATAGTCTAGAGCCATACTTAAGAATGAATTACAATTATCAGCAGAGTTCCTTGAGGGCAGGGACTATCTTTTTTTTTTTTGAGGCAGAGTCTTGGTCTGTCGCCCAGGCTGTTGTGCAGTGGTGCAATCTTGGCTCACTGCATGACTCACTGCAAGCTCCACCTCCCAGGTTCACACCATTCTCCTGCCTCAGCCTCCTGAGTAGCTGGGACTACAGGCACATGCCACCATGCCTGGCTAAATTTTTTTTTGGTTTTTTTTTTTTTGTATTTTTAGTAGAGATGGGATTTCACTGTGTTCGCCAGGATGGTCTTGATCTTCTGACCTCGTGATCCTCCCGCCTCGGCCTCCCAAAGTGCTGCGATTACAGGCGTGAGCCACCGTGCCCAGCCTTAGGGCAGGGACTATCTTAAGTACAGTCATGTACCACTTGGTGTTTCAGTCAACAATGGACTGCATATATGACAAATATCCCATAAGATTATAGTGGAGCTGAAAAATTCCTGTTGCCTAGTGATATCAGAGTCATCATGACATCTTAGTGTAACATGTTACTCATGTTTGTGGCGATGCTGGTATAAACAAACCTACTGCACTGCCAGTCATATAAAAGTATAAACACACAGTTATGTATAGTACATAATACTTGATAATGATAGTACATAATTATGTTACTGATTTATGTATATACTCTATTATTCTTTTTTTAAGACGGGGTCTTGCTTTATCGCCCAGGCTGGAATCAAGTGGCGCTATCTCGGCTCACTGCAACCCCTGCCTCCCGGTTCAAGTGATTCTTCTGCATCAGTCTCCTGAGTAGCTGGGATTATAGGTGCGTGCCACCAGGCCCGACTAATTTTTGTATTTTTAGTAGAGATGTGGTTTCAGCATATTGGCCAGACTGGTCTTGAAATCCTGACCTCAAGTGATGTGCCTGCCTCGGCCTCCCAAAGTGCTGGGATGACAGGCGTGAGCCACTGCACCCAGCCTGTTTTATTCCAAAAAAAATTTAAGCCATTCAAATTTAGCAGTGGGGGGTTGTATACGAACTTTAGTGACACTAAATGTTAATAAGTTCTGATAACCCACTACCATTGGACCAACCTGTACTATAATTTTTTGTCATTAGAGTGTACTCCTACTTACATATATATAAAAAGTTAATTGTAAAACAGCATCAGGCAGGTCCTTCAGGAGGTGTCCAAAAGAGGGCGTTGTTACTATAGGCGGCGACAGCTCCATGCCTGTTATCGCCCCTGAAGACCTTCCAGTGGGACAAGATGTGGAGGTGGAAGGCAGTGATATTGATGATCCTGACCCTTTGTAGGCCTAGGCTAATGTGTGTGTTTATGTCTTGGTTTTTAATAAAAAAGTATTAAAGAGTAAAAAATAAAAAAATTAAAAGAAGCTTATAAAATAAGGATATAAAGAAAATATTTTTGTACAGCTATACAATGTGTTTGTGTTGTAAATGAAGCGTTAATACAAAAGAATAAAAACGTTAAAAAAGTTTAAACTTTTTTTTTTTTTTTTTTTTTTGAGAGTGAGTCTCTCTCTGTTGCCAGGCTGGAGTGCAGTGGCGCGATCTCAGCTCACTGCAACCTCTGCCTTCCAGGTTCAAGCAATTCTTCTGCCTCAACCTCCTGAGTAGCTGGGACTACAGGTGCCTGCCACCATGCTCGGCTAATTTTTTTGTATTTTTAGTAGAGACGGGGTTTCACCATGTTGGCCAGGATGGTCTCGATCTCTTGACCTCGTGATCCGCCCGCCTCGGCCTCCCAAAGTGCTGGGACTACAGGCGTGAGCCACCACACCTGGCCCCAGTTTAAATGTTTATAAAGTAAAAAAGTTAGAGTAAGCTAAGGTTAATTTATTATTGAAGAAAAAATTTTAATTAATTAGTCCAGCTTAAGTGTGCAGTGCTTATAAAGACTGTAGTAGTGTACAGCAATGTCCTAGATCTTCACATTCACTCCCCACTTACTCACTGACTCACCCAGAGCAATTTCCAGTCTTGCAAGCTCCATTTATTTATGGTAAGTACTCTATACAAGCATATATTTTAAAAAATCTTTTATACTATATTTTTACTGTATCTTTTCTATGTTTGGATACACAAATACTTGTGGTTGTGTTTCAGTTGTGCACAGCAGGCCATACAGTGACGTGCTGCACAGGTTTGTAGACCAGGAGCAATGGGTTATGCCACATAGCTTAGGTGTGTAGGAGGCTGTAGGTGTGTAGGTGTGTACCATCTAGGTTTGTGTAAGTTCACTCTATGATGTTCCTACAATGAAGAAATTGCCTAACGTGCATTTCTCGGAAACTATCCTCATCATTAAGCAACATAACTGTATTTATGAAACACAACACATAGGTGATTCAATTGTTAAATGACTGTATTATAATGATTCCTCCGAGACTACAGGTCACACATTTCAACCAATAATGGGACAACTTTTCCTTTAAATTTCTGTAGAACTCTTAAGATGGATGGTGTGATTCATTTAAATCACTGATTACATCTAACATTATTCTGTGTTCATATTCACTATTTACTTTAATAATTTGGTCCCAAATATTTTAAAAGAGCAAGTTAGAAGACAGTCTCATATCTGACACAGTAAATGGAAGAATACTAGTTAATTGATTCTACTATTGTTTCCACTCATCCATATGAACAGCCCAGTCCGCTCCCAACAGTGTCTCCCTGCCAGGTTGCATTAATAATGCAAATTAATATAAGTAGTAGTTGATTATATTCCATTTACGAGTACTATGCTTGGTTATGCCTGCATATAGAAAAATTCCAGTTTGGATTACAGATTCTTTTCTCACAACTCTTTCAGTGTTATTGTATTATCTAAAATAAATTATTGATTTAATGTCTCTTACCACGTTCAAGATTTCACTTACATCTCCAGCTATGCTTTTGGTCACTATCTAGACTTACATTAAGTAAACATAAAGTAAAAAGATGTGAGCAAAACACCATGCATTTGTCTTTGTTAATGATTTAGAAAAGCCTTAATTCAAATTATAATTTTATACCATTTTTAACCCATAATAGTTTGTAATCCAAGTTACAACATAGCCCAGTAATTTTGCCTGATGAGCCAAAGGCAGTTAAAAACCAAATTCTTTTTCTGGTTTTTAATATGTAAACTGATTGTTCATAAAATTTTCATCGTTTCACATATTTAACCTATCTCCCAAAGTTTAAATCACTAAAATAACATGGAAAATATATCATTGATTAATTTTCAGTCTGAGTATGAAAAACTACCCTAGTATGGACAAATGGACTTTTGCAATAAGCAGAATCAAGACAGTGAACAATGCCTCGTTGAGCCAGGAAAAAATGCAAGTCTTTGCATGTTAAAATACAAGAATGTTTTATGTCCTATCTACATTTATATTTATCTATCATTATATATTTAAGGTATGGGTATTATACTGTATTAGTATCATTCTATTGGCTTAACAAAAGGTTTTATTTAAAAAGTTCTCTTAGTCAATGTATTTTTTTTTTTTTTTTTTTGAGACAGAGTCTTGCTCTGTCGTCCAGGCTGGAGTGCAGTGGCGCCATCTTGGCTCACTGCAAGCTCCGCCTCCCAGGTTCACGCCATTCTTCTGCCTCAGCCTCCCAAGTAGCTGGGACTACAGGCGCCCGCCACCACGCCCAGCTATTTTTTTTGTATTTTTTTAGTAGAGACGGGGTTTCACCATGTTAGCCAGATGGTCTCGATCTCATGACCTCATGATCCGCCCGCCTCGGCCTCCCAAAGTGCTGGGATTACAGGTGTGAGCCACCACGCCCGGCCCAATGTACTTTTTAAAATAGACTTTATTTATTTATTGAGATGGAGTCTCACTCTGTCACCCAGGCTGGAGTGCAGTGGCACAATCTCAGCTCACTGCAATCTGTGCCTCTCGGTTTCAAGTGATTCTCGTGCCTCAGCCTCCCGAGCAGCTGGGATACAGGTGCCTGCCACCTCTCCTGGCTAATTTTTGTATTTTTTAGTAGAGATGGGGTTTTGCTATGTTGGCCAGGCTGGTCTCAAACTCCTGACCTCAGGTGATCCACCCGCCTCGGCCTCCCAAAGTGTTGGGATTACAGGCGTGAGCCACCACTTCCGGTCAACTTAGTTTTTTAGAACAGTTTGTATTTATAGAAAAAGAGAAGACAGCATTGAGTTCCCATATATAAACTCTCCTAGTTTCTCCTGTTAACATCTTACGTTAGTATGGTTCATTTGTTACAATTCATGAATGATATAATGATACATTATTAACTAAAGTTCATGGTTTATTCAGATTTCCTTAGTTTTCACCTAATGTTCTTCTGCTCCAGCATCCTATCCAGTTACCACATTACACTTGTCATGTCCTCTTAAGCTCCTCCTGGGTGTGGCAGTTTCCCTGACTTTCCATGTTTTGGTGACCCTGAAAGTTTTGAGTAGCATCATTAAGTGTTTCATAGGATGCCCCTCTGAATTTGTCTGATTTCTCATGATTAGACTAAGGTTATGGGTTGTGGAAGGACGGCCAGCTCAATGTAATTTTCTTAAGATAAATTTGATATGTATGGAGATAAAAACACACCTAGATTTCACCAAACTGTTGTCATGGACATAAACTTCAGTATCATTTTTAGTACTATGTCTCTGTTGTATAATTAGAGGCAGAAAAGAATATGATTTTTCAAAAGGTTGGCTTAAAAAAAAATGAGAGGTAGAGGCCGGGCACAGTGGCTCATGCTTGTAATCCCAGCACTCTGGGGGGCCGAGGCTGGCGGATCACGAAGTCAAGAGATCGAGACCATTCTGGCCAACATGGTGAAACCCCGTCTCTACTAAAAGTGTGAAAATTAGCCAGGCGTGTTGGCGTGCGCCTGTAGTCCCAGCTACTTGGGAGGCTGAGGCAGAAGAATTGCTTGAACCCGGGAGGTGGAGGTTGCAGTGAGCTGAGATTGTGCCATTACACTCCAGCCTGGTGATAGAGCGAGACTGTCTCAAAATAAAATAAAATTAAATTAAATTTTAAAAGAATTTTAAAAAGAGGTAGATAACATCATAACGATAGCAAACAGTAGTCACTTTAATTTGCTTTCCCAAGTAAGCACATTCTTTACAAATTAAAATTATGATAGAAAGCCAGACAAAATGCATAATACATACATAGTTAAATTTCATATACCTTCAGAGGTAGAATTTGGGATTTATGTAAATAAATGTTACTCAAGTATATCTATGTTTTCAAAGCATATTGTCACATTTTTGTCTGCAGAATAAACAATAAAAAAGGATTTTGCAGGATTCTCTGAGCCTATGGGTCAAAAATAGCCCATCATAAATCCTTAGAAAATTTACAGTAGGCAAATAATTCTCTACTGAATGGCAGTTCTCAAACTGATTTGGTGGGTCTGGTGTGGGTTCTGAGAGTGTCCATTTTTAACAAGTTCCAGTGATGCTGATGTTGCCGGTCTGAGAAGCATCATGAGAACCACTTTCTGGCTGGGTGTGGTGGCTTACGCCTATAATTCCAGCACTTTGGGAGGCTGAGGGAGGTGGATCATGAGGTCAGGAGTTTGAGACCAGCCTGGACAACATGGTGAAACCCCATCTCTACTAAAAATACAAAAATTACACGGGCGTGGTGGCGGGCACCTGTAGTCCCACCTACTCGGGAGGCTGAGGCAAGAGAATCGCTTAAACCTGGGAAGCAGAGGTTGCAGTGAGCCAAGATCGTGCCACTGCACTCTAGCCTGGGTGACAAGGTGAGACTCTGTCTCAAAAAAAAAACGAGAAAAAAAAAAAAAGAAAGAAAACCACTTTCCCTGATACTTTACCATCCAGGAAACTACACTTACTAAGTGCCTATGATTTTTATTTTATTTTATTTTAATTTTTTTTGAGACAGAGTCTCACTCTGTTGCCTAGGCTGGAGTGCAGTGGGGCAATCTCGGCTCACTGCAAGCGCCGTCTCCCGGGTTCAAGCCATTCTCCTGCCTC
The DNA here is from genome assembly GCF_000001405.40 of Homo sapiens. Taxonomy (NCBI): domain Eukaryota; kingdom Metazoa; phylum Chordata; class Mammalia; order Primates; family Hominidae; genus Homo; species Homo sapiens. The sequence continues at coordinate 49,913,640 of NC_000013.11, forward strand.
AGCCTCCAGAGTAGCTAGAACTACAGGCGCCCGCCACCACACCTGGCTAATTTTTTTTGTATTTTTTTAGTAGAGCCAGGGTTTCACCATGTTAGCCACGATGGTCTCGATCTCCTGACCTTGTGATCCTCCCGCCTCAGCCTCCCAAAGTGCTGGGATTACAGGTGTGAGCCACCGCGCCTGGCGCAAGTGCCTATGATTATTAAGGTGTTATATATGTATTACCTTATTTAATCATAGAATCTTATGTCAGTATGATTGCTCCTTTTATAAATGGGAATCTGAGACTTGGAGAGGAGAAAATAGGATGAGCAGCAAAACTACAATTTGGATCTCTTTCTAATTCTAACACTCATGTTTTCCTGAACAATGTACTGTTTCTAGTTGATAAAGGAGGGAAATGTATGCATCCTTGCCATGCTCATTTGAAAACAGACAACGTATCTAAAGATGTATAGAGTGATTGGTTCAGGTCACAGGGCGTTAACTAAAGGACAGTGATTCTTAAGAACCAGGCAAAGACTCAGGGTCATGAAGAGGATTCACTTATCTCTGAACTGAAATAATCACGGGTGATGTGAATTTAGTGTATAACTAACAAAATAGGAAGAATGTGTTTAATATAGTATGGTATATTCCTTAATTACAATTATTTTATTATTCCTTACAGAAAACATACAAATAAAAGTCCTTAAAAGAATAACCTCATTTAAATGTAAAGCATCATACTATTCTAGATGTCTGCCAGTGTATACTACATTACTAATCAACCACTACTTACTCTGAAATTGAGGTAACACAGCCTGAGGCAACAAAATGCTCTGACAATTACTGAAACGTTTATCTCCTTTCACAAAGCAAATCAAAAGCAATGACATTACACAACAAAATAAGCAATTTAAGTTTTAAGAAAAGCGGTACATGATACAGAAATAGACTGCCAAAAATGAAATTGCCAGTAATATAAATTTCTCTCACTTTGTTATATTGTATATAAAAAAGGACACTAAGCGGCAAAATTATCCAACTGTAGATGTCAAATATTTAATGAGGTCTAAACTTCAGAGTGACAAAAACACCCACCCAACTCTACATCTCTATCAAAACAAATATATTATGTAAGAAAGAATTCCCTTTAAATATATATGTATATATAGTCATGTTATACTGTTAATTAAACCCATAATTCTATTTATTTAAATAAGAATTAAATAAACTGCCCAAATGCTTATTTTCATTTCACAAAACATAAAGTATTTTAAATCACAACTTCAGGGTGGTATACTGAATACATTGGTTCCTTAGACAGCATCAACAAGCATATTTTTAAGAATATATTTTCATCTATAGGCCAGGTAAAGTTTTATTAAATGATGAACATTTTTTAACAGTGCAGAAATACAAGTTTTAAAAACAAATACATTCAGAAGATTTGCTGTTCAAATAATATTTTTTCAAAACCAGGTGGAGGCGTATGATAAAACTCACTGAACTGGCAATCCAAAATTGCACTGTCATCAACTAAAGGATACAAAAAGAAAGAAAATAAATTAGAAGCAAATACTTTAATTTCAATGAATACATAATTATAAAATAAAATAAACTGTCTCCATAATACTACAATATTAATAGGTAAGAAGAATAAATATATCTGCTGTCCCTGTTACAAAACATAATCCTATGGGTAAAAACAGCCACAACAAAAATCAAAATCTATCTGTCAAAAACATTGGAAGGATATATATAAAAATATTATTAGTAATTCTCTCAAGAGGATGTGAATATGGGTAATTTTTTTCTTATTTGCTTATCTGCATTTTCTCAATTTTATATAATTAAGACATATTACTTTTTAAAAAAATGTTTAACTTTGAAAAAGTATAGATTCACAGGAAGTTGCAAAAATGTTAAGAGTCCAGTGCACCCTTTGTACACTTTGCCCCAGTGGTAACATCTTACATGACTACAGCTCAACATCCAAACCAGGAAACTGACATTGGTACACTACTGTGAACTAGACTGCAGGCCTTACTCAGCTTCTAAATGTTTTTACCGGTATTTACTCAAGAGAAATGAATGTGTATATCCAAAGACATATTTTCAAACGTTCACAATAGCTTTATTTGTAATAGTCCCACACTGGAAACAACCCTAATGTCCATCAACTGGTGAAGGATAAAGAAATTGTGATATATCCACACAATGCTACACTTCTCAGCAATAAAAACTGATGAATTATTGATATATGCTACAGCATAAATGAATCTTCAAATAATTGTGCTGAGTGAAAGAAGCCAGACCAAAAGAAAAGACCATATGATTTTGTTAATATAATACTCTAGAAAATATGGGCTAATCTGTAGTGACAGAAAGCAGATCAGTGGTTGTTTGGTTGGGGCTGGGGTAGGGAGTGGTGAGTAGGATATAAGAGGCAGAAGGAAACCTTTGGGGTGGTGAATATGTTCATTACCTTGACCCTGGTGATGACAAAACAAAACATGACCGTAAAGCAAAGCAAGTAAATAATCAGCACTGCCACCCAATAGTGATTACTCCCCCTGGGTGAGGAATGCAGCTGTGGTGCGGGCTGCATCTGGGCCAAGAAAATGTTCTATTTCTTGATCTAAGTGGTAATAATGTGAGTGTTCACTTGATAGCTATTTGTTAAATTGCACATATAAGTTTAATGCACATTACTATATACTTTATATTTCAGCATAAATGCAGAAAAAAATGTAAATACTGGATTTGACATTCATGAAGTCACCAGTGATTTTAACAAGGGTGGTTTCAATTAGTGGTGTAATGGCAGCTGAATTGGGTTGCAGAACAAACGAACAATAACAATAAAGGTGTCAAATGCTCTACCCTTGAGCTAGTCAAGTAATCTATACAACAAACCCCCCACCGTGACACCAGTTTACCTGTGTAACAAACCTTCACATGTACCCCCGAACCTAAATGTTAAAAAAAAAAAAGAAAGAAAAACAATAAAGATGGCAGATATAGGTTATTCTAGAAGAAATGTGGCCATCCAGGGAAGGGGAAACACAGGACTAGTGAGGGATGCATGCCCAAAGAAGGGCGTTTGGGATGGGGCTTAGAATGTTTATAAGCACTGAAGAGGGAGGCCCATGACATGAGATATCGATGAAATAACTGACAAAGTGACGTTCCAGATTTGGGGAGTTTGGAATCCAGACTACAGATAGAGTGTTTGCAACATGCAGAGTACCACTTCTGGGATGAGATGGAAAGAAGGCAGGATTGGACCTGAAGAGAGGGAAGCTGGAGTTCACTTGTGATTGCCTGTTTTTTTTGTAAGGTAGAAGGCAAGGCATTTTCAGAGGATGAATAGAGAATGCAAGAAGCACAGAATGCATAGACATGCACAAAGAATTGCTGAAAATTATTGAGAGCTCAGATTAGGCTAGAAGTCATAACTTTGTTTTTTTTTGTTTTGTTTTGTTGTTTTCTTTTTTGAGACAGAGTCTCGCTCTGTCACCCAGGCTGGAGTGCAGTGGCATGATCTCGGCTCACTGCAAGCTCCGCCTCCCCGGTTCACGCTATTCTCTTGCCTCAGCCTCCCAAGTAGCTGGGACCACAGGCACCCGCCACCACACCCAGCTAATTTTTTGTATTTTTAGTAGAGACGGGGTTTCACCCTGTTAGCCAGGATGGTCTCAATCTCCTGACCTCGTGATCCGCCTGCCTCAGCCTCCCAAAGTGCTGGGATTACAGGCGTGAGCTACTGCGCCCAGCCAGGAAGTCGTAACTTTGTAACCACACTTCTTCAGTGTTATGCAGTCTTTTTCTTTCTACAGGCTGAGTGTAAGAAGAGACAAAATGAATGATTGGATTGATCAAGGATTAGGGATGGAAGACAAAAGAGTAAAGGGATTTAAGTTTTATGTTTATCTTTGATAGGATCAGGCTATTAAAACACTTGGTTTAATTGGACTGATTTATGAGTTCAATTTATGAAATATAATTTAGTATCTATAACCTTAGTACATTACAAATAATGCTGAATAAAAGAAACAGTTTAGAGCATTAAACTTATTTGCTACAGTTAACTTGTATAACTGTCACTCTACTGATATTTATTTTATTTCTCAGGCTAACCTATTTCAAATATCAAGCTAAATTTCCATTTACTCAAGTAAATAAAGGAATTGCTTTTAGGCTTACCCAATATGCAACACTAAATTGAGTTTTAAAACACACATTTACATGCAAGGACACAGAAGGTAAAATGACTGAAAAGTAATTTTAGGAGAAAAGAAGGCTAATGAAAACCTTAAACTAAAAGGTAATCACAAGCTTTGGCTATTATCATATTATTATTTATATTTGTTATTGTATAATTCTGACATCCCAGTTTGTCATCATTGATACTGCTATTTTTATTTTAGTATTTTAATTTTATTTTGCTTTTGAGACAGGGTCTTACTCTGGTGCCAAGGCTGGAGTGCAGCGGCACGATGATCACTGCTCACAGGAGACTTGACCTCCCCGGCTCAAGAGATCCTCTCAGCTCAGCCTCTCAAGTAGCTGGGACTACAGGCACGTACAACCACACCTGGATAATTTTAAAATTTTTTGTCGAGACGTGTTCTCACTATGTTGCTCAAGGCTGGTCTTCAACTCCTGGACTCGAGCAACTCTTACCTCAGCCTCCCAAAGTGCTGGGATTACAGGCATGAGTCATTGCACCAGTGCTGCTTTTATAGTAAACTACAACAAATGTAATTAAATTAGTTCTTTTTTTTTTTTTTCTTTTTTTTGAGATGGAGTCTTGCTCTGTCACCCAGGCTGGAGCACAGTGGTGTGATCTCGGCTCACTGCAACCTCTGCCTCCTGGGTTCAAGTGATTCTCCGCCTCACCCTCCTGAGTAGTTGCGATTACAGGTGTGTGCCACCACACACGGTTTCACCATGTTGGCCAGGCTAGTCTTGAACTCCAGACCTCAAGTGACCCACCTGTCTTGGCCTCCCAAACTGCTGGGATTACAGGCATGAGCCACCGTGCCTGGCCTAATTAGTTATTTTTCTTTCTTTTTTAATTTTATTTTATTTTATTTTTTTTTGTGGAGACTAAGTCTTGCTCTGTCGCCCAGGCTGGAGTGCAATGGCATGATCTCGGCTCACTGCAACCTCCATCTCCTGGGTTCAAGTGATTTTCCTGTCTCAGCCTCCCATGTAACTGGGATTACAGGAGTGCGCTACCACGTCTGGCTAATTTTTTGTATTTTTAGTAGAGATGGGGTTTCACCATGTTGGCCAGGCTGGTCTCAAACTCCTGACATCAAGTGATCCACCGGCTTCGGCCTCCCAAAGTGTTGGGATTATAGGTGTGAGCCACCACGCCAGTCCTAATTAGTTCTTATTATAACCCAAATTTAAGAACTTAAATGAGAAAATATTTTTAGACTTACAAAACCAAAGGCAGAAAAATCATATACCTGTTTACTTAAAGTTGATAATACAAAATAGGCTGGACACGGTGGCTCATGCCTATAATCTCAGCACTTTGGGAGGCCGAGGTGGGCAGATCACTTGAGCTCAGGAGTTCGAGATCAGCCTGGCCAACATGGTGAAACCCCATCTCTAGTAAAAATATAAAAGTTGGCCAGGTGCTCACACCTATAATCCCAGCACTTTGGAAGGCCGAGGCGGGCAGAACAGAAGGTCAAGAGATCAAGACCATCCTGGCCAACATGGTGAAACCCCATCTCTACTAAAAATACAAAAATTAGCTGGGTGTGGTGGTGCGTGCTTGTAGTCCCATCTACTCGGGAGGCTGAGGCAGGAGAATCGCTTGAACCTGGGAGGCGGAGGTTTCAGTGAGCCAAGATCGTGCCACTGCACTCCAGTCTGGCGATGGAATGAGACTCTGTCTCAAAAAAAACAAAACAATACAAAAAAACCCCAAAAGTTAGCTGGGTGTGGTGATACACACCTGTAATCCCAGCTACTCTGGAGGCTGAGGCACGAGAATATCTTGAACCCAGGAGGCGGAGGCAGCAGTGAGCCAAGATCACAACACTGCACTCCAGTCTGGGTGACAGAGTGAGACTCTGTCTCAAAAAAAAAAAAAAAAAAAAGTTGATAGTATAAAAAATAAAGCAGAATGGATTGATAAAGACATTGTGGTTATGTTTTTCTAAAAAAAAAAAAAGAAAGAGACCTTTTTTTCGAGATACAAATAAAACATTTATGAATAAAATTATATATTACCTGGCATTTGCCTCAAAATAACCCAAGGAGGGTAAGTGAAGAACAATAGCAGCATTGGGGGTGGGGGGGTGTAGATGAAACCCGATTGGTTACAAGTTGATAATTGTTTGAAGCTGGCTGATGGGTATATGAGGGTTTATTATACTATTCTTTTTACTTCTGTACATGTTTGGAATTTTCTATAATAAAAATTAAGGTAGGCCGGATGCAGTGGTTCATGCCTGTAATCCCAATAGTGGTGCACACTTGTAGTCCCAGCTACTGGGGTGGCTGAGGTGGGAGGATTGCTTGAACCCAGGAGTTTGAGGCTGCAGTGAGCTGTGATCGGGCCACTGCACTCCAGCCTGGGGGACACAGCAAGACTCTGTCGCAAAACAAAACAAAACAAAACAAAACAAAACAAAAAAACAAAAAATTAAAGTTAAAATTAAAATTCTAAGTCACTATTTCCCTCAGAAGAGCATTAACATTTAAGGAATTTTGTAAGGGTTATTAATGTACAGTCTACATAAAATTCCCATCTCTAATTCCAAAATATTATTTATAATTATGTTTCCTGGCCATGCAATCATTCCCAATGACTTGCAGAAAAAGTTTTCTAAATTCAGTAAAGCTTTTTGAAACTTTCTAAAACATAAAACTACATGTTGAAAAAGGGAGTACGGTTATTGCATATTTAAGTGTAATCATTGTATTTAGCAAGTTTATTTTAATACATGGGGAACAGAAACTATCCTTAATCCTGCAAAGTGGGATTGTAATATCCTACCGACTACAATCCATATAAAAAGGTCCTTATGGCTGGGCACGGTGACTTATACCTGTAATCCCAGCACTTTGGGAGGTTGAGGTGGGTGGATCATCTGAGGTCAGGAGTTTAAGACCAGCCTGGCCAACATGGTGAAACCCCATCTCTACTAAAAATACAAAAAGTAGCCAGGCGTGGTGGCAGGCACCTGTAATCCCAGTTACTCGGGAGGCTGAGGCAGGAGAATCGCTTGAACCCAGGAGGCGGAGGCTGCAGTGAGCTGAGATCGTGTCACTGCACTCCAGCCTGGGTGACAGAGTGACACTCCGTTTCAAACAATAAATAAATAAATAAAATAAAAAGGTCCTTATTAACAATGTGTCCAGATTTCTAGATGATAGCTATAAAAGTAACATACACGCTGATATGGTTTGGCTGTGTCCCCACCCAAATCTCGTCTTGAATTATAGTTCCCATTATCCCCATGTGTTGTGGAGGGACCCAGTGGGAGGTAATTGAATCATGGGGGTGGTTACACTCATGCTGTTCTTGTAAAAGTGAGTGAGTTTTCACAAGATCTGATGGTTTCATAAGGGGCTTTCCCCAACTTCGCTCAATCTTCTCCTTCCTATTGCCATGTGAAGAAGGATGTGTTTGCTTCCCCTTCCGCCATGATTGTAAGTTTCCTGAGGCCTCCCCAGCTCTGTGGAACTGTGAGTCAATTAAACCTCTTTCCTTTATAAATTACCAAGTCTTGGGTATGTCTTTATAGCAGCATGAAAACAGACTGATACACACACCAAACAAGTTAATATGTATGTAATAATACATTAGAAATATTTTTGCTTACCATAAACAACTGGATACACTGTCCCTCGTATACCTGATGCTGGACAATGCATGTTTTTTCCATTCAAGTATACATTTAATTCGACATGGTCATAAGTAATACCCTAGGAAGGAAAAAACAGAAACGTTCCATAAAAGCTGAGCCGTCAGAAAGCATTGACTGGGAAGTATGGAAACACAAAAAGCTAAGCATAGGCTGACAACAATTTTCATTAAGGGTTGACAATTTGGTAGAATCCTACTTGAACTGAGCTAAAAAAATGAGTAGTGATTATGAGGGGGGATAAAGTCAGGTAACATCCCAAGAGTCCACATTAGAGGTAAAACAAAGCCAACAGTTTAAATCCTAGAATTATATTTGTATAATCTGGATTTTATATTTTGAATGCTAAGATAATATAAGTACTACATACCATGAATAGAGAAACCTTTTACACTCATACAGAAAACGCTGCTCTTTCTCTACAGAATTTGATCTAAAGAAGGAAAAACAATGAGGTTTTTTTCACTGTCAGGACTTACTACCTGTCACTGTTTTCAAATTATGAAGAAACGTCTCTATACATTTTATTTCCAGGAAGAAATAACACATTTCTACATCTCTTTACTCTGGTTTCAAATGTGTCAAGTGTATTATCAAGGAAAAGCTGGTGTTCACAACTGAATAAAATTGGTAATTAGTTTCAAGTTAAAAAACAAAAATAGTAGCTCAAATGATTTAAAAAACAATGTAATAAAATTACTCGGTACACTATTGATGGAAAAAAATCACAATTAGTGATATTAATAATTATTGTTAAAATAATTATTTTATAATTATATAAATAAAATATTTATTTGTATAAATATAAATTATTTATATAAATAAATAAAAGGCTAGAAAAGACTTAGCCCATGTTATAAACCAATAGTGCTACTATTCTAGGCAGTTCATATTTACTCATTTAATCCTCACAACAAGACAGTATTACTATCCCCATTTTACAGATGAAGCTAAAGCACAGAAAGATTAAGTAATTTACCTAAGGTTGCACAGCTAGGAAGTGGAAAAGCTGTGATTTAAATCCATACAGTATGGTTTCAGAATCCTTGCTCTTAATCACAATACCTCTCTCTAAATCACCATGCCTCTCTTTAAACACTTGCTCTTAATCACCATATCTCTCTTTAAAACTTTATACAATAGCTACTAACTGATAACAAAAAGAGATCTTTCCCTTGAAAGACAGCAGAGATCTTTCAATAGAGAAGTCATCATAGACCAAGAAGCAAACCACTTCAAGGATTTCAGGATTTCTGACTGTGGATACATTCTATCAAGTTAAAAGCTTTTTAGAGGTAAAAAAAAAAAATTTTATAGATCATCTTAGTCTTAAATTCTCTCTCTTTACAAGCAAGACAGCAAAAGCCCAGAGAAGCTAATGTGGTAAGTGGTATGAAAGATTCTCAATTCTTAGCAAAGCCAGGGTTAACTTAAACAATTATTAATAATTAAGGAATACTGAGAAAGATAAATAGTACATAGATTGCCTTTGCTTCGCTTTAGTTTATGTCTTTAGATAATAGTAATAAAGCTAGCTGATGGCTGGGATTCACTTTTCTAATGAAAAAGTCTGTTTTCATTTTAAAAAACAAAAACTTAATTACATAAAAAAGAAAGTATGTTACTCTCATTATGGGACTACCAGAAATCTAGCAGTTCAGATCAGTGAGGTTGTAATCCAGGCACTTTCATCCCCCAGTGGCCGATTGCAAACAAACAAGTTTGTTTTTTGTTTTTTTTTTGAGACAGAGTCTCGTTCTGTCACCCAGGCTGTAGTGCAATGGCATGATCTTGGCTCACTGCAACCTCCACTTCCCAGGTTCAGGAGATTCTCCTGCCTTAGCCTCCCCAGTAGCTGGGATTACAGGCGCCCGCCACCATGCCTGGCTAATTTTTGCATTTTTAGTAGAGATGGGGTTTCACCATGTTGGCCAGGCTGGTCTTGAACTCCTGACCTCAAATGATCTGCCCGCCTCGGTCTCCCAAAATGCGGAGATTACAGGCGTTGGCCACCGCGCCCAGCCTCAAACAAGCAAGTTTTAAACCCAAGCCTGCAGTAGCAAAATCCCAGTACCAAAGAAGTGAGGAAAGATGTGAGAAGTCCCACCCTCAGTATAGTTTAGTTCAAGTATTTTCTTTCTTTTTTTTTTTGAGACTGGGTCTCACTCTGTCGCCCAGGCTGGAGCGCAGTGGCGCGACCTTGGCTCAGTGTGATACGCCCGCCTCAGCCTCCCGAAGTGCAGGGATTACAGGCATGTGCCACTGTGATGGGCCAGTTCAAGTGTTTTCTAACCTAATCTATTCTATGATGAAGAAACTGGGTTTGATTCTGCCAAAATGATAGCAAAATATACTGTGTGTTCTATGTCTTTATTAATAATTGTGTGCAGGTTAGTGAACAGATTCTGAAATTAGACTGCTTCAGGTATGATCTTGGTTTTTGTTTTTGTTTTTGAGACAAGGTCTTTTTTTTTTTTTTTGAGGCAGAGTTTCGTTCTTGTCGCCTAGGCTGGAGTGCAATGGCGCAATCTCGGCTCACTGCAACCTCCGCCTCCCAGGTTCAAGTGATTCTCCTGCCTCAGCCTCCCGAGTAGCTGGGATTACAGGCATGCACCACTACGCCTGGCTAATTTTTTGTATTTTTTTTAGTAGAGACGGGGTTTCTCCATGTTGGTCAGGCTGGTCTCGAACTCCTGACCTCAGGTGATCTGCCCACCTCGGCCTCCCAAAGTGCTGGGATTACAGGCGTGAGCCACCGCACCCGGCCAGAGACAAGGTCTTGCTCTGTGTGGCCCAGGTTGGGTGGAGTGCAGCGGCAGGATCACGGCTCACTGCCGCCTTTATCTCCCAGGCTGAAGCAGTTCTCCCACCTCAGCCTTCCAAGTAGCTAGAACTACAGGGGCATGCCACTATGCCCGGCTAATTTTCTTTTTAAATTTTATTTATTTATTTATTTGTTTGTTTGTTTGTAGAGATGGGGTCTCACTATGTTTCCCAGGCTGGTCTCAAATTCCTGAGCTCAAGGGATCCTTCTGCCTTGGCCTCTCAAAGTGCTAGGATTACAGGCATGAGCCATAGTATCTGGCTGAGCTATATAGTCTTGTAATTAACTCACATAAGAAGTTACTTAATTTCTCTTAATCTGTAAAATGGGGATAATAATACTACTACCGTACGGGCGTGGTGGCTCACACCTGTAATCTCAGCACTTTGGGAGGCCGAGGTGGGTAGATCACTTGAGGTCAGGAGTTCCAGACCAGCCTGGCCAAAATGGTGAAACCCTGTCTCTACTAAAAACACAAAAAAATTAGCTGGGAATGGTGGCAGGCACCTGTAATTGTAGCTACTCAGGAGGCTGAGGCAGGAGAACCGCTTGAACCCGGGAGGTGAAGGTTGCAGTAAGCCGAGACTGCATCATTGCACTTCAGCCTGGGCAACAAGAGCAAAACTCCATCTCAAAAAAAAAAAATAAATAAATAATAATAATAATAATAATAATAATAATAATACCTATTTCAAAGGGCCATTATGAGCATTAAACAATTTAATCCTTGCCAGGCACTTAGAGCAGTGCCCATAATAAATGCTTAGGTCTGGGCACGGTGGCTCATGCCTGTAATCCCATCACTTTGGGAGGCCAAGGTGGGTGGATCACGAGGTCAGGAGTTCGAGACCAGCCTGTCCAATATGGTGAAACCCCGTCTCTACTAAAAAATACAAAAATTAGCCAGGCGTGGTGGCACGCACTTGTAGTCCCAGCTACTAGAGAGGCTGAGACGGGAGAATCGCTTGAATCCAGGAGGTGGAGGTTGCAGTGAGCCGAGATGGCACCACTGCAATCCAGCCTGGGCAACAGAGTGAGACTCCATCTCAATAAATAAATGCTTAGAAGTGTTTGTTATTGTTATTATTACATAGAATGTTTATAAGACTTCTCTAAAAGTAAACTGATACATGCATGTTAGAATGAAATTTGTACTTTTCAGAATTATATGTATAAGGAGAAAGTAGGCCGGGCACGGTGGCTCACGCCTGTAATCCCAGCACTTTGGGAGGCCGAGGTGGGCAGATCATGAGGTCAGGAGTTGGAGACCATCCTGGCTAACACAGTGAAAACCCGTCTCTAGTAAAAAATGAAAAAAATTAGCCAGTCGTGGTGGCGGGCGCCTGTAGTCCCAGCTACTCAGGAGGCTGAGGCAGGAGTATGGCGTGAACCCAGGAGGTGTAGCTTGCAGTGAGCCAAGATAGCGCCACTGCACTCCAGCCTGGGTGACAGAGCGAGTGGCCATCTGAAAACAAAAAAAAAAAAAAGGAGAAAGTGAGCATAAACTGTTTCATGTATGTCTTTCTAGTTCTGTAGCAGGCCGTGCTGTACTGGGTGATTATCATATGAATATAATCATATAATCATTTGGTTAGATGTTCACAGCTTATTTTTCTTGATTTCTCCTCAGAGAATGGTACATGACTTAAATTCTAAACACATGAGAATGCTTTTCCTGTCTTATAATCCATTCTACTTATTGCATGCCACTGTTAACAATTTGGTAAAATTTGTTCTCCAGTGTTTGAACTAGTTAAAATAGCAGGGTAATGTTTTTCTTTTCTTGGCTCTGCATGTATTTCATAGTTTTAGTTCTCCTTTTATGAGAATGAGCTCATATGAAAACTCGAAGTCTAATTTAACAACACTGACAGACTAAAAGTGGCATTCTTCAGTCTGTCACACTGTGCTATCAGACATTACAATGAATGAAATGAGATAGGAAGGCAGGTAGAAGTTTCAGTTCATCAACAAAGAAAAACATTTGTTACTGATTATCCTTTCTTATGTTTGAATTTCATCTTTTAGGGTAAACAGGTTGACAGCATCAACTTGACTTCAAGATTCTCTTTCAAGAAATTACCATTTGAATAAGGATGTTCCATATTATGGGCATCTGGCAATGATCTACAAATACAGAACCAACTATTCAAAAAGCATGGGAAAAAGCAGATTTTTTTAATGGCTTATGCCTTTCATCTCCTTTTTTTCTTTAGTCAATTCTGGAAAAAAAACTTCCAACAATTAAAAACTTACAGTTGTTCATATTTTTTAAATTGCAAAAAAGAGAAGAAAGATCAGGCCGTAATTAAAAATCTTAATTTCCACACCTTTCTTCATTCTTTCTAAAATACTGTACCTTTTCATAATTAATTAACCTGGATTTCTCTTATCTTTTCATCTTATTAGAATCCTTCTCTCATTATTCATAGATTCCTTTCAACTTGATATCAGAATTGAGAACCCAAGGTTCAGTGTACAAGGGCACCTCGGCTGAAGGAGACTCTAGGACTCTGTTCTAAATCAATGGCCTGACCTCTGGATAGGGAGGGGTTTTGGATAATGCAGTGTGGAAGGAAGTATCTGGAAAAGACAGAAAGAAATCTTTGGATTACATTTTCAATGTGCTAGCTTTGTAAAGAGTTAAATATAGCCAGTTAGGAGTAAAAACAGAAAAGTCTTAATAACGTGTAACTTTTACTATCCTCTGCTTTCTAAAAAAAAAACTTTTCTACGATCAAGCTTTAGGATTTTGAGTTCCGTTCTCTGAAGAGTTTAATTAGGTTAAGTTTAATGAAGATGAACATTTCTGATAAAATGCTGTAATTCTCTTAATAGAATTTCATAACAAATTAAGAAATACATGTGTGGCTAGGCGCGGTGGCTCATGCCTGTAATCCCAGCACTTTGGGAGGCCGAGGCAGGTGGATCACTTGAGGTCAGGAGTTCGAGATCAGCCTGGCCAACATGGCGAAACCCCGTCTCTACTAAAAATAAAAAAAATCAGCCAGGCCTGGTGGTGTGCGCCTGTAATCCTAGCTACTCGGGAGGCTGAGGCCGGAGAATAGCTTGAACCTGGGAGGCAGAGGTTGCAGTGAGCCAAGATCATGCCACTGCACTACAGCCTAGGTGACAGAGCGAGACTCTAAGAAAAAAAAAAAAAACAAGAAGAAGAAATAAATGTGAACATTTTCCCTAAGAGATATCCAGCCTTAAAAATAACTAGTATTTTCTAATATAAGCTTCAGCAAACTTTTAGAATTGTGGGCCAAGTTTTCTCTAATGTGAGAGAAACAGGAATGTGTGATCAGCAGACAGCCTGTCATTAATTCTCCAGAGTAGAAATAAGGGTTCACACTGATTTTCCCAGCCAGTGGCAGCTCTAAAAAGGAGGGGGCAGTTGAGTAGGGTGCAACATCTACACCAAGTGCTCTCCTGGAAAATGCACCATCTCATTAGATCCAATCCCACTGCTTTGGAATTCAAACCACAAACTCCCAGACAAAGCTGTAGATACTAAAAGCAGTTCAAATTTAGTCATTTACAGTGGAAAGCAACTCCATGAGGGAACTCACCACCACATCTCCTTCCTGCGGAAGACTGTTTGCTGGCAGCCTATTTTTCTCTTCATTGTTGTGGTAAAGGGCTCCATCATTTCTCATCACCAGACTGTGCATATCTCGGCCAAGAGGAATCTGATTCAAGTTAACCTTCTGAGTTGCAACACCAATACCCCAGATTCCTAAAAATATAACAGTTTAAATGCCCTCAAAATCTGAAGACTACAACCATCGAGTTATTTTAAAAGGGAGTATAAACTTTTTAAAGGAAGTGCTGTATTAACACTAAATTGTTTTCTATTACTCTTTTTAAAAAATCTTCTTTTAGAAGTAGTTTGCACCAGCCTGGGCAACATGCCCAAACCCCGTCTCTACAAAAAATACAAAAATTAGTTGGGCATGGGAGCATGTGCCTGTAACCCCAGCTACTCAGGAGGCTGAGGTGGGAGGATTGTTGGAGCCAGGGAAGTTGAGGTTGCAGTGATCCATGATCATTCCACTGCACTCCAGCCTGAGCGACAAAGCCAGACCCTGTCTCAATAAATAAAATAAAATAAAAGTAGTTTGCAAACTATACTATGTTCTCCACAGATGTAGTACAGCCTAGGAGATAAGAGAGTGGGCCCTGGAACAGTGCAAATGAGGATTAAATCTTGACTCTGCTACATCATCTTGCGCAAATTACCTAACCTCTCTTTGTTCCCTTATCTGTGAACTGAGGATTCTAACAGTACTCACCTTGCAAGGTAATGAAAAGATACAACAAGATAATCCAAGTAAAGCACTTGAACAGTGTAAGTACTCCACAGCATGAGAAAGTAAAGCACACAGTAAGTATTCAGAAAATGCTAGCTGTCATCATCATCATTATTATTATCTCAAAAAGATTTTTTAAAAGCTACACATTGAATTTAAATGGCCTGGAGTTCAATTTCAAGCTCTCCCTTTGAAAAGTGGGAATGTACTGTCTTCAGTTTTTACATCTACAATGAGTGACAAACAATATATACCATAAGCAATATCATGGAGAGGAGAAATTAACAATAAGGTGTAAAATCATTTTCTTACCCAGTATTTTAAGCCACCACACCCAGCTAATTTTTCTTTTCTTTGTAGAGATGGGGTTGTGCTATGTTTGCCCAGGCTGGTCTCAAACTCCTGGCCTTGAGCAACCCTCCTGCCTCAGTCTCCCAAAGCGCTGGAATTACAGGTGTAAGCCACCATGCCCCATTGAAAATCATTATTTAAAACTAATTTAGAGCTAGGCACGGTGGCTTGAGCCTGTAGTTTCAGCTACTGGGAAGGCTGCGGCAGGAGTACTGCTTCAGCCTAGAAGCTCAAGGCTGCACTGAGCTATAATCATGCCACTGCACTCCAGCCTGGGTGACAGAGCAAGACCCCATCTATAAATAAATAAATAAGTAAAAATAATTTAGAAAATAAGCCCTAGGGGGAAATTTTATATCATTCAAGGCTGGCCAAGTAATAGTAAGATTCATTTACTCCACTCTCATTTTCCTATTCTCTACCCACATTACTGATGCAGTATTTCACTAGAAGTTTATTTACAATAAAGCTTGTTTTGTTTTTGTTTTTGTATTTGTTTTTTTGAGACAGAGTCTTGTACTGTTGCCCAGGCTGGAGCGCAGTGGCACGATCTCGGCTCACTGTAACCTCTTCTTCCTGGGTTCAAGCGATTCTCCTGCCTCAGCCTCCCGAGTAGCTGGGATTACAGGCGCCCACCACCACGCCTGACTAATTTTTTGTACTTTTAGTAGAAACGGGGTTTCACTATGTTGACCAGGCTGGTCTCAAATGCCTGACCTCGTGATCCACCCCCTCGGCCTCCCAAAGTGCTGGGTTACAGGCGTGAGCCACCACGCCCAGCCACTTTTTTTTTTTTTGAGACGGAGTCTCACTCTGTTGCCCAGGCTGCAGTGCAGTGGCATAATCTCAGCTCACTGCAGCCTCTGTCTTCCGGGTTCAGGCAATTCTCCTGCCTTAGCCTCCCGAGTAACTGGGACTACAGGTGCCCACCACGATGCCTGGATGATTTTTGTATCTTTAGTAGAGATGGGGTTTCGCCATGTTGGCCAGGCTGGTCTTGAACTCCTGACCTCAGGTGATCTGCCCACCTCGGCCTCCCAAAGTGTTGGGATTACAGGTGTGAGCCACTATGCCCGATCACTTTACAGTAAAGCTTTTATTTTAAAAGTTTTCCCATATACAATACAGGCACAGTTAACTAACCTATTATAATCACATAGAATTGCTTTACAGTTCAAGAAACTCCATAAATTTTAAAAAGAGAAATATAGACTGCAGACTTCTATCTGAATTCTGAATTTGATGACTGCTTCAAAACACTGAATCAGGGTATCTTAATAACTGAGTTAAGAGAAAAACTCTGGCTCATGCCTGTAATCCCAACACTTTGGGAGGCCGACGAGGGCAGATCACAAGATCAGGAGTTTGAGATCAGCCTGACCAACATGGTGAAACCTCTGTCTCTACTGAAAATATAAAAATTAGCTGGGCATGGTGGTGCATGCCTGTAATCCCAGCTACTCAAGAGGCTGAGGCAAGAGAATTGCTTGAACCCGGGAGGCGGAGGTTGCCGTGAGTCAAGACCGCGCCACTGCACTCCAGCCTGGGTGACAGAGCAAGACTCCATCTCAAAAAAGAAAAAAAAAAAGAAAAACTCAGAATCAACAGATTGACTTTAATCCTAAAATAAATAGCAAGAGTATATGCTGCTTATATGTTTGACCTTATATGCTTGACCAAACAAGAGGGTTCATCCGGATCCCATTAAAAATACTAGTGCCTTATATTTATGCAGCATGTCTTGTCTTAAAACACTTTCATACATAGAGTTCCTGTGAGGCAGAATGGGCAGCTCCTGTAATACCCATTTTATAGATGAGAAAACTGAACCTAATTTAACTAAATTAACTAATTTACCCAGGATCACACAACAAGAGGTGGAAGACCCAGATCTTCTAAGAGTTTGGTGCTTTTATATTACCTTCTGAATCTTTTTTATGTGTTACAAATTACTCTTAATATTTAGAACAATTAGGACTTTTAATAGTAAAGTACCATTATACCAACCTGTGGACTGGATTTTGAATTCAAAATAGCTTTTGTTTTGATGTAAAGGTGCGCTGGCTAAACAACCTCCTGTTCCACATATTCTTCTTCCATTCTTTACAATAACAACATCTGTTCCTAAACAAAAAATGCAGACACTATGTAAAGTTTTGTATTTTCTTTTCTTTTCTTTTCTTTTTTGAGACGGAGTCTTGCTCTGTCACCCAGGCTGGAGTGCAGTGGCACGGTCTTGGCTCACTGCAACCTCTGCCTCCTGGGTTCAAGTGATTCTCCTGCCTCAGCCTCCCGAGTAGCTGGGACTACAGGTGTGCACCACCACACCTGGCTAAATTTTTATATTTTTAGTAGAGATGGGGGTTTCACCATATTGGTCAGGCTGGTCTTGAATTCCTGACCTCGTGATCCGCCCACCTTGGCCTCCCAAAGTTCTGGGATTACAGGCGTGAAGCACCGCGCCTGGCCAAGTTTTCTATTTTCAATCCAACAATCAGGATTAATTTGTTCAGTTCTAACTCAGTCCACAAAAAATAGGGACACTGTAAGTACTTTGAAATATAGCTGAATTATTTTAAATATTTAATTCACTATTTTTTCCTAAGAGAACATTTATAAGTAATATTCATTTGTATGTATAAGTTTTAATTAAGCATGCTGGGTACAGTGGTTCGTACCTGTAATCCCAGCACTTTGGGAGGCCGAGGTGGGCAGACTGCTTGAGTGCAGGAAGTCGAGACCAGCCTGGGCAACCTTGCAAAACCCCATCTCTATAAAAAATACAAAAATTAGCTGGTGTGGTGGCACAAGCCTGTAGTCCCAGCTACTTGGGAGGCCGAGGTGGGAGGATCACTTGAGCCTGGGAGGCAGAGGTTGCAGTGAACTGAGATTGCACCACTGCACTCTAGCCTGGGCGAGAGAAGTAAGTTTTAATTAAGCAGTTTCAAGTAAACTGCAATAACTCTGAATTATATTGAACGTTCAAAACACTTTTAAGGTAGAAATAGACTAACTCTTTTAATTTTTAGCCAGGAAACCAATTTGATGATTTCATAAATTTCTTAATTTAAACCAAAACATAAACACAAGAGACTTTAGTAAATTGGTAGTTTTCAATTCTATTCAAATGAATTAAAACAATTTACTAAAAGCCACCTGAATGCCTACTAAATACAAGCTACTATACTTGTGCATTAGTCATGTAAGAACTGAAGAGTACAGGGAATATGAAAAAGAACACACATCTATGTTGAAATACCTGACAGTGACAAACTGCTAACTTTAGGATCTTAAAATGTTTATTAAGATAGCTACTTCAATCACATTGCAAATATGTAAACAAGGTTTTAACATTCTTACATGCACTTTATTCTCGTAGAAAATTTTTTAGATGAAACGACATCTATAGATGAGAGTGAGAAAGAGAGACACTGTCTCCTGATGTGATCCTAGTACCAATTTGATTTAGGAAAATGTCTATCAGAGAATATACATAATTCTAACATGTAAGAATACACAGAATTACATAATTCTAATATGTAAGAAATAGCCCATACACCAATGCATAACTCCCCATACTTGTGGCCACTACCACCACTTTGCTGGCAATAACTGTACCAGCCAAGCAGATCTGAATATTCGAACTGTATGGGACTCTTCCAGAAGGGGTTAAATAAAATTAGGTCATAGTAACAAAAGGTTGAATTAACAGTTAAACAAAATTATTTGGTACAAATACATAAAAGAAATGCAAAATTTTCAGATTCTAACACAATTCTAAACTGGTTAAGAGATGCTCTCCCTTAAACAAGGCAAAACTGAGATCCTATTGTATGATTACTAAAAATTCATTAACATCTTTTTTTTTCTAATTAAAAAAGTTAACCCCCAAATTCTGGGAAAGTACCTTTATAAATAATTTGCATCTGGCTACTCCATATACCTCCAGTAATTTCAACTGGAGAGCATCCTCCTTGATGGCAAAGACCATGCAGTGCTTGGCATTGAGCAGCTGCTCATCAAATAACTGATAAAGGTTGAATTAATATGCTGTGCTAAGCACTTTGTAGTGGACATGCAGTATCTGTTCTCCCTCTCCCGACAGACTTCCCTCTGGAGATCAAAACAGTTCCAAGAAAGCTGACTCAATCTCTGCTTCAGGTGTACAACATTTGATCTAGGTTAAGGCAATCAGTGCCCTCCACATTTCTTGGCCACAGTAACTGAGTCAAGAACTGCTACATGACCTAATCAACTACAATCAGAATCTCAGGACTTTTGCAGAGCACAATGGGATATAACACTCTTGGCCAGGCGAGGTGGCTAACACCTGTAATCCCAGCTCTTTGGGAGGCTGAGGCAGGCAGATTACTTGAGGTCAGGAGTTCAAGACCAGCCTGGCCAACATGGTGAAACCCCCATCTCTACTAAAAATACAAAAATTAGCCAGGCATGGTGGTGGGCGCCTATAGTCCCAGCTACTCAGGAGGCTGAGACAGGAGAATTAATTGAACCCAGGAGGCGGAGGTTGCAGTGAGCTGAGATCAGGCCACTGCACTCCAGCCTGGGCGACAGAGCGAGATTCCCTCTCAAAAAAAAAAAAAAGAAAAAAAAAGAAAGAAAGAATATTCAGGGTGTTTATGAGTCATTAGGGAATCATTTTAAGCTTATCCCATTTCTCTTAAGTACACAGACGGTTTTAGAATCTGTACTTTTAATGATTGGTGCTGCTTAGACGGTCAAGGCAAATTTGAGTACAGCCAGAATGCCACATAAACATAGCCACAGAGGATGTTTTAAGAAACATAAATTTCCAAATGAGCGGTGTCCCTTTCAAAGTAGCTGCCTTGGAAGTCATTTGTTTCTAAAATGTCGATTCACAATTAAAAGCCAAAGATATGGCATCAATGATAATACTTACAAAAATTATGCCATAGAAAATTCCAAAAGAGGAATTCCAAAGTGGTTTTAAGTAATACAACATCACTAAAATAAGTGACAACCCTCGGAGAATCACTTGAAGTATACAGACAATTTTGTTAAAAAAAAAAAAGCAATCACATTTTTTAGGTTATTTAATATAATAATCTTTCACACCACCAAATCCATGTGTTTCTATTTTCAAGTCAAGATCAATTCATGCTTGAAACATGTTCTTCTAACTCAACAACCCTTTTCTTTCATTTTATTCAGGTTCTCAAATCAGGCTCCTCTGTGATTGAATAATTTAAGTTTATAGAAAGACAGGCTAAGAAAAAACTTCCTGGCCGGGCGTGGTGGCTCACCCCTATAATCCCAGCACTTTGGGAGGCTGAGAGGCAGGCAGATCACGAGGTCAGTTCGAGACCAGCCTGACCAACATGGTGAAACTCTGTCTCTACTAAAAATACAAAAATTAGCCGGGCTTGATGGTGGGCGCCTGTAATCCCAGCTACTCAAGAGGCTGAGGCAGAAGAATTGCTTGAACCCGGGAGGCGGAGGTTGCAGTGAGTGGAGATTGTGCCACAGCACTCCAGCCTGGGCAACAATAGTGAAACTCCGTCTCAAAAAAAAAAAAAAAAAAAAAAGAAAAGAAGAAGAAAAAACTTCCATGCAGTTAGAAAATTTGGAGATGACATTACTCTATTTCATCCAGTTAGTAGCTGACAGTTGCTGGACAGCTTTGGAGAAATAAAACACAGTGGAATGAGTATATCTGACCAGCTCTTCCTAGAGGAAACAGATGACAGAGAAAAGGAATGCTCCAAAGAGGAGACTGCAGTAATTCAAGAGTCTAACAGTAAAGATAGGAAGAAGTGCTGCAGTTGATCATGAGTTCCAGGAATTATGTATGGTTGTCCTTCACTATATTCTCAGCACTTATAACAATGCCTGCCACCTGATAATTGCTTAATAAATATCACTTCAGTAAATGAGTAACTGAAATGGAAATATTTTCTGAGGAAAACTATAGAATTTGAACTCCATCGTCTATAAATAATGATGGATAAAAAATAATTTAAAGATTACTTATGTATTAAGGTTCTGTACTACATTTGGGAGATCTGAGAATTAAAAGTAAATACACACATACAAGGTGATTATATAGTTATCACATTTAGTATGTGTTATACAAAAATACAGTGGGCAGAGTGTTTCCAGAATTATAAGGAAACTGGGCGAGAGAGTTTTATCATAAATATTAAGAAGTGCCTTTTTATTTCAATGCACTGTCCTTTAAACAATCAGAAACGTGTAAAAAATCAAAAGTGCAGAAGTACAGTTAGAATAAAATAATCCACAAAAAGACAGTACTCTAACTGAAATAATTATATTGGGAAATCTCTCCTTCTAGAACCACATTCCAGAAGCATGAAACTACCTGGGAAAAGTCTAAGAAATAATAAGGTGGTGAAAGAGGCTATGATGGGAGAGGAAGAATGTTAGATAAATTATATGGATTTGGAATTAAAAGGATAAAGCAAGATGCAAAGGAGCAAAGTGCTATTTTATTTTTCAACAGTTAGACCTGTTGGGAAGAGGCCAGTCAGATGAAATTACAGTACCTCTCACAATGACTAAGGAGTCGGGCAATGGGAGGTTTTAGTTGAAATGGCAAGTTCTGACCTGAGGTGCGACTTCAGACTTCTGCAGTCTGCCTTGTTTCGACTTTAGGAGGTGAGAGGAAAATTACTTCCAATAATATAGGATTCAACCTATAAATGATGGGGCTCAAGAGACAGGACCGACAGTCAGGGCAGGAGGAGGAGCAAGACCGGACCTAGAAGCATTCTGAAAATGTGTAGGTTTTCACTGGGGCGCGCCAGAAGGGCACTCTCCGCCCCCTCGCCCGAGGACGTGTGACATCTCCGGAGGAAGCCTCCGAGATTCCTGTGAAAATGGGAGGTCCACACGCCCATTCGCGATGACAGACACAGAGAGGGCTGCGCAGCCTTGAACACAGAACCGGGCCCAGGTGGAGTCCGCCGGCTTCTGGAGAGATCTGCGAGACGAAATGGTGTCGGCGCAGCGTCGCCGGCGCGGCGGGGCAGCGTGGGGACCCTCTGACCCTGAAGGTCCCCCTGCCCGCCGCGCCCGGCCCCCGTGAGCCGTTGGGTCTGGGGAAGGGAGGGCCCTTACCCATGTGCTGCGTGTCCAGCTGCACGGCCGGCATCTCCTTCAGAGGGATGTGGCCAGTCCCCCCGTCTCTGCAGCACCGCAGGCAGCACAACACCGAGGTGGCCATCGCGCAGGGACCACCGACTCCGCCGCCGTCCCTAGACCGAGGCGACACTGCCCCCCGCCGCTCAGCTCCGTCTCCTGCCCCCGCCCGAGGTCCGGACTTGTCTATGTGGAGCTCGGAGGCCGGTACAGCGACACCCTAGGCCGGGAGGGCGCAATGCAGGCTGAGCTTAGGCTGGCCTGCGAGGAAGACGCGGAGAATCAAGGGGCCGGGGAGAGACCGGACAGGGCGAGCGGCCGGGCTGGGCCGGGGAGACGGGTGGGGCTAGTGGCGCGCGGAGGCGTGGCAGGGGGCGTGGCGTTGCGGGCCTGCGGATGTGGGACGGCGTGCGCCTGCGCACCAGCTGGTTTTTTCTCCTTGGGCGGTTTCGCGCACGCCCCCAGGGCTGACAGGTGAGTGGGGCTGTCTGTCCCTCAGTACTTCCAGGGGTTTTCCTATGCAGAATTTTTAAAACGCAGCACCCCTTGGTCCCGGCCTCGACATTATTTCTAGGGATGGATTGACAGAAGCGAATCAGTTTGGGGGAAGGGGAGCTAATGGAAATGACTTCCGAGTTTTCCCTCCGCGGGCCCAGGTTGAGCAGGCTTTGCCACCACGGAGAGCCCCAGTCTCCCTGCCGTGGCTGGTTTCCCTCACATGCTAAATAGACTCACGTGGGCCCCAGGAGTAATGCCTGTTAGTGACTGCACTGTGGATGTTCACCGGGGCTCACGCGGGCCCTAATGCATTTTCGGTGCAGAGACGCGCCCTACCTGGCCCATCGGGCTGCGTGGTCCGGGGCGCGTGGGAGGCCGCCCTGGGAGCAGAACGCTGGGGCGGGGTCGGGGGCGATTCTTGACCTGCCTCTTCCAAGCTCCCCCTGTCTGGTGCACTGAGGGTTCCGAGGAATGTGACGGGAACCCAGGAGGCTGCGGGAAGTCTGCTGGGTCCCGAGGGAAGCCTTCGGCTCCTACCGTCCGCTACTTTCTGCTTCCACACGGGAGGCTGTCACCTGTCATCTCCTTCCCCACTTAGATCATCCTTCCGTGGTAGATTTTACATCTTCAGGCCGGGTGCAGTGGCTCACGCCTGTAATCCCAGCACTTTGGGAGGCTGAGGTGGGCGGATCACCTGAGGTCAGGAGTTCAAGACCAGGATGGCCAACATGGTGAAACCCCGTCTCTACTAAAAATACAAAAATTAGCTGGGTGCGGTGGTGCACGCCTGTAATCCCAGCCACTCAGGAGGTTGTGGCACGAGAATCGCTTAAACCCGGGAGGCGGAGGTTACAGTGAGCCTAGATCGCGCCACTGCCCTCCAGCCTGGGCAACAGAGACTCTGTCTCCAAAAAAAAAAAAAAAAAAAAAAAGATACCGCTTGGCATCTGGAAATGTCTGGGACGACCTCTAGAATTAACCTAGCTCAAACCTCTGTTCCCAGATCAGTTTCATCCTGAAGGCTTCCCTAGGGATGGATCATCAAGTCCTGGGAAACTGGACATAAAATGCCCACTACTTAAATAATGATTTCCCATACGTAACTTTTAGTGACCCGAGTTATAAATGTTTTTTAAGGAGGATTTCTATCTATGCAATGAGGGGAATTTTTCAGGTTCCTGGTTCTCTTTCTATAAATGGTGTTTTCATTACAATACTAAGGGAAAGTTTTGTACGTTGAAATTAAGTTACCATAGAATTTAATAACCAAGGTGATTATTAAACTGATTGAGGGTTGGTCTTTTCCCCCATTGCGTATGCAGTACTTTCTTGGTAATCATTTCACACAAGAAATTTTCTTTTATGACAAACCTTCATCGTTATGCTGGGAATTAAGTGCTTTGATTTTTTTTTTTTTTTTTTTTTTTAACCCCAGGGAAGTGCTGGGGGCGGGGCAGGGGGTGAGAATTTTAACAGAATATTGGAGAGACAAAATTTTTCTACCGTTCATATATATATATCTAGTTGAATTATTTCAAGATTTCAAGGTCAGTATTGTCCCCATTTTATAGGTGAAGAAATAGGCCTAGAGGTACTAAACTTTACAACTTCAGGTGAGCAGGAGATAAACAGGTAGGATTCAAGGCTTACCAGTCTGATTCCTGTTAGAAGAAAAACTTCAGCTGAACTAAATTTAAAGGAGTTAAACTGAGCAGTGAATGACTGGGCAGCCCCCAGAATCACAGCAGATTCAGAGAGACTCCAGGGATGCCTCGTGGTCAGAACAAATTTTTAGACAAAAAGAGGGAAGTGACGTACAGAAATCAGCAGTGAGATACAGAAACAGCTGCATTGGTTACAGGGGGGCGTTTGCCTTATTTGAACACAGTTTGAACAATCAGCAGTGTATGACTGGTTGAAGTATGGCCGCTGGGATTGGCCAAGACTCAGCTATTGTTACAGGTGCATACTCCTAAATTAGGTTTTCAAGCTTGTCTGCCTATTAACCTAGGTTACAGTTCGTACACAAGGACTCAAATACAGAAGTACAGAGTCCTTCTCAGGCCATATTTAGTTTGCTTTAACACTGCCTCTCAAATTCTTTCTCTTATAATTAATGCTATAATCCTCTTAAACATGCTCTCAGTTCAAAATGCAGATTTGCCCTTTTTTGTGTGTTTCATTTATCTCCACATTGGATATAAGCTGCCATAATGCATGTATAGACAAAATATAATAGAATTAGTTGTTATAAAGTAAAAATTTTGTTCAGAAATATTATTAAAAGAAGTACATGTATTATATATGTAATAAACATTTAGGCCATTCAAGTCAGTCACATCTTCAATGAAAAGCCAGACACTAAATGGCCGTGAATTGGACATTACTATAGAGAGGCAGAAGGGCCATAGTCTTTCCTAGCTGGAAAAGTAATTTGCTGGGGCGCTGCCCGGTGCACTTTGCCCCCATCCTAGCAACTCGAGTGTGCTCAGCAGAATGAAGTTAGCAAAACTGGTTAGCTCCTGAAACAGACTTCCCTGTCTTGGCAGATTAACACCATCCATGAGCTCACTTTTCCTTCTAATATCTGGGATTCTAATATCCATTCATTATTACTTTCAAAGGAATTATCCTCTCTTTTTGAAAAGCACAACGTTAAAGATGTTTTGACACTCTTTCACAGCTATCGCTTTAAATAACAATCACAAATAAAGCCAAAAATAGTTTCTCAAGGTCATTTATCTAAGTCATAAGCAATAAGAAAGAATGACTACTTCAAAAAAAGAGTCTGTCTGCTTCCAAGACATGCCAGGAACTCGAGAACTGAGAACAATAATGTAAAGCTTGTGTTTCAGAGTTGAGATTAGCATTATGCTTAAGATTTTCTTTAATGTTTTTTATGCCAGCTGGACGTCTTCTGTTAGTGAATTTCCCATTCTGTACTGGGTCATACGAAATGAGTTTTTAAAAACTCATTAATCAGTTATTAAACAAAACATTTTTCCTTAGACTAATCCAAACCACATTTGTGATCTTTTTAAAAATCAGAAACATTAACAAAAACTCATTTTTCTAAAAACTGACATATTTCTGGAGCCTTGACCAATTCATTATTATAATTTTGAGTAACTAATAGTGATTGACATTTATGTAGTGCTTATTATTGCCAGGCACTGTTCTAAGTGTTTTTTAAAAATAAACTAATTTAGTCTTTGTAACAACCATGTGAGGGAAAAACTATCCTCCACTTTACAGATGAGGAAGCTGAAGAAAAAATAAGAAATGTACTCAAAAGTTGCACAGTCAATGAAGGATGAAGCTAAATTCAAACAGACATTCTGGCTCTAGGGTCTGTGTTCTTAACCACTCTGCAAACTGCCTCCTAGGGTGTTACATTTAAAAATACATTCCTAGGTCTGGTGCGGTGGTTCACGCCTGTAATCCCAGCACTTTGGGAGGCCGAGGGATATGGACTGCCTGAGCTCAGGAGTTCGAAACCAGCCTGGGCAACATGGTGAAACCCTGTCTCTACTAAAAACAAACAAAAAAATTAGCCGGGCATGGCAGTGTGTGCCTGTAATCCCAGCTACTTGGGAGGCTGAGGCAGGAGAATCGCTTGAACCCAGAGGCGGAGGTTGCAGTGAACCAAGATCGTGCCATTGCACTCCAGCCTGGGTGACAGAGCAAGACTCTATCTCAAAAAAAAAATAAAAAAATAAAAAATGAATATACATTCCTAATTTGTATTTGTCTCCTTCTATCCCCTTTCCTCAGAGACTGACATTTAAATTTACTTGGCATGAATTGTGCTCATTTAATCTGGATTTCCTGAATTATAAGTTATATTACCTAGATTGAACAACCAAAAATAAATAAGGAAAATAACGTCAACCTTGTAACTGCAACAGACTGCCATTAGTTGGTTCTCTTAGCGGTGCCTTTGAATATTAATATTTTGCAGGTTTGTCCTTAACAGGCTGTCTCTACCGGAAAAAAAAAACGATATTTAGTACTTTTTTTCTTCTTTTTCTTTTTTTGAGACAGGGTCTCACTCTGTTGCCCAGACTGGAGTGCAGTGGCACCACCACGCCTGGCTAATTTTTTGTGTTTTTTATAGAGATGGGGTTTCACCATGTTGCCCAGGCTGGTCTTGAACTCCTAGGCTCAAGGGATCCACTCACCTTGGCCTCCCGAAGCGCTGGGATTATAGGCATGAGCCACCCTGCCTGGCCTGTTTAGTACTTTTTTTTTTTTTTTGAGACAGAGTCTTACTCTTGTCGCCCAGGCTGGAGTGCAATGGTGCGATCTCAGTTCACTGCAGCCTCTGTCTCCTGGGATCAATCGATTCTTCTGCCTCAGCCTCCTGAGTAGCTGGGATTACCGACGCCCGCCACCACAACCAGCTAATTTTTGTATTTTTAGTAGAAACGCACTTTGGGAGGCTGAGGAGGGCGAATCACCTGAAGTCAGGAGTTTGAGACCAGCCTGGTCAACATAGTACTTTTAATTGCTAAGACAGGTAAACCAGGTTGGAGACTTGGAAAATGCAGAGACTTGGCATTAGGAAGAAAAAGAAGCTGGGGTAAAATAAAGGAATTTGAAAAAGGTACAAAAGAAATAAAAATAGAACAATTTTTTTAATATTTAAAATGAAGAAAAAGCAATAGCAAGTGCTACATAAAAAAGGTCTCAGAGAATAGAAAATGTGATTTACCAAAAACTTTCAACCTAGAACTGTACCTTATTCTGCTTACCTTCCATGGAAAATAAAGCAGACTGTCATAAACCAAGGGGATTTCTGTGATCCCTGCCCAACCTCAAGTTCCCTTACTCGAAATGCAAGTACCCTAGTGTATTTCTAAGTACTTTTCCTTGCCAATTTAGATTCTAAGTACTACTGTGGCAATAATTAGCGAAAATAGATACTGAGGATACAAAAGGGAGACAAAGCAAAGGTCAAAACCAAAGTAGTTTTTTGCATTTTCAAAAGAAATAAAGGAAGATGAGGACAAGTAAAGTTCGTCCTTGGATCTATGCTCCTTATTAACAGGAGGGCATTTAAACCTGTGACTTTGTAGAAAGGGCTGATGAGAAGTGTGTACAAAGTTTTCATGGCCAAAGATAAGGCTACATAATCTGGTATTATGGGAGAAAGGCTGGAGAACACTTAGCTGTGCCAAATAGTTCAAATAAAAGCTTCCCAAAGCATCTCAAGCATTCAAGTGATTCTGTGTCTTTGAAGTACAGTAGGGGTCAAGGAGCAAGAAGTCACCATCTCCAGATTATAAAGTGAAAAAGTACTCGACATTTGCAGAAAGGACCAGACAGAAGAAAAAAACACTTCTGGGTATATATAATATCTGCAACCAAACAAAATTATAAATATTTTGTTGAAATTGTGAGAAAGACCCTAAAATATTTCTAGTAACAAGGAAGGTCACATGGATTATTAAAATGTACCCAACATTACTAATTTAGGATAGATACAATGCCATTTAGTCTCTATAATTTTATTTTTGTGAATGTAAAAATATTTATAAAGTTTTTCAAAAGGCTCCACCTATAGTGACAATCCCTTCAAACCTATTTTCTCAATAATGGCCCTGCAGATGAATATCCCCGGGACTGTCAGAAACCTGCCTTTTGTGTTGAGAAGGAACTGCTATACTTCTGTTAAAGCAAGTGTGTCTATGGTTGTAGATATGGTGCTGGATAGAATTAGTGTAGTTCTGGGGACAACTGCTAAGCCACTATGCTTTACAGATTCTGTAACCTGAGTCATAGGGAACGTGGGACTACTTAAAATTGTTGGTGAAAGTTTATGAAACTCTGGATTGTTCGAAAAATGCTCAAAACAAAAAACAACAAAAAAAAGAAACAACCCTATGAGAGTTGGGTATGATAGTACATGTGTGTAGTCCCAGGTACTTGGAAGGCTGAGGTGGGAGAATCACTTGAGCCCAAGGGTTCAAAGCTGTAGTGAGCTATGATGGCACCTGTGAATAGCCACTGCACTCCAGCCTAGGCAGTGTGGCAAGACCCCATTTGTAAAACAAGAACAAAAACGTGAAATAACTTTGAAATACCAAGAGTTAGTGAGAAGAAGCTCCAGGGATATGTTTATGGCCAAGAGAACTTTAGTGTAGCAGAATAGATTTGCAGAGAATTTAGTATAATTAAAATACTTTTTTCTTATTTTTAGCTATTCCAAACTTTTAACCAAATCCTTTTTTTTTGAGACAGAGTCTCACTCTGTCGCCCAGGTTGGAGTGCAGTGGCGCGATTCGGCTCACTACAAGCTCCGCCTCCCGGGTTCACGCCATTCTCCTGCCTCAGCCTCCCGAGTAGCTGGGACTATAGGCGCCCGCCACCATTTTTTTTTTCTATTTTTTTTTCTATTTTTAGTAGACACGGGGTTTCACCGTGTTAGCCAGGATGATCTCGATCTCCTGACCTCGTGATCCGCCCGCCTCAGCCTCCCAAAGTGCTGGGATTACAGGCGTGAGCCACCGCGCCCGGCCCAAATGCTTTAAGAATTATTTTACATCCCTTCTTAAGTAGGTAAACTTCCTGTTTGTAGATATCATGTCTTACATCTAATGCAGATATCAGTCCACATCAAACATTTAATACATTCTTAAAAAAAATATGTGAAGCCTTGGAAAGGAAGAGAGAAGTTAGGAAGATACTTTAATCTTTCCAATTTCTTAGGAAAAAAAGGAAAATTCCATTTTATATGTTCTTAATTCAATGATGTCTGCTATGTAGTGAGCACTCTGTAAATATTTATAAAAACAACAAATGAACGAAGCCCCCCAAATAAGTAAATATGTTTTTTTGTTTTGTTTTGTTTTTTGAGACGGAGTCTTGCTCTGTTGCCAGGCTAGAGTGCAGTGGCCCAATATCGGCTTGCTGCAACCTCCGCCTCCCAGGTTCAAGTGATTCTCCCATCTCAGCCTCTTGAGTAGCTGAGACTACAGGTGCATGCCACCACGACCAGCTAATTTTTGTATTTTTAGTAGAGACGGGGTTTCACCATGTTGGCCAGGATGGTCTCGATCTCTTGACCTCGTGATCCACCCGCCTTGGCCTCCCAAAGTGCTGGGATCACAGGCGTGAGCCAACACACCCGGTCAAGTAAATACATTCTAATTACACCTCATTTCATCCACAACCCAGAAAGTAGTATGTAAACTGAATTCTTAGAAAAACATTTCCACGTTAAATGCACTAGGGCAGGTTGCCGTATAAAGGAATTCTATAAACAATTTTTTTTTTAAGAGATAGGGTCTCACTTTGTCACCCAGGCTGGAGTGCAGTGGTACAGTCATAACTCACTGCAACTTTGAACTCCTGGACTCAAGCTGTCATCCTGCCTCAGCCTCCCAAGTAGCTGGGACTAAGGTGCCTGCCACCACGCCTGGCTAATTTTTTAAATTTTTTGTAGAGATGGGGGGGTCTCATTTTGTTGCCTAGGCTGGTCTTTAACTCCTGGCCTCAAGTGATCCTCCTGCCTCAGCCTCCCAAAGTGCTGGAATTACAGGCATGAGCCACCGTGCCCAGCCACAGATTTTTTAAAAATAACAGTTTTATTGAGATATAATTCACATATCATAGAATTCAACCTTTTAAAGTATATGTTTAATGGTTATAGAATGAACCATTGGTTTATAGAATATCACTGAGTTGTACAATTGCCATCGCCCCAAAAATAAACTTAATATTACTAGCAGCTACTTTCCATTCCTCCCTACTCCAGCCCCTGAAAACCACTAAGTTACTTTCTGACTCTGTGGGTTTACCTATTCTGAACATTTCATATAATTGGAATTGTACAGTATTTGGTCTTTTTCATTATCTAACTTCTTTCACTTAATATGACGTTTTCAGGGTTCATCCATGTTATAGTATCTATTCCTTCCTAATACTTTATTCCTTTTTATGGTTAAATAATATTCTACCATATGGATATACCATATTTTGTTTATCCATATATTTATTGATGGACATTTGGGTTGTTGCTATTTGGCAATTATGAGTAATGCTGCAAGGTTTTTGAGTGAACATATGTTTTAAATTCTCTTCATTGTATATCTAGAAGCAAAATTGCTGGATCGAATAATGACTCTATTGTTTGAAGAACTGACAAACTTTTTCAAAGTGGCTGCGCCATTTTACAATCCCACTAGCAATGTACAAGAGTTCTAATTTCTCTACATTCTTGTCAGCACTTGTTATCGTCTGTCTTTTTTATTTTAGCCATCCTGGTAGGTATGAAGTGTTATTTCATTGTCTTTTTGATTTGCATTTCCCTATTGACACACAGTGCTGAGCATGTTTTCCTGTGCTTAGTGGCGATTTGTATATCTTTTTTGGAGCAATACCTATTCAGATCCTTTGTCCATTTTTAAATTGGGATATTTTTGTTTTTGTTGTTCTTGAGTTGTAAGAGTCTTGATATATTCTAGATATAAGCCACTTATCAGATAAATGATTTGCAAATATTTTCTCCCATTCCATGAGGTGTTTTTTTACTTTCTTGCCTTTGAAGCACAAACATTAATTTTGACAGAGATTTATTTATCTGTTTTTTTTTTGTCACCTGTGCTTTTGGTACTTGTGATGGTTAGTTTTATGTGCCAACTTGACTGGGTTAAGGGATGCCCCATAGCTGGTAAACATTATTTCTGGGTATTTCTGTGAGAGTGTTTAAATGAAAGATCAGCATTTAAATCAGTTGACTGAGCCAGGCATGGTGGCTCACACCTGTAATCTCAGCACTTTGGGAGGCTGAGGCAGGTGGATCACTTGAGGCCAGGAGTTCAAGACCAGCCTGGCCAACATGGCGAGACCCTGTCTCTATTAAAAATACCAAAAAAAAAAAAAATAGCTGGATGTGGTGGTGGATGCCTGTAATCCCAGCACTTTGGGAGGCTGAGGCAGGTGGATCACTTGAGGCCAGGAGTTCAAGACCAGCCTGGCCAACATGGCGAGACCCTGTCTCTACTAAAAATACAAAAAAATTTGCTGGACATGGTGGTGCATGCCTGTAATCCCAGCTACTCGGGAGGCTGAGGCAGGAGAATTACTTGAACCTGGGAGGTGGAGTTTGCAGTGAGGTGAGATCACTCCACTGCCCTCCAGCCTGGGTGACATAGTGAGACTCTGTCAAAAAAAAAAAAAATCAGTAAACTGAGAAAGTTGATGTGCCCTCACCCATATGAGTAGGCATTATTCAATACATTGAGGGCTCAAATAGAACAAAAAGGTGAGAGAAGAGCAAATTCCTTTTCCCCCTTCTGGTATGCCATCATCTTCCCTCAGCCATCAGTGCTCCTGACTTGGGCCTTTGACCTTGGAGACTTACACCAGCATGCTCCCCCTCCTCAGGGCTCAGGCCTTAGGGCTTGGATTAGAAGCCACACCAGTGACTCCCCTGGTTCTCGGGTTTTCAGACTGGAACTGAATTACACCACCAGCTTTCCTAGGTCTCCAGATTGCACACAGCATATTGTGGGACTTCTCAGTCTTCATAATTGAGTGAGCCAATTCCCATAGTAAATCTCCTCTTATATGTCTGTATGTATTTTATTGGTTTTTTTCTTTGGAGAACCCTGACTAATCAGTGTTATATCTAAGAAACCATTATTTAATCCAAGATTAGAAAGATTTACTCCTCTGTTTTCTTCTAGGAGTTACATGCTTTTAGTTCTTACAGTTAAGTCTTTGGTACATTTTGAGTTAATTTTTGCATATGGTGTGAAGGAGTTCAACTTCATTCTTTTGCACATAGATATCCAATCATCTCTGCACCAGTTGTTGAAAGGACTATTCTTTCCCCTGTTCGATTGTTTTGCCACCCTTGTTGAAAATTATACAAGACTTTTTATAACTTGAATTAACAAAGATTTTGACTACAAAGAATAATCATTCTTAGTTTAATCTTTGTAAATAGGGATAGTCAGAAATCATACCAAGATTTTGAAAATACCTGTATGGATGATTTATGGTTGGAAATACCACTGTGAGTTTTTCTATTGACTATTCATTTTATAGTTACTTTTGTAAAAGCCAGTAGTAAAGCCAGCCAGGTGCGGTGGCTCACGCCTGTAATCCTAGCACTTTGGGAGGCCGAGGCAGGTAGATCACGAGGTCAGGAGATCGAGACCATCCTGGCCAATATAGTGAAACCCCATCTCTACTAAATATACAAAAAATTAGCCGGGTGTGGTGGCACACGCCTGTAGTCCCAGCTACTTGGGAGACTGAGGCAGGAGAATGGTGTGAACCCAGGAGGCAGAGGTTGCAGTGAGCCGAGATGGTGCCACTGCACTCCAGCCTGGGTGACAGAGCGAGACTCCGTCTCAAAAAAAAAAAGAAAAAAATTGTTTTATGACCTCAAGATCTTTGGTTTTTTTTTTTTTTTAGTATTTTATTTGTTTTAAGGATTCCTACAGAGTTAGCTAACATGGTCCATGTTCATTTCAAATGTATAAATCACCCACTTCAGTATTTTAAGTTTATAAAAATCTTTAAATGTGTAAATCAAAAATAAAATTCTAAGACCCCTTCTTCCCCCAGCTGTCTGAATGGACTCCCTCTTCTCAGCCAGAGCACTCCAAAGTTAGCCTGAAAAACTGGTTCAGGCCATGATGGGAAGAGGGGGATCAGACATGCATCATTATGCCCTTCTCCTTTTTGGAATTCAGGAAAAGCTGACCAGCATTAACATCGACACAGACCTTAAGTCTGATAAGAAACATTTACAATCTATTCTGAAACCTGCTACCTGGAGGCTTCATCTGCATGATAAAACTTTGGTCTCCACAACCTCTTATGTAACCCAGACAGTTCTTTCTATTCATAGTAACTCTTGCAACCAATTGCCAATCAGAAAATTTTTTTCTACATGATCTACATGTAACTGGACCCCCCACCCTTGGAGTTGTCCTGCCTTTCTGGACCGAACCAGTGTATATCTTAAATGTATTTGATTGATGTCTCATGTCTCCCTAAAATATATAAAACCAAGCTGTGCCCTGATCACTTGGGCACGTATCATCAGGACCTCCTGAGGCTGTGTGATGGGTGCGTCCTTAACTTGGCAATTTTGAGACGGAGTCTCGCTCTGTTGCCCAGACTGGAGTGCAATGGCATGATCTCGGCTCACTGCAACCTCTGCCTCCTGGGTTCAAGCGATTCTCCTGCCTCAGCCTCCTGAGTAGCTGGGACTACAGGCATGCACCACCACACCTGACCAATTTTTGTATTTTTAGTAGAGACGGGGTTTTGCCATGTTGGCCAGGTTGGTCTCCAACTCCTGACCTCAAGTGATCTGCCCACCTTGGCCTCCCAAAGTCCTGGGATTACAGGTGTAAGTTGCCATGCCTGGCCTGCAAAATAAACTTTCTAAAATGACAGAGTCCTAGCCAGAGCAATCAGACAAGAGAAAGAAATAAAGGGCATCCAAATTGGTAAAGAGGAAGTCAAACTATCACTGTTTGCTGATGATCGTATGCCTAGAAAACCCTAAAGACTCATCCAAAGAGCTCCTTCAGCAAAGTTTCAGGATACAAAATTAATGTACACAAATCAGTAGCTATACACCAACAGCGACCAAGCTGAGAATCAAATCAAGAACTCAACCCCTTTTATAATAGCTGCAAAAAAATCACATACCTAAGAATATACTTAACCAAAGAGGTGAAAGACCTCTACAAGGAAAACTACAAAACACTGCTGAAAGAAATCATGGATGACACAAACAAATGGAAACACATCCCATGCTCATGGATGTGTGGAATATTGGGAAAATGACCATAGTGCCAAAAGCAATCTACAAATTCAATGCAATTCCCATTAATACCACCATCCTTCTTCACAGAACTAGAAAAAACAATCCTAAAATTTGTATGGAACCAAAAAAGAGCCTGCATAGGCAAAGCAAGACTAAGCAAAAAGAACAAATCTGGAGGCATCACATTACCTGATTTCAAACTATACTATAAGGCCATAGTCACCAAAAACAGCATGGTACTGGTATAAAAACAGGCACATAGGCCAGGTGTGATGGCTCACACCTGTAATCCCAGCACTTTGGGAGGCCGAGGTGGGCAGATCACCTAGGTCAGGAGTTCGAGAACAGTCTGGCCAACATGGAGAAACCCCATCTCTACTAAAAATATAAAAAATTAGCCAGGCATGGTGGCACGTGCCTATAATCTCAGCTACTCAGGAGGCTGAGACAGGAGAATTGCTTGAACCCAGCAGGCGGTGGTTGCAGTAAGCCAAGATCACACCATTGCACTCCAGCCGGGGCAACAGAGCAAGACTCCGTCTGAAAAAAAAAAAAACAGGCACATAGACCAATGGAACAGAATAGAGAACCCAGAAACAAAGCCAAATATTTATAGCCAACTGACCTTTGGCAAAGCAAACAAAAACATAAAGTGGGGAAAGGACACCGTATTGAACAAATGATGCTGGGATAATTGGCAAGCCACATGTAGAAGAATGAAACTAGATCCTCATCTCTCACCTTATACAAAAGTCAACTCAAGATAGATGAAAGACTTAAATCTAAGACCTGAAACCATAAAAATTCTAGAAGAGAATATCAGAAAAACCCTTGTAGACATTGACTTAGGCAAAGACTTCATGACCAAGAACCCAAAAGCAAATGCAACAAAAACAAAGATAAATAGATGGAACTTAATTAAACTAAAAAGCTTCTGTAGAACAAAAATAATTAGAAGAATAAATGGACAACCCACAGAATGGGAGATAATTTTCACAATCTATACATCCAACAAAGGACTAATATCCAGAATCTACAAGGAACTCAAACAAATCAGCAAGAAAATAAACAAACAGTCCCATCAAAAAGATGGATGTGGTGAAAAGGGAACACTTTCACACTGTTGGTGGGAATGTAAACTAGTACAGCCACTGTGGAAAACAGTGTGGAGATTCCTTACAGAACTAAAAGTGGATCTACCATTTGATCCAGCAATTCCACTACTAGGCATCTACCCAGAGGAAAAGAAGTCATTACAAGAAAAAGACACTTGCACATGCCTGTTTATAGCAGCACAATTCACAATTGCAAAAATATGGAACCAGCCCAAATGCCCATCGATCAACAACTGGATAAAGAAAATGTATATATATGCACCATAGAATACTACTCGGCCATAAAAAGGAATGAAATAATGGCATTTATAGCAACCTGGATGGAATTGGAGACCATTATTCTAAGTGAAATAACTCAGGACTGGAAAACCAAACATTGTATGTTTTCACTCATAGGTGGGAGCTAAGCTATGAGAATGCAAAGACATAAAAAATGATAAAATGGACTTCAGGGACTCAGGGGAAAGGGTGGGAGAGGGGTGAGGGATAAAAGGCTACACATTGGGTACAGTGTACAATGCTCAGGTGATGGGTGAAATTTAAAAATCTTGAAGAAAAGGTTATTTTAAAATAATGTAAATTTGCTAATTAATTCCATGATAATATCCTTCACTTTAATGAGATTATTCTCATTTTCTGGCACTTACAAAAGAGCTCATTCAACTTTTCAATATATTGAAAAGATATGTCATATAATTTTACAATATTTTAACTTCAGTGTTTAATTTTTCATTGAACCAAAAAATTCTACAATAATGTCAAATAGTGAACAAAGTCTTAAAATAACTTCCTTTGACAAGCTTAGAGAAGCCAAATTTCAAATTATTTTTCATTATCATTGCACAGTTTTGAAATCTATTATCTATTGCTCATAGATTTTTTTTTTTTCTTATTTAAAAATTGGGGTAAGGCCGGGTGCGGTGGCTCATGCCTGTAATCCCAGCACTTTGGGAGGCCGAGGCGGGTAGATCACCAGGTCAGATTGAGACCATCCTGACCAACATGGTGTAACCCTGTCTCTACTAAAATATAAAAAATAAGCTGGGAGTAGTTGCAGGCATCTGGAATCCCAGCTACTCAGGAGGCTGAGGCAGGGGAATCACTTGAACCAGGGAGGTGGAGATTGCAGTGAGCCAAGATCGTGCCACTGCACTCCAGCCTGGCAACAGAGTAAGACTCTGTCTTAAAAAAAAAATCGGGGTAAAAAATATAATTATTCACACCTGTTAGGCAGAATAATGACCCCCAAAGATCTCCACATCTTAAACCACAGAACCTGTGAATATATGGCAAAAGGGACTTTGCAGAAATGATTAAGTCAAGGATCTTGAGATGGAGAGATTATCTCAGATTATTCCTGGTGAGCCCAATATAATCAATCACAAGGGTCCTTATAAGAGGGAGGTAGGATGATCAGATATGTAATGATGGAAGCAGGGGTTGGAGTGTTGTGGAACAAGGAATGTGGACAGCCTCTAGAACAAGCTTGTCCAACCTGTGGCCCACAGACTGCATGTGGCCCAGGATGGCTTTGAATGTGGCCCAACACAAATTTGCAAATTTGTAAACTTTCCTAAAACATTATGAGATTTTTTTTTTTTTTTTTTGAGATGGAGTTTCACTCTTGTTGCCCAGGATGGAGTGCAATGGTGTGATCTTGGCTCACTGCAGCCTCTGCCTCCCAGGTTCAAACGATTCTCCTGCCTCAGCCTCCCAAGTAGCTGGGAGTACAGGCATGAGCCATCACGCCTGGCTAATTTTGTATTTTTAGTAGAGATGGGGTTTCACCATTTTGACCAGGCTGGTCTCGAACTTCTGACCTCAGGTGATCCACCCATCTTGGCTGGGCGTGATGGCTCATTCCTGTAATCCCAACACTTTGGGAGGCCAAGGTGGGTGGATCACTTGGGGTTAGGAGTTCCAGACCAGACCGGGCAACATTGTGAAACCCCGTCTCTACTAAAAATACAAAAATCAGCTGGGCATGGTGGTGCATGCCTATAGTCCCAGCTACTTGGGAGGCTGATTCAGGAGAATCGCTTGAACCTGGGAGGTGGAGGCTGCAGTGAGCTGAGATTGCGCCACTGCACTCCAGCCTGGTCGACAGAGTGAGACTCCATCTCAAAAAGAAAGTAAAGGAATAAAGAATGGCTACCCCTTAGACTGCAGCCCTGAGGGCTGCTGGCTGCCCATTTTTATAGTTATTTCTTGATTATATGTTAAACAAGGGGTGGATTATTCATGCCTCCCCTTTTTAGACCATATAGGATAACTTCCGGATGTTGCCATGGCATTTGTAAACTGTCATGGCACTGGTGGGAGTGTAGCAGTGAGGACGACCAAAGGTCACTCTTGTTGCCACCTTGGTGTTGGTAGGTTTTAGCTGGCTTCTTTACTGCAACCTGTTTTATCAGCAAGGCCTTTATGACCTGTATCTTGTGCCGACCTTCTATCTCATCCTGTGACTTAGAATGCCTGTCTGGAAATGTAGTCCAGTAGGTTTCAGCCTCATTTACCCAGCCCCTATTCAAGACGGAGTTGCTCTGGTTCAAATGCCTTTGACACAGCCTCTCAGACCCACCTTAGACTTCTAAACTCTAGAACTATAATATGAGAAAACTGTGTTGTTTTTTGTTTTGTTTTTACATTTACGGGTTTATTATAAAGGATATTACAAAAAATACACATGAAGAGATAGGTAGGGCAAGGTATGCGGGAAGGGGTGCGGAGCTTCTATGGATGCACCTCCCTGGATGCACCACCCTCCAGAAACCTCCAGCTATCCAGAAACTCACTGAACCTTGTCCTCTTGGGTTGTAATGGAAGCTTCATGACATCAGCATTCCTTCCCCCAGGGTATAGGGTGGTACTCTCTCATGAGAAGGTCTTAAGATCTATAATCAGACAGGTTGGGGAACATTAGAGTGGAAGGAGGGTGGGAGGTCAGAGGCCTGCCCCTGAGTCTTAACCCACCATATATGTGTGTGTGTGTGTGTATATATATACACACACACACACACACACATATATAAATATATATATATATATATATATTTTGAGATGGAGTCCCACTCTGTTGCCCAAGCTGGAGTGCAGTGGCACAATCTTGGCTCACTGCAACCTCCACCCCCAGGGTTCAAGCAATTCTCCTGCCTCAGCCTCCCAAGTAACTGGGATTATAAGTGCGTGCCACCATGCCCAGCTAACTTTGTATTTTTAGTACAGATGGGGTTTATCCATGTTGGCCAGGCTGGTCTCGAACTCTTGACCTCAAGTGATCCACCTGCCTCGGCCTCCCAAAGTGCTGGGATTACAGGTGTGATCCACCGTGCCCAGCCCTAACCCACCCAATATTCTAACAAAAAACTGTAACAAGCACTATGGGAGTTGGAGCCAGGAACTGTGGACAAAAACCAATATATAGCGTAACACCACACGCCATCCTCTGGTTTTCAACCATGGATCCTTTACATAAAATATATGTTTTATTAATGATTATGTATACATACATACACAATCATTAATAATCAATCCAGCCCATTATACTGTTCGAATGATTCCCAGGATGAGGCCACTCGGGTTTACAGGTTTCCTCTCAATCTTGTCAGGTTCCAAAAGCAGAAGTGGCCTCGGTAAATACACAGCTTCACCTTTTCAGGCATCTGGAATAATTGAGCTACGAGAAAATGTCATCTCTTGCCCTGAGACTCTTTTGACTTGTTAATGTGATATTGAATTTTCCTCAATTAATAACTCATTTATTTATTTGAGAGAGGTTCTGGCTCTGTCACATAGGCTGGAGTGCAGTGGCATGATCTCTGCTTACTGCAGCTTCAACCTCCCAGGCTCAAGTGATCCTCCCACCTCAGCCTCCTGAGTAGCTGGGACCACAGGTATGCACTACCATGCCTGGCTACTTTTTGTTTTTGTTTTTTTTTCCTGTAGAGATAAGGTCTCCCAGTGTTGCCCAGGCTGGTCTTAAACTCCTGGGCTCAAGCAGTCCTCC
Organism: Homo sapiens; assembly: GCF_000001405.40. NCBI lineage: Eukaryota > Metazoa > Chordata > Mammalia > Primates > Hominidae > Homo > Homo sapiens. The sequence goes on from NC_000013.11 coordinate 49,953,567, forward strand.
TGCCTTGATGTCCCAAGGTTTCGGGATTAGAGGCATGAGCCAATGTGCCCAGCTTTATTTATTTATTTACTCTCAGCTATTATTTTTCCTTCTGTCCATTAATACCCAAACCTTTTCACCTTTGGAAGGGACATTAGAATCACCACTATGCTGGTCTAGATTGCAGGTAGCAATACAAGTCTAGCAAGTATCTCCTCCTCAATACAGGTCTAGCAAGTATCTCACTCCCATTCACATAGGGTAAGGTTACACAGGTACAGAACTAGTGAGCTCTTTTCAACACCAGGCAATATAGCTGCATTCACTCTTAGCCCCAATTTTGCTAGATGGGGTGAAGGCACAATCCACCCCCATCTGCCCTTAGAAATTTTGACATAGCTTTAAAAACATAGGCTTTTTTGCCTAGAACTCACCCTTGCTGTTCTAGCACTTGTAGTTGCAGCTGTGGTCTTGGGACCACCGCATCAGGTAGGGGAGAGAAAAAAAAATTTTTTTTTTTCTTTTTGAGACAGTGTCTCACTCTGTCGCCCAGGCTGGAGTGCAGTGGCATCATCTCGGCTCACTGCAAGCTCTGCCTCCTCGGTTCACGCCATTCTCCTGCCTCAGCCTCCCGAGTGGCTGGGACTACAGGCGCCCGCTACCACGCCCGGCTAATTTTTTGTATTTTTAGTAGAGACGGGGTTTCACCAGGTTAGCTGGGATGGTCTCGATCTCCTGACCTCATGATCTGCCTGCCTCGGCTTCCTGAAGTGCGGGGATTACAGGCTGAGCCACTGTGCCCGGCCGAGAAAAAATTTTTTGAGGTGATTTTGAGAAGAAAGAAAAATGTATTGTCATTTTACCAGTGTACTCCTTTCTTGGTGAGACCTGCGTAGTCATCTCAGCATTCTCCCCACTCCCTTTTCCCAGATCAACCAGAAAAACAGAGAAAAAATCTAACAGGAGCACTCTAGTTTCAACCACGTTGAGTATAAGCCAGGCTTTCATGCTTTTATCTTCCCTGGTTTTAGACAACCAATATTTTAATTGCCCATTCTACTTATCTATCAAACTATTACTCTAAGGAGGATATCTCTCTGCCCATTGTTGGGCATTATGGGCTGTACAGTGTGTTCCTTTGTCTGAAGAAGAAATGATGGTCAGCCATCCAAATCCTTGAAATATCTTCTGTTGTTTATTTTTTTTAATTTTTTTTTTATGGCACTCTGAACACTTTCATCTTCCATTGGATAAGCAAAGCCTGCACTAGAGTCAGTGTCTATTCCTATCAAGAATTCCTATTCCATTTGTAGTCCCCCAGGGCTGCCAGCATCAGTCTCACTTGCCAGCTATGTTCAGGGCCTTCCCACCAGGAAATCTTTCCCATAGCCAGTTTCTGTCTCTCTTACTGAGAAACAGAACAGTTCTTCCTAGCATTTTGTGCCTTGGAATTGCCATCCATAAACCAAGAAGCTCTTGTTTGGTCAGTTGAAAGTTGTTTATTTGGCACTGTAGAATCCAGCAGTTTCTCACACAGTTCCAGAGTCAGTCCTAGGGGAAAAGAAATTCTCTGCATGCCTTGAGTAGCATGATCCTCTATAAACCATTTCCATTGTGTCATGGAACTCTTCTGGGCACTGCCATCCCCATTAGAATGTTCCTCTGACATCATCTGAGACAGCATGCCTATTTCAGGTATCAGTGGGGTGGCTTCAGTAAATGTTTCATTGCGAGTCAGTAAATGCCCTTCAAGTGGAAATTCTCTAGTCCAAAGTCCCAGTGGTTGTTGCTGGGAGGTGCCCACAGGCTTTTGCCATAAGCTCCAGGAAATGCTCCATAGAGGGTTATCAAGTGGAGAATTTGTCCCTACCAGCACCGTAGCTTCTACTCTGCACTGTGTGGGCCTGGGCAGTCTCCCTGGTTCCAGCTTAGCATGTCCAAATAATATTGCTTGAAGGGACGATTTACATGCCTTCTCTTTTACAGTACCAGGTAGGGAAAACAGTCCCCCACACAGATACAATGTTCATTCCCATGATAAAATCAGATAAAAAATGCAACTACTTCACATGAAGTGTTCAAATATACCAACTTTCATAGTCCTATCGACCCCTACATTTTTCTGTTTTAGTTTCAGGAACTTTTCTTCTCCACCCCTAGACCATTTACCCTCTCTTGTGTAAAAGTCTTTGGGTACCCAGCCAAGGGGTGACCCAAAGGACCCTGGCCCTCTTGTTAATCTTTATCTTGGTTAGTCTGCTCGACTATTGCCCCAGGCAAATTCAGATCAGATTTTTCATTGTAACTGCTGCCTTTTAGCTTTTTAAATTTCTCCAAACTGGGAGAAATACAGCAAACTGGTTTGGGGCCCTTTAATGTTGGAGGACCAAAAGGGGCTCCCTTTGGTTCACCCAACCTTCAGGGTAGTGTTACGTTAAGACCTTTGTTTTAACTCCATCAATTTCCTTTTTATTGTTGTTATTTTTTACAGATGGGGGTCTCAATATGTTGGCCAGGCTAGTCTTGAACTCCTAGGCTCAAACGATCCTCCTACCTCAGCCTCCCAAATTGCTGGGATTACAGGTGTGAGCCACCATGTGCAGCCAACCGCATCAATTTCCATTTTATTCATTCCATTTCTTAATAACCATCTAAAGATTCCTACCCTGCTGGGACCAGTCCCCTCTTGCTGCCGCCGCTGCCTTCTCCTCCTCCTCCTCCCCATTCCCCTCCCCCTCCTCCCCTTCCTCCTCCTCCTCCTTTCTTGCTGCTGCTTCTTCAGCTGCTGCTTCTGCTGCTGTTGCTTCTGCATCTGCTTCTGCTGGTGCTGCTGCTTCTTGCTGCTGCTGCTGCTTCTGCTTCCTCTTCTTCCTCTTCCTCTTCTTCCTTTTTCTTCTCCTTTCTTCTCCTTTGTCTCATTTCTTCTCCTTCTTCCTTCTCCTCCTCTTCCCTCCTCCTCCTTCCTTCCTCTTTCTTCTTCTTTCTTCTTTCCTCTCCTTCTCCCTCTCCTTCTCCTCCTTCTCCTCTTCCAGTCCCTCCCTCCTTCCCTCCCTCCTTCCCTCTCTCCTTCCCTCCTTCCCTTCCTTCCCTTCCTTTCCTTCCCTTCCTTCCTTCTTTCCTTTCCTTTTTTTTTTTTTTTTTTTTCTGAGATGGAGTCTCGCTCTGTCACCTAGGCTGGAGTATAGTGGCATGATCATGGCTCACTGTAGCATCGACCTTCTGGGCTCAAGTGATCCTCTCACTTCAGTCTTCGAGTAGCTGGGACCACAGGTTTCTTGTAGTGTCCAGGAACCATCTCTTCATGTTCTTTATTGTCAATGTATCATTCCTGTTTAGTTTCATGTCTCCCACTGTGAGAAACAAGTAGCATTCTGTTATTACTCACATGCCACCATGGTTCTTCATTATCTTAATGTATTGAAACAACATAGATCTTCTTGCCCTGCATTTATTTAATGCTGATTGCATCAAAACTCATTAGGCTACATCCTTCATCATGCTGCCCAAGAATACTGGCTTCTAATGACTCTCTCACAGGTTATGGTACTGCGATCATGACCACAAACACAGGGTTTACCCAGATTATGCAGGAAAAAAAGAAAAATACTTTGTTTTCTTGTCATGCTAAATTTATTGTTTGGGAATTTTTTCAAGAGAAGACCAGGTCTTCTCTTGAACTCTTTAAACTATAAACTTTATATTCCTAGAACGTTCCTCTGTTGACCACATACCTACCTTTCACACACCATCACTGGTAGGGAGGATTGGTGAGAGGCTCTCCTCTTTACACAAGGAATGTCCGTTATTTGACCAGCAGAGCTTAAGATCAACCAGGGAGATCATGATGTCATCAAGTTAATAGGAAGCAGGAGAGGATATTGATTAAAAGGGCTGACTGACATTGTAGAGGCATGGTCTCAAAAGCCTTCAAGGGAGATAGGCACTGCCACTCCTGAAGGATTGCCTGACATGAGGTGCAGAGCCTGTGTGTTGTGGGGTGACTGCATTGAGTGTCAGTGACATGAGGTACATGGGGTGCTGTAGGATACACAGATCCACACACATGGCTCAAGCTCAAGGGTTGATAGTGAACCACAGGTAGCCCAGAGCCAAGAGTTATTAAAAATCAGCATGTTATCACCATTTGACAACCCAATCTTGCACAATCTCTGGAAAGAAATACTGTGCCAACAGGAGCAATTCACTTTCCAGGTCTCCTTTTTGGATTCCAGCTCTGATTTTTGTATCTTCTCAGGGCATCTGGTCCATCCCAAGTATGGGATAGAGGGTTGTAGATTACCCCAAAAGGAAAAAGCAGAAACTAGGACACACACAGGTCCCAGTGTGGGATGGGGGCACCTCACGTGGATGGATCTGATAGCCCTTGTCAGTCCCAGGGATCAGAGGGAGACTCAGAAAACTGTGAGGAAGATACCCCAAAATACAGGGCCCCCTGGAACAAGGAAGCCAGGGAAGAGTGCCCTGCTGCCTAGATTGAAGGGCTGAAGTAATTTTAGGGCAACAAAGTTGATGATAGAAAGTTCTCTATTACTGAAGAATTCTAGTGGTTAAAGGAACTAATGAAATAATGGATCATTAATGTATGGTAAAACTATAACCTGAATAAGCCTAGTATCACTAAAAGTGGAAAACCTGACATTGTGTCTCCTAATGTGATGCAATAAGAAAACAGCACCACTTGCAAAGTATTCCTGCCTTAAAAGCTGAACCTGAATCTGATGAAATTTCTATATTTATTTTTCAGTCTATAAAAAATATGGGGGTAAAGAACAAGTTAAATAACTGTTAGAGTGCAGTCAGCTAAATACAGAATGTGGGACTGTCAAGAGCTGTGCAAGGCCTGGGATTTTGCCCCACTTATAAACTAACAAGTTAGCCTGTTTTGGTTTCATGGATGCTGGCAGGAGACAGAAGATTCCTGAGTCAGAGACAAAGGATTTTATTGCCCACAGCAAAAGTAGTATTCAGAACTTCGTGTTTGTTTGTGTCAGTCTCCATGCCCCACAAAGCTTATTGGAAGTGACACAAAGGGCTCGTGATGGATGCCTTAGAATGTAGTTGGTTGCATTAGAGGAAAGAAACACTGAGTTTGGGGCATTCATTGTTTTTAAGGCAAGTGGAAGCCAGCCTGCTGTTTCGGGGAGATATTACCCCATCCTTCAGGTTTGCTTGCTGCAAACACAATCTTGAGAAATGGCCCTGGTAAAGAATGGTCAGGGCTTTGCATTCTTGGTATGCCTAGCAAAAATATATGGGGATACTCAAGGCCAGTGACAGATTGCCTGTTGGAAAAATACACCCCTTAGCCCAATATGTTCTTGACCAAACTTGAGTTTTTACACAAGCTTGCCACTCCATCAGCCACTCTGACTAATATGACCAGAGAGGTTGGGAGCAAAACCATTTCATTTGTCTCTCCTAGGAGTTTTATAGTTTCAGGTCTTATGTTCAGGCCTTTAACACATTTTGAATTAATTTTTGTACATGGTGTAAAGTCATTTTTTAAAATTTGGACGTAATCAGTTTTCCCAACATCATTTGTTGAAGAGACTAGTCTCTCCCCCATTTTGTGGCCTTGGCACCCTCGTCAAATATCATTTGACAATATATGTGAGGGCTTATTTCTGGGCTAATTCTTCTGTTCCATTGGTCTGTGTGTCTGTCTTTATGTCAGTATAATACTATTTTGATTACTGTAGCTTTGTGATATCTTTCAAAATAGGAAGTATGAGACCTCCAGCTTTGTTTTTCTTCCTAAAGATTTTTTTGGCTATATGGGATTCTTTGAGACTTTATATGCATTTCAGGGTTTTTAAATTTTTTCTGCAAAAACAAAAAGCCATTGGAATTTTGATGGGAATTGCATTTAATTTATAGATCACTTTGGGTAGTATTGTTATTTTAACAATATTAAGCCTTCCAATCCATGAACATGGGATGTCTTTCCATTTATTTGTATCTTCTTAAATTTTTTAAAGTGATGTTTTGTAGCAGTGATACAAGAAACAGGAGGGATGAATTAATGATATTTTATTATTACAAGATATACTACCCATGATGTAGTACAGTGTTATTTGAAAGTGGACTTGCATTAATTATAAATGTATACTGCAAACTCTAGGGCAACCACTAAAGAAAGTAAAAAAAGAAGTATAAGTGACATGCCAGGAAGGAAGAGAACATGGAATCATATAAAGTGCTCAATTAAAACCACAAAAAGCAGAAAAACAGTGGAAAACAAAAACAGGAATAAAAAACAAGGGCAACAAATAGAAAGCAGTAACAAATATGATATATTAATCCAACTATATCTATAATGACTGTAAATGTTAATGATCTAAATTTTACTAAGACAAAGATTGAGTAGATCTAAAAACAAGACCTAACTATATGTTGTCTACAAGAAACACATTTTATCCCAGGCACAATGGCTCACGCCTGTAATCTCAACACTTTGGGAGGCCAAGGTGGGCAGGTTACAAGGTCAGGAGTTTGAAACCAGCCTGGCCAACATGGTGAAACCCCATCTCTACTAAAAATACAAAAATTATCCAGGCGTGGTGGTGTGCACCTGTAATCCCAGCTTTTCAGAAGGCTGAGGCAGGAGAATTGCATGAACCTGGGAGGCGGAGGCTGCAGTGAGCCAAGATCACACCATTGCACTCCCGCCTGGGTAAAAGAGCGAGACTCCTTCTCAAAAAAAAAAAAAAAAAAAAAAAAAAAAAAAGGGAAAGAAAGAAACACATTTGAAATATAAGAACATATATAGATTAAAAGTAAATGGATGAAGAAAGATATACCATGCCTATACTAATTAAGAGAAAGTGGAAGTAGCTATATTAATTTTAGGCAGAGCAAACTTCAGAGCAAGGACAGATATCAGGGATAAGGAGGGAAATTACATAATGAAACAGCATTCAATACCCCAAGAAGACATAATCATTCTTTTTTTTTTTTTTTTTTTGAGATAGAGTTTTTCTCTGTCACCCAGGCTGAAGTACAATGGTATAATGGCACAATCTCGGCTCACTGCAACCTCTGCCTCCAGGGTTCAAGCAATTCTGTATCAGCCTCCTGAGTAGCTGGGATTACAGGCGCCTGCCACCACACCTGGCTAATTTTTTGTAGTTTTTAGTAAAAATTGGGTTTCACCATGTGGGCTAGGCTGGTCTTGAACTTCTGACCTCAGGTGATCTGCCTGCCTCAGCCTCCCAAAGTGCTGGGATTACAGGCATGAGCCGCTGCACCCCGCTGACACAATAATTCTTAATGTGTATTCACCTAACAGCAGGGCATCCAAATATGTAAGGGAAAAACTGATAAAACTGCAAGAAGACCTGGGTGAATCTACTATTATAGTTGGAGACTTTAACACTCCTCTAACAGAAATGGACACAGTCAGCAGGCAGAAAACCAGTAAGGACACAGTTGAATTCAACAACACTATCAATCAACTGTATATAATTGACATCTACAGAATATTTCATCCAGCAGCAGGCAGCAGATTACAATTCTTCTCAAAATCACATGGAGCATTCACCAAGACAGATCACATTCTGGGCCATAAAACACACCTCAACAAATATAAAAGAAGTCATATAGTGTCTGCTTTCAGACCTCATGAAATTAAACTAGAAATTGATATCAGAAAGATAGCTGAAAATCACAAATACCTGGAGATTAAACAACATACTTCTATTTTTTTTTTTTTTTTTGAGACAGAGTCTCACCCTGTCACCCAGGCTGGAGTGCAGTGGTGCGATCTTGGCTCACTGCAAGCTCCACCTCCTGGGTTCACGTCATTCTCCTGCCTCAGCCTCCTGAGTATCTGGGACTACAGGCGCCCGCCACCATGCCTGGCTAATTTTTTTGTATTTTTTAGTAGAGACGGGGTTTCACCGTGTTAGCCAGGATGGTCTCGATCTCCTGACCTCGTGATCCACCTGTCTCAGCCTCCCAGATTAAACAACATACGTCTAAGTAATATATGAGTGAAAGAAAAAGTCTGATGAAGAGAGTTAAAAATATTTGAAATAAATGAAAATATAACTTATCAAAATGTCTAAGATACAGCAAAAGCAGTGCTTAGAAATTTATAGTATTGAATACATATATTAGAAAAGAAGATTTAAAATCATTAATCCAGCTTTCAGCTTTTAGCTCAGAGAAGGCCAAGGTGCAACTTTCTTCAGTTGTCATGAATCTGAGTTCATACAACACCAGCCATCTCCACCATGCCATCGAAGAAAAAAGTAAAATAAAATAATTAATCCAATATTCTGCCTTAGGAAACTAGAAAAAGAAGAGCAAATTAAATCCAAATAAGCAGAATAAAATAAATGAAAATTATAGCAGAAATCAATGAAACTGGAAGCAGAAAACCAATAGAGAAAAATAACACGACCAAAATCTAGTTTAAAAAAAATCAATATAGTTGATAAACCTCTAGCCAGGCTTACTAAGAAAAAGAGAAGACACAATTACTAATATCAGAAGTGAAAGAGAAGCATCACTACAGATCCCATGGACACTAAAAGAATAATAAAGGAATATTATTAATAACTCTATGTCCACACATTTGATAACCTACTTAAAGACACAATCTGCCAAAATTAACACAAAAAGAAATCAATACTTTTAATAAACCTATATTGATTAAAAAAATTGGATTAATAACTAATAAACTTCCAAAACAGAAATCACCAGACTCACATGGATTCATTAGTGAATTCTATCAAACATTTAAGGAAGAAATTATACCAATCCTATACAATCTGTTCCAGAAGACAGAAGCAGAGGGGATACTTCCTAAATCATTCTATGAGGCTGGCATTACCCTAATATTCAAATTAGACAAAGACATTACAAGAGCCGGGTGCAGTGGCTCACACCTGTAATCCCACACTTTGGGAGGCTATGGTGGGAGGATCACTTGAGTTCAGGAGTTCAAGACCAGCTTGGGCAACATAGCAAGACCTCATCTCTACTTTAAAAAAAAAAAAAAAGTAGCTGGTATGGTGGCACACACCTGTAGTCCCAGCTACTCGGAAAGCTGAAGTGGGAGGATCACTTGAGCCCAGGAGATCAACCCTGCAGGGAGCTATGATCATGCCACTGCACTCTAGTTTAGGCAGCAGAGTGAGTCCTTGTCTCAGAAAAAAAAAAATACAAGAAAAGAAAACAATAGAGTAATATCTCTCATGAACATAGATTCAAAAATCCTGAACAAAATACTAGCAAGTTGAATCCAACAATGTAAAGAAAGAATTACACATCATGGTCAAGTGGAATTTATCCAAGGTAGGCAAGGCTAGTTCAACATTTGAAAATCAATTAATGTAATCCATCACAACAACAGGCTAAAGAAGAAAAATCACATGGTCATATAAATAGATGCAGAAAAAGCATTTGACAAAAAAAAAACATTTCATGATTGGAAAAACTCACAATAAATTGAGAATAGAGATGAACTTGCTCAACTTGATGAAGAACATCTGCCAAAAAACCTACAGCTAACATTATACTTCATGGTGAGAAACTTGAAGATTTTCTCACACTATCAGGGACATTGCAAATATGTCCCTTCTCACCACTGCTTTTCAACATCATACTGGAAGTCCTAGCTAATGCAAGAACACAAGAAAAAGAAATAAAAGGCATATAGATTGGGAAGGAAGAAGTAAAATTATCTTTGTTTGCAGATGACATGATTGTAGAAATCCAAAAGAATCAACAAACAACCCTCCTTGAACTAATAAGCAATTATAGAGGGTTGTAGGATACAAAGTTAATGTACAAAAGCCAATTGCCTTCTGATACACTGTAAGCAATGAACAAGCAGAATTTGAAATTAAAAACACAATACCATTTATATCCTTCTGAAAAGAAATAGGTATAAATCTTAACAAAATATGTGGAAGATCTATATAAGAAAAACTACAAAACTCTGATGAAAAATATCAAAGAAGACTTAAATAAATGGAGATATAGTCCATGTTCATGGATAGGAAGACCCAGTGTTGTTGAGATGTCAGTTCTGAACTGGATCTATAGATTCAATGCAATCCCAATCAAAATCCAGTCAAGTTACTTTGTGGATGTTGATAAACTAATTCTAAAGTTTATGTGAAGAGGCAAAGACACAGAATAGCTAACTCAACAATAAAGGAGAAGAGTTAGAGGACTGATAGTACCCAACTTACTAGACTTACTAGAGGTCCCGCATGGTGGCTCACACCTATAATCCCGACTACTCTAAAGTCTGAGGTGGGAGGATCACTTGAGCCCAGGAGTTGATGTTGATAAACTGATTCTAAAGTTTATGTGAAGAGGCAAAGACATAGAATAGCCAACTCAACAATAAAGGAGGAGAACAGTTAGAGGACTGATAGTACCCAACTTACTAGAGTTACTAGAGGTCAGGCATGGTGGCTCACACCTATAATCCTGACTACTCAAAAGGCTGAGGTAGGAGGATCATTTGAGCCCAGGAGTTCAAGATCAGCCTGAGCAACATAGAAAGACCTGGTTTCTAACAAGTTAAAAAAAAAAAAAAAAAAAAAAAAAGACTTATAGAAAGCTGCAGTAATCAAGACAGTGTGATATTCGTGAAATAGATCAATGAAACAGAACAGAGAGCCCAGAAAAAAACCCACATAAACAGAGCCAACTAACCTTCAACAAGGGAGAAAAGGCAATACAATGGAGCAAAGATAGTCTTTTCAACAAATGGTTCTGGAACAACTGGACATCCATGTGCAAAAAATAAACTTAAACATGGACTTTAAACCCTTCCCAAAAATTAACTCAAAATGAATCACAGACCTAAATGTAAAATGCAAACTATAAAACTCCTATAAAATAACAGAGAAAAACTTAGATGACTTTGCTGATACAGTTTGGATGTGTATCCACTCCAGATTTCATGTTGAAATGTGATCCCCAATGTTGGAGGTGGGACCTGGTGGGAGGTATTTGGGTCATGGGGGTGGATCCCTCATGAATGGCTTGGTGCCCTCCTTGAGATAATACATGAGTTCTCACTCTATTAGTTCATGCAAAAGCTAGTTTTAAAAGAGCCCGGCACCTCCTCCCCTCTCTCTTGCTCCCTCTCTCACCATGTGATACACTAGCTCCCCTTTTGCCTTCTGCCATGATTGTAAACTTCCTGAGGTTTCACCAGAAGCAGATGCTGGCACTACACTTCTTGTATAGCCTATGGAACTGTGAGCCAAATAAACCTGTTTTCTTTATAAATTATTCAGCCTTACATATTCCTTCAGGGCAACACAAAACAGACTAACATATATGGGTATGGTGATAATTTTTTTTTTTTTTGAGATGGAGTCTCGCTCTGTTGCCCAGGCTGGAGTGCAGTGGTGCAATATCAGCTCACTGCAAGCTCCGCCTCCTGGGTTCACGCCATTCTCCTGCCTCAGCCTCCCGAGTAGCTGGGACTACAGGCGCCCGCCACCATGCCTGGCTAATTTTTTTTTGCATTTTTAGTAGAGACGGGGTTTCACCGTGTTAGCCAGGATGGTCTCGATCTCCTGACCTCATGATCTGCCCGCCTTGGCCTCCCAAAGTGCTGGGATTACAGGCATGAGCCACTGCGCCTGGCTGGTGATAACTTTTTAGATCCAATACCAAAATTATAGTTCATGAAAGAAACAATTGATAAGCTGAACTTCAACAAAATTAAAACTTCTGCTCTGCAAAAGACAACGTCAAGAGAATGAGAAGAGAAGCCACAGACTGGGAGAAAATATTTGCAAAAGAACCATCTGACAAAGGACTCTTATCCAAAATACACAAAGAAATCTTAAAATTCAACAATAAGAAAATGAGCAGCCCAATTAAAAAATGGGCAAAAGACCTGAACAGACACCTAATCAAAGAAGATATACAGATAGCAAGTAAACATATGAAAAGATTTAAACATATTACATCATTAGAGAATTGCAAATAAAAACAATGGGCTATCACTACACATGTATTAGAATAACTAAAATCCAAAACACTGACAATACCAAATAATGGCAAGGACATGGAGCAACAGGAATATTAATCCTTGCTGATGGGAATACAAAATGGTACAGCTTCCTCAGAAGACAGCAGCTTCTTATAAAACTAAAAAGTTATAAAACTTTTACCATACGATCCAGCAATGCACGCCTTATTATTTACCCAAATAAACTGAAAATTTGTGTCCACACAAACACCTGCACATGGATGTACATAGAAGCTTTATTCATAGTCGCCAAAAGTTGGAAGCAACCAAGATGTCCTTCAGTAAGTGAATGATAAATAAACTGAGGTATATCTAGACAATGGAATATTATTTAGCAGTAAAAAGAAATGAGATATCAAGCCATAAAAAGACATGGAAGAAACAAATGCTTATCACTGAGTGAAATAAGCTGATCTAAAAGGCTGCATACTGTATGACACCAACTATATGACATTCTGGAAAAGACACAACTATGGAGACAATAAAAAGATCAGTGGTTGTCAGGGGTTGGGAGAAAGGGAGGTATGAATAGGTGAAACACGGGACTTTTTTAGGGCAGTGAAACAATGCTGTATAATACTGCAATGGTGAATATGTCATTATACATTTGTCAAAATTCATAGAAAGTATAACACCAAGAACGAACACTACTGTAAAGTATGGACTTTGGGTGATAATGATGTGTAATTGTAGGGCCATCAGTTGTAACAAGTGTACCATTATGGTATGGGATGCTGATAGTTGGGGAGATTGTGTTGTGGGGGAACAGGGTATATGGGAACTCTCTGTATTTTCTGCTCAATTTGGCTATAAACCTAAAACTGATCTAAAAACTAAAGGTTATTAATTAAGGACCAAATGAGGGTCGAGTGCGGTGGCTCATGCCTGTAATCTCAACACTTTGGGAGGCTGAGGTGGGTGGATCACGAGGTCAGGAGTTCGAGACCAGCCTGGCCAATATGGTGAAACCCTATCTCTACTAAAAATACAAAAATTAGCTGGGCGTGGTGGCATATGCCTGTAGTCCCAGCTACTCAGGAGGCTGAGGCAGGAGAATTGCTTGAACCCGGGAGGTGGAGGTTGCAGTGAGCCGAGAGCACACCATTGCACTCCAGCCTGGCGACAGAGTGAGACTCCATCTCAAAAAAAAAAAACAAAAAAAAAAAACAAAGTTTATACCAGGAATTTAAAGGTGGTTCAACATCTGAAAATCAATTGATATAATTCATCAATAGAATAGATGAAAAGAAAAAAGAATGCTCTTATTAGGTATAGAAAAAGCATTTGACAAAATTCATCATCCATTCATGATTAAACCAATCAAACAACAAACTCCACAAAAAACTTCTTGGAAACTAAGAATATAAGGTCACTTCCTTAATCTAAGTGGCATCTACAAAAAAAACTACTGCTAATATCATACTTAATGGCGAAAGGCAAGAAAAAGAAATAAAAGGCATACAAATTGTAAAGGAAGAAACAAAATGGTCTCTATTTGCAGACAGCATGATTATCTATGAAGAAATTCCTAAAGAATCTACAATAAAACTGTTGGATTAATACAAGTTTAGCAAGGTCACAGGATACAAGGTTAATTAAAAAGAGTCAATCATATATTCCTGTATAACAGCAATGAAAAATTAGAATTTGAAATTTAAAAGGCAGCACCATTTAAAATAGCTCAACTAACAATTAAGAGCTTAGGTATAAATTTAAGGCATATGTACAGCATCCATATGCTGAAACCTACAAAACATTGATGAAATAAAGAAGATCTAAATAAATGTACAGATAAAGTGTCTATATGGCTTGGAAGGCTCAATATGATTAAGATGTCATTCTTCCACAAACAGCACAATCTCAAGGAAATCTCAGGCACATTTTTAGATACTGACAAATTGATTCAAAATTTATATGGAAGCTGGGCGTGGTGGCTTATACCTATAATCCCAGCACTTTGGGAAGCCAAGGTGGGCAGATCACTTGAGCCCAAGAGTTTGAGACCAGCCTGGGCAGCAACATAGAGAGAGCCTGTCTCTATTTAAAAAATAAATAAATAAATAAATAAATAAATAAATAAATAAATAAATAAATAAATAAAATGGAAAAGGTAATTAAACTACAGGAGCCAATTTTTTTTGGTTTTTGGTTTCTTGGTTTTTTTTGTTGTTGTTGTTCGTTTTTTTTTTTTGAGACAGTCTCCCTCTGTTGCCCAGACGGGAGTGCAGTGGTGCAATCTTGGCTCACTGCAACTTCCGGCTCCCAGGTTCAAGTGATTCTCCTGCCTCAGCCTTCCAAGTAGCTGGGATTACAGGCACCCACCACCACACTTGGGTAATTTTTGTATTTTTAATAGAGAGGGCGTTTCACCATGTTGGCCAGGCTGGTCTCAAACTCCTGCCCTCAAGCGATCCGCCCAGCTTGGCCTCCCAGACTGCTGGGATTACAGGCATGAGCCAATACACCTGGCCCAATTTTTTTTTTTAAATAAAACAACAACAAAAGAACTAAGTTGGAGGACCCACACTACTTTAAGGCTTACTGTAAAGCTATAGTAATCAAGACAGCATGGTATTGTTGAAAGAATAGACACGTATATACATTAAACAGAATAAACGGCCCAAATTAAACTTACACAAATATAGTCAACAGATTTTTTGACAAAAGTTCAAAGGCAATTCAATAGAGAAGGAACAGTTTTTTCAACAAATGGTGCTAGAATGATTCTTCATCCATATGCAAAAAAGGAACCTCAACACATAATTCATACCTTATACAAAAATTATTTCAAAGTGGTTTATAGACCTAAATATAAAATATAAAACTATAAAACGTCTAGGAGAAAGTGTAAGAGACCTTGAGTTTGACTATGAGGTATGTTTGTTTGTTTTTTTGAGATGGAGTTTCGCTCTAGTCACTCAGGCTAGAGTGCAATGGCGTGATCTAGGCTCACTGCAACCTCCGCTTCCCGGGTTAAAGCGATTCTCCTGCCTGAGCCTCCCAAGAGGCTGAGATTACAGGCATGCGCCACCAGGCCCAGCTAATTTTTGTATTTTTAGTAGAGACGGGGTTTCACCATGTTGCCCAGGCTAGTCTCGAACTCCTGACCTCAGGTGATCCACCCTCCTTGGCCTCCCAAAGTGCTGGGATTACAGGCGTGAGCCACCATGTCCGGCCAACTATGAGTATTTAAATATGACACCAAAAGCACAACCCATCAAAGAAAAAAATGAGAAATTGAGTTTTACGAAAATTAAAGACTTTTGTGGGCTGAGCATGGTGGCTCATGTCTGTAATCCCAGCACTTTGGGAGGCTGAGGCGGGTGGATCACGAGGTCAGTAGTTCGAGACCAGCCTGGCCAACATGGTGAAACACCATCTCTACTAAAAATACAAAAATTAGCTGGGCATGGTGGCAGGCGCCTGTAATCCTAGCTACTTGGGAGGCTGAAGCAGGAGAATCACTTGAACCCAGGAAGCAGAGTTTGCAGTGAGCCAAGATTGCGCCATTGCACTCCAGCCTGGGTGAAAGTGCGAGACTGTGTCTCAAAAAAAAAAAAAAAAAGACTTTTGCTTTGTATAAAAATCTGTGAAGAGAATGAAAATACAAGCCATAGACAAGGAGAAAATATTTGCAAATCACATATCCAATAAAGAGTTTGTATCTAGAATATATAAAGAACTCTTTAGCCATAACAATAATAAAACAAATAATTAAACTTAAAACTGTGCAAATGTCTGTCTTCCCCAAAGAAGATGTATGGATGGCAAATAAACATAGGGAAAGATATTCAACATCATTAGTCATGAAGGATATGCAAATTAAAACCACAATGGGATACCACTATGCACCTATTACAATGGCTAAAATAAAGAACTGAATACAAAATATTGGCCTTGATGTGGAGTAACAGAGTCATTCATTGCTGGTGGAAATACAAAATGGTACAGCCACTTTGGAAAAACAAATTTGGCAGTTTCTTATAAAGTTAAGCATATACTTATGTGACCCAGCAATCTCACTTCTAGGTATTTATCCAAGTGAAATGAAAGCTTACATTCATACAAAAACATGTATATGACTAGTTATACATAATTTTCCCAAAATGAGCAATCGAAAATGATAAATTGTGATAATCCATATAATGGAATACTACTCAGCAATAAAAAGGAACAGATTACTGATTCATACAAAAACATGGGTGAATCTTAAAATGCATTTTCCTAAGAAGATCATTATTGGGGCTGGGTGATGGGTACAGGAGGATTGATTATTCTATTTTTGTGTGTGATTGAAAATTTCCATAATAAAAGTTTTAAAAGTGTATTTTAATACGGTATTTTTTAATGATATCACAATGTCCAGGTACTGCACAGATGAGACTGAAGTTCCACGTTCTAAAGCCAGAAGCTGCATCTGAAATGTTGCATAGAAAACTGCTCATTGGCTGGGCGCGGTGGCTCACACCTGTAATCTCAGCACTTTGGGAGACTGAGGCGGGCGGACCACGAGGTCAGGAGATGGAGACCATCCTGGCTAACACAGTGAAACCCCGTCTCTACTTAAAATACAAAAAATTAGCCGGGCGTGGTGGTGGGTGCCTGTAGTCCCAGCTACTCGGGAGGTAGAGGCAGGAGAATGGTGTGAACCCGGGAGGCGGAACTTGCAGTGAGCCGAGATCACGCCACAGCACTCCAGCCTGGGCGACAGAGTGAGACTCCATCTCAAAAAAAAAAAAACAAACAAAAAACTTAGGTGGGCATGGTGGCAGGCACCTGTAATCCCAGCTACTTGGGAGGCTGAGGCACGAAAAATCGCTTGAAACCAGGAGGCAGAGGTTGCAGCGAGCTGAAATTGCACCATTGCACTCCAGCCTGGGCGACAGAGCGAGACTCCATCTCAATTAAAAACAACAACAACAACAACAAACTGCTCATTACATAAAGATCCAATCTGGTAATATAAATTTTATTTTATTAAGATATATACTTAGCACTTTGAATTGCTTCAAACATAATTTGAGGGGAACAAAGACTTATTGGCTTGTTGGTTTTAAGAACTGAATTTGCCTAGGCATTAGAAAAAGTACAGAAAGCTCCCCAGAGCAGTCTAGAGCCCAGCAGTCGCAGGCCCCTAGGCCATTTGAGTTATAGGACAGAAGGT
Organism: Homo sapiens; assembly: GCF_000001405.40. Classification (NCBI taxonomy): domain Eukaryota; kingdom Metazoa; phylum Chordata; class Mammalia; order Primates; family Hominidae; genus Homo; species Homo sapiens. Next base: position 49,970,741 of record NC_000013.11, read on the forward strand.
GGGGGTGTCAGTGAACACTATTCCTTCTGAGTGTCTGTCAATGGAGGTTGCATGTGAAACAGGAAAGAGGTTTGCTGAGGCTCTATGTTTATGTTTGCCTTTTCTTCAACTGGAGACTGAAGTTTGAGAATAGCAAGTAAGCACGTAATCATTCTCCTAGATCTCATTACTTGAGATCTTTTTTTTTTTTTTTTTTGAGACAGGGTCTGGCTCTGTTGCCCAGGCTGGAGTGCAATGGGACAATCTCAGCTCACTGCAACCTCTGCCTCCCAGGCTCAAACCATCTTCCCATCTAAGCCTCCCAGGTAGCTGGGACCACAGCCGTGTGCCACCATGGTGGGGTAATTTTTGTATTTTTGGTAGAGACAGGGTTTCGCCATGTCACCCAGGCTGGTCTTGAATTCCTAGCTTCAAGCAATCCTCCTGCCTCAGCCTCCCAGAGTAAAGGCGTGAGCCACTGTGCTTGGCCTGAGATAATTTCTTAAGATGATGTATAATACCTCCCGCAATGATAGCTTCCCCGATGTAACACCTCCTGCAAGTTGTCCTGAGCTATTTTAAGCTGTAATCAGAATATATTGAAGATTCAACATTTTTATTGTCCTTGTCCTGTACCCCCAGCAATAAAAAAAAAAAAAAGACTTAAAAAAATTATGGGGCCTATCGGCTGGGTGTGGTGGCTCATGCCTGTAATTGCAGCACTTTGGGAGGCTGAGGTGGGCGGATCACCTGAGGTCGGGAGTTCAAGACCAGCCTGACCAACATGGAGAAACTCCATCTCTACTAAAAATACAAAATTAGCCAGGTGTGGTGAGCATGCCTGTAATCCCAGCTACTTGGGAGGCTGAGGCAGGAGAATCACTTGAACCCGGGAGGCGGAGGTTGCAGTGAGCCAAGATCAAGCCATTGCACTCCAGCCTGGGCGACAAGAGCAAAACTCCGTCTCAAAAAAAAAATTATGGGGCCGGGCGCGGTGGCTCAGTCCTATAATCCTAGCACTTTGGGAGGTAGAGGTGGGCAGGTTACTGGAGCCCAGGAGTTCAGGACCAGCCTGGGCAACATTGTGAAACCCTGTCTCTACAAAAAAGCTACTCTGGAGGCTGAGGCAGGAGGACTGCTTGAGCCCGAGGTTGAGGCTGCAGTGAGCCGAGATTGTGCCACCGCACTCCAGCCTGGGTGACAGAACAAGACTCCGTCTCAATTAAAAAAAAAAAAAAGGAAATTTCTGAAGTGATAGTAATGTTCTATGTCTCGATAGCAATTTGGGATACAAAGGTATAGGCATTTATTATTATTAAAACTTGGAAATTTACACACAAGCACATAAGATTTATACATTTCATTGTATACATATTTTACTTCAAAAGAAAAAAGTCAACAAATATTTAACCTAGTCAATGATATACATGCTGAGTTATTTAGGCGGAAGTCTACTGATGTCTACAATTTACTTTTAAATGCGCCCAAAAAAAAAAAAAACAGGGATTGACGAATGCTTAGAGAAAGGTACAGACATGTGATAAGCCAACTATAGTGAAATGTTAGTGGTAGTCTACATGGTAGGTATATGCTGTTCACTATAAAATTTTTTCAACTTTGCTCTGTTTGCAAATTTTCACAATAATATATTGGGGAAATGTCTAGAAATGTGATGCTACCCTAGGTCAGCAGGAACTGTGAAAGATTAGACCTGTATTCTGGTTCCCAGATGCTAGAGCCTTTATTTTTTTTGGGGGGGTGGAGGTGGAGTCTCACTCTGTCGCCCAGCCTGGAGTGCAATGGTGTGATCTCGGCTCACTACAACCTCCACCTCCCGGGTTCAAGTGATTCCCCTGCCTCAGCTTCCCAAGTAGCTGGATTACAGGCACCTTCCAGCATGCCCAGCTAAGTTTTTGTATTTTTAGTAGAGACGGGGTTTCACCAGGTTTGTCAGGCCGGTCTCAAACTTGATCCACCCGCCTCGGCCTCCCAAAGTGCTGGGATTACAGGCGTGGGCCACCACGTCCAGCCTGCTAGAGTCTTTTATACTTGATATAATTTCTTGAATTCTGATTTCTTGAGGTTTTGTTTACTTAAATCTAGTTATCTCATCTCCCTTCTACTTTCACTTTCTGGTTTATCTAGTAATTTGTTCATTCATTTTCAAATATTTACCTTTCCCTACTAGGAACCAGGCCCTGTGTAGGTGCTGGGGATACAGTTTTGCTTCTGCTCCCATGGAGCTTCCATCGTGGCTTATTCCCAGTAACCAGCACCTCCAACTCCCTTAATTCTATCAGGAATGCTGTTTCCTACATCTTTGAGGCTACGACAGAGAGGGCCAGTTTATCCATTGAATAGTATAGGCCCCACACCAAGGGTCTGGGAGCTTTTTACAGTTCTATGAAAAATGTTTTATGCATGAAAAAAAGAATCTCCAATTTACAAAAGAAAATCGCAAAATCCTATACATTGCCAAGGCTGTCGAAATGAACTCCTAGTCTTTTTGATTCCCTCTTTTTTTACAGCTCTGAATACCATAGGACTGCCAGCATTTCGGGCCCCAGTAGCAAATCTAGCCCTAATATAGATGCTGTATGGGAATAAGACACTCCAATAGTCAGATGGATGCCTAAGCTATCATAGCCTAATGACATTGCAACTTCATTCTTTGAACTTCTTGTGCTGATCTGTTGTTCAGCAGTCCACCTTCTGATTCCCATGTAGGTCTGCGGAGAGGATGCAGTATTTCTTTGGGTATTTCTAGTCTCTGTAACAGTGCTTTGTCAGGTAAACCCATAAAATAGCTTGTGATTAAGAGCTGTCACACCACATGTCTAGAATTTGAGAAGGAAATCGGCCAATCCGGGTGCAGTAGCTCACGCCTGTAATCCCAGCACTTTCGGAGGCTGAGGCGGGTGGATCACTTGAGGTCAGGAGTTCGAGACCAGCCTGACTAACCTGGTGAAACCCCGTCTCTACTAAAAATAAAAAAAATTAGCTGGGTGTGGTGGTGGGCACCTGTAATCCTAGCTTGGGAGACTGAAGTAGGAGAATTGCTTGAACCTGGGAGGCAGAGGTTACGGTGAGCCGAGATCGCACCACTGCACACCACCTGGGTGACAGTGTGAGACTCCATCTCAAAAAAAAAAAAAAAGGCAATCATGTCAACATTATTATTATTTTTTTGGTCCCTTATGGCCATACATTTCTCAGTGTAAATTAAATTGCTAATTTAAGAGGGACAAGGAATAGTCTTGCACATCTTCTCATCCATACTTTTAGTTTTAAACTTAGTTCTAGTTGATTCAGGCCTTGTGAAGCCTTGTTTTATCTTATTCTCAGCATCTAGGTTCTAACCCCTACTGTTCTCCCATTATTGACTGTCCCTTGCCAGGCCTCTCTTAACAGCTGAACCCTGGGCTTCTGTTTCTCCATCTTTTTTTTTTTTCTTTTGAGACGGAGTCTGGCTCTTATTGCCCAGGCTGGAGTGCAATCGCGTGATCTCGGCTCACTGCAACCTCTGCCCCCTGGGTTCAAGCGATTCTCCTGCCTCAGCCTCCTGAGTACCTGGGATTACAGGCATGTGCCACCACACCTGGCTAATTTTGTACTTTCAGTAGAGATAGGATTTCTCCATGTTGGTCAGGCTGATCTCGAACTCCGGATCTCAGGTGATCTGTCCACCTTGGCCTCCCAAAGTGGGAGGCCACCGTACCCGGCCTGTTTCTCCATCTTTAACTGTGTTGTTTTAGGTCCTCTTGGGTAAAGCCCCGTCAACTCAATCCCCAGGTTTTTTGGGCCATAATGATGCCCCTGAGGTTTGTGCTCCCGGAATGCCCCAGAGCTGGAAACTAGGCAGCTTTTGCACATAAAATTACTTTATTATAAAGGTTTCCCACTAATACATACTAACAAGTATGAGATATTGATTTTAAAAACTTTGTTTTAACCAAAGAAAATAACAGAACAATGCCTTATAAGCCAATATTTAAATAAAACAGAGCATTATGAAATATTTTATTTTTATTTGTTGGTAATTATATCTGGATGGCTCATGAAATTACTGTAACATCCTTGATTTTATTGTTCCCTCAGGAATTTCCTCTCTATTTTAAATAAAATGTGTTTTATGCACTGAGTACATTTAGTATCTCCACTCTGTTAGACAATTACAACACTGTAGATACACAGAGCTATGCAATGTGCCTATTTTAACTATAGATTAGCTTCCTAGGAAGAACAGTGTTGGTATCCTTTGCCATTTAGAGTCAAAAGGAGTCTGATGGCAGTTCTTTACAGTGACTGTTGAGATGACTGAATCTTCCTGAGCCAAGTCTTCACATCTCTATTTTGTTGTTTTAATTTGAATAACTATGAAAAGATTGATTTTTTTTTTTTTTTTTTTTTAGGACAGGGTCTCACTCTGTCACCCAGGCTGGTGTGCAGTGGTGCGATCATGGCTCACCGCAGCCTCCATCTCCCTGGCTCAGGTGATCCTACCATCTTAGCCTCCCAAGTAGCTGGGACTACAGGCTCCCACCACCACCCCCGGCTAATTTTTGTATTTTTTGTTAATCCTCCCACCTTGGCCTCCCAAGGTGTTAGGATTACAGGTGTGAGCCACTGTGCCCAGCCAAAAAAGACTGAAATCTTTTATTTCTGATGGAGACCTCAAAGAGCTCACTGCATAGGACTGACCCCAGGTTGCCTTTATATTTCCTGCATTTTTCTCCTGTTGCTCTTCAGAGAAGCTGTATGATATAAATGAATGAATGAATGTGTGTGTGTGTACACACACATATATCTCCATTCAAAAGCTATAGCACATGCATGTTTGTGTGTATGTGTATATATGTGCATGTATATAAGTATATATGCATACACACATATACACACACACAAAGGTACAGAAAATATATATCTTGTGACTAAAATTCCCTGAACTACCAGTAACTCCAGAAATTCTATTCTGGAAAACAATGGCTAACATCTAATTCATTATCTTAGAATTATCACAAAAGGAATATGAAAATGTGGTTTCTAGTGCAATGCAGTTAAGATAGGTATTCTTGTAGGCCATGGTTCCAAGAAATTTGTTTGACAACTGTACTGAGTAGTATATTTCTCCACTTCCTTTATTTTTTTCCCTTACCTTTTTTGAAAAAAAAAAAATGAAGAAAAATGTGTTCCTCTTTCAAGTTCTTTTTCTCTCCTGGCTTATACAGTATGTTACCAGCAGAACTTTCTCTAAAATGAAAGGAAGTCATTGCTAAGAAGAGACAAAAAGTTAACAGGATTAAGGGAGTAAAAAGGCACATGGAATTTCTGGGTGTGTCCAGAATCTGAGAAGATTTGAAAAGAGGAGCAGAAAGAATTTTTGTATTTTAGAAGTTGAGGGGCCCTCCTGGCCTAGTTTGAAAAACACAATCAGATACAATTTGAAAAAAGTCCAACAAAATCTAGTGGGAAGATAAGCTAGAATCTTGTTACAAAAAGTGTCACGGGCCTTGGTTGTATATTTTAAATGAACTTCTTAATTTCATATCAAAATGCGTAGATACCTCCTGACCCCCATTCTTGCCCTCCTCCATTTCCCTGTTAAATCCTGACCTTTCTCTGTAGACCTTCCCATTTCCACCCTGGAGGTCTGGCTGTCAGGACTACTCTCAGGTTGCCTGGGTCTCCACGGTGGCACCCATTAGCCGTGTTGCTTCTGGGCAGGGCATCTGTTTCTGTGCAAAGAGAAAATGCTAGGGTGAGTCACCAGTCCTTCTCTCCTAACAAAAAAGCATTGTACTGTACAGTTTGATTTCGGCTCTTGTGTGCAACTTGTGATTGCAAACTAATGGGGACATGAGGCACAGCTCCAGTGACACACCTCTCAGGTTGCATTATAATGATCTGATTGGGATGTACCCCATTAGACCGTGAGATCCTTTAAGCCTAGGATGCTTTTATTTTTGTGTTCCCAGCCCTAAGCACACTGTGCCTAGCTCAGGGTAAGCACTAAACAAATGTTTCTTGATGAGAATGCTACAGGAGGAAGGGAAGGGTTGTACTCTACACAAAGAGCGGAAAAGCTACCCTTTAAGAAAGAGACTCATCTTCGCATGGCCTGCAGAGGGCGCTCTTGCATCATAGCTATACCATGCATCCTTTGCCCATCACTGGTTTCCTTGAGCAGTACCTTTTTGGTAAAACCACAGGTGTGAGACTTTGGAAATTTAGACTTAAACCTGCCCAAACACATTAGAATATCATCAGTTGCACAGAACAAATCCACATTACAATTATTCCAAAGGGACAAGAACATTCCAGAATTTGCTTAAAGAATACTAAGCCATGACATCTCAGAAAGTCAAACCTAAAGAAGAAAAATTGCCTGGTTAGTCTTCCGGGAAATGTTAATAATTCTTAAATTTGGAAGGCTCCTTATACTCACTTGATGAGCCAGTTCATCTAATCCAACTACCTCATTTCTCAGATGAGGAAACTGAAGTTTATAAAATTCCTCAAGGTGATGTATCTACAGAAAAATTATACTCTCAATTCAGGCTTTAGATGTGTGTTGAAAACATGGCAAGGTGTCCATTTGGAAAAAATGCACCTAGAGCTTTCTCTCTCTCTCCCTCTCCTTATTTAAATAGAAAGATTTAAAAATAAAAATATGGCCAGGCATGGCATCTCATGCCTGTAATCCCAGCACTTTGGGAGGCCAAAGTGTCAGGAATGCTTGAACCCAGGAGTTCGAGACCAGCCTGGGCAACATAGCGAGACCCAGTTTCTACAAAAAATTAAAAATTAGCCAGGTATAGTGGCATGTGCCTATAGTCCCAGCTACTCAGGAGCCTGAGGCAGGAAGATAGCTTGAGCCTAGGAGGTCAAAGCTTCAGTGAGCTGTGATCACACCACTGGACTCCAGCCTGGGCAACAGAATGAGATCCTGTCAAAAAAAAAAAAAAAAGTACTGTAGTAACTGCTGAATAAAATACATAAGACTGGAAAGACACTATTTTAATGGTGAATCTGGACAGCACTCCAAGGGTACATTTTAACAGGTTGGAAGTAGGCTTTTAACATATTATGGGGGGGATCAACTGAGTAATAAATAACACAGAATTAAAAAGTGTTGGTTAGCCAAACTGACCATCAAATTGAGAGCCAAAAAGCCATTAAGTTATGATTCTGGACAAGGCTCTGATTGCCACAGTTCAGAAAAGTTATTTGACATCTTTTTCACATTGTTAAGCTTAAAAAACAAACCCAAACTCAAATCCCCAAACCCTCAAAGCATCAAGTGCTTGAAGCATTTCTAATATACCTTCCGCATCAACCCTCACCTCCTTCTTGTTTCAGAGAAACCATGATCCTCCTCCAGGCTGGTTCTTAATCAGCACCCCCTCCCTTCCCTGGGTGCCTCCCATTTGTAGGCAGCCATTATTGGGCTGTATTCTGGTTGTGTTGAGGCTGGCAGGAAAGAGGAACAAGGATAGCATGTTCATGTGGTGTGAGTGGTCTCAGCTTCTAGGCATGCTGGGGGAAAGGGCAGTCCTGTGGCCCTGTGAGAGGCCCACTCAGACCCTGGCCAGCTCTAAGGGCTAAAGCAGCTCTGAGGTGTAGCACTTCACTTCCATCGGTTTTAGAGGCCCTACCTGGGGAGAAAAACGGCAGAAAAGCAGCCCTCAAAGAAATGCTACCATGGGATATGGCCTCAAGAGAGGAGCCTCAGCCTGAGATGAGTTGGGGGGTGGCCTTGAAGAAAAGAGGCCCTGGCTTCAGGGGCGTGGGGGAAGACAGATAAGGTGTTGGAAGGAAGCCACTCAGGATTCTTTGGAAAGCGAGGACAGTGAAGTTGGAGATTAAGGACCCGTAAACAGGGCAAATTACAGGAATTCTCCCCAGCCAACGGGAAGGGAAGGGCAGGGCCTGAGCACTTTCCTGGCCTCTCAAATTTGAAGATGCCTGGGGGTCACTGGGGAATCTTGTTGAAATGCAGAATCTGATCCAATAAGTCTAGAATCCTGCCTCAGATTCTGGATTTCTACCAAGCTCCCTGGTGAGGCTGCAGGTTCTTAGGCCCCACTTTCAGAAGCAAGGGTGTCTTCTAGACTTCAGAATAGAGAAAGTTGAACAACAGAGACCATGTACCAGAGAGTCATCTATGGGCAAATTCGTTCGGAGGAAGTCCTTCTAGCTCCAGTTCAAATTCAAGGTTGTCTTTGCAGATTCCCAGGTAGTAAAAGGATTTTAGGAGTTCAATTATTGGGCAAGGAGGGGAAAGGATCCCAGATTTAAGGACCCCTCATCAATATCCATTGGGGCTGGGAAGAAGAGTGGCTGGTTTTCCATTAGGTAGGGGGCCCAGATCACTAATAATCAGGGCGATCTGGTGAGGCAGAAGATGCCAGCAAGAAATGCCCTGGAGGGCCTGAAGCAGCTGCTGAATTCCCCATGAGCAGCTTTTCACATGCTACCTGAAGGCAGCCACTGGGAGGTTTTGAAAGAAGATACTAAGTGACTCCGCACTAGCACTTGCCACACTAGATAACCTGGTGAGAGAAGCTGCTAATTGTAATAGAGGCAGAATGTTATCTGTACTGTTTAAAACAAGTTTTCCAGGGGGAAATGAGGACAGGCCAATGCAGCCAGAAAGCACTGGGTGTTGGCTTTGCAGAAAGCTGTTAGGAACAGGGTTGCCAGGTGTCCTGTTTTGAACTGGACAGCATGGTATTTTAGCTTCTAGTGTACGAAAATGCAGTAAATGCCTGTTTTTTAAAAAAGTCATTGTTGCGGCGGGGCGCGGTGGCTTACCCCTGCAATCCCAGCACTTTGGGAGGCCAAGGTGGGCGGATCACCTAAGGTCAGGAGTTCAAGACCACCCTGACCAACATGGAGAAACCCTGTCTCTACTAAAAATACAAAAAAAAAAAAAAAAAAAAAAAAAAAAAAAAGCCAGGAATGGTGGTGCATGCCTGTAATCCCAGTTACTCAGGAGGCTGAGGCAGGAGAATCACTTGAACCCAGGATGCAGAGGTTGTGGTGAGCTGAGATTATGCCATTGCACTCCAGCCTGGGCAACAAGTGCGAAACTCCATCTAAAAAAAAAAAATCGTTATTATGGCCAGGCGCGGGGGCTCATGCCTGTAATCCTGGCACTTTGGGAGGCTGAGGTGGGTGGATCATGAGGTCAAGAAATCGAGACCATCCTGTCCAACATGGTGAAACCCTGTCTCCACTAAAAATACAAAAATTAGTTGGGCATGGTGCCACGGTGCCTGTAGTCCCAGCTACTCGGGAGGCTGAGTCAGGAGAATCGCTTGAACCTGGGAGGTGGAGGTTGCAGTGAGCCAAGATCGTGCTACTGCACTCCTGCCTGGTGACAAGAGCGAGACTCCGTCTCAAAAAAAAAAAAAAAAATCATTATTATTTCACATGTGCTTTATATCTTATGTTTTGATTTATTTTTAATCAGCAGGGGTTTGTAATTTCAGCTTTTAGTTACTCCTGCTATTAAGTATTGAATGGACAAACACTACTTAAAACAGTGTTACACTTCTTTTGAAATATGAGGAATCCTTTTATTTATCTGTGTGCAAATAACATGTTTCAACACTACTGTTAAGTATTCTGTTAAAGTACAAGTCTATCCCTTAGGAGGGGAGGGTACACTCTACAAGAAGTTTTTTTCCCCAGTCTCTATGGGGTGGTTATTTCTGTAATCCTATTTATGGATGAAGCAGGGGAAATACAGTCATCACTGGGGCAATGATAAGAGCTACTGTGCACTGAGGGTTTACCATGTGCCTGTCAGTATGGGCAGTCTATATCCTCTACCTCCTTCCTCACAGAGATCCCATGGTGGGGGGGCCCAGTTACCCTCATTTTACAGAACAGTAAACAGGCTCAGGGAGATTCAGTATTGAGGCCCCAAGCCTGGAAGTTATCCTCCATTTCTCTTTTCCTCTTTGGCCCCTCCTCCAATTTATTAACAAGTTCTGTCAGCTATAACTCCAAAATATATTTTTAAAATATGACCTTTTTTCCTACCCTAGCTCAAGTCCTCATTATCTTTCTTGCTTAGATGTCGCATTAGCCTCCAAACTGTCCCCCGGGGCCACTCTTACCCTTAGTACCATCTTCCTTCCACACAATGGGCAGGGTGGGTTTTTTTAGTTGTTGTTGTTTGTTTGTTTTTTGAGACAGGGTCTAAGTCTATTGCCCAGGCTGCAGTGCAGTGGTGTGGTCATAGCTCATTGCAGCTTCAATCTCCTGGGCTCAAGTGGTCCTCTCACTTTAGCCTTTCAAGCAGCTTAGGCTACAGGTGCATACCACCACACCTGGCTAATTTTTAATTTTTTGTAGAGATGCAGTCCCGCTATGTTTCCTAGGCTGGTTTTTTGTTTTGTTTTGTTTTGTTTTCTGAGATGGAGTCTTGCTCTTTTGCCCAGGCTGGAGTGCAGTGGTGTGATCTTGGCTCACTGCAACCTCTGCCTCCCGGGTTCAAGTGATTTTCCTGCTTCAGCCTCCTGAGTAGCTGGGACTACCAGCGCCCACCACTATGCCTGGCTAATTTTTGTATTTTTAGTAGAGTTGGGGTTTCACCATGTTGCCCAGGCTGGTCTCGAACTTCTGACCTCAGGTGATCTGCCCACCTTGGCCTCCCAAAGTGCTGGGATTACAGGTGTGAGCCACCGTGCATGGCTGCTAGGCTGGCCTTGAACTACTGGCCTATAGTGATCCTCCTGCCTCAGTCTCCCATAGCGTTGAAATTACAGGCATGAGCCACCACTCCTAGCCCAGAGTGATCTTTCTAAACTGTATATCAGATGATGTGCTCTCCAATGGCTTCTCTTCATATTTAAAATAAAACCCAAAGTCTTTTCCAGGACTTACAAGGCCGTACCTGATCTGGCTCCCCATTGCTGCATGCAAACTCTTCATTCATTCATTCAACTAATATTTACTGAGGGCCTGCCATGTGCCAGACACTCTTATAGCTGCTAGCATATTGCTTCTGTACAGAGCTCACATTCTAGTGGGAGGAGACAGTAATCAAAGAAATACAAAGTATGTCAGGTGGCGATAAGTGGCATGGAGAAAAATGAAGCAGGAAAGGAGACCAGGGAGTGCTGTGAGGCAGTGAGAGGCCACCATTTGTAATAGGATGGCCAGGAAGACTTTCCCGTGAAGGTGACATCTGAGCAGAACAACTGAAGGAGAGGAAGGAGTGAGCCAGGTAGACTTTGGAGGAAGAACATTCTAGGCAGAGGGAAAAAAAAATGCCAAGTTGCTAAGGAAGAGGCGAGTTTGGCATGTTTGAGGAATAGCAAGGAGGCCGATGTGGCTAGAGTAGAGCGCACAGGCAGAAGTCAGAGATGGCTTGGCCATGGGTTGGGGAGATGGCAGACCTGTAGGAATCTGTTGGCTCCCAACCAAGGGACTTGGACTTGGACTAAGTGGGTGGGAAGCTGGGGAAGGGATGTAAGCAGAGCAGTGATATGATTGTGTAGAAGGACCATGTGGCTGTAGGGAGACAGGCTCAGCATCAAAGACAGAAACAATAAATCATGGTGGCATGGGCTAGAATGGTGGCCATGGAGGAAGAGAGAAGTGCTCAAATGTTGCTGAATGAATAGTGAATAAATGAACTTGCTCAATGATGGAGTCAAAATGCACATGCAGCAATCTGACTTGAGCTGCCTTGCTCTTAGTAAGGGTGAACAAAAACTAGGAGAGAGGGGCTGCTGCAGCCCCCTTGGAACTTTCCGGCTCTGAGATTTTAGCAGCTTTCCTTCTGTGGGGTATGCAGGGAAGAAGGAAAATACGCCTATAATGGAAGCTTTATTGGAAAAGGCAGAAGGTAGAAAAACATCTGGAAGGACAAAAAGCCCACCAGGCAACCAACCAGTCAACCAGTAACAATGTACAGGCTTGAGATTGGGGTATTGATCAATTGCCACTTAGGCCACACATAATCACTACCACACACAATCACTATGTGTGATTTTTTTTTTCCCTCAAGAGAATGTATTAAAAGGAATGCTTCGGAATTAAAAATAAAAATTTTAAAAATTACCCCTTTTAAAAATAAACTGAATAATTTGTAAAACTATGGAGAGTATGGTGATGAACACAAAGGCTATGACTTTAAGTCACCTTTTCTGGGAAAGCAACTGGTTTAGAAGATTAAACTATGCAAACAAAAGGCAAAGATTCTGGGCCGGGTACGGTGGCTCACGCCTGTAATCCCAGTACATTGGGAGGCCAAGGTAGGCAGATCGAGACCATCCTGGCCAACATGGTGAAACCCCGTCTCTACTAAAAATACAAAAATTAGCTGGGCGTGGTGGCACGTGCCTGTTATCCCAGCTACTCAGGAGGCTGAGGCAGGAGAATCACTTGTACCTGGGAGTCAGAGGTTGCAGTGAGCTGAGATTGTGCCACTGCACTCCAGCCTGGCCACAGAGCCGGACTCCATCTCAGAAAAAATAATAATAATAAAAAATTTAAAAAAGATTCTGGGCCGGGCGCGGTGGCTCACGCCTGTAATTCCAGCACTTTGGGAGGCTGAGGCGGGCAGATCACGAGGTCAGGAGATTGAGACCATCCTAGCTAACACGGTGAAACCCCGTCTCTACTAAAAATACAAAAAATTAGCCGGGCGTGGTGGCAGGCACCTGTAGTCCCAGCTACCCGGAAGGCTGAGGCAGGAGAATGGCGTGAACCCAGGAGGCGGAGCTTGCAGTGAGCCGAGATCATGCCACCGCACTCCAGCCTAGGTGACAGAGCGAGACTCCATCTCAAAAAAAAAAAAGATTCTGAACCATCCATTCTCTGGGTTGCACTTAAATTTTTGGCTTCATTAGGGATGACTTGGAGCTGCTATGCTTGTCATGCAAAATATATTCCTCCATGTTATTTTCCATTTGCTAATCAGTTGGATCCATTTGAGTCAAACTGTGCCTTTGTAGACTTGGTTGCTTCTTTTGGAAGCTTCTTTCAAAGTTTCTTTCTTTAGTTGCTTCTTTCAAACTAGGTTACAGAAACAAGAGCTGAATTAGACAGCTGCAGAAAGCAGATTTCTACTTTCAAATTTAAGATGAAAAATATGAATATTGAGAGTATTTCTTTCATGTTGAAATCAAGCAACTTTCTTGGTAAAATTCTATTTCTTAACGCAGTCAGTAATTGGTGGGTGAGGTGACCACATGCCCTGAGGAGGCAGGTAGGCCCATCTAGAGCAGGAGCTGGGCTCATGCAGATGGATCTTTGACCCTACCTCTGTTCCTCATAGTTGGATGACCCTGGCCAACTCACTTCACCCTGTTACTTTCCTTATCTGCAAAATTCATGTCTCCAAAATTCCCTTGTGGGGTTGCTGTGAGGATGAGTTGAAATGATGTGTGTGGTGTCACAGCATGATTTCCTTGATCCATGGAAGTTATTAAGTTGTTGGCAGTCCACTTCTTGCTTTTGTGGAGTTGTATTTTTGTTCTAGCTCTTTTGTTCACAGACGGGGTGACTATGTAATTTATCATCCAAACTGGGAATTAATAAATGAAAATGAAAGACTAAGTGGAGGAGAGTCTGGGCTCAAAGGTGTGGTCAGGACTCTTCCCAGGCAAACCTGAACATGTATGGTCACCTTCCCTAATACTAATGCGTAGTCAGACTGAGCAGCCTGTGGGAGAAAGCTGGCTGCCATCATTCTGCCACTCACTGCTGGAGGGACAACAAGGCAGAAGCAGTCTGGCGGGCCAAGCTAGACCTTGTCTGTGTCGGGAAGACTTACATCATGTGCTGGTAAAGAACTAACAACTGCTGGGCACAGTGGCTCATGCCTATAATCCCAGCACTTTGGGAGGCCAAGGTGGGAGGATTGCTTGAGGCCAGAAGTTTGAGACCAGCCTGGACCACCTAGTGAGACCTTGTCTCTACAAAAAAAAAAAAAAAAAAGTTAAAAAAAAATTAGCTGGTCCTGGTGACATGCACCTGTAGTCCCAGCTACTCAGGAGGCTGAGGAAGGTGGATCACTTGAGCCCAGGAGTTAGAAGCTGCAGTGAGCTATGACTGCACCACTGCACTCCAGCCTGGGCAACTGAGCAAGACACTGTCTCAAAAAATAAAAAGACTAACAACCTGGTCTTTGAAAAATATTGAGTGGCCAGGCACGGTGGCCCATGCCTATAATCCCAATGCTTTGGGAAGCCAAGGCGAGTGAATCACTTGAGGTCAGGAGTTCAAGACCAGCCTGGTCAACATGGTGAAACCCCATCTCTACTAAAAATACAAAAAATTAGGGTGTGGTGGTGGGTGCCTATAATCCTGGCTACTCGGGAGGCTGAGGCAGGAGAATCGCTTGAACCCGGGAGGTGGAGGTTGCAGTGAGCTGAGATTGGGCCATTGCACTCCAGCCTGGGCGACAACAGTGAAACTCCATAAAAAAAAAAAAAAAGGAAAAAAGAAAAAGAAAAAGAAAAGGAAAAATTATTGAGTGAAGAAGCCTCTTCCCTTCCTCCCCCACCACCTTATAATTTGGCAAAGGGCCTCCATCTGTGGGGCCTAGATTGTTTTCTAGGAGATAAAAATAGCCAGCATGTGTCAAGATAGCATCAAACCTGCAGGGGCAGGTGAGGACTCCAGAATGGGGTTATAAGCAGGTCTTTTTTTTTTGTGAGCCAGGCTACATGCCAGGCTTTATGCTACTGTGTTTATTTCTCTTTGTTACTTGCCAGCACAGTGATACTAGAACTTGCAGAAATTTAAGGGTAACCGGTATTACTTTAAAATACCTTTTCCCAGGCTCCCACTGCAGACCTTCAAAATCCATGTCCCCCAAGATTCTGTATATTTAAACTGGTGTCCAGAGCAGTTTCTATGACCTCAAAAGGTTGGGAAACATTGCCCTCATGTTCAGAAAAGTCCTTTAAACTTTTCAGCTTTGACTTAGTTGTGGAGAGATGTTGAAAAATGCCTTTTGTCATCCCATTGCCTGTACCTCAGATATGAAGGAAGAAATGACCCAAGGAGGCTTCGATGGAGCCAAAATCATCAGAGGGAGAGTCTCGGGAGAAAGATGAATCTCCAGGGCAGGGGCCAGGGTTTGTTGGTCTCTCTGCTTCTGGCCCCTGCAGTTACTCTTTTTCAGTGTCAACCTCAGAGGAGCTGAGCTTTATTTTTATTATAAAAGCAGAGATTATCTGTCACTATACTTTATCAATCCTTTCTCTTCTTTCCCCATCATTCTTCCAGAAAGAATTGTTCATACTCCTTGTCTCTGCTTCCTTAATCTTCATTCACTTCTGACTGCAGTGGAATGAAGACTGACCTGGGTAACCTGCCCTATGTGACTGTGGGCAGGTTAATGAACTACTCCAACCCTCAGTTTCCCCACTGTGACTTGTAAAATGAGGTAATGCAAGAAAAATTTCCAACATAGTCCCTGGCAGATAGTAAATACTTATTTTTTTTATTTTTATTTTTTTGAGGTGGAGTCTCGCTCTGTTGCCCAGGCTGGAGTGCGGTGGCACGATCTTGGCTCACTGCAACCTCCGCCTCCCGGGTTCAAGTGATTCTCCTGCCTCAGCCTCCCGAGTAGCTAGGACTACAGGCATGTGACACCATGCCTGGCTAATTTTTGTATTTTTAGTAGAGACGGGGGTTTCACCATATTGGCCAGGCTGGTCTCGAACTCCTGACCTTGTGATCTGCCCACCTCAGCCTCCCAAACTGCTGGGATTACAGATGTGAGCTACCTCGTCTGGCCAGTAAATACTTAATTTTAACCCTTTCCCTTTCCCTACCTCTGGCCCCAAAACAGAGATAAAATTTCTTTTCCTAAAATCATTAGTAACATAATTGATTTTTTTTTCTTTTTTTTTTTGAAACAGAGTCTTGCTCTGTCACCCGGTCTAGAGTGCAGTGGCGCAATCTCGGCTTACTATCACCTCTGCCTCCCAGGTTCAAGTGACTTTTTTGCCTCGCCTCCTGAGTAGCTGGGATTACAGGCGTGTGCCAACACTTCGTTAATGTTTTTGTATTTTTAGTAGAGATGGGGTTTCACCATGTTGGCCAGGCTGGTAAAATCATTAGTAACCTAATTGGAAAATTCTATCATTTTTCAGGGCTCAATTTACTTTTTTTTGGTCAACATTTAAGACTATACTCAATTCTTGAAATTCCTATTCTTTTCCTATATTTATGCCACTTTTTCTAGCTTTTCCCTCCTGGTTCCAAAAACATCATCTCTAGCCTGCCTAGTATCAGAGGCACTCCCTGCCCAGTGTCACATGGGCAGTCATTTAACAGCCATGATATCCTGGCCCCACATAATCATTTGCTCCCTAAATAGGGACTTGTATGAATAACCACACAAGGATTTCACTGTCTTTTTCCTTTACATACACCTTACATTTAGGTGTATTAATGAAATTATGCAGCCATTGAAAAGTATCATGTTGAAAGCTATGGAAAGATGCAGAAGTGATTAACATCTTCAGTAGATATAGTGCAATGCAAAATGCTACATGTTAAAAATCAGGGTGAGGTGCTATTCACCTTAAGAAGACACCATAAAGGCCAGGTGCAGTGGCTCATGCCTGTAATCCCAGCACTTTGGGAGGCTGAGGTGGGTGGATCACGAGGTCAGGAGATTGAGACCATATTGGCTAACATGGTGAAACCCCGTCTCTACTAAAAATACAAAAAATTAGCCAGGTATGGTGGCACATGCCTGTAATCCCAGCTACTTGGGAGGCTGAGGCAGGAGAATCGCTTGAACCCAGGAGGCGGAGGTTGCAGTAAGCTGAGATTGTGCCACTGCACTCCAGCCTGGGTGACAGAGCGAGACTCTGTGTTAAAAAAAAAAAAAAGAAGGCACTATAGGCCAGGCATGGTGGCTCAGGTCTGTAATCCCAGCACTTTGGGAGGCCAAGGCGGGCAGATCACCTGGGATCAGGAGTTCAAGACCACCCTGGCCAACATGGTGAAACCCTGTCTCTACTAAAAATGCAAAAATTAGCCAGGCATGGTGGGATACACCTATAATCCCAGCTACTTCGGAGGCTGAAGCAGGAGAATCACTTGCCCTTGGGAGGCGGAGGTTGCAGTGAGCCGAGATTGCACCACTACACTCCAGTCTGGGCAACAGAGGGAGACTTTGTCTCAAAACAAAAATAAAAACAAAAACAAAAAACAAAACAAAAACGAAAACAAAGGCACTACAGCCGCCTAACACAAAGATGATAGAATCTCATCCCTACGCTGTAGCCACACACAACCAAACCCAAGATCCCCCAAGGAAAACGGATGAATAGAGAACACTAGCAAATGAGAATTAAGCATCACTTTGCTACAAATACTCCAGTAAACTGGGCCTGAGCACTGCTTTGGGCTTCCAGACTGTAGGCTTCCTCTATCTCCCAGGCATAAATAGACTCTTACCTTAGTGAGAGCACATCAGACATTAGCCAAGTGTGGTGGTGCGTGCCTGTAATCCCAGCTACTTGGGAGACTGAAGCTGGAGAATCGCTTTAACCCGGGAGGTGGAGGCTGCAGTGAGCTGAGATCTCACCACTGCACTCCAGCCTGGTGACAGAGCGAGACTCTGTCTTAAAATAATAACAATAATAATAATAATTCTCTGATGACTCTTCAGGAAATTCTCCTCATTTTAAGAGTTATGCTATGTTGTTCTGTGAAAATGAAGACTACCAGCACTTCTGTGTAAACTCTAGGAAGAGTTTGACTATAGGAGTATGGTAATACTTGCTGTGTAAAGAAAGGATGGAAAGCTACTTTGTTTTGATAAAGTAAAATGTATTGAAGTGCCTATTTTGAGTAAATTAAAATTCAGAGTACTTACCATTTCAGCTGGTCTCAACAGCAAATTTTTAGAAGTCTGAAATACATCAATACCGTGAAATAGGAGACTCTTACTTCCTTAAGACATTCATGAAATCACTGGGTTAGGTGCTAGTAATGCAATGATGAGAAAACACACACACACACAAACACACACACACAATCCCAGCTCTTATGGGGTTTACAGTCAAGTGGGGAGACAAACATTAATCAAATAATTACACAAATAAATTTAACAAACTGCAGAGTGCATGATGGAAGAGCAGTATTAGATGGTATGAGATGATTAACAGGGTCTGTTAATTGGCCAGAAACATCTGGGAAAGCTCACCTGAGACTGTCAGTTGTGCTATGGTTGGAGGATGGGGATGGGAGGTGGCTGGTGAGGGCCTCGTTAGGGAAGGAACTAAGGGTGCAGGAGCCCTGCTGCTGGAAGCAGTATGAGCCTCGGGTAACACAAGGGCTAACCCAAATGCCTACACAGAGTAAGGATTGTGGGAGAGGAAGAAGTGACATGCCTCTCAAGTATTAAAATTCAGTTTTCATCATTTAAAAATAGAGTAACAATAGGCAAACAGTTTGTGTTTTTGACAGGGATTGTAAGAGTCAATAAATGATCACTGAACTCCTAGGAGGGTCCTAAAACTGAGCGTTTGAATTCCAGAATTTAAATGCTGGGTAGAAAAGGATGACCCAGCAAGTATTCCTGAGTCTGAAGAAGAAAAGCCAGGAGTGAGTTTAGTGTTACTAATGGCAGAGGAAAAGAGGGCCTTTTAAAAAGGAGGCAGTGGTACTCAGAGTTGAAGGCTACCAAAAGATCAAGGAAAATGAGAACTGAAAAAATATCTGTTGGAGTTAGCAACATGGAGGCCAATGACATTCACAAAATGCTTAAAATGCACTGATATTGTATAATTAGTTTCAACCATCTTCTGAATTATCTGTGTCTTTTGCCTGACTGGGAGGGGTGTGGGTTGCTTTAGATCAAATTCCACACTTCTGGAGATCTGGGGGCATTCTAGCAACAATCCAGATAGTGTTACAAACAAGACCATTATAAGATAAACACATTTTAACAAGGCATTTATTACCCAATGCTTTAATATTAGAGAGACTCAACTGGGCTCATGTTAAAAACAATGAAGCATCTATGTCTTATGCAATGCTGTATAGGAAGTATCTGATAAAGTCTAGATCCTCAGAACAAAAATTCTATGCATTGGTCTATTGTCTTTATTTAAGACAAAGAGTGTGCTTAAGGTACAGGTATCTACCAGCTACTGAAAACTGCAGAACCCCTATCCATGATGTATCCTTATTTATAGAATGCTCTAAAAATGCTCTAAAAATCTCCCATAAAACAGGATGAAAGTAGTTTTCTAATCCAAAATGTTATCATAATTGACACTTCTCAGGGTAAAAATTAGCACATAATGGTGAGTGAGCTCAGAAAGATTCAAAATAAACAATTTATACAAATCGAGCTCTCCAACAATTGCAAATATACAGTATCTATTAGTCTTTAGCTGAATTAATCATTTATTTTTTATTTTTATTTTTATTTTTGAGATGGAGTTTCGCTCTTGTTGCCCAGGCTGGAGTGCAGTGGAGTGATCTCGGCTCACCACAACCTCCGCCTCCCAGGTTCAAGTGATTCTCCTGCCTCAGCCTCCCGAGTAGCTGGGATTACAGGCATGCGCCACCACACCCAGCTAACTTTTTTGTATTTTTAGTAGGGACGGGGTTTCTCCATGTTGTCAGGCTGGTCTCGAACTCCTGACCTCAGGTGATCCGCCCACCTCAGCCTCCCAAAGTGCTGGGATTACCAGCGTGAGCCATCACACTCAGCCTAAATTAATCATTTCTTAAGGCCCTCATAAAGTTACTGTTTGTAAAAAATAAAATTCTACATATATGGGAATTTAGAAAAACATTTAATTGTCATAATTGAATGTAATTAATCATTGTTAAAATATCAAAGCAATAATACATTTCAGAGGATATATATGTAATGATTTTTAAGGCTCTAGTGAAGCATACTCTAAAATGTAGCTAAGCAATCTATTAACACCGGCCTTTTACAGAATACAGTTACAATCATTCTAACAAGATAAATTGGCTGGGCGCAGTGACTCATGCCTGTAATCCCAGCACTTTGGGAGGCCAAGGTGGGTGGATCACCTGAGGTCAGGAGTTCAAGACCAGCCTGGCCAACATGTCGAAATCCCATCTCTACTAAAAATACAAATAATTATCCAGGGGTGGTGGCAGGCACCTGTAAACCTTGGCAGGCTGAGGCAGGAGAATCGCGTGAACCTGGGAGACGGGGGTTGCAGTGAGCCAAGATTGCACCATTACACTCCAGCCTGGGTGACAGAGCAAGACTCTGTCTGAGAAAAAAAGAAAGATAAATTATACATATGATTGATATACAAGCAAATTATATGTATTCACACATATATAGTTTCCTTTTGGAAGATTTTAGGAAAATATTTGTCACAATTAATGATTTTTATATTTTATTTATAAATTGAGTACTTTGACAAAATATTATATTAAATGGTTCAGTAAGACTGAACCATATATGATGTACTTTTATATGTTATTGCATTTTTAAAAATCTGTAATTTTCAATAACAAATCTCAAAATATGAAAATAAATTTCTTGGTTTGGCACAGTGGCTCATACCTGTAATTCCAGCACTTTGATTGGCCAAAGCGGGTGGATCATTGGAGTCTGTGAGTTTGAGACTAGCCTAGGCAACATGGCAAAACACCATCTCTACAAAAAAATACAAAAATTAGCTAGGTGTGGCAGAGGGTACCTGTAGGCTAGGGAGGCTGAGGTGGGAGGATCCATTGAGCCCATGAGACCTAGGCTGCAGTGAGCTGCAACTGGGCAATAGAGCGAGAGCTTGTCTCAAAATAAATAAATAAATAAATAAATAAATAAATTTCTTCTCTTTAAATCTTGGACCTAGTCATCAGATCAATCTTTCTAAAATTTTGTTTTCATTCATGCATATTATTCAGTGGCTCCCCACTTCCTACAAAATGAAGTTCAGCTCTTTGTTCTGACATGTAAACCATTTCAATATTTGGCTTCAAACATTATTTCCAAAGCAGGCCATGCTCCTCATCTCCACCCTGAGCTTGTGGTGTGTTCCTCACCTTGAAAGCTCTTCCTCTTTCTCTTCTTCAAATCTTGTGATTTTTAAAGATGCAGTTCAACTCCCACCCACCTCCCTTATGAAATCTTCCCTTATGCTTCTAGTGCCTTCCTCTGGCCTTGTCTTCATCACTTATTTTGGGTTTTAAACAACGACTATTATGTACTTAGTAACAGTACTTGTGTCCCTTTTTTTTTTTTGAGACGGAGTTTCGTTCCCGTTGCCCAGGCTGGAGTGCAATGGTGTGATCTTGGCTCACGGCAACCTCTGCCTCCTGGGTTCAAGTGATTCTCCTGCCTCAGCCTCCCGAGTAGCTGGGATTACAGGCGCCCGCCACCATGCCCAGCTACTTTTTGTATTTTTAGTAGAGACGGGGTTTTGCTATGTTGGCCAGGCTGGTCTCGAACTACTGACCTCAGGTGATCCACCTGCCTTGGCCTCCCAAAGTGCTGGGATTACACATGTGAACCACTGTGCCCGACCTTGTGTCTCTTAGCCGAATGGGAATTACCTTTGATGCCTAGCACAATCCTGAGAATTATAAAATTTGAGTGAGTATAAAATTATAAGCATATACTAGTATTACCTTAATTACCTCTGACCTATTTTACTTTATTCTTACAGCTTTTCTATCTACAGAAATAGTATAACTAAACGTCAAGTTTACTATTGCTTAAGTGTCTCTCATTCTCTTTCAAAGAAACTGATCTTGCTGTTGTCTCCATTTAATGCATACTCTTCACTGTGCAACTGAAATATAGAGAGTCTGGAATTTTCCTCAAACTAGGGACTAATTCCCTTTAATTTCATCAAGTCTTAGGTAAGTTCCTGTGTTTTGTGATAAATACATTTTTACCTTCCTTTTAATGGAATATTTGAATGTTCAATTTCTCCAAAAATACAGAACTTTAAAAAACCCAAAAAACAGTAAGGTCTTTCTTTCATTGAGTTTGATGTTTATTGTTTTTCTCTCCTTTCTCCAAGCACAGGGGAAGAGGTATAAAAGCAGAGGGATATATGCTTTTGAAAAGCCACCCTGGGCTAGATGCAGAAAAGCAGAAATTATGGTGCTAGCTTCTTTTACTGCATAGGCAGTTTAGCTCTGCTTAAGACTATTGTACTTGAGTCCTAAGTTTACAAATCTAGGGAAATCATGCTTACAAATGAGCATGGTTTTCTTTTTGCATATAACAGCACCAATTACTTATTAAACACCTACTATACATCAGACGCAATGTTGGTTGCTTTATATGTTACCTAATTTTCATGATCAAATGTATCATGATTTCCATTTTACAAATGAGGAAACCGAGGCTTAGAGATGCTAAGTAACTTTAACAACTAGTAAATGGCAGAGCTAGAGTTTGGATGCAGAACTGATTCCAAAGCCTATGCTCTTTTCTCTACATCTTGCACTGTCAGTGTCTTTTAGTGGCAGGAATTCTCACTGGGGAATGTTGGGGCTTGCATCTATGACTCTGGCAGCTAAATGGAAGGATAGAATAATAATAAAAAAGTTCCATTGTATCTAGGGAGGCTTACCAGACCCCTTCCCCTATGCACAGTTGCTCCAGGCTTTGTTATTAGATGTTCCTCACTCTGACAATTTACATTTCAGTGTACACTAAATTTGGCACTGTCCCTTTTGTTATGGAACATCTGATCATTTCTGTCTGGGTAGGTGGGGAGGAAGGCTGAGAAGTTTTTATCTTTGTCAAGGCCCAGGAATGAAAACAACACCAGGAAGTAAATCAATGCAATAATATACATTTTATATTAAAAATATAATATGCAGTATATTTTATATTTAATATTAGTATATAACATATTAATATATAAACATTATTTAACATTATGCATTTTATATATATTAGAAATTCTACCCTGTAAAAATATATTTCTCAAGGGGCCGGCATTCGGGGGCGGGGGGGGCAATACATTTATCACACAATATGAAACTTACATAAGACTAGATATATCTATAGTCTTCGTGCTGTGCTGATATATAAATTCCAAGTTTCAGCTGTTAGTTACTTACTTGGAGATCAGTAGAAGGAAATTTCAGTGTGACAAGAATGTTGACAATCCCTGTGCTATCTGTACTAGGATCTAGTTCCACTGTGCTCTTCCAGGGAAGGATGTAGCTGTGTATGCAGGTTTTAGTTGGACAGTCATCTTTTTCTAGTGGCAGTTTCCCAGTCGCTGTTCTGTGTATTAGGACCACGGGAGGAGAGAAAAGGTTATTCTTCCTTCTCCATTTTTCCACACTTAAGAGAATTTAATATACTGTGTTTTCTAGTTAGTAGTTAATTTTGTGTAATAGTCTAGAGATTGCTATACAGATTTAATGTGTTTTACACTTAGTTGGGCAAAAGTGTATTAGTATCTACCACCAACCAGATCTAACTACATAAATATATATTATATAATTATATTAAGGATAATTTGTGGGTTTTGCGTGTGAACCCTAAAAATCTGAGCCATGTCCCAGTTAATTTAGAAAGTTTATTTTGCCACGGTTGAGGATGCGTGCCCATGATACAGCTTCAGGAGGTCAGAACCCGAGGTGGTCAGAGCAGTTTGGTTTTGTACATTTTAGGAAGACACGAGACATCAATCAGCGTGTGTAAGATGAACACTGGTTCAGTCCAGAAAAGGTGGGACGACTTGAAGCAAAGGTGGGACAACTCAAAACAGGGGGCGGGCTTCCAGGTTTTAGGGAGATAAGAGGCAAATCACTGCATTCTTTTGAGTTTCTGGTTACCCTTTCCAAAGGAGGCAATCAGATATTCATTTATCTCAGTGAGCAGAGGGATGACTTTGAATAGAATGGGAGGCAGGTTTGCCCTAAGCAGTTCTCCGAAGCTTGACTTTTTCCTTTAGCTTAGTGATTTTGGGGCCCCAAGATTTTCCTTTCACATGAGTTAATAACTGTCCAGTCTTGTGAAATATCATTTTAATATTAGGATATCTGAAATGTTTCCATATGGCTGGGTGTGGTGGCTCACGCCTGTAATCCCAGCACTTTGGGAGGCTGAGGCCTGAGGAACACTTGAGCCCAGGAGTTTGACACCAGCCTGGGCAACATAGTGAGACTCTATCTTTACAAAAAATAAAATTAGCCAGGCGTGGTGGCGCATGTCTGTGGTCCCAGCTACTTGGGAGGCTAAGGGAGGAGGATAACTTGGGCCCAGGGGCTTGAGGCTGTAGTGAGCCATGATCATGCTACTGCACTCCAGCCTGGGGGACAGAGATAGACCCTGTCTCAAAATCAATCAACACACAATGACAACAAATAAATGAGATGTTTCTACAGATCACTTTGTTTTTTTAGAAACACTAAATTAATTAATTAATTTAGTTATTGAGACGGAGTCTTGCTCTGTTGCCCAGGCTGGAGTGCAGTGGTAGGATCTCGGCTCACTGCAACCTCCATCTCCCGGGTTCAAGCTATTCTCCTGCCTCAGCCTCTCAAGTAGCTGGGACTACAGGCATACGGCACCATGACCGGCTAATTTTTGTATTTTTAGTAGAGACCAGGTTTCACCATGTTGGTCAGTCCGGTCTGGAACTCCTGACCTCAGGTGATCTGCCCGCCTCGACCTCCCAAAGTGCTGGGATTACAGGCGTGAGCCACCGTGCCTGGCCTAAAAACACTAAATTTAGTAAGGTACTGGGGTGCAGTTTTGTCACTGACAGTTATGGTGCTGTAGAAAGAGCCCATATCTGGAAGCTGCCTTTAGCCTCAGCTCTGCCTCTTGCTTTTGTACCTTGGAAAAGTCACTTCACCTGTTTTCTCATCTATATAGGATGAAGATCATAATTTCTTTTACACAGTGTTATGAGACTGAATGACAGAAATTAAAAGAAGTGTTCTACGAAGGCAAAGTTAGGTTTCTTATAGCAGGAAGGGAGATGCACACAGAGAAGTGGGAATCTCAGGAGACGGATGTGGCCAGGGGCTTTTTACGGGGGTTGGGCTAAGCATTATTAGTCAACGGGCTGTACTGCTATTTATGGTAGGTTTTGAATACCGTTTCTCCAAAATAACCTATTTCCTCCCCAAACCCAAACTTCCTCAACTGGGATCGAACTCAATCCTACAGCGTGTTCTGAGATTCTATACTCGCCTCACTTCTCCCAAGATCGTAAATTCTGGAGGAGCCATTCCTTCATCATCCATGTTTGCATCCTTCACACCGTTCACTGGTTAAGTGCTTAGTACGTTTGCTATTGGGCAAGGTCCTCAAACGGGAGGTGGACGTCAGAATAGTCAGGTTATCGACTGAGTAACTGTTAGTGGTGGATAATTTAAAGCCAATTTGAAAGTTCATCCTTTCCCCCAAAGGCAAAAACAGGCGTTCCTTTTCTTAAAAGAGAATTTTAAATAGAATTGGGTCTCTGGTGTCCTGCCTAAAGCCCGCAAAGAAAGAGGGTACGGTTGGGGGTGGGGGTGATGGGGGATACTGAACCCTTTTCTGGTTGCGCCTTGCCCGGAGCCCCCGGCTAGAGCCCTGGCGCTCCTGGCGCGCTCCCAACGCGAATCGGTGACTCCGCAGGCCGCGCAGTGCGGAGGTGCCCGTCCCACCCTCCCCCTTGTGGGGTGCGGGGCTCCATTTCCCCAAGCCGCTGGGGTCGGCTTCTGGTCTTGAGATGCGGATGAAGTGGTGTGAAGGGTTGGGCTTTTTTTTTTGTTCCTAAAAATGCAACGAACAAAAAAAAAAGTACAACAATCCAAACCCAACCATCTTAATTGCACGGCAGCTTAACTGGGAGACTTTCTTCCCGGGCGGCCCCACCCGGGACCGCGCCGCTTCAGTCGAGCCCACCGTCTGGGCAAACGGCGTCCACTTCCCGGAGCCGCTGCCCAGCCTCTGCGGGGGGGCTTTGGGCGGGCGCAGGACTCTGGAAGGGAGAAAAGCCCGCAGCCCGGCCCTCCCCGTCCCAGGCGGCCCGCGCGGGTGGACGGCGGGAGCAGGCGGCGGTTGGAGACGCCGGAAGGAACGCGGTCTCACCACCCGGCTCCCTCCGCCAAGGCGAGGCGCGGCCGGGGAGGCGGGACACAGGCGAAGCGGGACGGGGAGGCGGGGCCGGAGGTGCAGGCGGAGGCGGGCGACGGGGAAGGGAGGGGGAGGGGGAGGGGAAAGGGAGGGGGAGGGGGAGGGGAAAGGGAGGGGGAGGGGGGAAGGGACGGGAGGGGAGGGGGAAGGGACGGGAGGGGAGGGGGAAGGGACGGGAGGGGAAGGGGAAGCGGGAGAGGGAAGGGGGCGGAGCTAGCCGGAGCCGCGAGTCCATTTTGGGGCTGTGCTTGGCGCGTACCGTGCGGTCCCTGTAGTTGGAGGACGGGCGGTCGCGCGGCCTTTCCCACTAGCCGGAGGTCGGAGATAAGTACCCGCCGCCCGGCTCCTCTCGGGAAAGCGGGGTGGTCCTCGAACCTTCAGCGAGGGTGGGGAGTTGCCCAGGTCAGCAGGGATCTGCGTGGGTTGGGGGGGCTGGCGAAGGCCGTCTGAGCTCCAGTCCGGCAGCGCGGCAGAAACCAGCGGGGCACTGTCATGGGCCTGGGGAGGAGCGGCCTGCGGAGGGCGCCGGGGCAGTGTGTCTGTGGTCCAGAAAACCTGCTCCGTCCGGAGCCTTCCTGGCCCCGCTACCAGCGTCTCCACATCCCCTAGAAAAGAAAAGACGGGTGTGGGCCTTAGGTTACAGCGCGCCGCCAGCGTTTGGTTGCATGGCGCCGGGGGAGGGCGCCCTAACCGAGAAGCTGCTTAATACAAAGAGCTCCAGGCTCCTGGCGGTTCACCAGGTCTAAACAGCCGGGCTTTATTTGTGGGGGCGATTGAAAAAATTGAGGGTCAAGATTGGGGTGCTGTGCAAATAAATGCGTTAATACTGTTCTTTTTCTTCTTTCTTTGCAGTAGCCTCTAGTTCGTTAGTCAAAACGTGAAAAAAAAGACCTGCTTTGCCCTGGGAAATAGTAACCCTGCCAAATACATCAGCTTGTAGGAGACAGAGGTAAACTACAATAATTTTCCTGTGTTATCTTTTTTTTTTAAACACCCAATTTCAATAGGCCCTAGAACCTTCCAAAATGGAACTGTGTGTAGAATACGTATGTTCCCATCCACTTTCATTGGTGGTCTTTGTTCTTTGCATATTTTGTTAAAACTTAGAAAAACAGAATTCACGTTTAGCAATTATTTATGTGGTATTTATCTTAAATATAGCCAAACATTCATATTACAAAGGAAGAAAGGGGCTTCCACACTTTTTTCCTACTTTTTTTTCCCTTCTCCTATGCTTAGTGAATTGTCAGGCTGCTAGGGCTTGTAGAACAGGGCTTGAGTTTTCTAGAGACCTTTATATAATAGGCACTTTAAAAGCAGAATTTCATTTACATAGGCACTCCTTCTAGTAGAACTTGATGGAGCTGTTAACCGGCTATACTTCCTTCTTGCACAATGGGAGCGTCCCTATCCCTCCCTAAAAATACGTTTTTTTTCCTTTCTCCCAGCTGGCTTACTAAACCTCCCTGGGAAGTCCTTTCCTAAAACCGGGCTGTTCTGTTCATTCTATACATTTATGATAGGTTATCTGGCCTTAATTCTGTCACAGCTTTTGTTCAGATATGCTCATTTTCATGACACTGCTTTGTACCTGATACCTTATGTAATATTTGTTTTGCCTTGCCTTGAAATCACAGTTCAAGTTTAGAACCTTTTCTTGCTTGATACACTGATGCTCCAAAATAACACCTTAAATGTGTAGAGTTTGCCATATGTAATTAAACCTTATTTATGTTTGTATAGTTTCGTAGTTTATGGAATTCTCACACATCACACAGGAGTTGAGAAATTACTTTTAGGCAGCTAGAAAGGGTAAAAGAGTTCTCGGTGGAATTTTCCTTTAATAAAAAGCAGCTCCTGGCCGGTGACTTTGGGAGGCTGAGGTGGGTGGATCACTTGAGGTCAGGAGTTCAAGACCAGCCTGACCAATATGGTGAAATCCCATCTTTACTAACAATACAAAAATTAGCTGGGCGTGGGGGTGCGTGCACCTGTAATCCCAGCTACTCGGGAGGCTGAGGCAGAAGAACCACTTGAACCGGGACGCAGAGGTTGCAGTGAGCCAAGATCGCGCCACTGCACTCCAGACTGGGCAACAGAGCGAGACTCTACCAAAAAAAAAAAAAAAGCCCCCAAACCATTTATTTTCTAACAGAAAGCCTGAAAAGTCAAGCTGCAAGCAAAAATATGCAGGCTAGAAGCTTTTATATGTAAATGTAGCCTGCTGTATCTGGAAGCCAGGTACATTCAATATGGGGTTTCTCACTCCCTTTTCCTTGTCACCCTATGTGGGCGTCTGGGCCGCTCCCTTTTCCTTGTCACCCTATGTGGGCGTCTTGGCGATCACTAGGTAAAACCACGGGTGCAGGTGTCATGGCGGCCCCAGGTAGAAGCTACATTTGCATAACAAAAAATTAGGGTGGGAGGGCCAGTCTTTAGACGGGCTATGTAAATGATTCACCTGGTCAAACCAGTCCCCTGGGCCCTATGTAAATCACCACCTCCTCAAGCCTCTGTACAAAATCGATTGCGTTTCACCCCAAACCCGGAGACCCTCTCTTGGGTGATATTTCTCAGCGTGAGGAACCTTTCCCTATTAAATTTTCCGCTCCTAAACCCACTCCTTGTGTGTGTCCATGTCCTGAATTCTTTCTTGGCTCGAGACAACCACGGGTGTATCCCCCAGGCAATGGAGCCATTTCATTATGAGGTAAATACTATAAAAATCATTTTTAAATTTTTTTCCAAGAGATGGGATTCTCAACTGTGTTCCCCAGGCTGGTCTTGAACTGGGCTCAAGTGATCCTCCTGCTTCAGCCTTCAGAGTAGCTGGGACTACAAGTGTGTGGCACCATTCCCAGATATAAAAATCCTAATTTTATGAAGGATAAAACTGGTGCTTGAACACAGGTACTCAAAAGCAGGTTCTGTGCTTTCCCCTTCACTAGAGAGCCTGTTAAACCTAGTTTGTAAAAACTGCAAAATTTTAGAAGGGATTTTAGAGAGCTTATGATTAAACCCCTTCATTTTATGAATAAGAATACTGAGTTCTTGAGTCCCTTTCTAGATATTGCTAAGGTCTAAGAATTAGAAAACTCAGGCTGTGATGCCTAGTTTGCTGTGTACAACTGATGAGTCTCCACTTCTTGAGTGCTGGGGGTGTCTTAGTTTTTTTGACTCCTAAAATTAGGTGTTTAGATGATTTCTAAGATGCTTTTAAGCCCAGTATTTCTATTCCTACCCCATAACTTTTATTACCATTTATTGCCTATACATATATATTGGTAAGACACAGATGCAGACTAATGTTAACTGCCTTAAACTTTTATATTTTAAACTCGGGTAGGTATGGTAACAAGTGTGTCTTATTGTTTTTTACTAAGTCCTATAAAACTATGGTTTTATTTAAGGTTAGGAACTGCATAGAGAGGTGGACCACTCTAATACATCATTGGTTAGAGTTCATAAAGTGATATAAACCCTTTCTAGAGAGAAACCTAGTCATCTTTTCAACAGCCTTAAAAATGTCCTTACTGTTTGACCCAGAAGTACATTTAAAGGAATTGTCTAAGGAAGTAATTAGAGCTGTGGAGCAAGACTTTTCTCTATAAGGTGTTTACCTAAATGTTACAATACCAAAAAAACACAACAACCCACAAACAAAACAACACAGCAACAAGAACAAACCCATAAATGAGCAATAAGAAAGCATATCCACAACATGGACTGTCATGTTTTTCTAGAACATATCATGATGGGGGAAAGGCATGTAATAAAATAAGGGGATAGGATACAAAATTGTATTATGCTACCAGTTCTGTTAAAATGTGTGCACATGCACGGACACATGGGATTGGAATAAAGACACCAAAATAATAGTAGTGGTGATTTCTTGCTGATGTGATTATGGGTGGCTTTTTCTCTCTATTTTCTGAATTTTCTATAATAAAAACTAATTTTATAATTTAAGAAGACACAAAAGCTAGTTGCATGGATAACTTCGGTTTCAGTATGGTGTCAATATTTTATGGTTTTAATTGTGGTAAGAACATTTAACATGAGACCTATCCTCTACACAGATTTCTAAGTGTACAGTACAGTGGTGTTAACTATAGACATGAGCAGATCTCTGAAACTTACTTTTATGTGTCTTTTATAAACTATTTATCATACCTTCTAGAATAACAGCACCTGGCCGGGTGCAGTGGCTCAGGCCTGTAATCGCAGCACTTTGGGAGGCTGAGGTGGGCGGATCACCTGAGGTCAGGAGCTCGAGACCAGCCTGGCCAAAATGGTAAAACCCTGTCTCTACTAAAAATACAAAAAATTAGCTGGGCATGGTGGCAAGTGCCTGTAATACCAGCTACTTGGGAGGCTAAGGCAGGAGAATCACTTGAACCCAGGAGGCGGAGGTTCCAGTGAGCCAAGATCACACCATTGCACTCCAGCCTGGGTGACAAGAGCAAAACTCTGTCCCAAAAAAAAAAAAAAAAAAGGCAGGAAAGAGTCCAGGCTAAACTATGGTATGGAGAAGAGAATGAAGGAAAAGGAAAAAGTTTTTCTTAGTGCTCTGAACTAGCGAGGTAATGAGTGACCTGGTTTATATTTCTGAGAATTTCACCTTAGTCTGACAACCCTTTGTGAACTTTCTGAGTAAGTGAACTTACCAAGCTAGTGAACATTCTGTACTAGCTCTATTTTGCCTTGTCAGGATCTCTGCTAGAAATATCTTGGAAATTTTAACTACTGTTTATTCTAGGATAATGCCAGAAAAGGTTGGTTACTTACTGTCTTATATGGACACATAGGTAACTTTTATATTGTTTGCAAGAGCCACATAACAATTATTTTAGATACTATATGTAATATATTAATTTTCATTTTTAGAGGTATTGAAATCTGATATTTCTTACTTTGTCCTGTTTTGATCATATATATGCCAGAGGTGCTATGTGTAATACATTAATTTTCATTTTTAGAGATTATATCTGAAATCTGATCTCTGTATCTTACTTTGTCCTGTTTTGATCATATAAGTCACCGGGACAGTCTCTAAAAGAATGAAGAGTAATAACACATTGATACAGAGTATTTAAAATAAAAACTTTGTAAATACTTTTCATATACCTTTTAAAATAGCTATACAAATGAGGAGAGAAACTAGTATGTATAAGTGGTTTGTCAGAGGTTACAGACTGAGAGCCAGACAAGTATGTCAGTCTCCTCACAGGTCTGGATTCAGAGACTTCCAGTAATACATTAAAAAAAAAAATTTATGAAAGATGAAACCATAGGCTGGGCATGATGGCTTATGCTTGTAATCCCAGCACTTTGGGAGGCCAAGGCAGGAAGATACTTGTGGCCAGGAGTTTGAGTCCAGCCTGGCCAACATGGCGAAACCCCGTCTCTATTAAAAACATAAAAATGAGCCTGACGTGGTGGCAGGCACCTGTAATCTCAGCTACTTGGGAGGATGAGGCAGGAGAATTGCTTGAACCCAGGAAGAGGAGGCTGCAGTGAGACGAGATCGCACCATTGCACTCCAGCCTGGGTGACAGAGCAAGACTGTCTCAAAAAAACAAAAACAAAAACAAACCATACTACAGCAGATTAAACTTCTTATGAGGCTTATATTTAGCTAATGTTTTCAAAGTTTTACTTTCTAAACTCAATATGGTTTTTTAATAATTGGCTCTTTAGTTTTTCCACCCATTTTATTGTGAAAATGTTCAAACAGAGAAAACTCAAGAAGAATATTAAAGTATTCTTACATCCTCTACCTAGATTTTAATAGTTGTTAATTAGACCCTTACTTAGTTTCAAGAAAACATTTATTAATGGATCTCTCTTTTTTTTTTTTCTTTTTGAGATGGAGTCTCACTCTGTCATCTAGGCTGGAGTGCAGTGGTGCGATCTTGACTCACTGCAACCTCTGCCGCCTGGGTTCAAGTGATTTTCCTGCCTCAGCCTCCCGAGTAGCTGGGATTACAGGTGTCTGCCACTGCTCCCGGCTAATTTTTGTATTTTTAGTAGAGACAGGGTTTCACCATCTTGGCCAGGCTGATCTTGAACTCCTGACCTCATGATCCACCTGGCTCAGCCTTCCAAAGTGCTGGGATTACATGCATGAGCCAATGCACCTGGCCTAATGGATCTCATACTACAGTATAGTAAGGTGCAGTGGCTCATGCCTGTAGTCCCAGCTACTCTGGAGGCTGAGATGGGAGAATATAGTACACTATTTGAAAATAAGATTAACTAGTGTGCTGAGAGGAAATGATTTTTTTTAATGAGCCATTTTATTATAGGAATTATTTCAAAGTAACATTTGTGGCTGTCTCAGTTCAGTAAAGCTTAGCATAATTTAATGTCTATGAAGTGAGTTTCAATGTTTGCTGTCTAGCCACCTGATAGATACTTAGGTACTGTTTTGAAATTCTTGCCTTCAAAGATGCCTCAAAACAGGATGGAAATTTGAGTTAAATCCTTAAGATAAAAGCGTGATATATTTATTGGCTTTTCTTTTTGTTCCCTAATGGGAAATGAAAAAAAACAAAAAACATGGGTAATATTTTGAACAACTTTATATTGCTAACAGCCAGTGGAATTTAAAACCTTAGTAGGAAAGTTTCTTTTACTAATAGGTTTTATAAGGAGAAAATGAACTTTTGTTTCAGAGTGAATGAATGAGTACTTTCTGCAGTATAATCATTTTGGGTTGATCTCTTAAAAGAATTCTAGAAGGAAGAAGTCCAATACATATATATAAACTCTATTATGACACGTTTACTTTGTAAGTATTGGCTTTTCCATTTTTATTATTTTAGTGGTTGTGTTATGGTTCTCATTTATAGAAGCTGTTGTTGCCAGATACTAATTGAGGTAGGATTCATAAAGCACTTTTTGTAATCCTTCTTCTTTGTGGATAGCTTGACAATTTGTTCAAAAAAATAAACTCATAGTGGTGGTATGCAACTTTGTTAAAAATAAAACTGTAAATCAAAAAGTGAATTTCATTGTATGTAAATTTAAAAGTATGTTAGAAAACATCAATATGGCAGGAGAACAAGTTTGACTTTTTTCCGCAACTAGTGTCTACTACCACCTTTCTGGATACTTTAAAAAGTTGTCAGCTTTTAAAATTGTTGGTATAAAACATTTGGGAAGTTTTTAATTGGTATTTGTGCTTCAAAATTTAAGACTTTTCTAAGTATTCAGAAATATTCAAAGGAAGAGATGAATTTTGGAAAACTTGTTTGCCTTTATGTGCTTAATCTGACTTTAAGTTGAAATTTGAACAGTGAATAATAATTTTGTTTACATAAAGTTTTTTGACTTCTATATTAGGAAAAAAACTAGCTTGAGGCCAAGTGCAGTGGCTCTTGCCTGTATAATCAGCACTTTGGGAGGCTGAGTCCCGACTGCTTGAGCTCAGGAGTTTGAGACCAGCCTGGGCAACATGCTGAAACATCATCTATACAAAAAAAGTACAAAAATTAACTGGGAATGGTAGCATGTACCTGTAGTACCTTACAGCTACTCATGAGGCTGAGGTGGGAGGATCACCTGAGCCTGGGGAGGTCAAAGCTACAGTGAGCTGTGTTAGGGTCACTGCATTCCAGCCTGGGCAACAGAGTGATACTCCCTCAAAAAAAACAACAAAACAGACTGGGCACACTGGCTCACGCCTGTAATCCCAGCACTTTAGGAGGCTGAGGCAGGTGAATCATTTGAGGTGAGGAGTTCAAGACCAGCCCGGCCAACATAATGAAACCCTGTCTCTACTAAAAACACAAAAATTAGCCAGGTGGTAGTGGTGCATGCCTGTAATCCGAGCTACACGGGAGGCTGACGCAAGAGAATTGCTTGAGCCTAGGAGGCAGAGGTTGCTGGTGGGGAGGTTGCCAGTGAGCCAAGATGGCGCCACTGCACTTCAGTCTGGGTGACAGCCCGAGACCCTGTCTTAAAAAAAAAAAAAGGGCCAGGTGCGGTGGCTCACGCCTGTAATCCCAACACTTAGGGAGGCCAAGGAGGGCGGATTACCTGAGGTCAGGAGTTTGAGACCAGCCTGACCAACATGGTGAAACCCTGTCTCTACTAAAAATACAAAAATTAGCCGGGTGTGGTGGCGGGCACCTGTAATCCCAGCTACTCAGGAGGCTGAGGCAGGAGAATCGCTTGAACCCAGGAGGCAGAGGTTGCAGTGAGCCGAGATGGTGCCATTGCACTCCAGCCTGGGTAACAAGAGCGAGACTCCCTCTCAAAAGAAAAAAAAACAACCAGAAACCCCGAAAAAGAGGTGGAGGGGATGTATCCTTTTTTGTTCATGTCAAAGGAGTAAGCTGGGTTGATTACTTCAGATTTTGTGTTAGCCATACTTTAAGATTTTGTAAGTTATTTTGCTGTGAAGAGTACCTTTTATTTATGATATTAAAGGCTTTAACTTAAATTATCCTTCAAAACTTTGGAGGCAACAAAGATGTCTACCATGGTTTCTTGGATCAGGTATTAGTCACTTGTGGAAGTGGTCACATAGTTTTGTCTTAGAGAAAGTTTTGATTATAAAGAGAAGGCATAGGCAGGGCATGGTGGCTCACAACTATAATCCCAGAACTTTGGGAGGCCGAGGCGGGTGGATCACCTGAGGTCAGGAGTTCGAGATCAGCCTGGCCAACATGGCGAAACCCTGTCTCTACTAAAAATACAAAAATTAGCCTGGCATGGTTGTAGGCGCGTGTAATCCCAGCTACTCGGGGAGACTAAGGCAGGAGAATCACTTGAACCCAGGAGGCGGAGGTTGCAGTGAGTTGTGATTACACCACTGCACTCCAGCATGGGCAACAGTGCAAGACTCCATCTCTAAAAAAAAAAGAGAGAAGGCATAAAACTAAAGGAAGAAAGGAAGAAGAGAAAAGGAAATATTTAGTTTTTTTTTTTTTTTTGTGATGGAGTTTCACTCTTGTGCGATCATGGCTCACGGCAACCTCTGGCCTCACGGGTTCAAGCGATTCTCCTGCCTCTGCCTCCTGAGTAGCTGGGATTACAGGCATGCGCCACCACGCCTGGCTAATTTTGTATTTTTAGTAGAGACGGGGTTTCTCCATGTGGGCCAGGCTGGTCTCGAACTCCCGACCTCATCTGCCCACCTCGGCGGCCTCCCAAAGTGCTGGGATTACAGGCGTAAACCACCGCGCTTGGCCAGAAATATGTAGATTTTAAAGTGAATGAAAATAAGAATCTTTAAATTATCAACCAAAATTTGTAAGTTAAGTCACTAAAAATGAAATTAGAGGATCTATTGTAATTTTGATGCAATTTTTTTGAAGATACTTTCCAAATAGTATTTTTTCCCCTCTGGTTCATTTTAAGAGCTGTATGTTGATCATGACCTTGGGATGACTGTTTATTATTTCTAAGTTTTCCTGTGTGTGACATTTTCCTTTTCACTTTTGATCACATTTGTTTGCCTGAAAATTCTTCTTGGCCCCTGTCGTTGTATCCTCAATTTTCTTCATAGTTTCTCTTTGCCTTTGGTGCCCTTTTTCTCCTCCTCATCCCACCCAATCACTTGGTATATTCTTTGTTTTCTTCTTATTTAATATGCTTGGATAGTATTCTCTGGAAGTATTAACATTGCAAGGATGAGTAAATTAGGTTTCTTTTATTGAGTGTTGCCCTTACCACTTTCCTGTTTCTATTGCCTTCTCAAAAATCTGGCCTTTGTGTAGAATTCTTAGGCAAAAGATGATAGTAATGGAAGTGAAAAGTGTGGAGCAGGACTGGGGTTGGCAGATCATCAAAAGTTTGACTTCATTGTTCTGAAAGTTTGTGTGTCTTACAGCTGTGTGGTAATCTCTTTCAGAAGACAAACTAAGTTGAGTCTTTATAGCCATTCTCTTTCCAATGCTTTTCAGAGGTTATATGATTTGTCATATCACAAAGGATTTTTCAGAAAAATCAGCTAATTACACCTTTTTTTGCAATATGACACTAAATTTGAGACAGAATAATCTTTGCTTTAGTTCTCCCTATGTTATGTATTATAAATACATGTATCTTACAATCTACTATAAAACCATAAACTGGCTGGGCGTGGTGGCTCACACCTGTAATCCCAGCACTCTGGGAGGCTGAGGTGGGCGGATCACCCGAGGTCAGGAGGTTGAGACCAGCCTGGGCAACATGGTGAAACCCTGTCTCCAGCAAAAAATACAAAAGTTAGCTGGGCATGGTGGTGGGCGCCTGTAGTTCCCAGCTACTCAGGAGGCTGAGGCAGAGGAACCGCTTGAACCCGGGAGGCAGAGGTTGCAGTGAGCCGAGATTGTGCCACTGCACTCCAGCCTGGGTGACGAAGTGAGACTCTGTCTCAAAAAAAAAAAAACCCAAAAAAATAGGGCCCAGCGTGGTGGCTCACGCCTATAATCCCAGCACTTTGGGAGGCTGAGGCAGGTGGATCATGAGGTCAGGAGTTCAAGACCAGCCTGTCCAAGATGGTGAAACCCCGTGTCTATTAAAAATACAACAAAATTAGCCGGGCGTGGTGGCCGGTGCCTGTAATCCCAGCTACTCGGGAGGCTGAGGCAGGAGAATTGCTTGAACCTGGGCAGCAGAGATTGCAGTGAGCCGAGATTGCACCACTGCACCCCAGCCTGGGCAACAGTGAGACTCTGTCTCAAAAAAAAAAAAAAAACGCCAGGCACGGTGGCTCACCCCTGTAATCCCAGCAGTTTGGGAGGCGGGTGGATTGCCTGGGGTCAGGAGTTTGAGACCAGCTTGGCCAACATGGTGAAACCCCGTTTCTACTAAAAATACAAAAATTAGCTGGGCGTGGTGGCAGGTGCCTGTAAATCCCAGCTACTCTGGAGGCTGAGGCAGGAGAATTGCTTGAACCCGGGAGGCGGAGGTTGCAGTGAGCCAAGATCACACCATTGCACTCCAGCCTGGGTGACAAGAGTGAGACTTAGTCTCAAAAAAAAAAAAAAAAGCCATAAACTAATTAACCCTGCAAGCTCAGCTTGTCCTTTAAATACTGTTTACCTTCTAGATATAGTCCAGTCATGTATGGCTGTTGAAATTACTGTTAAAAAAGTATTCGCTTTTTTTTTTTTGAGACAGAGTATTGCTGTGTTGCCCAGGCTGGAGTGCAGTGGCGCTGTCTCGGCTAACTGCAAGCTCTGCCTCCTGGGGTCACACCATTCTCCTGCCTCAGCCTCCCAAGTAGCTGGAACTACAGGTGCCTGCCACCACGCCCAGCTAATTTTTTTGTATTTTTAGTAGAGACGGGGTTTTACTGTGTTAGCCAGGATGGTCTTGATCTCCTGACCTCGTGATCCGCCTGCCTCGGCCTCCCAAAGTGCTGGGATTACAGGCATGAGCCACCCGTGCCCGGCCAAGTATTCACTTTTTATCATAGATGGCCTACCGATTAAGTCATATGTTATTGTTGATAATGTGATATTGTTGATAATGTGATATGTGCATATATCCCTGAGTAAACTGAATGTAGAAATATGTAGTACTCTTTGGTTTTACAACTATAGAGATGAATGTATATTTAAAATAAACTTGTGGCCTGATGCAGTGGCTCACACCTGTGATCTCAGTGCTTTGCGAGGCTGAGGCAGGAGGATTGCTTGAGGCCAGCTAGTAAGACCTGGTCTCTACAAAAAAAAAAGTAGCCAGGCGTGGTGGTGCATGCCTGTAGTCTTAGCTACTTAGGAATCTGAGGCAGGAGGATTGCTTGAGCCCAGAAGTTTGAGGCTGCAGTAAGCTATAATTAGGCCACTGTAGTCCAGCCTGGACAACAGAGCAAGACCCTGTCTCTCAAAATAAGAATTAAAAATAATAAACCTGCATTGAGAAATGGTATTGCCTGTATTAGGGATCTCAAATATTTTGGTCTTAGGACACTTTTACACTCTTAAAAATTGAGAATCCTGGCCTGTAATCTCAGTGTTTTGGCAGTCTGAGGTGGGAGGATCACTTGAGCCCAGCAATTTGAGACTAGCCTAGGCAATATGGTGAGACCTCATCTCTACAAAAAAAAACTACAAAGAAAAAAAAAATTAGCTGAGTGTGATGGTGCGTGCCTGTAGTCCCAGCTACTTGGAGGTTGAGGCAGGAGGATGGCTTGAGTCCAAGAGGCAGAAGTTGCAGGGGACTGAGATTGCACTGCTGTACTCCAGCCTGGGTGAAAAAGCTGTCTCAAAAAAAAAAAAAAAAAAAAAAAGAGAATCCCAAGAACTTTATGTTTGTACTGTCGATATTTACTCTATTAGAAATTAAAACAATTTTTAAAAAATACTCACGTAAAATAACAATGATAAACCCATTACAAGTTAACAAATAATTTAGGAAAATAACTATTTTCCAAAACAAAATTAAGAGAAGCATGGCATTGCAATAGAGGCCTGTAATGAATGGCTATTTAATAGAAGACAGCTGGAGTCTTTTGTCTGCTTCTGTATTTAACCTGTTGGAATATATTATTTTGGTTGAAATAAACGAAGAAGGCTGGGTGTGGTGGCTCATGCCTGTAATTCCAGCACTTTGGGAGGTGGAGGTGGGACGATTGCCTGAGGGCTGGATTTCTAGACCTGCCTGGGCAACATAGTGAGACCCTGTCTATAAAAAAATCCACGGCCAGGCGCGGTGGCTCACGCCTGTAATCCCAGCACTTTGGGAGGCTGAGGCGGATGGATCACCTGAGGTCAGGAGTTCAAGACCAGCCTGGCCAACGTGGTGAAACCCCGTTTCTACTAAAAATACAAAAATTACCTGCGTGTGGTGGTATGTGCCTGTAGGCCCAGCTACTTGGGAGGCTGAGGCAGGAGAATCACTTGAACTCGGGAGGTGGAGGTTGCAGTGAGCCAAGATAGCACCACTGCACTCCAGCCTGGGTGACAGAGTCAGACTCCGTCTCAAAAAAAAAAAAAAAAAAAAAACAACAACAACAAAAAACACTAAAACTAAAAATTAGCAAGGCATGGTGGTGCACACCTGCAGTCTGTAGTTACTTGGGAGGATCTCACTTGAGCCCAGTATTTCAAGGCTGCAGTGAGCTATGATCATGCCAGTGCACTCCAGCTTGGGTGACAGAGTGAGACACCCCATCTCTTAAGAAAAAAAGAAAAGAAAAGGAAATACACAAAAATCTAGGCTTACACAGATATGTAGTTGGTAAAGGAAGGAATATTATTTAAATAGCCTTTTCAGGTAATTTAATCTTTTTTTTTTTTTTTTTTTTTTTCCTGAGGCAAGGTCTCTCTCTGTTGCCCAGGCTGGAGTGCAGTGGTGCTATCTCGGCTCACTGCAGCCTCTGCCTCCTGGGCTCAAGGGATTCTCATACCTCAGCCTCCCGAGTAGTTGGGACTACAGGCGCATGCCACCATGGCTGGCTAATTTTTTTGGTATTTTTTTTGTAGAGGTGGAGTTTTGCTATGTTGCCCGTACTGGTCGTGAACTCCTGAGGTCAAGCGGTCCACTCTCTGCAGCCTTCCAGAGTGTTAGGATTACAGGCGTGAGCCACTGCTCCCAGCCTGAATCTTCTTGTGATACTATACAAAAACTCAGCAAGTGCTAGTTTCTTTGTTGGAGTATGGAATCTGAAATTGTTTATGAACCTGTTGGTCTTTCGTGAACTTCAAATGGATCTTTTACCCATGCCTGATTTGTAACATGCATTAGTGACTTGAAATAGTATTCACTGTGTTTTGCAGATCTCCAAATATTGACACATTTCATTATACAGTACTCCTTTCCCCTCAGAAAATCCTCACATTCATTAATATCACTGCCCATCTCATCATAAAAGTCTTTAATTAATGGGAAGCTGTCAGGCTCATAAATATCAAATGTTTTCCAAAATTCTAATTTTTACATAAAACCCAGCCTTTTCATTAGCAAGAGATACTGTCAATTGTTTTCTTTGAAGTAGCAAGCTCATTTTTTTTCCCCAGAAAATGTCAGGTAGCTAAGTCTGAATAGCCATAGTTTATCATTTGTTCTTTCAGAAGGTAAAAATGGTGTTCCATGAAAAAAAGCAGCTGGTTTAACTTGCCGCTCTTCACTTAAGTGCTTTTTCTCCAGACAACATCTGCCGGTATGCAGAAGTGCTTTGTGCGTACTGCCTATTTTGTCACGCAATATATTAAAAAACTGTACACAGGCTCAAGACTTAATAAAATGAATAATTTTTACTGCTGCATCAAGAACATTCTTAAGTGAAACCGGTACTCCAACCCCAATTTGGGTGGTGATGAAGAATACAATTCAGCGCTTCTTACAGCTTTGCTCGATCCCTCCTAAGGCTTCAGCAGTGTCTACACACCATTGCTTTTACACCATTGGTACAAATGTTGACATGGTGCAAAAAGCAAGTAACATCTTAGTGTCATTACGAAAATAGTTTTGATCTCACAGATGCCCTGAAAGAGGGACATCCAGGTTTCTGCCCACCACATTGTGAAAATTGATGATTCTAGATAATACAAAATGGCTTCTGTTACTGTTCTGGTGGTTTAAAAACAACAAAAAACCTCATTTAGTTCTCTACCTAGAAGAGTGAATTGCAACTCTCATCTTGTGCTTTTACCTGTGATTTTAAAAATTGTAATCTTGCCTTTGAAACAAAAATATGCCAATTCATAATAAAGTCTACATGAGAGTACATGTTTGGATTTATATTTCTGTGCTTCTTTCTTTTATATAACATACCATTTCATATTTGTGGGCCCAGAGTAAAGAGCTCATTCTGTTACAGACACTGAATAGCCTTGTTTTTGTCAGTAGTCAGCTCTGTTTTAAAACAATTGCTTGGGTCCTGCTGGCTCAACTTGCAGTTGTCCTAGTCCTGAGTCTTGTCTTAGCCAAAGACTGTTGTTGGAAAGCCCACACAAAGGCCTTGTGTATAGGATGCCCTACTATTAAAGGAGCATGTTCTAGTCTCAGTGGATTAAATTTGCTTTGGTGTGCATTCCCTTACCAAATTTCTCACTACTTTGTTTGGCTGGTTATTTCAGTGAAAAATCATTTTAACGTGAAGGCAGATTTCTTCTAATTATTACATAGTCCTAGTGGTGACGGTTATTGGAGTAAAATAATTTTTTTTTTTTCTGGTAGGATGTGATGGAGCTGCTTGAAGAAGATCTCACATGCCCTATTTGTTGTAGTCTGTTTGATGATCCACGGGTTTTGCCTTGCTCCCACAACTTCTGCAAAAAATGCTTAGAAGGTATCTTAGAAGGGAGTGTGCGGAATTCCTTGTGGAGACCAGCTCCATTCAAGTGTCCTACATGCCGTAAGGAAACTTCAGCTACTGGAATTAATAGCCTGCAGGTTAATTACTCCCTGAAGGGTATTGTGGAAAAGTATAACAAGATCAAGATCTCTCCCAAAATGCCAGTATGCAAAGGACACTTGGGGCAGCCTCTCAACATTTTCTGCCTGACTGATATGCAGCTGATTTGTGGGATCTGTGCTACTCGTGGGGAGCACACCAAACATGTCTTCTGTTCTATTGAAGATGCCTATGCTCAGGAAAGGGATGCCTTTGAGTCCCTCTTCCAGAGCTTTGAGACCTGGCGTCGGGGAGATGCTCTTTCTCGCTTGGATACCTTGGAAACTAGTAAGAGGAAATCCCTACAGTTACTGACTAAAGATTCAGATAAAGTGAAGGAATTTTTTGAGAAGTTACAACACACACTGGATCAAAAGAAGAATGAAATTCTGTCTGACTTTGAGACCATGAAACTTGCTGTTATGCAAGCATATGACCCAGAGATCAACAAACTCAACACCATCTTGCAGGAGCAACGGATGGCCTTTAACATTGCTGAGGCTTTCAAAGATGTGTCAGAACCCATTGTATTTCTGCAACAGATGCAGGAGTTTAGAGAGAAAATCAAAGTAATCAAGGAAACTCCTTTACCTCCCTCTAATTTGCCTGCAAGCCCTTTAATGAAGAACTTTGATACCAGTCAGTGGGAAGACATAAAACTAGTCGATGTGGATAAACTTTCTTTGCCTCAAGACACTGGCACATTCATTAGCAAGATTCCCTGGAGCTTTTATAAGTTATTTTTGCTAATCCTTCTGCTTGGCCTTGTCATTGTCTTTGGTCCTACCATGTTCCTAGAATGGTCATTATTTGATGACCTGGCAACTTGGAAAGGCTGTCTTTCAAACTTCAGTTCCTATCTGACTAAAACAGCCGATTTCATAGAACAATCAGTTTTTTACTGGGAACAGGTGACAGATGGGTTTTTCATTTTCAATGAAAGATTCAAGAATTTTACTTTGGTGGTACTGAACAATGTGGCAGAATTTGTGTGCAAATATAAACTATTATAAAATCTGTTTCAAGTATGCAGTTTTCTTTTGTTAGAAATTGTTAGAGAATAGAGAGTGGTAATTCAGATTTGGTCAACGATTCTAGTCACATATTTTCCTCCAAAAGTATTCCTTCCAAAAATAATCTATACATGTTCAAATTAGGTAGCATAAAGATAAAAGTGAAATTTAGTAGTATAGGCCTGAACCTTTTTTTGTTTAAAAGAGTGCTTTTGAAATAAGCATCCACCCCAAATGTTGGTTGTATTTATGCTGTGATAAAAATAGGTGAGAGATCATATGATCTAATATTGTATTGATGGAAGTATAGGTAGTATAGTAGTGATTGTTCTTCAAGCATGCAGTAAAGATCACTTTTTTTTTTTTTTTTTTTTTTGAGATGGAGTCTTGCTCTGTCGCCCAGGCTGGAGTGCAGTGATGCAATCTTGGCTCACTGCAGCCTCTACCTCCCAGGTTCAAGTGATTATCCTGCCTTAGCCTCCTGAGTAGCTGGGATTACAGGCGCGTGCCACCACGCCCAGCTAATTTTTTGTATTTTTAGTTGAGACAGGGTTTCACTGTCCCTTAAGACCATCCTGTTAGCCAAGATGGTCTTGATCTCCTGACCTCGTGATCCGCCTGCCTCGGCCTCCCAAAGTGCTGGGATTACAGGTGTGAGCCACCGTGCCCAGCCAAAGACTGCTCTTAAAGCACCTTTTTGACAGTGAACATGGTCTAAAAAAGGGAAGATATTGTAGAAGATTTCACACACACACGCGTGTGTGGGAGACAACTAAAGGTATTGAAGGTACTAATTAATTAGATTTCCAAAATTTTCTACAGAGAGTTAATTATCACCAAAATGTGAATGGTACATACAAAACCTGGCATTTTCTTGTGATAAGTTTACATTTTTAGGAGAGTGGAGCTTTCAATCTGCCCTTTTCTCCTTTGTTTTTGTAGTTTTCACCAAAGATGATCAACTAGAAATGTTAAGTGGCTATGCAAGCAAAAGCATAGATAGGTTAAAAAAAAGGATCAGCTGGCTGGGCAGGGTGGCTCATGTCTATAATCTCAGCATTCTAGGACAGTGATGTGGGAGGATTATTTGAGGCTAGGAGTTCCAGTTCGAAACCAGCTTCGTAAACATAGCAAGACCCAGTCTCTACCAAAAAAAAAAAAAAAAAAAAAAAAAAAAAAAATATATATATATATATACACACACACACACACATATGTACACATACATATATATACATATATATGTATATATAGAACACATGGCAAGAGCAGGAAATGGGAAGACTACCTTTTTTCTGGCAGCTATGTGTTGTTTTGTTCGAAAGATGGCAAGTGTACAACCAAACCAATCCACTTGCTTACAGAAAGAATGTTTAGTGTAGTTAAGACTAATTTGACAACAGATAAAACAGTCTGTCAGCTATTACAAAGTAATCAGCTGAACACTAATGCTGTTCTGTCTGCTCACAAGAGATAAAGATACCCTCTCATGGAATAAACACCTTGCTTAGAATTCATATAACAAAGAAGTAACCTTATAACTGCTCTCTAGTCTGCCTTATTTGTGTCATAGAGTAAGATATTCCTTGAAAGCCCATTAAGTGGAATAGACTTTCTGAAAATAAGAGTTCTTTACCTCAGTCCTCCTCTAATTTGGTTGAGAGGAGGTAATGAAAATGGGGACAGGATAAAAGGTGGCAACTAAATTTAAAGCACAGAAGAAATGATTTCCTTCTAGCTATGAGAATAGTCAAATTGAGCTTGCCAGGCTGTCTCATTCCTAACATGTAATTCATGATTTAGCCACTAAATTTCTAAGGAGATCATAAGAAATTAAGAAAAACGTTTAAGTCTAGCCTCTGCGTGGTAGACAGGTATGGGGAGGGAGAATGCTTTTCCCCTCCCAGTAATAAAAAAAAAAAAAAAAAAAATATATATATATATATATATATATATATATATATATATATATATATATATATATATAGTTTTACTAGGTTTTCATGGATAAGTTTTTAAATGTAAGACAGGAAAGGGATCTATTTGATGTCTATCTTCAGATATATTGGCAGTTTTCCTTAAGCTATTTAGTTCCTCATCTGTTGCTTTTTCATTTTGTATACTGCAAGTTCCCAGGCAACTCGAATTTGCAAACACAGCCATGGATACACTATTTACCTTACAGTAGTTTCCTGGGAATCTAAGTCTG
Organism: Homo sapiens; assembly: GCF_000001405.40. Lineage (NCBI taxonomy): Eukaryota > Metazoa > Chordata > Mammalia > Primates > Hominidae > Homo > Homo sapiens. The sequence continues at coordinate 50,015,374 of NC_000013.11, forward strand.
GTTTTTGTTATTCTTCCCTCCCCTCCACTGCATAATCATGTATAACTAGCAACATTTATGGTTATAGGTTGATTTCCTAAGTGTGGCTGATGGTAGCCTCTAGTTTGAAGTGAGGGAAGAATGAGTAGTCAGGAACTGGTCACTTTGAATGTGGGAGGGAAGATATTCACGACAAGGTTTTCTACGATAAAGCAGTTTCCTGCTTCTCGTTTGGCACGCATGTTAGATGGCAGAGACCAAGAATTCAAGATGGTTGGTGGCCAGATTTTTGTAGACAGAGATGGTGATTTGTTTAGTTTCATCTTAGATTTTTTGAGAACTCACCAGCTTTTATTACCCACTGAATTTTCAGACTATCTTAGGCTTCAGAGAGAGGCTCTTTTCTATGAACTTCGTTCTCTAGTTGATCTCTTAAACCCATACCTGCTACAGCCAAGACCTGCTCTTGTGGAGGTACATTTCCTAAGCCGGAACACTCAAGCTTTTTTCAGGGTGTTTGGCTCTTGCAGCAAAACAATTGAGATGCTAACAGGGAGGATTACAGTGTTTACAGAACAACCTTCAGCGCCGACCTGGAATGGTAACTTTTTCCCTCCTCAGATGACCTTACTTCCACTGCCTCCACAAAGACCTTCTTACCATGACCTGGTTTTCCAGTGTGGTTCTGACAGCACTACTGATAACCAAACTGGAGTCAGGTATTTTGTACTTTGCAGTATTTCTCTTGTATACCAGTTTGTGATGTTTTCTCTAAAAACTTGAAGTTCCTCAGGCCTGTAACTTCTGGAAAAGATGATTATTCAAAATAATGTTTTGGGGTAACCAGTGGAGTTGGGTAGAATGACCAAATAATTATTTTCCAAACTGGGATACTTTTTAGAGTGAAAGGGGCTATTATTAGGTGGGACAAAAGGAATAAATGAAGACTGCCCAGAAAAAACTGAGACTATGGACATTCAAATCATGGGAGAAAATAATTTTGTAGATTATGTTCCATTGCTAATGAATTTGACTTAGAAAAGAATTGCCTTATTTTTAAGAGATTGTTTCAGTGGTTCACATAAAGGCTCGCTCACTGGTTTCTCTTGAGTTCCTTACACACTATATAAGTTGTTCTTTCAGTTTTATGATTCAACTACTGTTTTTCCTTCAGCTGACTTTATTTTTAAACACCCTTAAAGACAGATATATCTCATGGCAAATTTGGTATCCTGTTACAGCCTTGGCTCTTAAACAACTCAAAATATTGGGATAGGCTGTCAGTATGTTAAGGATAGTTGCTCCTGAGTCAATTCTTCACTTACTCCCTCTGTTGTTCTTGGCTGGATCCTAACGCTGATTTCCACTCTGCTGTCACAAACATTTTTCCCCCCGTAAAATGTCTTAATGCTGTCCTACCATTATTTTACCAACTGTGAAAGCTGGCTTTAATTTTTAGGAGGAAAAGAAAAGCCTGCATGTGTTCTTTATTGGTATCATTTAAAATATACTTTTTTTTTTTTTTTTGGTAAAGGTAGGCGTATTTTAAGATATTTTCTTAACTTGAGCAGTAGCCAACAGGAAGGATACCAGTGTCTCTCTCTCTTAGCGACACACTCCTTGGTCTTGCTTACCAACTGGAGGACACTAGGTAGAATAACCGAGTATGACAATTCTTAATTGTTTACATTTTATAACTTCCTGTCCTTCAAAAGAGTTTGAAATGTCATTTTGGGAAAAGAGAGCCAGTCAAGCTAGTAGGCTGATTGTGAAGAAAATCTAATACCTTATCTTTATCTCAAACCTCTGTACAACTTTATTTTCATTGATGGGATACTTTAACAAAAATGAAATTTTTTTTGGTTTTTAAAATATGAGTGATTATGACCTCTTTGGGGATCATGCTTCAAAAAGTCAGAAACCTAGAGACAAAACTGTCATTGATTTTTAAGAAGAAACACACTAGGTCAAAAGAAGATGTCCTGGAAATACGAAGTACTCTTTAAAAACCATGCATTTGGAGAAAGTAATTGTTTCCTTGAAAAACATGATTAAAAACTAAAACTGGGATGTTCCTGTGTGTACACAGTGCCAAATGGTTTTCCCTTTTTATGTTGTGTTTTAGAAACAGCACGAAAGTTTTTTCCATTTTAAAGTGAGAAAACATTATATTTAGACTTCCATAATTCCAAAATCAGAAGCTATTTTTAAAATTAGCATTTTCTTGCATCACCAAATGGTATTCAATTGTTTGAAGCTCAAAATTTTTACCATTCCATAAATGTTTGTGAATTTTTAGACAGTGCCAATTTAAAAGTAGAGATAGCCAATCTGAATACGGTGAAATTATGGGGATCTCTGGTGATTGGGATGAAAACTCTGGCCTTAAAAGGTCCACTTTTAGTATATAATTGCCTAATTAGCAATCATTTTTATTTTTTGCTCACTCCCTGGTCTGAATCTATCTGTCTATTCAGATATTTTTTGGTAGGTTTGGAAAATGGAGAAGTGAGCCTAATTGGTGCCTAATTGTCTGGTGTATCATTCACTTTATTCAGTTTGTTCTATCAATATGATTTACCCCTCAAGGTTAACCTAGCAGGTTGCTCAGTTATTATCTCTCAAGGTCACAGTACTAGAAATACTTGGCTTGCATCTTTCAGATGCCATTCATGTTATCAAGCTCAAATTATAGTTGGTCACAGGATTCTAAAGTCTTTATTTGACTTCTCCTTTTTGAACTGGCTCAAATGGAAAAGTGTAGTTGCTTTTAAATGTTAAAAATAAGTTTAAACTTTATATTTCCCATTGGTTTCCCCTATTTTGTCCTTTCTTTGTGTGCTTGAAATATTTTATTTTTCAGTTTGTCCTCATAGGGAATCAAGTATTTTAGCTAGGTGATGTCTTGCAAGTACGTTCCACTTTGTTACAATCTACTATCTGTATATACTATTTGTATCTTAATTCTTTTATGAGATGTTCTGTAACATTTTTCTCACTTTGACAAATGTTTTTAGACTGTACAGTCAAGATCTGGCGCTTGGGGGTAAGTGGAATGATTTGCTAATATTGAGAATCTGTTGTATCAAACATAATAAACTTTTTTTGAGATGTGCTTTGTAGTTTGGTAATTCTTAGATTTTACTATTGGTTTCTTTGCTTAGAATGAGTTTCTAAATGTGAACTACAAAAACCACTCTACTTCAAGCATGATCATTAGAAGAAGGTTAGGGATGTCCCCAAGCATCATTTTATCCCTTAAAACTACAGATAGTTTAGGTTTCTGCCTGAACTAATCTAAGTTAGCTTTTTCTTCACATCTCATAAACTAATGGTGGGAGGACACAAAGAGCTTTATGAAAACATTTTTGATGGCAGATAAGGACGGAGTCATAAAGCTGTATCCATGCAGATGTGTTATGCTGACATTATTGTTATTATTGAGATGGAGTTTCACTCTTGTTGCCCAGGCTGGTATGCAATGGCGTGATCTCGGCTCACCACAACCTCCGCCTCTGGGGTTCAAGTGATTCTCCTGCCTCAGCCTCCCGAGTAGCTGGGATTACAGGTATGCACCACCACACCTAGCTAATTTTTGTATTTTTAGTAGAGACGGAGTTTCACCATGTTGGTCAGGCTGGTCTCAAACTCCCGAGCTCAGGTGATCCACCAGCCTCGGCTTCCCAAAATGCTGGGATTACAGGCATGAGGCACTACGCCCAGCCTATGCTGACATTATTAAAGCCAACAGATAGCTAATCTGAAAAGTTCATGTGCATTTTTTTCTTTTTTTCTTTTGTTTTTTTTTTTGAGACGGAGTCTCGCTCTGTCACCCAGGCTGGAGTGCAATGGCGCCATCTTGGCTCACTGCAAGCTCCGCCTCCTCATGTGCATTTTTCTTGAATTGGTTCTGTGTACTGCATTTGTTCTGTGGAGCACCTCAGTGAATAGAAGATTTTGCCCTTTCCACTCTCCAGAGGCTTTTGACCCCAAGTTGTGCTCTTTGACAATGGAGAGTTATTGCGTAAAAAGTGACAATAAAATCTTGACATTTCATATCTGCAAAATTTCACTTAAAAAAAGGTAAATTTCATAGGAGTAAGTCGCAAAGGAAAATCCATAATGTCAGTGCTAATAATTGATAAGATTAGATCTGGAGGGGAAATTGTAAGTGCACAGCATTCATTAAAATATTTGATTCAATCAACTAATTAATAGCAAATTCAAAACAAAATTGGAAATAGTTATATAAAAATTAATACAATTTGTTTGATCAAATGTTTTCTTTAGAAAGTGATCTCTCAAAAATTGATGAGTGTTGGTTTACTTCTAAATATGGAATTGAAATGACTTTCAGAATCACAGCAAGGTCTCGATTTTCAGCACCTGATTACTGATTTGGTAGCCTAGCACGGTGGCTCATGCATGTAATCCCAGCACTTTGGGAGGCCGAGATGGGTGGATCACTTGAGGTCAGGAGTTTGAGACCAGCCTGGCCAACATGGTGAAACTCAATCTTTACTAAAAATACAAAAATTAGCCGGGCATGGTGGTGTGCGCCTGTAATCCCACCTGCTTAGGAGGCTGAGGCAAGAGAATAGCCTAAACCTGGGAGGCAGAGGTTGCTGAGAGCCAAGATCACACCACTACACACCAGTCTGGGTGACAGAGTAAGACTCCATCTCAAAAGAAAAAAAAAAAAAATCACTCATTTGGATTTGTAAAGTAAATGAAATTTCAAAAAAAAAATCTGTCTTGAGAAGGTATGATGCCTTTGAGGTTGTAAGTCAAATTTATGTGTATAGTTTTGCTAGTTATTAAAGGGATGCTTTATAATTAAGCTTCTTTTTGTGTGTCCTAGGTATGTTTCTATAAAACCTGATAACCGAAAATTGGCCAACGGAACAAATGTCCTCGGCTTACTGATTGACACTTTATTAAAGGAAGGCTTTCATTTGGTCAGCACTAGAACAGTATCTTCTGAAGACAAAACTGAATGCTATAGCTTTGAAAGGATAAAAAGCCCTGAAGTGCTCATCACGAATGAAACACCAAAACCAGAGACTATCATCATACCAGAGCAATCTCAGATAAAGAAATGAAGTTGTCTATCCTCTTTTAAAGAGAAATTGCCATTTTTCTTGTTTCATTACGTATTTAGGGCATACATGTTAGCCAAATCTACACTCAGCCTAACTCTTGGCTTCATCTGCTGCCATGCCGTCTCTGGGCAACCAGGCCCCAACTGTGCTTAAGCCATAATGCCTGCTGCTCTCTAGACAACTCCATGTACTTGGTGCTTTGGTATATGTTCTACCTTCAATACATCTTTCCCTTTCTCTTCTTCATGAATGCTTATGAGCCGAGATTGCGCCACTGCACACTAGCTTGGGTGACAGAGGAAGACTGTCTCAAAAAAAAAAAAATTGATCAAACTGATGGATACCCTAAGTACCCTGACTTGATCATTACACCTTCTATGCATGCAACAAAATGCCACGTGTACCCCATAAATATGTAGAAATATTATATGTAAATAAATAGTTGGGCCTTCCGTATTTTCCCACTTATGTTTGTTTCAGCATTTATTTATTTATTTATTTTTTTAGACGGAGTTTCGCTCTTGTTGCCCAAGCTGGAGTGCAAAGGTGCGATCTCGGCTCACTGCAACCCCCACCTCCTGGGTACAAGTGATTCTCCTACCTCAGCCTCCCGAGTAGCTGGGATTACAGGCAGGCGAAACCGCGCCCAGCTAATTTTTGTATTTTTAGTAGAGATGGGGTTTCATCATGTTGGCCAGGATGGTCTCAATCTCTTGACCTCGTGATCAGCCCGCCTCGGCCTCCCAAAGTGCTGAGATTACAGGCGTGAGCCACCGTGCCTGGCCCCAGCATGTTTTTATCAATCACAGTTTCATTTCTGACAAGGCACCAAATATTTTATTTATTTATTTAATACTCTTTATATAATACTCTGTCACCAGGCTGGAGTGCAGGAGTTGGAAGCTGTAGTGAATTCTGGTGTAATCATAACTCATGCAGCCTCAAACTCTTGGGCTCAAGTGATCCTCCCACCTCAGTCTCCCAAGTAGCTGGGACTACAGGCGCATACCACCATGCCAGGGTAATTGTTTTTTATTTTTTGTAGAGACGAGGTCTCACATGTTGTCCAGGCTGGTCTCGAACTCCTGGCCTTAAGTGATTCTCCCACTTTGGCCTCCCAGAGCACTGGGATTACAAGTGTGAGCCACCATGCCTAGCCAAGGCACCAAGATTTTAGCTTATGATTCTTGAACCTCAATAATTTACCTTATAAGTGATTAGAAGTTCTCCCTACAAATCTTTTCTGAAAAACAGCTCTAATGCTTAATTTTACTCTTGGATTTAATATACAAGTTGTAATTACAAAGAGTTCTTAGGGTATGGTAAAGTCAAGATTAATTTAGGCTGCTTTTTTTTTTTTTTGAGACAGGGTCTCACTCTGTTACCCAGGTTGGAGTGCAGTGGTGCGATTTCAGCTCACTGCAACCTCCATCTCCCAGGCTCAAGCGATCCTCCCATCTCAGCCTCCTGAGTAGCTGGGACTACAGGCATGTGCCATCACGCCCACCTAATTTTTTGTATTTTTGGTAGAGATGGTGTTTCACCATGTTGCCTAGGCTGGCCTCGAACTCCTGACCTCAGGTGATCCGCCCGCCTCAGTCTCCCAAAGTGCTGGGATTACAGGTGTGAGCCACTATGCCTGGCCTATTTAGGTGCTTTAAAAATGTATTTGAAATCAGGAGCCTGAAGTAGTATAAAATGGTCACAAGAAAGCAGCTTGAGAAATACATGGTTTAGGAAATCAAAATCTGTTTCTAATTTGTCCTTTATACCATTTACAAGTGACAAACTTCAGCTTTGCTTTATAAACTTTTGTACTGATTCTCTATCATAAGTAATAGAAATGTTCACATCAATAGAGAATTACACCACTAGAGACTATGCTGGGGTAATAAAAGATTTGCTAAGAGCACTCAATCTCTTATATTCTACTGCTATTTTTCCTCTGTGCTAGGGAAGTTGACTGTAATGGCAAGTTTAGCAACGTAGAAGCTACCGTGAGGAAATCTTCAAAAATAAATTTATGAAATTGTATTACCTTCCTGGAACCAAAGGACCCATGGGAGACAGCAATGTGGCATCAGACTTAGCATTTTTAAACAAATGCTCAGAAATAAAGATAGGACATTTTAAAATTACTAAAAATACTTAGCTTTCTGGAATATCAATGACCTAGTAAAAAACGTAAGTACTGGGCTGGCCTGGTGGTTATAATCCCAGCATTTTGAGAGGTCAAGGCGGAAGGATCCTTGAGCCCAGGAGTTCGAGATCAGCCTGAGCAACAGTGAGACCCCCATCTGTCTATGATTTAAAAACAACATCAACAACAAAAAACCCCAAAAATCACAATTACCGGCTTTGCTGTAGAACTATATACCTCAAGACTTACTAGGATTTCTGGCTGGGTGAGGTGGCTCACGTCTGTAATCCTAGCACTCTGGGAGGCTGCGGTAGGCGGATCACCTGAGGTCAGGAGACCAGCCTGGCCAACATGGTGAAACCCCGTCTCCACCAAAAATTACAAAAATTGGCTGGGCATGGTGGCACGTGCCTGTAGTCCCCAGTTACTTGGAAGGCTGAGGCAGGAGAACTGCTTGAGTCTGGAAGGCGGAGGTTGCAGCCTCCGCCGAGATCATGCCATTGCACTCCAGCCTAGGTGACAGAGTGGGACTCTGTCTCAAAAAAAAAAAAAAAAAAAAAAGGATTTCTTTTGGGCCTATTATAAATGAAAAGTACAAATTTTATCAAAACACTTCATCATCGAAAATACCTTAATATTTAACTAAACTATGAGATCCAATCACAAAAATATTTTCATGGATAAAAAGCTAAAATCTTACATGGGTGAAAATGGAAAATGATATTACGCATGGCACAGAATAAAAACAGAACTAAACATGTAGCAAAATAAATAGGACCTTGCTCCCAAAACTAAAATGTGTTTAAGACTTGCCTAACCACACAAGGCTTTTAGGTAGGTAGTCTTCTGTACCTTCAGATTTCACACCAACACCTCAAAATCCAGAAATCATTAAAGCAAATGGCTTTTTATTAAACAAATGGCTTTTTATCAGTAGGGTAAAACATACCAAATAAGTGTTTCATTTCATATTATTCTTCATCATCTCACAACACTTCTGGAAAGAATGTGAATTTCTTCAGGTTCATGAGTATGAGGCCAAATAGGAGAGATTTGTTTTACCCTTTTTTTTTTTTTAAGCAGGATTTCACCCTGTCACCCAGCTAGAGTGCAGTGGTGCTACCATGGCTCACTGTAACCTCAAAATCCAGAGCCCAAGCTATCCTCTAGCCTCAGCCTCCTGAGTACCTGGGACTGCAAGTGCATGCCACCATGCCTGGCTAATTTTTAATTTTTTTTGTAAAGATGAAGTCTTACTATGTTGCCCAGGCTGGTCTTAAACTTCTGGGCTCAAGCAATCCTTCCACCTCACCCTCCCAAAGTGTTGGGATTACAGGCGTGTGCCACTGCACATGGTCTACGCTTTCTGTAATAAGAGACCTCCAAGGAAATCTGGCTGCAATGTTTAAGGTTCCATGAGTTCTTTTAAGATGAGGACTGAGACTGCTATAGTGGTCTATGTCATACTCCCCCATAGTGCTGGGCATCTAACAAGCTCAAGTGAACTGAACTGAAACATTTGGAAACTATAGTCTCAGTGAATAGATGCTTGGAAAAACAAGATTTATAGTAGATTCAAAGATGGAAGAGGATAATTTAAATAATACAATCTGAAAGAGTTGACTCAAGTTACAGATTACAGAAACTACCCCAGAGTATTTTCAATTAGTTTACTTGGGGCCAGGCGCAGTGGCTCGCGCCTGTAATCCCAGCACTTTGGGAGGCCGAGGTGGGAGGATCACTTGAGGTCAAGAGTTCGAGACCAACCTGACCAACATGGTGAAACCCCGTCTCTACTAAAAATACAAAAATTAGCCAGGTTTGGTGGGAGGCACCTGCAATTTCAGCTACTGGGGAGGCTGAGGCAGGAGAATCGCTTGAATCTGGGAGGCAGAGGTTGTAGTAAGCTGAGATTGCACCATTGCCCTCCAGCCTGGGCAAAGAAGTGAGACTCCATTAAAGAAAAAAAAGAAGTTTATTTGGGTAATGCCATATGGAAAGGAGATGAAAATATAGATGTATATGGGGATATAAACTTGTTGCAGATTACACAAAATTATATGTTTAAGCAGAGAATAGTCCAGTTAAAATTGGGATATACTTAATTTGCTAAGAACAATGTAATGCTACCAGCATGCTTAAAATTAAAAAAACTAAGAGAATGTAAGTTCAAAATGAGTGTCACATGACTATAATTGATAGTAAATCTTCACTTACCTCCATAACTTAGGAGTCATGAAAAGAAAGAAGTTAGCAGACCAGGCATGTAAATCAGATGTAAGTAGGATGGAATACAGAAATATTCCTAGTTCTGGGTAACCCAATTTGAGGTCATTTTAAGTTTACTGAATTTGGATTAATCAATTGGTTCAATAATCAAGGTAAAATGGTCCAAAAGATCCTGATATATCCAGAAGACATATTACTGAGGTTTTACAAGGCTAATTTGAAATGCAGATTAACATTCTAGGTTTCCTTACATATCATTAAAATAGACCATATTAAAAATCAATTTCAGAAGCTGCTTTATGACTGGAATAAAAAACAATTAAAGATGTAGAGTAACATTGTATTTCTGTCTGATGCTGGGAGGCTATTTTTTCATGGCAAGTAATAACTGGGTAAACAGAGAGATACTTTAACTTTACAAATAGGAATCCTAGAAAACAAGGTTTTGCTCCTAGAAAACAAAAATAGTTCCTTTCAATTAATTTTCTAAAAATGGTTGCATTGGTCACTTTTTAAACTCCTACAATCTAAGCAGCACTGAATTCCTATTTGATTTTTTTTTTTGCTAATAGTTTTCTTCAGAAGCAAACCTGCTTTAGGGTGAAAAAAAGTTTCAGACCTTAGACAGAACCTTCATTTCCTCTTAAGTATGTTTCTCCATCAAAAACAAGTATTCAAATAAAGAATCTCAATTATCTAAACCTATTTTTGGCCATCTTCCGGAATTTCTTGTTAAATCTCCTTTGAAATGCCACAGTTGCACTCTTGGAAAACTTGTCTTCCTGGTTTTCAAATTTCTGTTTATTATTACAGCTCTTCAGCTAGAATGCCAGGTCTTTGTGCTGTACTGTTTCTTGAAACTGGAGACTAGCACACTTCCCCCAATTCAATTACTTGCTTTCCATTTGAGAAATTAAAGCCAGGTCAATTTTATAAAGTTTTAACTGACTGAATTATTTGGACTTTAAGTTCTCAATTTCATTCCCTTAGCCTAATACTGGGAAAGATCTTGGTTTTATTGAGAGAAGGTAAGGTTTAAGAGTATTAACACATTTCAGTCATTGACTCTTATAATTGATATAAGCGTAGGGATTTTCTAACAGGCACACGCTTGAGATATGACACTCTAAGGAAAAAAGGGAGAGTTCTTATTCAATTCTAGAAATGTTTAAGATTACATACTAATGATATAGTTTATTTACATAAATGTGTGTTCATATTTTTTCTAAAAGAAAGGGACCGACTGTCCTTCATAAAGAGCTTCAGTCAGCTTTTCTACCCTTATCAGCCTTATGTAACTGCCAAATTTACCTCTCCAGCCTGACTTTTACATAGAATTCCAGTTCTGTATATCCAGCCACCTTAAATGAAGACATTTCAAGCTGAACGCCTAAATATCACCTTAAATACATTGCAGAAATGGAACATATTTTCCCCCTCTTAAACTAGTTTCTTTTCTTTTTTTTTTGACAGAGTCACTCTGTCACCCAGGCTGGAGTGCAGTGGCATGATCTCGGCTCACTGCAGCCTCCACTGCCCAGGTTCAAGCGATTCTCCTGCCTCAGCCTCCTGAGTAGCTGGGATTACAGGCATGAGCCACCACGTCTGACTGATTTTTGTATTTTTAGTAGAGGTGGGGTTTCACCATGTTTGCCAGGCTGGTCTCGAACTCCTGACCTCAAGGGATCCACCCACCTCTGCTTCCCAAAGTGTTAAGATTACAGGCATGAGCCATCGCACCCGGCCTTAAACTAGTTTCTTAACTATCTCCTTTCTTTCATTGGTAACTCCATTGTCTTCCAGTATAGAAAATGTATAATCTTTTACACCTCCCTTTTATCCAACCCATCATGATATTCAACAACTTTTTCCTTTGAAATATCTTAAATTTATTCTTTCACCTCCATTCTCCTGCCACTATTGCTGTTCAGGTTTCTTCACCCCTAGATTACTACAGTAGTCACATGCCCAGTTTCCTTGCTACCATATTTTATTTCTTAGACATTTCTATATATAGTATTGCCACATTTAATTCCAAACAAATCAATAGGCTATAATGCCTCCCTATTCCCTGCTATATCAAGACCAAAATCCTCTAATTGGTTTTCTAGGCAAAGGCTCAATAGCCTAGTTCTAACCTAGTAATACAAATTCATGTAACCTTTGCCTTAGGTTTTATGGCACAGATCCCAGGTTACTTCTGGGGGAATGTTGCATTCAATTTTGGCTTAAATTCCTACCTACAAACCAGACAAGTCCATTACTTGACAACTCAATGCATTTTAATTTACAAGCATGCAGGCCACAAATTATAAAATGAAGACTTTTTACTGAGTCAGCAGAAACAACTGTTCAATTCTCCTGTAAGTCCCCAGTTACTTACAGTTTTCTGCTGAGGTGATCATCTCATGTGGCATTTATTGCCCTCTACTAAAATGAGCTATTATCTGACACTCTGCTCTGTACAGACGTGTTTCTGTTTCCATTTTCAGTTCCTTCTCCACATGGTCTAAGTACCAGTAGTTTAGTCAGTTCTCACCTTTTTTGAGGGGAAGGCGGCAATGGTGGTATCAAAATTTACACCTGGAAAACAGGTCATAAAGAAAATCAATATAGAAGGGAAAGTGCTTTACCACAGGAATTATTATTTAATTGCTGGTTGAATTCTTGACTTTTGGTTAAAAGGTAGATATAACAAATATGTAAACCACCCTCAAAGCCAAACCAAAACCAACAGCAACAGGCTTTTCAATCAATGTAATTTATACATTGGGTTCTGGAAAACAGAAATGTCCTATAAATTTTATATAAATGCTATATAAGGGTACATAAAAATGAATCCTTATTATAAATATGACTTAAATGTCATAGCAGTAAACAAATGGTACTTATTTGATCCACAAATTTCTTTGCCTTCTTAGATTTTTTTGAAAGTTTTGGTGTGGCTTGGTTTCTTTTTGAAGGGCCGAGCTGGGAGAAGGAGGAAAGGCATTTGGTCTCCTATAAAATTGTCCAAGAAAGTTTATGAGAAAGCCTATATCACTCAATAAGGTGGCTCCAGTAAGTTTAGGCATTCAAAAACATTCCATTAATTTTAGAGTTACCTTAAAGAATTACAGCAGATCCTCAATGCTTTTGTTTCTGTGATTACGGTAATGGCATTTCTTGAAAAGTATTTTTAAATGTAAGGATTCTTTATTCTACTACCACCTCCTATCTCCTCAGAGATACACAAATAAAGGCCCAAAAATAACAGTTAAACTTTATAGAATTTCACACTTCATTGGAAAGGTTAGAAATGATCATTTAGATCACTAATGACCCCCCAAAAGATAACAAAATTTCACAGGCCTGATTATTCATACCCCTACCCACACTTTGCTGGTTTTGCTGAAAAAAAAAAAAAAATGACATTTTAAGGTACCTGAGACCTGAGGAATGAATGTTAATAGCTCACACAGAATGAGAAGAGCTCTGATCAGTGAAGTAGTAAAAGGTAGAGGGCACTCCTAAATTATCAGAAAATAACCTGCATATTTCTGTATTTATCTAGCAGGTATGCAGCCTTTCTACCACTTTACCATAAAGGTATTACTCCTGATTTTCAGCAATCAATGGTCACTTATTTTACACCTACTATGTTTAAGACACTAGACTAGGCTTGCAGAATATACGATAAAGAATAAGATGGCCCCTTCCCATAAGACAGCATGCATTTGTTCTAAGTCAGGTATGGAAGCTTAAATGAGAGAAATGGTATTTTTGGCTGAGGAGGAAAAGTGAACTGGAAAAATTTCATGTAGGGGGTAAATAGCTTAAGTTTTAGACAATTGAAGATGAAGGAAAGGACATTCTAGGAGTAAATAACTTGAGTTAAGGCTTGGATGAAAATCTGAGTGAGGTTTGAAAAAGTATTATTTCTCTTTGGCTTAACAACAGTTATTATGGTATTCATTGACAATTACTCCCATAGTGGTAAAGTCAATCTTACTTAAGGCAAAAAATATCCTAGATATAGCATTTTGCCTAGGCAACTCTTTCCTCTCAAGATTTCTCACCTGATTTGCTGAGTTAAAAGCCACAGACTCCCAATTATTTAGGGTAAACTTATTTATGCCTAGGTTTCCTTCCAGTATTTCTTACAAGTTTTTTGTTTTTTTTTCTTCAAAGCAACACACCATGGCTCTTGAAGGGCTGCAGGCAATCTGAATACCCTTGTTTTCTTTGATTAGAAATGAGGGTAAATTATGCAAAGGAAGGAAAACAATCTCAAACATGATTATACTCATTTCCCTACCAATTCCCTAGTATCTACTCTTTGCCTTCATTATACTGTATCTACTTTACTCCTTGCTACTTCATCATGTCTTGGTTCATGTTGTTTTCTGCACTCGCAAGTTATCATTCCTTCATTTCACATAATCAATCTTAACCACTTTTTCAGCCCAGCTCACCTTTCATATCCTCTTATAAGTCTTCTCTGATAAGTTTAAGTCCACATTTCCTTCAAGCTTCTACCACACTTAAGTTAGCAAGCCAGAGTTTACATTCCATTATTCTCTACTTGTTTCTTGTATGTTAGTATAATATTCTCATACAGGTTACAGTTCTTTGCTGACAGGGACCATCTTTTATAAACTATAGTGAAGTACCGCACCTAGAGTAGGCCCTTAATAATAAAGATAATGTCACTTTAAAAATGCAAGCAGGAAACGCTTCAGGCATTTAAAAGTAGTATTTTAACAATAACTATTTTTGATTAAATAAAACTATATTCATTCTTCTTTTCAGAACTTGAAGCCTCAAATTATCACCTCAGATCATCATGCTATTAAAAAGTAGATGTGCATATGAATAAAACTGTCCAACTCTATCACTTATACACAACACAGCCATGAACAAAAGCAGCAGCCATTCTTGATAATCCAATCCCCTCTGAAACAAACAATTTCTGGCAGTAGGAGACATTTACAAATACATAGCCTTGCTAACAACCACTAGGTTATAACGGAAAAGGTTTGTAATTTGAATCCTTTAGAGTGTGCATCTTTCAAATGTGTAGTGAAATCATAAATACAATGTAATTTTGTTCAGTTTGGAATGAAGTGAAATTTTGCTTAAAGGAAATGAAGATTATTCAAGTTGAAGCTTTAGTTAACCTGCATTAGTCACTAGCATTCTACTTCCAAAAAAAAAAAAAAAAGTCAATCTTAGGAAAAATTGCAATCAAACATCAAACATCCTTGGCTTAAAACACATTCAGCACAATTTTTAAAACCTCTATACCTACATTACAGAATATAGTAGTTCACCCTTATTCACAGGAGATACCTTCCAAGACCCCTAGTAAATGCCTGAAACTGTGGATAGTATGTAACTTTATATATATATACTATGTGCTTTCCTAAAAATATATATGATAAAGTTTTATTTGTAAATTAGGTACAGTAAGATTAACAAGAATAATAGTAAAATAAAACAATTTAACAAAATGCAAGCATCACTACTCTTGTGGTTTGGGGCCATTATGAATTAAATAAGGATTATGAATTAAATAAGGATTATATGAACACAAGCACTGTAATCCTGGGGCAGTGGGTCTGATAACCATGATGGCTACTAAGTAACTAACAGGCAGATAGTATCTACGGCATAGAAACAATGGACAAAGGGATGACTGCGATCCTAGGCAAGATGGTGCAAGATTTCATCATGCTACTCAGAATGACACACAATTTGAAACTTAAACGTTGTTTATTTCTGGAGTTTTCCATTTAATATTTCCAGACTTCAGTTGACTGTGTGTAACTACATGGAAAATGGGAGACACTACTGTATTACATAAGACTTGATAATAAGGTATGTCTTTATTTATAAAATGTAATGATATTCAGCATATACTTTATTAAGGCAAGAAAATATATTGAAATATTACCATTTTTATTAATGTTTTAGAAAATATTCAAACAAGGTTTAAAATGATTATACTCCAGAAGCTTTACAGGTGTTAAATAAAATTTTTTTAAAAACTAGGCCAGGTGCAGTGGCTGATGCCTGTAATCCCAGCACTTTGGAGGGCCGAGGCGGGCGGGTCACCTGAGGTCAGGAGTTCGAGACCAGCCTGGCCAACATGGTGAAACCCCGTCTCTATAAAAATAACAAAAAAACGGCCGGGCGCGGTGGTTCATGCCTGTAATCCCAGCACTTTGGGAGGTTGAGACGGGCAGATCACAAGGTCAGGATGGTCTCAAGGTCAGGAGATTGAGACCATCTTGGCTAACACGGTGAAACCCCGTCTCTACTAAAAATACAAAAAATTAGCCAGGTGTGGTAATGGGTGCCTGTAGTTCCAGGTACTCGGGAGGCTGAAGCAGGAGAATGGCGTGAACCCAGGAGACGGAGCTTGCAGTGAGCCAAGATCACGCCACTGCACTCCAGCCTGGGCGACAGAGCAAGACTCTGTCTCAAAAAGAAAAAAAAAAAAAAAATCAGCTGGGTGTGGTGGTGCACGCATGTAATCCCAGCTACTCAGGAAGCTGAGACATGAGAATCGCTTGGTCCAGGGAGGCGGAGGTTGCAGTAAGCTGAGATCGCGCCACTGCATTCCAGCCTGGTAACAGAGTGAGACTCTGTCTCAAAATAAGTAAATAAATAAAAATAAAATAAAAGTGATTGTAAACTTCAATTAACAGAATCATCCAGAACTCCAGATTGCCCCATTGATTCAATTAAATTTTTGTCTGATAAAACTTTTAGAAATTCTTTTTCTTTTTTTTCATTTGCATTGCCTTTCCTTTAACAACTTCCAGTGGGGGTAGTTTTCCTTTTTGTTAATCACGTCTCACACAGTCAAGGTGTCGATCTGACAAAGAGTAAGAGAAATGAAATCTAACATAGTTTCTATAAATGGTAAAGTTAAACACAATTTCCAGAACTCTAAGATGATGTTGAATTTTCCACATAAATCTATGAGATTATATTTAATTTTTCCCATCTGCTATTTTAAGTAATATGTCAGTATACTAAATATCTCTAAAATGAATATATTGAAGGCTGACTCTCTTCTAGGATTATAAAAATTTGGGACAAGACAGAGCCAAGTTCAATATCTTATTTAAAATTTAAAGGCTTAGAGAAAGACAGTAACTTAAGGTCTTTCAACTAAGCAATGACAGAGCCAATTCTCAAGTATTTGAATATGACCACAATTAACTTCTCTGGGACAGGAACAGTTTAAGCTTCTGTTTACACTGTCATTTCTCGGGCAAAGTTACCAAGCTACCTAAATACTTCTTTAGCATAATCACAAATATGAATTTTATTATAACACATTATAATCTTTTATTCTGTTTCATTTCATGGCCTTCTAAACGTGTGGGTAAGCTTTAGCTTCTTGTACATGCTCAACTGTTATCTTAATAAAATGCATCCTGATGAAACTGAAGAGACTAGCAACAGAGGCAAGTGCCTCTGAACAAAGAGACATGTTGGATGAATGAATAGCTATACACACATAATTGACCAGTTTGAGACTTTAAAAATGAGGGCAATGCAGAAAATAACTTATAGATTCTCAACATAAGAATCATCAAATTAATCTAATGAACATTTTCACTTCTAATTTATATTTTTACTTTTTGCATATTATTCTTAATTCTTGTATGAATTCTTCAATGAATTCTAAGTTATTTCTTTAGACATTCCTATGGTTAAAGCATTTTCCCCCATAACAGCAAGTAAGATAATTGAAAGATTAGAAAAAGGATTATTTAATCTAAAAAATTCACTTTACTATTTCTATGAGAACTTTTATCTTTTCAACTGAGAGAAGCTAAATACAAAAATACTGAATATGAAAAGTAAATACTTTGAAAAACAGAGAAGGCCCTAAGATTAAGATTGTTTATTGGAAATAGGATTCTTAAGATTTATCTTTTAAAACTGCCATGCTAAATAAGTCAGATTGAATCATTATTAATTCAAATAGATATCATCTACTGTGTCAGATGTTTTCATTTTGTTTTCTTTATATATGGAAGAAAACTGTTTAGCTAAAATATAGTAGATACCACAAATTGTAAAATTATACATTCTAAATGAATACATTAAAATGAAAAATAAGCAGCACAATTTTATATAAAAGATTATAATACTAGGCTGGGCACAGTGGCTCATGCCTGTAATCCCAGCACTTTGGGAGGCCGAGGCAGGTGGATCACAAGGTCAGGAGTTCGAGGCCAGCCTGGCCAACATGGCGAAACCCGTCTCTACTAAATGTACAAAAATTAGCTGGGCGCGGTGGTGTGTGTCTGTAATCCCAGCTACTTGGGAGGCTGACGCAGGAGAATTGTTTGAACCCGGGAGGCAGAGATTGCAGCGAGCCAAGATCAGGCCACTGCACTCTAGCCTGAGTGACAGAGCAAGACTGTCTAAAAAAAAAAAAAAAAAAAAAAAAGGGAATTCTCAACTACTTTTTTAAAAAGGAGTTCTCTCTATGGAAGGCCTAATTTGGAAATGTACTTGGGTCCCTATACAAAGTCGTCCAGAAGCCAGATGATTTCCCAGTGTAGTCCAAAAGCCAGATGATTTCAGGGCAAAGCATTTGAATGCTATGGATTTAGGTAGGCAAGATCCAGAAGCAGAGTACTGTGGGTCTGGGTGGGCAGGTAGAATTCAGATGCTGGGAAAAACACAAACGCAATGCTAGGAAAAAGGGTCATGCCTTACAATTCAGGTGGGACAGATACAAATGAAATAGTTTCTTAATGAGGTAGAAAGAGGAAGTTATTAATTCCTGTTCTTGTTGGATTCTAACATACAAGCTAATTTGAATTCATCAGCCTAAGCAAGGTTGCCTTGGATTTTGAAGTTTTCTTAAGGAATAAACTGTAGAGAAACCATAGGGCCAACCAGATGGATGATGAAATGGAAAAAACAGCAATTAAATACTTTTAGAAAGTATTACAAATTAATACCTTAAAAACCCTGTATCTTGAGCTAGTAGCAAAACTAACTGGAATTCCTGACCTCTGCAGTGCCTTCTTGCAACATCTCAGAAAAAACATCTGGGAATCCATTTTAGTCTGCTAAGAGACTTAAGATTTACATCAGATATATTGTCAAGGTTTCTCTTGTCCTTGTTACCAAGGAGGTAAAAGAAGTGTTGTAAAATTTATTCCTCAGCTGGCACATTATCTCAGTGAGAAATAGAGCCCTTACAAAGACTTATCTTAGACACAAAACTACATTATTGTACTTGGCAAGTACCATTTCATGCTTCTCATTTTTTTCCTCTGATCCTTTAATGAAACTGTGATGTTGATGATCTATAAATTTGATCTAATTGAGGCTAGAATTCTACTGAAAAGATAATTTCTGAGTAGCCATACCAATACTGATATCAATGTATTTTTTAATCAGAGAATTAACATATTACTGAATGTATATGAGGTTACCAGCCTATTTACTAGTCACCAAATGACCTGAGTTCAATAAGACAGCCTCTGGGCTCAAGCTTATTAGCCTTACAGGCTAATAGCAGGGAAATATAGAAGCATGTAAATCATGTGATGATTTAACATAAGCAATAATGAGACTGTTTTAAGGGTGATAGTACAGAAAAGGCAGTTATTTATTTATTTTTTTTGAGATGGACTTCCGCTCTTGTTGCCCAGGTGAAGTGCAATGGCATGGTTTCAGCTCACTGCAACCTCCGCCTCCTGGGTTCAAGTGATTCTCATGCCTCAGCCTCCCAAGTAGCTGGGATTACAGGCATGCACCACCATGCCTGGCTAATTTTTGTATTTTTAGTAGAGATGGGGTTTCACCATGTTGGCCAGGCTGGTCTCGAACTCCAGACCTCAGGTGATCCTCCTGCCTTGGCCTCCCAAAGGGCTGCGATTACAGGCGTGAGCCACTGTGCCCAGCCAGCAGTTATTAATTTTTAACACAAGTGTATATATGTGGGAGATGGGGTTGCCCTTTTGAGGTAATACCTAAAAAACTGAAGGATGAATAGGAATTTGCTACACTACCATTATTGCTCTAGAAGAGATAGAATGAAATTAGTGATTGTTATTAAGCCTTGTCATAAGTCCAGATCTTTAAATTGACATGAAATATTAAGAAAATTCTATGTCTAGAATTTGGATTATTTAGTTTGCAGCCTTTTAGTTGCAAAAGGTGTATTTTCTCTTCTAGATTTTGGTAAACATCCAGAGGGACAGTGTCCTTAAGTGACATTTGGTGTGCGCATATATATATATACACGTATATATATGTGTATATATATACGTGTATATATACACGTATATATACGTGTATATATATACGTGTATATATACACGTATATATATACATATATATACGTGTATATATACACGTATATATATATATATTTTTTTTTTGAGACAGATTCCCACTCTGTTGCCAAGGCTGGAGTGCGGTGGCATGATCTTGGCTCACTGCAACCTCTACCTCCCCAGTTCAAGCGATTCTCTGGCCTCAGCCTCCTGAGTAGCTGGGATTACAGGCATGCACCACCATAACCGGCTAATTTTTTTATTTTTAGTGGAGACAGGGTTTCACCATGTTGGTCAGGCTAGTCTCGAACTCCCAACCTCAGATGATCCACCCACCTCAGACTCCCAAAGTGCTGGGATTACAGGTGTGAGCCACGGTGTCTGGCCTGGTGCTTTAATGCTTTAAAAACGACCAAGTATGACCTGTACATTGTGTAGACTTACTCTGGACAGTAGGGTGAAGGTAGTTTTCTCAGGGAACTATGCCATTACATTAAGGACTCTAATTAAATTCATTTGTCTGTATGTATATCCATGTACCACAAATACACACATGACATGAACACATATACACCTCATCTCCAATGTTACTCAAATATATTTCTCATTGCATGACTCCCTGGCGGTGGGACCAGTGGAGAATGAGAAGATAACTTGTACTTAGTATTTTCACATACAAACCTATCTTTAAGACATTACAAAAAATAAGTTGTAAAAATGTCAGTGTGTTATTAGTCTCTAATTTTTTTTCCCTTCTAAAACAAGTTCTCAAAAGCCTATCATACTATCTCTGATTTCTATTTCAATGGAAGCAGTCAGTACAATGTGTGAAGACCTGGGCATAAAAGCAGCATTAAACTAGTATTAAACAAGACACCAGCATTAAACGAGACAATAAAGTAAGACTAAAAGTACTTTGGAAACTAAAAGTACTACCTAAAAGGAAGGTATCACTATCATTTTGAGCATTTATTTATGTAGTTTTGTCTCCTCTGCCTCTTGTTGGCTATAGGATAGAAGCTGTAGATATAATTCCTAAAAGCGTAAACTTCAAAGTCAAACCATCTGAGCTTGAATCTGGACTCGCTGGCCTGCTGGTTACGTGACATGAGGCATGCTATTTCTCTGTGACTTGGTTTCCTTACCCATATGGATAACAACGGACCTCTCTGAGGGTGGCTGTGAGGACTAAATGAGTTTATAAATGTGAAAGTTGCTGGCAAAGGATAAACACTAAATGTGTTAGCAGTTACTATTTCTACCGCTAATAATAGCATGTAAACCTTGAGTTTTCCATATACACTTTAGAAAAATCAACAACCCTTTCAGGTAACTATTAAAATGTTTTTATTTGATGGTTTGGGTCCTTTTCACTATAATAATCACATAAAATAATAAAAATTTACTGGCCTATGTTCCAGAGGGGCAAATAAATATTAACAAATGTGTCAGGGCTGATGTTCATTTACAATTCTTTCTCATATCAATAATCTTATAATTTGGAAGAGAACCAGGGTAGTCTAAAAAGTACTTGAAAACTGAAGAGCCTGCATTAAAGGATGAATTAAAAACAATCTTTTCAACCAAGTGATATTGTTTAATCAACTCTCAACAATAATTTAGGTTCAAAAGACTGGCAAAGACAGTACAGAATGAGTATTTTCTGCATATATGATGCCAGAATCAACTGACCCACTGCCAATTTCAGAGAAGACTGAAGAAATTAAAGACATTTCTTTTAATCAATAACTGAACACCTATTATGTGCCTGGTAGTGGGAAACACACACACACACACACACCTCTAATTGAAGCTAAATTCCTATTTACTACAGAACAAGAATTCCAAGGGTAGTATTTCTAAACCTAAGCTATGGCTCCGTAGTCTCATTAATGTCTAAGCGTCCTAGAATATAAACATCAAAAAATCCTCCTTTGATACTACTAACTCAATTCTCCCCAAAAGTATATGGTTATATATCCTTGTGGAATTGATTCCTTCCTGTTTATCCAGATTCTTCACCTTTATTTGCTTTTATGGTCTTAAAAGGGAAATGACTACTTAATAATCCAGTTCTACACTGGGTTTCCTACTGCCTCCAAGAAATCTTCTTAAGACAAGCGCTAACTTACAAAAGCTTTAAATATCTCTAAAGATATTTAAAAATTATGTCTCTACTCCTAGTATTTTCATTGCATATATATATTTGAGACAGTCTCGCTCTGTCACCCAGGCTGGAGTGCAGTGGCGCGATCTCTGCTCACTGCAACCTCCGCCTCCTGGGTTCAAGCTATTCTCCTGTCTCAGCCTCCTGATTACCTGGGATTATAGGCGTGAGCCACCACACCCGGCTAATTTTTTGTATTTTTAGTAGAGACTGAGTTTCACTATGTTGGTCAGGCTGGTCTCAAACTCCTGACCTCCTGATCCGCCCCTCGGCCTCCCAAAATGCTGATATTACAGGCGTTTGAGCCACCGTGCGTGGCTCTGCCTTACATTTTTAAAGCTAGGATTTGTTCAAGCTGATATGGTGATTTGCTTCACTTCAAAAAATGCCTTATTATCTTGATTAAGAGTGTTTTTCCCATTTTACCCATTTTAAGGTCCTGTAAGGCAGTCATTTCTATAATGTACACATCCACTACTAGTAGAAAACCCTTGCTTTGGAGTTTATATTTGCCTCCCTGAAACTTGATTTGCCCAGTTTTGTCCTCTTGTGCAATAAAGAATAAACAAGTCTCAAGATTATTATTTTTTTTCTTTTTCAAGCAGGCTTCTCAGTACCTCTAGCCACTCCTCATGACATTCAAACACCTCATATGGTTTCCATTCTCTGAGTTCACTCTAGTTGGTTCACATTCATCTACATACTCTACATGTGGCCTGATATGAGCTACATACCAAGACTGCCAATTAACAATGGTCTGGGGGAACAAATGTTTATCAGCAAATAACAGTTTAGCCAAAATAAATAATTTGCATGCTAGCTTTGAAATTTGCTGAACCCTTACCTATAAACTCTTAATTAAATTCTCCAACTTGAGTATACAGACACCAAGACCATCTGGTATCATTGAAAATAAAGAAACATCAAAGGGATTTGGTTTCTTAATGAATAGAATATAGGGAGTATTTTAAAAGCATTACAATTTCTTCCTGAAGTTATACCTATGTAGAACTTTCTAGAAAGAACAAGTTACCCATTCTTAAAGCTCCAAATTCAGGCCAGGCATGGTGCCTCATGCCGTAATCTCAGCACCTTGGGAGACTGAGGCGGGAGGACTGCTTGAACCCAGAAGCAGACATGCCTGGGCGACAAAGTGAGACCATATCACTAACAAAAAATTCTAAAAATTAGCCGGGTGTGGGTGGTGCATGCCTGTAGTCCCAACTACTCAGGAGGCTGGGTGGGGAAAATCACTTGAGCCCAGGAGATCGAGGCTGTAGTGAGCCATGATTGTGCCACTGCACTCCCAATACAGCAAGACCCTGTCACAAAACAAAACAAAAAACCAAAACAAAACCCAAAACCGAAACAAACAAACAAACAAAAAGCTCCAAATTCCTCCGGTTTTGGAGGTTATCTAAACACATCTAAAAATCATTAATTCAAAAATGGCACAACAGCTTAACTACTATGGACCTGAGGCTTTGAGTCATTTTATTTTGAGACGGAGTTTCGCTTTTGCCCAGCACCCATTAAAATGCTGACAAAAGTGGTCATAACAGAGGGTTTGACTTCAAATCTGAACCATAGGCCTGTTTTGGCAGCAAACATCCTTCTTCCAAAATAGCCAGACTTTTAGACTTCCAAAATAATATAGTTTATTCTGTTAGCCCAGCTGTTTCTCTGGTTCTAAACTTTTTTTTTTTTTTTTTTTTTTTTTGAAACGGAGTCTCACTCTGTCGCGCAGGCTGGAGTGCAGTGGTGGGATCTCGATTCACTGCAACCTCCGCCCCCCGGGTTCAAGCGATTCTCCTGTCTCAGCCTCCCAAGTAGATGGGATTACACGCGCCTGCCACGTTTGTATTTTTAGTAGAGACGGGGTTTCACCACCTTGGCCAGGCTGGTCTTGAACTCCTGACCTCAGGTGATCCAAAATGCTGGGATTATGGGTGTGAGCCACTGCACCTGGCCTTAAACCTGTCTTTCTGAATGAAACTACTATTGCTCTTTTAAATTATAAAATTAGTGTGTGAGACAAATGGATTAAGACATATCATTTTTGCTTACATCATAAATGGGTCAAATTCTGACAAAAACATATTTATTATACTAGACAGGCCAAACATTTATTGAGCTTATTAGTGTCATGTTTACATTTTATAACCATGTTTAAAATGAAATATCCATAACTATTGGTTGTCATTAATAGTAAGAAATGTTTTTGAATATCCAATGTGAATTCCACAATTTTACAACAGCTCAGCTTTTTGATAAATGTAACTATTGAGGTACAAAAGAAGAAACAAACTCAAAATTTGATATACAGGTCTTAGATTTTTTTTTTTTTTTTTTCTGAGGCAGGGTCTTGCTCTCTCACCCAGGCTGGAGTGCAGTGGTGCCATCTTAGCCCACTGCAACCTCCACCTCCCAGGTTCAAGCAATTCTCCTGCCTCAGCCCCCCACCACGTAGCAGGGACTACAGGCGTGCACCACCATGCACGGCTAATTTTTGTATTTTTAGTAGAGATGGGGTCTCGCCATGTTGCCCAGGCTGGTCTTGAACTCTTGAACTCTGGTGATTCGCCAGCCTCAGCCTCCCAAAGTGCTGGGATTACAGGTGTGAGCCACCACGGCCAGATTTCTCTCTTTAAGCAAATTCTGACCAGTACACGTATTTCAGAAGTTATTTTTCTTACTCTCCTGCTCAGAATACTTCATGACCTCCCTTGCCTCAAATTGTTTTCACTATGAAAAGGTATCCTTGGGGATGACATGCGGATATGGTAGAGGAGGAATCCAGAGTAAACAAGATGCATCTTCCTGTATCCTCAATCTTGAGGAAAAATTCTAATCCTAGGCATTTTTACATTACAATACTATGGAATAGATATAAAGTTAGTGGTAATTTTTAGATAAAACTCAAATCTAAAGAAAATATTTCTGAGCCAGAAGCATAGCACTAAACCTCTTCTCTAGAGGAAATATAATCTTTCTAGTCCCTGGCACAGTAACGAATTGGATTGAGAAATAAATTCACTAATCCAAATATGCAACTAGAAGGGTGTATATATAAGGCTAATAACAACTGCTTTTGGATGATAAAAATGATTTTTAAATAATTTTTTTTTGCTCTTCCTGAGGTTTCTATGTCTATATAGTACTTTTATGCTACGAAAAATTAAACTTAACAGAAAAATGCTTAATTTTTGTATATGGAAGTTTCATTGCATTATCAAATCTTTATCACTATAAAATAAACCAGATTTGTATTTCTTTAGTTTGTTTACTAATATAGTTTCAAATTAAAAGAGATTTAAATATCCCTTTTCTTACACTTACCTTTTTTTGAGGTCTGGGGGGGCTTGAAGAGTGGGGAAATGACAGTGAAATCTCTCAACCACGAACTCAAGAAGTAATTCTTGAATTCCTTTTCAATATTACTTTGAGAACTTAAAGCACGCTGTTCCTCTGAAGCTGATTTTAAACTTATCTGATTTTGAAATTTTTCTTCCATGACAGTTAATTCATTATCATGTCTAAAGTTCCTCAACACAGTAGGATTCCCTTTTATAGGTTTCCAAAAGTAAATCATTATATGGATGTAAGGTTGCTTCAAATAATCACTTTTATTTTTCAAGGATTTCTCTCTCTCCTTTTCAAAAAACAAAGTTTGCCCATCACAGAAATCATACATGCTTATTTATAATCAAGAAGATTCCTCCCACCCCTATAAGATTTATCTCTCACCCAGAGTAAACCAGTAAAACAGTTTAGCATATGAATTATTCTGGTGAATCTATTCAACTATTTGATAATCTTTTACTTATTCAATAATGAACAGCTTTTTAGCTCATTAAATATTCACTTGCTATTTTAAGTAGCTGCACAGTATCCTACTGAACATGTTATTTCATCAGCCTTTTATTATTGAATGCTTTATAAACAATACCATAACAAACATATGGATTACTTCTTTAAAAAGTGTATCTGTTAATTGCTTTTACAATATTGGAAAACTGAGATAATTATTCTTTTAATGTTTATAAATCTTAAGGATATATTGTAACTGGTTCATACATAACTATTTGAAGAATTTAAAAAGTCAACTATATAACTTGTCAGCATAAAATTAATATCTGAACCTTGGGACCTGATGTTTAGGCTACTGTTTTGAAGTTTCTTAAATTTAACTTTTTTTTCATATTGCTAATACATTTAAAAGGTTAACCTATATGAATAAATGAGAAACAATGATAGAAACGTTATATACCTCAGGTGTGCGAAAGTAGAGAAAAAGGTTATGAGCTACAGGTATCATATGTTCATTCCATTGGAAGGATGGTTAATATTAGACTGTTAAGGTCAAGAAACAGTGCACATGAGAAATTCTGCCTTACTAAAAAAAATGTACAGGCATTAGTTGGGGGAGAACTGGAGTGATGAAATGGCATAAATAAAGGCAAAGAGAAAGAAAAATGGATTAGGACTAGTTCATTTGAAGAAAAATTAAACAACATAGAAAATGTTGGGACAAGACCACAAGACATCAAAGAAAGAAATTTAAATTGTATACTATAGGAAAAAAAAAGTTAGGAAGATTAAAAAAGTAGTGTATACTATATAGAAGATGAAATTGTTAGTTTAAAACAGCTAGAGGTGACCCGGGCACGGTGGCTCACGCCTGTAATCCCAGCAGTTTGGGAGCCGAGGTGGGTGGATCACGAGGTCAGGAGTTTGAGATCAGCCTGGCTAACACAGTGAAACACCGTCTCTACTAAAAATACAAAAATTAGCTGGGTGTGGTGGCAGATGCCTGTAATCCCAGCTATGCAGGAGACTGAGGCAGGAGAATCGCTTGAACCCGGGAGGCAGAGGTTGCGGTGAGCTGAGATGGTACCACTGCACTCCAGTTTGAGCAACCGAGTGAGACTCTCAAAAACAACAACAAAAACAGCTAGAGGCAAAGAACTAGTTAAAATGCTGCTAAATAGAAATAAGTGAAAAACAACGAAGTACTTAATTATAGTAGAAATTTCAAGGATGAAGTAATCAAAAACACTGTGGTTCATTTGGGTATATGACAAACATGAGCAAATTCAGTGTTTCTTGGAGTCATTAGTTTTGGATCCACCTAAATTGATCACGCAGAAAACACTTTCAAAGCCATCAATGCAAAATTTGCAAAGTCCTGATCATCACACAATACCTATTAACCCCCCACTTAAACACTGTTTGTATTCTAAGTTGGTCTGATGGGGGGTCTAATCTCAAATCAGATTCATAAAAATATTCTGTCCTATCTGCCGACATCAAATAGGCTAAGGCACATATACCTGTCAAAACTATCTTAAAGAAGTATGAAAAACTGGGCCGGGCTTGGTGGCTCACACATGTAATTCCAGCACTTTGGGAGGCCGAGGTGGGCGAATCACGAGGTCAGGAGTTCTAGAGACCAGCCTGGCCAATATGGCGAAACCCCATCTCTACTAAAAATACAAAAAAATTAGCTGGACATGGTGGTGGGTGCCTGCAATCCCAGCTACTCGGGAGGGTGAAGCAGGAGAATTGCTTGGACCCAGGAGGCGGAGGTTGCAGTGAGCCGAGAATCATGCCATTGCACTCTAGCACGGGCAACAGAGCGACACTCACTCAAAACAAAGTATGAAAAACTGAATCTGTAGCTCAGATATCTTGTAGCTTAAACAGCTACAAGATATGGCCCCTATCAACTCTCTGATCCTATAAGCTACTATTCTTCCTGTTTATATTTGATCACAGCTACATGTGCCTCTTTGCTGTTCCATGTACACACAAAAAATGCTTCAGCCTCAGGGTCTTTGTATTTGCTATTTCATCTGCTCAGAAGGGTCTTCTCCCAGGTACCTACATGGTTTGCTCCCTTATTGTTTCTAGGTCTTTGTTCAAATGTCCTCTCTGTAGGGTAGTTCCTGACCATACTATTTAAAAATATCTCTCTTCTGCCTTACAAACACCTTTATCACATCATTCTCACTTTCCCTGCTTTATTTTCTCCACAGAACTTGTCACTCTCTGACATACCAAATATAGTACCTACCAGCTTTTTTGTCCATTCATTCCATCACTCACTCCTCTACCCCCAAGATTAATAAGCTTCAAGGGGGCTGGGATATATATTTTTTATTAAGTGATAATCTTCAGTACCTAAACAGTAAATAAATGTGTACCTCTCTATATATAAATGTTTCAAATCTATTTTTAATGTTGCTTGTTGAACATTAACATTTTCACACTTCCAGAAATGACATTAATAAAAATATAAACAAATTGATATAAAAATCTGTGTAGACTAAGCTAGAATTTACAAACTCTTAATAAAAGGTGTATTTAAGCTTTCTCAATTATGGGACAACAAATAATAGACTTCATTGCTTCATACTAAAATGGTATTTTTGACTAATCACAAGGAAACTTAAACTACCATATAGTTATAATTATAGGTATTCAGTCCAAAGAGGAAGAAAGTTTTAGTGTTACTATAAGAAGCTGTATCTCTGAAAATGTTAGCTCCATAAGTGTAAGCACTCCCGAAGATTATAAGATAATAAAATATGGAAACAGGCAAACTCTGGGGCGATTTAAAGTTTCTACCACTTCCTAATGATTTTCTTTAATAGAATCATTCGTGCTAAGTGGATAAAAGTTACAAATTACAAAAGAAAGATACAGAATACATCCAATAACAAATTAATCAGACTGAGGAACATTTAGTGTAAAACTGGCTTAAAATTTTTTGTCAGCAGAATTTCTCAACATCTAACCCTATAGCAAATAATACAAATAACAAGGAGATTCTTCAAGCAGTTGGCATTTCTTCAAAACACAAGGGTCCAATTATAAGAAAAATATCACATTATTCAAAGTCCTACAGAATTAGAGGAGAATCTGTACTACTCATATTTTTGCATAAATTCCATGATTTATACATAAACCCAAAATATAAATTATAAACATTTAATTTCAGTATAACGTAGACAAAAACAGCACTAACTTTTCATCTTTCAAAGTAATTTTAACGTAAAAGGTTTAAACATTTATTTTGCCAATATATTTTTCATTTCATATAGGCTTAGAAAAAAAAAAGACATCCGAAATACCTGAGATGTATTTTATAAGTAAACAAAGTAAGAACATAAACTTAAATTTCTGGTGGAGGAGTTAGGTCTTCATTAAAAGGGTTCAAGCTATTAGTAATAAAATGGAAGTTATAAGTAATCCCTTGACATGTGTAAAATAAATTTTTTTAGTAGATGGGAATGTACTGATGATAGTCTCTTATTTCTTCTCCCAGATATGCAAGTGATATAACTAAATACTTACTAGAGCCAAATCTATCTCAAAAGTTTAGGTCATTTTTTTTTCCTTTTTGATAGTATTCAATGAGAAATAACACTTTAAATAAAACTTTTTCCATGAGGAAGGTACAGTAATTATCCACCTGCAAAAGGAAAAAAACACAATTTGATTTAGAATGTCAACTTCTAAATATATAAATATATTAATTTAGAGAAAGAATAGTTTATGAAAGCATAATCTTGCTAATCCAAGTAGGGCTAACTGATGCATGTAACAGTAATGACACTTAGTGGCTTAAAAACACCTATAACTCTATATTAACCAAAAAGATACATAACTGACTGAAGAAAATCTTTAATGTTAAATACGGAATTTAGTCTACAGCTAGGCTAAGTTTTCAAATCTACTATCACATATTAATGTGTGATCTTGAGAGATTTGTACTTGAATATAAGATGCAAATAGAATGACTGAAATACATTTCTTGCTACTTCCTGGATACTCTCCTGTAGTCCTCTGAGTAAGCTCCAAACTCAATCCGTAATCCAAGTAACAGACTTAAGATGTTCAATATTGGAACTCTTTGGCATCAATTAAAAAAGAAACCTAAATGAAAAAGATTAGTATTTTTTTCCAAACAAGAAAAAATGAAAACTTAATATATACCCCTATATAACTATGTGCAGTTTGTTTTGCAAAACAAAAAGCCAAAATAAGATTAACACTAAAAGGTATAAACTTTCATTTTACTGCTGGCTCCTTATGTGTTTCAAAATTATAACTCTACAAATAAAACATCCAGCACTGTTGAGAGTTTCCTAAATGTTATTTTTCATTAGATATCGACAGGCCACCTCCTCTTCTCTAAGAAGAGACTGGAATGTACATACTATAAGTTTTAATGCAACACTTTTCCTATATTTTCTTACTTCTCAAATATTTCAATTTTCCTTTAATTCATTGTCAGGATTAAAAATAAGAAAAGTCTTCATTTAGCTATAAAAGCTGCAAATGATCCTTCATCACACTTAAGAGCACTTAAAGATATAAAGAATCATCTGGTAAATGTAAAATGCAAATTTTTTCTTGTCATTTAGAAGACAGATTGAATATAATTTTCTAAAACCTGACTTCAGATACATTTAGGAATACAAAGAAAAAGAAACAAAAAACACCTAACTCCTGGGTTGTTCTAAAAAATATTAGACAGTATTGGGTAAACTTTGTAATTCATTCAATAAATATTCTAAGCATTTGTGTTAAGTCCTGGAATATTTTTAGTGGAATCAAAAATTATATATTTGGTGAAGTCTTTCATGCAATGGTTGAAAGGAAATAAAACAAGTTAAGAGATTGATAAATGATTTTTAAAAGCACCAAGACAGTGTTTCCATGCAAACGCTGGCATTTAGTTCTATCCACTATGTATGGTATATTGGGAACAAAATATTGCTGGATAAAAAATGAGAACTTTAATATAATATTTGATCTTCAAATTAGAATTTAAACAAAAAGGTCCTTAAGCTTTTGAATACAATTTCTTTTTTGTTGTTGTTGAGACAGTCTCACTGTGTCGCCTAGTCTGGAGTGCAGTGGCATGATCTCGGCTCATTACAACCTCTGCCTCCAGGGTTAAGGCGATTCTGCTGCCTCAGCCTCCCATGTAGCTGGGATTACAGGCCCCGGCCACCATGCCTGGCTAATTTTTGCATTTTTAGTGGAGACGGGGTTTTGCCATGTTCGCCAAGCTGGTCTAGAACTCCTGACCTCAGAGGATCCACCCGCCTCGGCCTCCCAAAGTGCTGGGATTACAGGCGTGAGCCACCGTGCCCAGCCTCGAATACAATCCCCTTTCCCTTTCCCTTTCCCCTTTCCTTTCCCTTTCCCCTCCTTTCCAGGCTGGAGTGCAGTGGCGTGATCTCGGCTCACTGCAACCTCCACCTCCTAGATTCAAGTAATTCTCCTGACTCAGCCTCCTGAGTAGCTGGGATTACAGGCGCGCGCCACCACGCCCAGCTAAGTTTTGTATTTTTAGTTGAGATGGGGTTTCACCATGTTGGTCAGGCTGGTCTCGAACTCTTGACCTTGTGATCCACCTGCCTCAGGCTCCTAAAGTGCTGGGATAACAGGTGTGAGCCACCACGCTTGGCTCAAATACAATTTCTTAAATTACATCTGAAGTACTTCATAAATTTCCAAAATAGACAATTCTGATTGTAAAGGACTAATTAACAACTGCTTTTATTTTGTAGATTTTCTGCATGGTTACAACTGAAAACCCTAACACACTCCTTGTACAAAATAATACCAGAGTTATGACAGACTATGCAAATACACTCATCTTCTCCTGAACATCATTTTTAAGTTTAATGACTTTAAAACACTACAGATAAGGAAAAGAACGTAAATAGAGCATTTCTGTTCAGATTTTTGTTGTTGTTGCCGTTAAGATGGAGTCTCGCTCTGTTGCCCAGACTGGAATTCAAGTGATTCTCCCGGGTTCAAGTGATTCTCCTGCCCCAGCCTCCCAAGTAGCTGGGATTACAGACGCCCGCCACCACACCTGGCTAATTTTTTATTTTTAGTAGAGACAGGGTTTCACCACATTGCCCAGGCTGGTCTCGAACTCCTGACCTCACATGATCCACCTGCCTTGGCCTGAGATTACAGGCATAAGCCACCACCGTGCCCGGCCTTTTGTTCAGATTTTAATTAAATTAGGCCAGGGGTGGTGGCTCATGCCTATAATCCCAGCACAGTGGAAGGCTAAGGCAAGACTGCTTGAGCCCAGGAGTTTGAAACCAGCCTGGGCAGCATAGTGAGACCCTGTCTCTATTTTTATTTATTTATTTAGTTTTAATTTTTACATTTTAATTTATTTTTTTGAGATGGAGTTTCACTCTTGTTGTCCAGGCTGGATTGCAATGGCGCGATCTGGGCTCATTACAACCTCCGCCTCCCCGGTTCAAACAATTCTCCTGCTTTAGTCTCCCGAGTAGCTGGGACTACAGGCATGTGCCACCACGCCCGGCTAATTTTTTGTATTTTTAGTAGAGATGGGGTTTCACCATGTCGGTCAGGTTGGTCTCGAACTCCTGACCTCACGTCATCCACCCTCCTCGGCCTCCCAAAGTGCTGGGATTACAGGCTTGAGCCACTGTGCCCAGCTCTACTTTTCTTTTCTTTTTTTTTTTTTGTTGAGACAGAGTCTCCCTCTGTCACCCAGGCTGGAGTGCAGTGGTGCGATCTCAGCTCACTGGAAGCTCCGCCTCCCAGGTTCATGCCATTCTCCTGCCTCAGCCTCCCGAGTAGCTGGGACTACAGGCGCCCGCCACCACGCCTGGCTATTTTTTTTGTATTTTTAATAGAGATGGGGTTTCACCGTGTTAGCCAGGATGGTCTTGATCTCCTGACCTGGTGATCCGCCTGCCTCGGCTTCCCAAA
Organism: Homo sapiens; assembly: GCF_000001405.40. Taxonomy (NCBI): domain Eukaryota; kingdom Metazoa; phylum Chordata; class Mammalia; order Primates; family Hominidae; genus Homo; species Homo sapiens. The sequence goes on from NC_000013.11 coordinate 50,048,071, forward strand.
GTGCGTGAGCCACCGCACCTGGCTGTCTACTTTTATTTTTAATAAAAAATTTTAAAAATACAAAAAAGTAAAAAAAAAAATTAAATTATGTTGACATTTTATATCAATAAAACTACAATGATAATTTGGTCTTACTCTGAGTTAAATCTTGAATACAAAAAAGTAAACAAAGTAAACAAGACCTTATTTTTGACTTATCAAACAAAAATCTTTGGCTAAGGATTTAAGAAAACATTTTAATAAAAACATGAAAAAAATAGTATACCATTATAAAGTTAGAAGACATAAGACTAAGACCCCAATCTGTGATGTGTAGCAAATTATTTGAGTTTTGTGTTTCCTTAGCTATCCAATGAGTGGGTTGGTCACTTGTAAGGGTTTTTCTACCTTTAAAGTTATGGTTAAGTGTGACGTTTTGACAACCAGAATTTTAGGTATTTAATTCACATATTTTGATGGCTTTTCCCCTTCAGATATAAAGAAATATTCAGAAACAGTACTAAATATTGTCTTCTAAGCTCTGTTCAAAATGCTTAATATATTTTATATTTATCTGTAAAGACATATTTTAAAAGTAATTTCAAAACAAAGGGAAAACTAGAATTTGTTTTATCCCAAGTAAAAATCTGAATTAATGTCTATGTTGAATATAAATGTGCATTAAAATAAATTCCTCTAATGCTGCATAAGCTTTTTAAAAAAACTTGATGGCATTCAATACAATTATTAAATTGCAATTACAGTATTTTAAGAGATGATACATCTGAAAAATTAGTATTAATTCATTTTTACAGAATCATACTAAAAATAACAAGATTATCAATAATACTGAAAAGACTATCAATAAAACTGAAAACACATTAGTAACATTAATATACATTAAAACACAACTGTAGAGTATGGTCAACCTTACTTCAGCAGCACAGTTAATACTGGAGATAATTTTAGAATCTTAACGCCAATATTTACGTGCTGCTAAGGCACTGCTGACATTGCTATCATAAGAGCTATGAATAAAAAGAAATATATTTTCTTCAGAAGATCAGATCCTTGTATTTTTGAGGCAGCACAATATGGCCTGCACCTTTTCAAAATCCACAAACCATTATGTGCTGCTACTTTACTCCAAGGTTTTATTTTTTTTAAACACACATTCGCGCCTAAAGAATATAAAAAATATTTTCTTTCAGGAAAAAAAGAATGCATGTAAAAAAATCTATGTTTAAACATTATAACATTGATGTAATATGCATAATTATTTTTAAGGAGATTTTAAGTAGAATAATAAAACATTTCTACATCAAAAACTTAACTGAAGTCCATTCTGTGCCCAGCACAGTGCTATAGGTTAGGAAACACAAAGAATAAAATGAGGAAAAGAAAAGCATTTATTTGCTATGCCAACTTAACAGGGCAATACAACTAAATGCTTAAACTTTTGAATATATTCAATATATGAAGTTATTTTTCCTTGTATAAACAAACAAGTAAATTTATAAAATTTGATCTTTACCTTGGTAAAAGGAGAATTTACAAACATTTTGTTCCTTGCAGTACACCTTTCAAAAGACATCTTCATCAAATAGGTAAGACTTCACATCAAGGGAAAAACATGAAATGACATACAAGAGCTCAGTTTCAATAAACTTAAGCTAGCAAAATGCAAATATACTTTTAAAGAAAAATACTTTAATTCTAAATGTTAATTTTATTAAATATCTAATTAAGACATTTTAATTCCAAATATAGTTAAGAAAAAAAGCTCTAAACAAACTAATTCTCCCTTAAATAATTTGTTATTAATAATCTAAATATTTTACTTTCAACATTGATCTTCATACTAGAAGTTCTCTTAGAGTTGGATATCATTTGATACAGTAATTCTAAAATATGAATCCTTAAGTAATTCTAAAATATGAATCCTTGGGATGATGAGTTAATTTGGTACCCTGAGATGAGAAATAAAACAAATCCCATAGCTCTTAATCTTCCTATTCCCTGTTTCTGGCCCATTTACCAGGTAAGGAAGAAACTCCTAGTTTCCACTTTCTCAGATGTAGAAATGAAATTCCTTTTCTCTAAAAGATATCAGAAAATTGCCACCACTCTAGTGGTGCCACCATTCAAGCCTGGACAATCTTTTTTGCCCCATGTTCTCATCATTAAAATGACTATGCTAAAGTTACATCTATTACAGAATAGTAAGGTGATGTACACAACCAAAGCACTAAAATTTGCTCTTCCATTCTAATATCTAATTACTTATACAAAGCACAGGGTCACATTCCATATGAAATTTTTCTGAGTATTTTTCCCATTAATAAAAAATATATGTAGCTAATCTCCTATCTAAGCAACCTGGATTTCACATATAACTCTGCTCCTTATTGTCTCAAGTTTCTGCACAACGTTTTTTAAATTTTTATTTTTTCTTTTTTTAAGAGAGTAGTTTCCGTATCTTTTAGAGAAAAAGAAATTCATTTCTACATCTGAGTAAGTGGAAACTTTAGGAGTATACTTCCTTACCTGGTAAATGGACCGGAAATAGGTAGGGAATAGGAAGATCAAGAGCTACAGGATTTGTTTTACTTCTCATCTCAGGGTACTCTGTTGCCCAGGATGGGGTACAGTGCCATGATCGTAGCTCACTGCAGCCTTGACCTCCTGGGCTTAAGTGATCAGTCCACCTTAGCCTCCCAAGTAGCTGGGACTACAAGTGCACACACCACCATGCACAGCTCTTTACATTTTTATTTTATTGTAGAGACAAGGTCTTGCTATGTTGCCTAGGATGTCTTGAACTCCTGGCCTCAAGCAATCCTCCTGCCTTGGCCTCCCAAAGTCCTAAAATTACAGGCAAGAGCCACCATGCCTGACCTGCACTTTTTTTTTATTTTTTGAGACGGACAGGGTTTCACCATGTTAGTCAGGCTGGTCTTGAACTCCTGACCTCAGGTGATCCACCTGCCTTGGCCTCCCAAAGTGCTGAGATTACAGGGGTGAGCCACTGCGCCCATCCTGACCTGCACAATTTTTAACATGTAACCAAGATAAATCCGTTTGCATTCACTTGAGAAATATATAACATATATTTGTATTTATCAATTATATTAAGGAATTGTCCTTCAGGGTCCCCCTCATCACATACATTTTCCAGATAAAAACTTAAACATAATTTTTTTCAAATATAAAAGGTGCCTGTAAATTATTTAACAAATATTTTATTGAATATCTACTATGTGCCAGGCACTGTCCCAGTTATTACACTAGTTGGTAGTATACCAGATAGACAGTCTCTTTTCAGAAAGAGTAAAGTCATTTTAAGACAACTTAAAGTGAAGGATCTTAAGCTGAAGAATTTAGTGCCAGCAAAGGATGGTTTGAGTTTCAGAAAGACGTTTGGTTTTAAAAATGTCAAGATAACAGGAGAAGCGGCTTTGAGGCAGCAGATGAGTTCCCAGACACCATTAAGAAAATCGCTGGGGAGAAAGGACAGGTTTTTTTTTTTTTTTTTTTTGAGATGGAGTCTTGCTCTGTCGCCCAGGCTGGAGTGCAGTGGTGCCATCTAGGCTCACTGCAAGCTCCGCCTCCTGGGTTCATGCCATTCTCCTGTCTTAGCCTCCCGAGAAGCTGAGACTACAGGCGCCTGCCACCACGCCTGGCGAATTTTTTGTATTTTTAGTAGAGACGGGGTTTCACCATGTTAGCCAGGATGGTCTCAATCTCCTGACCTCGTGATCCGCCTGCCTCGGCCTCCCAAAGTGCTGGGATTACAGGTGTGAGCCACCATGCCCAGCCCAGGATGGGTTTTTAATGCTGATAAATATGCCCTATTCTGGAAGAAAATGCCACAAAGGACATTTATTAGTAAGGAAGAAAAGCAAGCACCAGGATTTAAGGCAGGAAGAGATAGGCAAACTCTACTGTTCTGTGCAAATGCAGTCGGTTTGCTGCCCTTAGCCATAAAGCTGCTAATCCCTGAGCCTCAAAGGGAAAAAACACCAGCAGCCAGTCTTTTGGTTGTACAACAAGAAGGTATGAACGAGAATGCTTTTTCTGGATTGGTTCCATCAATGCTTTGTTCCCAAAGTCAGGAAGTACCTTGCCAATAAGGGACTGCCTTTTAAAGTTCTTTTGATATTGGACAATACTCCCGGCCACCCAGAACCACAAGTTCAACACCAAAAGCACTGAGGTGGTCTACGTGCCCCCACACAATGTCTTTATTTCATCCTCTGTATTAGGGTCATAAGGACCTTTACAGCTCATTATACATTGTACTCTGTGGGAATGACTATCAACGCTGTGGAAGAGAACCCTGATAGAATAACATGAAAGTCTGGAAGAATTACACCACTGATTATGCCACTGTTGTTACAGAAAAAGCTGTGAATGCCATCAAGTCTTAAACACATTCCTGGAGAAAACTGTGTCCAGATGATGTGTATGACTTCACAGGATTTATGACAGAGACAATCGAGGAAATCATGAAAGAGACTGTGGTTATGACAAAAAAAGGTATGGTTGGGGAAGGCCGAAGGGTTTCAAGATATGGATCTTTGAGAAATTCAACAGCTAACAGACACCACACCATAGAAATTAACAGACAACTTGATCGAGATGATCGGTTCTGCACTAGTGCCAGATGATGAGGAAGACAACATAGAAGCAGTGCCAGACATATACTGCTGGCACTGACATTAGAGAGTCTGGCAGAAGGGTTGCAATTATTCAAGACTACTTTTGATTTCTTTTATGACATGGACTCTTCTATAATATGGGCACTGAAACTAAAGCAAAAGGTGGACAGACGATTGTTAATATATAAAAACACTTTTTAGAAAAATAAAAAAAGCAAAAAAGTCAGGCAGAAATTACGATTATTTCTGTAAAGTTACACCAACTGTGCCTGGCCTTTCCTGCCTCCTCTCCCACCTCCTCCACCTCTTCCACTCCAGAGACAGCAAAACCAACCCCTTTTCTTCCTCAGCCTGCTCAATGTGAAAACAGTGAAGATGAAGGCCTGTATGATGATCCACTTCCATTTAATCAATAGTAAATATATTTTCTTTAGCTTACTTTAATATGGTATATGATATGCATAACATACAGAATATGTTATTGACTTTATGTTATTGGTAAGGCTTCTGGTCAACAGTAGGCTATCTGTAGTTGAGTTTTAGGGAAGCCAAAAGTTATACATAGATTTTCAACTGCATGGGGATTGGCGCCTCTAATCCTCACATTGTTCAAGGGTCAATTGTATTTTTAAAATTGTGGTTCAATATACATAAAAGTCACCATTTTAACCAGTCTTAAGTGCATGCTTCTGTGGTATAAATATGTTTGCCCTGTTGTGCAACCCTCCATCTCCAGAACTTTTTCATCTTCCCCAAGTGATACTGCTTAAACACTAACTGTCCATCTCCTCTGCCCCTCAGCCTCAGGAAATCACCATTCTACTTTCTGTCTCTATGAATTTGCCTATTCTAGTTATCTCATGTAAGTGGAATCATACAGTATTTGTCCTTTTGTGTCTGGCTTACTTCACTTAGCATAACTTTTTCAAGATTCATCCATGTTGTAGCATGCAACAAAATTTTCCTCTTTACAGTTGAATAGTTTTCCATTGTGTGTGTATACATTTTGTTTGTCCATTCATGTGATGATGGGCATTTAGGTTGTTTCTGTCTTTGGACTATTATGAATAATGCTGCCATGAACATGGTGTACAAATATCTTTGAAATCCTTCTTTCAATTATTTTGGGTATATGTCCAAGTGGAATTGCTGGATCTTACAGTAATTCTATTTTTCATTTTTTTGAGAAACTGCCATACTGTGTTCTACAGTGGCTACAGCATTTTACATTCTCACCAGCAATTTACAACTTCTCCCATCGTTGCCAACATGTTATTTTCTGTTTTTGTTTTTGATAATAGCCATTCTAATGAAAATGAAGTGGTATCTCATTGTGGTTTTCACTTCCATTTTCCTAATGAATAGTGATGTTGAGCATCTTGTGTTTGCTGGCCAATTGTATATCTTCTTTGGAGAAATGTCTATTTAAGTCCTTTGCCCATTTTTTGACTGGGTTGTTTACTTTTTATTGAGTTTATACATTCTGGATATTAATCTCTTATTAGATACATGATTTGCAAATATTTTCTCTGATTCTGTGGACTGACTTTTCACGGTAATAGTGTCCTTTGATGCACAGAAGTTTAATTTTTTTTTTTTTGAGATGGAGTCCCATTCTGTTGCCCGGGGTGGAGTGCAGTGGCACAATCTCGGCTCACTGCAATCTCCGCCTCCCAGGTTCAAGCAATTCTCCTGCCTCAGCCTCCCGAGTAGCTGGGACTACAGGTTCCCGCCACCATGCCCGGCCAATTTTTGTGTTGTTTCACCACGTTGGCCAGGCTGGTCTCAAACTCCTAACTTGGTGATTCACATGCCTCGGCCTCCCAAAGTGCTGGGATTACAGGTGTGAGCCACGGTGCCTGGCCAGAAGTTTTAAATTTTGATGAAGTCCAATTGATCTACTTGTTTTGTCTGTGCTTTTGGTGTCATATCTGAGAAATCACTGCCAAATCCAATGTCTTGAAGCTTTTGCCCTTTGTTTTCTTCTAAGAGTTTTGTATTTTTTAACTCTTATGCTTAGGTCTTTGAGTTAGAAATTAATTTTTAGTTACTTTTTGTATATGGTGTATGGTAAGGATCCAACTTTGTTCTTTTCTGGTGTGGATATCCAATTTTCCCAATACCGTTTGTTGAAGAGTCCTTTCTTTACTGAATGAGGATCTTTGGTACTTCTTGGCACCTTTGGTGAAAATCACTTGAAAATATATGCAAGGGTTTATTTGTGGGCCCTCGGGTCTATTTTCATGAATCTCTATGTCTAGCTTTATGCTTTGTAGGAGGTTTTGAAATCAGGTAGTGAGACCTCCGACTTTCTTTTTAAAATTTGTTTTGGTTATTTCATGTCCTTTGAGATTCCATATGAATGTGAGAATAAATTTTTCCCATTTCTGTTAAACAAAATTTAGGATTTTGATAGGAATTGCATTCACTTTGTAGATCATTTTGGGTAGTACTGTCATTTTAACAATATTAAGTCTTCCAATCCATAAATGTGGGATGCCTTTCCATTTATTTATTGTCTTTAATTTCTTTCAGCAATTTTTTTTTGTAGTTGCTGTACATAAGTCTTTTACCTCCTTGGTTACGTTTATCCCCAAATATTTTATTCTTTTTGATGTTTTATAAATGGAATTGTTTTAATTTCCTTTTTGAATTGTACATTGTTAGTGAACAGACACACGATTGATTTTTGTGTGATTTTGTATCATACAACTTTGTTAAATTCATTAGTTCTAACCGTTTTTGGTGGAATCTTAAGGGTTTTCCAGATACATGATTGTGTCATCTGTGAAGAGATAATTTTTCTTTACTATTATCTTTTGTAACTAAAATTGGTTTAAGGGCTTTCTGGCAATCTCGGTCCATTCATTCTCTAATTCTCCTAGAAACACATCAGACAGCTGTGTCCCCTCTCTTCTTTCAAACTTCCAACACTTTCCCTTTCATTTTTACTTTCACTGAGAAAACAGAAACTATCAGAAATTTCCTCAGTTCCCACCAAATCTAACATGTATCTGTGTGCATACAACTCTTACTTCTTTCTAGTATCAATGAACCCTCACTGTTCATAAGACAAATTCCTTCTCTTTGATCTTCACTTACTTACTTAAGGATATTCCTTTAGATATTCTCCTGCATCTTTAATCTTCCTCTCTGTTGCATGATTCTTATCAGCAAAAGTGCTACAATTTATCTCAGCATAATTTTATCTCTTAAAGACTGTTGCTATCTGTAATAACACTGCAATTTTATCACTGATGTTTTAGTAAACCACCATGGAGGAAGACTTTTTCCTTGTCTATTTTCCTTTTATTTCTAACTATCTGATTTATATTTGAAAGCCTGAAACATTTGAACTATTAAAATATTTATTATAATTCTCCAGAAAAAAATATGAAAATTCTTGATTTAAATGTATTAACAAATTGAAAGATTCAGTGGAACAATTCCAAGCACATAGAGAGGATATATCTCTTTCTTTTCTTGTGTTCGATAATAATAATCTCCTCCCAGTGTGGTATGGTTTGATTTTTCCTTTCCACTTATCTTCGCCTTAGGGGCTGCCAAAGTAGGTTTTATACTATGCCTTCAAAAAGGGACTATTTTAAATTTAAAATTTCCTTGAGTCTATAAGTTTAGACTATTTCTACTCACATGATAGGGATATTCAGATACTAATACATGCCATCAATATGGTTTTGCTAGTTTGTTGTTTAGACATGTCCTTGTATGGCACTATGTTACTTTAGGTTTTCTGAACATTTAATTTTACTTTCAATCCAGCATCAACACAATCTGTAATGGTAATTACTTCCTCCAAATATGCCTTACTTCTATTCTGCACTTGAAGCTCTAAGGAACTGTGTATATACAGTGCCTCGGCCACAGAATGACTATCCTTGCTCAATGACAGTGGAATAATACACAGTATGTCAGTATTATACCAGACAGAAAATTTATAAATAGCTATTCTTCAATACCTTTACGTAAAGGCCTGAGTTATGGGGTCTAAAATAAATGCATGACAATTTCACTAAACATGGTAATTTTTTTTTTTTTTTTAAGACAGAGTCTTCTTTTGTCACCTAGGCTGGAGTACAGTAGCGTGATCTCAGCTCACTGCAACCTCCTTCTCCCAGGCTCAAGCTATCCTTCCACCTCAGCCTCCCAAGTAGCTGGGACTACAGGCCTGTGCCACCACGCCCAGCTAAGGTTTGTATTTTTTTTTTTTTTACAGACGTGGTTTCATCATGTTGGCCAGGTTGGTCTCAAACTCCTGGCCTCAAATGATCCTCCCGCCTTGGTGTCGCAAAGTGCTGGGATTACAGGTATGAGCCACCATGCCTGGCGAAACATGGTAATTTTTTTATTACCCTACTATGAAGTCTTATAAAGTGTCCAAATATATAACATTTACAGGAAAGATTAAAATGTGCTTTTGCTTGATTCTTGTTTCTGGAATATAAATACTTAAAAACAAAAAGGCTCTATTAACTAGAGAAGATAGCTTTAAAATTCAGTGTTAGGAATACGCATTCAATAAAATAATAATCAGATTTAATCCAACATGACTGTTTTATAATATAAAAAACCTAGTTGTTGAGTTTAGGCAAATATAAAGTTTTACTGTTTCTAAACTGCCTTGATTTCTTCTGATGAAAAAATGACTGAAAGATTGCTTAAAAACTGTGTATGAAGTAGATTTCAATCTGGAAAATTTATTCCAGAAAGTCAGACTATATATATAAGCCCCCCAAATGTTATTTTAATATTAGATTCTCTTATAATCATTTCCTTATACAAAAAGTTAAACTTCTTAGAAATCAAACATTCATATTTTATTTGATGACTTTACTTCCTAAATACTAAGTATGACTAAATTACAAATATATCATGTTAGTCAAGAAATGCAATATAAAAAGGTTTGATAAATATGCTATTTACATTTTTTCTTACATTCTTCTTTTGCTCCCTTTTATGTCCTAATCATTCATACTTGCCCATTGTTATTCTTTCTTAACACTCAATTTTCATCTTGTGTCAATCATCCCTTGTATTCAGCTAGTCAATAAAATGAATTGATTCTTTAAGACCTCAGTTCATTGATTTCTTCGCCATTCTTGATTTCATACCTTAAATCTGGATTTAAGTACCTTATAAATCCAATTGCATTTTAGCTGGACCTCCTAGTCCTTAATCAATTAATAAATCTTCCCAAAGTTACATATTCAAGAATGTATCTAGGCTGGACGAGGTAGCTCATGCCTGTAATCCCAGCACTTTTGGAGGCTGAGGTCGGAGGATTGCTTGAGCCCAGGAATTTGAGAGACCAGCCTGGGCACCATAGCAACACCCCATCTCTACAAAAAAAAATTATTATTATTATTTTTTAACTTTTATTTTAAGTTCAGTGGTACAACTGCAGGTTTGTTATGTAGGTAAACTTTTATCATGGGAGTTTTTTTTTTTGTTTGCTTTTTTTTTTTTGAGACAGAGTTGCACTCTGTTGCCCAGGCTGGGGTGCTGTGGCTCAATCTCGGCTCTCTGTGACCTCCACCTCCCAGGTTCAAGTGATTCTCCTGCCTCAGCCTCCCGAGTAGCTGGGATTACAGGCCAGCGCCACCAAGTCGGGCTAACTTTTTTGTATTTTTAGTAGAGATGGGGTTTTGCCATGTTGGCCAGGCTGGTCTTAAACTCCTGACCTCAAGTGATACACCCACCTCAGCCTCCCAAAGTGCTGGGACTACAGGCGTGAGCCACCATGCCAGGCCTGTCATGGGAGTTTGTTGCACAGATTATTTCGTTACCCAGGTATTAAGCCTAGTACCCATTAGTTATTTTTCTTGGTCCTCTCCATCCTCCCACCCTCTATCCTCCAAAAGGCCACAGTGTGCGTTGTTCCCCTCTATGTGTCCATGTGCTCTCATCATTTAGCCACCCCCACACAAAAAATTTAAAAATCAGCTGGGCATCTGTAATACCAGCTACTCAGGAGCTGAAGTGGGAGGAATCACTTGAGCCCAGGAGTTTGATGCAGCACTGAGCCATAATCATGCCACTGCACTGAACTCCACTCCAGCCCAGGTGACAGAGCAAAACCTTGTTTCAAAAAAAAAAAAAAAAAAAGTAATTTCTAGTTTCCTAAGTAGAATCTCTACTTTCTGCCTAAGTATCAAGGTCTGTATAATTAAGATCTATCCAATGTTTCCTGCTTTTCTCCAAAGAAAACACTTCCATTCCAGTTAAATGGTCTCTTTTAAGACATTAACAACCACTAAGAACCTTTGAATACAGAAAATTATTCTCATTATTAGGTACTGTGTTGGGCAGATAACTGGTTCCCTATTCCATACTTATCTCTCCATTCAAAATGGACTAGCTGTGAGGAAATCTTTACTAGTATAGACCATGCCATTTCTTCAATCCTTTATCTTAGTCCACTGGAAATATCATCATGACTCCATCCCTTAAATCTCTGCTTTTACGTTTGCTGGCTGAAAGAAAAGCCACTTTGCCTAACCAGATACAGAAAGAGCCCTAATGGCTAGATGTAGAGCCAAAGAAAAGAGCTTCTAAAAAAAAAAATACAAAAATATTCTGAAGACAGAATCATTCAGTCCTTATCCTTTACACAACAACCATAGTTCCAAGTCTGGTGGTTTATATTCTGGGCTGTGGGCCTTTGATATACCAGAACTCTCCATTCTTATAATCTTCCAACAAAAAAAAAGTAGTTATATTGAAAGGTGAGACAAAATAAGTAAATTAAATGTCTTGCTTAATAATTCAACTTGAATATAATAAATCTGAGTAGATGGGAATCTTTAAATCTCTTAAGTTGGTTTTCTATGTTAGAATTTAATATATTTTAAGAAATATGGAAAAAATAAATTGTATATAAGTTAATGTTTTTTCCTTGTTAATGATTTACAGCTCTAATTTTATTTCCAATAACATTTTTTAGACATTTTCTTACATGTGCTCTATTATCAGTTCATCTGTAGTTTACATAAAGTTGTTATTGCATTTAACAAAATCATTTAGAAATTCTTTTTATTTATTTATTTCTGTCCTTACAATCTGTTCTCATTGAAATTCTAGTCATGTCTCCTAAACTACAGAATCATCCTCAGTACAATAAATCTACTGGTCAATTTCTACATTTTAAACTTACTATCAGTAAAATAAACAGCAGAAATTTATACAAGCACATCTAGTAGTGAACAGGTGTTCAACAAATGCCTACTGAATCTAAATTTACAGGATTTGAAATTCTAACACACTTAAGTGTTTCAGTGAACTGCAGCTCAACATGACCCGATAGTATTGATGAAAAAAAAAGCTAGTGCAATCAGACTGCACTATAGAACTTTATTCATAGATGCAGTGTGTTTTGTACCTATACTACATTAAGTATATTGCAATTAATTCTAAATACAATTATTTAAAAAGGAATACTAACAAAATGTAACAGATCCAAAGTAGGGTATCCAGAAAATATTGGTCTAGAAATTAATATGGTCTAGAAAAAATATGGTCTAGAAATTAATGCTATATGGCAACAGTGGAAGGACCTCAGAATGTACAGCTTAGAGAAAAGACATAAAAACAATTTTTAGACAGTAGATCTAGGGCCAGAGAACAAAGTTATAAACAGATCTTCAAATGATGTTTCATTCAACATTGTTTCATTTTTAATACTGAAGAGGAAAAATATAGAGATTTCTGTCTGGGGCCACAGTGTGTGGAGTTTCCACGTTCTCCCCATGTCTGCATGGGTTTTCTCCCACATCCCAAAGATGTGCATGTTATGTTAGTTAGCACATCTAAATTGTCTCAGTATGGCTGAGTGTCGGGGTAGGAGGACACCCTGTGATAGAATGGCATCCTATCCAGGGTTGGTTCCCACCTCGCATCCTGAGCTTCTAGGATAGGCTCCAGCCACCTGCAACCCCAAAGTGGAGTAAGTGGGTTGGAAAATGAATGAATGTAAATTACTGCAAAATAAAAACTTGTCAAATATACAATCATCATACAAATGCACAACAACAAATGATGTAGTATGAAAGTGCTCAGCAAGCATGCCATATTTGTTATTGCTTGTTTTTGAACAACATGGTAGTAGAAGGTGCTCCTTACAATTTCTGCTTTACAAACATTTATTCCTTATTTTAACTCACCACCACTATGACCATCATCGCTGACTCATCAAAAATTGGGTAAATGATGATCTTGTTTCTATTAAACTTTCTTAAATGTATGTTTAACTCACATTTATTTCACAATGTTTAATACCAGAAATGTGTTGGATCTTTATTTAGAAGGTGATGTTCTTTGTGACCAGAAATAGGCTATAGGAACTTAACTCTTGTTTATATCAATTAGCCTATGGTGAAACTGGTTTTATTCTATGTCATTTAGCTTAAAGCTGCAGTTTCCAAGAATCTATTCATTACTTTAAGTGAGGACTTACTGTACTAAGTTGAAACCTGCCCTCTGATGAGAAACTTATTTTATGTTAATTAACATAAATGTAATTTATAACGTAAAGGAAAACATTTGTTTACTATGATTCTAATTCTAATATTCTAGGGTCAAAATAAAATTAATAAAGTTCAATTTAAAATAAAATTGACTTAGAAAAATTTAGTGTACTTTACTTATTTTGTCTTGTTAAGGATTTGGAGGACAGATTGCCAGTTTTAAGTTCCGACTACAGGGCACCAAATACTAGAGGCATAAAGAAACAGCTGAACTAAGGATATAAAAACTAAAAGTAATAATTTAAAACTGAGGTGTACTGAATTTTAATTCAGATATTGTTTCCCTAAACACTTTATTTATTTTTTTGAGATGGAGTCTCGTGCTGTTGCCCAGGCTGGAGTGCAGTGGTGGGATCTCGGCTCACTGCAGCCTCCACCTCCCAGGTTCAAACTATTCTCTCACCTCAGCCTCCCAAGTAGCTGGGATTACAGGCACTTGCCACCATGACTGGCTAATTTCTGTATTTTTAGTAGAGACGAGGTTTCACCATGTTGGCCAGACTGGTCTTGAACTCCTGACCTGAAGTGATCCACCCGTCTCGACCTCCCAAAGTGCTGGGATTACAAGTGTGAGCCACCATGCCCAACTGTTTCCCTAAACATACTTTTTGAGATGGAGTCTCGCTCTTAGTTGCCTAGGCTGGAGTGCAGTGGCTTGATTTTGGCTCACTGCAACCTCTACCAGCATACATGCTATTCTCCTGCCTCAGCCTCCCCAGTAGCTGAGATTACAGGCACCCGCCACCATGCCTGGCTAATTTTTCTATTTTTAGTAGAGACTGGGTTTCACCATGTTGGCCAGGCTGGTCTTGAACTCCTGACCTCAAGTAATCCACCTGCCTCAGCCTCCCAAAGTGCTGGGATTACAGGCATGAGCCACCATATCTGGCCTCCCCAAAAATTTTAAACTGAGGTTCTGAAATTTGACCAGTGGTAGAGTACTTGAAAGGATGGCATTCTTAGTGGTAATACTGTTAAATGTATCAAAACTTCATTTTCATTAGCTACAAATAGTTTTACTATAAGAAACAGATTTTATAAGACATTTTAAAGTAACTTGTTTTTTTCTTTTTATTTTCTTTTTGAGATGGAGTCTTGCTCTGTCACCCAGGCTGGAGTGCAATGGTGCAATCTCAGCTCACTGCAACCTCTGCCTTCCAGGTTTAAGCAGTTCTCCTGCCTCAGCCTCCTGAGTAGCTGGGATTACAGGTGCACGCCACCATGCCTGGCTAATTTTTGTTATTTATTTATTTATTTATTTATTTATTTATTTATTTATTTATTTATTTTTGAGACAGAGTTTCACTCTTTCGCCCAGGCAGGAGTGCAGTGACGCGATCTCGGTTCACAGCAACCTCTGCCTTCTGGTTTCAAGCAATTCTCCTGCCTCAGCCTCCCAAGCAACTGGGACTACAGGTGCCGGCCACCATGCCCGGCTAATTTTTGTATTTTTAGTAGAGACAGGTTTTCACCATGTTGGACAGGCTGGTCTCGAACTCCTGACCTCATGATCTGCCCACCTCAGCCTCCCAAAGTGCTAGGATTACAGGCGGGAGTCACTGCACCCAGCCAAAGTAACTTGTTTTAATGGAAAAACAAGCATAAATTAATTTAGTGGATATAACAGGAAAAATGAAGCTTATAGTCTAGGCAAAAAGGTGTGATAATTGACAACATATATTTTAATTATGCATTCAATTTATTCCTCTTTTACATAGAGATTAAATTTAAAAACTCAAGTTTCAGACTAATAGGTAGTAGATTAGGGCAAAAGTACATAGAATAAGTCAGGGGATGTTACTTATTGCATTTATAACTTGAAATCCCCATGACAGCAGAGTTGATTATATCTGTACATTTATTTTCTATTTAAATCAGGCCCCATGCTGTTAAATTCTACCTTTTGTTTTCCTAAGAAAACAACCAAGTAACTTCATACTAAGAAATTCCCTATTATTCCTCTTTGAATCATCCATCTTGAAGGTAAGAAGTTGTTCAGGTTGAGGAAACAAGCCCAACCCCTTTTTATAATTTTGGCACTAAAAATCAAATTTTATGGTGCAATTTTATTAAGAGCGAAAACACAGCCATCGCTTAAGCATAAAAGCTCATATTTAACTCAATTATTTTGCTAAACATATATAAGACAAATATGGAAGAATGAGGACAAGGAACACCTGGCATTTTTATTAAATGTCTAATTCTCAAAAATAGCAATTATTTGAACAATGAAAAACAGCTGCAGCATATTGTGAACTTTCTCTATATTCATAAATTATAGAATACATAAGAGCCTAGATTTTATATATTTACTAAATTAATGGCACTTCATCATATCAATAGGTTTATAAGACATTCTCTTTACTACCAAATGCTGACAATAGCTGGTACCTTTATGAATTTTTTGGGTTATAACACTCTTTCACCACTAATCCAACTGCCAAAAGAGCAATTTATTTTTTCTCTTTTGGGGAATTCCTTTCTCCCAGAAACATTCCCATTTTTAAAACTATTCAAGATAATTAGAATTTCCTCATCAGTGACACAGGTATACAGCAATTTACACAAGAGTAAATTTCTATCACAATAATTAAAAATAAGAGAAACTTTGGCTATGTCTAGTGCATAATATAATTACATCATTATGGTTTTATTGAAAGCACAACAGATTTTATATCATTTGCCATATATCAATTACTTACTGCTCCACTGATAAAAACATTGATTTTTTTTGCAGTATTTTCAGTCAGTCCTACGTTTGTACATTTTATAATTTACAATTGACAATATTTTCTAGGCTGATGATTACATACCATTGCTTTTATTGCTAACCTGATAATACTTCTAAAAACTTATATTGATAACTAGTCATATGTGAGAAATAGTTTTTGTTATTTCTTTTTACTAGGCTTGCTCTTGATAGCAGCCAAATTTAATAAGTCTTTGGAATTAGGAAGTAATTTATCTCTATCATTTTTGTTTATGGAACTAACATTGACAGCACTGGTGAATATTCTGCTTCATCTTTTCTTTCCCTATTTATAAAGTCAATGTTTTAAGATTTTTATTGTAGATTATTAAAAAGAGAGATGTAATATTCTTAACTGCTGACAATGTTTTGAGATTTTTTTAAGCACCAAATATATATTTAAATTTACATAACAGATGTCAACATGTATTTACATTTGCAGGTAAACATATGTTTACATTTACAAACAGAAATATATAATTTAAGTGTCTGTATTCGAAAATGCAATGTGAAAAATAAAAATAATTCAAAAAAGAAAAAGAAATAAAGACATATAATTATTTCTGAATTTTTTGTTAAGCAGCGAAAGTTTAAGATCTCTAAATTGAAAAATAAACTTGAAAAATACTCCATCTCTATATTTAATTTGTAAAAATGAACCCCAAACTGCCATTGTTTGACAGGATTGTATACATGAACATCACTGTTCTACAACTTCTAGAACATCCACATTCCACAAATGAACAGCTTTAAAAAAAATCCCATCTTAGGCAGGGCAAGGTGGCTCACGCCTGTAATCCCAGCACTTTGGGAGGCTGAGGCGGGCAGATCACCTGAGGTCAGGAGTTCGAGACCAGCCTGACCAACACAGAGAAACCCTGTCTACACAAAAACAAAAAACAAAAAACAAAATTAGCCAGGCGTGGTGGTGCATGCCTGTAACCCCAGCTACTCAGGAGGCTGAGGCAGGAGAATCACTTGAACTTGGGAGGTGGAGGTTGTGGTGGGCCGAGATCATGCCATTGCACTCTAGCCTGGGCAACAAGAGCGAAACTCCATCTCAAAAAAAAAAAAAAAAGAAAATACATCTATCTATCTAGATATCTAAAATCGATCTATATATAGATATCTAAAATATATCTATATATGTAAATATATATTATATATAAAATATATGTAAATATATATTATATGTAATATATATTATATATAATATATGTAAATATATATTATATATATGTAAATATATATTATATATAAAATATATATTATATATATGTAAATATATATTATATATAACATATGTAAATATATATTATATATGTAAATATATATTATATATAACATATGTAAATATATATTATATATGTAAATATATATTATATATAACATATGTAAATATATATTATATATATGTAAATATATATTATATATAAAATATATGTGTGTATATATATATATATCCCATCTTTTTTTTTTTTTTTTTTTTTTTTTTTTTTTTTTTTTTTGAGATGGAGTCTCACTCGGTCGCCCAGGCTGGAGTGCAGTGGTGTGATCTCGGTTCACTGCAAGCTCTGCCCTCCGGGTTCACGGCATTCCCCTGCCTCAGCCTCCTGAGTAGCTGGGACTACAGGCACCCGCCACGACGCCCAGCTAATTAAAATATATATCCCATCTTAAAAAATAAATGGCATTAAACAAACATTAAAAAAATGATAGAAGGGGAACACACAATCACACACAGCATCACTGACTATTGCCAGTCACTATGTACCTATTATTCTGGGTATTGTTTAATTGGAAACATCACCATTTTAGAATCTAAGATTAAGGGGAATCTACCTAGAACAGACAACAGAAAGCATTCCAACTATGAAATATGATAAATGGCCTATGTTTAAAAGATGCTGGAGAGTATCCAAGAAAGACTGCTAGCTTAGAAATTTATAAAGGAGATGAAATGAAGAATGTGATATTATCTGTGCTTATGTATCTGTTAGAATTCAATGATACCTATTTCTTGTTGAAAAGTGGACTGCCCTCCATTCTGAGTGTAGTACGAATTAAAAAGACTTCTTTTTTTAAAGAGTTAAGTTGAAGAAGGGCTGAGCTGGCTTCCAAGGCACTAATTAAGGAATCCAAGCCTGTACTATATAGGATTCTTTAGGGATCTGCAGATATTTCCATTCTAATTTTCCAGAGACAAAAATGTAACCGGGAGAAAATTAGAAAAAGAAAGTGACCTGTGGCATTTGACTACTACTTTGCAAACTGGCTTATTATTAACAGTTTTCAACATTTAATTGATCCCCCACTTAAAAATTCTCACCTTATTGAGTTCAATGGCTGATCGTCTATGATCATAAGGCCATCCCCAACATATACACATTATTTGAGTCACTGTGAGATAATGTAATAAAAGCATCTGAAGCACTAGTTTCATTTAAACAGAGACATGCCCTCAACATCAAGAATAGAAAGTCTTGCGCTTGAGTTTTTCTTTAGAGATGCAGAATTAGCTCAAGGAATGGATGGAAATGACATTTTTTGGTAACTGATTTTAAGGTCTCGAATACTTTTATGGAAATAAGTATCCTGCGCATTTTATATGCCCTTGATCTTGTGAGTTTTTCTAGAGGCATAATATTAATTTCAGTTAACTTGTTAAAATTATTCTTTCAGAATTTCTAAGTGTCTCAAAAGTTAAATGAATTGGGGAAAAATGTTTCTTATTCTAAAAAAGAGGTATGCATGTATATATATAAAAGGAAGGAAAAAGGAGAAAAATCCTCTTTTTGATATTTGCAGGAAATATCTGAGGTTTAGCTTGGGAGGCGATGGGGCAATCCAGGGCGAGAAATGATGTCTTGAATAATTAAGGTGACTACTCCTGACCTTCAACTAAACAGACTACCTTCCTGTCTACCCTGAAGGTATCACTTTGGTGTTGCTATCCACTGATTCACTTCTGCAAACTTCCCTGACAGAAGAAAGGAGGACTTGCAGCTGGACACTGCTCCCTGGCTCTTCGGAGCGGTTTCTTTACACTATGCATGGACCACAGATCATCTGCTGCCATCCTACTCAGGGAGAGCTTGCTAAAGATGCATGGTCCTGGCCCCCACCCAAAACCTCTGACTTTGAATCCATGTCAGAAATCGTTTAATTTATGTACTTACTTGTTTATCTGTTTTGTTCACTGCTATATCTTTGGCTCCTAGAAAAGTACTAGGAACATGGTAGATACTCAATAAATATGTACTGAATAAATGAAAAAAAAAAAAACCAACAAAAGAAAGGGAAGGAAAAGGGATTGCCTTCATGTTTCTCCCACCTCCTCAAGTTGTTTTTTTTTTTTTTTTGAGACGGAGTCTCGCTCTGTCTCCCAGGCTGGAGTGCAGTGGCGTGATCTCGGCTCACTGCAAGCTCCGCCTCCCGGGTTCATGCCATTCTCCTGCCTCAGCCTCCCGAGTAGCTGGGACTACAGGCGCCCGCTACCACGCCCGGCTAATTTTTTTATTTTCAGTAGAGACGTGGTTTCACCGTGCTAGCCAGGATGGTCTCGACCTCCTGACCTCGTGATCCGCCCACCTCGGCCTCCCAAAGTGCTGGGATTACAAGGCGTGAGCCACCGCGCCCGGCCACCTCCTCAAGTTTTAACAGCTAAATGTTAAGCTCTTCACAAAGAAGTCTCAAGTGTAACCTAATGAAATTAAAAACAGACTTTACAAAATCATTTCTCAAGTGGAGAGAATACTCTCAATTTATAAAACCATAAGACCAATAAACCTGAATAATGAGTACTAAAAAAGACAATTACCTATTTGTTAATTCCTTTGAAGGAAAAGGGCTCAAAATTGTGATTCTCAGACTTGGAGATTATAGGGCCTGGGTATAAAATACTTCCCTAAATAACTTACCAAGGCAATGGCATTATTCTTGCTCTAAACTATTAATTAACATCAAATCTCAACGTGTAGAGGGGCTAGGAGAGGTTAGAAAGTTACCATAATAGGATAAGCAGGGAAAAAAATCAGAAATAAACCAGAACATGACACCAAACAGTAATAGGGAGACTCAGAGTTAATACTTACAAGGTAAGAATTGCTGAGCTAAGTAGAGGTCTCTTTTATTGTGGTCTTCATTCTATCATTATTAAACCTAGGAAAAAGAGGGAAGACTTTAAAAATTTCAGCACATTATATAAGTTAGAACATTTCAACTGAGGTTGCCACCGCTGTATTCTGATCCTTATACAGCACAGAACAATCAGATTATAAACACCCAGCAGCATTTGTATGTTTCAGCCCAGTGCAGCATTCTTGTTAGTTTTTTTGTTAAGACATGGGGTCTTGCTCTATCACCCAGGCTGGAGTGCAATGGTGTGATCCTAACTCACTGCAACCTCAAACTCTTGAGTTTAAGCTATCCTCCTGCCTCAGCCTCGCAAGTAGCTGGGATTACAGGCCTGCATGCCACTACATCCTGCTTATCACTGGCTTTTAAAATTTGCTATTCTATTACAATTGCCCTCTTGAAGTTTAAGTCAAAAATTTTAGTCAAAGCTAAAACTCTAACTTGGAGCCCAATGAGCTTCTGGAGGACATCATATATTTGCAGATATTTTAAGATAAATTCAAGATCATATTCCAAGACTGATTAATCTCTCTCACACACATAAAATTGCATCATCTATAATCCATGTATTGTATATTGCACAATTCCAAGTACACAAAGGAAGGAATATATGACATTTTTAAAGATATGCTAGTAATCTGAGTTGGTTAGCATGTTTGGCTTCTGTGGGTCATGATTCTAAGTTGTAGTTGTTACATCAACTAATAGTTAAGCACTTACTATAAGATACAGAATAGAAAGGATATGACAAATTCATCCATGTTCTTAACAGAGCACTGCAAGTATACGCTTTATTGTAGACTAATCTTAACAGAAAAAGAACAGCATGTTTTTAAAAATTTCAAAATCATTTGCTTCAAAATTCACAGAAAAATCAAGGGAATACCAAAATGAACCTCCATATCCTATCTCTGGACTCCCAATCCAGCTGTACTGAAATCTAAAACTATGCCATACTTACTTCCCTTTGTTTTTTATGAAAATTGATTACACATACAGATGATGTCCTTTGTGAGCTATACCCTGATTCCATTCCATTCTTTCCAAAGATGCAAGCATAATCTTGAATTTGATATTTATTTCCTATGTTTTTACACTATTACTACCAATTCAAGAATTTAAACTTTATCATTGCTTTCAAGCTTTTGATAAATGGTATAATATCATACATATTTTATATACGTTACTCTGTATATAACCTTTATGCAACTTATTTGTTTGCTGAAGTAGGATATTCACCCATGATGATAAACACAGCTCTCATTTTAGTAGCTTTACAGTTCATCACATGACTATGTCACAATTTGCCATTCTCTTCTTGCTTAACATTTACATTGCTTTCATTTTTTTCCTATTAAAAATAACCAAGACTTTTTTCTACATGTCTTGAGTTTACCTAGAGCATCTAGGAATAAAATTGTTGGGTTCAAGCCTATTGTATCTTCAACTTTACAAAGATATTGCTAAATGCTCCCACAAGCAGCATATGAAGAGTTCCTCATTTTATATTTCCTCCAACATTTGGAAGCATATTTAAGAAAAACAGCCACTATCTATATGAAAATTTAAAAATTCATAAGTGATCAATTCCTTTGGTTTTCATCAAGTATTGGTTTAACATAGGTATACTAATGTTCCAAACAAAGAGAATAGACTGAAATTTGGCCCAAGGCACTTACATGAAAACAAAGCTCTGATAACACAGATTTTCCTCATGTGACTGAGGAAATACCAAGACTTAATCTATTTTTTAATCAGCCGAATTTAAGATTCAAGAACTTAATCTAGAAATGATAAGATTCCTAATTAAATATTAAGCTTAGATCCAAGATGACCAAAGAGGGGAAAAAAAGATGCAGGAAAAGTAGATAGTTTGTGGGTATGAACAATCCCTCCTCCAAGTTCATTTTGGGCAGTGCTTCTCACAAATGTGGTGCTCCTAAGAAAAATCTCTTAAAGCTTGTAAAAAAATGCAAATTCCAGGTCTGGAAAAATGTTTTTATTTTATTTTTTAAATTCTAGGTTATTCTCATACAGGTGGTTTGCAGGCAACTAAGCAGTAAGTAATGATTAAAAATGAGGTGCTTTCAATAGAGAGGATTATGTAACTCATGTTTTAGTTAGGGGAGGTAACAGTAATTAATATGTTATCTGTTAAATTACATAAACTTTTTTTTAAAAACCTCTAGCATTAGTCAACAACAACAAAAAAGTAACCTCAATTTATGGCTGAATATGCTTGACTTCACAATGCCAAGAAAGGTTGTGGGCTCATTTATTTTTTCAGATAACTAGACACATACTATGACAAAGCTTTTTTTAGTAATATTACCAGGGAACTAATATTCTGAATTTACTGTGATTGGCACAGGAAAATATTAAGAGTGAGAGTGATCAGGAGTGATTTTAATGAAGGTGACCAGAAAGCAACTATATGATTACCTTTTAAATAGAATGCTATTGCAAATGTCAAACTTTAAATGGGACATTTGGCTTTATACACTAAAAAAAAAAAAAAAAAAAAAAAAAAAGGCATTAGTAGTTTCCCACCAAGACCGCTACAAATAAATTCAGAACATTTATAGAAATCCAACATTCACACTTCCCTGTAACTCTAACCTATTGAAATTAGATGTAAAAGGAAGAAAAAAAATAGAATATTTAGGTTATAAAAATCGGCGCAAATTCAAATTATAAAAATAAAAACATTCTTCTATATTATTTGAAATTACAAAGTCCTGTTTCCAAAAGATTTAGAATAATCTAAGCTTTCTAGATAAAAAGTTCAGATAAAAGATATTTCAGTGAGAAATGGTAAATAGAAAAAGTAAGCAGTTTAGTAGTAAGAAAAAAGACATAAGTTTTCATCTGTTGCCTGCTTTTAGTTATTTACAACACTAAGTTAATATAGAATGTTGTTTTCTTTCTTTTATTATAGTGAAATCAACAAGAATTCGGTCTTGTTAGACTGGGCTTTTATAAAACAAAGATAATGTAGTCCAAAAGTGAAAGAAACACTCCTGTGTGGCCATAGCCAGCTTTTCTTTTCTATCCTCAATATATTACCTAACTTGTGATATCAGCAACTAATTATAATTTTTTTCAGTCTACCTGCTTAAAAGTGAAAACATGAAACATACCATATATACATGAAACATACTATATATACCTCCAGAAGCAAGACAGGTTTTCCATTCTAATGGATGGAATTAACTGAATAAAAATTAAATGAACTAAAGCCACAGAGAAATAGTAAAAAATAATAGAGTCTAAGAACTACAAGCATCTACTGTTCTCTTTATGCTGCAACCTTTCTGCTAAAGAATGTATTCTCTATACTGTGTATGTGGTACAGTGACAGTTGGGCTCTTCCCACCTGGGTTTGTAAAAACGGATGGGTGCAGGCTCCTTTGGCCACCATTATTGCATATTGATGTTATTCTGCACAACAGCTGACAAGCAGCATCGATCTCCCAGCCTCTGCTCCCAGCTGTAAGGGGTAAGAACAAGGGCTGTGGTGATAACTTGTTTATTCACTGCTGTTGCTGTTGCTGCTGCTGCTTCTTAAACAGCAAGCTGAGAAAAGAATATCAAACTGACACACAGAGGAAAAATGGTTCAGACATCAATCTACCTCTCAAGGTCTGCTTATATCACTATATGATAAAATTATTTTTAAAATAATTTTTCTTTAAAAAGTGGGGTGGGGAGAGAAAAAAGACAAAATTGGTGTTTTGATTATAAAGGGAACCTATAATGTATGCAAGGAAAAGGAAATTAATGACATATATAATAATCTTCCCCTTGTAAGTCTAGATTTAACCGCTCAATTATCAAAATTCTCTGAAGAGTTTTAACCAATGTTGGGGTAAATTCATTGAGAGTAACTTCCCTACCTATTCTCCTGGAAAATAAGAAAGTGTAAAACTCCAATCAAGAAATGACACTTTATTTTGCTTACAAAATGCCTCTAGCTCCCAAGTGCCCCATATCTAATCACCACCATATGTTTGACTTTAGACACTATTAGCAAAGAAATAAGATTTTAGTCCATACTGTTTTTGCATAAATCCCATTAAAAAAACTTCCATATGCAATTTACCTATTTTAAATGTGCAATACAAAGTTAAAAACTTAGTAAGTACATAGTATTAATTGATGAGTAACAGAAATAGAAATATTCACTGTTCAATTACCTTTAAATGTAATGTGATGCTATTTATAGACTTACAGCTTTAACTGTAAATGCAACTCATCTTTTAGAACCTTAAGCAACTTGTGATTCAGAAAAATATAAAAAGTCAGAAAAATTTGGAGATCTATAAACTATTAAAAAGAAAAACCCACATAGGCTAGAACTGGCAAGTAAGTTTAAATAATAATACCTAATCAAGAAGGCTAAGTTTGAGACATTTTAAAATAAAAGTATGAAACAGTAACAATATTTTAAATTTAGATATTTTGTAACAAATCAAAACCCAACCCCAATCTTCTATTTTTATCACAATTGAAAAAATTTTCTGCTTAGCAACTCAATGAGGAACAAAAAATGTTAATAATAATAAAAATAATTCTGAAGACCAGAGGATAACAAGATACTTTAAATATATTTGTTTTGTATGAAGGCTATAAAATAAAAAAGACTAACAGCAAATCCTCAAGCAAGATTTTTAAAAATTCAGACACTTAGAAACAGTAATGGATTAATAAACTATTAACCAGTGGGATTAATCAGTCTCAGCAGCCACATGTGAAACATGCTTCACATTTCTCCTCTAAGATTCTAACCATGAAAATAGGAAAGTAAAACTAAGTCAAATAATATGTTAATGAAGTATCAAAAGTGTGGTTTGTGGTGCTGTGAATAGAAATTTCACTTCAAAATGTATTTAATTTTAAACCTTCACATTAATTAAATATTACCCTTTGAAAAATGCTTATCAGAAAATATAATTCTGATACATTAGATCTCATTTGAAGAAAAACTGAAAGAGGTTAAGGATGTTATTTGCTAGTTTAAGAAAAAACACAAAATACACACATGAACAAAACTGCTTCAAATAAATATTTTTAAAACTTTTATTTAAAAAGTTAATTGTATCTATTATTTAACAAATTCTCATCAATATATAAAACCTCTATTAAAATGTCATAGCTGACAAACTGCCTAAAATGTAACATATCCTTATAAACTAGCATTATACATCTCTGACAAATAATAATTTTAAGTTCCTTCATATGTAGATATGTTAAGTTACCTCTATTCTAGTTTATTCAAATATTCTTTCTATACTAAAAAAACTATTTCAGTAAGACAGGAACAATGATGGTATAACTGTATTTTAGGGACAGCTAAGAATTTTTCCCAAAAGTGAATGTTATTTAACCCTGATTGTGCATTTAGCCAAAAACATAAATATTGAAAAAATGAGATACAAATCACTGAAAAAAAGATAAAAATTAACACAATAAATCTCTTCCCCCAAATTCCAACATAATTAACTACACATCAAGGCTTAAATTTAGATAATCAGGTTTGCAAATTTAAAACGGTCAAAATCTTTACAAAATGTCTTACAAGGGGTAGTTAAAAGAGAGCCAATCATACACAGCAGTTGAACTCTTTGTTAATTGGCCTCCTAAAATAACCCATACTCCTAATTAGGTTAAAGTTTCTCACCCTGTAAGAATTGACCAAATACAAGTAAACTGTTAATATTTGTATTGATTCTTTTAGATATGAAATTATTTACTAAGCTAAATTATTAGAAGTTTATAACCCAGTATAATAACTATAGGAAGAACAATTATATGATGCTAAATATTTGTGTTCAAAATAAGTTTTGATATCTTCAAAGATCACAAATCACAAACTCTCTAAATTTGGACGACTCTGTGGATTTATATCTTATCTACCATATAAACTCAAATGCTGTCTCTCTTTTCCTATTTAACTCATTAAGGCTGTTCTAAAGATACCTGCATTGAAAGTGACAAACTGAACCTGGATTTTTTTTCCCAGATACTCAGGTAACTGTATTTTCCACTTTTCATCTTAATGTTCTCTAACCTGAAAAATAGCTGTTAAGTCAGTGAGGGAAAAATTGTATTTATTTTCATTTTATTCAAACTAAGCTGCTTTTTCATAAAAATCTCAAATCAAACATATGAAGACATTCCATACCTCATATTTATCTGAACCACATTACAGTATGACACCAATATAAAAGTATCTAAACTTCACCCTTATGTTAAACTCTGATTTCTAAACATCTTTACATTTTATTTAACTTCAACTGTTAATTGATTCATTCCTGGTTTATCTACCTAATATCCAATATAGAAATATCAAATTTCAGTTTTTAGTATTTTGATATGTATTTCAACATTCACTCTTAAACACACCTCAGAATTCATCTTTAAAAATTTTACATTGTTGGAAGTTAAAAGCAGTTCTATGATCGTGATGATATACTTCATTCTTAAGACTAAATAATAATTTTCTCATGAAAACAAACCTTTGACATTTCCTCTAAGTATATAAATATTTTTAGGTGAAAAAATTAAAAAAAATTGTATTATGTTAGTAAACCTTACTTTAGCAAATAGTTTTTACACAAATAAACGCACACATATATGTACATATAAGATTAATACTTTACTATGAAAGAATTAACCAAGTAATACTTAGTAATACTGTTCAATAAGTTCATTTTCACTATACCAGATTACCATTTTAGAAAATGAAAGTTGTATTAGTTAAATACTGTCTGAAATTTTCAACTAAAACTATAAAAATCACTGGAGGTTTAGGGATTCTACAATTTTATTTTTAGAGTCTGCAACTTTTGATATTAACAACTGAAATATTTTACTCAGTGTATGTTGAGTAAGATACTAGTAATTTCTGCTTAAGAAAGTGGTTTTTTCAGTTTCGACCATATTGCCACTTTTGGTTAGGGCAGTACTTGGAATACTTTACATTTTCTTAAAATATTCTCATCAATTTTACCTAATTTTGCAGGCTCTACCTACTACTCTTCCACCTGTCAAACAGCTAAGCACTAAATTCCATTTGATTTAAACTCTCCATTTTATAAGATGAAAAGTTCATATTTTACTGAGTACACTGTAATAACCTTAAGAAAATAAAAATTACTATAAATACATATTTTTGGAATAAATTCAGTTGGAGTTAGACCTTAGGATGCTGAGAAGAACATTACCTGTATAAAAAAAAAATCTGGAGTTTTAGTAAGCTAGACAACTCAGCTTATGGCCACTTCATATGATGATTTCTGTTTATGAGTAATTACTTATTGATTTTAGTTCACGTAAAAATTTCAACTTTACCAATTGTCTAGTCCGATTATATTGCAAAGACATAAAATTATATGGTTTTAAAATTTGTTAGTATACCTTAATCTCATGTCATGTTCCAATGCATTATGTAAGTATTCAATCAAAGAAGTGAGGCTGTTCTCCAGAATTGGTTCTCTGCTACAGGTCAAAACCTGCAATAAAAATGTCATGTATTATAGCATGAAGACACTCAACAGATTTCCATCTCCTGCAGTTCCACAGTTGATCCCTGAACACAGAGGTATGGTCTTCAAAATGACCCTAATCTTGCCAATGTTCAGAGAAGCTCTAACTTGAAAATGTTTTAAAAATAGAAATAACTTGATTAGAAACACCTGTGATATGCTTTATCATCCGAAGCCTCTTCAAACAAATCAGATTAATATGTTTCTGCTTTCATTTCTCTTTAGGGCATTCATGTTCAAAGTAGTATGGGTGAGTGTGTATGCGGGTAGCTGTTAGAGGACTGGTACAAGAGGAGTTCATAAAGAAAATATCAGAAATGTAGTTTGTACTTGTAAAACTCATAAAATCCACACAGTTTAAAAAGTTACTGAAGGGACAGGGACGAAATTTTACTTTCTCTCCAAATTATCAAATGTTTTAATGATGACAGAATTTACCATTCTTTTTTTTTTTTTTTTTTTTTGAGACGAAGTTTTGCTCTTGTTGACCAGGCTGGAGAGCAATGGTGCGATATAGGATCACTGCAACCTCTGCCTTCTGGATTCAAGGGATTCTCCTGCCTCAGCCTCCCGAGTAGCTGGGATTACAGGTGCCTGCCACCATGCCTGGCTAAGAATTTACCATTATTTTCAACTTTAGTCTACTGCCAAGCCTAAGTGAAAAGTATCAGTATTTCCAAATATTTTAATACATTACAGTCCTAACAGACCAAAATGTGGAGTTTTTTTTTTTTTAACAAGTTAACATATTTACAAATAATAAATGGACCACTACTGGACCAAATGGTTTTTTAATGTTTCTAAGAGATGTAACTGAATATATGTTAAGTGTTTTTTTTCATTTCTTTCACCTTTCTGAATTATAATGATTCAGTGGCAATCGACTGTATAAAAATATTAAATTACCAAAGGTGTATCATGTATTACATGTAAATCATAATGCTCTGAATAAATTTTCCAGTTATATTTAAGAATAGCTTAGGAAAATGAAAGAGTAAAACCTAAAAAAACCTTTATTCCTCTGTTGCCAAATATTTGATTGTTTAATGACAAAACCCACACAATCATCCATAACTCATAAACACCAATCCAAATACCATGACATTTTAAAAAATTACCGTCATTTATACACAGTCTTCCTCAAAAGACAGACAGTTTTCTATATTTGAGCACTCTGAAAATTAAGGTATCTTAAGTTTAAAAATCATAGAAGGAAAATAGTAGAAAACAAAATGTACTACATGCCAAATGTTAAGTTTTTAAATAGTAGGGAGATGAAAAATACTAACCAATAAGAAGCAAAAGAGGTCTGGATATAAATAAAATAATAAACCAATGTGTATGATAAAAAAGGCAATATTAAAAAACCTTCAAATAGTAAAACTCAAATCTAAAATCTATTACAAAATAGAGCTTACTATTTATTCTTAGAAACCACTACAAGTTATTCCAGTACAAATTTTCTTTACTGAAATAAGGCAGGATTAACCAAAGGTATAGTAAACTTCTTATAATTTGATAAGAAATATTAATAATATTCAAATATATATTTAATATCAATTTCAATATTTAAAACTTGTCTTTCTAAAAGGAAGATCCTTTAAAGCATCTCTAATACAGATCAAAAAATAAAAACAAAAAACCAACCGAGGCAAAAAAATAAAAAACATTCAGTTCCCCACCAGAAAGTAATATTTATATGATCTACGAGATAAATAAACATATAATAGTAATGTGATATTCTAAAAATCTATCCTGTTACTCTTAAGACAATCATGACATTAAAGTTCTAATACTGTCACTTCCAAAAATTAAATGCTTAATCTCATTTTCAATGCTTATTTGAAATAAAGTGGTATTTTATTACTGATTTCCTTTGGTGTTATGAGATTTGGGGCTACAAAATTTCAGCAAGTCATAGTTGAGCTCTAATTATGTGCCAAAATTAGTTGCCTGGCATACAATGTTTCAAAGTTTGCTGAATTAAAAACAAAACAAAACCAAAAACCCCCACGAAACTATATATATGACAATTTTTTCTAAGATGTGTTTTCTAGTTATAATCAGACCTAAAATCTGTGTCTTCTAAAAAGGGGTTAAAAAGAAATTAATATGTGAATTTTTAAGCTTCATTAGACAGAAGAAAAAAAACACAAGAGCCAATTTTAGGTAATATTTTAAAATAAGAGAAATTTTTATAGAATAATTTTTTGAAACTATAAATTTATCATCTTCTTTTGAAGAAAGCTAATGTGTCATATATAATAATTATCTAATACAGTCTCTGGGAATTTTTTTTCATTTTGTAAACCAAATCAACTGACCCATATTTCTGGCTTTAAGTATTCTGTGACATTCCAAATAGTTACTACCTACCAATAAACAAACAAACAAACAAAAATACACACAAGTCTCCACAAAACAAAACAAACGAAAATGTACTACATAAAGCATGATGAAACCAGGAATCTAGACTATGAAAGCTACTTTAAAATTTTTATCCTTAGCTGTAGTTCATGCTAAACATTAAAACTCATATTAATCTGATTAGAAAAAATATGCAGTGTTACATACAAACACCCGAGGCTACATTTTCTGAATGTACAACTAAGACAGGTCAACAGTATTTTTTTAAAAAGTCTGAAACTGCACTTTTATTTGAATTTTTAAAAATAGTGTGGGGGCAAACAA
This sequence comes from Homo sapiens, assembly GCF_000001405.40. NCBI lineage: Eukaryota > Metazoa > Chordata > Mammalia > Primates > Hominidae > Homo > Homo sapiens. Next base: position 50,078,378 of record NC_000013.11, read on the forward strand.
ATGAAAATCAATGCTACCAGGAAGACTGATACCTTACCAGTCCCCTTTCCCCCACAATAGGTAAACATAACTTTAAAAAGGGGTGACCTATTATAGCAACACCACACCCCGCAGTTGCTTTCCTATGGTAATAAATGACTTTGTAATACAAAATAAATTACAACTGTCAATTTCTACAGAGAAATATGGATAAGTGCACATAAACATTAAAAAATACACATATGTTGTAACTTATACCTATATGCCCACAAGTCTAAAACCAAAATCTTCCTCTTATATAGCATCACATAAAAGTGAAAATATTTTGAATGCTGTGGATTTTATTTAGGCGCTAGTGTATTCTCAAATTTGAAGTGATGTATTTTAAATAAAGGAATCACTTCTTTTAAAAATGGCTTATTAAACAAACAATCCTTTACCCATTACCCCCTAAACAAACAAAAAATCCCATAAACCAAAGTGCTAAAAATGTATGGTTATACTTAACCAGCCTGGTGGAATTTAAAGCTTGCCCCCAACTCTTCCCAAAACTCACGTAATTTGAATGAGAATACAAAACTCAAAACAAAAACCATCAGTAAAAAGCAAAACCCAGGAGTTCTGGTACTTTAGGTATAATTACGTTTAAAATAGAAATGAGATCTCCTAAAATTTCATTAAATCAAATTTTATAGAGAAGATAATTAGCACCTTCTATGAAATTTTCATAAGATGACCCAAAATAAATAGCTTTGAACAAAGGTAATGAAAAGGGATCTGTTATCACAATTCTTGTTATGAGGGCAGTACAAAATAGTATGAATTATAAACTCAGCTATTCCACTTACTAATGTAAATTATATTTACAGCCCTACAGAGATTTATAAAAGCCATAAGATTTTTTATTTGAATATTTTTTAACAATGCGTATTTGACTTAATGCGAACATACACACTATAAGCTTCAAAATTTAACTACTATTCATAAAAGAATATAAACGTCTATTAAATTAAAACAATTGTTTCTCAAAGCATCTACAGCTGTTTATCAGTTAGTTTGCCGCTGTTCTTTGAAAACGACACCTGCCTTTTATCAAGATGCAATTAAATGGAATGACAAGCTCGGTAATAAATGGAAATATACTGAGGCTGTCTCAGGCAACATCGAACAAAAATCAACTGAAAATCAACCAGATAAAAAACAGCACACCCACACTGTTGTATACAATATATTTCTTCATAATGAATTTATCAAAGGAACTAAATAATAGATACGCACCTGTGCTTACCTGTTGTCTAAATTAAGAAACATAAATGTTTTGTAAATTAAAGTTTTAGTTCACTGCAGTTACTGAATTAGCAAAATGTATATTTTCACTAGATGCGAAAAGTTTTTTAAATAAGATGTTCAATTTTTATGGAAAATGTTAAAAAGATCATTCGTGAACCTTAAGAAAATTAGTTTCTTTGCATCAAAATAAAAGAAACAACTGTCCGGTAATCTGCATCCAACAAATATATGTAGTTTAAGGTGAAAAATTCCTATCAAAGGAAAAAAACTAAATTTTTCACTCAGTTTTTAACCAATAAAGAACAGTGACAAATATATAAAAGTCTTGTTAATTTCAACCAGCAGAAACATAATTTTGCGAAAACAGCCTCTTCAGTTTTACTTTTAATATACATTTGAGAACCACACGAAAATCCTTTCTGAGAGGAAAAAAAACTATTAAAAACCAACTTTTTTTCTAAACTCTCGTCCTAACGTTTCGTAGCTATTTCCGTGGTTCTCTGGCTAAAAGTATATTTTTTCGTAAAGTCGAGAATTATAGTTTAGCGTTCAACATTCAAACCCCCCAGGCCCGCTTCCTTCCAGCCAATCAGGGGGTAACAAGTCCAGAGTTTAGGGAGCTCCGTTAGACACAATTTGAAAAACATCACATTGCACTCTTCTATTCTCCTCCGGGAAACATTCTAAGCGAGGGCGGGTCCCCCAGTCTTCATAGAATATAAGAAATAAATCAATCGTTACATCAATTCCACGGGGAAAAACTCTGTAGGCAGGCAGTCCTAAAGAAGCGTGTCACCGCGGTTCCCAGGAAGCGTTATTCCTCTTTGCGAACAACTGAACAGAATAGCTGCTGCAGAAAGCATCTCCGGAATATTTGCAACCCAGAGCCGTGCGCCCCACACGCAATACACCGGCAAAGGGTTAATCTAGTGGTGCCTCCAGCGCGGAAAAGAACTCAAGATCTAATACATCCTTAACGCGGGATTTTTACAAAGGCCATAGAAGTATTACCTAAAGTTAATGCCGTCACTGGCTCACATCACTCAAGAGCTGTGGAGTAAGAATTGATAGAAACCACCAGCTAAGGGGGAAAAAAAAAATCACCGAAGGGAAAGACAAATAACAACTCTCGTCCCTCCTCCTCAGCGTCAAGAAAAGGTGGGGATCGCAAAATTACCGTTAAGTTGTCCGGGTAAAGACTTTTGGGGGAGGAAAACATTAATAGTTTCACAGATTGCTTTTTTCCTTGCGACATGTTTCAAACACCGGAGAAGAAAAAAGTCTTCTAAGAAAGTGCGACTCGGAGGAAATAGCCACGAGAAGGAAATCGTTAGCTCGAAGCCCCATCTTTCATCTCACCCGTGAACACTCCTCCCCTTTGAGAAAGGACAACGCTGCGAGAGCAAATGACAAAAATCCCCAGAAAGAAGCTAAAGTCCAGCATCTTTCCTAAGAGCCCGCTACAACCTCAAAAGCCTGCCCCTGCCCCATCTTGGAAGCGCGAGCCGCGGCCAGTCCTACCTACCTAGAGACCTCACCGGGACCCAGCGCGCCGGGGGAGGGCAGCCAGGGCTTGGGAAACTCTTTCCTGGGGCACCTCACGCTTCAGCGTCAAAAGACAATATAGATAGATGGGTGCCGGGCGGTGGCGGGGGGGACTGTTGCCACGACCCACCGGAGGGACCCATGACTCCGGGTCCTGAATTTTCTGTCGACCTTAAGTTTCTTGTCACGAGATGACGGCCATCACCGGGTCGAGAAAACGGCGAGAAAAGGCGGCCCGGTTCGGAAATGGGGGAGGGGCGCGCGTCCAGTCCTCCTGTCAAGGAGCGGCCGCCTGCAGAGACCCCGCAGTGCGCCGTCCCCGGCTCCGGTCCCGGGCGGGGGGTCTTGCTGACAGATCCGCTGGGCGGCGGCTGCTCCGCCGCAGCCGGTCCGCGTCCCGCTCAAACTGCAGCTCCCCTCCCCCCACAGCCCCGTCTCTCCGCGCTCCCGCCACATTCCGCCCGCCGCCGCCCACTCGCAGACGCCCAAGTTGCCCCTAACCCTACTTCCTCGGATTTTTCGCGATTAAGTGAGAGTAGACCCCGCGCCCACTCCCTGCACCCACCACTGCCTGCGGGTCCCACCACTGCCACCTCCCGAGTCCCGCTCTGCTACTTCTTCAGGCTCTTACCGACTGCGCCAGCCTTGGCGAAGCTCCGCCGACTGCCCTTTGCTCCAAGTAATTTTTGGCGATTTTTAAAGTAATTTTTCCGGCGGAGTCATAGTGGCGCTATACTCTCGGACAGGTTATCCTGTCTCTCCCGCTAGATTGATGAGATCAGGCATCACTCGAAAATGGCGCCGAAAGCGCTGAGGCTCCTCATTCAAATTCGTTAGAGCCAACCCCGCCGCCCCAGGGAATGCCGGGAACGCGGGCTGCCTCCACAGCTGTCAATACCGCCTCTTAACCCCCCTTCTCTTGCTTTCCCGACATTTTTACGCATGCGCAAACTCCAACCCTCCCCCCTCCTCCCGCCAGGCACATGCGCAGAATCATCGTGGTGCACGGCTCTCCCTTTGCTTCTTCGGTTGCAGTCCTCTTGCTTCTTGCGCGTGCGTGTAGCGCTTTTGCAAAGCCGCGGAGGTGAAGTGAACTTAGAGGTTGTGGGGCCGAGGGGTCGTCTTATAGCTACCAGCCCACAGGCATTTAGTCTACGTTGGAGGTAAACAAATACGGGTCCTGCTTAGGAGAAAAGAAAAACGTCTTACAGCCAGTGTCTAAACTCCAAACAACGGAATGTATCAATGAGACCTTGTATATGGATACACGTGCATTTAAAACCGCCCTGCCGGCTTGTAGAGCTTTTGCCGTTCTCCAGCGCTTTACAGGGGTTATCGCACTTAAGCCTCGGAACAACTTTACCAGGTAGGAACTATTACTGTTCTCGTTTTGAAGACCAGGAAACCTAGGCTCAGAGACGTTAAGTAATTTGCCCAAGACAGCACAGGTGGCACAGAAGTGGATGAATCCACATCTGTCAGATTCAGCAGCCCTGGAGTTCTCTACCACGCTGTACGATTCAACCTGAGCCCACACAGGAGGCGTGGTCTCCTTCTTCAACGGTGTGTGTGTGTGTGCGCGCGCGCCTGCCTAGAGTTAATGATTAAGTTTGCTGAAGCCCTTCTTCCCGGTCCTAAGCTGCCTGTTGCGAAGGCGCTTTCATTGAATTCAGTTTCTCTTACCGTCTTAACTTGTTCATAAACTTTTTGAGATAGGAATGGGCAGTTTTTCTGTGTCACTTAGGATGATTTTTTTTTTTAATGGCGTGATAAGTGAACTGAATCCAGCAAAGACGAGTTTCTGTTGTGCAACACGTTGGTATACTGACAGCTACCACGTATTGACTGTGTACTGTGTGCTGGGCACTGTGCTAAATAAATGATTTACGAATTAATCGTGTTTATTGCTCACAACAGCCTTATGAAGTAGGTATTATCTTCACTTTACAGATGAGGACACCTGAGGTTCAGATTAAGAAATCTGCCCCAAAGTCTTAGAACTGGTAAGTAGAAGCACCATATCTAGGCAAACCTGTCTACCTTCAAAAAAAATGGGCACTCTGATAGGACAATTAACGATAATAAAGTTGTAATTTTTTTTTTTTTTTGAGACGGAGCCTCGCTCTGTCGCCAGGCTGGAGTGCAGTGGCGCGATCTCGGCTCACTGCAGCCTCCGCCTCCCGGGTTCAAGCAATTCTCCTGCCTCAGCCTCCCGAGTAGCTGGGACTACAGGCAAGTGCCACCACGCCCAGCTAATTTTTGTACTTTTAATAGAGACGGGGTTTCACCATGTTGGCCAGAAGGGTCTCGATCTCTTGACCTCGCGATCCGCCCGCCTCGGCCTCCCAAAGTGTTGGGATTACAGGCGTGAGCCACCGCGTGGAGCCCTATAAAGTTGTAAATATTTTAAAACCTTCATTGTGAATGTTAAATAAGAGAGTAGATATGAAAGTGCCTGAAGTACTAATAAGGAAGTGGGAGAAGGGTAGCATGGTTTGCATTATTTAAGTGTCTTGGAAAAGAAATGGATTTTAGCAATTTGAGATCAGCAAGAAGTAACGTGGCAGAGTAGTATAAATACACTACTTAATCTCTGGTACTTTTTTGCACTACTTAAGTGGGTCGACTCTGGAACCGAGCTGCCTGGGTGAATCCCAGCTCCACTACTTACTAGCTGTGCCTTGTTGGGTAAATTATCTGTTGGACCTTTTGTAAAACAAGTACTATTAATACCTCATTGGACTGTTGTAAGGATGTAAATGAGCTAACATATTAAAGGAATTTCAACAGTGCTTGGCATATTAGTAAATGTTTGTTATTGTCAGTCAGTCATTGATCTTTTAAACTGGCTTCTTTAATGGTTGTTCAAAAATCAAACTACAGTTAGTGCCTTTAGGGGTCAGCATTTTTTTTCTTTTTTTTTCTGAGAGGGAGCCTCACTCTGTTGCCCAGGCTGGTTGGATCACTGCAACCTCTGCCTCCCGGGTTCAAGCAGTTCTCCTGCCTCAGCCTCCCATGTAGCTGGGATTACAGGTGCGCGCCACCACGCCCGGCTAATTTTTGTATTTTTAGTAGAGACGGGGTTTCACCATGTTGGTCAGGCTGGTCTCCAACTCCTGACCTCGTGATCTGTCTGCCTTTGCCTCCCAAAGTGCTGGGATTATAGGCGTGAGCCACCGCGCTGGGCGGGGTTAGCATTCTTATTCAAGAGCTCCTTAAAATGATAAATCAAACTGACAAATGATTTTTCCCAAATATGAATAATGATCCCTGTTAGGCAAATAAGGATGTTAATTTATTTTACCATCTCATAAGAATAATACCTGGAAATGGAATAGATTTATTGCTTTTTCTGATTGTTAAGGTTAAAAAACCGAGGCCCATCTAAAATATATATAAAGTAAAAATCATCCAAATTTCTAGCATTCAGGGATAACCACATATTGTTTGTACTTTAAAAATATAATGTACCTGTGGGGACAATCAGCTAGGGGGGGTCTGGATAAGTGGTATATTTGGGAGACATGTGTAAAATTGTACTAGAACTTACAAATAGGTAAGTAGCACAATCTGGTTTCCTCACTGTAGAATTTTTTATCTTAGTCCCCTTTTAGATATAATATGTCAAGAGAATTCTAAAGTGATGATGATAAATGATAACATTTATTGAAGACCTAATATGTGTCAGACACTGGGCTAAGCATGTACATGCATTTTTCCATCGAATCATCATGTAACTCATTAAGTGGGTGCAATTATCTCTATTTTGCAGAGACTAAAGTTTATGTGTAAGTCACTTTTAGAAGATTTAAGTCTAATTGTGTTTAAAGTCTTATTTAAGAAAAAATCTTTCATGAAAGCTTCTTGATTTGCTAAAATGGGAGAAAACAAAATCAACTAACATACAGTAGTTCCTATGCCTGAACAGAGAGCCCGATTGTAAAAAACGGTCTTTTGAAAACTAAGAATTTTATATTTGACCACAAGGGGGTGCAAATTCCTGAGTTAAATTTCAAAGGAAAAACGGGAAAAGTGCTTTTACTTTAGACCATCAAATTCGTGGGTTAAAACTAGTAAGAATTCCTGCCTGGAACTTTAATACCCTACAAAGTAATGTACTTTATAAGAAGAAAGAACTCAATTACTTAGGTGCTCAATTAGGGCAGAAGTGTCAGCTTGCTTTCTTCAATACAGTCAAGAGTTAATCATCCCTCCCCCACCCCTTTCCACTCACAGTTAGTTTGTGTCTCTGCATACCCCTCTTTACTTGTCAATAAGAGTAGAACTGAAGTCATAATTTAAAATCTGGGGTTTTGCTCTTGGAAACTGAAATGCAATCACCAGCTAATGGATGCTAAATATGGGTAGTGTGAAGAACAGAGGTCTTGTAATTTCTATGCTTTTTTTCCCTCCTGCTGAAGTTTATAATGAGTAAGCTACAACTGATGCAATGTTGGCTTCAACATATTAACTTATTTAGATAAAACTGTGAAAGCTATAGGTCTGTTCATCTTTCAAGAAAGAATGCAGGCCGGGCGCGGTGGCTCACGCCTGTAATCCCAGCACTTTGGGAGGCCGAGGCAGGCGGATCACGAGGTCAGGAGATCGAGACCATCCTGGCTAACATGGTGAAACCCCGTCTCTACTAAAAATACAAAAAAATTAGCTGAGCGTGGTGGCAGGCGCCTGTAGTCCCAGCTACTCGGGAGGCTGAGGCAGGAGAATGGCATGAACCTGGGAGGCGGAGCTTGCAGTGAGCCGAGATCGCGCCACTGCACTCCAGCCTGGGCCACTGAGCAAGACTCTGTCTCGAGAAAAAAAAAAGAAAGAAAGAATGCAGACAGTACCTTGAAAACAGTATATACTACTGAATGTATTAAAAACTTTGCTTAGCAGGGTTTTCAACTTCCTTTTATTTTCGTGTTGGTCTTGTTTCTCTGAGATGGGACTTAATTTAAAAAATACAACTTTTTTTGGAAATAATTTCAAATTTACAAAAAGTTACAATATTAAAAAGAGTTCAAAGAACATCTATATCATTTGCTTGCTCTTGTACATGGGTGAGTTTTCTTTTTCTCTCTCTCTCCATATACACAGTCTATAAAAAACACACAGAGGAAAAATACAAGAAAAAAACTTTCAACCCATATCAAGGTTTTATGATTATAGTTAAAAATATACATATCAAAAAGTCAAACTAAAATTTTGCAGTGTTGACACTGCCAAACTATTCTTTTAAGGAACATTGGTGTTCTATCAGCTAGTCCAGTGATTTTTGTTTTTTTAAGAGACAGGGTCTCTCTATATTGCCCAGGCTGGCTTCAAACTCCTGGACTCAAGTGATCGTCCATTCAGCCTTACAAGTAGCAGGGACTGTAGGCAAGTGCCACTGCACCCAGCTCAGTGATTCTTAAACTTTGAAAATGTGTTGAAAGTTATAGACCCTTTCTCTAGAATCATGCATGTATGTGAATAGTTTGCATATAGTTTCAGAGGTGGATGATGGTCCATGGAGTTCCTGAAGAAAAGTAAAGGAAAAATTATTCATACATATGGTAGGCAGAATAATGGCCTACCAAAGATGTCCAAAGATGTACATGTCCTAATCTCTCTGGGATTTGTGAATATGTTATGTTACACGGTGAGAGATAATTCAAGTTGCAGATAAAAATTAGGGTTGCTACTCAGATGATCTGAAAATAGATTATTCTGGATCACCTGAGGAGGCCTAATTACATGGTCCTTTAAGTGTGTAAAGGGGAAGCAGAAGAATCCGTGTCAATGATGAGATGTGAGAAAGCCATTGCTGACTCTGAAGGTGGAAGGAGGCCATGAGCCAAAGAATAGTTCATGAGCTCTAGAAGCTGAAAAAGGCAAGAAAACAGACTCTTTAGGAATGCAGCCATGCCGACATCTCTATTTTAGCCCGCTAAGACCCATTTTGAATTTCTGACCTCCAGAACTGTAAGATAATACATTTCTGTTGTTTTAAGCCACTAAGTTTATGGTAATTTGTTTAAGGTAATTTTAAGGCATTAGGAAACTAATAAAGGATGTGAACAGTCATTTTGTATGTGTGTTGATGTGTGGTTATGGTAGTAATTAAGTGTGTGTGTGTGTGTGTGTGTATACATTTTTTAATACCACCTAGGTATTTTTCTTTTTTTCTTTTTTTTTTTTTTTTGGAGTTGGGGTCTCTGTCTCCTAGGCTGGAGTTCAGTGGAGTGATCTCGGCTCACTTTAACCTCTGTCTTCTGGGCTCAAGTGATCCTCCCACCTCAGCCTCCCGAGTAGCTGGGACCACAGGTGCCCGCCACCACACCCACCTAATTTTTTGTATTTTTTGGTAGAGGTGGGGTTTCGTCATGTTGCCTGAGCTGTTCTGTAATTTTTTGCTTAACAAATCCATAAAAAGTACTTCTTTATCTTTTTTAAAGGTCTGTGAAGTGTCAGACCTCAAGATGGACAACTATTTAATTAGATATAGCATCTTATCTACTACTGAAATTATATTCCTACACAATTTACTGAAATTTCTTGGTAAGAATGTGATGAGCTTTTCCCAAAAATTTACCCATCTACATTCCCTTTATAAAACGCAACCTTTTGATTTACAGTTATGTTGACAATATCTTTGTTCTGTCAAGTATCTTGGATAATTTCTTCTCCCTGTAGCTAATTGACAGATTAAAAACAATTAGAAAATTCTCCTCAGAGGTTATTTAAACAGTATATAATTATATGCTTTACTTAGGTATCAGCTTAAGAGAATAAACTGTTTAGAAACAGATTTATTTTGCAGTTGGTAGATTATTTTAATGGAAGATCAATACAGGTACTTAATTATCTATAAATGTTTTGTGAGCAAGAAACTTTTTGTGATTTTTTTTTTTAAAGGATACCAATATTAGTTACATGGGGGAAAATTTATACACACATCAGGAAATGTACTTGTTTTAGGAAATTTACATGGTTTAGAGCTCCAATTTCTAGAAGTGGTTAGAACAGATTCATATATAGCATTTTCAACTTTGATTCTCTGAATATACTGAGTTAAGATTTTTTTTCCTATATGAGGAGTTATTTTGCTTACAGTATCCTTGACCACAAATCATGGAACTAAACTAAAATTCATTTACGACTAATAATGGTCAACATTTATTGAGGAAGTATGACCTTTTTTATTTTGTTGTTGAGACAGAGTCTCACTCTGTTCTCCAGGCTGGAGTACAGTGGTGTGATCTCGGCTCACTGCAACCTCTGCCTCCCGGGTTCAAGCAGTTCTCCTGCTGCAGCCTCCCAAGTAGCTGGTACAACACGTACCACCAGGCATCTAATTTTTGTATTTTTAGTAGAGATGGGGTTTTGCCATGTTGGCCAGGCTGGTTTTGAACTCCTGGCCTCAGGTGATCCGCCTGCCTTGGCTTCCCAAAGTGGCGTGAGCCACTGCACCTGGCTGGGAAGTATGGATTTTTTTTTTTCACGTACCAATAATGATTCCTGGAAAGGGATAAACCCATTTGTTTTTGTTAATCTTCTTTCTAAAATTAATGTTAAAATGTTGGCCTTAAATGAGATATTAAATATGGTGTTTTGAAACACTGCTTTTGAAATAATATATACTTTGTGAGAGCTTAATAAAGGAAATTTAGCCTATTCAGGATTGGAATCATAGAATCTTAAGAGTTAAAATATGTCTCTTCTTACTGCCACCCATTGTCTAAGTGTCCCCTGAGGCTACTGAGAACAAATTTATTCTCACCTACCTACAGTAACCCTTTAAATATGATCATTATTTTTTTGAATCATGATGACAGCAGAATTCCCACTCCCAAACATCCTTTAATGGCTTCTTTAATGTGTCTTTAATTGTTTTATGCTCTTAAACCCTTCACCATCTTGGTTTCCTTCTTCTGGTTATTCTTGTTTAACAAGGCCCCTCTCAAACAGTGACACCCAGAATGGTATTAATTACATATATATACTATATATAGTCTGAAATATACCATGGGTGGGTATTAACTTTTTGTCCTATCCATTACAATTTTTGTATTTTAAGAACAATTTTAGGTCGTAACAGGGACTCATAAATAATGGAAATGGATGTATTGGAAATGTATCAAAAGAAAGTTTTAAAAGTTTTAACATAAACTACAGGAGTAAAAAACTTAAAAATTACAACTTATGACTTTCTCAGAGACTTTATTGAGTTGGGATGAACTGGAAGTTGTGGAGGATAGGGAACCAGGAATCTATTACATTCATGTCTTATTTATTTTTAATAAACTGGAGTAAAATTGAGACTGGTCTGTAGGAGATATGACTGCGGATGTGTGATCAGTTGTCTAAGACAGTTGAGCCTCATACTACATTTCTATTCTTAATATGTAAAATGTATTTCTTATAGTACAAATCCCTTTTGGCTAGGAAATTCTTATATGTTTAAAATAAATTAACCTTTTAAGGCAGCTCTGAAGAAGTAATTTATTTTAAATAGGTGAGCAGTTTATAGCTCTTATGGGAATACTTTTTCCTTATTTTTTCATCATAGGATTAGACCCTGTGTTTTTAATTTAAGTCCTTTAATTTTTGCTGTTAATGTTTAATTTACTTGATGACCCCGTACTGTTAACTTTTGACCAAGTGAACTTGGGACAGTATATACAAACTGTTTACCTAATTTTAAGGAAACTCTTTTAAAAATAAGATAGGTTTGATGTGAAACAGAACATTAAATTCATTTCAACTTTCCATGTAGAAAAATATCATATGTATTTAATCAAATAACTTTTCCCCCCTTATTGGAGGATGTATTTTTATCAGCATGGAGGTTTTTTGTTTTTTAATAATTAGATGTTTATGCCATTGGCAAAACAACCCAAAGCTGACCATGACCAAACTGCAATACTTTTAATAAACTAAAAGACTACTAATATAGTAGATATAAAACCCTTTCCTGATAAGAAATTTTTATAGCGTATGACTGAATCTAACAATTCTCCCTCTACCTTTATTTATGCTCGTTTACTTTCTTTTATAGAAAATTGAAATTCCTAAAGTTTAAGTTTTTAGATGTAAAAAATGTTAGTATATACAGTTAAATTAAGTTCAAGGTTTCTTTTAAACCACTTGATGTAATTTACTTTGTATATAGCTTTTATTTGCCTTTTTAAAATTATTATTACAATTTTTTTAGACAGAGAATTGCTGTATCATGCAGGCTGGAGTGCAGGGGCGTGATCTCAGGTCACTGCAACCTCTGCCTCCCCGGTTCAAGCAATTCTCGTTCCTCAGCTTCCCAAGTAGCTGGAATTATAGGCGCAAGCCACCATGCCCAGCTAATTTTTTTTTTTTTTTTTTTTTGTATTTTTAGTACAGACAGGGTTTCTGCATGTTGGCCAGGCTGGTCTCAAACTCCTGATCTCAAGTGATCCTCCTGCCTCAGCCTCCCAAACTGCTGGGATTATAGGCATGAGCCACTGCACCCAGCTTATTTGCCCTTCAAACTAGACCTGTGGACTTGCTTTTGAACATTTTCTCCCCTAATTATAGAATACATGTGCATTAAAGAAAACAGAAAAAAATCAGGAATGATTGGAAGGCATTGCTTCTGAAGGCCTCTTAACAATATACCTCTCTCCTCATCTCCTTTCCCAGTTGACCAAAGAAGGCTCCGTGTTTGTCTTTTATGTATATTAGCATGATTGAACTTCATCCATTTAGCCTTATTGAATACTGTACTTTGTTTCTCTTCAGGAAAATTACAGTTTGATATCTTGTGGGACAGAAGGTTTCATCTTTCAGTCATCAGAGAGCAAAGTAGGAAAGACTTAGAGAGGCAAAGTCCCTCTGCACCTAAGGATACACTATTTTTACTCTAAGGGGGCCATGAGGGTTTATTTACTTTCATCATTTTGGGGTGAGGAATGGTTAGAAACTGAGGGAGCATAAATAGGTTAAGTATTATCCATGACAGTAGGGTGGGAGTTAATGGAAGCTCATTTATAGCAGTTCTACTTCCTGATTTATGGGTATGTGTGGTGCATTTTAAAGAGATTCTGGTGAACTAACAAGGTGTAATAATTGTATTTTGTTATATATCATATTATTGACTGCCGGACTGCTTAACATGCAGCTTAATAATTATTATGGATATCTTTAAATATGCCACATTCACTTTATTCAGAAGTGAACTGATAAGCAACAAGCTGCCATGTGCTGAACAGTATTAGGTACTGGGATAAACAAGGGTTTTAAATGCTGAGAATAGTGTAAGCTATATATGTTTCTGTATAGCCTTCATGGTTTGCTAATAAGGTAATCTGTTGTCATTTCATAATTGAAATACTAGGGGGAATGTTGTAAAAATGCTCTTTATTATTGTTATTTAAATGGAAGTATTTTGTGTGGTTTTATAGTCATGGTGGGAAATCATGAGTTTTTGGACTAGGGTAGTGATGGTTGGGATAGAAGATGAGGGAAAAATCTGTAATGCCTCCCTGGTCCCTGGCCTGGTTGTAGAGTACAATGGTGGTATCATTAACCAGGACAGGGACAAGTGGAGGAGGCTCATGGCTTTTGAGAGAGAGAGAGAGAGAGAGAGAGTGTGTGTGTGTGTGTGTGTGTGTGTGTGTGTGTGTGTGTGTGTATGTTTATGGGTGTGAGATGGAACGCTGGGACATGAGAGGGAGATGACAAGTCCAGTGAGGACATTTTGAATATGAAAGATTAAGCACTCATGGGATACCTAAGTAGGGAAGTTCAGTAAGGAGCTCAATATATACGACTGAGGCTTAGGAGAAAGGCCTGGGCTGGAAATGGATATCACTAAATAGGTGGTAGTTCAGATTATGAGGGAAATGGATGCCATTGCTCATAGAGACTAAACATAGAGGAAATGAGAACCAAAATTAGTAAATGGGCAAAGTAAGAGGAAGCAGCAAAAGACTGAGAAGGAATGGCTGAGAGAGGGGCAGGAACACCAACAGAGCTCAGAGTTAAAGGAGCCAGTGGTAGAGAGGTTTCAAAAGGAAAGAAGTCAGGAGTGTCAGAAGGTAAAGACAGGCCAAGTAAACTGAAAAAGATAAAAGGATTTGGCAGTTCTGTCATTAGTAATGTTTGCCAGAACACTTTCAATGAAACAATGGTGGCAGAATTCTGTTTGTGTTGAGTTGAAAAGTATATTAAAATAGGGAAAGGGGCTGGGTGCAGTGGCTCTTGCCTGTAATCCCAGCACTTTGGGAGGCCCAAGCAGGCAGATCACCTGAGGTCGGGAGTTTGAAACCAGTCTGACCAACATGAAGAAACCCTGTCTCTACTAAAAATACAAAATTAGCTGGGCATGGTGACACATGCCTGTAATCCCAGCTACTCAGGAGGCTGAGGCAGGAGAATTGCTTGAACCTGGGAGGCAGAGGTTGTGGTGAGCCGAGATTGCGGCATTGCACTCCAGCCTGGGCAACAAAAGCGAAGCCCCGTCTCAAAAAAAAAAAAAAAAAAAAAAGAGAATGGTTACAATAAATGTGTATTATTTCAAGGCTCTTGACATTTTCTTAAAAACAAAAGATGATAATTTTAGGGAGGAGGTTACAGAATAGAGTAGGAGATCTACAAGAGAAGAGAACTTAACATTTTTATAAAGTATGGGGACAGAGTCATCAGAGAGGAGAAATTAGAAAGGTATAGTGAGATCTAGTAGGAGATAAGGGTGCAGGTAAAGGAATTAACCCAGAAAAGAGAAAGGATACCTTTTCCTCTGAGACTAGAAGGGAACAGGTAAGATGGTTTTATGTATAACTTGTAAATCTAGAGCAGGAAGTTGAGGGAATTCATAGCTAATAGTTTTAGTTTTTATTTTTTTTCTGATAAAGGAGTCATAAAAGAGGTAAGGGTAGAGCTGAAGTAGCAAGTTTGAGTTGAAGTAAGATGGTACAAAATATATGCTCTAGGTAATGGGAGAGGGAATTAATGAGGGAGGAAGGTTGTTAGCAGAAGAGGGTGATGTACCTGAGAACCTAGGCTGGATAGGAAAAGACACAAAGCATGTGGGAGATTGTAGTTTGAAGAAATGAGATTGTAGTTTGAAGAAATGAGGAATGGGTATCAAAATTAGGTAAGAAAGCAGGTATTTAGGGAGTAATGGAGTAAAAAAACTGCAAGGATAAGTAGTTGTAGTCAGAGATCAATATATTGGACTCTTAAGGCTGTAGAATAATTTCTTGGTTATCAGAAGATAGAGGGTGTAGCTTTGGGTATGGATTACTGAATGAAGTGGTTTTATGGAGTCAGAGTTCATAGTTTTTCAATGGGTTTTCCATATGGACACTGAAGTGGGAGGTGATGGCAGAAAATGCAGGGGAGGCAGATACTGTCAGCAAAGGGCCAGAGTCCTCAACAAAATGGAATGACTGGGTAATTAATAAGAATGAAAGAAAGGAGTAAAAAATTCCCAAGATTGTTCATCATGCCTTTTTTTTTTCCTCGTAAATTAAGAGACATGAGGGTAAGGACTATGTCTGAATTAATCCAACAAATGCAAATATTTGTTGAATTAATAAGTGAATGATAAACTCATGTTGAATAAGTATTTCAGAAAACTTGTTTTTTTCTTATTATAAGTAGTCGATATTAAAGAAAATACAAATAAGCAGGATGTAGGAAAAAATAATCCCATCAGCCAGAAATACCTACCCCCAACACCCTTTGTTATTAAACTTTTTGCTTAAATCTGTTTGTTGTTCATATATTTTTTTCCTAGCAATATTCAGTTGTACACTTTAACATCTAAATAAGTATTTTCTTATGGAATATAAGGATGTACTATAATTTAAGCAGTTCCTTATTTTGGGGCATTTATATTGATTCCACCCAAGTTTCTTCAACTGGTAAAACGAAAAACCTAATAGCTATTTTTTTTTTTTAGACAGTTTCGTTCTTGTCGCCCAGGCTGGAGTGCAATGGCACAATCTTGGCTCACTGCAACCTCTGCCTCCCAGGTTCAAGCAATTCTGCTGCCTCAGCCTCCTGAGTAGCTGGGACTACAGGCGTATGCCACCATGCCCGGCTAATTTTTGTATTTTTAGTAGAGACAGGATTTCACCATGTTGGACAGGCTGGTCTTGAACTTCTGACTTTGGGTGATCTGCCCGCCTCGGCCTCCCAAAGTGTGGGGATTACAGGCGTGTGCCACCACGCCCGGATAATTTTTGTATTTTTAGTAGAGATGGGGTTTCACCATGTTGGCCAGGCTGGTCTTGAACTTCTGACCTCAGGTGATCTGCCCGCCTCAGCCTCCCAAAGTGTTGGGATTACAGGTGTGTGCCACCACGCCCAGCATAATAGCTAAATTTTTGCCTTACTTATTTTCTTAGGATTCTTAGAAGTAGATTTTCTAGGAGGGGCTTCATAGAGATCCTATTTATCTTTATTTTAGGGCCATTTCTAACAGGCTTGTTTATGTGCATTCCATCCAGGATTGGAATCCTGGACAATGGACAGTGTTGCAGGTATTGACTGATGCAGGCATGCTGACAGCCACAAAAGTGAGAACTGTTAGTCACAGGTCCTTCTTCACAAAAAGAATGATGGGTATTTTTAAAACTTGGAATCAAGTATAGTTTTCATGAGCACAGTAAGAGATGATTCATGAGCTGAATACAGGATATAGTAGTCAATTCAGAAATGCATATTCAAATTAAATAAAAAACTCTTACAATAGTCTATATTTGTTGATAATACTGAACTTTAGTAGAGGTTTTTTTCCATAAATTTTAAAACTGTGGCAAAATACTCATGAAGTTTATCAACTTAACCATTTTTAAGTGTACAGTTCAGTGGTATTAAATACATCCATTATGTTGTAACCATCACCACCATTCATCTTTGTAACTAGTAGAGGTATTAATATACCAATCTTGAATAGTCATCAAAGTCACTCTACCTCAAACTTTTCCACAAAAGTATGGTTAGTAGCAGAGAGGAGTGAACAATTGCCTTAAAAACTTGGTCCCAAGCTAGAATTCTTTTTAGCTTCATGTTTTGTCTTAAATTTAATGTAAATGTAGTGTTACATACCATAATGTTCCTATATTTAGTAAAATACAATGATTATACATTTTTTCAAAATCTCTGAGGGAGGTTGATCCCCTTAACTTTGGCAATTTTGAGACGAAGTCTTGCTCTGTCACCCAGGCTGGAGTGCAGTGGCATGATCTCAGCTCACTGCAACCTCTGCCTCCCGGGTTCAAGCGATTCTCATGCCTCAGCCTCCCGAATAGCTGGGATTACAGGCATGTGCCACCATGCCTGGCTAATTTTTGTATTTTATTAGAGATGGGGTTTTGCCATGTTGGCCAGGCTGATCTTGAACTCCTGACCTCGGGTGATGCGCCTGCCTCGGCCTCCCAAAGTGCTGGGATTACAGGCGTGAACCACCATACCCGGCCTTCATTTTTCTTTTACGGTTTAGCCAAGGCTATTTATAGTAGTGTATGTCAAGGAGTAGACTGATTGATGTTCACCCTCTTCAAATGTGAGTGTCACAGAAACTGAAATTCACAGAGTAAAAATTTAGAAGTATCCTTTTATATTATATTTGCTCTAGTAATCAAGCATACTTCATCATTATTAATGCTATGAGACAATCTTATTGTACAAATAAAGAGAATGATTTCATGTGCTGGCTAGGGCCATAGCCCCACCTTTCCAAAGAGTATCAACTTTTCAACTATCCATGCATTATGACTCCAGAGACTTGTAAACCCTCTCAGGTGTAATAAATTTTTTTTTTTTTTTTGAGAGGAGTCTCGCTCTGTTGTAAGGCTGGAGTGCAGTGGCGCTATCTCGGCTCACTGCAACCTGCGCCTCCTGGGTTCAAGTGATTCTCCTGCCTCAGCCTCCCGAGTAGCTGGGACTACAGGTGCGTGCCACCACGCCCAGCTAATTTTGTGTTTTTAGTAGAGATGGGGTTTCACCGTGTTGGCCAGGCTGGTCTCGATCTCTTGACCTCATGATCCACCTGCCTCGGCTTCCCAAAATGCTGGGATTACAGGTGTGAGCCACTGTGGCCCGGCCCAGCTGTAATAATTTTGTTCTTCATGCCTGATCCCATTTCAGGAGATTGGTTATTACATTGAAGGACAGTAGCAAAATTGGAACTAAAGTCTGAGTCTCTTAACTCCTAGTTGAGGGTCTTTCCAATTACACCAAAAGGAAAAGAGTTACATATAACAAGAGATAAGACTTACTCCTACCTGCCCCCACAAAACCACTTTAAGCCATCCTAAGAACGGTCTCTTTTTTCTCCCTCCCTCTCTCCTTCCCTTCACCTTTCCTTTCTTCTTCTTCTTACCTTTTTTGGGGGTAACTCCCAACCACCCCAGTTCTCAGAATTAAAAGGTTAAGAATATTTTAGTACTCTTCAAGATACAAAGTAGACTATTAGAGTTTTTTGTTGTTGTTTCTCAAGCTTGGGACATAAAGCTCAGAGATCAGAACAACAGAATTTTAGAAAGGAATAGATAGGATACATGAAAAAGGCTGCTGGAATATGAAAAAACTGGAGTAAAAATAAGCAAATCAATACTTCTGAAATGAAGCCTTCATTGGTAGAAAAGAGTGTAGGTCACAAAAATGAATTAGCAGAAGTTCTTGATTTCTAATTATTGAAGATTCCTATCTAGTGGTATTCTAATATGCTTACCAAATTATGAGTTGCATTACTTTTTAAAAACCTAAAACCAAGTCAAGATTTACAGAGTGACCCCAGTTTATTTTGTTTGGTAAGTTTTCAGTTCCAGTTATTAGGCAAAACAAAAATTGCTAATACGTAACAATGCTGAAACAGGCGATTGGTAGAATAAAACAAAAGGGATTCATACAGCTTTTGTACTGTCTTCTTGAAAAAGTCATATTTGGCCATAAAAGCTAATACATGCTTTAGGAATGGAAATGATTTAACCTGATTTTTTCAAGTAAGATTTGTTCAAGAATAATGGGCTTATGTTGTCAGTTGTGGGTTCAAGCAGTAATTCACTTTGGACTGCTTCTATTCAACAGTATGCTGTCTGTACGTAAAGAGTTACATGGAATTTAATTTTAGCATTGGAATCTATTTGAGATACCATTATCTTTTATATTCAAATGAAAAATTATGGGCCTCTAGAATTAAGTGTTACTAACCTGATATAGATAGAATAATAGCTGTATCAAAAGGAAAAAAGCAAGGATAATATGTGTATAGGGTTTGAATCATACAGTCTCACTAGAGATGTGTTTTTTAAAATTGTGAATGTTTGTTGATTCATTCAAAACCGTTTGAAAATTGTGAGGGAGCCAGAAAAGGGGAGAATATTTGGATGTATAATTTAGATGTATAGTTTGCTTGCTTATCAGGGAATAGTTAAGTTCCTTTTTTTTCTGTATATTTTAGTTGGTGAAATTAACAGTTTTTGTTCTTTTAGATTACCCTGTAAAAGAACATGGCATTTTATAGATGAGATAATTGAGGCTTATACATGTTGAGTTATAATGTGTGGAGGAGTCTGATGTGCATCCAAGTCTGTCTGCCCCTAATGTCTCTGTTTTTAACCATTATCCTCAGAATGAAATACATTCATATAGTAGAGACCAATTCTTAAACAGAAGTCATCTTTACTCACAAAATTAATCTGTGAAGTACCCACTGTTCTCAGTTTCTCTCCCTCTCACTTTTTCTTTCTAGTGCTTTGCAGTTTTTAATGAAAGTGAATATTTTTTTCAGAAATTATTATTTTCATGTTTTTTATTAGAGGATTAAATTTGTTGCTAAGATCATTTAGTAAGTCTTTTGCAGTCTTTTAAGATTAGACTTAAGTGTAAACTTAAAGATTGCCTTGAAGTATATTATTTAGCTATATTGCATTATTATTCCTTATGTAATGAGCTATAGACTGAGCACTCCTTGACAAATCACAAGAATAAGACCCAAAGAATCAAACTTTCCCAAGTAACTTAACTGCATCCCAGGACAAAACTCAGGAACATTTAGAGGAACAGAAGACTATCCAGCAGCCAACAGATAAAATTCACAATGCCTTGCCAGGCACACAAAGAAGCCAGAAAAAATAATCCACAATGATGAAAACAATCAATCATCTGAAAGTGACCTTAAGCAGAGAAAGATGTTAGAACTAGTAAAGACATTGAACATTATTATAGCTATATTCTATATTTTCAGAAAGTAGAGACATGAAAGACATTTTTAAAAACTCAATGCAGTTCTAGGGATGAAAACTACAATATCTGAGATCTACTAATGGTATTTGTAGCAGATTAGACATGGCAGAAGAAAAGGTTAGTGAACTTGAAGGATATAGCAAAAGAAACTACTCAAAAATGAAAGAGAAAAAAGAATGACAAAAGCATCAGTGAGCTATGGGACAAACTTACAGAATCCTTATGTAAACATAATCAGAGGCATCAAAGGAGAGGAGAGGCAGATACAAAAGGGATATTTGAAAAAGTAATGGCCAGAATTTTCAAATTGGACAAAAACTATTAACTCACAGATCCAAGAAGCTCAACAAGAAGAAAACTACACCAAGGAATGTCATAATCAAATTATTCAAAGCCAATTATAAAAAATATGGAAAACAGCCACATGTTATAGAGTAACAAAGATAAGGTTGACAGCAGATTTCTCATTAGAAACATTGCAAGTGAAGAGACAGTAGAACATAAAGTACTGAAAGAAAAAAATGTTAACCTCAGCAAAATATCATTCAAAAAACAAAGGCAAAATAAAGATGTTTTCAGACATACGAAAACAACTCTTTACCATCAGGTAGACTGAAGGTAGACTGTGGTAGGGTGAAGATGTATACTGCCCTAGGGCAACCAGTAGAATAACAAAACAGTTATAGCTAATAAGTCAACAAAGGAGATAAGATAGAATCACAAAAAAATACTCAACCCAAAAGAAGGTGGAAAAAGGAACAAATAAGTAGTGAAACTAATAGAAAAATGGCAAGGCAATAGACTGTAATCATATCAGCAATCACATTAAATGCATATTATCTAAATATCCCACTTAAAAGGCAAAGATTGTCAGATAAAAAGCAAGACTGCTTTTGGACCTGGATGAACAGGAGGCACCATCACGGAAGTTGACTCCTGCCACAACAATGACTGAAAGGTTCAACACCAGGAACCCAAGAGCCAGGACATCTACTGAAGGCTGTTGGTTAAGCTGTATATGTTTCTGGCCAGAAGAAACTCTACCTTCAACCAAGTTGTGGTGAAGAGGTTATTTATGAGTTGCACCAAATGGCCATCTCTGTCTCTTTCCTGGATGATCTGGAAGATGAAGCTTCCTGGCCAGGAAAACAAAACAGCTGTGGTTGTGGGGACCATGTTCAGGAGGTGCCCAAACTGAAGGTGTGTGCACTGCACATGAGCAGTTGGGCCTGCAGCCAAATCCCCAAGGCTGGGGACAAGATTCTCACCTTTGACCAGCTGACCCTGGACACCCTCAAAGGCTGTGGCACCATCCTGCTCTCTGGGCCTCACAAGGGCCAAGAAGTGTACTGGCATTTCAGCAAGGCCCTGGGAACCCAGCATAGCCACACTAAGCCCTGTGTCCACTCCAGGGACCAGAAATTCAAGCACATCAGAGGCTGATGGGCCAGCCAAGGCTACAAAAACTAACCCTGGATCCTCTATCTTATTAAAAAGATTTTGGCCTGGGCGCAGTGGCTCATCCCTGTAATCCCAGCACTTTGGGAGGCCAAGGAGGGCAGATCACTTGAGCCTAGGAGTTCAAGACCAGCCTGGGCAACAAGTGAAACTCCATCTCTATAAAAAATTAAAAAAAAAAATTAGTTGGGTGTGGTGGTACATGCCTGTAGTCCCAGCTACTTGGGAGGCTGAGGCAAGAGGATCGCTTGAGCCCAGGAAGTCAAGGCTCCAGTGAGCCATGATCGTGCCACTGCACTCCACCCTGGGCGACAGAGTGAGACCCTGTCTTAGAACAAAACAAAACGAAACAAAAAATTTTGGATGGTGGGGGAAAGGAAAATAAAAAACAAGATCCAACTATATACTCTCAATAAAAAAACACATTTTAGGCTGGGTGTGATGGCTCCCAGCACTTTGGGAGGTCAAGGCAGGTAGATCACCGGAAGTCAGGAGTTCAAGACCAGCCTGGCCAACATGGCGAAATCTCGTCCCTACTAAAAATACAAAAATTAGCCAGGCATGGTGATGGGTGCCTGTAATCCCAGCTACTTGGGAGGCTGAGGCAGAAGAATTGGACGAATGCAGGAGGCAGAGGTTGCAGTGAGCAGAGATCATGCCACTGCACTCCAGCCTGGGAGACAAAACGAGATTCCGTCTCAAAAAAAAAAAAAAAAAAAAGAAAAAGAAACACATTTTACACACAAAGACATAATAACATTAAGAATAAAAGGATGACCAGGCACAGTGGCTCATGCCTGTAATCCCAGCACTTTGGGAGGTTGAGGCAAGAGGATCACTTGAGCCCATGAGTCTGAGACCAGCCTGGGCAATATGGTGAGATCCTGTCTCCACAAAAAATTAGCCAAGTGTGGTGGTGCACACCTGTAGTCCCAGCTACTTGGGAGGCTGAGGTGGGAGGATAGCTTGAACCCAGGAAGTCAAGGCTATAGGGAGTGGTGATCACGCCACTGTACTCCAGCCTGGAGTGACTCAAAGTACAGTCACTTTGAGACAGAGTGAGACTCTGTCTCAAAAAAAAAAAAAAAAAAAAAAAAAGGTAAAAGGATGGAAAAAGATATATCATACTGATGCTGGCATTAGTCAAAAGAAAACTGGTGTGGCTATATTAACATGAAATAAAGTAGATTTCAGAGCAAATAATATTACCAGGAATAAAGAAGGCCATTTTATAATAATAAAAGGGCTGGTTAATCAGAAGGATACAATAATCCTACATGGTTTTGTCTCAAATAATAAAAGCTTCAAAATATGTAAATCAAAAACTGACAGAAGTGCAAGGAAAAACAGACAAATCCATAGTTAGAGATTTCAATACCCCTCTTTAAATGATTGCTAAAACAAGTAGAAACTTACAAGGATATAGTAAACTCAAGCAACACTGTAACCAAATTAACAGTACAGGTTGAGCATCCCTAATCTGAAATACAAAATGCTCCAAAATCCAAAATTTTTTGAGCACCAACATGACCCAATACGTTGGGTCCTATTCCCAGGATCTCTTATTATATATATATATATAAATGTTCAGAAAATCCAAAAAACTTTGAAATCTGAAACACTTCTGGTCCCAAGCATTTTGGATAAGGGATACTCAACCTGTAATAGAATATATATTCTCTTCAAAGTATACATGAAACATTTACCCAAATCGATCATATTCTAGGCCAGAGGTTATCAAACTATGGCCCTGAGGCCAAATGTAGTCTGTTTTTGTATAGTCCATGAACTAAAAATGGTTTTTACATTTTGAAAGATTTCTTTAAGAAGAAAAGAAAATATGTGACAAAGATCATATGTGGCCCACAGAGTTTAAAATATTTACTGTCTGACCCTTTAGAGAAGTTTGCCTGCCCCTGTTCTAGGCCATAAAACATGTCTCAGTAAATTTTAAAGGATTCAGATAATGCAGAGTATGTCTTCTGACTACAGTAGAATTAAAATTAGAAATCAATAACAGAAAGCTGTCTGGAAAATCCCCAAATGTTTGGAAACAAAATAACATGCTACTAAATAACCTTCTAATAACCCATTGATTAAAATAGGAGTGCAGTAAAATTAGAAGGCATTTTGAGCTGAATGAAAATGAAAACAAAGCATATCAAATTTTGTGGCATGCCACTAAAGCAGTATGTAGGAAGACATAAGCAAAATGCTTATATTAGAAAATATAAAAAGTCTCAAGTTAATGAGCTTCCACCTTAAGAAATTAGAAAAGAAGAACAAATTAAACACAAAGAAACAAAAGAAATAATAAAGATCAAAGTAGAAATAAATGAAATGGAAAACAAAATAAATTGAGAGTATTAATGAAACCAAACCCTGGTTCTTTGAGATAAATAAAATTGATAAATCTTTTGCCACGCTGATCAGGAAAAAAAAAAAAAAAAGAGAGAAGACACATATTACCAATATCAGGAATGAGAGGTGAAATATGACAAATTCTACAGATACTTAAAGAATAGCAAGGGAATATTATGAAAAACCTTAAGCAAATAAAATTCAACAACTTAGATGAAATGGTCAAATTCCTTGAAAGACATAACTACCAAAGCTTACTCAAAAAGAAGTACAGCCAGGTGCAGTGGCTCACACCTGTAATCCCAGCATTTTGGGAGTTTGAGGTGGGCAGATCACTTAAGTCCAGGAGTTCGAGACCAGCCTGGGCAATGTGAAGAAACCCCATCTCTACTAAAAATACAAAAAAATTTAGCTGGGTGTGGTGGTGCATGACTGTAGTCCCAGCTACTTGGGGGGCTAAGGCGGGAGGATCGCTTGAGCTTGCGAGATTGAGCCCTGATTATGCCACTGCATTCCAGCCTGGGTGAAAGAGTGAGACCCTGTCTCAAAAAAAAAAAAAAAAAGAAAAAAAAGAAAAAAAAAAGAAAAAAAAGAAAAAAAAAAGAAAAAGAAATAGATAACTTCCAAAGCTATGTATCTATTTTTAAAAAATTAATAGTTAAAAATATTCTCACAAAGAAACACTAGTGGATTCTTCCAGACACTTAGGGATAACACTGTGTATACCAATTATATACAAATCTTCCAGAAAACTGAAGAGGAAGGAATACGTCTCAGTTTATTTTTGGGGGCCAGCATTACCCTGATACCTAAACCACACAAAGCCATTACAAGAAAAGAAAACTATAGCCCAGTTTCCCTCTTGAACATGGATGTAATAATTCTCAACGAAACTTTAACAAGTCAAATCCAACAAAATATAAGAAAGTTAATATTACTGGATGAGGTTTATCCCAAAAATATGTCATTGCTTTAAATTAAAAAATTAATCATTGTAAGTCACTATATTAAGCTAAAAAAGAAAATCTGATCATTTCAATAGACACCCAAAAAATCTGACAAAATCGTATATTTGTTCCTGATTTTAAAAAACCAAAAACAAAAAAAACAAAAAAAACAAAAAAAAAACCAAACCTGTTAGCAAACTAGGAATAGAAGGGTACTTTCTCAACCAGATAAAGGACATCTATAAAAATCCTACAGATAGCCTTATGCATAATGATGAAAAACTGCATGCTTTCCCTTTCCCCGTAAGATAAAGAATAATACAAAGATATCTGCTCTGACCACTTTCATTCAACATCAGAGGTTCTGTCCAGGGCAATCAGGCAAGAAAAAGAAATAAATCGCATTCAAGTTAGAAAGGAAGAAATACAACTGATGATAGCCATCATTCCTAAGAGTTCCCCTTGCCTCTTTATAATCCTTGCCTCCTCTTACCTCTCTCCCCAGGAAACCACTGGCCTGTTTTCTGTCACTAGAGACCAGTTTGCATTTTCTAGAACTGATATATGTGGAATCATGCAGTATGTTACTCAATTTTTTTTGTCAGTAATTGGTAGCTTATCTTGCAATCAAAGTTCATATACAACCATTTGATCTTCATTCCATTCCCTCATTAGTCCATAGAATGTCAATCAATTTTTCTTTCTTTTATTTATTTATTTTAACGAAACAGGGTCTTGTTGTGTTGCCTAGGCTGGAGTGCAGGCTTACTTCAACCTCCAACTCCTGGGCTCAGGTGATCCTCCCGCCTAAGCCTCCAGAGTAGCTGGGACTACAAGGGTGTGTCACCATGCCTGGCTAACTTTTTAAAATTTTTTGTATTGATGGGGTCTTGCCATGTTGCCCAGGCTGGTCTCGAACTCCTGAGCTCAAGACCTCCCAAAGTGCTGGGATTACAGGCATGAGCCACTGCGCCTGGACTCAATTTCTGTATGATGATGACTTTCATATGTACATCAACAGGCCAGATAGCTTATCAAGAAAGCTTCTCCTCTGTCTTCTAGTAATATCCCACTTAGATCTGACATTATTTTTTTCCTTCAAGGTATTTCTTCCAAATTTCTTGGCTGTTGTTGGTGACAACACAAGTTTTTGGACCTTTAAGTTTACAATCTTAGGTTCATTTCCTTATTTTATTTCTTCCCTATAGGTAAATGATCACTAAACTTGTTACTTCTTATAGTTACTTCTTTGTAAGGCACTGCAGATATGTTTCTTTTCATTTTTAAAATTGCCCATTTAATTCAAGCTATTAAATATCAAGCTTGTACTATATCAAGAGTACTATATATCAAGACTATAGCCTCTTGATATTTTCCCTACCCTCCCATCCTGCCATACCCATGTCTCCACTAGCCTATATAAAACATAAAATACTTTTCATCAAACTCTCTGTAGAGAAGTGTTGCTGGGCGAATAAGAAAAACCTGATTGACTAGAAAGCAAATGTAAATGTAATCTCCTTTCTTTTCAGTGATTCTACCAGAAAGGAATGAAGAACAGAACCTTCAGGAATTGAGTCACAATGCAGACAAATATCAAATGGGAGATTGTTGCAAGGAAGAGATTGATGATAGTATTTTCTACTAGCCATTGGGAAGATAAAAGGAGACAGAAGATTGAAGCCTTTGCCAGCCATTCTTTCCCTTTTTGCTTCCAAACTCCTCAACTGGGAACCTTCATATGTGCAGTATTTATATTGGATCATACTGGTGATTATAAAAGTTCCTAGGAGGCTAGAAGAGCCAACCAACAGAGAAGGGAAAGCAGTCTGTTCTGAACATAGGGACATAAGTTCATTCATGCCAAGTATCTTTCCAGCATGTTTCTCCCATTTAGAATATCTAGCATGTAAGGCCTTTCAATATTAATATAAGCCCAATATCAGCTCTTTCTCTTTGTATTTCATCTCTTTCTACTCTCCTATTTGTATTTTGTGTTCCTATCAAAGTGTCGTATCTGGGAGATGACCTGCCTTATCCTGTTCTATAACAGTTTTGTTTGCTGCTGTGTCTTTAGAACAGTGCCTGGCACACAGTAAGCACTCAATAAATCTTTGATGAATGAATGAATGGTTATCTTTTCTCTCTGGCAATCCAAATTCACCACTCCTTAAAAATTCTACATAAGATTTGCTGGCTGGGCGCAGTGACTCACGCCTGTAATCCCAGCACTTTGGGAGACTGAGACAGGTGGATCACCTGAGGTCAGGAGTTTGAGACCAGTCTCAACATAGCGAAACCCCATCTCTACTAAAAGTACAAAAATTAGCCGGGCGTGGTGGCAGGCGCCTGTAATCCCAGCTACTTGGGAGACTGAGGCAGGAGAATCACTTGAGCCCAGGGGGGCAGAGGTTGCAGTGAGCTGAGATCACGCCACTTCACTCCAGCCTGGGCAAAAGAGCAAAACTCCGTCTCCAAAAAAAAAAAAAAAAGATTTGCCTATTCCAGCAGACTTCTACCCAATATCAATCTAGATTTAAATCACTTGATTTTCCACATCCCTTTAGCAATTATGTATAGTTTGCACTTCATTAACCTACCCTTATTTATGTTACTTCTCACATACACCCATATCTCTTCTGTATTTTCAATCAAAAGATAATGCCTCAAATGTTATATATATTGTATGTGCCACTCAACAGTGCCTCATATGCTGCAAAAAAAAAAGACAGTAAACAATCGGGGTACCTTTTTGTCTTTTAAGCCATATTTTCTGGGTCAGTGTGGTCTTTCAAGGGAGTTTAGACAGGCTCTATTTTTTGTTACTTCACTCCTATAGTATGTGACTGTAAATTGTTCCTTCAGTGTTCAATTTAAGTACAAACTAAAGAGAAACAGTTTCCTAAAGAAAAACATTTTAAAGTTACAGAGACACCTATGTGTTCGTAACATTTCTCCAGAAATATTTGAAGTAACGTAAAACTTCTGGACTGGTCAGTTTAAATATTTTCTTGGAATTTCTATAGAAATTTCTGTGGAATGGTGTTATATTGGAAATATTAATTAACTATAAGAAGACTCCTACTTCTTCACAGAGAACAAGCAGGGATATCCTGGATTTTCACAGTATTTAGGCCACTCCTTAATTGTCTCATGAAGGAATTAAGGTAGTGGAACACATTCAAGAATTGCTTAGGTGTCAAAATAAGACAAAGTGTAACAGTTTTTTTCTGTAGTAGATTTTTAAATAGTTAAAAGACTCTGCCCTCTTTATCTATACTGTATTCTGGCAATAATAAAGTTGGGCAGCCTATACATAAAAGCAATTTCTAACAATGCCAAATTAACAGCAGTTTCTTGGCCCTTTCCTTTCCCTCCATGAAAGTTACAATATTAGGTTATTTCACAGGTTTCCTCCATGCCCCCCATACCCAACCTAAAACTGTGTTAGGCTGTCAAAGAAAACAAATCAGGTAAGATTAGTGTTTGCCTTTACGCAGTCATTCTAAGTACACATAAAATCATACATAATATGAAAATACAGCAGGAAGAGAAACATCAAACCATAGAACTGAGTTTTAGTTTTACTGACATTTATATGGCATACTTCCTGTTTTTGATTTCAGAAGTGCAACCATGCAGTGCTTCTATGAAAAACTGAATAGTTGAGTACAGTTTGAGGATTATAACAACTTATCCAAAGGAAACAAACAGACCTAACTTACTGCTGTTTTCATTTGTGGAACTGCTATCTTTGTTGTAAAAAGTTGAGTATTTTTCAAACATCATTTAATAATAGGGTAGCCCCTAAAACAAGTAAGGAGCTATAAGTCTGAGTTGTGAATTTGACTAGTAATGGAATAAGAAAACCAAGCCAAACTCCATCTAAATATGTATGTAAAGGTAATGCTTGTAAAAATTTGCTTTTTCCTCATTTTGAGATTTCAGTTGCCAGTTGACTATTGGTATGCAAAATTAACAATTCTGCCTAAAGGAGGTAAACGATAGAGGTTAATTCTTAAATAAAAGTCCCTTTGTTTCACTATTAACTTTTTCTATTTGAAGCATAATTGTGTCAGCTAATTTATTTTTTGGTAACCACTTAGGAATTTGGGAGGGAGGGGGGCACTCAAGTAAGCAATGACAGCCAGCTAGACATCAAAATCCATGTTCTCACTTCATGGCCGTACAGATAAATTTCATTTCCTAGCCTCTCTTGCAGTTAGATGTGGGCATATGACTAAGCTCTAGCTAGTGGAATGAGAATGGATGTCAACTACTTTAAGCTCTTTAAGTCAACTAAAGAAATCAACTACTTTAAGCTCCTGTCCCTAAAAAACTCCCAACAGACTGACCCCTCCAAGGAAACCTTGGAAGTTAGGTCCTAAATGCTTAGGTACAGTAAGACC
This sequence comes from Homo sapiens, assembly GCF_000001405.40. Taxonomy (NCBI): domain Eukaryota; kingdom Metazoa; phylum Chordata; class Mammalia; order Primates; family Hominidae; genus Homo; species Homo sapiens. The sequence goes on from NC_000013.11 coordinate 50,107,581, forward strand.
TTGGAAACTACTAAAGAAATAGTAAAGTAAACTTGTTTTGCAAGAACAACTTTGAGCCACTATATATTTTGGGGATGATCTATTATGGCAATTAGCCTGCCGTCATTAATTTGATCTATAAAACATATATGAAGTGTCCCTGTGATACACAACTCCAGTGGTCACACACTGTAATGTATGCAACTGGGATTTTTCTGAAGCACAACTGAGAGGCTACAGGTATGCATACATATGGATATAGGTAAATGTTCCTCCCAGGAGTGGTAAAATGCTGTGGCTTTGCCAACTAACTCCAGCTTCTCTCATGGGTTTTATTGTGGATGATTATTGATTTGTGTAAAGGAACTTCCCTTTTGTGTCTGTGGTAATAGATAAAGGTGGAATGGATCCTCCAACAAGAATCTTGAGGGGAAAATATATACTTATGATCAAAATAAGATATCTTTCTTGGGTTTGTCCAATAGTGATGGCTACATAGTCTTCCTATTACCTTTTATCTACAGGCAGGCAGTAGGCCATAATAGTATTAGAAGCCCCTCCCTTTCTCCAAAAAAAAAAAAAAAAAAGTGCTCTGAGCAGTAAAGATATTTAATTTAACATATCTGCGCTTCATGTTTCTCATCTGTAAAATGAGAGTTGGATTATATCACTTCAAAAGTTTCCTTTTTTCACTAAACATTCTCCCATCTATGACTACAATGTCCAGAGCTAATGGTAGAAATATATATATATATATTTTTTTTTTTTGAGAGGGAGTCTCCCTCTGTAGCCAGGCTGGAGTGCAGTGGTGCAATCTCAGCTCACTGCAACCTCCGCCTTCGGAGCTCAAGCGATTCTACTGCCTCTGCCTCCCTAGTAGCGGGGACTACAGGCACGCACCACCATGCCCAGCTAATTTTTTTTTTGTATTTTTATAGAGATAGGGTTTTAACATGTTGGTCAGGATGGTCTAAATCTCTTGACCTCGTGATCTGCCCGCCTTGGCCTCCCAAAGTGCTGGGATTACAGGCATGAGCCACTGCGCCCGGCCAAAATAATTTTTTTTGTTTTCTCTTTTATTTTGAGACACAGTTTCGCTCTTTTTGCCCAGGCTGGAGTGCACTGGCACGATCTTGGCTCACCACAACCTCTGCCTCCTGGGTTCAAGTGATTCTCCTGCCTCAGCCTCCGGGGTAGCTGGGATTACAGGCGCCGCCCCCGCCCCGCCCCGCCGCCACCACCCGCTAATTTTGTTATTTTTAGTAGAGACGGGGTTTCTCAGTGTTGATCAGGCTGGTCTCAAACTCCTGACCTCAGGTGATCCGCCCACCTCAGCCTCCCAAAGTGCTGGGATTACAGGTATGAACCTCCGCGACCAGCCTATTTGAAATAATTCTTAACATGAGCATTTCTTCAGATTTCAAGTTGATATTACAGAAGCGCAAGTGCTTCATAGAAACTTGAAATTATTTTAAAAAAATGTTTAACTCTCACCAAGGCACAAGAGAGGTTATACTCTTCTCCCAAACAAGCTATTAAATTGAAAGGATTTTAAACTTACCCAAGGTTTTTTAGAGTAGTTTTATTATTATTATTTTATTTATTCGTTTTTTTGAGATGAAGTCTTGCTTTGTCACCAAGGCTGGAATGCAGAGGTGTGATCGGCTCACTGCAGCCCCGACTTACTGGGCTCAAGTTATCCTCCTGCCTCAGCCTCCTGAGTAGTAAGGACTACATGTGTGTGCCACAGTGCCCGGCTAGTTAGAGTAATTTTAAAACACTGTGTCACTTCTCTGATTTCTATACTTTACTCCATGAGTGGAGAAATAATATCAAAGCTAATACAGAATGTGATAGTTATTGAAATAATACTATAAAAAGTCAAAAACTAGACAGCAGATTTTATAGTTTTTCAGTGAATTTACCAGTTAAAAACCTTAAATTTTACTTTTCCTAATTGTATGTTTATAATGTTTCAATGTAATAACAATTCATATAATAGCACATTCAGGATCATGGCAAAATCAGCTAAGTCATAGTTAACACACACTCCTTGTCTCTACGTATGTGGTGCTAAGTCATATTTTTGGTATAGCTAACAAATGATTTTTTGTCTGTCTGCTGGTGGGGTTTTAATCTCCTGGATTTCAACTTTGGTTAAAGTTAAAAAATACACTATCCAGACTTTATACAGGCATGAATTGGCTTTAATTCACATTCTTTTGCTGCAGGAGAGCTGCAGAAATATGGACCTCACTCAGGGATGATACTGTTTTAGAAAGGAGAAGGGACAGGCTGTATAACATTGTCCAGAGTGGAGTTTTCATGTTGCGAGAAAGCCATGTATAGGCCGGAGTACATGAGTAAAAGGAATAACAACTCCCCCATCCCCTGCCACAAAGGAACAAGACAGGAGAGCCAACAATAGTATTTTGACTATTAGTTGACGAGTATGGATTCTAAAAATATCTTTACATAATTGCAGAAATTGAGGAACAATCTAAATGTTTAAAAATGAGATTGATAAATAAATTTTGGTATATCTATATGTTGGAAAGCTATGCAGATGTTAAAAACAGGTTTTCAAAACTATTCAGTAACATGAAAAAATGGTCATTATAAACTACTGAGTGACAAAAATAAGATATAAAACTATATGTAGTAATTAGCAACTATATATTTTAAATACAGGAAGGAAACATGAATGTTAACATTGGTTTTTCTCTGGCTGGTGGGATTACAGATGACAATACTTTTGTGGTTTCCAACATTTCTCTAGTTAACACATTCTGTTTACAATTTTAAACATTACTTTCAAAGAAAAAATGTGATATATGTAAATATGGTTATATAAAATCTGTATACATATGTATTTTATTTATGTATATCAAAACCAGACCAAAAATACTGAGTTTGATAGTTTTCAGATTGACACTGTAACAGAATACTTTCCTTGACCCTCATTTTATGTTGAGATCTTTATGGCAGTGAAAGGGCTAGAGAGAGGCATGTACTTTCAGAGTTTCTGAAATGACATGTATAGTATGAAAAAGCATAGAAGCATTCCTCAATTTTCACATCTTGAATTTTAATACAACCTGTAATTTTGTACATACTAAATGAATGTATTAGTTTTCCAAGCTACAGCATTGGTGGCCAGTTAGCAGTTAATAATAATATTTTTCAAAGGATAATAAATGAAAATATTGTTGGCCAGGTGCGGTGGCTCACACCTGTAATCTCAGCACTTTGGGAAACCAACGCAGGTGGATCGCTTGGGTCCAGGAGTTCTTGACCAGCCTGGGGCACACAGCGAGATCCCGGCTCTACAAAAAAAAACTAAAAAAATTAGTGGGGCATGGTGGCATGCGCCTGTAATCCAAGCTACTCAGGAGGTTGAGGTGGGAGGATCACTTGAGCCTGGGAGGCGGAGGTTGCAGTGAGCCGAGATCCTGCCACTTCACTCCAGCCTGGGCAACAGAGTGAGATACCATCTCAGGAAAAAAAAAAAAAAAAGTTGAATATACTAGAGATCCAAACTATTTGGAGGAATAATTGATTTTCTGGGCAAAGCTAAGAAATAGAAGTTATTCATACTATTGGCTACAAATTTGTAAATATATTGGATTATACTCCCTCCCAAATCATAACTCTTAATCCTGCAGTTTTATTGCATTTTTCTGGGTATTTAGTTTTGTGATGCTTTTCTGGGAGACTAAGTTAAGAGACCCAAACTCAGATTTTAAAATTAGTTCATTTTTTTTTTGTTTTACATTTTTCTAATTATTTCTATCAATGAAACTGTGGCATATTACAAAATTTCAAGATAAATAATTTTCTGTCATGTTTCATAGGTCAAGTAAAAAAAAGGTTCTGCAGCTAAAATAAGGCTTAAGGGGGAAAAGTGGCCAGCAGCACATTCAAAGTTTATGAGCACAGACTTGGGGAATCGGATAGATGTAGGTTCAAATTCTTATACTGGGGGTAGGCAAGAAAGATGCATAAACAGTGAATTTTAAAGTTTGGAGGGATTTTAGAGATCATTTAATCAAAATCCATTGTTTTGCAAAGGAAACTAACACCCTGGAAAGTTAAATATCTCACCTAAAGTTTCAATCCCAGCATTGCTACTCATGTTATCTAGGTTTGCTTACTTCCCAAATTCAGCACTCTTTACTTTCTACTACAATATGCTACATTTGAGGTTGGAGGAGACCAGATTATAGAAAGTACTGAAAATTAGACCAAAGAGTTTGAACTTACTTTAAATCTGTCTGTCTTCATTATTATTATTATTATTTGGAGGAGTGGTACTGGGCACAATGGAATGATAATGATCAGAGTCATAAAAGATGTATAGAGATCCTATGTTTCCTGAAAATTCTGTATCATACTCAGTACAACTTTAAACATTCTAGGGGAGAACCCAACTCATTTCTTTGTCTTATTTAAATAATACTGAGTAATGGAACTGACTAGATTACAGTTGATAACTATTTTATTTTTTCACTTGCTTTTGTCATTTTATTCCATGAATTAATGGTATACATGTGAGATTAAACTGATGCTGAGTTGGGAGGCAACACTGTTTGGTTCTGAAGAGCAGACTTTTCCTTAAAAGTTAAAATATTAAGAATAAAATCAAAACAAAAACCTTGAGTCTAAATTTGAATATGACTCTCAACTTTAAAAGGTAGTCCACATAAATTTTTCTCCTTAGATTTATTTTTGATATTAAAATATATACAGAATTAAAAGAGAAATTTAATTTTTTACAGCAAAATTTTTACCAGATAATGAAGCTTAAAAATGCTGACCTTTTAGCTCATTTCTAGGAATTTATTCTAGTTTAGGAAAATAGATTTATGCATAAAAAAGCTCATGGCAATATTATTTGTAAGTAAAGAAAATAAATAACCACTTACAAGGAACATTATGCAGACACTGAAACTTTTGAGGAGTTTTCAATTTATGATACATTTGAGGAAACATTTATGATACGTTGTCATATAAAAAGGCAGTGTACACAAGCAATTTAAACTTCATCAGCTTAAACAACTGCCTGGAAATATGTCAACTCTCAACAGTTGCCTCTAAATAAAGGAACTATTGGTTATTTTTTCCTGGTGTCCTTTAAATTTTTTTTTCTTTATTTTAACCTATTTTCACACTTTCTTCACTTACCATGTACTACTTCTATAATCAGATACGTGTTTGTATCCTAATGATATGTTTTCAGTATCATCACGAGTATAAACATATGTGTGTATGTGTATGTGTGTGTACATTGTTGACCAAGAGAAAAGTTGATATTACTTAAATCCAAATAATGAAATTTCCAAAAAAACGCATACATATCCTACAACTTATAAAATTATAATGGTTTAATACAATGTACTAAGTATTCTGACATAGCAGGCTTTCAGTATATTAGTTGATGATGAAGATAATTAGAGAAGGGATACCTCAATTAATTTACCAAGTTCCTTGAGTCTGTCAGCAACTCTCCCACCAAGAATTTAACAATATAATATGACATTAAAAAGCTGGTTTGTGTGGTGCATTTTTGCAAACTATTATTTTGTATTTTTATTTTTTTTTTTGAGACGGAGTCTCATTCTGTCATCCAGACTGGAGTGCAGTGCCGCGATCTCGGCTCACTGCAACCTCTGACTCTGGGGTTCAAGGGACTCTTCTGCCTCAGCCTTTCAAGTAGCTGGGATTACAGGCACACGCCACCAAGCCTGGCTAATTTTTTTTGTATTTTTAGTAGAGATGGGGTTTCGCTATGTTGCCCAGGCTGGTCTTGAACTCCTGGCCTCAAGTGATCCTCCTGCCTTGGCCTCCCAAAATGCTGGGATTACAGGTGTGAGCCACTGTACCTGGCCTTAAATGCTAAGTTTTGACACACAAAAAAGAAAAATTTGTCCTTACCTTGTTCATTTTGATCAGCTATGTGAGGTTCAGGTAAGATTTTACGATCAGTAAAAAAGGTTTCTTGTGGAAGTAACTGGAAATAAGATTTACCTTGTAGGGTCATTATAAGTTTTGGAGATCATGTATGTAAAGTGCCTAGCATAGTGCCTGGCTCACAGGCACTCAGTAAATGGTGGCTATTATAATACATAATATTAATATGACTCCTTTTGTTATATTTCTATACATAAGGTGATCTGAAAAAAATATGAAGTGTAGTCCCCCATTTAAAAACATGATTCTAGGGCTGGATGCAGTGGCTCATCCCTATAATCCCAGTACTTTGAGAGGCCGAGGTGGGAGGATCACTTAAGCCCAGGAGGTCGAGGCTGCAAGGAAGTGTGATTGTGCCACTGCACTCCTGCCTGGGCAATAGAGTGAGACCTTGTCTCATAAATAAATAGATAGTTAAATAAATAAGTAAACAACACATTTCTAGACTTCTAGATAAAATGGGGAGTGAAAGCAGACCATAGAATCTCTCTGCACATATACTTTACAAGAAGTATACAACAGTATACTTTGTATACTGGAAAAACAACAATAAGAACTCCTTTAAAAGCATTACTAGAATCAGCTAGAAAAAGAAAATGTCCACAACCTAAGGCAACAGAGGCCAAAAGAATGCAATTATTTCAAAATAAATTTGGAACAGCAAGAAATGAAATAAGACATAGCTGGAAAAGTCAAATTCTCACCAAGAAGGAAGACTGGCAGTCCCAGAACATTCCCCTAATGAATTCATTCTTTTCTTCTTCAACATGATTATGTCCCATGTCTTCTCTCCTAAATCTCCCACATCTCTATGCTCCTCACTTCAAATCTTGTTTCATTGATAAATAGAAGTTGTTACAAGAGAAACTTATCTTCCCATATCAAATCTACCAATGTGCTTTTATCTGTACTCAAATATACTTTCTTCCTGTTACAAAGATCAACTATCCTTGCTATTATCTAAGGCAAGCCCCTCTACTGTGTCCTAGGTCCCATCTTCTCTTGCATATTCAAACATTTTGTTCCTGTGATTATCCCCTCCATATCCTGCATCCTCAGTTTCTCCCTCATCACCCTACAGTCCATATCCACATCTGCTTACAAAGGGAACAGAAGGCCCTTTATATCAAAGTTCTTCAAAGACTCTATAATTGCAATCTTCACTTCCTTACATTATCTCTTGAATCCATTCCAGTTTGGATTATTGTCTCCACAGCACCACTTAAAGTGCTCTTGTTGAGATTACCAACTACCTTATTGACAGATCATTTTCCTCTTCTCAAATGTCTGCGAGTCCCAGACATATTCCTCATACCCACCATCAACATTTCCCTCCAAGGTCATGTCTTCAATCTCTTGGTGTTAAATACTGTCTACCATCATAGGACTCCTAACATTTATATTCTATCCCTGATCCCTCTGTGGAGCTCTGGACTCACATACAACTGCTTGTCCAGCAACTCCGCTCAAATGTCTAAAGAGAACCTCAAAGTTAGCACATTTAAAATAAATCTCTTGATTTTCTTCTCCTCCACATTTTACTTCTCCCTAAGTCTTCCCTCATGTCAATATATGGCATAATTTCTAGTTACTATGGGCAAACATGTAGAAATCGTCCTTAATTCCTCTTTATCCCAGTTATTAAGCTGTTATCTTTCAGCAATAAACCTTTCCATAAACACTGCTTTGTGATGCTGGGACTGGGACTCTGCAAACTATATTTTTACTTTGCCAGCTGAATTCCTGCTATGTTTCATCAATATAGAGTAGTAGAGGAAAACTAGAAGTCAAGAAGAAGGGAAAATAACTTGCCCTCCCTCATAGGCCTTCTGTACCTGTCAGTGTTGCCCCAGCTGTGGGCCTTCACCCTGACAATGGTAGTTAGCTCAAAATTGCAACTATGTTTGGCTCTCCTAGACCAGTCCCAACAGACCCTCTCAGGAGTACCAGCAGCAGATGGGCAGCACTTCCTTGTCGGAGGTCAGAGTTCCAGCTCTGCCAAGTCCCTCCTCCTAGCTCCTGGGTTCTAAGAACTTGAGGTCTTTCTGTGTTTACCCAGTACCAGGGGCAGTAGCTGCTTCCCCAAGTTACTCTGTTATCTCAGTGCTCTCTTTTCGCTTTTTTCAGTCCTGCAACACCCATTTAACCAATCTCTTATACTCAGTGATTGCTCTTGAAATACTTAACAGCAGCCAGAGTGGTTCTTCTATGGCATAAACCATCTGCCTGCTCCTCATCACACTTAGAACAAACATCAAATTCTTTCCTAGGGTGTACAGCTCCTTTGGTGATCTGGCCTACCCATTTCTCTAGTCTCATCTCCCACCTGCTTCCCGTTACTCGTTTGGCTCCAATCACTCTCTCTTGAACACACTGCTTTTCCACCTCAGGGCCTTTGTATGTGCTCTTCTCATACCTGGACTGCCCAGGTCTTTGCCTAGCTCACTGCCTTACTTCACTCAGGCCTATTCTCAAATGTCCTCTTAGAGATGCCTGCCCTAACTACTCTATCTAAAATGCACAATCCTCTCTGTACCCACCCCCAACCCGCCCCAATTCCTTACCTCCATTTCTTTTTCTTATCACTACAAGTTTATTTCTTCCTCTTCCATCCTCAACTGAAATGTAAGCTTCATAAAGGCAGGGATGTGATCATATTTATCACTGGTGCCTGGCATATATAGTAGGTACTCAAATTCTAGTTAATAAATGAATTTAAGAAATTCTAGAAATTAATAAATTGTAATGAATGTAGTAGAAAAGTAGACCAAAGAAATTGCAAAGAAGATAATGTGGAAGTAAGACAAAGCTGACATAATATAAGCTGATCCATCTCCCTGCATATATAATGCAACAAATGAATCAGAAAAGGCACTTAAAGATGTAATAGAGGAGAATTTCCACAAAATAAACAAGTCTGCAGAATAAAATGTTCAATGTAAAATGGACGTATATTCAACATTGAGGCATATGCTCATAAAGAATGAAGAAAAAACTTTTCAAATCTCTTGGCAGAAAACTAAATCACTTACAAGAGGGAGGAAATCAAGCTGGCCTTAGACTTCCTCTAAGCAATATTCGAAGCCAGAAAACAAAGGAAAAATGTCTGCACAGTTTTAAGGCAAAGCCAGCATGACCCAAAACTATTATATCTAAATAAGTACCGTTCACGAATTAACGAAAAAGGCAAATATAGCATCTATGAGTCCATGTAGGGGAAAAAAAACTTCTTAGTAAAGAGCAGATGACTAAGTGATGAATCAAAATTAATAAGGAAGATATAGAGAAGCAAGGCATGTTGTAAGCTCTGGATTTTTAAGTACAGATCAAGATGAGATAACTAAAGAAATGAAAGTTACAAAACAAATAAACCTTAAAACTTGACTTTGTAAAAATAATAACATAACCAATAAATATATATTTTTCATAGCAGAGTCTGCTGGCATTTCTGAATTTGAAACATACGGATTAAAAAGTCTCTAAAGCCTTAATTTTTAAAATCTTGGGTATTTTAGGAACTAAGCTCTCTTGTGATGACGAAACATTTTCAAAAATTCAGCAGTTCCTTCCATTTCTCTTCCACCAAATTAGAATAATTTTAAATTTAATACTTTCCAATTTAAAAGTACTGTGATGTTCTCGGCTGGGCGCGGTGGGTCATGCCTGTAATCCCAGCACTTTGGGAGGCCGAGGTGGGCAGATCACGAGGTCAGGAGATTGAGACCATCCTGGCTAACACAGCGAAACCCCGTCTCTACTAAAAATACAAAAAAAAAAAAAATTAGCTGGGCTTGGTGACGGGCGCCTGTAGTCCCAGCTACTTGGGAGACTGAGGCAGGAGAATGGTGTGAACCCGGGAAGCAGGGAGCTTGCAGTGAGCCGAGACTGCGCCACTGCACTCCAGCTTGGGCAACAGAGCGAGACTCGTCTCAAAAAAAAAAAAAAAAAAAGTACTGTGATGTTCTCATCTTAAATAAAATGATCTTATCTGTATAAATGCATAGAAATATATCCTAAACTGATATTCATTTATTTTGATGGTAAAATCTAGGATCTGAGGAGATTTAAAAACTTTCCTGTAACTTTCTATATTGTTTGAATTATTTATAAATGAGCATGTATTTTTATAAAATCAATAGCCATTATCCATAAAATAGCATTATACACAACAATGTGAATATACTTAACACTACTGAACTGTACCCTTAAAAATGGTGAAGATGGTAAATTTATATTTACCATTTATAACTTTTGCCACAATTAAAAATAATAAATTTTAAAAATACTATTGTAAAATTTATAAAATAGCTAATGCACAATAGCTTTACAGATGAATTTACAGATTCTACCAACATTTGCCCGAACAACTTTTCCACCAAAATGTGAAACCTCAGATTATACCCTTGCATAATACTCTATATTTGCCTATACATTATTTTAGTAAGCAGAGATTATTCACTGGCAGATACTGTTATAACTATGCCAAATGAAAAGTTACTTATGAAAAGTAACTAATAAGTTATGTTACTTTATTAACTATCCTTGTGCTGTAAAGTTGTAAATATGTCATTTGATTTAAATATTCAGAAGAAAATCTTTTAGCTTTAATGATTTTTTTCCTGATTGTTAAAATAATATGTGCTCATTTTAGAAAATATACAAAGGTAAAAATGACCATAATCACAGAGTACATTTTGGTGTACTTTTTCCACCCTTTTCCTATGCATTTTACATATATATTATATATGCATTTCCTATGCATTTTTAAATAAATGAGAAAGTTTTATAAACTAAAAATCTTAGTGTATATTAAACATTAATATTTGTGTCATTAAGTATTTTTAATAGATACATATTTTGTTAGATTGATACACCATGGTTTATTAAACCACTCTCCCACTGCTGAATATTCAGATTGTTTCCTCTGTATAGATACTCTAGTGAATATGCATAAATCTGTGATTTCATATCTGATTATCTCCTTCAAATTGGTTCCTGTTAGTGCAACTACTGTGTCAAAGAATTGGACATTTTTAAGACCCCAGAAAGGTAATAGATAAGACTGAAAGTTTTTTTTTTCTTTTTTTTTTCTTTTGAGACCAAGTGTTGCTCTGTTGCCCAGGCTGCAGTGCAGTGGCACGATCTTGGCTCACTGCAACCTCCACCTCCCGGGTTCAAGTGATTCTCCTGCCTCAGCCTCCCGAGTAGCTGGGATTACAGGCACAGGCCACCCTGCCCGGCTAATTTTTATATTTTTTTTAGTACAGATGGAGTTTCACCATGTTGGCCAGGCTGGTCTCAAACTCCTGTCCTCGTGATCCGCCCGCCACGGCCTCTCAAAGTGCTGGGATTACAGGCGTGAGCCACCTCGCCCAGACAAGACTGAAAGTTTTATTGCACTCTTAGTGGCACTGGTTATCAGCACTTATTTTCAATCTTTGTCAATCTGACGGGGGAGGGGTCTCTTTCTGTAATTTAATTAGGCAAAGTTGAATTTTTACTCACATATTCATAGGAATAACTTTACTACCTTAAGGACTTGTAATTCTTTGTTTTTTTACTTAAGAAGATTGCATTTAGTTCTTAATGTATTTGTAGACAGAGCATTATTACTATTTTTTTTTTTTTTTTTTTTTTTTTGAGACGGAGTCTCGCTGTCGCCCAGGCTGGAGTGCAGTGGCGCAATCTCGGCTCACTGCAGGCTCCGCCCCCTGGGGTTCACGCCATTCTCCTGCCTCAGCCTCCCGAGTAGCTGGGACTACAGGCGCCCGCCACCTCGCCCGGCTAATTTTTTGTATTTTTAGTAGAGACGGGGTTTCACCGTGTTAGCCAGGATGGTCTCGATCTCCTGACCTCGTGATCCGCCCGCCTCGGCCTCCCAAAGTGCTGGGATTACAGGCGTGAGCCACCGCGCCCGGCCGCATTATTACTATTAGCTAGCAAGATCATATTTTCTTTTTTTAAGACCCTAAGCTATGTGATCCTGGTATCATATTTTCTGTATTGAATTTATTTCTCCATGTGCCAGTTTCACTACACTTTCCAAAGTGCTACTAAATGCTTAGTTTATAAGGTTTTAAAAAACTCACTGCATAATTACTTTAAAATAATTTCCTCAACCCTGCCTTCATTCAAAATGTCTGGAGACAGACTGGCCCACTTCCAATTTTCTTTCACGTTATCATTACTGTGAAGTCATTCTATAGATAGGAGAGCATTCTGGCATACAGAAAAACAGCATCTGTGAAACTATATGGCACAGTTTGGTTGGGGTTGTTGCTCCTTCAGAACCGCATTATGTAATTTTAGTGTTTACTTAAGCTCCTTTGGGCTGCCTCCGTGGTAGCTATGAGCTCACAGAGAAGTAAGTACAGTTTAGATCTGATAGCAAAGTCTATCAGTTTATCCTGAATGCTGCATCCTTTTTTTGTTGTTGTTGTTAAATCATTACTGTATGAGAAACTTTAAAAACAAAGGTATAGTTTCTTCATTTTATTTTTTAAAAAAGCTACTTCAAACATCATTAAGTAATACACCAAAAAATAAAGGGTTCATAAATATATATTTGCTCCTTATCTGGACGTACTTATTTAAAAACTCATATTCTACAGTATGAACTTACAGTGTGATTTTGACTCAACATAAATATAAATATGCAAAATTACCAAAATTAGAGGGATTAGCCTTTAGGAAAGTACAAATTATTAAAATGGCCTAAGCACTATTTCTATTTCTAAGTCATAGAGGAAGCACATTTAATATTTCTTAAAAAAAACAAAAAACACCAAAGATGTATAAGTTAATATCAGCTTAGGGAGAATTTTACAAGATACTAGGTTATAAGAAAAGATTATTTAACCTTGATTATTCAATGAAAAGTAGTATTTTCAGTTTTTTAGAGCGATAACTCTTGAGTCTCTCTACCAAACAAATAATTATATATGCTGGTTTAAAATAAAAATAAATCAGTCTGCATTATAAAGGTGGGAGAAGTATCCATTTTTTTATTGTAATAATCAAGTGTTACGTCGCCTTCATAGGAAACATGCATACTCTTATAAAATACTTAAAAGCCTCAACTGTTCCTTTAGAATTACTGATTTTGATGAATAAACAAGCCCCAATAAAGTCAATATCGTAACATCTAAAAGCATATTGTCCCTTTTGGGAAATGTCATTTTGTTTTAATTATTATTATAAAATTACTTACTGGAATATTCTCCATAGCATTTTGCTTTTTAATTTTGAGAAGGACATTATGCCATTGATTGCCAGCGATCCTATGAGGTCCAAAGTTGGGATAACTCATGGAGGGCAAAGAAAAAAGTTTTCATCACCGTGGAGGTACAGCTACTGTGAATGTCCTACCTAGTTTGGGAGAGAAGGGTATGTGTGCACAGGAGGCCTGACCTGGAGGGAATGGACACAGGGAGAAGAAAGGTGCAGGAAGATTATGAGACAGACTGCCTACTCAAGTTGGCTCAGGATTAGCTTTGCTGGAACATTTAAATGTTTGGGTTTTTATATTTCATTCTAATATAAAAAAGAGGGTATTTATTAGGTTTCTTATGTTTAAACTTTTCTAATGTACAAATGTACTGTTTATAAATCTATTTATCAGAAGTTACATGTGGTGATTTTAAACATGTTGCAAATTGACACTCCTACCATTAAAAGGTGGAGTCTAATTCCCCTCCCCAGAACACATATGGCCTTAGTAATTTGCTTTTAACAAACGGAAGTGATGGATATGATGCTGCATGGCTTCTAAGACTAGGTTATAAAAAATGATACAGTTTTACCAGGTGTGATGGCTCACGCCTGTAATCCAAACACTTTGGGAGGCCGAGGCGGGCGGATCACAAGGTCAGGAGATCGAGACCATCCTGGCTAACACGGTGAAACCCCCTCTCTATTAAAAATACAAAAATCAGCCAGGCGTGGTGGCACGTGCTTGTAGTCCCAGCTGCTCAGGATGCTGAGGCAGGAGAATCACTTGAACCTAGGAGGCATAGGTTGCAGTGAACTGAGATCGCGCCACTGCACTCCAGCCTGGGTGACAGAGTGAGACTCTGTGATACAGTTTCCATCTGGCTCTCAGTCTTAGGACCTGTGGAACTAGCCACCCTGTTGTGAGGCAGCCAGACCACATGGAGAGGCCATGTGTAGGTGTTCTGGCTGATAGCCCCAGCCATCAGTCAGTATTAACCACTAGACAAGCAAGTGGACAAGCCTTCAGATGATGCCAGCTCCAGCCTTTGAGCTGCCCCAGCTGTCATCCAGTGGATTAGAAACAAGTTTTCTCTACTAGGCAAGGTAATGTTGTTTTAAGCCACTAAATTTTGGGGTGGTTTCTGTACTTAAGTCACTGCTTCCAATAAATCCCTAGTCAGGTTAACTGTAACGGGTTAACCTGTTGGAAGGAAGGAAATGGAAGAGGCAAAGGAAAACCCTTTCCTTCCACGCTTCCTTATTTCCTTAGCCAGACTGTGAGTTTAGCACCTTCTGCTACTAACTGTTGGAGATTAAGTGTGCTTTTGAAGTGCAAAAAACACCATCATGGGGACTCAGTCTATCCCAACACCTTTCCTTGAGGGCTTAGAGACTGAGCAGGGGAAAGACAAAGTTTGATTTCTTCCATTTCTCCTTTTCTTCTTCCTTAGGTATCTCTAGTTTCAAAAAAAGGGAGAAGCAAGATTTCATCCTCTCCTATCTTCACTGTCCTTCTAAATTCAAATCTCCAGAAAGACAATTATGGTTTCTTTTTCACTGAAAGAGAACACAGCTTTTTCAGTCATATAAAGGGAACAAAGCAGCAACATGTTTCTATTATCAAGGAAGCAGGATTTTATTCATCAGTTATATGCTACGGACACTGCTCTGTCTTTAGTCACTCATCACGGTTCTTCAAAGATTCCTTCTGCTCCCCTTCTTCCCCTGAATATGGGTGTTCCCAGGGTTCCCTCCTCAGACCACTTCTTACAGGGCACCCTTTGTGGTCCATCTAAGCCCCTCCCACTGCTTTAGCTATCACCTACATTTTAATGACTCCAGAGAGCCAAACTACTTCAACACCCCCTGCTCCCCCAGTAGTTCTCTGATACTTCAGATTCTACAGGGACAAAACAGAGTTCCTTCCCCTAGACTTGAGGCCTACTTCTCCTTTTAGTCCACACCCTAAACCAGAAATCTGGGTATCTCTTGCTCTTGCCCTTTACAGCCAACCAGTTTTCCCATTCCACCAACAGAATTCCACCAATTTAATTACTTCCTTGAATTCCTCTTTTCTCTATCCCCACTATCCCTAGGTACACAGCGGTGGTCCTAATTGATTGTTACTTAGGTCACAGGCTGTTTTACATTCCATCTTCAAGTCTCCAGGACTTCAACCAGTGTACACCTCAATATGACATTTCCAAAACTCCTTTCATGGCTCTCCCTTTCCTATGTTTTAGTCCTGAGGCAGAATAGGAATTTACTCATAAAGCAAGTAACCCCCCTAAAATTGTATGCAAAATTTTAGTATAGGTATGTAAGCGCATTTTTTTTTCCTAGAGAAAGAGCCCATTGCTTTTTATTTTCCTCAAAAGGTATGTGTTTCCCCCAAAACTTGTAGGTCTCAGGCTAAAGTCCAAATTCTTCAGCATGCAGGGTATATACAAAGCCCTGCCCGACCTGGCCTCTTGCCTCCCTGCAGCTAACCTGGCAATTGCTCTCTCTTAACATCTACCTCCTGGATTTACAAACTGGGGTGGAGGTGGGAAAAAAGAATCAAAATCATAAAGTGAAGCCAAAACTGTTTGTGTAGCATTTATACACTGTTGAAGAATCAAAGGCCTTTTTTTCATAGTGCTTTTCGGGAGGGAGAAATTGGATTGTAAACATGTAATTTACAATCTCCACATTTTTTATTCTAGATAAATGCCACACACACCTTCCTGTTACAGAATATTGCATAGCAACTTTCAACATCATTCAGTTTTTTAATACCTATCCACATATGATGTTATGTATTTTACAAATCCTGCAACTAACAACGCAGTTCTTGATAGACTGCGATCTACTGGGAGGACTGCTCGGTTTTCACCTGAATTATTGCTCGTGGTTCACACACTAACACCCAAAAAGACACTCTACGGGTCATGACGTGTCCCTAAAATCCTCCATCTACTCCAGAAAACGTTCTAACTTTTTGAGACGAACTGTTGTAACTAGTCTCCTGGCGAGGCCTGCTATGTCTTATACCACAGGCTCTAACTGCCAAATCTTTTTCAGAAGTCTTTCAGTTGTTGCCTCCAAACGGAGCTCTTTGCAGTCCTCGGGCGGACGAATGGACGGATTCGAGCGAAGCTTATTTCCCTTCTCCTAACGCATCTACCTATAAATAGCGCTCACCGCGCTGAGTCACCAAAACCCCGAGTTTCCCCAAATAGCGCGTAACGACTGCTGGGATCGCGTCCCTCGGGGCTCTGTGACAGACTCCAACCACACACCCGCTGGGCTGGACTGCGGGCCCACACGGCCCAGCGGGTCTCTCACCACCCGGCGCCCCAGGGACGCGGGCGAGGCCGCGGTGTCCGGACCGAGTCGACAGCGTCGGACTTCCCGCGCGCGGACGGCGCTCTGGGGAAGGAGGAGCCGGCGGGCGGCTGGACCTGGCCTTGACTGCGCGGGGTCCGCCCCCGCCCCCTCGGGAGCGCAGAGTTGCGGGGGGCCGGCACCAGCCTCCGCCCTGCGCCGCCCGCTCACACAATGGGACGCGTCGGGAGGGGGCGGCCGCGGCTCCCATTCCGGTCCCAGGGCGGGGACTCCGGGCGGCGGGAGAAGCAGTCGGGCTGGGGCCAGAAGGAAAACCCCTCTCTCCCTCTGCCCACTCAAACTGCGAAAGGGCTCCAGCCGGCGGTGCCAGGGGCTGGGGAGCAGCTGGGGAGGGAGCGGAAGTGCCACCCCCTGCAGTCAAGGGTGGTGACGTCACCCCTGCAGCCAGCCTGTAGCGGGGGTGTCTGTACATCACATGACCCGGCCCCCCTCTCCCCGCCGAAGCCCGCGCGCGCGCTCTCTCCCCCAGCCCCGACTCCCACCTCTCCCCCGCCCCCTCTCCCCAACTTTCGCCCTCCCCGCTCCGGCACCGCTGTCAACAGCGCCAGCTCCGCCCCCTCCCCGCGCCCTGTGGAACCGCCACGGCGGCGCGGCGGGCGCTCGCGCTCAGGTCCGAGGCTCCGAGAAGCGAGCGTGCCCCGGTTCCACCCTGCCCCCCAGCTCAGTGCTTGCTGGCTGCGTGGGCACCAGAGCCAGGGGGCACGGCGGCGTGCAGCGACAGCGCTTCTCTGCTCCATCCTCCCACAGCAGTTAGAGGACGAAGCTGAGGCGCCGGGTCCGAGCTCGGAGGGAGCGAGGCGCATGCAGCGGCCTCCGGGCCCTGACGCGTAGCCTCCGGGGGTCGGCCCACGGGCGAGAGAAGCAGCCGGGAGCCCCTCCTCGACCCCAGCAAGGCGGCCCGCGCCTCCGCTCTCCCTACCGCCCGGGTGGCGCACGCCAGTCCTCCGTCTTTGGCTGCGGCGCAGGCACCGGCCATACGACGAGGGGCCAGGCGGGGACCGCCTCCTTGAGCCCCCTCGGCCACCCCTGCCGTGTGGACTGCTGGGGTTGCAGATTTGCTGGCTGTTGCTGCAGCGCCTCGTTCTATTTTTCCTCTCAGTTCCCTTCTAAAAGTGGAGGCTCGGGGGAGGAAAAAGAAAGCCCACAGTGTTGAAAGGGGCGGTACGGACTGACCTGTCAACGGCGGAGGAGGAAGACCCCCGTTCGGGGCGAGCTCTCGAGCCCGCGCAGGGATCGGAGCTCTGGGCTCGCGCGGAAAGGCACGGCGGCAGCTGTGCCTCAGCCAGGTGTCCCCCCTCGGCGGGGCCCGCGCCGCCGCGCCCGCCCCCTCCCCCGGCGCAGCGCTCCCCGCCCCATCGCCGGGGACCAGGGAACCCCCCGGCTCGATTTTTTGTGCAGTTTCAGCAAAGCTCCGAGGAAGTTGGTCCTTTTGTTCCACTATTTATAGATTGCGTCAACATTGCGAAAAGGAGAAGGCGGAGCGGTGGCCCCTCCCCCTCCCCTCCCCCCGCCGGCTCCTGGGAGAGAAAAGCCCCAGCACACGACCTAAGTACACAGCGCGCCAGCCGCCCGCCCGCGGCCTTCTGCTCCCCGCTTCTTCCCCCTCCCAGCCGGGGCCCGAACGCTGCCAACCCCGTCACGTGCCCGCCCGGGAAAACCAGCTCCCCGGGGCTCCGCGCCGCCCGCCAGGCTTCGTGGCGGCGGCGGCGGCAGCGGCCTCACCCAGCTCGTGGGCTCGGGCCGCGGCTCAGGCGTCACGCATAGCGTGGGCACCCACGCCCTCGCCACCCGACGAGGATCTCGGGCTCCGCGACCTGTGGGAGTGCTGCGGGGCGTCCCGCACTTCCGCCCTCTCTCGTCTCCGGCTCCCCAGTCGCCGCCCCGCTCGCCGAGTGTGCGCGCATTCGGGCCTCGCCTCGGAGCCGGGAGGCTGTCCTGTCCCCAGGCCCCTCGCGCGGCCGCTCTTCCAGGCATTGCGGTGCTAGCCCCCTCTCCCGCGCACGACTGGGGAGGGCAGAGGTGTGAGGGATGCGGGGGTGGCTCGCAGCCGTTCGCGGGCAGGCGGGCGGAGCGCGGGAAGCGCGGTGCGGGCGTTCCATGGCGCACCCAGACGCTCTCCCTCCTCCGCAGGTGCAGCGGGGCGTTGCGCGAGCTCGAGTCCCCCTTCCCGGACAGCTAGGGAGAAGGGAGTTTGCAGACCGGAGCTACAGTTGGAAGAATATAGTTTTTGAGAAGTTACTGGAAGTTAGATGTGAGACAAAAACAGACGAACTTTCCTTCAAAGCCTTATGACGAAATGATAGGCCTTGCCATACCCTTGAAATGAAACTGAGCTCCCTACCGGCCTAAAGCCGCTGTTCCTGAGCTTCATGTAAACAAGGAGGGCGGTAAACACCAGAGGAAGGCCTTACAACAATACCAAGTGCAAGTAGCTCATTTGAGTGTTATTTATCTTAGCAGCTTCCCTGAGTGATTTATGTATATTGCAGTTTAACTTTACAGGGTGGGAATAAAATAATTTGGCTTCTCAGCTCACTGGCGGAAGAAACTAGAGCTGAGCTGGGACGAGGGCAAGAAGCGCGTCGCACCTTTCCTGGCAGCTGAACAGTGTGATGAACAGTCTGGAAGGGTTATGTTATTACTTAAGGGGTTTGGGGAAACCGTTCCCGCGCACAGACCCTCATTCGGGCCAACTGCAGGCCGTGGGGGACTCTTCAAGGACTCGCGCAACCCGAGCCGAGCTTCCTGGCTGGGCACTGGGCTCAGCCAGTGCTGAGAGCGCTTTCGCTGGGCCAGTCAAGACAGCAATAAGTTTGCCTCTATTTGGGAAACCTTTCCAGGCTTGCCTGCCCTCTTTTAAGAGGGAGACTAGGTGGTGGGATCGTCAGCTGCCAATGTGTGCACTCGTTCTAAAGAAGGCGAGAGGAAGTAAAGCGAACCTGTGCAGTGTTTGCTGGGCTTCCAAAACGCGGAGCTTAGTCGACCCCCCAGCGAACCGGACGGCGCTTTGGTCCCCTCACACCTAACGGTACTCAGAGCCTGGTGCGGGAGCTGGCGCGCTCGCTCCTGGTTTCCTTCCAATTTAGGCAAAGGCCCTGGCCGCCCGTCTTCCTGCTTCTGCTGTGCCCTGCCACAGCACTCCTAAGACGGCGAATTCGTTTCTGCGCCAATTTTGTTTTGAATATCTACAAACCACTTTTCCTTGCATGAAGAAAACAAGGCAGGGCCCCCTGGCCCGTCCCACACCTGCGAGAGGCAGAGATACAGAGGCCTCGGGCCTCAGCCTTCATTTCCCCGCCCTAGCTTCGCGCCAAGCTGCAGTGTCCCCGACACACTGTCAGGACACGCGCTTTTCGCCCCTACTTTGTTCTTGCGCAGTCTTCCCAGCTGCGGAGAGGAGGGAGCGAAAGCAAAACGAAAGCACCCGGGGCGCATCAGTTGCAATAGCTTCCCTGAGCGCGGCCGTGGGAGGCCAAGATCTGAGGTCGCGAGGCGACGGTGGGGGCCCGAGCTGCGCAGAAACTGGGTGGGGGCGGTCCCTGGAGGGCGCCCGGGAGCTGCTAGAAGTTGTCCGGAGCCCCTCAACCCCCTTGGAAAAGCGAACGCGGATGTTAATATACCAACTCCGCAGGGAACTTTTGGCCCGGGTCTTGAGCTGAAATTCCAGACTGAATGGGACCGTGCTGAAAGTTCGACGAGGCAAAGGAGTATGGCGCGGGGGCAAGCTTTGACCCCCGGCTTCGTATCCTCGGGAGAGGCCGGGACTCCGGCTCGCCCAGCGAGGGTGCGCAGAGGCCTCCTGGGATTCTAGGCCCACAGAATTTTTGCTCCAGTGAAGTTGGATAAGCACTCCGCCTCCCCGCAAAAACCAGAGTTCTCGGCTTATAAACACTTCAATAAACTCTGGTGACATTCTCCGCGCTCGCTCCTTGCCCTCGCGGCAGTCACTGCAGGGACAAAGGCGGCCTGCGCAGACTTGGAAGAGGCGCGGCCCGCGTGGGCGGCTTTACCGGCCAAAGACGTTTTCAGTTAAGGGGAGGCATCTTCAGAGCTGAGGGTAACTCCCCACAGCCACCCCGCAGGTAGGGCAGCCAACCCCAATCTGGTCAGCTTAAAAGTGTCCTCGGTTTCGCCCCCTTTCCCAGCGAACCAACACTGGCAGATTGGCCTGCGAGCCGCTCGCTCTGTTGCTCTAGCACATTTATGTAGCCAAACGGTCGAAGAGCCCCATCTTTAAGCCCAATAAACACTTAACTTTATTCTATTTAATAACACATTTTGTTGTGGCAATATTTGTGGATTTTGGCAGGTATTAAAATCTGGTGATCCTAAATGAGTCCAATGTGGAAATGCAGTATTCTCTATGAGTAAATAGTTCTGTGCTTCCTCTCACTGGCACCTGACGCAAGGCGCAGCCAAGGACTATTACACCTCTGGCTGCTCGGACGCATCTTCGCACTGCGCCCCCTCGCTCTTTAAACCTGGGAGACTTGTAATTGTGTACCTGTTTGCATTGTTTAGCCTATGCATCGCAGATTATTCATTTTACTAACAGGACTCAAAAACAGCTGTAATTTTCAAAGATGCACGATGGAGTTCGCTTAGGCGAACCTCGGGAAGGCAGTCTTGGTTTCCTGCTAATGTTTTGCCGGTAACAGGCAGTAGTCAATCCCAGACTAGCTTTGTTGGTTTTTATTCCTCCCCTCTTTACCACAACGGCAAATACCAGAAAGTCCCAACTGTAAAAAGGGCGGCCCACTCCGCCCAAATTTCTCTATACGATGCTGAGAGGCGAGCTACAGGTGAAATAGACTCCTAGGCACTTCTCTTAGAAAAAGCCTTCTATTTCCTCTTTGAAAATACTTAGCAAAAGCTGTTTTTGACTTAACAGACTATAAAAATGCCTACTTTCACCATGCTCGCCCTTTGGTTTCATACGAAGCCACTTTTCTCACTTTCTTGCAAGTTCTTTTTTTCCTTTGTAATATATTTTTGTGAAACAGGTTCGATTGGGTTATCTTGCTAAACTGTCCGTCTAAAATTATGAAGTTGATGTTTTCTACTCTCCTTTGTTTAAACAAAAAGGACGCACACGGATGTGAAAGCCCGTGGTTGCCTTTATTCTGCACGCCACCTTTTTTTTTTTTTCTCTGCGTTCACAAATGATGCTTTGCCTGGGCTAGGTTCAGACTTCAGTACCTAAAACGTTATGCGTCTGGGCAGTCCCCAAGAGCTATCGAAAGGCCAGCCTTGCTCACCCCATTGGAACCAGCATCAGAAACCTCGATTTAGAGTCCAATTTGGAAACAGATCCGTGCCTTTCTCGGTGAAATGGGAAGTTGCCTAAACGATGCATCTGGCTTTAGATTTTATGGGGAATATGATCTGGAAAAGGGAACGCCTGTTTCAGCTGGGGCAACACGCCCCGCGCGGGTCCCCTGGGGCTTCTCCTGCAAACAACGCGCGGGATCTCGACCCGCAGGGCCTCAGTCGACCTCTGCGCGCCAGGCTTGGGGTTGACCCCACACCAGCGCGCTCCCTTCCTGGCCTCGCCTGGGGTCTCTGGCAGTGGCTGACGAGGCTTTTTGACCAAAGGAGAAAGTTTGAGGCTGCAGATCACATGTCCTTAAAGGATCTGGGGAGAGGGAGAGGCTCTTTGCAATTGGTGCCAAGAAACTCGAACATCCCGCGCTCGCCGCGAGGCGAAAAGAACTATCCTGGGGGAGCACAAGTGTTCCCGAGACTTTGCCAAAGTTTCCAGAGTCCGGAGGTAGCTTGCCTCCCACCCCCGCCCACCACTGGGTTATTTCCTAATCCCCTCTAGGCTGCCTCGGGCGAGGACCCAGGCGGGGCCCGGGGTGGCGGAGCAGGGAGAGTGGTGGGGAAGATGGACCTTCCTTGTGGCCGGCTCCTTCGGCAGTGGAAACCTCTAAGGGGTTAAAATGGCGCGGCTGGATGGGCGTGGGGAATGTTGCCAGTGTTCGGTCCCGACTCAGGGGAGAAACGGGGTGGGGGTGTGGGGATCCCGGAAAGGGCCGGAAAAGCCGGGAGCACCGGGAGGTGTGAGGCCAGAGTTTCTGCTACTGGGGGCTCTTCCAGGGAAGACGCTGGCGGGAATAGGATGGGGCTGGCAGCTGGGGAGCCTCGCGGTGGCTATTGCACGTCTCGGCCCCCCTGGACAGGGTTATGTCAGGAGAGCGCCCTGGCACCGAGCTCTGGCCGCTGGATAAGATACTCCCTCGCCGGCTCCCTCCGTGAGCGGGGCTGGGCGGGTGCGGAGGGGCGGGCGGTGCGCCTCGCCGAGCCCGGGGCGCTGAGGTCGGCAAGTCGTCTTCGGAACTGGCGGCGGCGCTTCTCCAGTCGACGTGGAAAAAAAAATCGTCTCAAATAGCACCCCTCGGTCTGCAGCCCTTTAACACTGGTAAAGTAGATAACAAGGAACTCTGCTGAACGAGGGAAACTCAGTTTAGAACGTCCCAGAGTTTCCAAGTTTGTCAAGCGACTGGGAATCTTGGTCGCCGCGTGGAGAGCTGCGCCCATTTCCCCTTCCAGAAGAAAACTGAAGGCGTATTCCTCCAAAGGAAGGCTGCAGTCAGGCGCCACACAGAACACAGGCAGTCCTCTCCGGCCGATCTCGGGCTCGCCTCTCCCAGGGCCGTAGGGAGCATCTTTTCTGAGCAGCCCCGGGAGGGCAGCTCCGGGCGCTCTCCGCGCTGGGCCCTGCCGCGGCCGGTGCGTTACATCAGGAAACGCTTGGTCCGGTTTTCTGTCTGCTAGTCAAAACAATTGGCTGAATCTCGAAATAACTTTTTTGATAGTCCGGAAAAGAAACATGACAAATAGACTCACCATCAGGCTTGCGTCAGAGAACCATTTTCCCCAGACTATAGTGAGATTGTTTTTTTCATTAGTTGCAGGAACTGATTTTTTTATGATTTACCTACCTGCTGCAGTTGCTGAATGTATTCTTCTCCCCTCCTTTTCCCCACTTCATCTGGTTGTCAACTCCTTTCCCTCCCCGCCCCCATCCCCCATCCCTTTTAAAGCTCCGGGTACTGGAGTCCATCGTATCCAGTTTGTGTGTGTGTGTGTGTGTGTGTGTGTGTGTGTGTGTATCCCGCTAGTCTAGCCCAGCGTTTATTAATGGTCAATATAAGCCACAGTGTTTGCATAGCCCTCACAAAATGGGTCATGTTTTCGGTTCCTTTGATCTGCAGCGACGGAAAAGTTTTGCTTTGCATATTCTCTTTTTTGCACATCGAGTTTAGTGACGGTGCTCTCCTCACAAGTTACAAGTTCCCTCCCCTTTCAAACAGTTATAGGGATCTATTTTTACAGGGACCCAAAGAGTTAGGAGAAATCCAGCATGTGCTAAGGCTCACCTTCACTTTTTTTTTTTCCACACAAGGATTAACATTAACGATGTAATGAGTTAAAACAGACTTTAATACCACTAAGCATGGATTTCCCCATTAACCTTGGCAATTATGTCACTTCAAAGAAGGAAGTATCAATAACGAAATTCTTTTGAATTAAATAAAATTATGGAAATTGTCCATCTGAGGTCTGGGCGCAGAAGAAGGAGGTTTCGGTATTTTAAAGAAGAACTCTTATTGGTGGATAATTATTAATATGAAATGAAATTTGTAAAGCTAGCCCTATCAGGGTACCTATATATATAGGTGCTTGATGAGTATTTAGTCTCCCTCACACCATTTTCTAATTCCCATCCTTGAAAATTTTGGCAGGAAATACAGACTTCCCAGTGGCTAAAAAATTATGCTGAAACTTCTCTTGTGGTTCAGGTAACCTCCACTTACTTAAAAACACACACACACACACACACACACACACACACACAAAATTTATCCAGGGAACTTTAATAGCTTATTAAACCTTAATGGAACTATCTAGGCAAAATAAAAATAATGGTGATTACGTATTCTAAATCCAAAACACATTAAATTAACTCGAATTTTTTGATGGTTCCAATAGGTAACTATTACCACCTGATTTCGTTTACGAGTTTCCACAGTAAAAACGAAATTTGTCAGCACTCGTTTGCTTCTAGCATTTCTGCTACAGCAGGCTTCGCCGGCAGACTGATCTTTCTAGACCTTGTCTCTTTCAGAGCGCCAATTTTATATTGAGGCTATTCAGTTCTCCACTTTTAAGAGAGACGGGTGCACTTTTTTTTCCTTTAAAAATCAAATGAGAAAATGGAGAAAGAGTTTGTAGCACTCACGGGTGGAGAAAACCCATCTGCCTGATCCTTTTGTCCCGGTGCGGAGTCGCTGGAGAGGAGAGTCTCCTGGAGCCGCTTCGCGGATCCCACTGGGTCACCTGGTCCTGGCTTATTTTCTTTGAGGCCCATTCTCGGGGAGTAAATAGACAGTAGCGAGTTTCCTGGCAACTTTGCACTACTCTTTAAATAGAAGAGAATTCCTCCAGTTTGCCTCCCCTTATAGGCTTTCCCGCCTCAAATTGTTTTAAATGCTCCTCACAGTCTTTTTGCCCCTTCTCCCAATGACAAGGCAAGTCTCAGCGGGTGACCTTGGTGTGTGCCGCAGGGTTCAGGCTCTTGGAGCCCAGCTGCCCTGCTGAGAGAGCGGGAGGATAGTCGCACCTAATTAGTACGCGGCTCCGGCGGAGATGAGTGCGTGGGCACTGTGCGTGCATCTTGCACATGACACCCAAGTTCAAAGCGCCCTGCTTATGAAAACTTGGGGCATCAATATCGTCTCATCACTCAGGCGCCCTTAGCGAATCTGGACAGATCGAGGGGCGCAGTCTTGGCTTCCGGACCAGGACTTTCTTTTTTTGAGATCTATTTAGCTAGTTTAGAAAAATACACCTTATGCGAACATATACAGCTATTTTCTCGCCCTCCACTCCAGTGGTCTGCAAGCCCCTGGTGCTAGTGTGAATATTCCTGAGTCCTGAGCGGGTTCCCGCCCGTGCAGAGCCAAGAACACTGAGCGGAGGTCACTGTAAGTTCAGAGCCGTGCATCCTGGTTAGAATTGGGAGAAAAAATTCTAAGCCCGCCCGGAGCTGCTCAGAAAAGATGGGTCTCGGTCCAGCGCCCCCTTAAAGTCCTCAGTGCGCGAAAGTCTTGGATTACTGTGCTTTGCGCAAATTGGACGCCACGCCTGAAGGGCCCGCGGAATCAATCGCTTGCCTTCTGTGGGGTCCTGGCATCAGCGTGACCAGGACATGCTATTATTATTGGAAACCGAGTCTTGAAGTGGACCCCCAGCCTCCACCCAAGCCCTGCGGCCAGGGAATAATTCTAAGGGCTCTCCCCTTTGGATGTCTAGGGTCGGGGCGGTCTCGGCTCCCTGGATCCTCTGGTGTCCCGGCACCGAGGGGCGCTCGGCAGCGGGGCAGAGGGGACGGCCTCGCGACCCCGCCAGGGGCACGAAGGAACGGCGGCCGAGGGAAGTCCACGCGGGCTCTGGCGCAGCAGCGAAGCTGGAGGCGTTTGCTCCGCTCTGCCCGGAGCAAGGGGCGCGCAGGGGAAACCGCTTCTAGAGCTTCGCGGGGAAGGGATCAGGGGCGGAGGGAATTCTGTATTCTAGTTGTGGATCTTTCGGGTCTCTGTCAGTTAACAGAAGCCTTTGGGGTGTGGGTCCGGGACGCCGCTCGGAGCCGTAAAACCTTGCCTGACCCGGCGCTCCCAGCCACTGCGGTGCAGCCGCCTTCGCCTTCTGGGTGCGGGACACAATCTGGCCCAAGGTCGTTCAAATCGGGGCCGGCCTACCCCTCAGAGAGAGCCTCCGCCCATGGTCCAGTGGCAGGGAAGCCTCAGGCTACGGCCTAGATGGAGCATTCACAAGGGCGTTTCCAGGCCCCAGTGGCCTCTGAGCAGGGGTTAACTGAGGTTCAGGTTTCTTCTGAAAACCTGAACTGAGGTTCAGGTTCACAAAAAGAATTACACAAGTTTCCCAACTCTACAATCTGTTAACTCAAGGCCGATTACCTTCTCAGAATCCTCTAAGTATTTTTGCCTGTAAAGTGAATTTGGACTTTCTTCTTCTCTTCCTCACACAGCTGGTCACAGACAAAAGGTGGGTTACAGGCCTGGAAAAGATTCATCCCCTGCTCACACATGTGCCTCTTTCTTGGGACGTTGTGTGTTCTCCACACTCCTGGGCCGGTCAGGAGGGGTCTTGTGCTCTGCTAGGGAGGTGGGCTTCCCTGTAGGAAGAGTGTGGAGGGAAAGGCCTAGCTGGCCCACTTGGTAGGGAGGGTCCCACGTGGCCTGCAGAAAGGCATGAAAATGACCAGGAGACAGGACCTGGGCCGATATGTGTGAAGGGTGGGGATCTGGAGGCATTGGGAAAACTCTCTCCCAGTGAAAAAGAGGCCCAAGAAGTTCTGCTGCCTGTTCTAAGAAGACAGGATGCTCAGTCTCAAGGTGGGACAAGGCCAGAGTTCCTTGCGACCAAACTGGGATCGGAAATCTGTATTTTCCTGGCTAAACTTCTTGTATTTTAAGCTTCTTTCTCATTTGCTTTCCGTTTACTCTTTAGTCAAGTGTTTCTGAAAATCTTGCCAAAAGGAAGTCATTCAGTTAACAGATATTTATTGAGAGACCACTGCATGTCAGGCACAGGAATAGGACGGTGAAGAAGACAGTTCTTGTCCTTACAGCTTACAATCCAATTTTTATCTTAAGAGAATAAAAGCAATTAAAGGATGCCATGAAAAAGATACCTGGGTAGATCCAAGGTGAAGGGAGCATGGCTATTTGGGGCTACTTACAAGAACTTCAGTATCCTTGAAACTTAGAGGGCAGAGGACCTGCTGGGGGAGCAGAGAGACAGCTTGAGGAGAGGAGCCTGGGCCCTGAGAGGGGGACCCGGGGTGAATAGTTCATCATGGGGCTTTCATGGTGCACAGCAGGTGAAGCCGAGGGCTGTGTTAGATCCGATGCCCCCTAGGTTTCCTTCTGGTGTGAAGATTTGAAGGATTCACTTTTATCAAGGGAGCTGATGTTTCCTTGCCAGGCACCACATATATCCCTGTGCTATTACACATGATTAATACTGCAGACTTTAAAATAACAATATGCAACTAAAAAGTACTTTCAAGAGAACTCATCTAGCAGAACGTTTTGTAAGAATATTGTAGTTAGAGAATTGTGTTGGAGATTAAATCATACATAGTGAACAAGACACTGTCCAGTCCTCACAATTTACCATCCAGTGGAAGATACAGAGAAATATATATGAGACATTCGAATTCACTGGAGAATAGAGAGCAGGCTTTATGCTCTCAGGAAGTTGGGTTATAGGGTTGGGGCATTTAGTTCAAGGTAGCTTGGGGAGGTCCCATGAAGAAATCTGGGAGATGATTCATAGAAGAACGGCTTTTGTGTATTGACTGAGCCCTTATTCTTATATGGCATTCAAAATCCTCCTGCAAACACAGTATTTCTGGGGCTCAGAATTGCCCTGAATTAATAACTGTGCTAGAAAGACAAAAGAAAGTTCTTGCAACTGATGAGACTTAAAAAAGTCCCCTCTGGAAATGTTAAGGCCTTCACAATATTTCTAGGGCTCAGGATTGTCAAAGGCTACTAACTCTGCCAGAGAGACAAAAGAAAGATCTTGCAACTAACTAGACTAAAAAAAGTGCTAGTTTGATGTTACAGTGATTAATTATGAAAATACTCAGGCATGATGCTTTTAATTGAATCCTTTTGTAGCATTATTGGTAGGGGCAGGAGGGAACAGCAATTCCTTGAATGCCTGCTGTTCCATAGGCCCTTGACATATATTGTCTCTTTTAATGCTCATGACAACTCCATCAAGTCGGTATTTTTATTTCCATTTTTTAGATTAGAAAAATGAGGTTCAGTGAGGTTATGCAAGGCCACTTGGGGAGTAAGTGGCAGACCCATCTGACTTCAAGCCTGTGTTCTCTTCCCTTTTCTCATGGAGTGCCTTCCCAACCCAGAGGGTGATGAGTCTAAAAAGGAATCATATTAAGAGAATTCACATTTGCAAATTTTAAATTCCTATAAAAAAATAGGCTTGGATGAACTTATAATATCTCTATAAATTATATTTTAGGGTTGCCAATATAAAAAATTAAGGAGATCAAAATAAACATCAAGAATGCTTTATACAAATTAAATTAACAGAATGCAATTAATGTCTCTTTACCGTTGCTTGCTAGAAAATTTTCAGAATAAAGAGATGCTTATCCATTAGTTTTGCTTTATTACACAGAGAAACACATGCGTGTCTAGCCTTACACTTAAGTGGAAATTCCCTTAGGTCACTTTCCCTGGGTTGTGACTAAAGGCAGCTGTCATTATCATGTAGGCCATGTGAGGTTTGTGACTGGAGAAGGGATTATGGTCATGTTATAATGTTATAAGTTGATAAAATTTTATAGGTACAAGTAAAAGCTTTTTACTTAAAACGAAAATCCTAGGATTACATCAATCAATCAATTCAGCAAATATCTGTTGAACATCTTCTGCCTGCCAAGGACCGTGCTGTGTGCTGAGGATATAACGTTGATCAAGACAAACTGAGTCCTTGCTACTGGAGACAGCCGATCAGGAAGGAAGGAAAACAAGACTTGCTTGGCTTCTGCCGTGTGCCAAACACTCTCCTAGATTCATTTAATCCTTCAGATGAGCCTGCTGTCTGTCCCTGTATATGCAGAACATGCGCAGAAAAAAAGTGAGCCTCAGAAAAATTAAATAGCTTGTTCAAGGTCATACAGCTTGTAAATGACAGAGCTCCAATTCAAACCCAGCAATAAAGACAAAGTTCTTTTCACTATGCTACACTACATCCTTGACTATGAAAATACTAAAAATTGTGAGTACTTGTTAGTCATTTTATCCCTCCTTGGCTTGTTTCCTCAATTAAAACAGCTGGGTGACTATTCTTATACTATTCACCTCATAGAACACTCTTAAAACCCAAAGCACTGTAAAAAAGTTTTTTTACAGTGCTTTTTAATTGTTTAGCTTAATTTAATTTTATAGGAGAAAAAGCATATGAACCCTAATAACAGGTGTGTCATAATAATCTATTGGTAGAAAAAAAATCCTAGTTCGATAGGATTAGATTTTGACAAATTATTATTGTTGCTTTTCTTTTATTAATTTAACACCAAACATTTATTGGAAATAGTAGAATTATGCCAAGCCTATAGATACAGAGATTTCTGAGCCTGTAGATACAGAGATACAGGATAAGGGCAAATTCCTTATCCAACAAGGACCTCCAAGTCTAGTGGGTGAGAGACATACCTATTTAGGTAAATTATAAAAATGTGCTGTAACAGATGCCCAAGGTCTCTGTTGCACAGACTGGAGTGCGGTGGTGCTATCATGGCTCACTGCAGCCTCAACCTCCTGGGCTCAATCGATCGTCCCATCTCAGCCTCTCAAGTAGCTGGGACCACAGGTATGCGCTACCATGCCAGGCTAATATTTTGATTTTCTGTAGAGACGGGGTCTCCCTGTGTTGCCCAGGCTAGTCTCAAACTCCTAGGCTCAAGCAGCCTCCCAGAGTGCTGGGATTATAGGTGTGAGCTACTGTGCCTGGCCCCAACTCTTCATTTTAAAGTTTTCCAATAGTTCTTGTAAAGTCTGCTTACACAGGCATTGGGGAAAGAGAGCTAGACCACTTGATTAAAGTGAGGTGGCCTAGAGAAAAACAGCTTTACAGCCTCTGACAATGTTGACAAGGATGTGGTTATATTCTACTAGCATAGATTAAGGATTCAAACAGATTTAGATAATTCAGTGTGCCATGGATGGGAAAGGTTGATGGGAAGTCTTCAAAGTAGATATAGGCAACATAAATTATAAAACATTATATGGCGGGGGGCATTTTGGCTAATAGTTTTACCCCTGAGTTCATTTAAAACTGTCAGTGGATGCCACTCATTTCTAGGGCATCTAGTCGATCCAATAAGAGTACAGCAAAGACAGGAGTTCAAGACCAGCCTGGACAACATGGCAAAACCACAAAAATACAACAAATACAACAAAAAATACAACAATTAGCTGGGTGCAGTAGCACGTGGCTATAGTCTCAGCTATTCTGGGGCTGAGATGGGAGGATCACTTGAGCCTGAGAGGTCAAGGCTTCAGTGAGCTGAGATAGCACCACTGCCCTCCAGCCTGGGCAACAGAGTGAGACCCTGTCTCAAAAAAACAAAAAGTACAGTAAAAAGTTCTGAACATATTTTTTCTAAGCAAAGGAATGTTTTATTCAAATGAAACTTTAACAAAAATCTAGTATATAAAGAACTGCAGTAGCTGAAGAAGATGGATGAGGAGGAGGGACGCCCTGACAACCACCAGAACAGCCATGCATTCAGTAGACTGAGGGGCCTGGCATCAAGTCTTGCCTTCTGTGTATTCCAGGTCTGGAAATAGGCAGCCACATCTGAGGTGCACAGTAAGTATATGATGACTGACTGAATAAATGAATGAAATGCCATCATTTTGCCTCTAAATGTAATTGAGGAACACAAAGCCGCTAACATTTTCATTAGTGAAAACCAAGGTAATGAATCCATTTAATAGCTCATTTTCATCACCAGATTCTTCTGGCCACTCACGGTCCTTACTTGCCTTCTTTGAACATGAGCTTATGAAGCATTTGGTTTTTACAGTCCAATTTCCTCTAGGACTGTTTCCATTTGACATAATCAGGAAAAGTACCCACCTGAGTTCAGGAAACTTGGTGAAATTCAGGCTGCATTTTAGGGGGTGAGTGGTGGGATAGGACCAAGAGGGAAAAAGAAAACAATTTTCTTGTAAGGATCACACACGGCTAATTTTAAAAATAAAATTATTCATCTAATTATATAAATAATGTATTGTCATTGTAGAAAGTTTGGAAAATACAGGAAAACCTAACGAAGGAAATAAAATTTACTTTCCCTGCCATCACCCAGAGATAATGCTGTCATTGATGTCTATCCCTCCGTTCATGTCTTTATGAAGCAGGATAACATATATAACATCCAAATATGTTTTAACTTGCTTTTATGACTACATAATATATGCAAATATTTTATGTTGTTAAATATTGTTCTAGAACATGATTTTTAAATTTCTGTATCATCACCGATGGAAGAATGTACCACATTTTGTCTAACAAATTTCTTTTATTTATTATTTATTTATTTATTTTTTAAATTTTTTATTTTATTTTATTTTATTATTATTACACTTTAAGTTTTACGGCACATGTTCTTATTGTTGAAAGTTTGACTTATTTCCCCTCTTTTTTCTATTATGAATAGTGCTACATTGAGTATCCTGTAGTCTGAGTGTGTGTCTGTTTAGTATTTATGGCATGCTACTTATTTTTTTATTTTTATTTTTAATTGTTGTGGGTACATACACAGTAGGCGTATCTATTTATGGGGTACAATGGCATGCTACTTTTTTTTTTTTAGACAGGGTCTCACTCTGTTGCCCAGTCTGGGGTGCAGTGGAGTGTGATCACAGCTCACTGCAGCCTCAACCTCCTGGGCTCAGGTGATCTTCTCACCTCAGTCTCCAGAGTAGCTGAGACCACAGGCATGCGCCACCACACACTGCTATTTTTGCATTTTTTGTAGAGATGGGGGTCTCACCATGTTGCCCAGGCTGGTCTCAAACTCCTGGGCTCAAGTGATCTGCCCGCCTTAGCCTCCCAAAGTGCTGGATTACAGGTGTGAGCCATTGTGCCTGGACGGCATGCTACTTTTTAAGGCTTTTGATGCACATGGGCAAATTCTAGAATGGCTGTACTGAAGTAGACATTGTGGACAATGCATTTGGGTTCTTGTTTCACACACCAGAGCTTCACTTTTCATCTGCAACGGCATTCTGACCATTTTTAATGAGCATTAGTTATTTGACACTGAGCATACCACTTTCCTAACTTTGAGAAGAAAGAGAGGTATTAAAGTCTTGGGTGTGGCTGTTTTTCAGAATTTACAATTAAAAATCTATCTCAATATTTTGCTGTCTTTAAAAAGCAGTGAAGTCTGAGGAAGGATATTAGTGGATTCAGTGGCTGCTGTTCATAATGCCTGCAGGACATTTTGAGTGTTTCCTTCCTGAGTTCAGAGCCTCATCCTCGCATCTCAATGAGACATTACCCTAGAACCTCTACCACCATGACTACCAGCACTTCTGAATTGAAACTGTCTTTGGCTGTCAATTTGCTTTGGGGACCTTTTCTAGAAGTTAAATTCATTTTTGTGGAGGCTAAAACTAGTCACTCGATCACATTTGTGATATGAGTCATGTTAGAATAAAGATCTAGAAGAGTGGTAGATCCTATCTAACTTGCACAATAGTAGAAAGTGAGGTACAAACAATATTTCTCCTAGTCCCTCTGAGTTCAATCTGGATTTGAGATTTACTTTTCATGATCTGACACAAAGTATGTGTGTGTATGTGTATTTTGAAAAATTTGGACAGGAGTCCCATATGATGTTGAATTAATCAAATATAAATACACACACACACACACACACACAGACACACACAAACACAGAGACACACACTTTATTCCATTAGGGAAAGTATGCTTTCTTTTTTTTCTTTGCTCACAAAACTGAGAAATTGGCAGAATATTTTACTTGTAACTTGGCAGTATTGCAATTTACAGACGAGAAAGGCAAGCCAAATTGGGTGAAAATTGTTTGAGATTTTTTTTCCCAGTTTTAGACAGTGAAAATCATGTAGCTGAGCGTGCACATTCAGCCGTTTTCTGCTTGATTTTTAACCGCGTTTGTTCATTGGCACTGCCAGAGCTAGTTACAACTTCCCGGTGCAAGCATGTGATGGCCAGGGGAAGGTGTGGGGATTCGTGGCTGTCCTCCCCATGCTGTTAATGTTAAAATAACTGTTGTTTGAATTGTTTTGAGATACTGATTAGAGAAATATGAAATGTGATATTATTTGAGCTTCATAAATCCATCTTAATTATCAATATATAAACACAGACTTAGGAGTGGGAGATCCAGATCAGACATGTTTACAGGCCTGAGCTTTTTCCGTGAGTTTCTGGAACATTGTGGTGCCTGAGACACAGCGGGAATCCGACGACTCTGAGAACGGACTTTCCCTTTTAAATGCTGGAGGCTTTGAAATCGTCTTCACAATGAGGGAGGATTCATGAAGTAATGAAAAGCTGTTTCCTCTTTAAAACGTTCAGACAGCAGCACAAACATCTGGGAATTTGTTTGAATATTTGGGTTCCCTGAATTACCCATTTCCTTAACATACATTTTACTTACTTTTCCAAGGGAGATACATTTCCACCTCATGTTTTTCCCAGTTTAGCTGTGTTAGGCTCTTCACTTTAGCATTTAGGTTGCTTTGTATTTAAGGACACAGGTTAAGGCCGTATTATGAAAGGTATGATTTGGGTTTGGGGGAGCAGGATGTTGTTATGCGTGAGGGGCAAAGTGATTTTTGTGTGTGATACAAGTTTCAATTACATCATGGTGTCATCCTTATAAATTAAATTTAAAAACAGTTGTGCCAAAAAAATAGCCACTAATGTTTCTTTTAAAAAATGATTAAGCAACAATATTTACTCAATATTTGAATTAAGCAAAACTGTCATCTTCTTTCTCCTTTTCAGAACATAATTCCTCTTTCAACTTCAGAAGTCATGAGACTTCCCTTTCTTTCTCCATTCTCTTCCTCACACTGCAGTGTCTCAAAGGGTGAAAATGTCTGTGTGTGGGAGAGGGTGGTGGTGGTAGGGCAGTGGTCAGAACATTCTGGAATCCAGGATAAGAAAAACCAGCTTGATTTCTGCACTTAGGACATTGTTGATGTTTATTTAGGGATGTGCTATCTGGATTGATGGAAAAATTTGGAAATACTTAAATATTTCGGTATGTAATATCGGATGATGAGACAGTGCAGCACTGATAGCTTCCTGGTTGTCAGTGTGGCTCTGTATCTCTGTTTTACTTGTCATATTTGTACTAAGACAGGTGTGGTTTTAAACGGTCAGTATTGAACTATTTTTGACTAATTAGATGCGTTACGTGTGACTTGCCAGTTTATAATTAGTTAACATATGATAAAAAATATGAGATATATTGATTGGTATAACTATACTAAATATAATTTAATCTAGTTGACTTTTTTAATAGGCATTTTAGGATACCACAATTACTGCTGTGAACTTCAATGGGTTATGAATGACAATTGTTACTCTGGAGCATCAGGCATGTAGAAAGTATAGGGATTGGGCTTAATACAAATTTAGTGGCATAACCTGGCAGTCGCCTATTTGATTATAATTCTGCTGTTATTCTGAATGCTGTTCATCTGCCCTTATCTCATACAAGTAGGTTGCAGAACATATTTTTAAAAATCTGGCCGGGCACAGTGGCTCATGTCTGTAATCCTAGCACCAATTCCGAGGTTGGAGGTTGGCCCGAGGTCAGGAGTTCAAGACCAGCCTGGGCAACATAGTTAGACCCTATCTCTACAAAAACTTAAAAAAAAATGAGGTTGGGTGTGGTGGCTCACGCCTGTAACTCCAGCACTTTGGGAGGTTGAGGCGGGCGGATCACAAGGTCAGGAGATCAAGAGCATCTTGGCTAACATGGTGAAACCCAGTCTCTACTAAAAATACAAAAAATTAGCCGGGTGTGGTGGTGGGCGCCCATAATTCTAGCTGCTGGGGAGGCTGAGGCAGGAGAATGGCGTGAACCCAGGAGGCGGAGCTTGCAGTGAGCCGAGATTGCCTCACTGCACTCCAGCCTGGGCGACAGAGTAAGACTCCATCTCAAAAACAAAACAAAACAAAACAAAACAAAACAAAACAAAACAAAACAACAAAAAAGAGCTGGGCGTGGTGGTGCACACCTGTAGGCCCAGCTACTCAGGAGGCTGAGATGGGAGGATCACTAGAGCCCAAGAGTTGGAGGCTGCAATGAGCTATGATTGTGCCACTGTACTCCAGCCTGGATGACAGAGTGAGACCCTGTCTCTCTAAAATAAATAAATAAATAAATAAAAATCTGGCTATATGAGCTGGCAAGTTTGTTTATTTACTTTAAAAGTTAAACAGCAGTTAATTGTGATTTGTGGATCACTTCTTCCCCATTGATTTAATCTCTGCTTGCTTAAATAAATTAAGGTACTGTATATTCTGGATTATACTTCCTCCGCCTCAAATTTAGGAATATTGTGAAGTGAGACTATGATACTTGACTGTGGAAAGGGATATATTTGTACCCCATTACCAAGTTTTCTTCTTGGTGTCTTTCTCTAGTTCAGATGGAACTATCATTTATATCTAGGTCTGATGAAATAAAACTGAGGGAGAGGGGCTTCCAGGTCCCCATTTCTTAAAACGTCATGTTGCCTGACATGAATGAATGCATAGCCACACTCTTGTTCTCTGAATCTGTCAGTCAATTATGTGCATAGTTCGCAACTAGGACGGGATGTCCTGTGAAGAAAAGATAGGCATTAAGCCCCTGTAAGTATGAGGATTGCTTGCGACATGTCCCAAGCAATTGTAGTTCATCGCTGAGATCAAGAATGACATGTTTGGCTGGGCTCGGTGGCTCACACCTGTAATCCCAGCACTTTGGAAGGGTGAGGAGGGCAGATCACCTGAGGTCTGGAGTTCAAGACCAGTCTGGCCAACATGGTGAAACCCCATCTCTACTAAAAATACAAAAATTAGCCACACGTGGTGGCTCACTCCTGTAATCCCAGCTACTCAGGAGGCTGAGGCAGGAGAATCATTTGAACCCGGGAGGCAAAGGTTGCAGTGAACCGAGATTGCGCCATTGCACTCCAGCCTGGGTGACAGAGTGACTCCGTCTCAAAAAAAAAAAAAGAAAACATGTTTGGCTTTGTGGTACAAAGCAAAGTTTTCATTAGCAAAGGTGAAAGTGCCCAATATCCTGTTATATCAAACTCGATTGATTAATGAGAGGGATGAAGGTTATGGATGTTTTTGTTTGTTTTGGAGGGTGTGTATGTGTGTAGGGGATGTTTAATGTGAGTCAGGCAGTGTGAGAATAGTTTCTGGGGTCTGGTCCCATTGAGAACAACCTGATTCTGGTAATCTTTGAATATCATTTAACACATTACGTGGCTCTTAATAAATGGGTCTGCTTCATAGTTACAATAGAAATTGACCCCTCTGCCATGTGGTCCCCTCCTTCCCTCCATTTGGCCTTTTATCCTTGGATTTGGGTCACAACCTTTGGGGAAGGGTGGAAACAAAGCAGAACTGGCAATTATCCCAGTGATCTGGATTCTAATTAATTAAGGCCTACTTTTTTTCTCCTTTTTTGGAGAATTGTGCCTGTAGGCATTTTGTGGGAAGGATGCCTTTCTTATTGAATAACTATACCTCAAGCTTTTTTTTTTTTTTTTTTTTGGACCCAGGAAGGGATATAAAAAATAATTAGTTATGAGGGGCACCACTGAAAGTAGAAGATTTACACTCAAGCCAGGAATTTATTTGCATATCAAATAAAGGACAGAGTCATGCATGATGTCTCAGAATCTCTAGTTATCCTAATCAGTAAAGAAAATGAAACCAGATGTGTTCATTTCAGCTTTGAATTGTGTTACTATTAGAATAAAAATTAAGTTCCCTTAAGTATCCTTTTAGGTCAAATCTAATCATTTCTCTAGATATAATTCTCAGAAAAGCCAGTGGCATTTTGATAGTGGAACCTGGTATTTTGCTGGACTTAACAGTTCTCTGTGAAGCTACATACAAATTTTATCCATTGACCATTATGCTGTACATTTCTTAAAGTGCTATTTTTGTTGTGGTTTCAGTGATTCTCATCCGAAACATAGCTGCATCATGTCATGGAAAAACACTGGACTGGGAGTTAGAATCATTCTCCTCTCAGCTCTTCCATTAAATGAAAAGATTTGTGCTTTTGGAAAATCACTTTAACTCTTTGGACTTCAGTTTTGTTGGCCTGCTACATAAGGTCTCTACCATCATTGAACAGTTTAGGTCTTTATTAGAACATGCACAACATAGTGAGCTAAATTGCAAACTCATCTGTAAAAATTTGACATCTTAAGCTTCAGAGTAACCCTGCTTAGTATTTAAAAGCAAATGTCAATGTCAGAAGGTTGAAGTCCTAACAGTATTAGAAAAGCAAATGCCATCAACTTATTGAACCTACAGTTTTTAAAAATTTGTGTCTTAATAATATTTAATGTTTTTATCCGTTATACTGGTAATCCATGTTCACTGAGAAAGTTTATAAAACTCAAAAAAAATCGATCTTAATCTCACCACTCAGAACTAACTAGCAATATTTTGATGTTTCCATTCCTTTTGGTTCTCTGTATTTCTCTTATATTCTATGCCATGTATGATTTATTTTTACAAAGTTGGAATCATAGTTTTTCTATCATTTGTTTGTTTGTTTTTTGTTTGTTTTCTTTTTGTTTTTTTTTAGAGGGAGTCTCACTGCAATGCCCAGGCTGGAGTGCAATGATGTGATCTCGGCTCACTGCAACCTCTGCTTCCCAAGTTCAAACGATTCTCCTGCCTCAGCCTCCTGAGTAGCTGGGATTACAGGAGCGTGGCACCATGGCTGGCTAATTTTTGTATTTTTAGTAGAGATGGGGTTTCACCATATTGGCTAGGCTGGTCTGAAACTCCTGACCTCAAGTGATTTGTCTGCTTCAGCCTCCCAAAGTGCTCAGATTACAGGCGTGAGCCACCGCGCCCGGCTGTTTCTGTTTTTTTCACTTGGGGAAACATTGTGAGTTGCTTCCCATGTCTTTATTCCAAAAGATGGTTTTTAAAGGCTTTTAATTTTTGTTTTTGAATTACATATACTTATATATAATTATAATTATATATATGTAGTTTTATTTTATGAAGCAGAAAATTAAACTTTCTCTCTCCCTGCATTCTGCCAACCCACTCTCTCTTTCTCAGTCACATTCCCTGTAGGGAAGTCCATTTATAGTTTGAGGTATATTCTTAAGGTCCGTAATAGATGTAAGTATATACATGTAATAGATGTAAGTATATACGTGTAATAGGTGTAAGTTCATAAATGTAATAGATGTAAGTATTTAAATATGTATGTATGGCCATATGTGAGAGTTTTTTACTTAAATCAGGCCATTCCATTCACACTACTCTGCACTCTGTGATCTTTCATGCTGCATTACTGGGAGTGAGGAGGTATTTTCTAGTTAATATCTACTGCCCTAGCTAGTTCACAGTAATGGCTCCACAGTGATTCCCACTATGGATGTCTGTTTTTTTTTTTTTTTTTCTTGATGGAGTCTAGCTCTATTGCCCAGGCTGGAGTGCAGTGGTGTGATCTTGGCTCGCTGCAACCTCTGCCTCATGGGTTCAAGCGATTCTCCTGCCTCAGCCTCCTGAGCAGCTGGGATTACAGGTGCATGCCACCATGCCCGGCTAATTTTTTTGTATTTTTTAGTAGAGATGGGGTTTCACCACATTGGCCAGGCTTGTCTTGAACTCCTGACCTCATGAACCACCTGCTTCAGCCTCCCAAAGTGTTGGGATTACAGACATGAGCCACCGCACCCGACCGGATGTCTGTTTTTATTTAATCAATCACCTATTGCTGGACATTGTGGTTGGTTGAAGTTATTTTATTTTGTTTTAAAAAGGGTTGCATAATATCTTGTATCCAAATCTTTGGGTGCATCTTTGATTATTTCCCTAGGATGAAGTCCTGAGTCCACTGGGACGTACGTGTGGCTTTTGATATTGCCAGTTTCCCTACAGAAAGGTCATCCTGTTTTACATTCCTGTAAAATGTGTATGAGAGGCCCTTCTCTGACCTTTTCCCACTCTGAACTAGTCAAAACTTAAGGCACATTTTTCATCATTATTGTACCAGTTTTTATCTCAATTTGAGTCCAGGACATTCCTTTCAGAGTATGGGGAAAAAGGTCATCCAGATTCTCTGGTGCCTTGATCATCTTTGACTTTTCTAATGAGACTTTGTAAAGAATCCTGGGAAGTTATAAGTTCCACTATACGGTATTTCTATTTTTATTTGTCATGATGAACTCATAGATTAATAATTTATTCCTTTTCTTAAATTTAGAAACTAGCTGACTTAGATTTCCTCTCTTATTAAAATATAAAGTCCTTTGGGAATGGTAACATATTATCGAACGTTGTGATTTGTATTCCAGGAACTAGAGTCTGTTTTGATTGAGCGTCTAAAAATCCTTGTTAGGGAGGGAGGAGAAAAGTGCCCAAGATCAGTGGGTAGGGCCCCTGGTCCTAGGGAAAGAGTCATTGTTGATTTACCACCATTAGTAATAAGCCATTCATTAAATCCATGAAGACAAATCATGTGTTACATTTTAGTTGTAAGTTTCTTGATCTTTAGATTTTGTGACTCTGAAGATACACTTCAGTTATTGCTATGCTTTTTTTTTAAGGAAAGAAAGTTCACAAATAGGCAATGTTTTGATATATGGCCAATACCATTTTAATATAGCACTCCACTGTGGGGGTTCAGTTTATGACAATGGAATACAGCCATAACTAGTCACAAAGGAACCGAGATCATGATATAATGGGGAACAGGTACAACCCTAATGCAGGATGCTTGCATTAGATTCTTGGCCCTGTGCAATTAGTATCCTGAATTACTCTAGGCAGGTAACTTAGGTCATGACAATACATGCTTTATATACTTCTAATAAATAGCACTGTAACCAAGCAGTTCAAAGTGGGCTCCTAACACTCCATGACATCTTCATTAGATCAGATGATCACAATACAACTGGATAAAAAGATCACCTTGTCACTGCATTCAGTTTGTGCTGTACAGATAGGCCTTTTATTCCTCTGTCTTAATTTTTCCATCTACAGAAAAATATTGGTGCCAATATAACATGAGATTCAGAAACTGACTTTTTGTCTTCATTTACTCAGCAAATGCTTATTTGAACATGGCTATGTCGACTATGTGCCAGGTCCTGTGCTATCCACTTCAGTTTACAGTGGTGGGAGTCAGAGGAGTCAGGCCAGAAGACACATAAAAGGAGCCCACTCTACATCTGGCACCCCTGGATTCTACATTGCAATGTAAATGTCCCTGTCAAGACCTTCACTACCTCCTGCTCTGCAGCAGGAGGTAAGAGCCCATCTGTGCAATTTGCTGTCCGACTTTCTTTCAGTACCTGGAGGTTGGAAGGGGGGAAAAAAGCAAACTTTGGGTATCAAAAATATCCCTCTCCTTATCAATCTTGATTTCTGAATTTCATTATGGTGTTAATACCATTCGTCATTTATTATACAGATGGCAACAATTTGTTTTTGATAAGCAACTCAGTGCCTTTCAATCAGTGGCTAAGACCAACTCGTTGAACACAATGGGATGGTTAATTAAAGACACATTTTAAATACACACACAACTCACAGATGTATGCAGGGACATGCATACAACTGTTAAGGCAGCCTGCTTTGGTCCTGAAGAATATAATTTGATTTACAGTTGAGAAATACAAACTAAACTCTGTTTGGGGAAAAATTATGCCCTAAAAAAATGACTGGGGTAGAAATACTGTATTTGAGAAATGAGAACTTTAAAACACTCCACTTTGTCTTTGTTAAAATGGGCGTAATAGAAGTAGAATTTTGCCAAGATGTTTAACCTTATTGAGGCCACAAAGTAGGAAAGGTTTCATTTTTAATTTTGCAAAACCCAACTTTCTTTCTTCCTCTTTATTTCCTTGTTTTCCTCCCATCTCCCTCCCTCCTTCCTTCCCACCTTCCTTTCTTCTTTCCTTCTGTCTTTTCTTCTATCTTTCCTTCCTTTTTTCTTTCTCTGTACTCTCCTGTCATAATCAAGAGTAAAAAGTTTAACTTTATGCATCTGAATACATTTATTCATGGATTCTTATTTAATAAAAATAGAAAAAAAAACACTCGTAAAGAAAACTCTTGGTGAGTTACAAATGGCACGCTTCCTTTGGGGCGCAGGAACTCAGGGTGCTCTTAAACACCTTGACATTTTCAGGACTTTCTGCCACCTGGGATTTAGATCAAAACTGCAGTGCGTGTCAGACCATCTCAGAACAAGGAATGTTTGTCTCAGACATTATTATGCCCTATCTCTTGATGAAAGACTGGGATAGAGTCAAATCATGTGTCTTGGTGTTTGTTTAATATTTGTGTTCCGCATTTATTAGCTGATGAGTTACTGGAGATTTGCATTCTTCTGAGTCAGCCAGTATGACCTATTTTATTGCAGTCTAAAGTTGTACTGAAGGGTGCCTTGGAAAACATGTTCTCCAAATGTTGGTCAAGACTGACATTCACAGAATTTAAAGCTGGATGTAATGTTATCCAATGACAGCTTCGGAAATATGATGACTCTGCAAGAAATCAGGGGAAATTCAGAATGGCTGTTAAGACCACTCCTAAGACTATCTTGACTATGTGAATTCTTTCTCCAGTTTTTTCTGTGTCATCCCAGCTTGCCATCTCTAGCTCCTGCTTCACAGGCCTCGAACTACCTCTCCAGTCCACTTCAGTGCCTTAACAGCTCAGATTTCACTTCCAGTAGTCTAGGGCTTTTACATAAATTAGAGCAAGAAGAGAATACAGTGGGGAGAACAAAACTGATTAAAAGGTTGGAAAAATAAGACTTATGAAGAAAGGTTAAAGGAGCTAGGATTATTCAGCTTGGAAAAGAGAAACTAGTGGGTGGCTTAATAAAAGTTTTCAAGTATATGAAAGGTTATTATATGGAGACTGGCGACCAGCTGTTCTCCTGCCGCTGAGAAGAGAACAAAAGGAAATTATCTTTAACTTCTGCAGCGGGGAGCTAGCTTGGAAATAAAGGATTTCCCAGTGGTGAGGTTTGTTAAACATTAGAATGCATTACCATGGCATCTCTTTTTCTGGAGATCTTTGGAAATAAGACAGGGACTGGTGTGGAAGGGATGGTTTAGATAGGTGGAGGCTTGCCTAAGTTACTGGAGAATCAACCAGATGACCTGTGGAAGCTCTTTGCTGGTCCTTTGAGTCTACACCAAGCCAACTGGACCTCAGCCAGAAAAGATATGGAGAAGAGCCAGGCTAGTTCATGCCTTTGACTGTTTCAGCAGAGGCAGAGCCAGTGTTCACCTTGTCACAGGCTTAGTTTTCTTGATATCTAATTGTTATTTGGTGGTAAGTAGTGATTGGAGCAGGGATGGGAAGGAGGTTAAAAAATTCAACCAGCTAAAACATACATAAGATCTCCCTCAAAGAATATTTCAGTGAGTAAGGGTGAGGCCTATGAAATATGAAGTGCCCTTGTAATTTTTTTTTAAGACTTCAAACGTTTTTCCTCAACACTATACCTTCTATGTGTTCATGTAAACTGCTCCTTTAAGCTTTTGAGATATAGAAGTGTATGTGTGTCTCTAAAAAATGGAAGAAGTGTTCCATTTAGTTCTTATTAATAAATGGATAAGGATTATGGGATTTTGGACTCAGATGGAATGTTGGAGAGATCATTTAGTTTAACACAGTGGATGAGTTTTTCTGGACTTCTAGGCTTAATAATCCCAAAATTATATTGCCATGACATAAATATAGTATTATACTTACCACAAGAATTTAAGTATAATATAATCATGTTAACAAAAACATCTCAGTGCATTTATTATTTTTGTCAAACAATATGTTAGTAAAATATTTTTCAAAGAATTGAACTCTGTTTTTTAAATTTAGTTCATTATTTAGACATAAC
Organism: Homo sapiens; assembly: GCF_000001405.40. Taxonomy (NCBI): domain Eukaryota; kingdom Metazoa; phylum Chordata; class Mammalia; order Primates; family Hominidae; genus Homo; species Homo sapiens. The sequence goes on from NC_000013.11 coordinate 50,150,881, forward strand.
CTAAAAGATGTTGACAATACATTCCTTTTTTTTTTTAGATTGAAGCGTTTTTTAAATTGTGGTAAAAAATTCCACAATATTAAATTTACTATCTTAACTTTTCTTTTTTTTTTTTAAATTGAAACAGGGTCTCACTCTGTTGCCCAGGCTAGAGTGTAGTGGTACGAACATGGCTCACTGCAGCCTTGACCTCCTGGGGTCAAGTGATCCTCCTTCCACCACAGCCTCCTGAGTAGCTGGGACTGCAGGCACATGCCCCCAGGCCTGGCGAATTTTTTAATTTTTTGTACAAATGGGGTCTCTCCATGTTGCCAAGGCTGATCTTGAACTCCTGGTCTCAAGCGATCCTCCTGCCTTGGCCTCCAAAACTGCTGGGATTACAGGCATGAGCCACTGTGCCTGCCCATTTTAACCATTTACAATGTATATTTCACTAGTGTTAAGTATATTCATATTGTTGTGCAGCAGATCTCTAGACCTTTTTCAATACGCAAAACAGAAACTATATCCACTAAACACCGATTCCCTCTCTCCTCCCTGCCAGCCCTTAGGAACTCCCTTTCTACTTTCTGTTTGTATGATTTTAACTACTTTATATACTTCATTTGAGTGGAATAATACAATATTTGTCCTTTGAGACTGGCTTGCTTTGCTTTGCGTAATATCTTTGTGGATTATATGGTAGTTCTATTTTTAATCTTTTTGAGGGAACTCCATACAGTTTTTCATAATGACTGCACCATTTTACATTCCCACCAACAGTGCACAAAGATTCCAATTTCTCCCCATCCTCACTAATACTTGTTATTTTCTGTTCTTTTGATAGTGACCATCTTAATGAGTGTGAAGTGATATCTTATTGTGGTTTTGATTTGCATTTCTCTTATGATTAGTGATGCTGAGTATCTTTTCCTGTGCTTGTTGGTCATTTGTGTATCTTTTTTGGAGAAATGTCTATTCAAGTCTTTTGTACATTTTTAAATCAGGTGTTTTTTTTGTTGTTGTTGTAAAAACACAAGTTTCTTAGATATTCTGGATATTAACCCCTTATCAGATATATGATTTGTGAATTCTCCCATTCCATAGGTTATCTTTTCATCTTTTGGTTGTTCCCTTTGAATGCACAGAAGTTATAAATAATTTACTAAGCTTTAAGTATTGAAATTTGAATCGAGGTTAAAAATTTTCTTGATTACTTCAAACATATTATTTCAATAAAACCACAAAAGGTATTGATTCAGTATGAATCACTGATTATGAACACACACACACACACACACACACACACACACAAGCAAACATAAACCTTTTATTCCTGAACAGTTATAAGAAAAGATTATACTACTTCAGTTGTTATCCTAGAGATTTTTCTTTCAACTATTTAAGAAGTTTGAGATTAGACTGTTTTAAACTTCTGATACCATTCTACAAAAATGTGATTAAAGAAAATGAAAGTAACTTTTACTGTGCAGCGTCAGAATAATGAACATGGTGTATTCTTTCTCTTTTAATCATTTCATTTAATGCTTCATTCACAAAGATTCTTAAAGAAGCAACCACAGTGAGGACGTGCTTTGGCAGGCAAGGAGAGGACTTGCACTCTGTCTCCCACTCCACTGTCTAACTTTGAACTATTAATGTAAATCCCAGAAACCTGAACTGTTACCATTTCCTTGCCCAATAGGGGTAACCAGACCTATTCTCACTAACTTGGTGAATGTCCGAAAAATACATAGGTCAGTCTGATATTTTTGGGACTTCCTAAATTTTCTTTGCTTTTGCAAGACACTCAGATCTATACAGCCTAATTTGTTTTTACGAACACTAGCAGAGTACTTCAGGTTGGAGTTTTTGCCTAAAGAATATAACAAATGGGGAGTAAGTTGGAGAAACCAGAGGGAGCCTGGTGCTTCTGGCACAGGTAACACAGTTAACTGAAGTCTTTTGGCTTCACTAACAATGGCCACCTGAAGCTTGGCCAACCCTCTGTATATGCCCTTTCTCTAATCAGAAAGGTCATATGCCACGGAAGATTTTTCTCAGTTTTTAAAAATCCCCTGGCTGGTTATCCTGATTCCTTAAAACAGTTTTTTGAAAGTAACAAAAGTAGAATGTTTGATGCATTTTATGAGTCCATGGTAAAGTTAGATACATGTGCATATGAACACGTGTTCTTAAGACTCCTGTGTAGTCAAGAGAGCTGAGTGTTCAGAACTCAAAGTTGGCCTAATAAAAGACACCAGACTATAGTACTTGCTTTGTTTGTTCCGTTTGACTGAACCAAATGTCTTCAAGTTTCGTTTTCAATTTTTATCGTAAAAACCGTGAAAAGCAAGGTGTTTGCTTACTGCTGGGATTTGATTCCATCTTAAAGACCTGGAGCAGAAGTTTATATGGATTTCAGAAAGCAGCTGTTTTATGTGCATACATAGTACAAGGTAGAAAAATGTAATGTAACCCAGTAAGATTAAATAACAGCATAACAAAAACTTAAAAAATTCAAAGTTGAATATGTAGTACACCTCTCACAGTGGAAGTCCTGGCTTTTAAGAAATTGCTGCAAGCATTTAACATGAGAAATCTGTGAATGTTCATTCCTAGCAGAAAAAAGATCGGATATGATTGTAGGTTTCTGTGTTGTTGCTCATATTGAGCCAGCTATTCATGTATTCAGATTCATGGGAGAATTTCTAGCATGAGTTCTGTCTGGTATATCACTCTGTGTTATGGTTTCTCTATCTACCTTTACAATGCACATCCTGTTGATTCTACTTATTATGGCAGAATAAGGAAATATATGTGCATTACGATAGTGCTATTGATATGCACTTGATACTCTGGCTAAGATAAACATAAATCAGGTAAAGCCAAGTGTATTTTAGCCTTTAAACTGGGATATGCATTCCCCACCTGCTCAGACTGAAAACTGTCTTGTAGGATTAAGAGGATGGGGAGGGTGCATGGAAAATTATTTTTTAAAGGAAGAGGAATAATATGTAGAGTTAGGAACATTATAGACTGTTAAAGGACCAATGTTTCAATGCAAATGACCTCCAAGTTATATAAAAGCCCTGTGTATGATATGTTTATTGTTATTAGTTTTTAGCCTTTGCAGTCTTCGGAGACTTTGCTGGCCTGGATTTCGAGTTTAGTAGAGTACATTCAGCTGCATTGTGCATTTCAGCTCTATGGAACCGTTGTGCTTCGTCCCTGTTTACCTCATCCTGTGGGCAAGCATCTGCTTTTGCGTCTTACTTCTTAGAACTGCAGCTGGATTTCTGGAATTCTGTGGCTGTGTGGTATTTTCTCCTGCATATTAATAAGATTAAATTGACCAAAAGGTTTCTTTTTTCCTTCAAAAATTTTCCTAATATTTTTAGAGTATGAAGATTATATAGCTTTATTGTAAAAATATTCAAGCAGTATTGAAAAATATAAAGATCAATAATAACAACAGTCCCAGAGATAACCACTAGTAGTATAACATATTGGTGATCATCCTTACAGATGACTCTCATAAAGATCAATACTAACAACAACAATCCTAGAGATAACCATGGGTAATATAACATATTGGTGGTCATCTTTACAGATGATTCTCAATGCATATATATTCACATATAAATATATATAAGTAAATATATACATACTCTTACAAAATGAAAAAATACAATACAAACTTTTGTAACCTTTTCCATACTAATCACTATAGATCTACATCATTATTTTAATGGATGCATTATATATATTGTATATAGAATACTATCTGGCACTCAGTAGGCCCTCAACCAATGGTTGAATGAATGAGCAATAATTTATTTAACCAATCTTCTATTAGTGGACATAATTTATTTTCTGTTTTTCACTATTATAAATCACATGGCAATTAATATGTTTTTGCATCTTCTTTGTTCACATGTACAATTATCTGTTTAAGGAAACCTTAAAAGTTGGGTCAAAAGGTGGAAACATTTAACAATTTGATAGTGATAAACTTGCTGAGTTGGCTGAGTTTATGCTCAAGTCATACAAATTTACATTATCATCAGCAATACACAAAGGTGTTTGTTTCCGCACATTCCCCTGCATGCCTACATTGCTGTCAGTCTTTTAGAGTTTGCCATCCTGATAGAAAAATTGCTGTACTGGTTTTCCTTGCATTATTTACATTACAAGCAAGGCTGAGCATCTCTTTGTATATTTATTGGCCATTAGGTATTTCTTTTATGCATTGTCTGTTCTTTGTCCAGTGGTTTTGTCTTGAAACACCAGAGACCTATTTTATCTTAATGAAGTCATTTACTTTTATAATTCTATCATATGCCCCCAAACAGGGAAAGATGCATCTTTTAGGTGGGTATACTGATAAGTGAACTTGTGTGGACCCGTAGTTCTCATTTGTCAGAGGTAGCAACGTAGGGAATTTGAATATTTTTACCTCTAGGTCGGTGTCTTTTTTTTTTTGTTTGGAGATGAAGTCTCACTCTGTCACCCAGGCAGGAGTGCAGTGGTACGATCTCAGCTCACTGCAACCTCCACCTCCCAGGTCCAAGCGATTCTCCTGCCTCAGCCTCCCGAGTAGCTGGGATAACAGGCATGCGCCACCACACCTGGCTAATTTTTTTTTTTTTTTTTTTTGTATTTTTAGTAGAGACAGAATTTCACCATGTTGGCAAGGCTGGTCTCGAAATCCTGACCTCAGGTAATCTGCCTGCCTCAACCTCCCTAATTGCTGGGATTACAGGCATGAGCCACCGTGCCCAGACCCAGTGTCTTTTTGTGTGAGGACCACTACTAAAGTTTTAAGAGATTTCTTAAAAAGGCAATCGTCATTCTGAGGCAAAGATTACCAACATCTGGATTCCAAAAAGTGGGGAAAAATCAGTTATTCATATATATTAAAATGACACACTTCATTTCCAACTACCAAGTACAATGTTCACCTTTATTCTGTTTGTTTTCGCTTTGTCGTGCTACTGAAATATGTGTGCATGTGTATTTAACCAAAGAGAAACTCACTCCTAACCCCATATTTAGTGGTGGGACCATCCCTTATTTAGTGAGGCTGTTTTTTTTCCCCCCAGACCCGAGTTGTTGTTGCCCATGCTGCTGAATTCCCAATATGAATAAATCATAATCATATGATTATACTAAATCAGAGGTTTCAGTACCCTTCCACAAAGTGACAATAAAATGCTCATTAAAAAAAAGAGTAGGTTGTGTTCAATGGTGTTAATTTAAAATTTTAATGCTCAGGCCAAAATGCCAGAAAGTGAACCTCAGTTTCTTGGTAATAATAAGGTGAACTGGCTTCCAGCAGAGAGATTTTGTGGCTTCTGTATCCTGCCGCTGCACTTCTCCCTTCTCCAGCCTCCTTTCTATTTGGTGGTGCAGAATCACCTTGGTCAGCCCTTTGACCTTGCCTGGAAAAAAGTCCTCATCAGTGAGTGAGTGTGAGGTTAGAGTGATAAAGATTCTAAAGGAATGCCTTGTTTTGATTCAAATAGTTGGATTAGTCACAGAGTTACTTAATCCACACACATAGTAGAATCCTCCAGCAAGCTTCTTTGTTTTCATCAGAGCTTTTGAGAGATTATTATATTATATCTCTATCTTTTAAAGATAGAGTAGAAATCCATCTATGAAGAATAGTTTTAGGTGCATTCCTGCCTGAACACACATTTGGACAGTCTTATAATTATGTATCTTCCCGAGATGCATTTTGAGCCATTTCTACCCAGAACTTAAAAAAATATTTCCTATGAGTGCTGGAGGTTCTTGCTTCTCTTAACCCACTAACTTTTTGAAGCCATAAGAATATCTTATTAAGGATTATGCAAAATAACGTCCTACAAATCCTGATATTATTACACTGCCCAAAAAACTTCAAAGCATCAGGAAAGTGTTGTGTTTTTTTTTTTTTTTTTTTTTTTTTAACTAAACCAGATTCAGCTGGCTACCCCACTTGGCTACAGAGTACTAAAGAAGAGACTGAACTTGATCCTGCTGCCCTTGCATACACAACACTCCCATTGACGCTAGTGAAGACTTAAGCGCATGAAAGGATTCCAGGATCAAAAGGTTAGCTCTATGGGGAGCTGTGTCTGGCTCAAGCAATCCATTTTTTTCTATTGACAGTGAAAACGTTTTATAGTTCTTTTTCAAAGTTTTCCCAAACTTTTACAATAACAGGCAACTTGTGAAAAAGTGAGAAGGCATCTAATTGAACTATATCCAGAGGAGATCATGGCAGAGACCAACAGGAAGAAAAACATTTCCAAACCACAGCGATATTGGTCAAATCAATTGTATTTGAAGAATAAAGCATTTGAGGCGTCGGCTGAGAAAAATTTTCATTATGAAACTTGGTTGGACTATGAAGCAGAATGTGAGATAAAATAAAACACAGAGCTCATGAGTTTTTATCTTTGTCTGCTAATGACTTATGCTAGCAGGATTATACTTTTTTTTTGCATTTTATGAGATGTATGAACTAGGAAGAAAATACATGCTATATCTAAATGGATTAGACGTGCAGATTCTTAACTAACATTTAATTCATTGCTAGTAAAACAAATGCCTTAAAACATTTAAAAAAGTGAAATTATCTTAAGGAGATAATTAACAAGCAGAGTAGAATAGCATTTTTGAAGAAAGTGTAATATGGTTCTACACTGGCATTTTCTGCATTTATTGAAGATACTTAGTCTATCCAACAATTCACTCATTCATTCTTTCATGAAACCCTGTCTCTACTAAAAATACAAAAAAAAATTAGCTGGGCACGGGGGTAGGCCCTTGTAGTCCCAGCTACTCGGGAGGCTGAGGCAGGAGAATGGCGTGAACCCGGGAGGCAGAGCTTGTAGTGAACCAAGATCGCGTCACTGCACTCCAGCCTAGGTGACAGAGCGAGACTCCGTCTCAAAACAACAACAACAACAACAACAACAACAACAACAACAACAAATTTCTTTGTGCACTTACTATATGCCCAATGCTAATCTAATAGTTTTACAAGACCTCAATTGAACAAGTGTCTGAGGAAATGGATTGCATCTAATAAAGCAAGACACACCAACTGTGGATGGGTGGTGTGTCTAGAGTATTTTGCATTCCTAAATCACTCTTCTGGAGAAAATTTGTATCAATAATTTTGTCTAGCTTCACCTGGAGTTACACATTTTGATTGGTAAGTGGCTTCTGTGATTTGCCTCTTAGAAATACATTATAATGTTATCCTAATATATGTACTAGGACAGACAATGCTACGTTGAACTAACTTGAATAGCATATTTTATAATCATAAAACTGATATAATATTATAGTTTTGATCTTAATCCTCCTCTATTGTATGAGCAATGGAAAGTCTTGGTGAGGAGCTTGTCTAAACATTTCTCTTGCATTTTCACATAATTGGGCTTGACAGTTTCCTGCCATTGTATAGGATAACTTCAGTTGATGGTGATCATGTTTTTGCTTAAGGGTCATTGAATTGTATTAGAAATTTTATACCATATTCTTGTAATCCTATAAGTCATTTTTGAGTTACATTATTGAAAGTGAACAATAATGTACCACAAAACAAAAGTTACTCATGCAGTTAAAGCTTTTTTTTGTACCTAGGTTTAGAAACTACAAGTCCACAGAGAATAGGGCTCGTGAAATAAATGAAAATACACGCTCATCTCCACCCACTCCTTGTTGTTGGGGCCTGGTCAGATCTGGTGAAAACATTAAGCCATTTGCCTTAAGTGGTATTGGCAAGTTAATTTATTCACCTTCTGGAAGGTACCAGGCTAGTGCTTGCAGAGGCAAGATTTTTTTTGGGTGAAGGGAGCAAACTTTTCCACTTAACATGTGCCCATGGAAATCAGGTACTTCTTTTTTCAGCTACCTTAGCTTCTGTTGGGAATTTGAGGGTGTTTTATGGGTTATGTTCTTATACGGTGGTTAAGTAGGCTTGCTGAAATGGATCTAGAAAAGACCCAGGTCAGTCACTGGTTGAAAAAGGGTTGACAGAAAATTAAGGAGATATGACTGAGAGCAGTTTCTCTTTCAGGTCCCCAAATTTCTCCTCTAGCCAATTCACATTAAGGTCTGAAATTTCCCCCATTGGTGTCATTCCGGCCATTGTTTCCAGAAGGGACTTTCAAAAATGCAAATATGTTCCTGTGGAGCATTTGCACATTTGGTGAGTTTGTCAGCCTAAATGAGCAGTTATCTTTGGAACTAAGAAAGAAGGGTCTTAACAGAGAACCAGGTTGGAGGAAGAAAGATCCTGAGAACATTCATGGGAGGTAGGCCAGGGGAAGACATACAGCATGAAACTTTGGCAGTTTAGAAACAAGGGGGATAACTCTTGTTAAGAGAGCTTAAGGGTCACAGAAGACAAATATAGGTCATTTCACAGCCTAATTTGGAGTTTGATCTTCACAGTAGCTCTTTATGGGAGATCAGAAGGCCTTAGCTCAGGTATGGGGAAAAGACTTCCTGTGAAGTCTTTATTCTGCTTGATCAAGGCTGCTTGAGGGTGTCAAGGGGTTCAAGAGAAGTTCTGAGGCCAAGTTCAAACTCAAGGGAAATAATTCTCTCATTTCATGATTTGTGCCATGGATCCATGAAGGAGTGGTCATCACGACCTCAGACTCTGCTGCATTTTTGGAGGGTTTAGTAAGTCGGCAATGGCAGTGACAGCTCAGTCCAGTTCTCACAGTGTGAGAAGAACTTGGGACATCCAGCTAATGGATCTACAAGAGTTCCAGGTGGCCCTGAAGAACTTCAGCACTTCTCCTTGCATATTTGTATTAACCTGGAAAATTGCTTCTTGAAGAGAAAAGGAAGTGATATTTTTAGAACAGGATCAGTATTTCCAGCACATTTATTAATGGGCTAGCTCCTCAGTGTTTACATGGCAACAGGATAAACTATTATTAGTACTGCTCACATCATGAGGTATCAGGATGTTTTTTGGCGTGGTAGACCATCTATTCAGATGAGGAAGTAGAGTGCATCCATTTATGAATTTATTGTTGACATTTCAACTGTAATTCTTTCTCAGTTTCTTCCCTAATGTCAGGATACAAATTTTCATATCCTTGAGAGAGGATTTTTTGGGAGGGGCAATAAAGACAAATTTTAAAATTGAAAATAAATAAACTGGCAATCCCATAAAGCTCTTGATCATATTTAGACCAGTGAGTGTTTCCTGAATGTTTTTGATGTTTCTGATCCTGTGCTGAGCACTGTGGGGGATGCAAATGAAAGAAATAATACATGGTTTCTACCCTCAAGGAACTTATAATTTATTAAGACACATAAGGCACTTGAACCAGTTAAATAATGAGAAAAGACAGTATATGACACATAAATGCTTTAGAAGTTTAGAAAAAGGAAGGAACAGCAGGGTTATTTAAAGAGCTAAAATTCCTGTAGCTTGCTTCTCTTACTTTATTGGTGGATGACTCCAAAACTCTGTAAGAAGGGGAATAGGGAGAATGGAAGGAGTCTTACCCATCTCTTACTTCCTTATGCAATGTTGTTCATGTACAGTCAGTGTCTACGGAAACTTGAGGACTGATGGGAAAATTATTTTCAGAAATGGAGGTGAATGAAAACAGTCATGGTGGAATATTTTCCAACCATAACTCTTGCCTTCTGTTCATCCATCCGCTCAGAGAGCCAAGTGTACGTATGTAGTCTTCTAGCTACTAAATTCCATTCCTAGATAGTCATAGGTCTTCCAAGGCCCAAAGGCTTACCTTGATTTCTGTTTTTTTGGATAAGTCCCAGTCAAATGGCTGCCACAGAAGACAGAAAGTCATATATAGATTCTCCCTTTCCTCCTCATTGCTTCTTCCCTTCTCTCACCCCCATGCCCCATTCCTTATCTTTTTACTGATTTCTCTCTCCGCCCTCCTCCTAGTCATACATCTACTTTTTTCTAGTATTCCTAGTTTTTTTTTTTTTCCTCACAGTTGTTCATGGCTCTTTGCACACCACTGTCTAAGTCTGAAGAAGTAAAAAGAGAATGAAATAAGTGTTGCCAAGCAAGACCCTTCTCTTCTTTCCATGTTTGGAAAACAACCTCTTGGAATACAGCTCTTGAAATGTATTGAATTATCTTTGTGTTTTGTACACAGCCCAGTGTACAAAACTGGGATTGAGGGATTGAATTATCATTGTGTTTTGTACACAGCCCGGAGTGCTCAAGACATTCCAAAAAGGTTAAATGACAGCAGTAGCAGTCACCCCTCTTATGCAAGACATTCTGGGCTTCATCCAAGATAGGTGGAGCATTGCTGTATCACTCTCATGCATTCATTTGCTCATTTATTCTCTAAATAAAGAGATAAGCAGAGGCCAGATTCCGTTAGGCCTTCCAGACCATAATGAAGAATTTGGTTTTGATTCTAAGAACTGTGGGAGGCCAGGGGACTGACATGGTCTGATTTGTGTTTTTAAAAGCTATCTCTGGCTGCAGTATGAGAATGGATGATAGAGGTCAAGGTCAGGAGCAGGAGATCAGTTAGAGAAGCTATTGCAGAATTCCAGGCTACAGATAATGGTGGCTTAGACTAGGATGGTTGAAGTGGAAATGAAGAGAAGTGGACCAATTCTTGCCAAAACATATATCTGTAAGCCGAACCCTATTTCTTATATTAGTGTTGCCTTCATTTAAGGCTGGGGGCTGGCTCCAGCATTTTGATGCTTGGGTTAGTGTGCTAGAAGCTGGCCTGGAAGCCTAGAAGTCTGGCCCCATTGGACCACCTTACTGGGTCAGATGTAATCCTGGCCCACTAGCCACTCATGCCTCTTGCAGGGTCATGAAGCTGCTTAAAATGTTTGTTCGGTAACTTAATTACTGTTTCACCTACATTCCATTGGCTTAAATTCTTTTCTTTTCTTTTTTTTTTTTTAAATAAAAGAGATGCTGGAAGCGATGGTTTAATACATTTTAAAGTTCTTTTCCCACCTATTTCCTACTCTGTTTGCATTGTCATTTGGGATATTTCATGCAAGCAATCTGTTGAAATGAGAATTTTAATGTTGCGGGCATAATGTTGCTAGTATTGCTTTGAAAACACCACATCAGCTGTCACCAACACTGGACACGGCAGAGTTTATTTCACAGATATTTGCTAAGGGCTGGGTGTGCGGAAAAAAAAAAAAAAGGTATGGCCTCTGCTTCCAAGGAGCTTGAGAGGAAGGGAAAGTAATACAAATTCTTGAACATCTTTTAACTGCTAGCCTTTTACATCCACGACTCATTCAGCTGTTGCAATACCTCTGAGGTGAGTGTTACTCTTATCCTTAGGATGAGGAAAGGGGCCCAGCCATCTGTCTCAAATCATACTGCTGTCGTGTACAAGCCGTGAGCTAAACCCAAAGTCCATGGCCTTCCCACCTTATGCTGTAGGTACACTTCAAAAGCTGTCATGTCTTCTGTTTGAATACCACCCCTGCCCCTTCACAGCTGCAAGATCTTGGGAAAAATGTCTTCATCTCTGTGAGCCTCAGTTTCCTTATCTTTAAAATATAGATAATAGTATTTACCTCAAAAGGGTATGCATGAAGCATATATGAAAGTTCTTGGCACATAGTAGCCAGGAACTAAATATTGTTAGTTTCCTTTTTTGGTGAACCAGTGTATGGCAAGAGAATTTGTGATGTGATTTTGGTGTAGAGTCTTAAGCAAGCATGGCAAGTATTTTTTGTTTGTTTTCAACTTCACAGATGTTAGAAAAGCTTGTGTTGTACATTTATGTTTAGACATTAGGAGAGAGATTCTTTCTTGGGTTGCAAGATTGTAGGATTTGTTTGCAGAGTATCTGTATCTGGACAGAGAGGCATTCTCAAGCTCCTGGCCCATCCTACCCAATTCAGGTAGCAACAGGAGGGGAAAGAGGCAGTTGTTTGTATAAGGCATGTAAATGAAGGCTGAAAATCCTGTAGGGTCAATTCGTGTGTCCTTTGGAGCTGAAATTAATGGATATTTTCCTTTGAAGGGTCGACTCTCCAGGCTATATCCAATACAATACAGGGACCTCACACTGTCTTTTTGTGAGGGATCATATTTGTTTTTTCAGGCCTTGATGAAAACCAATTTGCCTTTCCTGAAACTAGACATTTAAGCTTTGATGAGCTGACAAAGGGGGGATGGGCAGACAACAATAACCTTGCAGTCTATTTTAGGCTCTTAAAAATAATATATGGGACAATAGTATTGCTAGCTTCTCCACAAAGTGCCCCTTTATAAGCATGTGTACAAGATAGGAAACTACCAACATGAGGGGAAAAAAGGCCAAAAGGCTGATCTTAATTATTGAACTGTGCTGTGTTGGTTTCTTTTAGAGTGGATTGTGGAGGTCACATTTGTAGGAGATTCTCAGTTGGTTTACTGTAGTTTGTTAAAATTATTGAGACATAGGTGATTTCAACTCTTTTTTTTTTTTTTTTTTTTGAGACAGAGTTACACTCTTTCACCCAGGCTGGAGTGAAGTGGCGTGATTTCAGCTCACTGCAACCTCTGTCCCCTGGGTTCAAGCAATTCTACTGCCTCAGCCTCCCAAGTAGCTAGGATTATAGGTGCCTGCCACCATACCTGGCTAATTTTTGTATTGTTGGTAGAGACGGGTTTTCGCTATGTTGGCCAGGCTGGTCTTGAACTCCTAACCTCAGGTGATCCACCTGCCTCGGCCTCCCAAAGTGCTAGGATTACAGGTGTGAGCCACCGCGTCTGGCCAATTTTAACCCTTTAACATTTACTTTTACTCTTTAAGAACGACATTTACTCTTTAAGAAGAACTTTTCTTCCCTTACACAGTGTCTGCTTTGAACCGAGTCTTTGATATATAGAGACCCTATTAGACCCATCAAATGTCCTCTCAGCCCTTGGATTATTTCTCTTCCAACTCTGTTTTCCTATAATATGATCTACTACATACCAGCAGCCAGTCTCGGGCAATATAACGAAGGCTAGCAGTATGTTCACATGGTCATGTGTATTTCTAAATTTTGCAAAACCAAGATGTGTTAAGTGCTGTCACTGAAGATCACTTTCTTTTTCCATTCTGACTTCCTCACCGTCATCATTCGCCTCCTGTCAGATAGTATCTGAGTGATGGGCACGTTTTGGATCTGGCTAGAGGAAGTTGAATTGGGGATACATGTATTTTAGTGTGATATTTTAATGTAGTTTGCAGTCCCTTTCATAGTCATCTGGGTGAGGAATGGCTTGTAGGAATATTCTTACCACCCATTGGACAGCTCACCAGCATGGATGGGGAGCAAAGGTGAAGGCCATAGGTCCTAAGGCTAGGAGCCAGTCCTATGGCACTCATCCTAGAAATATGGGGTAGTGGAGAAAAATGAGGCTGGAAACAAGGTTTGAGAAGCTCAAATGTAGGAAATTCTTACCTCTGTAGACATAAAATTGTGAGCAGAAGAATTGATGCCAGCCAAATATATTCTCTCCTGTTTGGAATATATGCAGTGATACTGAGTATACAATTATAAACTCACTATGTGTGTGTATTTGTGTGTGTATATACATACTTTTAATTTTCTTTTTTGTTGAGAATAGTGTGGAATTGATTTTGTCAGAATCCCTATGTTTGTAGGGCACGAGCCTGAAGGCATGGAGCAAGAATGTCTGTGTGAGAAGACACATGATTTCTGCCTCCTATTCTGGATCTCATATATGTATCTTATTGCATCTGTTGCATCTTGTCCTGAGACAGCCTGATGGTTCCAGAGGAAAGTGTGCAAAATTGCCACTAAAGCAAGAGACATGCTCTGAGAAACAAGCATTCCATGACAAACTGTCACACATTTTCATCAATAAGTCACGGTATATAGTATAAGAGGAATTCAATGAATTTCTCTTATGTAGCTTAGTGCAGTGTAGGAACGTTTGAATTGTTCTCGTATATGCCTTAATTTCAGGTTAATTGTGTATTTTTTTTTCAGAATTACTGTTCATATCAAAATTCAGATATGATTTGGGTAATGGGTTCATTAGAAGCCCAAACCCCAGCATCACACAATATACCCAAGTAACAAACCTGTACATGTACCTCCTGAATCTATAAAAAAACAAAAATAGCTGGGCACGGTGGCTCACAGCTGTAATCTCAGCACTTTGGGTAGCCGAAGCAGGTGGATAACCTGAGGTCAGGAGTTTGAGACCAGACTGGTCAACATGGTGAAACGCTGTCTCTACTAAAAATACAAAAATTAGCTGGGTGTGGTGGTGGGCGCCTGTAATACCAGCTACTTGGGAGGCTGAGGTAGGAGATTTGCTTGAACTTGGGAGGCGGAGGTTGCAGTGAGCCAAGATTGCGCCACTGCACTCCAGCCTGGGTGACAGAGTGAGACCCTGTCTCAGAAAAAAAAAAAAAAAAAAGATAAAAAGAAAACAAAACAGATATGACAGGAAGGACATATTCCTGTTGAAAGCCATAGTGTAACAATCACTACAAAGAGAATAAAATACCTAGGAATCCAACTTACAAGGTATGTGAAGGACCTCGTCAAGGAGAACTACAAACCGCTGCTCAACGAAATAAAAGAGGACACAAACAAATGGAAGAACATTCCATGCTCATGGGTAGGAAGAATCAGTATCATGAAAATGGCCATACTGCCCAAAGTAATTTATAGATTCAATGCCATCCCCATCAAGCTACCAATGACTTTCTTCACAGAATTGGAAAAACTACTTTAAAGTTCATATGGAACCAAAAAAGAGCCCGCATAGCCAAGACAATCCTAAGCAAAAAGAACAAAGCTGGAGGCATCATGCTACCTGACTTCAAACTATACTGCAAGCCTACAGTAACCAAAACAGCATGGTACTGGTACCAAAACAGAGTATAGACCAATGGAACAGAACAGAGGCCTCAGAAATAATACCACACATCTACAACCATCTGATCTTTGATAAACCTGACAAAAACAAGAAATGGGGAAAGGATTCCCTATTTAATAAATGGTGCTGGGAAAACTGGCTAGCCATATGTAGAAAGCTGAAACTGGATCCCTTCCTTACACCTTATATGAAAATTAACTCAAGATGGATTAAAGACTTAAATGTAAGACCTAAAATCATAAAAACCCTAGAAGAAAACCTAGGCAATACCATTCAGGACATAGGCATGGGCAAAGACTTCATGACTAAAACACCAAAAGCAATGGCAACAAAAGCCAAAATAGACAAATGGGATCTAATTAAACTAAAGAGCTTCTGCACAGCAAAAGAAACTACCATCAGAGTGAACAGGCAACTTACAGATTGGGAGAAAATTTTTGCAATCTACCCATCTGACAAAGGGCTAATATCCAGAATCTACAAAGAATTTAAACAAATTTACAAGAAAAAAACAAACAACCCCATCAAAAAGTGGGCAAAGGTTATGAACAGACACTTCTCAAAAGAAGACATTTATGCAGCCAACAGACATATGAAAAAATGCTCATCATCACTGGTCATCAGAGAAATGCAAATCAAAACCACAATGAGATACCATCTCATGCCAATTACAATGGCGATCATTAAAAAGTCAGGAAACAACAGATGCTGGAGAGGTTGTGGAGAAATAGGAACGTTTTTACACTGTTGGTGGGGGTGTAAACTAGTTCAACCATTATGGATGACAGTGTGGCATTTCCTCAAGGATCTAGAACTAGAAATACCATTTGACCCAGCAATCCCATTACTGGGTATATACCCAAAGGATTATAAATCATGCTGCTATAAAGACACATGCACACGTTTGTTTAATGTGGCACTATTCACAATAGCAAAGACTTGGAACCAACCCAAATGTCCATCAATGATAGACTGGATTAAGAAAATGTGGCACATATACACCATGGAATACTATGCAGCCGTAAAAAGGATGAGTTCATGTCCTTTATAGGGACATGGATGAAGCTGGAAACCATCATTCTCAGCAAACTATCACAAAGACAGAAAACCAAACACTGCATGTTCTCACTCATAGGTGGGAACTGAACAATGAGAACACTTGGACACAGGGTGGGGAACAACACACATTGGGGCCTGTTAGGGGGTGGGGGGCTGGGGGAGAGATAGCATTAGGAGAAATACCTAATGTCAATGATGAGTTGATGGGTGTGGCAAACCACCATGGCACATGTATACCTATGTAACAAACCTGCACATTGTGCACATGTATCCTAGAACTTAAAGTATAATAATAAAAAAAGAAAAAAGAAAGAAAGAGATAGAGGAAACAAAAAGGATGCCATAAGTATAAGTTGAAAGAAAATATTTGTGGTATTTGCCAGCTTTAAAAAAGTTTGTAAGTTGTGTGATTTCTGTACTCATTCTCAATAAATGTTCATTATTTGTATCTAATTTTATGTATTTTTTCTTAAAGAGGGACACAAAATTTGCATATGCTTTAGGTTTCATAAAGCCTGGACTTGCCCTGTTTCATACCAATGTTGTGGACATATTCATAGCAGTCTGACAGTACCTGTGAGATGAGGAAGCAACATGCTGTAGTGGAAGAAGCAGCCTTGATTCTACCACTAGGAGCTGTGTAACTTCAGCTTGTTTCTTAGCCTCTGTGAATTTTGGTGTCCTCAGCTGTCAAGTTTGGATGTTGATCCATCACAGAATTGTTGAGACTTAAAGGAACCCTCAGTGTACTTCTTGGCATGTGATAAACACTCAATAAATATAATTTCCTTTTTTCACTTGAGCTCTCTCTGATGGTTTACAGATTTATCTTAGGTCAGGGACCCAGGTGAGGAAATGCGTTGTCCTTTCAAAATGAATTTTGATCTGAGGGTAGTAGGTAGAGAGTTGGGGTTTCCCCTGGGATTCTTGTCTTTAATAAACCCGAGACAAAATGAATCACAATGGTGTTTTCTCTAGATGTAAAACAAAGTATGCAGTGCCTTCATCAGCTGTGTAGAGTATTGGGCTGAAAGTATTCCAATTTAGTGTGTCTGCCACTACACACACACACACACACACACACACTCATTTGGTATGACCCAAGGATTACATTATTCTGAATCACTGCAGTTTTTTGACATGGCTTCATTCTTCAATCAAAAATATTGATGAACAAAGCCCTGGGCCAGGTGCTGGATTCCCTTGAAATGTAGGAGTCTGGGAACTAGGATTTGGCATTCACGGGTGTCCTAATGAGCCTGGAGCAGCACATTCTTTCCAATATGTGTGCTTTGGCTATATGTACCAGCGATAGCCTCTATGAGGTGGGGATGGGACGGGAACCCCAGGTTAGCTAAATACTGACTTGCTGTCAGGGTATGATTTAGTCATCATAGCAGACTGGGTTAATACCTATGATACTGGACTATGAACTCTTTTCTTTAAGGACAAGACACAAGACTACTTTTTTCAGTGCCCGCCATGGCTAGTACATAGTAGGTGTTTGTAGCATTTATTGAATTGATTTACAGTCTACATTCAGTAGGAGTAAAAAAAGCCTTTTAAAGTGCCCAAAGGATTTTCCTTTTTGAAACAAAATTGCAGCTTTTTGCTGGGCGCGGTGGCTCACAGCTGTAATCCCAGCAGTTTGGGAGGCCGAGGCGGATGGATCACCTGAAGTCAAGAGTTCGAGACCAGCCTGGCCAACATGGTGAAACCCCGTCTCTACTAAAAATACAAAAATTAGCCACACGTGGTGGCAGGCACCTGTAATCCCAGCTACTTGGGAGGCTGAGGCAGGAGAATTGCTTGAACCCAGGAGGCAGAAGTTGCAGTGAGCCGAGATTGCGCCACTGTACTCCAGCCTGGGTGACAGAGTGAGACATCATCTCAAAAAAAAAAAAAAAAAAAAGAGAAAGAAAAAAGAAAAAGAAAATTGCAGCTTTTGATGAATAGCCTGATAATTATGTCCCTTAGCCTGCTGTTGTGGAGGAATAGGAGTCATTTTGAAATGGGGAATCAGAAGCAGTCTGTTTCACACTTTGCTCACAAGTGATTCCTCTGAGTGAAAGAAGTCAAACCAAAGCAAGTCCAGGGAAGTCTGAGAAGTTAGCATACTTGCAAAGACAAAACAGCCACAAGTCAACTGTCAGCTGAGTGAGTGCCTGTCTGGACGTTATCCTGCAGGCAGTTAGGAAGAAACATTGTTTGAAGACGCCTGTCACCAGCACACATGACTGATTTCTCATCAGAAGAGGGATTGTGAGTGAAATAAGAAAAAGTCTGTGTAATATGTGTCATGATGAGTTATACATTTACCTATTAACTGTATACAAAACCTTTATGCATATAGATTATCCATATTTTATTTGGGGGCCATCTGGTTAATTTGCCTGCTTTCTAAACTATTGAGTCAAATAAGCTCACTCAGGTATTGTCAGAATGAACCCACCTAATCTGGTTAACATTTTGGTGTCTGGGCAAGGTCTACCCAGGATCAAATCTGTTGACACCCTTCTCTCCAACCCCAGCCCTGTCCCTACCTACACACACGCTTTGTTTAAAAATACTCATTGGTGCTTACTCTGTGTCAGGTGTCAGGTAGTGTGCTAGCACTGAGGATGCATAGTCCTTTCCCTCTTTTTTTTTTTCTTTGGGACAGTGTCTTACTCTGTCACCCAAGCTGGAGTGCAGTGGTGTGATCGTGGCTCACTGCAGCCTTATCCTTGACCTCCTGGGCTCAGCTGATCTTCCCACCTCAGTACCTCCTGAGTAACTGGGACTACAGCTGTGCACTACCACCGGGCTAATTTTTCAGTTTTATGTTTTTGTAGACTTGGGGTCTTACTATGTTGCCTAGGCTGATCTTGAACTCCTGGACTCAAGCAATCCTCCTCCCTCAGCCTCCCAAACTGCTGGGATTACAGTTGTGAGCCACTGTACCCGGCCTCATCATATCCCTCTTGAAGCTTGCAGTGTAGGACAGGTGAACCCAGCAGCCACATCTCTTATTTGGGTATTGCGGGAGACCTGGCATAGTCAGCATCCAGCAGTGTTTCCAGAGTGGCTGGCCTTGCTGCTTCTCCTCACTTGCTCCTCAAGGGCAAGATGATATGCAGGTTACCACTGAAGCAAATGTCCCATCCATTGTCTTCTGGTCCGCTTAAACCTTGATCTAGTAATTAATTATATGAAAGAACAGAAAAAGTTTCAGAGAATGATAATCTGTTTTAAAATTTTCTTATTCATTTTTAATAGTTGTGTTTTTGGGGTACATATGATTTTTGATATGTGTATACAATGTGTAATGATCAAATCAGGGTAATTGGGGTATCTGTCACCTCAAACATTTATTTTTTCTTTGTGTTGGGAACATTGCAATTCTTCTCTTCTAGTTATTTTGAAATATACAATAAATTATCATTAACTATAATTTCCCTACTGTAGTATCAAATACTAGAACTTATTCCTTATAATGATAATCTCTTTAATAGTCATATTTAAATGCCAATTTACAAATGGAGTAAAATATTTAACAGAATTGAATTGATAATTTTGAGGCCTTTGTTAATAACTACTCTTAATTGCAGCAATTTTGTTTTGGACAGAGATTATGGGAATAAATTTTAATTCTGGTTGGAAAATAGTACTGAAACAGCACTTGTCTTATTCTTTCAAATTTTTAGTACTTGGGTATTTGGAGTCATTGAGATTTACTCTTTGTATATGCAGGAACATTAGTTGTTTCAGACTGGACAATGGCTGGTTATAAGTAGTTGAATAAAATCCCTGCAGTTCATCCATTCTTCTCCTACCAGCAGGTGTCATTATGGAAATATGAAAATACTGTAAATTCCAGAGTTGTAGGAACTAGCTGTGAGAAAGAAAAGTAACACTTTGGATATTAAAAAACAACAAAAAATGAAAAAATCATTTGGCACTAAGCAAGGATGGCATGTTTAATTACTGATTTGGCAGTGTTCTACAGTATGATGTAATAGGATTTTAAAGCACATAATTTATTTTAATTAGATTAAGTAAATATTTATAAGAACCATTCTAGGCTCATAGGAGTCACAAAAGAAAAGTAAGATGTGATTCTTATCCTCGAGGAGCCGACATGATATCTGAGGATACATTAATGAAATAATTAGTTCATAGAATGAATCAATCTTTCTTTTTTACATGCTGGATTGAAGAACATAGACAGTAAAAGTTGCAAAAGCTGGAGGGACTGAGTAGTGTTTTTGATTGTGGGTTAATCAAAGAAAAAGTTTTAAAAATTCAAGTAGGGAGGAACTTCAAAATAATTTGGTAACTTGATAGCTCATTCCTTCCTTTCTTGCTAACTGCCTATCTCTCGCTATAATCTAAAGTAATAATTATAATAATTACATATTACATATGTATCCAAGGATGTAACAATTGGATTTAACAGTTTACTATAATCGGCCGGGCGCGGTGGCTCATGCCTATAATCCCAGCACTTTGGGAGGCCGAGGCGGGCAGATCACGAGGTGAAGAGATGGAGACCATCCTGGCCAACATGGTGAAACCCCATCTCTACTAAAAATACAAAAATTAGCTGGGGGTGGTGATGCGTGCCTGCAGTCCCAGCTACTCGGGAGGCTGAGGCAGGAGAATCGCTTGAACCCGGGAGGCGGAGGTTGCAGTGAGCCGAGATCGCGCCACTGCACTCCAGCCTGGGAGACAGAGTGAGACTCCATCTCAAAACAAAAGAAAATGAAAAAACAAAACAAAAAAATGGTTTTCTATAATCAAGCGACTAATATGATCAAATCTTTCTAAAAACTAAGGTAAACATTATAAGTGAGCATTTGTATTAGGAGACTTTTCCAGGAACCTGGATCAGGTTCTAAGTGTGCTCGGTCAGGGTCAGTGCTTCATTCACCCTGTTTTCCCCTCTAGACTGTGAGGTTTTCTAAGGCATGGGATATGTGGCATTCCTCTTTGCATTCCTGGCACTCTTAATTCTGCCTCTGGATCTGTAGTGAGCTCTTAGTACATGTTTGTTGAATGACAGTATCACCAAAGGATAGGGTATTTACAGTCCTTTGTACATTATATTGTTAGAATGAATGCATATTGATACTAGACTAGGCAACCTCAGGTTGAATATTTCAGAAAACTGGATTGAGAAACCTGGCTTGAAAAGTTGATAGCATAGGCAGCCGCCCCCTTCTGCGCTGTCACGCCGAGCCAGCGCCTGGGCCTGGAACCGGGCCGCAGCCCCCCGGCTTCGCCCACCATCTCCCTACCATGGACCCCCGCAAAGTGAACGAGCTTCGGGCCTTTGTGAAAATGTGTAAGAAGGATCCAAGCATTCTGCACACCCAGGAAATGCGCTTCCTGAGGGAGTGGGTGGAGAGCATGGGAGGTACTGCTACTCAGAAAGCTAAATCAGAAGAAAATACCAAGGAAGAAAAACCTGATAGTAAGGTGGAGGAAGACTTAAAGGCAGACGAACCATCAAGTGAGGAAAGTGATCTAGAAATTGATAAAGAAGGTGTGATTGAACCAGACACTGATGCTCCTCAAGAAATGGGAGATGAAAATGCGGAGATAACAGAGGAGGTGATGGATCAGGCAAATGATAAAAAAGTGGCTGCTATTGAAGCCCTAAATGATGGTGAACTCCAGAAAGCCATTGACTTATTCACAGATGCCATCAAGCTGAATCCTCGCTTGGCCATTTTGTATGCCAAGAGGGCCAGTGTCTTCGTCAAATTACAGAAGCCAAATGCAGCCATCCGAGACTGTGACAGAGCCATTGAAATAAATCCTGATTCAGCTCAGCCTTACAAGAGGCGGGGGAAAGCACACAGACTTCTAGGCCACTGGGAAGAAGCAGCCCATGATCTTGCCCTTGCCTGTAAATTCGATTATGATGAAGATGCTAGTGCAATGCTGAAAGAAGTTCAACCTAGGGCACAGAAAATTGCAGAACATCAGAGAAAGTATGAGCGAAAACGTGAAGAGTGAGAGATCAAAGAAAGAATAGAACGAGTTAAGAAGGCTCGAAAAGAGCATGAGAGAGCCCAGAGGGAGGAAGAAGCCAGATGACAGTCAGGAGCTCAGTATGGCTCTTTTCCAGGTGGCTTTCCTGGGGGAATGCCTGGTAATTTTCCTGGAGGAATGGCTGGAATGGGAGGGGGCATACCTGGAATGGCCGGAATGCCTGGACTCAATGAAATTCTTAGTGATCCAGAGGTTCTTGCAGCCATGCAGGATCCAGAAGTTATGGTGGCCTTCCAGGATGTGGCTCAGAACCCAGCAAATATGTCAAAGTACCAGAGCAACCCAAAGGTTATGAATCTCATCAGTAAATTGTCAGCCAAATTTGGAGGTCAAGCATAACGCCCTTCTGATAAATAAAGCCCTTGCTGAAGGAAAAGCAACCTAGATCACATTATGGATGTCGCAATAATACAAACCAATGTACCTCTGACCTTCTCATCAAGAGAGCTGGGGTGCTTTGAAGATAATCCCTACCCCTCTCCCCCAAATGCAGCTGAAGCATTTTACAGTGGTTTGCCATTAGGGTATTCATTCAGATAATGTTTTCCTACTAGGAATTACAAACTTTAAACACTTTTTAAATCTTCAAAATATTTAAAACAAATTTAAAGGGTCTGTTAATTCTTATATTTTTCTTTACTAATCATTTTGGATTTTTTTCTTTGAATTATTGGGCAGGGAAGATACTTATGTGTGGAAGATTATTGCTCTAATTTGAGTGAAATAAAAGTTATTAGTGCGAGGCAAACATAACTCATTTGAGGATAAAAAAAAAGAAAAGTTGATAGCATAGATTCTGAAGTTTTCTCTTTTGATTCCACTTCTCCATCCGAGGACATATATTTCAAAAAGTATTTCAGTAAGCGATGTGATTCCAGGACATTGTCCATGAGATATAGAGGACATTGTACTTCATCTAAATAAAACTGGGCCTAATTTTAGGCAGAAGGATGTACGTAGTGTTATTTTATTACCTTTTCAACAACTTTCTTAGTAATCAGTCATTTTCAATGAAGACAGTTTGTTCACCACCATATTTGAAGACTATTATTAATTTACCAGCTGCTATATGGTAAGGGGTCTGTCCTCAGCCTACCTTTGGTAGTTTGAACTAGTTATACTTTGTTCATCATTTTCTGACATCTCCAGCTGCTTACTAGACTTCTCTGTTTTGATTTTCCATTGTCACCTCCTATGTAACATGTCAAATAGGGAAATCATCGCTTTTACCTATAAACCACATCTTCCTTTAAGGCCATACCTTTTCTTTTAATGTTACCATTTATTTTCCAGTTCCCCAGGTGAAAAACTTTGATGTTTCCTTGTTCTCAACCCCTTCCCCGATCCAATCAATCAAAATAGTATCTATACTTCCTTTGTGATGCCTATGATAACCATTCTTTTCTTCCTTTCTGTTTCTATTACCAAGACCCTGGATTAGACCACGCATGAATGACATAGCTTCTTGAATCATCCTATTAGCGTTTTCTCCTCTTTTACCCCCTATTAGTGAGTAGGAACATTTTAGTTAGAATTACTCAAATATCAGTACCAAGTCCACACCCTTAATCAGAGTTGCTAGGGCCCTTCATGACTTGCTGATGATCACTCTAACTCAACTCTTGTACCCTTAAAACTGTTTGCTCTGGTCATATAGAAAAATGCAATTTTCCAATCTAGCCATGTTCTCTTTGACTTCCAGATTATTTGTATTGTGGTAGAATACACATAACATAAAATTGACCATTTTAACCATTTTGAAGTGCACAGTTCAGTGGCACTAAGTATATTCCCATTGTTCTGCAACCATCACCATCATCCATCTCGAGAAATGTTTCATCTTCCTAAACAGAAACTCTGTACCCATTAAACACTAATTACCTATTTCCCCTCCTCCCAGCTTCTGGCAGCCACTATTCTACTTTCTATCTCTATGAATTTAACTACTCAAAGTACCTCATATAAGTGGAAGTATACAATATAGGTCCTTTTGTGGCTGGCTTGTTTCACTTTGCATAATGTCCTCAAAGTTCATCTATGTTGTAGCATGTGTCAGAATTTCCTTCCTTTTTAAGGCTGAATAATATTCCATTATATGTCTATGCCACATTTTGTTTATTCATTCATCCACTGAGAGACATTTGGGTTGCAGTTTCTTCTCTTTAAGTGTATTCTGCTAATTAAAAACAGGTTACTCTTCCTGCCACTTCTTTCAGTCATGTTACTTTGCTGCTCAGAAGCCTTCAATGAGTTCCTTTTTACAGATAGGGTAAGTCGCAGCATGCACAGCATAACACTCAAGGCTCTTGCCTCTCTGGGCCCTGACCTATGTATAAAACCTTTCTGTTAATTATTAGTCTTCAACATTTATTCATGAAACATAGTTTTTGAGTGTCTGGTATGTGTTGGGCCTTGGGGTAAGTGCAGAGTAAACCAAATAGATATTGTCCCTTACCCTATGGAACTGACTTTGGAGTTAAGTGATTCCTTCGCTCAAGCCAGAAGGCTCTCCTTTTTACCTTGGAAGCTGGCTACTTCACCCAACATGAATATACCAAAGACCATTTGGTAAATGACCAGCTCACCAAAGCTAATTCTGCAAAAATCACTTGACCAAATAATGATTTTGCTGAAAAATTGAGGTTTATATTTTTTACTTTGTCCCTGTCATCACTGCTGTTCTCTTCCTGGGCATGCATTGGCCAACTGCTGTTTAATATGAACTTTGCCTGTTTTTCACATTCCAGACTCTGAGAATTTTTAGAATGGTCAACATTTTCTACGGGATGGTCAAGTGTTTTCCATTTGTTTGTTTATTTTTTAAAGCACTGTTTTTTGTCTTAATTACTTTTGCCTCTGTCCCTATTGCTCCTGCTTCTGCACCTTCCTGTGCCCTGGTGCAATGGCTATGAGAAATTGCTCTAAACCCTGTGTAAAGGATTTGCCAGATGATTGCTCAGTGAATTGTTCATTCGTTGAGTTAGTCAGTAAGAAGATGATCATTTGGCAAATTAGTTTCCAAACATTTTAAAATTTCTTCTCTCCCTTGTAGGAAATCAAAGGGAAGCATTTTCTACTATTTTTTTCAGGTCTATCCTCTCTGTTTGAACCATAATATCTTTTTTTGAGATGGAGTCTTGCTTTGTTGCCCAGCTGGAGTGCAGTCACACGATCTGGGCTCATTACAGCTTCTGCCTCCCAGGTTTAAGCGATTGCAGCGCCTCAGCCTCCCAAGAAGCTGGGATTACAGGCATGTGCCACCACACCCAACTAGTTTTTGTATTTTTAGTAGAAATGGGGTTTTATCATGTTGGCCAGGCTGGTCTGGAACTCCTGACCTCAAGTGATCCACCTGCCTTGGCCTCCCAAAATGCTGGGATTACAGGCATGAGCCACTGTGCCCAGCCAAACCATAATCTCTTTTAATAGCTCTGTTGATTTGTTTTTGGGAGTAGCCTTCTTGTGAGTAGGCTTCTTGGGAGTAGCCTTCTTACATCTTGTGCTCAGAATCAGTAGTTGCTTGGTTAATCTAAAGAAGCTGGTTAAGGTGTAGAATCATAAAAACAATATAGACACATCTTTTAAAATAAAACTCCAATGTGCATTCTATTAACCAATCCTTTAGGATCAAGACATTTTCTTCCAAAATGGGTCCACTAATTATTCAAATCATCTCTCTTTCATAAACCATACTCATTATGAATTACCTATGATTTCCAGTTTCAGTTTCTTTAGACAGGAGCAAGATCTTAAAGACACTGTGATACAATGAGTAAAGAATCCTGGTGTATTTTTACTATTTTTCCCTGCCATTAACACTTGTCATATACAGTTTAAGAGCAGATTATCTTAGCAACATATCTGTATTGATTCTTTAAAAGGATTCAACCTAATTTTTAATGTAACTATTTTTATTGTCACATTCATCAGACAACATATTTAATTAAATATGATTATAATAACAAATACAAGTGGCACAACTTTTCTATCAATTGCCTGTTGGTAAGCGAACCATGCAATTGCTGGGAGTAGAAGCCTACAGGCTTACGAGGGAGGAGGCTGCGATCCAGGAGCACTGAGCATGCCTGGTATCAGCCAGTATGTTTCCCTGAGGACATAGGGAGCACTGGTTAAATGTATAGTCATTTAGTGCAGGTTGGCTATACAGGCTTTTACTGTATTTGTTCATCCTTATAGACAAAGCTGTGTTATTGCTTACTATCTTGTAATAAAGTAGGAGTTGAGGTGAGATCTAGCAGAAATTGATATGGGGAACTGCACAAATCCTTCAGGTTCAAATGACAAGAACAGGGAATATTTACATTTGATGTAAATTTGCATCACTTCATCAGAAGTCCAGAACCTGTGGGAATGGGGGTGCAGAGAGTGAAGAAGCAGTTTTAGACTGACATCGTTGGCAACTTTATTTTGGGGCAGACGGACCATCTCTGCCAGGAACTCTACTCCTCTGCCTAAATGACCATGCGGCCCCCCTTCCAAGGGAAGTCTCTAGGTGGACATCATGTGACTGCCCACCCCTTGGTCTGCACCCACCTTCCATGTAAGGAAGTGCTAGTGGCCTTCTATCAGGGTCTCTTCCACTGACTTCTGTATGTATATGTGTGTGGGAAGGAATTGTGTGTTGGGGGTAGGAGGTGGGGTCAGGGCTCTGTGCCTCTGCAGTGCATCCAGAAATTCCTCAACATTTTTCACAGTGTATATGCCCTCTCTAGTTTCCAGTACTGATAAAAGCTTTTCCCTGTTTTTGTATTCCGCTTGTCACTTCCCTGGAAATCCACATAGAAGGGATTGGAAGTCTGTCCTCTTTTATTCCAAATCTTCCTCTTCCCCTTCACCTCAAACTTTGTATTTTAGGCTCTTAAACGGGTCTGTACATAACTTTTTCCTCTGCTATAAGCACATAACTAATAAACTATGGGTTAGAGTAAGGTAATTGGCAGTTCTGTTTCTCAGTGTTCGTACCATTAAAATGATTTTTCCAAATCAGACTCAAGGCAATGGAATAATAATAATGAGAAGTTATTTTGCACTGTGCTTTATGGTTTTACCATGATTTAGTGCTTCATTTAATGAGACAAATAACCAGACAAGGCCGGGGGTGGTGGCTCACGCCTGTAATCCCAGCACTTTGGGAGATCAAGGTGGGAGGATTACTTGAGGTCAGGAGTTCAAGACCAGCCTTGGCAACATGGTGAAACCCCGTCTCTACAAAAAATTAAAAAATTAGCAGGGCGTCGTGGCGCATGCCTGTACCTGTAGTCCAAGCTACTTGGGAGGCTGAGGT
Source organism: Homo sapiens (assembly GCF_000001405.40). Taxonomy (NCBI): domain Eukaryota; kingdom Metazoa; phylum Chordata; class Mammalia; order Primates; family Hominidae; genus Homo; species Homo sapiens. The sequence goes on from NC_000013.11 coordinate 50,178,153, forward strand.
GGGAGGATCACTTGAGCCTGGGAGGTCGAGGCTGCAGTGAGCTATGATCGTGCCACTGTACTCCAGCCTGAGCAACAGAGCAAGATCCTGTCTCAAAAAAAAAAAATTAAAAAAAAAATAAAATAAAATAACAAGACTACTTGAGTGGAGTGTTTTTGGAACAAAACATTACCTGAGATGAGAGAGGCATTATCGTCTGCTTTCAGCAGGACACTCTGCTTGGAGCCCTGGTCTGGGTACTCTTGGATTTTCTGCTCTCAGCATTGTCTCATGTAGGTACAGTTACATCAGGTCATTATCTTGTTGGGGCTATTACTTTAAAAAAATAGATACAGTTTTTGACAAAAAAGAAAGATAGACAAATAAAATGTCAAGGACAGCCAAGACAGACCCTAGCTTCAGTCTTGAGGATGGCTTTCAGAAAATCACGGCTGGATTTCCTTGCCTGTGATCTTGTTTTTGAACTGCCTAAACCTGCACTGTCACAAATGGGCACATTTTTGCTCGACCAAAGAAAAGATGAATTTGGTGGCTTTGGAACAACATTTTCTTCATTTGCTCAACCACAGGGAGAATAAGGGCTATTTGAGAAATAGCCCTTGGACAGCAGGCATCTTTCTTCTAACAGAAGACGAAATGGATCCTCCATCTGTCTCACCATACAACCCTTGCTGTATGTGTCAACTTGGGTTGAAATCTTATAGATGCTGTTGTCGATCTCTGAACTCAAAAATCTCTTGTATTACTATAAATTACCCTCATTGACTTCCCTAAGTGTTCTCAGATTTCTCTTCTAAAACTGTCCCTCCAGGGATCTGCAGGGAAGATGAAGATTTTTTGTTTGTTTGTTTGTTTGTTTTTTGGGTGGGTAGGGGGGACACCAAATGCCATGAACTCAGTCCCTGCTTTGATTTGGGAAGCTGACCATATCTGAGGCAATTCTCCTACAGCTGTGGTTCAATTCTCCTCTTCTTTTCATTACCTCCCAGGCTAGGAGCCTCTGATTGTGTGAAGGTGGGGTAAGTAGCATGACTCTCCATAAAGAAAAGCCCATGCTTACTCCCAAGATGAGGCAGTGAGCCTTAATAAAAAAGGTGCTGGAAGTAATCCCCCTTTAAGACAGTCTAACATGAGAAATGCTCAAGAGAATATTGTGCACATATTAGACACCCAATCAGTATTTGTTGAGTGAGTACATGAATGCAGCAGTGGGTGGCAGTCATGCTAGGCCATTTCTGGTGCAGCCTCCATGTCTGTTTACCTCTTCAGACCTTAATTCTTCATCTCCTTTCCTCTCCTTATCATGGTTCCATTGTTGCTCTGCTTTTTCTTGCTAACTCAGGGGAAAAGACAAGGGCTAGTTTGGGGATTACATTTCAAGGCTGCACTGAACTGATGGCAATTGAAGGACAGAGAATGGGAACTACAAAGGATGCTTCTGAACCAGATTCCTATATAACTTCTCTCAAATGCAGACATAGATACCTGCCTCTGCCGGTCTTGATGCTAGGATAGGGCTGATGGTCATAGGTTGCCAAAGAGTTTTTTTTTTTTTTTTTTTTTTTTTTGGAGACAGAGTCTCACACAGTGGTGCCGTCTCAGCTCATTGCAACCTCCAACTCCCAGGTTCAAGTGATTCTCCTGCCTCAGCCTCCTGAGTAGCTGGGACTACAGGCATGAACCACTGCACCTGGCTAATTTTTGTACTTTTAGTGGAGACAGAGTTTTGCCATGTTGGCCAAGCTGATCTTGAACTCCTGGCCTCAAGTGATCCACCCAGATTGGCCTCCCAAAATGCTGGGATTACAGGCATGAGCCACCATTCCCAGCCCCAAAGAGCTTTCTTAGAAGAGCAGCTGCTCAGTGCCCCAGCTGGGTTTCTAATACTTTATAAACTAAGGTGTTTAAAGTATGCTCATGTCACATCTCCTTGTTCTAGCATTGTTAGGATGAATTGCGAACTCTTGACTCTGAAACTGGGAAGTGCTCTCTTTTAACTTCTCAGTTTTTAAAAACATGGCTTGTGTCTGTTCCCATTGTCATTTCTGGCCTTCATATGGCCACAACTACCTGTTAAGTCAGTGGAAAACAGACTGTGGCTTTTCTTAGGTGTTTTCTTCTTTTTTTTTTTTTTTGGTTAGGGTTTTTTTTTTTTTATTATACTTTAAGTTTTAGGGTACATGTGCACATTGTGCAGGTTAGTTACATATGTATACATGTGCCATGCTGGTGCGCTGCACCCACTAACTCGTCATCTAGCATTAGGTATATCTCCCAATGCTATCCCTCCCCCCTCCCCCCACCCCACCACAGTCCCCAGAGTGTGATATTCCCCTTCCTGTGTCCATGTGATCTCATTGTTCAATTCCCACCTATGAGTGAGAATATGCGGTGTTTGGTTTTTTGTTCTTGCGATAGTTTACTGAGAATGATGATTTCCAATTTCATCCATGTCCCTACAAAGGACATGAACTCATCATTTTTTATGGCTGCATAGTATTCCATGGTGTATATGTGCCACATTTTCTTAATCCAGTCTATCATTGTTGGACATTTGGGTTGGTTCCAAGTCTTTGCTATTGTGAATAATGCCGCAATAAACATACGTGTGCATGTGTCTTTATAGCAGCATGATTTATAGTCCTTTGGGTATATACACAGTAATGGGATGGCTGGGTCAAATGGTATTTCTAGTTCTAGATCCCTGAGGAATCGCCACACTGACTTCCACAATGGTTGAACTAGTTTACAGTCCCACCAACAGTGTAAAAGTGTTCCTATTTCTCCACATCCTCTCCAGCACCTGTTGTTTCCTGACTTTTTAATGATTGCCATTCTAACTGGTGTGAGATGGTATCTCATTGTGGTTTTGATTTGCATTTCTCTGATGGCCAGTGATGATGAGCATTTTTTCATGTGTTTTTTGGCTGCATAAATGTCTTCTTTTGAGAAGTGTCTGTTCATGTCCTTTGCCCACTTTTTGATGGGGTTGTTTGTTTTTTTCTTGTAAATTTGTTTGAGTTCATTGTAGATTCTGGATATTAGCCCTTCGTCAGATGAGTAGGTTGCGAAAATTTTCTCCCATGTTGTAGGTTGCCTGTTCACTCTGATGGTAGTTTCTTTTGCTGTGCAGAAGCTCTTTAGTTTAATTAGATCCCATTTGTCAATTTTGTCTTTTATTGCCATTGCTTTTGGTGTTTTAGACATGAAGTCCTTGCCCATGCCTATGTCCTGAATGGTATTGCCTAGGTTTTCTTCTAGGGTTTTTATGGTTTTAGGTCTAATGTTTAAGTCTTTAATCCATCTTGAATTGATTTTTGTATAAGGTGTAAGGAAGGGATCCAGTTTCAGCTTTCTACATATGGCTAGCCAGTTTTCCCAGCACCATTTATTAAATAGGGAATCCTTTCCCCATTGCTTGTTTTTCTCAGGTTTGTCAAAGATCAGATAGTTGTAGATATGCGGCATTATTTCTGAGAGCTCTGTTCTGTTCCATTGGTCTATATCTCTGTTTTGGTACCAGTACCATGCTGTTTTGGTTACTGTAGCCTTGTAGTATAGTTTGAAGTCAGGTAGTGTGATGCCTCCAGCTTTGTTCTTTTGGCTTAGGATTGCCTTGGCGATGCAGGCTCTTTTTTGGTTCCATATGAACTTTAAAGTAGTTTTTTCCAATTCTGTGATGAAAGTCATTGGTAGCTTGATGGGGATGGCATTGAATCTATAAAATTACCTTGGGCAGTATGGCCATTTTCATGATATTGATTCTTCCTACCCATGAGCATGGAATGTTCTTCCATTTGTTTGTATCCTCTTTTATTTCCTTGAGCAGTGGTTTGTAGTTCTCCTTGAAGAGGTCCTTCACATCCCTTGTAAGTTGGATTCCTAGGTATTTTATTCTCTTTGAAGCAATTGTGAATGGGAGTTCACTCATGATTTGGCTCTCTGTTTGTCTGTTGTTGGTGTATAAGAATGCTTGTGATTTTTGTACATTGATTTTGTATCCTGAGACTTTGCTGAAGTTGCTTATCAGCTTAAGGAGATTTTGGGCTGAGACAGTGGGGTTTTCTAGACATACAATCATGTCGTCTGCAAACAGGGACAATTTGACTTCCTCTTTTCCTAATTGAATACCCTTTATTTCCTTCTCCTGCCTAATTGCCCTGGCCAGAACTTCCAACACTATGTTGAATAGGAGTGGTGAGAGAGGGCATCCCTGTCTTGTGCCAGTTTTCAAAGGGAATGCTTCCAGTTTTTGCCCATTTAGTATGATATTGGCTGTGGGTTTGTCATAGATAGCTCTTATTATTTTGAAATACGTCCCATCAATACCTAATTTATTGAGAGTTTTTAGCATGAAGGGTTGTTGAATTTTGTCAAAGGCCTTTTCTGCATCTATTGAGATAATCATGTGGTTTTTGTCTTTGGCTCTGTTTATATGCTGGATTACATTTATTGATTTGCATATATTGAACCAGCCTTGCATCCCAGGGATGAAGCCCACTTGATCATGGTGGATAAGCTTTTTGATGTGCTGCTGGATTCGTTTTGCCAGTATTTTATTGAGGATTTTTGCATCAATGTTCATCAAGGATATTGGTCTAAAATTCTCTTTTTTGGTTGTGTCTCTGCCCGGCTTTGGTATCAGAATGATGCTGGCCTCATAAAAAGAGTTAGGGAGGATTCCCTCTTTTTCTATTGATTGGAATAGTTTCAGAAGGAATGGTACCAGTTCCTCCTTGTACCTCTGGTAGAATTCGGCTGTGAATCCATCTGGTCCTGGACTCTTTTTGGTTGGTAAACTATTGATTATTGCCACAATTTCAGCTCCTGTTATTGATCTATTCAGAGATTCAACTTCTTCCTGGTTTAGTCTTGGGAGAGTGTATGTGTCGAGGAATTTATCCATTTCTTCTAGATTTTCTAGTTTATTTGCGTAGAGGTGTTTGTAGTATTCTCTGATGGTAGTTTGTATTTCTGTGGGATCAGTGGTGATATCCCCCTTATCATTTTTTATTGTGTCTATTTGATTCTTCTCTCTTTTTTTCTTTATTAGTCTTGCTAGCGGTCTATCAATTTTGTTGATCCTTTCAAAAAACCAGCTCCTGGATTCATTAATTTTTTGAAGGGTTTTTTGTTTCTCTATTTCCTTCAGTTCTGCTCTGATTTTAGTTATTTCTTGCCTTCTGCTAGCTTTTGAATGTGTTTGCTCTTGCTTTTCTAGTTCTTTTAATTGTGATGTTAGGGTGTCAATTTTGGATCTTTCCTGCTTTCTGTTGTGGGCATTTAGTGCTATAAATTTCCCTCTACACACTGCTTTGAATGCGTCCCAGAGATTCTGGTATGTTGTGTCTTTGTTCTCATTGGTTTCAAAGAACATCTTTATTTCTGCCTTCATTTTGTTATGTATCCAGTAGTCATTCAGGAGCAGGTTGTTCAGTTTCCATGTAGTTGAGCGGTTTTGAGTGAGATTCTTAATTCTGAGTTCTAGTTTGATTGCACTGTGGTCTGAGAGATAGTTTGTTATAATCTCTGTTCTTTTACATTTGCTGAGGAGAGCTTTACTTCCAAGTATGTGGTCAATTTTGGAATAGGTGTGGTGTGGTGCTGAAAAAAATGTATATTCTGTTGATTTGGGGTGGAGAGTTCTGTAGATGTCTATTAGGTCTGCTTGGTGCAGAGCTGAGTTCAATTCCTGGGTATCCTTGTTGACTTTCTGTCTTGTTGATCTGTCTAATGTTGACAGTGGGGTGTTAAAGTCTCCCATTATTAATGTGTGGGAGTCTAAGTCTCTTTGAAGGTCACTCAGGACTTGCTTTATGAATCTGGGTGCTCCTGTATTGGGTGCATATATATTTAGGATAGTTAGCTCTTCTTGTTGAATTGATCCCTTTACCATTATGTAATGGCCTTCTTTGTCTCTTTTGATCTTTGTTGGTTTAAAGTCTATTTTATCAGAGACTAGGATTGCAACCCCTGCCTTTTTTTTGTTTTCCATTTGCTTGGTAGATCTTCCTCCATCCTTTTATTTTGAGCCTATGTGTGTCTCTGCACATGAGATGGGTTTCCTGAATACAGCACACTGATGGGTCTTGACTCTTTATCCAATTTGCCAGTCTGTGTCTTTTAATTGGAGCATTTAGTCCATTTACATTTAAAGTTAATATGGTTATGTGTGAATTTGATCCTGTCATTATGATGTTAGCTGGTTATTTTGCTCGTCAGTTGATGCAGTTTCTTCCTCGTCTCGATGGTCTTTACATTTTGGCATGATTTTGCAGCGGCTGGTACCAGTTGTTCCTTTCCATGTTTAGCGCTTCCTTCAGGAGCTCTTTTAGGGCAGGCCTGGTGGTGACAAAATCTCTCAGCATTTGCTTGTCTGTAAAGTATTTTATTTCTCCTTCACTTATGAAGCTTAGTTTGGCTGGATATGAAATTCTGGGTTGAAAATTCTTTTCTTTAAGAATGTTGAATATTGGCCCCCACTCTCTTCTGGCTTGTAGGGTTTCTGCCGAGAGATCTACTGTTAGTCTGATGGGCTTCCCTTTGAGGGTAACCCGACCTTTCTCTCTGGCTGCCCTTAACATTTTTTCCTTCATTTCAACTTTGGTGAATCTGACAATTATGTGTCTTGGAGTTGCTCTTCTCGAGGAGTATCTTTGTGGCGTTCTCTGTATTTCCTGAATCTGAACGTTGGCCTGCCTTGCTAGATTGGGGAAGTTCTCCTGGGTAATATCCTGCAGAGTGTTTTCCAACTTGGTTCCATTCTCCCCATCAATTTCAGGTACACCAATCAGATGTAGATTTGGTCTTTTCACATAGTCCCATATTTCTTGGAGGCTTTGCTCATTTCTTTTTATTCTTTTTTCTCTAAACTTCCCTTCTCGCTTCATTTCATTAATTTGATCTTCCATCGCTGATACCCTTTCTTCCAATTGATCGCATCGGCTCCTGAGGCTTCTGCATTCTTCACGTAGTTCTCGAGCCTTGGTTTTCATCTCCATCATCTCCTTTAAGCACTTCTCTGTATTGGTTATTCTAGTTATACATTCTTCTAAATTTTTTTCAAAGTTTTCAACTTCTTTGCCTTTGGTTTGAATGTCCTCCAGTAGCTCAGAGTAATTTGATCGTCTGAAGCCTTCTTCTCTCAGCTCGTCAAAGTCATTCTCCATCCAGCTTTGTTCCGTTGCTGGTGAGGAACTGCGTTCCTTTGGAGGAGGAGAAGCGCTCTGCGTTTTAGAGTTTCCCGTTTTTCTGTTCTGTTTTTTTCCCCATCTTTGTGGTTTTATCTACTTTTGGTCTTTGATGATGGTGATGTACAGATGGGTTTTTGGTGTGGATGTCCCTTCTGTTTGTTAGTTTTCCTTCTAACAGACAGGACCCTCAGCTGCAGGTCTGTTGGAATACCCTGCCGTGTGAGGTGTCAGTGTGCCCCTGCTGGGGGGTGCCTCCCAGTTAGGCTGCTCGGGGGTCAGGGGTCAGGGACCCACTTGAGGAGGCAGTCTGCCCGTTCTCAGATCTCCAGCTGCGTGCTGGGAGAACCACTGCTCTCTTCAAAGCTGTCAGACAGGGACATTTAAGTCTGCAGAGGTTACTGCTGCCTTTTTGTTTGTCTGTGCCCTGCCCCCAGAGGTGGAGCCTACAGAGGCAGGCAGGCCTCCTTGAGCTGTGGTGGGCTCCACCCAGTTCGAGCTTCCTGGCTGCTTTGTTTACCTAAGCAAGCCTGGGCAATGGCGGGCGCCCCTCCCCCAGCCTCGCTGCCGCCTTGCAGTTTGATCTCGGACTGCTGTGCTAGCAATCAGCGAGACTCCGTGGGCGTAGCACCCTCCGAGCCAGGTGCGGGATATAATCTGGTGGTGCACCGTTTTTTAAGCTGGTCCGAAAAGCGCAGTATTCGGGTGGGAGTGACCCGATTTTCCAGGTGAGTCCGTCACCCCTTTCTTTGACTCGGAAAGGGAACTCCCTGACCCCTTGCGCTTCCCAAGTGAGGCAATGCCTTACCCTGCTTCGGCTCGCGCACGGTGGGCGCACCCACTGACCTGCACCCACTGTCTGGCACTCCCTAGTGAGATGAACCTGGTACCTCAGATGGAAATGCAGAAATCACCCGTCTTCTGCGTTGCTCACGCTGGGAGCTGTAGACCGGAGCTGTTCCTATTCGGCCATCTTGGCTCCTCCTTCAGGTGTTTTCTTAAATTAACTTCTGGGGCAACATCAACTCTGGAGGCACTGTCTCCTTTCTCTACCTTAAGGATAATTCTGAGACTCTAAGGACAGAATGGTTTCTTTATAGACTTTCAGCCAGGTGCATTTGCTGTGAGGCTAAACATCCAAACAGATTTAGAGTGAGCGACAGTGGGTATTCAGGTCAAGTCCACCAGTTTGATGTTCCTTCTTTTCCATGCTTTTTTCCTTCAGAATACAGTCAAGTCTCCAAAAAATGTATGTGTAGCTTAAACAAATTCCGTTATATGATATAATTTTGCTTTCCATTCCAGCCAGTGAGTGTTTTCCCTAGAGTATGCAGAAGATGATAGAAAAGAACCTGTTGTTACCTTTATCATTTTTGTTCCCATGTGCTGCTCAGAGTGTGACGTTTTCATTGTGCCAAGTATAATTCTAATATTTATTGATACAACTTGTTGCCATAGTTTCTATACACGATCTTAGCCAAAAGGCCGAGAGGCAATACCACATGTCTCTAAGTGGAAGCTAGTTCTCTGGTCTCAACCAAAGTCATAGTCATTTGTTCCAACTTTGGAGGAAAATCTGGATGTGTTGGACTTAACTGAGAAATGTATCTCCAACATGGTGCCTTCCTTAGGGATTTTCAAGGGTTAATTTTGAAGATATGTAATTTTAGTCCTAAGTGCTGACTTTTGAATGTAACTGTGACCTAAGATATTATACAACAGTAGTGTCTGATTCCTCTTTATAGTGTCTTTTGTGATAGGTAATTCACAGACTGGTTACAGTCTGTTTTCCTTTTCTTTTTTAACCTAAAATATTTTCTAGTTTTCTCAGGTGATGAAATTGTAGGTTAAGCTGGGATTTGTAACCTTCTCTACATTTGCTATATAGCGTCTATGTAATCTTTCTATTGGTCTGAGACATTGCAGAGGAAACCTATAGCCATGCCTGGAGCCAAAATGTTGGACATAACCCAATTTGCTTTTTTTTTTTGTTTTGTCTTGTTTTTAGAGTTAGTTGATGGGTGCTGAGATACTAAGGTACTAAGAATGACAAAAATAAGGAAAGACTTCTGAAATAGACAACACAAAATACCAAAGCTCAATTCTTTCACTTTTCTTGATGATGACCACACTGTTTACAGTGGATTGTAGGTTGTTATAGTGATGGGAAAGGTCTGTGCTGATGGGCATTGGGAAAGATGTTGCAATCTGAAGATGGACTTTGTCTAATGCAGTGTAACCGACAAAGCCAGGTCTCCTGGTATGGGCTCAGTCTCTTTGTAGTTTAACATTCAAAGAAACAACAGTCCAACTTGAGAAACTTTGAAGAATAATGTAAATATTTGCTGTAAGTTTTATTTTTAGGAGGCTTTGCATAGGGATTTTATATAGTGAAAGGATACAGAAAGCTTCCTAAACAGTTCCTTGACACCTCTTTCCTTCTTGCCAGTTTCCGCTCATGACAGCTATGAAAATCTCTCTCTTGCTCTGCCTACAGTGTCCTCACTCTGGGTGGTTCTCTCATCCTTTGTGCCCCTGCACACCACACTGACCTTCCCTGGTGTATGCAGTCCTCTGGAACATGTTCTGTCTAGCTCTGGTGGGTTTTCTTGTGAGAATAAGCCACATTGCTCCAGAATTTTGGTAAATGAAATTTTCGTATTAGTAGGAATATTTTGCTTATTTAAAACTCTTTGATCTTGGCTTGAGACATATTGCTTGTTCTCACTTTGATATGATGTGTTCAATAAAGTCATCTAAGACCCTGCAAACCAGATCCATCTGCCTTCACACTTTCATTAAATTAGTAAGGTCACTATGAGGAGAGGTATACAGTTACTGTTACAGTATTTACCAAACAGTGGGCCCACAGCCACACTCCTCACTTCTCCTTTTGGTCTCTCCTTAGAAATAAAGTTGTTTAAAACCATTTGCTTCCAGAAGGCCATATATAAAGGTAGTAAATTTAGGTGTTAATTCTGAGCATGGTAGTGGTGCTGTGCCTCATTGCTTTCCAGTCTGAGGATGACTTCTACCCCAAATTATTCTTTGAGTTACTCCTAGCAGGATGAGAGCAGGACACAGGGCTCTAGGGGAGAGGAAAATGACTAAGATGATTTAGCATATCTTTATCCTTTACACAGCTTTGCTATAAATTTATAGATGCATCTGTATTATTCAGGGCTTTCCACAGAACAGAAACAATAGGAGCGATATAGGTTCTCCATATATACATACATACACATATCTCTCTCTCTCTGTATATAAATACATTCATTATAAGGAATTGGCTCATGTGATTGTAGAACTTGACAAGTCCCAAAAGTCCAAAGATTTGCAGGGTGAGTTGTTAAACTGGGACCCAGGAGAGCTGATGGGTCTTAAGTTTTACTCTAAAACTTCCCTGCAGGCTCAAGACTGAGGAAGAGCTGATATTTCAGTTTGAGTCCAAAAGCAGGAAAAGACTGATGTCCCAGCTTGAAGGTAGTCAGACAGAAGGAATTCTCTCTCATTCAGCCTTTTTGTTCTGTTCAGTCTTCAACTGATTGGATGAAGCCCACATACATTAGGGAGGGTGATCTGCTTTACTCACTCTACCAATTCAAATGTTAATCTCACCCACAAACATTCTTATAGACACACTCAAAAGAGTGTTTGGCCAAATGTCCAGGCACCGTATGGCCCAGTCAAGTTGACACATTAAAATTAACCATCACAGCATCCATGGAGAGTATAGGAACATGTAAATTACAATTGAATTCCCATGCATATATATGGGTATTACTTGATGGATATGATCATGTTTTTAGAGCTCAGTGAAAAATAAGGCATTAGAGAATTGCAATAAATAATAAAATTATTTATTTTGGGTGCTTTTGTCAAAGAGGTATATTAATCTCTTGATCCCTTTCCTCTGCTTCATCTAACTCGTAGGGGATATACTTTATATTGCTGTGCTTGGCATCAGCAACTGATGTGACAGCTCTTCCTCTGTTCTATGAAAAGGTGATGTACTTTAAAAAAAATGTTTCTGTAGAAAGTGCTTATATCCACTCAATAAAATCTCTAACAGGTCTAGCTACTTTAAAAGGAACAGTTAGGAGAGATGTTTTGCTTGAATGATAGTTTAAAGAATTCCTGTGTTTTTTCCCATTAGCTCCATCTAACTTGGGTTGTCTCAGAGAAATCCACTGGAGCTGATCTTCCTCAGTAAGATGTCTTTTGGTTTTGTTTTATCATCATTCCTCATCTGAGAACCAGAGAGAGAAAGCTGTCAACAAGTTATAGGTTCGTCCAGTTGGTGGAGCTGTTTGGGCCACAGCACAGGGACATATCTTTTGGGTGGCAAGTTCTAGGTATGGGGCTCTTTCATTTGCAGGTGGCTTATCCAAGAGGGCTGGAGATGTAGCTCCTAATATTCTTAATCCAGTTAACCGGGATGCTAACATGTTGTACTGATGTTACTTCTGTGGCAAAACTTCTCAGAGATCTTGGGCCCAGTAACTGGTCCAAAAGAAAGACTTGAGAGGAAGAATGGCTTTACCTGAAGTCTATGGTCATTCTTATTGCTGTTTTTTGTGCGTTCAATTCAGACTTTCAGCTTGGTCACTGTTCTTCTCTTCTTCCCCTTCCTCTATGTGGTTGGGGACTGGAAAAGGGTGTCCTAGTTGTTCGAGACCCTATCCTGGACTGCTCTTTGCTCCTATCTATCCAACTTCTCAAAGTTCAGCTTTGCTTTTCCTTTCCTGCCTTGTACTCACCCCTTTGGGCTAATGAGATTCTCAGCTTTTTCCAAACGCTGACTCTTCTCTCATCTCTAGGTCCTTTGGGTAAACATCTCTTCCAACCTTGATCTAATTTTTAAAAAACTGCCCCTTATCACTAATTTTAGAAGCAGCAAACTCATTATATAGTAATTTAGATTAAAATATATATATAATTATTGTATTCCTGGATTTTGTTCTTTTTTTCTTGTTTAGTTCTGAATTTTGCTCCTCTAGGATATTCTTAGTAAATCTCTAAGGAAAATGCAAAATCTGCCACTAATAAAAGCAGCCACTGACATGGATGGGATCTAGGGCGAAAGCAAATGGGGAAAAATGGGAAACTTAAAAAATAAGAGAAATGCCTTTTTTTTTTTTTTTAAAGCCAGAGACATGATCTTGCTGTGTTGTCCAGGCATTTCAAACTCCTGGGCTCAAGCAATCCTCCTGCCTCAACCTCTCAAAATGCTGGGATTATAGGCATGAAATGCCTATTTTTGAATGGATACTTTTAAAATTATCTACTTATCTAGTATGCTCCCAGCATCTGAAGAGCAGATAGGATTCATTGATGAAAGGGTGAGGTGGTTAAAACATACAGGAGGCCAAGACTAGTAGTTAGCCCTGTGTAGGTATCACAGGATTACTTGGGTCAGAGACTCAAGCAGAAGTCTCTTTAAAGCTTTTCTAAATGATAAACATTGTTGGAATGGGGTAAAGTTGTTCTACTGCAAGAAAACTCTTCATCAGAAGAAATTAAGAATTAATTATCCTTATCTAATTAGACTAGGTGTTTCTCAATAACAAGAAAAAGTAGTTGCTGCTTGCATTGCTTTTACTCTGGCACTAGTATAATGCAGTCATTATTGGTCATAAAGCACTCTAAAACCAATTAATTTGTAAAGCTTATTTTGACAAGAAGTAAATACAAAGGTAAGGCATAGTTAGCATAATGCTGCTATCATGGCACTCTTGGGCATAATTTATATACATAAAAAATACAAGGGCAAGTATAACTTTCAAGCTGATTGCCTGTAAAAGACTTAATTGAAAACAGTTTTCTGCTTTTAAAAAGTGATTTATTTTAGATGTGCTTTAAAAAACAAAGGTCTTATTGATAACCATTTTGAGTATATTATCTCGATGTGGGATTTAAGTAAAAGGTCAAATCTTATAGAAGTATTTTTGGTATGACTCAATTCTGATCACAGATAAACTTTATCAAGAAAATGAAATTAGTTAAACATTTTCATGCCTGAGCACTAGTTTAAAGAGGCAGCAATTTTTTTTTTTCACAAAGACTTCAAGAAGAGAACTTTGGTTGAGAAACCTAGAAAACAAAGAACTCAAGATGTTATCGTATAAATGTTCTTTAAACAAGTTAATATTATGAGAGGGGAAAAGCATTAGATATGTTTCACTAGAAGAATAAACAATTCACATGTGTAATTTTTGCAGTGGATAGACAAATCTCAGATCTTTTCTGCCTGATATCATTTGCATTTATTCAGCTTATTCAAGTAAAAGACTTATATTTTATTTCAGAAAAGCTAACATGGAACTTTTAATTTTACATTTAAGTCCTGTTTAGTTGTAATTCTCACTCCCCCAGCCCCTGTAGCCTCCTGAACAGCTCTGACTTGCTTTTTTTCTGAATCCAGCATCAGTCCTACAATTAGTCCATTGGCCAGGTGATGGTCATGTGCCTGGTTAGAGTAGGGCAGGCTCCATTTGCTGATGGGCTGTGCGACTCAATGTTCACAAATGTTTAGTCATTCAGCTCCTTTTCAAGGAATAAGCCTGGATCAGGCAAGTAATTAACCTTTGCTAGTCCCAAGGTTTGTTCATTAGAGGCAGGGAAGGAGGAATCTTCTCACTTTTCTTCTCAGTCCTACTGCTCGCCCCAGCTTTATGAAACATGAGCTATGTCCTAAGGGAAGAGCAAGTGGGCCTCAGGTCCTCAGAAAGCACCACAAAACTCTTAAAATATTAAGCGTAGGAGTCTATTGTTCCTTTGTTTTCCTGGACAGGGAAACCTCTTTAACATTGGACTTCATTGTCTGTACCCCATTTCCTGTTCTTACAGTGGCTGTTCAGTCAGCATGATGGCCGGTGGGACCTGGAGGTCCAGCAGCAGCTAAGATGTCCAGGCCCTACTCGTTTGTACCCCTGGTAGCATTCTGCCTTAGATATGAGAGACACTTCCCAGGCTCTTCCTGCATTTCCATCTTATGCTCTGGCAAGCAAATGCCAATCTTGGCTCTTTTCCACTTAAAATAGTCCTTCTACTTTTTATCTGCTGTGTAAATTGGGGTTAGAAATATTGACTTAAACTGCACCAGACTCTGCTGCCAGCTTGCCCATTCTCCATTACCCAAGTCTTCCTCCCTAACAGAACCCAGAGTTTGTTCATATATTGGCAGCAATGTACTCAGCCCGGGCAATGGATCTTGACTGGTTTCAGCCAATCAGAATATCTTCTATTAAGGATAAGGATAGCTTCCCTGCAGCTAGGGGTGGCTGAGTAACCTTGTTCTGACCAGTAAGATTTAAGCAGCAGAAGTCCACTGGGAAGAAGGGAATGGGGAAGGAAGACTCCTGGGAAAGCTTTTGTGCTCTTAATAAAAGAGCAGAGAAACTGCTGTGCTGCTTGCCCCTTCATCTTGGCTTGAAAACAAATGTATTGCCTGGAGCTGAGGCAGCTATTTTCTGACCATGAAGTAATAAGCCTTATTGTTTGACATGTGAATGCAATAAACCTCTACCCACATAAGCTACCTCCATTGAAGGATTCCATACTTGGCACAGAATTTCTAACTGACACACACTAAAATTCAGATATAAAAAAAAATAGTTTCTGTAACGTTTTGGTAACTGATTTCATCTCTTCCTGAACCTTTGAGGTTGAAAGTGGTGGCAGCAGAGGTGGCAGTAGCCACTTACCTTTATCATTAATGATAAGTTAATTTATTTTGGGGAAATGACTCAGTTGTTCAATTTTCCTTCCACTTGCCTCTTCGAGATGATATCTGTGGTAAATGGGTGTGAGCTCTTAAGCAGTAGCATGATCTACTGGCTCACGCTTGCTTTTCAGAGCTGATTGTTAAGTTTAGGGGAATTCTGCAAGTCACTTGTTATATGCAACCATTATTAGATAAGTTATATAAACTTACAATATTAAAAAGAAAGGTAGTACTCAAAACTCACCACTTTTTAATTATTTAAGTACATTTTACTATTATTCTTGCAATTGAAGTTATTTATGTCTTTTTGTTTGTTTTAGAGACAGGGTCTTGCTCTGTTACCCAGGTTGGAAGCCCAGGCCGGAGTGCAGTGGCACAATCATAGCTCACTGCAGCCTCAAAGCTCTGAGCTCAAGTGATCTTCCCAGCTCAGCCTCCCATGTAGGTGGAACTATAGACACTAGCCACCACGCCTGGCTAATTAAAACAATTTTTTTTTTAGAGACTGGGGTCTTACTGTGTTGCCCAGACTGGTCTTGAACTCCTGGCCTCAAGTGATCTTCCAGACTCAGTCTCCCAAAGTGCTGAGATGACAGACCTGAGCCACCACACCCAGCCTATTTGTGTCTATTGTATCTGTAAATGGAAATACTATATAATGCCGCAGTTAGCATGAGAGTACAGATATCTCTTTGACATACTGATTTCATTTCCTTTGGATGTATACCCAGGAGTGGGATTGCTGGATCATATGGTAGTTCTATTTTTAATTTTTTGAGGAGCCTGCATACTGTTTTCATAATGGCTATGCTAATTTACATTTCCACCAACAGTGTACAAGGGTTTCTTTTTCTCCACATCCTTGCCAACATTTCTTGTCTCTTGTCTTTTTGATAAAAGCCATTCTAATGGGTGTGAAGTGATATCTCATTGTGGTTTTGATTTTCATTTCTCTGATGATTAGTGATTTTGAGCATTTTTTTTCATGTAGCTGTTGGCCATTTGTAAGTCTTCTTTTGAGAAATGTCTATTAAGATATTTTGCCCATTTTTAAATAGAAAAATCCTCTACTTTTGACTTTTCCCTTAACCTTCACCTAAAACCTCTCAATTTGAGATTTAGGTCCAAGGCAAAGAAACCATGTTTTCCTGCTT
The DNA here is from genome assembly GCF_000001405.40 of Homo sapiens. Taxonomy (NCBI): domain Eukaryota; kingdom Metazoa; phylum Chordata; class Mammalia; order Primates; family Hominidae; genus Homo; species Homo sapiens. The sequence continues at coordinate 50,194,223 of NC_000013.11, forward strand.
ATGTCTCCATCTTTTTAACGTCTTCTTACCCATCACCATGAGCTTTTCTTTTCCCTTCTGTTTGGTAGAAAATAGTTTTAAGTTATTTCATTCTCCTTCCTGAGGAGTTGCTTTTTCCCTTTCTCTGAGGCCATATTGGTGAAAAGGCTGCAGAGAACCTGATTCATAGGGGAGAATGAATTAAAAATACATTTTAATGTATATAAAAAACTATCACCATCACGCTTGTAACTATGAGTCACCTTGTCCACCCTTCCACTCCTCACTACTCCAGGGTTCCACAGACCTGAGAGTAGGGACTGTGGTGAAGAATGACTGGCAGATATACAGCAACTGAAAAGGCACCACGCTTTTATCTCAGTTGCATTACCCTTTGTATATCAGCACTTAAAAAGGGATCTTTTAAATAACATCCTTGAATCCTTTTGGGTGGTAGAAGTAAAATTGGGGCTAAGCAAGAATGAAATGGACTTTTAGAAGTTAAAATAGGATGTTGTATGGGCAAATGTATGAGGTAGGAAAATAATGTTGTCACTGCTTTGCTATCTCCATTTTCAACAGCTCTCTCAGTGCCTCTGGCATCTCCTTCTTTTGCTATGTACCAGCCCTGTCACCTAGTCCCTCCCACTATTAATCATTAATGACTTAAGATGTTACCACCTCCTTAATTGTATTTAAAAGTTAAAAAAAAACATGCTTTTATTCTTTCCCATTACAAATAACAATTCATATTCCTTTTAGAAAAATACAGATAAACATAATAAAAGTCACTTACAATCCATTGCCTTGAAACAACTATTACTACCCTAGTATACATCTTTTATTAAACATTCTTCTACAGATTATTATTATTATTATGGTTATTTTTAATAACCAAAGACCCAAGAGAGGGTCTTGCTCTGCTGCCCAGGCCCGAGTGCAGTGGCACAATGATAGCTCACTACTACATTGAACCCCTGGGCTCAAGCCATCCTCCCATTTTAGCCTCCTGAGTAGCTGGGACTACGGGCACATGCCACCATGCTGGGCTAATTTTTTCTTTTTTGCAGGGACAGAGCTTCACTATGTTGACCAGGCTGGTCTAGAACTTCTGGGTTCAAGTGATCCTCCTGCCTCGGCCTCCCGAAGTTCTGGGATTACAGGCATGAGCCACTGTGTCCAGTCTACAAATTACTTCAAATGGCTGCAGGGCAGAGGTCACATTCATCCTTATCAACTGTAAATAGCAATTTATTTGTGGTCAAATAATAACTTCAAAACCATTAGCTAATATTCAGAATCTATTGACAAATGATGGGGAAAATCTTTTTGTCAGGGAGGTCTTTCTGGTGCACCTCGAATCACTCCATGCCTTTGTTGTTGTTTTGCTTGTCAAACCTGGAAATCTTTTTCCTCTCTTTCACATCTATCAAAATCTTTCCTGTCTTTTAGGTCCACCAATGTTTTTACCTGCCCAACCTCCTTTAAACTTGCTTCTCATAGTATTCATCCCTTCCCCTGAATCCTTGATCACTTGTACTGCTCATCTAGCACTCATTTGTACATTTTCTCAAATTGTTGCCAAACTGTTTAATGGGTCATATAAGTGTTTAGGGCCAGGAATAACTTTGGTGATCATCCAGTGTCTTATTCTGTTCCTGCTGCTATAATAAAATATTACACACTGGGTAATTTATAAAGAATAGAAATTTATTTCTCATAGTTCTGGAGGCTGGAAAATCCAAGATCAAAGTACCAGCAGAATTTGGTGTCTGGTGAGGGCTTGCACCTTCTTGCTGCATTCTCACATGGTGGAAGGGGCAAAGGGACCAAACTACTCCCTTGAGTCTTTTTATAAGGGCACTAATCCTATCCTTGAGGCAGAGCCCTTATGGCCTAATCATATTGTAAAGGCTGTACCTCTTAATATTGTTGCATTGAGGATTAAGTTTCAACATGAATTTTAGAGTGACATTGAACTACTACATGGAACTCCTGGGCTCAAGCCTTCCTCCCACATCACCCTGCTGAGTAGCTGGGACTACAGGCACATTCTACCATGCCGGGCTAATTTTTTTTGGGTCTCACTACGTTGGCCAGGCTGCTGTCAAACTTCTGGGGTCAAACAATCCTCCTACTTGGAGGACACAAACATCAGAGGGACACAAACATTCAAACCATGGCACCCAGCCTATTTAAAAATGAGACCCAGAGATCTTGTGATTACACAAGATTCTGTAGCTAAGATTACATCCCTGTTACTCTGACTGTCCCCCTGCCGGCCCCCACCAATCCAGCTTTCACTATCTCATATTGCATCTTTCTCTACCCAATTAGCTAGTAAGCCTTAAGCACTAGAAGCTATTATTAGCATCATTTCTATTTTAAGGATGAGGAAACTGAGGTGCAGATAGGTCAAATAATTCAACTTAAGGTTAAACAGTTTGTAATTGGTGGAAACAGGACTGTACCCAGGCCACTGACTCCAATGTCCATGCTTAATCCTCCTTGTACCACCTTACCCATGTCCATCCATACTGTAGCTTCAGAAAGATTAAGACCTTTGGAGGAGAAATAAAGACTGAGTTTGACAATTAGGAAATTGTTAACTTTTGCCAGGGAATTTTCAACATAGGAGTAGGATTGGGAGCTAAATTATGACAAATTGAGGGATGAATGGGGAGGTGAGGCAGTGGAGGGCATGAGTACCAAAAACAGGTGGGTACTCATGGAAGGGCAGCCATAGGGCGGTGGTTTGATGAGTATGTAGAACTGAGGGAAGGCTTGCTTTAGTGATTGATTTTTTTTGGATGAAGAAGTCTGGAGTTCATGAAACATCCTAGAAGAGGAAGGCCAGGATCAACATGCTGATGGATTGACTGGCCCTGGATAGAAGTGGGGTACTTTCTTTTTGAACAAGAAGTGGGGAAGGTAAGTGGAAGTAAAACTTGAAAGGGATAAAAATTGTGGATGACTGCTTTTTTTTTCTTGGACATTAGGAAGCTGTGTTGTCTTGTGAGGGTCAAGGGGCTAGGGTTGGGGTAGGGAACTTGAGCAACATGGAACAAATTTGGAAATGCTGCTGTAAGGAAACACAATACAGGAATATGCAGGGCAGAACTGAGGTTTGAGCTTTAAAACGTAATTTAGATAATCAACATAGTTTTATGATTTTCTTTTCCAACAGTGGCAGAATATTCAGAATTGGAGAAAACAGAGTTGCTGTGGAATGTCAAGGGTGAGCAGAAGGACTGGGCAAGAGGGCAAGAGAATGGAGATGTTGAGAGTGTTGTTGAAGCGATTGACTAGGATAGGCTCTGAATTATTGATGACCAAGAGTTCAGAACTTGTTACATATAGGTCTATCTCATATGCTTTTGCATTTTTGTCTGTCATATTCTTTGTCTAATGACAAAGAACATACATGCTTACCTATGCTTTCACATTAAACTACAGAATTCTACTTTGTTTCCCTCCTCAACTCCTCCTGCAAGCCTTAGTCTTGAAGAGGGAAGGGAGGTCTCTACTGAAGGGCACACTTTACTGTCACAATCACTCAGTGGCAGTGGGTGCATGTTGATGGATGGTAAAGGGAGTGAGAATTTTTTCCAGCCACTTGTGGAAACCCTAGGGTGTTGAGTCACCGTCTTCAAGATGGAGGGAGAGAGCATGTCTTTCAGTGGATGCCAGCAGTGACATCACGGTCAGAATGCACTCTTGCTGGATCAAACAGCCCTGAGAGGAAGCATGGGGCCTCATTTTTATGAGACCAACTGGGAATAGCCATGGTTCTTATCATGTGCCACCTGCCATCAGCTGTTTTCTCTCCACTTGGTTCCAACCAATCTATCACACTTATTAAAGTTCAGCACTTATATCACCATTATAGCATTGCTTACAATTTTAGGCCTAGAGGATTTTACTAATTTAATCAGTAGCCTGATGATCAAAGGGAGGGAGTTCATTGCATGGGCACTGAGCCAAAGAAACAGTCTTATGAGGATTTTCTCAGCATTTCCTCTGGCCACAGGTATGGAAGGAAGAACATCAGGAAGGATTGATAAATTTGGAATAAAAGCAAGCATTGAGAGGTTGGACATTTGATGAGGCCAAGGAAGAGGTTTGGTGGAAGAGGTCAAGGCAAGAGTGTATGGTCAGAGACCGGGAGTTTCAGGGTTTATATTTCAGATGTGTTCTGAGGCTGTGCTATAAAGAGAGGAGAGCATGGACTTGGGAGTCTGAGCAGCAGGTTTAGAATCCTAGCCCCTATCTAGTCATTATCTCTGTGACACTGGGCCATCTCTACCTAGGAGTGCTATAGCCTGACTTTACATTATCTGTGAGGGTTACGGAAAATGATGTGAATTTACTAGCATGGTGCCTGCCACTTGGCAAGTTCTGATATATAGTCATGACTATTGTTATTATTGCAGGGTGTGGCCTCAGGAATGGGTTACCAAAGATGAAGATGGCCATATGGAAACAGAGGAAATGAGATTGGCTAAGTCATCAACATGAATGTTGAAATTACCCCATTAACTGGCAAGAGTCCAGGAAACGGCAAACCAGATATTAAGGCTCTCAGGCACACTGTGGGAGAGGATGGGAAAGTGATGGTGTTACAGGATAGCCTGTAGTTCAAAAGAAGAGACTACTGAGGAAGGCAAGAACAGCAATATTTTGGAAAAGACAATGAAGAGTGAGAGGGATGGCCTTGTGATGGGGCAGGCCTGGAGGAATGTGTGGCCTCTATGTCTCTACATCACTCAAAGGTCTATCTACTCCAAACTCCAGGACCGGGCCAGTTCAGATGCTCATCCTGCCTCTCAAATGTTTTGGTTTTTGTTTTTCTTCTCTGCTGCAGGCTCCTGGGATAGAGTCTACTTTTCTTTCCTTTTAACAGTTGCCAATACTCCTTCTTGCCCTTAGGTTTCTGGTCTCCTCAAAATTAGCTGTAGAGTGGGACACATTTACCTGGTTACCCTTCACTTTTCTTTATTGACCTTGAAGACTAGCAAATACCATTAACTTTTTTTTTTTTTCTTAGAGTCTTGCTCTGTTGCCCAGGCTGGAGTGCAGTGGCATGATCTCGGCTCACTGCAACCTCCACCTCCCAGATTCAAGTGATTCTCAAGCCTCAGCTTCCCAAGTAGCTGGGACTACAGGCTAATTTTTGTATTTTCAGTAGAGACAGGGTTTTGTCATGTTGGCCAGGCTGGTCTTGAACTCCCGACCTCAAGTGATCCGCTCATCTCGGCCTCCCAAAGTGCTGGGATTACAGGTGTGAGCCACCGTGCCCGGCCCCATTAACTTAAAAAAAATTGTTGTAAAATATGCATAACATAAAATATACCATTTTAACCCTTTGTAAGCATACAGTTGAGTGGCATCAAGTACATTCACATTATTGGGCAACCATCCCCACCATCCATCTCCAACACTCTTTTCATCTCGTAAAGCTGAAACTCTGTACCCATTAAACACTAACTTCCCATTATCTACTTTGCCAGCCCCTGGCAACCACTGTTTTACTTTGTCTCTATGATTCTGTATGATTTCTTTCTCTATTTAATTTTTGTTTTAAAGATTTAAGAGCTATTTACTACAAACGAGTGAACAGAGAGGAGAGCAAAAAGAACAAGTGCAGAAGGCAGCAATGGTAGCCTTGTGTTGTAGGAGCTCCTCCTTTCTTACTTCTCTAGGTGTTTATTGCCAATACAGTGATACAGAATTTCAGGAAATGTAGACTTGTCTGTTATTCAGGGACAGGTTGGGGATGTCTTGGCTGCCGCAGGACTGTATCGACCCCGCCACCCCTAACTCTTGCAGTCAAAAGATACCCAGGCCTCCAGCTCTGATCCCATTCATCAGGCCAGTCTTTGCCAGAGATAGAGGACCCTGGATGATGACATGATGATTCTGTTCTTCCTCAAGGGCCTCCTGCCTTGAAAGTCTTCCTTAGGCAGAACCCACATAGGATCATGATGGATTTGGGTGGTTGATGTACCTGCTTGGTATAGAAGGATCAAGGGTTATGACTTTATCCAACATACTCATTATCTAATTCCCCACAGATAGATATATTTCTTTGGGAGAAAACATGCTCAGATATACTTCTTTGGGAGAAGACATGCTGTCCCTCTTGGCTGGAGCTGGAGCTCCCCCATCCCGTGCCTCTCTTTCTTGCTCACGCCCAATCCTTCTCTCCTCTTTCCAGCCCCCTCTTTCAAGCTCCCTGTCCTGCTGACCTATGCTTTCTCTTGGGAAGGACTGTCCCCATCCTCTGGAGGGACATCCTGCTGCTGTATCCCTTCTTATGTCTTGCACACTTGAGCTCATCAGGCTTTCTGGCAGCTAATGGAATACCCTTCCTTGGGGGATGGGGTGACCTCTGGGCCTTAATGCTTGGAAGGGGCTTGCTGGCCTCTGGAGGTGGGAACTCCAGTGCCTTCTCTCTTGTGGCCTGGGTGGGCTTGCTTGAGCTGGACTCTGAGGAGCACTGGCGGCAGCTCTCATGTCGTCTCTGAAAGGCTGAGCTAGCCCTGTCTGGCAGAGGCCTTCACTTCACAGCACTCTGTTCTGTCTTGTATCTCTAGGATCAGACTTCTGTGTGTGTGAGAGAAATGTTTAGAGCTTCCCTGTTTGCTGAGGAATAAAATTGAAAATGATTGCAGCTCAGCTCTATATTCTGAAATCACAGCCAATCTGATAGAGCCATTTTTAAATTCAGACGCTGCTTTTTTAATAGTCAGGCACTGACATATTTTAATTCTCCCTTACCGAAGTGAAAAGGCACAAGCAGATTAAGAATTTATGGTTTAAACAACAAAATAAAACAATGTGTTGGCAGCATTATACTCCCTAGAATTTCACACATTTAATTTTGTTATTTTTACTTTCTTGTATCAGGCCTGTTAAATCCTGGAAGGAGAGCAGACATTTGAGAAATTTTTTTTCCTGTTCTGTTTGGAATTCATTTCCCTTAGTGTGACAGTTGAGATAAGCTATTTGGACTGCCTCCAGGGAGTGCTCCAGAGGTGGGCAGGGAGGAGGCCTCCTGGTTCCATGACTAAGGTATGGCTGCGTTGGGAGCTCGGCTCAGCCATCCCTAGTGAAATACAGTGGAAAGCGGCAGCTGGAATCAGATCCACAAGGAATAGCCTGAGTTCTCCAGACCAAAGTTATATTTTTTAGGTTTGCCTAGCTGTTTAAACCAAGTCACAGGCAGGGCTATGGTAGTCATTCCTAGGTATCATCCCAGTGGGACTTGTGTACCTGGGATCCGATGGTGGGACTGCTGGCTCTGGAGGGCTAGCTGGTCAGAACTTCTGATGTCTGCTTTGGGCATCAAGTGGGAACATTTCCTGTATCTCACATGGGCTGGCAGATGCTTCCATTTACCACTCTGTATTTTTGCTGAAATAATTATACCTGACGTCACATACGAGGCTTCCTTGCCTAGAACAGTGGTTAGAGCAGGAGCCTGTGTAGTTGCCTGCCTGGGCTTAGAGACTGGTTTTACTCCCTAATTGGCAAATTACTTAGCCCTTTGGTGGCTCTCTTTTTCCATTTATGAAAGAGGGATAACAGCAGCCACTGTTTAAGCTTGTAAGGATGAAATGAGTTAATACTTAAAAAGTGCCGAGACATTGAAAATGTTCAATAAAGCTGCAATTACCACGACATCTTAAAAGCACTCGAGAGACAAAGCTCTGGCTAAAATTGTTATTTCTGTGTTAGGCAAAATGTTGGGACAGGCTAAGCATGACCTTGAGTCCTTTTGGATGTGCTGTCTTGTGACCCTCTTCTTGGTGGCATCTCTCCCTCTCCCTCCAACCTGGGGTAGTGACACTTTTCGTCCTCCTGGAAAGAGCTCCCGTTTGCTGAGGAATAAAATGGAAAACTATTGCAGCTCAGCTCTATATTCTGATATCACAGCCAATCTGATAGAGCCATTTTTAAGTTCAGACACTCAGATGGCCAGCACCCTGAGATGCAAATTTCCCAGGGACACACATTTTAACAAGGACAAAAGGATGAGTGAGGTTGAGGAAAGCATTTAGGGGACAGCCTAATGGCTTCACAGGTCCCTGACTATGCTTTAGATCCCTGAGAGTGGGGACAGTCACTCAGAGCCATCAAGTAACACCAAAATGCACTTTACTGAAGTCATTTGCCCCATAAATTCTGCCAAGTAGAGATTCTTTGGCTTACAAACTCCTCGGGCATTATATACACTTTTGTGTAAATTGCTTGAGGTATTCAGATTGCTTTCTTCTGAAAATCTAGCAACGATCCCATTCTGAAGGCCCAGGAGTTTTGTTTGTGGATCAAGGAGAAATGAAGTGGCAGAGGGTGCATTTTGTTTGGAACATGTGGTTCTCTGGGGGAGGCTGGCTTGGCTTGGATAGGGTGCTGGAGTAGGGGCTGTGGCTGAGGGCAGCATGGGGGCCTTGTGTATCTGAGGGCAGAGGAGAGGCAAAGGGAAATGGAGCTGGAGTGCAAAGGGAGGGGAAGGCCTGTCAAAGGCAACACATAGTAGAGTGACTGTCTTTGAACAGCTTCGTGTCAGACCTTAGCCCTTTCGCCTAATAGCTCTGCGAGCAAATTATTTCATTTCCCAGTGATAGGAATTTTTCTATTCTGGGTCCTAAACAAATAGCTGCCTGATGTGGTGGCTCACTCCTGTAATCCTAGCATTTTGAAAGGCCAAAGTGGGGAGAGCTCTTGAACCCAGGAGTTTGAGACTAACCTGAGCAACATAATGAGACCTTGAGTCTACAAAAAAAAAAAAAAAAAAAAAAATTGTTGAGCATGTGCCTGTAGTCCCAGCTACTTGTAAGGCTGAGGTGTGTGATCACTTGAACCTGGGAGGCAGAGGTTGCAGTGAGCTGTGATTGCTCCACTGTACTCAAATCTGGGCGACAGAGTGAGACCTGATCTCAAAGAAAAAAAATAAAAATAAATAAATAAATAAATAAATAAATCTGATGCTACGATTTGATTTCTGTGGCTTAACATTTTTTGTCTTCAAACAGACCAGGATTTTGGAAAGTGAATTATTTTATTTTTTCAGTGTTTCACACCTTTCTTCTTTCTGATGTTAAAGGGGGCTAAAGAGATGCATTGGTTTGCTCAGGCTGCCACAAAGTACCAAACTGGGTGGTTTGGAACTACAGAAATGTATTGTCTTACAGTTCTGGAGGCCAGAAGTCTAAATCAGAGCATTGGCAGGATTGCTTCCTTCTGAGGACTGTGAGGGAGAAATGTGTTCTGTGCCTCTCTTCGTTTCTGGTGGTTATCTTCTTTCTGTGTTTCTTCACATCATCTTACTTCTATATGTGTATGTCTCTGTGTCCAAATTCTCCATTTTTTATAAGGACACCAGTCACACTGGGTCATACTGGCCCTCTCTACTCCAATATGACATCATCCTAACTTAACTAATTGCTTCTGCAATGGCCCTATTTCCAAATAAGGTCACATTCTGACTGGAGGTTAGGACTTTGACATATGGATTTTTGGGAGACACAATTCAAATCACAACAGGGAATTTGGAAGAAGTCAGGGTAATTTGACACTTTTTTTTTTTCTCAGTCAGAAAGGGGAGGATCATCTCTGTGCATCAGGGCTTATACAACAAGAACCAGTTTTCTCCAGATTCTGTTCCTTAGTTGGAGGCCAAATCAACAGATGTCATATGTTTCCATCCTTCCCCCTAAGGTGTCTGTTGCATATATAGCTGCCATTTGATAATCTCATCATCTGCATGTATTTTGAGAATGCAGTGGCTATGATAATTCTCTGCGTGCTAAGGTTTTATCTGATGATGACTGCAAGAATTATTTCCCCATGGGTCAGTCCCCTTGGGGTAGTTGTATAATTACTTGCCTAATTAATGTATAAACATAATTTAACACTGCTAAATGTCAGATGATAGGATAAATATTTGGGGCTATCTTTACTAGCATCTCCATTGTATGGACCAATGTCGTAGACTATATTGAGTGAATCTAACACCATCCCTGGTGCTCCAAAAGCAGCCATTTCTTCTCACTTGTACTTTTGACCCAGGGGTTCTTGGGCTCATTCACACACAAAATTATACATTTGAAAGTAGGGCATTAAGCAGACTGCAGAGAAAGGAAGGGCTTTTCAGTTTACTCGTCGCTTCTAGTTGGCTAAGGGCATCTTATTTGAGTAAATATGGGTGTGGTCATTAGGCTTCTGATTTGAAGAGGATGCCTGGTGCCCACAAGAAACCCAAAAACCCTGGAAAACTAAGTTTAGAATGCTAAGTTTAAGAAGTCATGCTGCAGAAAAGAGTATGGAAGAATCACTCAAAAATGTATCTGATTCTATCTTATTATACACTTCTTACCAATGAAAAACTCCTTCTAATGAGTGGAACATCAAATTTTGAAGAGCTTTGGGAATTTATCCTAAGGAGATGATTGGACAAGTAAATATAGATTTATGTATAAAAGTGTTCATTTCAGTATCTTTTATAGTAGCCAAACCCCAGAAATCATTTAAACACCCAGTGGCAGGGGACTGTTTAAATAAAGTATGATGGCATGGCCATCTACTGGAATATTACATGGTTATTAAAATGATCCTGTAAAATGTATTGACATTGACATATTTATAATATTTTGTTAAGTTTACAAAATAGCTTTATAAATAAATGAAACACTTTTTACTGGATGGAAATATGGCAAAAAAATGACAGTAATTATCCTAGAAGATTGGGTTATTAATTACCCTCTTCTTTTTCTTTTAGAGACAGTGTCTCGCTCTGGCACTCAAGCTGGAGTACAGTGGTGGGATCATAGCTCACAGCAGCCTCAAACTCCTGGGCTTAAGTAATCCTCCCAACTCAGCCTCCCAAGTAGCTGGGACTACAGGTTTGCACTACCATGCCCGACTAATCTGTGCATTTTTTGTAGAAACGGGGTCTCACTTTGTTGCCCAGGCTGGCGTTGAACCCCTGGCCTCAAGTGATCCTCCCACCTTGGTCTCCCAAAGTGGTGGGATTACAGGCATGAGCCACCATGCCTGGCCTTAATTACCTTCTATTAAAAACTATTTTGCCATATTTTCTGAATTTTTTTGCCATAAGCATTTTAATAATAAAAATAACAATGAATGATATGAAAATTGCCTTTGGAATCTCTTGATGGACACTTGACATCTGGAAGATTTGGTTTTCCCAATTCCATAGTTCTTGAACAGTTGGCCCCATTTTAGACTCTGACATAATAAACCTCCACACTTTTGATGAAGAAGCTTACATTTGATAAAGCTTAAGGATGACCTTTTGCTACCAAAACAGTTTAATGCCCATTCTACCCAGTCAGCCCTGTTCTTCCCTAGGTTGCTGACTTTGATTAAATTCATGGGTCTGAGTCCATCTGGATGAGTCCAGAGCAGTCTACCTAGTTTTCAAAAAAGATCAATACCTCACCATCTGCTTGTGAGATTTTTGAAGCATATGGATCAGCTCAGAGCACCAGCATTCCAGGCCCTGCAAGAGCAAACCATCTTGAATTGTCTGCTCTTCATCACTTTCATCAAAGGTTGGCTGAGAAACGTGATATTTATGGAAGATGGTTTAGAATACATCCTTTCCGCTAGACACTACAAGTTCTATGCTTGAATCAAGCCAAACTGACAGAAATTTCCATTCTTGGAATATGTGTCTAAGCTGCTCCTGAAATTAAATATTCATTGGTTGCATTTTAGTAAAACAGGAGGTTTATTAAAAGGCCACAATGGTGTTATCTCACAGAACTCTCTGGAAGAAAGTCCCTAGGCCTCAAGGAGACCAGGAAGAGGACCCGAAGGTCAGAAGGATGTCTGTCTCCACCTTTAGTTTCTGCTTCTCCGTGTTTCAAATTTGTTCAGCTCTCTCTTTGCAGAGCCAGCCTTCTGAGCATCCCTGATCCTGTAACCACATGTCCACAAGTAGAACAAACAAGGTGGCTAGGGTACCCTCTTTCCCAAGATTGGCCAGGGTAGGGGAGAGAAGCAGGTGATGGGGGGATTGGGAATGGTGTTCAGAGAAAGAGCATCTATTACATTATAGAACTTTGAAAGAAAAAATTGTTGTCATATTTTTCTCATTTATCGGGCATAGACTATGAGATAAAATCTTATTTTATTTACTTTTATTTTATTTACTTCTATCTACTCTGACCACCCTTGGAGGTTATCTATATTTGTATTACCCGGAATTTCCTTTACTAGAAGTTCTTGCCTTTGGGATAACCATTATTGTGCTCTAGATTTTTTATTCAACAATTTGTTGAGAAACAGATATAGAATACCTTTTACTAAATCTTATTTCTGTAGGAATGGTGTTGAGAGGGCTGTCAGTGATATCGCTGAATATTCTCCAAAAGTTTCAAGGACAAAATTGCTTTAAAACATTGAATTAAATATTAAATTAGAAAGTTCAGCATAATTGATAGTTTCTTTTCTCTGTGATTCAGAGACAAATATTATGTTCAAATGTAGCTGTTATCCTAGGCTCCCTTGTTGCATATAATTTGTGTTTTTCTTTTTCTTGGTCTAAAATTACCACTCTTACTTATATTTTCCCTAGTCCTGATGCTCTCTTCTTATTATATTTTATCAATTATTGCACATATTTTTATTGGAAGTACCTCAAATCCTTAGGAGGGAGGCCAGTCATAAATAAAGGCCAAGTTATTAATATCCAATAAGAATTTAATCTCTGTCTCTCTCATCTACCTATTCATCTATCTGCTTTAAGTTGGTTTTCTAAATTGCTGCTTCTTGTAATCTAATCTAGAGGCGTTAGTAATGCAGAAATGTCATATAGGGATAGACACAGGGGAGATGTAAGGGAACTGTTTTTACTGCCCTGCTTCTAACATGATATATTAATAGCAGGTCTTTACAATACCTGTCCATAAGCTTGGTGATCAGTGTATGTATTTCTGTGCATGGTTTTTATGTGTAAAACTGAATTAACAGATAAAATGTCTCATATTGACAGAAGTCTGTCTATGTGATAAAATAAAATCTACTTGATGCTCAGTTTGTTAATTCATATGATGCCTTTTAAATTACTCTATTATTTTAATATAAAACTGGAATTTTTTACTATAAAACTGGAATATATGAGTGTGTGTGTATCTGTGGCATATATACAAGTAGGTTGTATTCTATTAGGCTGGTGCAAAAGTAATCACAGTTTTTGCCATTACTAATATGTATATATCATATAGATATGAAAGTCAGATGTAACACCTGTCTTCATAATACCTAAATATAAAATCTCATACCCATCAATAATTCTCAAATGCTTTAAACCGACATTTTATAATAAAATTTTCAAACTTACAGAAAAGTTGGAACAATTTGACAGTGAACAACCCAGCTGGATTATCATTTAGATTCTATAATTAACATTTTACTATAGTGTTTCATCACATGTAGATATTCATCTACCTATCCCTCTATCCATTCATCAACACATATTATTTTTGGAATATATTTAAAAGTAAGTTGCAGATTCATCCTTAGACACTTCAGCATGCATATCTCTAACTAGATTTAAATAAATATTTTCCATGGTTTTTTCCCTTTGATGTCAAATCTACATACACTGAAATGCACATATCTTAAAGGTACCACTGAAAGAGGTTTGATAAATGAATACAGCTGTGTAACCCAAACCACTATTAAGGTATAGAACATATACATTACCATCATTCCAGAAAGTTCCTTCATGTTCCTCCCTAGTCAACCCCCATCCCCTCACCCCCAAAGCTGTTGATCATATTTTTTCCTATCATGTATTAGTTTTGCCTGTTCTGAAACTTACAACTTGAATCATACAATTGCTTTTGAGAACTAAAAGGAGTGTTTTCTTTTTATTGTTAACACTATTTAAATTTCTGGGATGATGAAACGTGGCCTCAGTGTCCTAAGGTATATAGAATTATAGATTATTATAAGTGGGGTGTTATCCAGGGCAGAGCAGTAGCTTACCCTTGGGTCTCGTTGACAGAGATGGGGTTTCACCATGTTGGCCAGGCTGGTCTTGAACTCCTGACGTCAACCAATCTGCCTGTCTCGGCCTCCCAAAGTGCTGGGATTACAGGCGTGAGCCTCCGCGCCCAGCCTGGATATGGTGATATGATTTTTTGTCAGTCACAGCCTCTGGTGAGGACAGTTGGCTAATTTAAAAAATGCTTGGCACACACATGAGCATTGTATCCTGCTGACAGCCTTCCACAGATTCGTCCTTTTGTCTAACTTAGAGTTCTCTTGGTGAAGAGATAGCTTGAAGTATGTTCTTAGGCAAGTCACTTCCATGACATGTTCTCCTTTGTGGAGTGAAAAAGTGAAAGGCGTTTGGATGAGAATCTGGTGAGCAATCAAAAACACACAAGTTTATAGGCTTCAGGCCAACATATTTTAGTCAGCTGAAATCAGGGAGACACTGCCTGGTTGGCTGGCTGCCTCCGGACCGGGGCATCCTGCAGAGGGGCCTTCAGCTAGGGGAGGGGCAGGGAAGAAAATCTCAGGAAAGGGTGGGCAGTCCACTTTTGACCACTCCACCTTATGCAATTCTTTCTTTTCCCTTCTTCTCCCTTCACTTTCTCTGTCCTCTTGACCTTTCATTTCCTTTCTTTTCTGTCTTCCCCGTGGCAGCTGTGAACATGTGGATCCCTTGTGCCTGAGGTTCTGCTGGTAGCTCCTGCAGCCCGCCAGACTCCAGGCTCAAGGCTTAGGGGTGTTTCTTCCCACAGTCTTCTGGAGAGTGTACCAACAATTTCTCCACGCTCCCTGGGGTTGCTCAGCTCAGCAGGGCTGGGGAAGTGAGAGCTGCTAACCGGCTGTGTCTGTGAGTCAGCATTTCTCCCCACCGACTCAGGTCTGGGGAGAGACCCTGGGAGAGGATGTGGAGGAGGCACTTTCCTTTCCCAGACTGGAGATCAGGCGTCCCCAGGGGCAGGGGGCTGGGGGTAGAAGGTCGAGGAGTGAGGAGTTGTGGAGAGTGAGTGGTGTCTGGAGCATAACTGTTGTATGTATTCATGCATGCGCGTGTACACATCACTGAATTTGTTTGTGGTGACTAGAGTCAGTTCTAAAATGTGTTCTTGTAAAGTCTTAGGCTCCTAAAAAAATCATTTGAATATGGATTTTAAATATTCTCAGAAGTTTGAGAAAATATTCCTACTAACTATGACAGGGAACAAATACATACAAATTAGTTAATAACATCATGCTAAAACGTATAATGTGATTTTCAAAACATGCTAAAGAGTTAAAAAGTCTTTTTAAAATTTGTTTATTTTTTATTTCTCTTCCCTCTTAGAGCGTAAAAAGTTTTAAGAGGGTTTTTTGTTTTTTCTTGATATTTAAAATTTTGGTTTGATGCTGAGAAAAGCTTTCCACATACTAGGCACGTAATAGATATTCAGTATTATGTGATCACAGGAAGTAAAATAAGTTAGAGAGATCAGAGAGATTATTCTGTATTTAAAGGATTGAGATTTTCTACTATTTTTAGCCAAAGAACAATATGCAACCTTGAGTTAAAAGATTCCTTATTACTGATTGGGAGTTTGACTGTTTTGCAAAAACTGTGCTTGCCACATATTGTCAGATGATGATGAAAAATCTAAGTTTAGGCTTGACATATAGTGAATTATGTGGCTTTTCCCCAACTTGAATAAACATACTTAAAAAAAATCCCACTGGTTTATTTGTCTTCATGTAGCTTGCTTACCTCACAAGGTTTATTTCAGTAGTCATTTAAAACCAAATTTCTGAATTCTTACATTGTATAGAAATATCCCAGGAACCATTTTTGGGTTGAACAAGACTTTTATATTAGTTCCCCAGTCATAACAATATTTTCTTGAAGTTACAGTAATATATTCTTGAAGGCATAATAATACATTCTTGAATATATTATTGAAATTCAACTTATATGAGAATATGTTAAGAATGTATGAGAATATATTAAAGAATATATTGAATGGTGGTATTACTTATATATTATTTATCACCATTTCTGGATATAGTGATATGCTTTTTTTTTTTTGAGACAGGGTCTCACTCTGTCACCCAAGCTGGAATGCAGTGGCAGGATCGCGGCTCACTGCAACCTCGGCCTCCTGGGTTCAAGCAATTCTCATGCCTCAGCCTCTCAAGTAACTGGGACTACAGGTGTGCACCACCGCACTTGGCTAATTTTTGTATTTTTTGTAGAGACAGGGTTTCACCATGTTGGTCAGGCTTGTCTTGAACTCCTGACCTCAAGCAGTCTGCCCATCTTGGCCTCCCAAAGTGCTGGGATTACAGGCGTGAGCCACCATGCCCAGCCTGGATATGGTGATATGATGTTTAGTTAGCCACAGCCTCTGGTGAGGACAGTTGACTAATTTAAAAATGCTTGGCACACACATGAGCATTGTATCCTGCTGAGAGTCTTCCACAGATTTGTCCTTTGGTCTAACTTATATTTCTCTAGGTGAAGTTTACACTCATTTCTTTTTGTTCTACCCTTATCGGTGACTAAGAGACCAGCTGTATTCCAACTTCTGAATACTGGCAGAATTCTGAATCAGTAGCTCTTCCAAAAGGGCCTAGCTTACCTCAGAGAATCAGTCTGACCCTTGTGTCCTTGTCTCCTCTATGGAGAACATGGAGTTGCTTTTCTTTGCAGTTGGTTGTAGCTTAAACCATAGTGCATTGCTGAGTCGTGTGATGTGTGATTCATCAGGCCTCAGGTGACAACGGTGGATTTCCTTCAGGAATGAGTAGCAAACATTTTGGCCCCTCTTTGGGTGCCAAGCACCATGAGGTAAGGGAGTACTTTACAGACCCCTAGAGATCCACGGGTGCTCTAGATATAGCCATATTTCAGCCCCTGGATCCTTTGTTAGTGCCATATTAGGAGAATGCCTGTGGAAATGGCTTCTTTTCTCCACATAAGGCTTTTCTTTTTCTATTTTTAAAAATTTGGACCACCAGGCAAGAACACATCAGGAATTTTTCTGTTTAATTTGAACACATGTGTTAAGAGGCAGAGTATAGAAAGTAGTCTGAGACTAGAGAATCTAATGGAGTAACTAAGAGGGTTTACACCTAGGATATTGGAATTAGCTATGTCCTAGGCTATAAATCTAAGGTATCTTTGTTCTAAAATGAAACATGACACAGACATGACAGATGACAAAGAGTACACTTTATTGTAGATCCATATAATACTGAGAAAATTATTTTTCTGCAAATCTCCTTGGAGATCAGGATGGGGTTGAACCTCACCTGAACCTTAAGTCATGGAAAGTGAAGGAGAATTTTAGGATGGCATACAGTACAATGATCTTTAAAATGAACTGCAGGGCCAGGCGCGGTGGCTCATGCCTGTAATCCCATTACTTTGGGAGGTTGAGGCGGGCAGATCACGAGGTCAAGAGATCGAGACCATCCTGGCCAATATGGTGAAACCCTGTCTCTATTAAAAATACAAAAATTAGCTGGGCGTGGTGGCACGCGCCTGTAGTCCCAGCTACTCAGGAGTCTGAGGCAGGAGAATCGCTTGATCCCAGGAGGCGGAGGTTGTAGTGAACCAAGATCGTGCCACTGCACCCCAGCGTGGGTGACAGAGCAAGACTCCGTCTCAAAAAAAAAAAAAAAAAAAGAGAGAGAGAGAAAGAAAATGAACTGTAGAACACTGATGTTCTTCTGGCAAGACCAAGTTGTTTTGCCACTAAAATATTGGAAAAATAAGTGTCTTTTCTTGATTTTAAGAAAAACACTTTCCCAGAATTATGTATGCTTTTCTCCCAATACTTTTTAAAGCTTTGGTGTTTGTTTCTGTACTAGAATCTAGTGTAAGAAAGATCTGACTGAGGGCACATGTTCTCAGGATCTCCTGAGGGCTGTGTCACAGGCAAAAACGTGGAATAAAATAAAATAAAATATCCAATTAAGCATAACACATTAACTTTAAAAAAACCTAAGTGTAGCAGTATTTAATAGTGTTTTGCAAAGATGCTGTTACTTTCATGACACCTACCACCTGAAGAAGTTTGAGAAGGACCAGGTTCTAATTGTGCAACTGCCATTAACTAGCTAGCTGTCCTTGGATAAGCCTAGAAAAGCTGCGTAAAGGAGGAAGGATTTGAATTGGACCCTGAAAGAAAGTCAGATCTTAGAAAAGCAGAGAGGGGAGGGGGAAGTTATTTCTAATGAGAGAAGAGGAGGGTAAGGAGATCAAAGACCTAAGAAGTATAAAGTTTATGTGGGTAATAGAGAGAACATCTGCTTGCCATGAATTTCTCTTGAGTTTTTTTGGCCCCAGTGTAGAACTAGTGTCTCTGTTCTCTGCTGTGACCTCACCTGGAAATGTCTATTAGTTTATCATGCCATGCTGGATTAAAGAAAAACCACAGAGAGAGGAGTTCAGAGATTTATGTATTATATAATACATCATAATTATTTTTATTTAAATAATTATTTTTATGAATTAATAAATTAGAAAAGAATCATTTGTATTATTTACGTGTATATCTTCCACCTGAAGTATGTTTGGCAATACATTCTCTCAGCTTTCTTTTGTCTGAATCTGTCTTTATTTTTGAAGGAGTTTTAAAATTGGATATAGAATTAGACATAGAATTTTAGGTTATAGCTTTTTTTGCATTGTTTTTGTGAGAAATCAGTGGTACTTCAAGTTATTGCTTTCCTATCTGTAATATATCCCTTTTCTCTGGCTGCTTTAAAGATTTTCCCATTATCATTTGTTTTCAACAACTTGATTATAATGTGTCTTGGTGTTTGAGTCTGTGTATTTATTTTACTTGTGATACATTGAGCTTCTTAGAGCTAAGGTCTTGCAGCAATCCAGGGAGCATTTATTCAAGAAAAATGGCTGATTTTTGGTAAAAAATACAGAGCTTTGTGGTGCTTTAACTTGTCCTATTACAATCCCCTCCTTCTCCAACTCCATAGTAGCCTTGAAAATCAACAGCCCATAAATCACGATGAAAACCAGCAGGCTGGTAGCCACATGAGAGGGAAGAATAGGGTTGGAGTTCCTTCAAATCCCCATTCCTAGAGACTTTTATTATTTGACTTGTCTGATTGTTCTCTGGAACATCCCACTTATGGGGCTGTCTTTATTTGACCCGACTCAGAGGTCATCTAATGTGAACAGGCTTTTCCTTAGGGGTGTTTGTTCAAAATGATGAGAAGCAAATGTTGAAATTTCAACTGCCTGAAGCACTGAATAATAGTTGTGGCAAACAGTAGGCTAACCAAAAGGCTTAAAAGAAAATGCTGGGGAATGATATGTTCATAGGGGTCTTTGGAAGGCTCCAGCATATTCCTCAGAACCTAAAAGGTCACATGCACGTGTGGGGTTGTTTACAAGCCTAGAGCCCATACTCAGGAAAGGCCTCAAAGGTCCCACCTTTGGCTTTTTGCTTTTATGGCTAATCAACAGGTTCTGCACAAGCAGGAAGTGAAGGCTAAGGCAGAGTTATAAATGGCCTGTTTTAGCATTGCCTGTTGAAAGCATGCCTAGACATGCAGAGTTCTTCAGCAAAGACTGGTAAACTCATTGATTCCAGACATCTAAGGAAGTCTGTGTCTAATCATTAGCTGACCACTATTGTAACTGAGCAGAGATTTCAGTGGCAAAACATTACAAAATATACAGACTACAGAATTAGTTCAAAAAAGTCACTAAACCACTACCAATACTACCACCAGCAAACAGTAACAAGCAGAAACCACAGGGAAGGAGGGGAATTTGTATTCCAGGCTTTCCTTATTATATTAGTTAAAATATATAGTTTTCAACAGAAAATTATGAGATAAACAAATAACAAAGTATCAGGGAAAAAAAGCAGACCACAGAAACTGTTCCCAAAGAAGTTTGGACTTTCTGAAAAAAGACTAAAAATTAGCTATTTTAAATATATTTCAGGAACTAAAGGAATATATGAGAACAATATCTCACCAAGTAGAGAATATTAAAGAAAGATAGAAATGATAAAAGGGGCAAATAGAAATTATTGAGTTGAAATTTTTAATAATTGAAATAAAAAATTCACTTCAGAAGCAAAGTTGAGTAAGCAGAAGGCAGAATGAGCAAACTTGAAGATAAGTCAATTGAGATTCAGTCTGAGAAGCAGAAAGCAAAAAGAATGGTGAAAAATGAAAAAACTCAGAGACTTATGGGACATCATCAAAAGTGCCAACATATACATAATGGGAGTCTCAGTTCAGGAGAGAGTTAGAGAAGAGAAGAAAAAATATTTTAAGAAATAATGGCCCCAAACCTCCCAAATTTGAGGAAAAATATTAATCTACATATCCCCAAAGCTCAGTGAACTCCACATAAGATAAATACCTAAAAAAAACCCCAGATCATAATCTAGGGTTGACAGATCATTATCATACTATCAAAAGCCAAAGATAAAGAGAATCTGGAAAGTAGCAAGAGAGAAGTGACTCATCATTTACAAGGGACTTTCAATAAAATCAACAGCTGATTTCTCATTGGAAACCCTGGATCCCAGAAGGCACTGAGATGATATGTTTAAATTGTTGAAAGACAGACTGTCAAACAAGAATAAACAACTATCCTTGAAAGATGGAGGTGAAATTAAGACATTCCCAGATAAAGAAAAACAGAATTTGTTACTATCAGACCTTTCCTATAAGAAATACTACAGGGACTCCTTCAGGCTGAAATGAAAGGACACCAGACAGTAACTAAAATTCATATGAAGAAATAAAGAGCACCACCAGTAAAGGTAACAATATAAGTAAATATAAATGTTTAAATGTAGTTTTTATTTATAACTTTTTTCTAACAGATTTAAGCAATAATTGCATAAAGCAATGATTATATAACTGTGTTGATGGGCATAAAATATATAAAGAGGTAATTTGCATGACAACAGCACAATAGTGAAGGGGAAAATGGTGTTAAATAAGAGCAATGTTTTTATATGCTGTTGAAATTAAGTTGATATTAATCTAAACTATATTGTTATAAGTTAAGGTATTGTAATTTGCAGGGCAACAACTAAACAATTAAGTTAAAAAATAGTCAAAGAAGAACAGAGAATTAAAATGCTGTGTTAGAAAATATTATTTAGCAAGAAAAGGTAGTAATGGAGGAATAGAGGAACAAAAAAGACCTAACATATGTATATAGAAAACAAATAACTAAATTTTACCTTATCAGTAAATACATTAAATATAAACAGATAGAACATTCCAATTAAAGACAGATATTGGGAGGCAAAAAAATCATGATTAAACTATATGGCATCTGCAAGAGACATACTTTAGATTTAAAACCACAAAAAGGTTCAAAGTTAAAGGGTGGAGAAAGACATACCACACAAATTGTAAACAAAAGAGCTGGAGTGGCTTTGCTACTATGAGACAAAGTAGATTGTAAGACAAAAATTGCTACCAGGTACAAAAAAGGGTATTTTATATTGATTAAAAAGGTCAGTATATCCAGAAGACATAAGAATGTTACATAGCCACAGAGCCCCAAAATACATGAAGCAAAACCTGACAGAATTAAAGGAAGAATTAGAAAAATCTAACAATATATAGTCAGAGACTTTAATACTGTACTATCAATAATAGATAGAACAACTAGACACAAGATCAACAATGACAGAATTGAGCAACGCTATAAACCAAGTAGATGTAACAGACATCTATAGAGCACTCCACCCCAAAAGAGCATAACATACTTTCTTCTCAAAATGCACATGGAACATGGAGCATATGTCAAGCCATATAGCATCTCAATAAGTTTAAAAGGATTGAAATCATACAAAGCATGTTCTCTGACCACAATGGAATGCAATTATAAATTAGTAACAAAAAGACATTTGTGAAACTCACAAATATGTGGAAATTAAACAACACACTGATAAATATCTAAAAGGTAAAAGAAGCAGTTACAAAGGACATAAGAAAATGCTTTGAGATGAATGAAAACAAAGACACAACATACCAGAATTTATGTGCTGCAACAAAAACAGTGCTTAAAGGGAAATTTACAGCTATAAATTCCTGTATTAAAAAAGAAGAAAAAATCTTAACCTAATTGGAATAACCTAATTCCTTAAGAAACTAGAAAAAGAAAAGCAAACTGAACCCAAAACAAACAAAAGAAAGGAATTAATAAAGATTACAGTGGAAATAATGGAAACAGAGGCCAGAAAAACAATAGAGAAAATTAGCAAAACCAAAAGTTAGTTCTCTGAAAGATCAACAAAATTAATGAACTTTTGTCTAGATTGACCAAGAAGAGGAGAGAGAAGACTCAAATTACTGCACTCAGGAATGAAAGGCAAGACATTACTACCAACCTTATAGAAATAAAAAGGAATATACAGGAACACTATGAATAATTGTATGTCAACAAGCTAGATAACCTAGATAAATTGGACAAATTCTTAGGCACAATCTACTGAAATAGACTCAAGAAATAGAAAATATGAGTAGATCTATAACAAAGAAAGAGTTTGGGTAAATAATCAGAAAACTTCCCACAAAGAAAAGCCTAGGCCTGCGTGGCTTCATCAGTAAATTTTACCATATGTTTAAAGAACACCAATTCTTCACAAACATTTCCAGAAAAACCCCACTTATCCACTCATTCTAATACCAAAACTGGACAAAGACATTACAAAAAAAGAAAACTATAGACCAGTAATTCCTATGAGTATAAATGCAAACATCCTCAACAAAACACAAGCAAACCAAATCCAGAAGCATATAAAAAGGTTTATATACTCATTAGTAGGTGAGATGTATTCTAGGAATGCAAGGCTGGTTCAACATGTTGAAATCAATCAATCAATATATGTGTCATTAATAGAATAAAGTTAAAAAATTTTATGATCATTTCAATAGATGCAGGAAAAGCATTTGACAAAATCCAGTACCCTTTCATAATAAAAACATTCAACAAACTAGGAACAGAAGGGGACTTCCTCAAACTGATAAAGAACATCTACAAAAAGCCCAAAACTAACATTATACTTAATACTTATACTCAATAATGATAGATTGAAAACTTCCCTCCTAAGATTAGGATCAAACAAGGATATCCACTTTCACTGCTTTTATTTGACATTGTCCTGGAAGTTCTAGCCAGAGTACTTAGGCAAGAAAAAGAAATTGGCATTCACATTGGGAGGAAAGAATTAAAATGATCTCTCTTTGTAGACAGCATGATCTTATATCTAATAAAAATTATTAGAGCAAATAAAACAGTTCAGCAAATTTACAGGACACAAGATGGATATGCAAAAATCAATTGTACAGTTGACTCTTCAACAATATAGGTTTGAACTGTGTGTTCACTTATATGATTTTCTTCTACCTCTGCCATCCCTGAGATAGCAAGACCAACACCTCCTTTTTCTCTCCTCCTCAGCTTACTCAACATGCAGACAATAAAGACTTTTAAGATAATCTACTTTCACTTAATGAATAATAAATATATTTTCTCTTGTGATTTTCTTTTTTATTCTTTTCTTCTTATTTTTAGAGACAGGGTCTTGCTCTGTCACCTAGGCTGGAGTGCAGTGGTGGAATCATGGCTCACTGCAACCTTGAGATTCTGGGCTCAAGTGATCCTCCCAACCTCAGCCTCCCCGATAGCTGGGACTACAGGGGCCTGCCACCATGCCTGGCCAGTTTTTTATATTTTTTTGTAGAGACAGGGTTTCACCATTTTTCCCAGGGTGGTCTGGAACTCCTGGGCTCAAGTAATCTGCTTGCCTTGTCCTCCCAAAGTGCTGGGATTACAGGTGTGTGCCACCACACCTGGCTAAGTTTTCTTTTTTCTTTTTTGTACAGACAGGGTCTTGCAATGTTGCCCAGGCTAGTCTTGAACTCCTTCAACAGCAGGCTATTAGTAGTAGTTAAGTTTTTGGGGAGTCAAAAGTTACATGCAGATTTTTGACTGTGAAAGGGGGTCAGTACTCCAATTCCTAGTTGTTCAAAGGTCAATTGTATTTTTATACACTATCAATAAATCATTCAAAATAATTTAATAAAGCAATTCCTTTTTTATGTTTTTGACAGGGTCTACCTCTGTTGCTCAGGCTGGAATGCAGTGGCACGATCTTGGCTCACTGCAAACCTCTGCCTCCCAGGTTCAAGCAATCCTCCTGCCTCAGCCTTAGGAGTAGCTGGGAATACAGGTGCACACGACCCTGACTGACTAATTTTTAAATGTTTTTGTAGAGACGAGGTGTCACTATATTGCCCAGGTTGGAAAGGAATTCCATTTAAAAGAGGATAAAAAAGGATAAAATACTTAGGAATAAATTTCACAAAGGAAGTACAAGACTTTTATCTTTAAAAGTACAAAACGTTGTAATGAATTAAAGAACA
The DNA here is from genome assembly GCF_000001405.40 of Homo sapiens. NCBI lineage: Eukaryota > Metazoa > Chordata > Mammalia > Primates > Hominidae > Homo > Homo sapiens. Next base: position 50,218,640 of record NC_000013.11, read on the forward strand.
CCTAAATAAATGGAGCAATATTTCAGGTTTATGGATTGGAAGACTTAACATTGTTACATTGTTAAGATGGTCATTCTCTCCTATTTTATCTACAGTTTTAGTGTTATCCTTAAAAGTTCAGTGGTTTTTTTCCCCCAGATATTAACAAGCTGATCCTAAAATTTATATGGAAATGCAAGGGATTTAGAGTAGCCAAAACAAGATTGACAAAGTAAAACAAAGATAATTCACACTTCCCAATTTTGAAATTTAATACACAGCTGCAGTAATCAAGATTATGTGGTATAAGCATACATACAGAGATCAATGGAATAGAACTGAGAGTCCAGAAATGAACTCAGACATTTATGGTCAATTGATTTTTGACAAGGGTGCCAAGACAATTCACTGGAGATAGAATAGTATTTTCAACAAATGGTGCAGGAATAACTTGCTATTGATATGCAAAAGAATGAAGTTAGATCCTTACCTTGTACAATATGTGAAAAATAACTAAAAATAGATATCAAAAACCTAACTATGAGAGCTAAAAATATAATTCTCATAGAAAAAAATAGGTTTAAATTTTTGTGACTTTGGATTAGGTAATGGTTTCAGATATGACAGCCAAAGTATAAGCAGAGAAAATATAGATAAACTGAACTTAATCAAAAGTTAAAACTTTTGAATTTCAAAGGACACTATCAAGAAGGTGAAAATAAACTCACACAATTGGAAAAACGTTTGCAAATGTTTTCACATCTGATAAAGCTGTAGCCAGAATATGAAAAACTGTTACAACTTAACAATGAAAAGACAACCCAATTTTAAAAATGGACAATACATTTGAATAGACATTCTTCAAAGAAGTATATGAATGACCAATAAGCACATGAAAAGATGCTGGACATCATTAGATACTGGGAAAATGCGATTCAAGACTGCAATGTGATATTGCCTAATACCTACCAGAATAGGTAAAATAGAAAAGACAAACATTAGCAAGTATTGATAAGGATGTGTAGAAGTTGGAACTCTCATACATTGCTGGTGGGAATGAAAATGTTGCATTTACTTTGGAGAACAGTTTGGTAGTTCCTCAAAAACTTAAACACAGAGTTGCTATACAACTCAACAATTCCACTTCTACATATATACCCAAGAGAACTGAAAATATATGTCCACACAAAAGCTTGTACACCAATGTCGATAGCAGCACTATTTATTATAGCCAAAAAGTAAAAACAACCGTATGTCCATCAAGTGATGACTAAAGTGTTGTATATCCATATGATGGAATATTATGCAGCCATAAAAAGGAATTAAGTCCTCATATCTGCTACAACATGGGTGAACCTTGAATACATTATGCTAAGTGAAAAAAGTCAGACACATGTCATATGATGCCATTTATCTGAAAAGTTCAGAATAGGCACATCTATAAAGATAGAAAGCAGATTAATGGTTGATAGGGGCTGGGCAATAGGGATATAGTGAGTGACTGCTAATGGGTATCGGGTTTTATTTGGATATGATGAGAGTATTTTGGAATTAGATAGTGGTGACAGTTGTACAACTATATAAATGTATTAAAAACTACTGCATTGTATACTTTAAAGGGTCAGTTTTATGACATGTGAGTTATATCTCAATTTTTAAACAACCAATTGAGAGACAGTATACAAAATACCTGATCATTAATACTCAAAACTGTTAAGGTCATCAAAACCAAAGAAAACCTGAGAACCTGTCACAACCAAGAACAGCCAAAGGAAATGACAAAAAAATGAAATGTGGTATCCTGGATGGGATCCCGGGTTAGAAAAAGGACATTAGTGATAACTGAGGAATTTTGGGTAAAGTCTCTACTTTCGTTGATAATAATGCATCAATATTGGCTCATTAATGGTGACAAATAAACCATACTAAGGGGAAGCTCATGTAAGAGAACTGTGTACTACCATCACAATCATCTAAGTGTTCTAAAATAAAAAGATTGCTTAGAAAAAAGGCTGGCCAGGCGCGGTGGTTTGCACCTGTAATCCCAGCACTTTGGGAGGACGAGGCGGAGGACCACTTGAGGTCAGGAGTTTGAGATCAGCCTGACCAATGTGGTGAAACACCATCTCTACTAAAAATACAAAAAAATTAGCCAGGCAAAGTAGCAGGTTCCTGTAATCCCAGCTACTTGGGAGGCTGAGGCAGCAGAATGGCTTGAGGTGGGAGGTGAAGGTTGCAGTGAATTGAGATCACACCACTACACTCCAGCCTGGGCAACAGAGTTATCCCCGTTTAAAAAAAATAAATGACAGAGGAAAAATATAACTAAGAGCCTATTGTATTATTCGACATGAACTCCTCGAGATAAATACAATCTTGAAGCTCCTTCTAACTTTAGAAACCTGTGATTTCTTGCATAGTTTGGCTAGTTGAGTTTTGTACTGTAAGTTCCACCGGTCAGCTTCTCAGCCAGACTTGGGTAATTTATGTCCAGGGTGACAGGAAGCACTGAGGAAAGAGCGTTCTCATCAGTGGTGATGTAATAATATGTACACCAAACCCTCATGACACATGTTTATCTATGTCACAAACCTTCACATGTACCCCTAAACCTAAAATTAAAATTAGAAAAAAAAGAGTCTCTTTCTCAGACCCTTCCAAACCAACATGTGTGAAACATAGTGAGTTGTCCTTTTAAACTTTTATCATATCATGTAAAGGTGATGTACTCCACAAGTGGCAGGTATTTACTGAGTGCCTGTCATGTCAGGCATCTGGGAGAGACTAGGGTGAAGCCAGGCACAAAACCACACATTCAACAGTGAATTGCATGCATGATGTATTACCATTATTATAGTGAGTATGATGAAGAACAGGATGTTTTGAGAGCATATAACAGGATCTCACCTGAGTTGGCAATTGGGGAAGGTTTCTGAGGCAGGGCAGTGAAGCCAAGAGGAAGGACCTGTAGGAGAACCTTTGGTGAAGAGGAGGGATGGGCTTTTCCAGCAGGGGGAATGGCATTGGGATGTTCCCATGTCTGAAGGGGACAAGGAGTTGGGAGGAACTGACAAAAGACCACTGAGGCCTGAGGTGTGGAGGCAGGTGCTGCATGGGCAGTTGGAGAGGGAAGATGTGAGATTACTCTGAGAAGTAGAAAGGGAGCTAGGAAGGCATTGAAAACTTTTAAGCATGGCGGTGTCTGGGCTAGATATGTATTAAAAACAATACTCTGGGCCAGGTGCGGTGGCTCACACCTGTAATCCCAGCACTTTAGGAGGCTGAGGCAGGAGGATTGTTTGAGCCCTGGAGTTTGAGACCAGCTTGAGCATAACAGAGAGACCCTGTGGTGTGCACCTGTAGTCCCAGCCACTCGGGATGCTGGGAAGATCCTTTGTGACCAGGAGTTGAAGGCTGCAGTGAGCTGTGACCATGCTCCTACATACAGTGAGTATGACTGTACTCCTGGGTGACAAAATAAGACCCCATCTCAAAATAAACAAATGATACTCTAAATGCAACATATGGAATGGATTTTGGGAGCAGTGGTGGAGTGGGAGACCAGTTACAAGGCTAACTGAATAGCCTTTTAACCAGTTAAAAGGCTAACAAATACCAAAGGCAAAAAGTGATGGGGTGGTGGTGGGGGACAGAAGTTGAGTTGAGAACAAAATTAAGAGGTGGAATTAACAAAAAAGTTTATGGAGGATAAAGAATATAATTTATAGATGCTGATAAATACAGAGGTAGCTGTACTAAAAAAAAAACCTAAAGTATTTGTTAAAAAACAAAAGACAAAACCACCAACTAAAACAACCAACTAATCAACCTAAGATTAAATTAAAACCAAGACCCAGGTCTGGAAAAAAAAAAAAAGATCAGCTTTAACAAGTGAATACATGGTATTTTTAAAAACACGATTATTCCTTCAAAATAGTGCCTACAGTGTCTTTCAAAAAGTTGCCTTTCTCTTTTTCAAATCGTGTAAGATGTGTCATATAAGATTTGGGTGTTTTCCCTTTGCCGATGGTTGGAGAGTGGTGATGTGTCTTGCGAAATTAAACCACAGAGAACGTCGATTTGAAACTTTCGGAGTTTCGGAGAAACTGGCCCTAGCTCAGCTGCCAGTGACCAGTGAGATGGATTCAGAATGTTGTCCTAGTGAGGGTGCTCAGTGACAACGCAGGTCAGAGGCAGGGCCGGCTGCGACTCCACAGACAGACTCACAGCCACAGCGTCTACAATACACACAGCTGCTGCCTGGCTGCGTGACAAAGGTGTCTTGGCAGAAGCATTTTGGCTGTCTGAAATACAGCCTTTGCACAATCCTGAGACTATATTTTACAAGTTCATTTTCTAACATCCAGGCACGCTTTTATGGCATCTGGAGCATTTTGCTGAATGACTTGGTAGTGCACTGCTGACCAGACAGCACATTTCCAGATTTAGATTATAAGAGAAAAACAGCAAGTGGTAAGTTCAGCTGCAGGTCAATGGATACTTATACTACAGTTCCCTCACTGAGCACTGGGCTACTTTATCCCATGGGGACCAATCCTGTAAAGTGTATTCAACAGAGATGGCCCTAGGTGTTTGCTTTTATGGTTGTTAGCCACATTCACACTGGGAATGTGCTGTTATCACATTGTAAACATTATTCTTAATATCAGAAAGAAAACTGGGGAGAGTGTCAAGAATTGGCATGCACAAACTGATAGAATTGCCAGTGGACGTTCTTATTTTCTGAGCATTTATGAGCTGCAGGAGGTAGGTGCAGTCTGTAAAACAAAGGTGGTGAGAAACATTAACCATTTTTTATTGATTTTATTTCAAACTGTGTACATCTTACACGTTTTAGGTTCTTTGTAATGTTGGGATAATTTGGAGGGGACATAATGATGTTCACTGACAAATAGCTTTCTGAAAAAGTCAGGAGTTCATACATTATCCTGCATTGATGAAAGACTTTCAGCCTTTCAAAGCATTATTAGACTTACTACTTAAAATTTTTGCCCAGCTTGTTCAATTTTACTCTTAAGAAGAAGGGAGGGTTAAAAAAATAGTAGTATTAAATATATGAAATCTTAATTTTAAATGATGGCTGTCATCAAGTGTGCCCTCAATGAGAACAAACATTTTTATACATTTGTACTAGAGATGCCCAGTATTGCTTGCTCACCCTCAGTCCCTGTTGTCTTTAATAATCGTGTTATATACAACACAATTTCACCCTGTCTGTTCCTTCAGCCTACCCCTGTTCCATACCTTCCCCAGCTATTAGACTTGGGTGGTCCCTTGACTTCACATCCAGAAATGTCTACAGCTCAGACTGACCAGTTACCAGGTTCTGTGTGCACTGGCCTACACAGATATTATGAGTCCTTCAGAATCAGAAGATGGGAAACTGAAGCCTATGCCAGCCAACCAAAAAGGTCATAGGTAGACTGATAGCTAAGGCAGCCATTTTGGTCATGTGCAAGGTATCAGTTGGTAAAGGGAAAAAAATGAAACTCACATGTAGAGAGAGATGTGATTAAAGAAAGAAAAGAAGTAAGTAACTGCCTGGGATCCTGATAGTTTCTGAGCCAGACCTAGGCCATTTATCTTTAAAATAAATCGACTTTTTCCTTGAGGTAACCTGAATGAGGCTCAATCTTTACAGCCAAAGAAAAATTATCCTTATCAGTGATGTCTGCCTGGTGGCTGGTGAATGGTAAAAACTGGCAGGAGAGACCAATCCGATGGGAAATCAAGTTCAGGTAGGAAATTTGGTTTTAAACCATAGAGAATATTTAAGATTGCTACTTCCTTATTCAGACCTGGTCACTGTGGAGCAATCATCATTACTCCCATTTATCCAAGGCATAGCTGTACATAAGTTTTGTCTCACCTTGGGTGAGATTTCCTTAAAATAAAATACTATAATCATAATGGCTTACTTATGCTTTGGCTTTCATAAAACAAAACAACAACTATGCAAAACCTACCTGTGTCCTCTGTGGTTGGATTGAAAAAAAAGGGGGTAGGTTGTGAAATTAAGCTGAGGACGTGACCATGTGTCTGATGACTAAGATGGAACCCATGTAGGAGTTGAGTCAGTAATAACATGCCTCTTGCTGCAGCTCAAGTTGCCTGCAAACCCCCACGCTTTTTAGCAAATATTATTTTGAATGTCAGAGTGCACAGAGCCGTTCTCTAGGGTTGGGCTAAATTTGACTCTGTGGGAGAATAAACCTAGAATTCCAAATGTGGTGATCCCAACAGAGTATGTGATGCAAGACCAATTTTCCACTTGTGCCGGGTGGGTTTGTTCAAATCTCACACAGAAATGAGAGATGCCAGACGGGGTGTTGACTTGCCCCAAACATAAGGTAGTAATTTAGGTTTTATTTTAAATAAGAATTAGAGTCTGGGTAATCCAAAATTTTAATTTAGAAAGGAGCCTGGGAGAATGGCAGAAGACAAGAGCTAGGCAGCCCTGTGAAGAAGGGTTAGGAGTGGAGCGATGAGGCCTCGTGTGCTTCAGTCCAGTTCTGGAAGAGCTGATTTGTAGTAAAAAAGAGGCAACTCTAAATCTGTGTCTTAGCATGGTTTTGTAGAAAAGCCTAAAGGTGATTCTGGGTGCTGTGATTTGAGGTAGTAGTTTCTTTCTTTAATGTGCAGATAATAGAGTAAACTTTAATGATTAAAGCATTATAAGCTGACTGCAGTGTTTAAACACTGACCCAGTTTCAGCAGTGACCTAATAAGGGTGGCCTGGGAGAAGGGGGGGCTCAGGGGCAGCTTGGAAGAAATAGGTCAAAAGGATTTCTCCCAGTTCTTCTCAGGCAGACACAATGGGACTTGGCATTCTTTGTGCAAAGCCTGGCGGTTGCATGAAGAATTTTCTCCTGAAATGCTCCTCTATGCAATTTACTCTTGGTTCAAGTCGATGCTTGTGATGCTGGGTCATTCTTTTGGTTTGAGGAGGATGTAGTGTATTCATTCAACAAATATTTATTGAGCACCTACTATATCTGAGGTACCATGTGGATGGCTAAGAATACAGTAGTGAATAAAACAGTGTCTGTTCTCATGGAGCTTACTTTCTAGTGGAGAAAAGCCTGAGTTCAAATCCTGACTCAATCAGTTATCAGCTTGGTGAGTTACTTAACCTTGGGTAAGTTAACCTGTCTGTCCCTTTGGTTTCCATATCTGTAAAATGGGATGACAAAATTGTACTTACCCCGTAAGACTGTCATGAGGATTAAATTGAGGCCACACATGTAAAGAGCTTACAACAATGAATGCTTTGTAGCAAGGACTTCATATAAACAATTACATGTCAAAGTGAGTGAATGAGCTTTAGTTGTCCAAAGATGGAAGAACAATGAAAACATTCATATGGAATTCTCATGGGTCTGGAATAAGCATTTAAGCAAGGCCTTCTACTGAATATGGCTATCAGGTGTGGAGTTCAAAATGTGTGAAAAACCAAGAGACCCAGAAACCCTCATTTAAGCAAACAGCCTTTGAAACAGAAGCCTGACTTTAGCTATCACATTCATATTCTTATGCCAAGAGAGATCCTGCATAGAATTAGTAGGTAATATTAAAACTTTGGTTTCTTTTAGGGAGGGAGATGTTACCCTTGTCCCAGTGGAAGACTTGTCATGTGAATTTGCTGGTAGCCTCCCTGGGGTTGTGAGACATTGACACCACATTATACTTTGCATGGGGAAGAGTGATTTGCTAACTCAGTTTTTATATGATATCCTGAGAAATCTGTGATTTCTCATCCTGCTGTCAACGTGCATTAGACTGTTGGAGCTGAACTGTCACTCCACCACCTTTCAGCTCAATTTCTTTATCTGTAAAACAAAAGAAGCTGAAAGAGTGACCTTCGGTTAAAGCCATAGGACCCTAGGAACCAGTCCTTCATAAATTTATGTCCACATAGCTGAGATACCTGCAATATTGCATCCCAGATATCAAAGCACACATATCTCACTTTAAGTTGATGCTTACTCATACCTGGAGTAGATGCTGATGGGTGTTGGTTCTGTTATGTCTATAGACATGATGCTCTTTAAATAGAAAGGCATTTGTTCATCCCAGATGCTTCAGTTTGTATGGTCTTCTCCCTTGAGATTTCCAAATATGGTTCTGGAGGAAATGGGTACATATTCTTTCTTTTTGGAGCAAAGGCTTTTTGGAACAAGGGCCATGTTGCTGATGAAAATGTTATATTGGGTCTCATGGCAATTCCTTTATTGCTTTCTTGACCCTGTGTCATTCAGGGAGTGTCAAAAACCACATGGTGCTTCTGAGACCTACAATTTTTGCATTTAGTTCTCTGATTTAGCTGACAGATGTTAAAACACAGATATAGCCAGATAACTCCCCAGTGACAACACAGATGCAAAAACTGAAAAGTGCAGTTACTCCAGCTTGGGGAGGGATTATATTGGATATTCAAAATTTTCCCTACTGAAGCCCTTACATTTTTCATGTGTTTCTGTTAGGCTAATGTGGCTTAGGTTAGAGGAAACTGAGTCTCTTTCCTTCTGGTTGATTCAATCATTCATATCCTCAAGAAAATGTGCCAATCTGGAGCTCAGGAGATCCTGAGAATATTAACAATAACAGCAGGCTCAAGTCTCTTTTATGGCTGGCAGGGCTCTGACAGAACAACTTTGGGTCTGAAGAGAAATAAAACAAAAAAGATCTGAGATCTGGAGGGAAATTTCATTGGGACTTACCCAGTCATTTTATGGATTAGGAAATACGAGGCCTACAGTGACTTTCTCGGGGTCACAGATAGGAGTAACAGAACCAGGGCTAGATCTAGGTCTCCTAACTTGCAATTGAGTCTTTCCCCATTGGTTCCTGGCCTCTCGTGTGTCCCCTGCATCTCCCTGAGGTTTACCCTTGAGATTGGTGTTGGGGACTGTGACACATGGTGGAGGCTGCAGTAGGGCCTCTGGCTCTCTCCAGTCTTGGGCGTGCCTCATCTCAGCCCATTGCCTTTGGGGAAATGCTAGCCACAAACATAGTGAGTTAAATTCTTGGACTATCAGATATAGCTCAGACTTTCAAGATGATAAATAAAGAAACTGAGGTTCAAAGAGGGAATGTGACTCGCTCAGCAATTCAGAAAATCAATTAACAAATAATTATGGAGCACTTAGGATGTGCCGGGCCTGTGGAAACTGCTGGTGGGTGGGTGGGTAGGTGGGGGCGGGGGGCGGCATTTGACTAAGAATAAGACAGACAGGTTCTTACCCTGGAAGAATTTACCATCCAGGAACAAGAGAGCAAACAGCCACAAGTGGGAGGAATATTTAGAAGCGAGGAGTCCCCTTGGAGAACTTGACCTGGTCTGACAATCAGGAGCAGACTCGAATCTTCTGTTCCCTCTGTCGAGATGCCTCGTCTCTCTAGGTCTTGCTGACTTGAATGTGTGTGGAGAGTTCAAAGCCAGGAAAGGATATGTTTGAGGTAACCTGCTTTCCTACCCTATTTAGATTTTAGGTTAATTTTAAAAATGTTTCCCTTTTGTATAAGATTATTTTGATGCTTTTAGACCCTATCATTACCCTATTATTTATTACACTGAAGAATCTATTTAAATATTGGCCTCACTACAGGCCACCCTCAAAGTGGGCCAGTTCTTAGGGCTCATAGGGGAACTATGACCCAGTGTACCCCTACAGAAAAGCCACTGTCTCCATGGCTTCTGGTTGCCTCTAGATAGAAATCTAAAAGCCCACTGATGAGTTTGTGACATTTAGCAATTGCCAACCTTTGCCTAGACTACCATCATGTGTCCTGGGAAGATGCCCCCTTCCTGATCCACAGACCTCTTTTCTCCATGTTGTATTTCTCGGGATTTGGAACTTTTCTAGATGACAGTTGTTTTTCTTGCTCAAAGGGAGGGTAGCATGCCTTTCTCTGAGCCATGTTCCCCCGCCCCCTTCCACTTAGAGCCTGCCTCTTTCTGACCAGCTCCACCTGCCCCTGCAGCAGCCCTACTGCCCTATGTACCAGCTGCAACTGGTTTTGTGTATGATTATGTATTTAAAACAATTTGTGTTCCTGTCTCTTTTCATTATGTCCATCCTCTCTACTCCTCTGGATTACAAGTGTCGTGAGAAGGGGGGTTGAGGCTCCTATTTCCTGTAGGGCTTAGATTACTGAGGCGCAGTTGGCTGGCGGCTGGGCAGACTGAACCCTGCTGTTCAAAGGCAGATGGGAGAGCCGGGGCGGGGGATCTGAGCCACCAGCCCAGTGGTCCAGAGCAGTTGTCTGAGGCAGGACACCAGGCTGCAACACTAATTTGCCATGTGACTCTATTTTATTTTATTTTATTTTTGAGACAGGGTCTTGCTCTGTCACCTAGGCTGGAGTGCAGTGGCGTGATCTCAACTCACTGCAACCTCCACCTCCTGGGTTCAAGCAATTCTCCTGCCTCAGCTTCCTAAGTAGCTAGGATTACAGGCATGCGCCAACGCGACCAGCTAATTTTTGTATTTCTAGTAGAAACGGGGTTTCACTATGTTGGCCAGGCTGGTTTTGAACTCCTGATCTCAAGCAATCTGCCTGCCTCAGCCTCCCAAAGTGCTGGGATTACAGGCGCAAGCCAGAGCGCCCAGCCGCCATGTGACTTTAGACTGGATTTCAGTTTCCTTGTCTAAGTGTCTCCTCATGTCGGGATCCTGTGGTGTGATGTCTGGGAGAGTACCCTGAACTTAGTACTTAAAGTATTAAGACTATGTCATAATGTCTCATTCTTAGACCCTGTCGAGTATGTGTAGGGCCGGAAAATGTCCTTCAGGCTTCTTTGAGTTGGGTCTGGATCCTGAACCACTAGGTTTTAATCCTTGTCCTCATCAGAGGGACAGACAGTATTGAGTGACCCAGGGGACAAAGTCAAAATGGCTGTGGGCACTGGCAAGAGAGGAGGCTCTCAAATAAGGAAACAATGGCATGAAAAAGTTTTAACATTATATATATATATATATATATAGTTAATACACATGCTTGTATGTTTTTGTGTATGTTCATGTGTGTATGTGTATGTATATAAAAGCATCAAAATTGATATATATCATAGGGAAAACCAAAACTTGGTAAGATTTCATTTTACCCGTTTTACAGTCTAAACCTTAAAACTGCTTGCAATTTTAATTATCAATGAGGAATGGACATAATAATCTGTTCAGTGCTCAGGGGCTCTGAAGCCCTTAAATTCTTGATGTAGGAACTCTCCCTCCAACCCAGAGTGCCAGGGTTTTGCTTGCCACCTCTTCTGATCTGTCCTTACCTTCTCCGTGTTTTCCATTGGTGAAGATACATCTATGTCTCAGCTCAAGCCCTGCTCCCATTGCATTGGAACAGTGTGTAGCTGTGCACACTGTCCACACTTAAGAAAGGGTGATGCCAGACTCAAAAAGCCTTGGGGAAGAGAAAGCTCATCCCCTTTAGATGAAAGAAATCCTGGAGTGAGGCCAGGTGGAATATTCTCAAGTCATTCCTGATGTGTCATTTGTCTACAGCAGAGCAAATTATGGCTGCCTTTTATGGGCATTTGAAAGGCCAAAGGCAGCGATCCACTCTGAGTATATACCCCAAAGAATTGAAAGCAGGGTCTTGAAGAGATATTTACATAGTCATGTTCACAGTAGCATTATTCACAATAGCCAAGAATGTTGATTGCAACCCAACCCAAATGTTCATTGACAGATGAGTGGATAAAATATGGTATGTACATATTCTATACATATGTCTACATTAGGCTAAATGAATTAGCCAGTCATAAAAAGATAAAAACTGTAGGATTCTAGTTGTATGAGGTACCTAGAGTAGTCAAATTCATAGAAACAGAAAGTGGAACAGTGATTGCTTGGGGTTGTGGGAAGGAGGAAATGGAGAGTTATTGCTTAATGGATGTGGAGTTTCAGCTTTGCAAGATAAAAAGAGTTCTGAAGATTGCACAACAGTGTGAGTGTACTTAACACTACCGAACTGTACACTTAAAAATGGTTAAGATGGTGAATTTTATGTTATATGTATTTTACCACAATTAAAAACAAACAAATCCTAATGCCCAGGCTGCACCACAGACCAATTAAATCAGAATCTCTGTGGGTGGCTTTCAGATATCCTTATTTTTTCAATTTCCCCAGGCTAAGCTAAGGTGGAGAACCACTGGACCAGAGGCAGGAAATGCAATCTTGAGGTGGTAGCTGTAAACCAGGGGTGAAATGAAAAGAATGGAATCACAGGGAATAAAACAAATTGGATGGTTTGGACAGTCAGTCTTCAGCGATAGATCAGATATGGAACGAAGGAAAGAAGAAGGAAAAAGAAAAATAATGGATCAAAGAAGTTTCCAAGGGCCTAGACTAAATTGTGGATTTATGGAAAAACTGAATGTTTATTGGTAGGTGTTGGGAGTGATTATTTATTTTAGTTTATGGTAATGCAGGTAGAAATTTCTTAGAGGCAGCTGGAAATTTTCATTGCCAAAATTATTCATGTATTTCCCTTGTAGAAGCCAGAGTTTCATTTTACAGTAAAAATGAACTTTTAAAAAAACATTTGTTCATTTATTTGTTTCTTTTTAAGTGTTTAATTGTTAGAGGCAGCTGGAAATTTTCATACTCAAAATTATTCATGCATTTCCCCCATGGAAGCCAGAGTTTCATTTTACATTAAAAATTAACTTTTAAAAAATATTTGTTCACTTATTTGCTTCTTTTTAAGCATTTAACGGACAGATAAAGAGTGAATACATTAAAATTATACAACATGATGATTTGATATAAGTATACATTGTAATGATTATCATAATCAAATTAATGAACACATTCATCACCACCCATGCTGTACATTAGATCCCCAGACCTTGTTCATCTTATAAACTGAAAGTTCGTGCCTTTTGATCAACATCCTCCCACTTTCTCCAGTCCCCTGGCCCTGGCAACCAGCATTTTACTCTCTGTTTCTATGAGTTTGACTTTTTTAGATTCTAAATATAATTGGGGTTATGCAGTATTTGTCTTTCTGTGTCTGGCTCATTTGACTTAGCATAATGTCTTCCAGGTTCATCCATGTTGTTGCAAATGACAGGATTTCCTTCTTTTTTATGGCAGAATAATATTCGATTGCATATATGTATCTGTATCCATTCATCTGTTGATGGATGCTTAGGTTAATCCCATATCTTGGGTATTTTGAATAATGCTGCATTGAACATATGATTGCAGATATTTTTTTGAGCCATCGATTTCATTTTCTTTGGATATTTTTATCCAAAAAACCCCAAAACAACAACAACAACAACAAAAGAAGAAAAATTGCCCAGGGAGCATTATATCTTCAGGAGCCAAGAATAAACCTAGTTTCAGAGTTCCTTTTGGCAAAGCCATGAAGTTGGAGAGCTTTGTCTGTGGCAATCCTTCTCTTGCTGTCTCCTACCTGCCTCTGAATGTTCTGTGGGCCTCCACTTTCTCAGGATCCCATTCAAGTCACATTGCCCTGTTCCTCCTCTCTTTCTAGAAATTCCTGGTAAACAAGTAAATCCCATAGTAAACAAATTTGCGTGAAGGCAATAGAAACTCCCACACTATTTTTTCTAAGAGCATTCACATTTTTAAAATAAATGGAATGAAGAGATCAATACTTATTATAAAATAATAAAACTAGAATGGTGATATTTCAGGAAGGAGAAATTTTGGATAAGATTGCCATTTCTGGCCTCTTGGAAGCACCTCTGTAAATAGTTCTGCTTAGGTGTTCAGACCTGGGTGGGCAAGAGGGGTATTCAGTGATTTGCATGGACCCAGAGAGTCAGCAGATGGGTGCTGGGAGGAGGATACTGAGTCACATATGTGGTCTAGACATATGGATGATGGGAAAGAAAAGTCATTTATGACATTAAATATATCACCTTCCAGTGCCACTAAATCATGTTTTCTGAGCAGAGCAGAGTCACAGCTCCCTACTTTACCCTGTGGTATTCAGCAGGCCAAAGATTTAAGGAAGGACTTAAAAAGTGTCCTTTGGATGCCTTCATCACAGTGCCTGAAATTGCATGCTGTGACTACAAGCCTTTGTCATGTTTACTGATATGGTTTGACTCTGTCCCCACCCAAATCTCAACTTGAATTGTAACTCCCAGAATTCCCACGTGTTGTTGGAGGGACCCAGGGGGGAGGTAATTGAATTATGGGGGCTGGTCTATTCTTGTGATCATGAATAAATCTCATGAGATCTGATGGGTTTATCAGGGGTTTCCACTTTTGCTTCTTCCTCATTTTTCTCTTGCTGCCACCATGTAAGAAGTGCCTTTTGTCTCCTGCCATGATTCTGAGGCCTCCCCAGCCACGTGGAACTGTAAGCCCAATTAAACCTCTTTTTGTTCCCAGTTTCGGCTGTCTTTATCAGCAGTGTGAAAACTGTATTAGTCTGTAATACAGTAAATTGGTACCAGCACAGTGAGGTGCTGCTGGAAAGATACCCAAAAATGTGGAAGCAACTTTGGAACTGGGTAACAGGCAGAGGTTGGAATAGTTTGGAGGGCTCAGAAGACAAGAAAATGTTGGGAAGTTTGGAACCTCCTGGAGACTTGTTGAATGGTTTTGACAAAAATGCTGATAGTGGTATGAACAATAAGGTCCATGGTGCGGTGGTCTCAGATGGAGATGAGGAACTTGTTGGGAACTGGAACAAAGGTGACTCTTGCTATGTTTTAGCGAAGAGACTGGTGGCATTTTACTCCTGCCCTAGAGATCTGTGGAGCTTTGAACTTGAAAGAGATGATTTAAGGTATCTGGTGGAAGAAATTCCTAAGCAGCAAAGCATTCAAAAGGTGACTTGGGTGCTGTTAAAAGCATTCTGTTTTAAAAGGGAAACAGAGGATAAAAGTTCAGAAAATTTGCAGCCTGACAATGCAGTAGAAAAGAAAAACCAATTTTTTTTTTAAGGTGAAATTTAAGGCGGCTGCAGAAATTTGCATAAGTAGCAAGTAACCTGTTAATCCCCTAGACCATGGGGAAAATGTCTCCAGGCCATGTCAGAGACCTTCATGGCAGCCCTTCCCATCACAGGCCCGGGGGCCCAGGAGGAAAAAGTGGTTTTGTGGGCCAGGCCCAGGGTCCCCATGCTGTATACAGCCTAGGGACTTGGTGCCCTGTGTCCCAGCCGCTCCAGCCTTGGCTGAAAAAGGCCAACACAGAGCTCGGGCTGCAGCTTCAGAGGGTGGAAGCCCCAAGCCTTGGCAGCTGCCATGTGGTGTTGAGCCTGTGGGTGCACAGAAGTCAAGAATTGAGGTTTGGGAACCTCCGCCTAGATTTCAGATGTATGGAAATGCCTGGATGCCCAGGCAGAAGTTTGCTGCAGGGGCAGGGTCCTCGTGGAGAACCTCTGCTAGGGCAGTGCGGAAGGGAAATGTGGGGTTTGAGTCCCCTACACAAAGTCCCTACTGGGACACTGCCTAGTGGAGCTGCGAGAAGAGGACCACCATCCTTCAGACCCCAGAATGTCCCGTCAGCTTGCACTGTGCACCTGGAAAAGCTGCAGACACTCAACGCCAGCCTGTGAAAGCAGCCAGGAGGGAGGCTGTACCCTGCAAAGCCACAGGGGTGGAACTTCCCAAGACCATGGGAACCCATCTCTTGCAACAGTGTGACCTGGATGTGAGACCTGGAGTCAAAGGAAATCATTTTGGAGCTTTAAAAATTGACTGCCCCATTGGATTTAGGACTTGCATGGGCCCTGTAACCCCTTTGTTTTGGCCAATTTCTCCCATTTGGAATGGCTGCATTTACCCAATACCTGTACCCCCATTGTATCTAGGAAGTAACTAGCTTGCTTTTGATTTTACAGGCTCATAGGTGGAAGGGACTTGCCTTGTCTCAGATGAGACTTTGGACTGTGGACTTTTGGGTTAATGCTGAAATGAGTTAAGACTTTGGGGGACTGTTGGGAAGGCATGATTGGTTTTGAAATGTGAGAACATGAGATTTGGAGGGGCCAGGGGTGGAATGATATGGTTTGGCTGTGTCCCCACCCAAATCTCAACTTGAATTATATCTCCCAGAATTCCCACATGTTGTGGGAGGAACCCAGGGGGAGGCAATTGAATCATGGGAGCTGGTCTTTCCCATGCTATTCTCATGATAGTATATAAGTCTCACAGGATCTGATGGATTTATCAGGGGTTTCCACTTTTGTTTCTTTCTCAGTTTTCTCTTGCTACCACCATGTAAGAAGTGCCTTTTGCAGGCGCGGTGGCTCATGCCTGTAATCCCAGCACTTTGGGAGGCTGAGGCAGGTGGATCACGAGATCAGGAGTTCGAGACCAGCCTGACCAACATGGTGAAACCCCATCTCTACTAAAAATACAAAAATTAGCTGGGTGTGGTGGCAGATGCCTTTAATACCAGCTACTCAGGAGGCTGAGGCAGGAGAATTACTTGAACCCAGGAGGCAGAAGTTGCAGTGAGCTGAGATCGCACCATTACACTCCAGCCTGGGCGGTAGAGTGAGACTCTGTCTCAAAAAAAAAAAAAAAAAAACAACTGCCTTTTGCCTTCTGCCATGATTCTGAGGCCTCCCCAGCCATGTGGAACTGTAAGTCCAATTAAACCTCTTTTTGTTCCCAGTTTCAGGTATGTCTTTATCAGCAGTGTGAAAATGGACTAATACATTTACTTTGGACAATTTAAGCAGGAAAGTCCAGGCTACTCCTGGAAATGACGATAACAAGAAAGAGACAAAGCACCTGAAAAAGCATGTAGAGTTGTTGAGCTTTTATCTTTCTTTCTGGTTCAGCATCTGGCATAGTAGGTGCTAGACTGACACTTGTTGAATGAATGGAGGTATAGTAGAAATAGCTTCTCTGGGATTAATTTTATGGTTTGTAGTTTTGTTGCACTATGTATGGGTGGCATGTTGAAGGAAAACCCTGAAGGCCTAGATTCCAGTCCCACTTTCGCCACTCATTACTTCTGTGACATTGGCCCAGACACTTTGACTTCTCTGGATCTCATTTCCTACTTGTAAAACAGGGACAATAATGCTGTCCTTCTCATGCACATGGTTGTTATTTGCATTAAATGAGATAATGGGCATGAAAGCAATGGAAAACTCTTAAGGTACTCTACAAATATAGAATATAATCATTTTGAAAGCACCTGGCTTTGTAGACAACTGCGTGAACTAATGTATATTGATCAAGACATGTGTCTCGTTAGGTAAAAACTGAAAGTAAAACTCATACACTTAAGATGTGAAAATAAACTCAGCATCTGGCGTAACACTAATTTCAAAAAGTAGTATATTAATTTCAAGTAGGAAATTAAAACAATAAAACTGTGATGTGAAAAATGTTCAACATTGATGCCTCTGACCTACTTCTGATGTCCAACATATTTACAATTCTCCCGAAGACATTTCTATTAGGTTAAAACCCATTAGTATTTGTGAACAAACACAGAGTTTCTACCATTCACTGGGCACTATTAGGTACTAGGTGTCCGGGGATATTTCTATTGCTGTTCTTAGCTCTATTGTTGGTTTACTTGGCCAGTGGTTGCTAGCTTTGCCAGTGTGTGTGTGTTTGTGTGTGTGTGTTACTTATCACAAGTTTCGTTAGCTTGACAAAGAGCTGTGTATATTCATTTACATGACAAATACTTTTTTTGGATTAGCAACTCTAATAAGTACAGGGTATTTAGAAACTGTGTGTGTGTTTTTCTACCTGCAGTCGTAGTCTTAAGTATGTTTCTTAATAGCTATTGAACATAAGTTTAATATTAGCTGGATGAATAAAGTATTAGTTACTGTATTCTCTTAAAAATAGACGTAGCTTTGTTACAGCACAGAAAACTGAGCTGACCTCTTACTAGATTGGCTAAAATGAATTCTGATTAAACATTTTGTAATGGTTTATAAAGTTCGCTTCTCTACAGTATATTAAAAGATTTGTTTAAATGTTGACTGTAAGTTTGGTAAAAATGACAAAGCGGTAAAAATGACATTTGGTAAAAATGACAAGGCTTACACTTTTTGATGATGTTCATTTTCCCCAAAAGTACAGCTAAAGCTTTATCCATTATAATGAGAGTTCAGAAAAGGCAAATGACCACCTCTTTTTTTAAACCAATATGTCTTTGTGCAGTAATTTTCTTGTGGCAAGTGGCATAATCTGGGCGAAGGTAGTGATAAAACTCAGATATATTTCAAGAAAGCGAGTAAACACACTAATGACAATATTCGTATATTACATGCATCTGCTGCTTATGTACTTAAAAAAACTAAATAGGAAAATCTTACTCATCTCTGTAGAAAAACAGGGTAGAGATTACAACTTGGGGACTTCGTGATATTTTGTCTGTGTGCAGTTTGTCAGAAGGCAATTTATCTAAAGCTGGAAAAGGATATGGTTTGGCTGACTAAACTGTGTAGTGATACGAGTGATACGTAATGATAAAAATGCTTAGGGGAATTTTCGGGGCGCTCAAGTCAAGTGTACAGTGCTGTGTGGGTGTAAAAACCAGACTTCTCTCTCTGTGAAAGTTGCTGACATTTTATACCACATGCTGGACCGTTAAATCACAATTTACGTGGTCACTTGTAAATACGCCTGGTGGTGGAGGGCGAGCTTGTTTGTGCACACTTTGACATGCTTCCCTGTTGTGTGCCTCTCCCCTTTTTAAATTGCACTGGATACTTTTGTTCTGGAATCCTTGGCTGTCTAACCTGAAAGCAGTTTGGGTGAGAACTCTGGAACTGATTTATTTTCATAGGTGCTCCCTGAGGGGAGGTTTGAAGGATAATGCAGAAAAGCAAGCCTTCCAATCCTCCAACTAAAGTTCTCTAACTTGCTATTAACATGATTTCAGGCTTGCTAGAGTGCCCGAAATTCTGACATGAAGGGATTCCTTCTTCCACCACTGGGATTTGGAAGTCCCTAGGATGTTTGAATGGGGCATATTATTTAAACTCATTTTCAGTCTCCTCATTGGTAAAATGGGGCTACTCATACTTATCAAAGAGGGTTTTTGTGGAGATCAAATGAGACAATGCAAGTCACTTACTTGATATATGCTTAATAGTGACAAACATAGTGATATATATATATTAATAGTGATAGTTATTGCAATTTTTCTTTTTGTTAGGGGGAAGAGGAGGACAAACAGGCCTTTAACATGGTGGAGAATTTGTTTCCCTTCCAAATACAGTTGGAGGATTACAGAATTGATGCTCAAAGAGAAGGCTTTGCTTTCATTGCTTAAGAGGGTTTCTTGGAGAGGTTCAGCAAGAGAAACACAAAATGAGATGTAGAAAGGGGATGGGGAAGGAGACTGCATACTAATGTGTTTCATTTCCAAGTGCTTTAACTTTTCTAAGCACTAAGTCATCTGCTAACTTGTCTTCATAATATATGGGTAAAGTTGGCAGGGTGGGTATCCCTTTCTACGGGTGAGGAAACTGGAGTGTGGACAGATAAACTCACCTGTTGTCACACAACAAATCAGTGGTACAGTTGGGATTAGGACCCATGTCTCATACTCTGAGCACAGCAGTCTCTCTATTAGGTGACATTCTCAGAGTTCAATAATTTCTTTCACAGTTTTGTGTTCAGACCTGGGGTCCCCATTGCTGAGCCTATTATTGGCACCTTACAAAATATCACATATGAGAAAGGTTGTAGTCTCTTGGTCCAAAGGACTACTTTCACCTGGAGATGGTTGGAGTTGTAGTATCTGAGTTAGATAAGTTTTCACTTCACGGTCATGGGTGGAGGTCTTTCTTGGACTTGGGCCAGGAAGAATCACTGACCAGGAAGGTCACACAAGGCCTGAGTCCTTTCTAACACCATCTGTGCACTGTATTTCAGGGCCTAGTGGCTGCATTGAAAGGAATGGAAAGTAGTTGCTGGTTATGTTGAGAAATATCAGGAAAGTGTGATGCCTTTCTCCTGTATTCCCTCTTCCCTCCCTCATTTTTTCACTTTATTGATAAAAATAATCCCAAAAGATCAGAGAGGGGTTCTATAGGTGTTAAACCACTGTGTTATGACTTGAACTACAAAGCCCTTGGGGGCATTCAATTTCCTCATGTTTTGGGGTAGCAGCAAAATTTAATTTTAGGTAGAAAAGGGTTAACTTAGGGGCAATGTAATTCCCAAATTATCAGTGTGAAAATCATCTAACTGTATGTGAAAAATCCAATAATGTTAAAGGTAATTATCTGGGAAAGTAAAAATAATACACAGGTCTTTGGCCAGAAATAAGGATTTGGAACATTTCTCTATGCATAGAGAGTTCTCTAGTAGGCAAATTTAGATTCATGTCAGTCATTAAAGGTCCCTGTGAAGTATTTAGTTTATCAATTTAGCGCTACATTTTTCTACAAAGAAGAGTTGGAGTGGTTTAGGTAAGAACACAGATATGCTAAAACCAAACCAGATGAACCCAAGACAGAAACTAGAAAGAAGGCAGAAGGAGAGGATGAAGATGTAGCAGTGAGAAGCCTGTTGGAGGAAAGTTTGAGTCAGTGAATGTAAGCACTTTAGCTTCCTTGTGGCCTGGAGAGCAGGTATTTTTTGGCTATTTTCTTTTTTTATACATGTATCTCCAGCACTAGAAGAGTGCCTGACCTGTAGTTGCTCAATCAATACTTGCTGAATAAAAATATATGAAAATCTGTCAAATAAAGGGTTTAAAAAAGCTGGACTAAAATGTTGAAAATGATTAAAGCTGGGTGATGGGTTCATGGGAGTCTACTAGACTATTCTCCTCTACATTTGTGTGTGATTGAGAAATTTTATAACAAAAGCTTAAAAAAATAACAAAGAAGACTAGACACTGTAATCACTGGAAATAACCAGACATTAAAAAATCTTTGTTTCCCTTTTTGTTACAGGGCAAGCAAGTAAAAAGACATTTTATATTACTAAACACTATCATATGCTAGACAGTAGTAAAACTATAGTCCCCAAGTTTATCTTTGAAGGACTCCAATGGCAAGATTTTTAATAAACAAAGCTGATCATCTCATCTGTATCATTATTTCTTATTATCACTCTATTATCATGGACTCCCAGGAATCTTGGAGATGAATTTGTTCACCTCCTCTAAGAGGAATCATCATCATTGTCCACTCCCTGTCAGCACTTTTTTTTGAGATGGAGTTTTACTCTTGTTGTCCAGGTTGGAGTGCAATGGCATGATCTGAGCTCACTGCAACCTCTGCCTCCTTGGTTCAAGTGATTCTCCTGCCTCAGCCTCCCGAGTAGCTGGGCCTACAGGCACGTGCCACCACGCCTGGCTAATTTTTGTACTTTTAGTAGAGTCAGGGTTTCACCATGTTGGCCAGGCTGGTCTTGAGCTCTTGACCTCAGGAGATCCGCCCGCCTCAGACTCCCAAAGTGCTGGGATTACAGACTTGAGCCACCGCACCCGGCCCACTATTTTTTTTTTTTTTTTTTTTTTTTTTTGGAGACAGAGTCTTGCTCTTTCACCAAGACTGGAGTGCAGAGGCACAATCTTGGCTTACTGCAACCTTCACCCCCTGGGTTCAAGCAATTCTCCTGCCTCAGCCTCCTGAGTAGCTGAGATTACAGGCACTTGCCACAATGCCTGGCTAATTTTTATATTTTCTAGTAGAGACGGGGTTTTGCCACGTTGACCAGGCTTGTCTTGAACTCCTGAGCTCAAGTGATACTCCAGCCTGGGCCTCTTAAAATGCTGGGATTACAGGCATGAGCCACTGTGCCCGACCCCTGTCAGCAGTTTTGCTCTTCCCCTCTCTCCCTCCAGGCCAGAGGCCATGATCTACATCCAACTTCTCTGCAAATTCCTGAACTCTGACTCGATTGTCCCTGTCAATCCTGCCTTTGTGTCTTCCCTTTGAACCTCACTTTCTGATTCTCCTGGCTTCTCTTCTTGACTGTCCCTTCTTGTCTTGCCCCGTTCAGGTGTAGGAACCTGGCCTCAGTCCTAATGAGGCTCCTTCAGGATGCAGCCTCTGTGAGCTGCTTTTGGCTTGTCATGTAACAGCTCTGGCTAGGACTGTGCTGTGTAGGGAGTACCGTCCAGGCACCCAGGGTTGCTGGTCATTACTTTCCTCCTGGCCCCCTGCCCTTTGGGTATGCATGACCTGATAAGGAGCTTAAGGAAACCCACATTAATAGCACTAAATTAGGCTCTATGGAAAGAGAACTCCACAGTCAGGATCTTTGTGCACTCAGGACGGGAAGCATGGACACCCTGGAGAGCATTTGTATTAACATGGGCATTTAAAAAGGTCATACAGCTTGGCGCAGTGGCTCATGCCTGTAATCCCCACACTTTGGGAGGCTGAGATGGGAGGATTGCTTGAGCCCAGGAATTCAAGACCAGCCTGGGCAACATAGAGAGACCTTGTCTCTAAAAAAAGAAAAAAGAAAGAAATTTACTAGATGTGGTGGTGCATACCTGTAGTCCCAGCTACTTGGAGGCTGAGGTGGGGAGGATCACTGAAGCCCAGGAGTTCAAGGCTGCGGTGTGCCATGATTACACTACTGTACTCCAGCCTGGGTGACAGAGTGAGACCCTGTCTCTAAAATAAATAAGTAAGCAAGTAAGTAAGTAAATAAATAAAGAAATAAAATGTTATACAGTTGCTTCTCATTATTCATGGTAGTTATGGTCTGTAAAGTTGCCATGAATACTGAATTAGTGAATACTGAAACATCCCATCTGGGGTAAATACAGCTTCTGGTCACAACAGTTCCTCAACTGATCAATACGTAATCTTGTTTTATGTGTATTTCTATTTAAAAAGACGTTATTACTTATGTATTGTTGATTTATTAACATTGAACTTAGAGCCTACAGCACTATTCCTGAAAAGTTAATTCCAGAATGAAGCTAATCTAACATACATATTTTCTCCTGAGGCACATTTCAGCCTTCTTGCACTTAGAAACACTAGTCAGAATGTTAGCACTATACTTGGGGTCCATTTTAAACAGTGAAATCAGCAAAAAAAGCACAAAAATGCAAAAAACGTAGCACAGCAAAAAGGACACTTGTTTATACTACAAGAGCTGAAACAAGAACACAGTGTGTTGCTTTGTTTGACCTCAGCTAGGAATGTGTGCATTGGGTGACTCAAATTTTATGCGGCTCTGCGCATGTCTGCAAATGTCCACGAAAGTGCTGTATTGATTTGGGGGTTATAAAAAAATTTTAGTGAGCAAGGGAATTCACAAATACAGAATCCATAAATAATGAGAATCAACTGTATCTCCATTAAGTTAGCATGATATGTCATTATATTTAATAAAACAAAACATGCAATTTACTATATGTATGTTATAAAATATATGTAGCCATGTAAAATCGTGGTTCTTAATTCCATATCTTTGAGCCAGGATATCTGAGATGATAAAATTAGATTTCTAGATGAGCTATAAAAATTTAAAATATATAATCTCAGGCTTTACATCTTTAGGCTGTAGATGTTTATCTACTTCTGTATACTTTATATACATATGATATCATATATTTTACCACATGTATAAGTGTACAATCTTAAATCTTCCTTTATTGCAGTGGAAAAAGTTGAACTGAGACAATTTTCAGTGATTATCTGAAATATCATGTTTATATTTAAAGAATATATTAAAATCTAAACACTATAAATCTGACCTAAAATATTTTTTATTTCCTCCTTCACCTTGGTGAAGAGTTGTGAGCAGAAGGTATATATTATTATTATCACACCATAAAAACTATTTCCAAATTTACGTCTCCAATCTCTTCAAAGGACAGAAAACTTTCACATTTAAAATACTATGAAGATAAAGTGCCTTAGCTTTAAGCAAAAAATTAACCATTCCAAGGGCAGTGATCATATGGAATACATTATTAGGAGCTTTCCCAGAGAAACAAAAGAGAATTTAGTCAAAATTTTGGTTCAGCAAAACAAGGGATAGGAAAATGAAGGTTTCAGAATAGGAAGGCACACTGAACTCTGCAGCTGGAGTTTCCTCAGATGTATTTCTGTTTCCCTAGTCTCGAGAGCTGGGCTTTTGCAACTCACTGTTATAGGGTGATTATATCATTGTCACTTCATCTTCCATGGGTGCAGCAGGATGGTGGAATTTTGGGGGTGGCATGTTTTCAGTGCATTGTGGTCATGAGAAGAGTCCCTCTTTAGAAACTACTGATGCTTGATGCAGTGGTAGAAAAAACTATCCAGGAAGATAAACTAGGGCGATATATAATCTTTTCCCGCTAGCCATCCAAAATTTTCCTAAATATTACATAGACAAGGAAAATAAAGCATTAAAAGTCCATCTAGATACTAAGGAGGAGTAGGGAAAGACATTACAAAACACAAAATAACTACAGTCATGTGCCAAATAATGACATTTGGGTCAACAACAGACCTCATATACAACACTGGTCCCATGAGATTATAATGGAGCTGAAAAATTCCTATCACCTAGTGATGTCGTAGCTATCATGATATTGTAGGGCAATATATTACTCACGTGTTTGTGGTGATGCTGGTGTAAACAAACCTACCATGCTACCAGTCATATAAAAGCACCTATAATTATGTACAGTACATAATACTTACTAATGCTAATAAATGACTGTTACTGGTTTACGTATTTACTATACTATTTATCGTTATGTTAGAGTGTACTCCTTCTACTTATATTTTAAAAAGTTAATTGTAAAACAGCTTCAGGCAGGTCCTTCAGGAAGTATCCAGAAGAAGGTGTTGTTATCATAGGAGATGACGGCTCACACATGTTACTGCCCCTGAAGACTTCCTTTGGGATAAGATATGGATGTGGAAGACAATGATATTGATAATCCTGACTCTGTGTAGGCCAAGGCTAATGTGTGCTTTTGTGTTCTGGTTTTTAACAAAAATGTTTACATTAAAAAAATTAAAAAACAGAAAAAAGCATATAGAATAAGGATATAAAGGACGAATGTTTTGTACAACTGTACAATGTGTTTGTGTTTTAAACCAAATATTTTTATAAAAGTCAAAAAGGCTAAAAAATGAAAGTTACAAAGAAAAAAGTTACAGTAAGGTAAAGTCAATTTATTATTAAAGAAAGAAAAATCTTTTTTATAAATCTAGGGTTGCCTAAGTGTAGGTGTTTCTAAAGTCTACAGTAGTGAACAATCATTACTAGGCCGTCACATTCACTCCCCACTCACTCACCGACTCACCCAGAGCAAATTCTGGTCCTGCAAGCTCCATTCATGGTAAGTGCCCTATACAGGTGCACCATTTTTCATCTTTTATACTGTGTTTTTACTATCAGCGATACATCTCTCATCCCCCAGTGTGTGGTCAGGCTCACTGAGCAGATTCCACTGAAAATAGTCTTCGTTTTGCACACTTAAAAATTCTTTCCAAACAAGTGTTTCTTTTTAACATTCCCAAAGCAGATTGACTTTTTGAGTTTTGTATTGCTTCCAACTCTCTCAATGTCAGAGGCCTCAAATTAATTCCAACATCCCCTTGCTGTTTTCCCTTAAGAAGCTGTGATGGTGTTGCATTCACTTTGGATTCAGTCCATTTGTGTTTATTGGAAGGCCCCTTGAATCAGCATTTCCACTGCTCTCCCACATTTGTCATGGTCCTAGAAATGCTTATGATTAGGATGGGGATCTTGATAGTAGTCTCCATCACCTTTACTTCATCCCATGGTTATGAACAGTTGTATCCAGTTAAAATAAGAAAGAAGTCATGTGGAAAAAAGGGGGACAATTGAATATTATTAGAGCCTCAAGGAAGGAAGGAAGGCCACAGGGTGAAAACCATTGCATATTAAGTAGCTAAGCCTAATAGAAGCCAAAGGAAACAGCAGCAAACTGTTACAGAAAATTCTTTTGAACTGCCCTCCGCCCACTCTCTCCCCGCTGCTGTTGGTGACACGTGGACAGAAATCCCCCTGCACGTAGACACACATATGCCTGCCTTGACTTCTGATTGACCTTATCCCTTGAACATCAGGCTTAGGCCACTTTCATGGATTCTCATGTGAACGTTCATGCCTAATGCCTGACTGCATGCCCTCCGCACCAGCCACTAATAAGAAGAAGGAGGCTTCCCCTGGCCACCCAAGATGAGGCAGTGCCCACCTTCCCTCTTGTCACATTCTATTACATCATCACATTTTATTTCTCTGCCTAGGACTTACCACTGTCTCGTGTATTCATTAGTTGACTTGTTTATTATCTGTCTTCCCCAACCAGAATGTAATTCTGCGGAGAGGCTCTGTCTGGTTTAGTGTAATCTCCAAGGCCTAGCACTGTCCTTGGCATGGAGTAGCCCCCAGGAAATATTCGTTGACTGACTGACTATGAAATGGTGGAAGAGGAACTTTGCTCCATGAGTTGTGAGTGTATGCACAGCACAGGTGTTCAGAGTGATTTTCCCTCCCCCACGTTCACTACAAAAAGTACCCTCAGTTACAGGCCCAGGGGTAATGGCATCACCGCATTGTTGACTCAACTTGTAACTGACTTCTAGCTCTGTTTCTGACTTAGTTTTGGCCTTTGGGACAGGTCAGGAGGGTGCAGCAAAAACAAATACACCAGATGACTAGAAGCTGGGATCTTGGGTTGCAGGCTTGGTTTCAGCTCTGACTCACTGTGTAAACCATGGGTGACTCACTTAACCTCTCTAATTCTGCTTCTTCATCCATCAAATATAGAGGTTAGATAGATGACACTTCAGATCCCTTGTAATTCTTCCATTCTATAATGTTCCCCTTTACCTTTCTTTAAGTGTGAGCACAGCCTAGTCTCTTCATGCAGGAGTAAACGTACTTACAAAATGTCCTGCAACACTTAGGGAAATGCCACCACAAACATTCCGAGAGCAGCATTGCTGTGAACTGCACCACTCTCCTTTTGTTCCATTGAAGATTTCAGAACACATGCTTCTTTGCTCTGCACTTTAGGAATCTTTGTACTTGAAGTGGATTATCCTTTATTTTTATATAGCATTTAATCTGAGGATATCAAGATTTATTTGCAACCTGCCATTGAGTACTATTGTTTTTTAAAAAATGAAAGGATGACTTGCTGAAATTATAAGAATCACTCATACTGTAGTTGTAGCTGTGTAGCTGTTGATGCTACACATTGGAAATTCAGTTACAAAATAGTGATTGATTGATTGATTGATTGATTGAGATGGGGTCTCGCTCTGTCACCTAGGCTGGAGTGCAATGGCACAATCTTGGCTCACTGCAACCTCCGCCTCCCAGGTTGAAACAATTCTCCCACCTCAGCCTCTTGGGTAGCTGGGACTAAAGGCGTGCGCCACCATGCGGGGCTAATTTTTGTATTTTTTAGTAGAAACGGGGTTTCACCTTGTTGGCCAGACTGCTCTCGAACTCCTGACCTCAAGTGATCTGCCTGTCTCGGCCTCCCAAAGTGCTGGGATTACAGGTGTGAACCATCACGCCCAGCCAAATATTTATTTTTTAAATTAATACATGCACAGCAGAATTCCATGATAAACACCTGCTTATTACATGAATTAAGTCTATCACTTGCCAAAATGTCTGAGCCCCACAAATGACTGGGTCTACTGAGTATGCTTCCCGACACTTTTATTTTTATTTATTTATTTATTTTTTGAGATGGAGTCTCCTTCTGTTACCCAGGCTGGAGTGCAGTGGTGCAATCTCACTGCAACCTCCACCTCCTGGGTTCAAGTGATTCTCCAGCCTCAGCCTCCCGAGTAACTGGGCTTACAGGCGGGTGCCACTACGCGGGGATAATTTTTGTATTTTTTGTAGAGACAGGGTTCCGCCATATTGCTTGGGCTGGTCTTGAACTCCTGGGCCCAAGCGATCCGCCCACCTCAGCCTCCCAAAGTGCTGGGATTACAGGCGTGAGCCACTGCCCCCGGCGCCAACACTCATTTGCTCTTCAACCAACTGAGATTTGACTCTTTCTCTTTAGTTTGCTGAATCTTCTGTTGCTTTATAATGGCTGTTGCCATCTAAAATCCAAACTTACGGTCGTGTGTTAATTTCTATCTTATTTGATAGATTCACAGCAGGTTTTTGTGCCTTCTTACTAGGTCCCACTTGGCATTCATGCTGGGTTACACATCTATGTTCTGTACACTCTTTTCTGTGTACCTGGGATGTGTTCTCAATCTCATCTGCCTGGCAAACCCATTTTTGAAGATACTACTCAAACATTTCATCCTCTTTGAAGCCTTTCTGACCCACTCTTCCTGTGCTGGGAACAACTGGCTTCTCTTTTCTGAACTAATGTTATGCCAATAAACACCAGAGTAAGGGAATTTATTCCATATTCCATTATTTCTTTTTGCATGTCTGTATCACCTACTGAGAATTCATTGTGGATAATGATTTTCTTTTTAATTTTTATATTCTTAGGCATTGCCTAGTGCTCTCAATAAGTATTTGTTGAATAAATAAATGAATGAATTACTGAAAATACAGTGACTTAATTTCTGGCCCCAACACTTACGTTTTAGAAAGGTTTTGATCTCTGCCTGTGAAATGCTCTTTGAAATGGCTTTCTGAGTAGTAATGGGATTGGAAGAGTTCGGAGAATTCCATGTATCCTATGGTGATGTCTGGAGTGAAACATGGTATGAATCAAATTGCATTTTAGTTTAAATTAACTCATCCAATTAAGAGAAGTTAATTAGATTAACCTGCCAGCAAGGGATTAGAACTGGTATTATGATGACTAGTTTCTTCCTCATAATAATGAATGTGAAATTTCACTAATGGAGTGAAATTTGTGCAGCCACCCATGGATTGATTGAATTGGCAAAAATTCAAATAAGTTAAAAAAATATGGCTCTCATTGCTTTTGACTAATTTATAATTTTTAATTGAAAAAATGATTTATTATCAGTGTTAAAGAAGACTTAAAGAAATAAATAAATCACTGATAAATCTGTCATCCTAAGCAGCAGATGTTTTTGAGTTAAATATAACTTTTGCATACATGTATATTTTTATATAGTTGTATCATGGTATGTTTTTCATTTTTCTATAGGCTTCCCATATGTGATCATCTATAATGAATGTATAGCAATATTTACCAAAATATATTCTACAGAATGCTATTTTCTTGAGATTTAATTGACATTACTTGGGGATAATAAAACATCACTGAAGTCAAATAAGTTTGGGAAATTATAAAAGTAAACAAATTTCTTCACTGTAGTATTTCTGAAAGCCTATAATATTGTAAAATGCTTTTTTAAAAGATGAGGATTTGACACATATTCTCCAAATTAATATTTACGTGAAATGTTTTCTTTTTACACTATGAAAAACTGTCACACTAAAAACTGTTTAGAACATACTTTGGGAATCAGTGATGGGTAGAATTCTGTGGTGCTGCAATAACCTAATTTACTACCCCATTCCTCTACTGTTGGACAAGGATGTTCAAACCCAAGTTTCTTAACGTGGTCGACACATCCATGTAGGGTCTGGTCCCTCTTGGCCTCATCTCCCACCCTCTTCCCCCTTGCTCACTGTGCTCTTAACACCTTGGTTTCCTTCAGTTTCTGGAACTCACTAACCTCTGCCCCCATGTCAGGCAGGGCTTTTGCACATGCTAATTTGCCTCTTATAGATAATAGTACTTTTTTTTTTTTGAGATGGAGTCTCACTCTGTTACCCAGACTGGAGTGCAGTGGCATGATCTCGGCTCTACAACCTCCGCCTCCCAGGTTCAGGTGATTCTCCTGCCTCAGCCTCCCAAGTAGCTGGGACTACAGGCATGCACCACTACACTCAGCTAATTTTTGTAGTTTTAGTAGAGATGGGGTTTCACCATGTTGGTTGGCCAGGATGGTCTCTATCTCTTGACCTCGTGATCCACCCACCTCAGACTCCCAAAGTGCTGGGATTATAGGCATGAGCCACCATGCCCACTCTGATAAATAGTACATTTATCATGTTTCCTTTTATCGAATTATTTCCCAACTTACTACCCATTTTCAGGAGACATAATTAGTAACATAAAGAAATCTAGTACTATTGGTTTCATTTTGAACCAGCACTGTGCTGCATGGCATTTTCCTGTCTTTCCAGTAACAGCCAATCACAGCTCACTATTATGGATGTCAGCCTCAACAAAACCAAAAGAGCAAGGCACATAATCGATCACAATGCCAAGACCAGTGACTTTCAGATCAGTTATTCTATTCTCTCTGTGGATGAGATCCATTGAGGGTCGGCCAGATGTCTTTTTTCAGGGGTTTTTCAGAATATATGTTTCATGTTGTTACACATCATTGCTCACAAGGATTTTGCTCAGTGTGACAAGGAAGTGGCAGTTTGCTTGCTCCTTCCACACTCTTGAAGGCCTATGGTGCTCTAAAGGAAGTGAAGGGTGACTGTTGACCTAGTTAGAGCAGCCTCCCAAGAATGCAAAATGAGACCTGGGGGACACACATCCTACTCTGTATTTTGCAGCTCATCAGTAATTTTATTAGGAAAGAAGATGAAAGTATAGAAGGAATAATTATCAAAAAGTATAAGTGACCCCAAATCATAGAGTAAGGTTTTTGGTCTAACCCATTGATTTTACAGATGAGGAATGGCAGATCCAGGGCTGAGACCACAACACAACTTCAGGAGGAGGCATTCGCATAGACAATGGGATGAATGGGGCCCCCTGGAGTTGTTCAGTGGGTTAGCCCTGTTCAGAGAAGTTAAGAGACTTGTCCAAGGTCACTTTGTAGGTTTAGCCTGCTGTTCTTTTGTGTTTGATGATAGAATAGGCATGAACTAGAGAATTACAATTTGGACTGGCTACAGTGATAGTCTAAAATTAGTGTAAAGCCAAAAGTATAAACTCAGTTTAAGTTTTGAAATGAATTGACTCAATCAAGGTGGGGGACATATTGGCTTGACAGCATTTAAATTAAAAAAGTCTCAGTGAGGAGTTAGTTGGCCATAAGCACTGTGTTAGGCAACCTGAGGTCTGCAGTGGTAAAGTGATTTATTGGAATCCTATGCTGGAGTGATAGAGACAGTGCATCCCACACCCCTGTACTGACTAGGACGCAACTGAAATTTTGCACTGAGTTCAAGGAGTCATATTTTTTAAAGGGACAATAATAAATCTTTGATCTCCAAGGTCATGTGCAGGGCACTTAGTACCAACTCAATGGATGTTTATTCAGTTAGTTTGTTGCTAAACTAACTATGCTGTATGTAAAGTGCCTGACACATAGTAGGTGCCCAGAAATGTTAGTTTTTATTCTCTTTTCCGGAGGAGGACAATGAGATTGCTATAGATTCTTGCAAACATGCTGACTAAAGAACCCGTGAGGAAGTTAGGAATTACTGTGAATCTTTGAGTCTTCTAACACTGAGAGCCTGATTCTCTGCTTTATTTAAATAATAATAAACAGGATTTATTATTAAGATCTCATTGGAACTGTAGAAATGTCAGTGAGTCTCCCTCCCTCCCTCACTCCCTTCCTCTCTTTCTTCCTCCCTTCCTCACTTCCTTCCTTCCTTCCTCATTATTGATTATCCTGGCAATGTGTTACACTCTGGGAATTCAAAAATTAGTGATTTATGATTACTCTTAAGGGACAGACATGGAAACAAACACATTACAATATAGTGTGATAGTTGCAGCAATAGAAGCACGTGGACAGCACAGATATAATAATTCAATTCAACACATACTTGCTGTGAGAACTTCTATGTACCAGGCACTGTGCTAAGCTCTGAGAATACAGCTGAACACAAGACAGACACATCTCTTGGGGGGAGATAGACATTAAATAATTAATTACATATGTGGAAGTATTCCACAAGCTACCATGAGAATGAGGGTTGTGAGAAAAGAAAGGCTTCGCTGAAGAAGTAGT
This sequence comes from Homo sapiens, assembly GCF_000001405.40. Classification (NCBI taxonomy): domain Eukaryota; kingdom Metazoa; phylum Chordata; class Mammalia; order Primates; family Hominidae; genus Homo; species Homo sapiens. The sequence goes on from NC_000013.11 coordinate 50,250,533, forward strand.
GTTTGAGCTGAGGCTGAATAAAGTGTAGAGATTGGCCAAGCGTGAAGGGAGGGGAAGAGAATCCCAGCGAGATGTCACCAGTGAACTTCCCTAAAGCCCCGTCATCAAGCTTCCCTGAAATCGTTTTTGTAAAGAACCTTTTTTTTTTTTTTTTTTTTTAGAGATAAGGTCTTGCTTTATTGCCCAGGCTGGAGTGCTGTGGCATGATCAGAGTTCACTGTAACCTCGAACTTCTGGGCTCAAGCGATCCTCCTGCTTCAGCCTCCTGAGTAGCTAGGACTACAGCCATGTACCACCATGCCTGGGTAATTATCTTTTTCTTTTCCATAAAGACATGATTTCACTCTGTTGCCCAGGCTGGTCTCAAACTCCTGGCCTCAAGTGATCCTCTTGCCTTGATCTTCCAAAGGGCTGGGATTACAGGTATGAGTTACCACACCTGCTGATTTCCGTGAAATCTAAATGTTCTTTTGCAAAGTTCGTGTGTGAGGATCACTTCAAGTTTTTCTCATATTTGCTGGAGAGAGAAATAATCCAAGATGCACATAGAGGTATTATAGTAAACTTGGAGACTCATGCTTGTTTTGGCAGTGTTGGTGTGACTTACAGACAAAATAGAAGGTCTTGTTTGTTATGAATTAAAGAGTTTGGAGCAGATCTTCCACACTTATATGGAGATTCATTTCTTAGGGTGACTTTCTCTCAAGGGCATCTTATAAAATTCATGTATTCTAAGAAAATATAATACATTAGCAGGAGTAAGTGTAACATTACTTTTTGAAGGAAGAGAAAGGAAAGAAGGGGCAAAGGCCTTGTTGGGGTCGGGGGAGTGACCTGAAATTAAAGGATAATGAAGGGGAGGCCATGGAATAAGATACCACATTTCTCTAGACTCAAACTGTCTAGGGCTGGCCTTGAGGAATGGGTTAAAATAAAATATAGAAAAAAAAGAGAAAATATTGGAAACCAAAATGATTTACATGGGTGCTCTGAATTCATGAATCATCTACAGAGAAGTAAGAGTGAAAAATCTTCCTTGAAAAACCCACTCAGTGACACTTCTCTGACCACCCTCTCCTGGATGATGTTAATCGCCTTTTCTTCTGTACTATCTCACTTCTTTGTATTCATCTCAAATTTTGCAAATGTTACCTACTGTGTTATATGGTTTGCTCGTAGTTTTTGTCTTTTATTCATCTCTAAACTGCTTGAGATTGGATTTATTCTCTCATGATTCTCGGCACCTAGCTCAGTACCTGAGATTTGGTACTTTTTTTGGGTGAATTAACGAGCAATTTTGAGGGAATGGAAGAGAGAAGAATGATTTAGATAGAGGTTAGACAAAAATTAAAATGTTGTGGAGGACAGATAGGGAATGAAGTGTCAAGATAAAAGAGCTATGACAACAAAGGGGGCCTGACGCAGTTTGGGCCCTCAGGAGGTCTCTGAGGGAGTGCTGTTGAGTTGAGATCTGAAAGACGATCAGGCATGTACTAAACCAGGAGAGGAAACCTAAGGGAGCAACCCAAACAAGTCTCCTGGATAATGATGGAAGTGAGTTAAGAGCTAGATGGAAGGTAAAATCAATAAGGCTTTATTACTCATTCAACAGATGCTATATTCCTTACATCCCTCTAGCTCTGGAGACACAGTGGCAAATGAGCAAGTCCAGCATTCAAAGGACTTACATTTTAGTAGAGAGAGATAGATAAACAAACATGCAATCATTATTTGTTGATGGTGCCAGAGATAATTGACAAGGATGGCTTCCAGCTTTCTAAATTGGGCAACTGATGGATGCTGGGCTATTTGCAGAGACAGGAAATGCTGAAGGAGGACCAGGTCTGTCCAGGCAGGGTATGGATTCCATTTTGGACATACTGTTTAAGTGGCTTTGAGATGAACAAATGGATTCCAAGTAGTCAGTTGTATATGTGGGCTTGGGTTTGAAGTTGTCTGGGCCTGAGACACACATCTGGGAGTCAGTAACGTATAGATGGTAATTAAAACCATGGGGGTAGGAAGAGCTATCCTTACAACCACTCAAACCAGGCACTTCAATTCATGGAGAGCCGTTCACATAGACTGTGGTCTGAATAGTGTCTCCTGCATTTATACAGAGTGGTGACCATGGGTGTGGACAAGATGACCTAGTGAAAAAATATGGAGTGAGAAGAAAAGTGAGTTTCTAGGACTAAATCTTCAATTACTTCAACATTTAAAGGCCCGGCTAAGAGGAAAGAGTTCTTAAGGGAGAGTGTGGTGGAGCAGCAGAGTTGGGAGGAAAACCAGGAGCGTAATGTCAGTGAAACCCAAGGAAGAGAGAGCTTTGAGGAGGAATCGGATAGCAGGGTCAACTGCTGCTGAGAAATCTAGTAAGATACGAACTGGACACATGTCATCTCAGCTCATTGGTGGCCTCAGTAAAAGCAGTTTTGCAGGAGTGATAAAAGTGGAATAATATGGCCAGATTGGAATAGGTTGAGAAATGAGTAGGAGGTGAAGACATGTAGACAGCTGATGTGTCCTATAACATGACATTTGAAGAATGTCCTCACCCAGCCATGTGGGATGAGCCCCAAGTTGAGGCAATTCAGCTCAGATGGAAGTGGTAATCTTGCAAGAAACCCAATTTGGAGTTGTCGGGCTTAGAAGTGATTAGGGCTCTGAGAAATAGATTTTTCTTTTTTCACTTCCTCTGCCATTTTATTCTCTCAAATATGACATTGATTAGAATGCCAGTGTTTGAGGTGATGACAAGAGAGTGTTTTTGGAATAGGGACTGGAATTTCCAGCACACACATTGAGTTGATTCTACTGTTATATTTGAATAGCACTAATAAATTGGGAAAACATGGTGCAGACCACACACAACTGTTGGAATGTCCTCCACTGATGTAAAGATTATATGATTATATTCCCCAGACCCTTGCATTTAAATACACCCTACTCTTCTTGCCCAGTCTGTCCATTGGCCTTTAAGGAAATACCAATCTTGTAATCACTCTCAGCTTATGATGTTTCTCGGCCTCTTCAATGGCATGTGGGAATTAGTGTTTCCTGGGTGAAGGTTAATTTGGGGGAAGAGTCTAGATAACTCAGTGGCTTTAGGACTCATTTGTTGGGACCAGAGGTCCCACATTTGCCCTTGACCTTATGGGATCTGTGGGTTGTCTTTTCCCTTTGTTGTGGGACTGCCATCCAAGAACCTGTTCTCTGTATCTATAGCATGGAGCTGTCCTCCAGAGTGCTCTTTAGAAAGAGCTCCAATAATTGGGAATTATGCAAATTTAGAAAAGGGTATTTCAAGTCTATTTTCAGTCATTTCCCAAGATATTTAAAAGTATAGTATAGAGAAAAATCGTTTTGCATTTCATATAGGCTTGGGATAGCCCATTGTCAAAATTCAGTGCATGTCACAATGTAATTCACTGGAGGAAAATATGCTATCAACAGGATTTCCAAGCAAAAAGCCTGGCACTAATTATTGCCCTCTCTTTAGTGTCTTTAACTGCCAGATCTAACATGTGTTAACCTTATACAGCATAGTTGTAACACCAAAGGTTAGTCTCTCATTCATACAAAATTTGTGTGAGCTTAGGAATTCACCACTAAGCACATCTAAGCAATGTTAAAAGAGTGGGCATATATTCACTATTCTGATATAACTGCACACAGAGTTGGTAACTTGAAAAGTGAAGAATATATAATATAAATGGTAATGTGAAACAAAAAATTCTACTGAAGTTTATAGAATGCAGGTGTACCTATCAACATCACCTGTATTCAGCCATTTAAAAATCTCTCATTTTACACACACACACACACACACACACACACACACACACACACACACATCTTTGCTCTAATCAAATATTTCCACTTAAAATTCAAATGTTTCCTTGAAGGAAGATATTGTACTGTTTCAAAGTAGAGTTAGAGTCAATACAGTCTTTAGTTTTACACACAGGTTCACTGGAGGCTGTTCTGCCTCGGTAGCAGTCACTCAGTTTGAAATAAATTAGTGTTTGGAGGCCGGGCGCGGTAGCTCATGCCTGTAATCCCAGCACTTTGTTAGGCCGAGGTGGGCGGATCACCTGAGGTCGGGAGTTCGAGACCAGCCTGACCAACATGGAGAAACCCCCGTCTCTACTAAAAATACAAAATTAGCCGGGCATGGTGGCACATGCCTGTAATCCCAGCTACTAGGGAGGCTAAGGCAGGAGAATTGCTTGAACCTGGGAGGCAGAAGTTGCGGTGAGCCGAGATTGTGCCATTGCACTCCAGCCTGGGCAACAAGAGTGAAACTCTGTCTCAAAAAAAAAAAAAAAAAAAAAATTAGTGTTTGGAAAAGCTGTGGGGTGGAACACCTTCTTACTCTTTGGGAGCAACTGGGAAACTAAAGAGAAAGAGATATGTCTTGTCTTGAAGGAAACTTGTTGACAATTGCTTAATAGAATGATGATAACTGAAAAAAATATGTATTCGTTTTTTAGTCTCTGAACATTCCCATCTATTTTGTGTTGGATAGGAACATCTAATAGGAACATCCACTAGTAGATAGAAACATCTGCTATGTGTTCCTACCTGTGTTCTCTATTTGAAGTTGGAGATCTCTCAAGAACAAGTATTCTTTCAGGAAAGTACCACTGCTATCAGTAGTCCTTTTTTATAATTTTTTTTTGTTTTATTCATGTTTTCAGTGTCACTTTTACAATGTACTCCTCTTGTATTCTTTCTTTGAATGGTCAGATGTCAAGCACTGTAGGAGTTTTGGGGCAGGAAACTGGTCTGCTAAATCTGTGAACTATTGCAGGTCACTGCTGCTGTGATACTTTGGGAATGAAGTCCCAATGATACCTCTAAACAGTCACAGCTGTTTGAGCTCTCTCAGCTACTGCAAATAATTCACTGACCTGCACAGTTAGAACTATCAAGAGTTTTTTAAAAGCAATGTTGCCTGCATAGAATTGAGAAGTTGTAGAAGAAAAGAGAGAAGGCCTATTCAATATTTTAAAGATTTATTATGTTTTTCTGATTATAAAAGTGATACTGGCTGATTACAGACAACTTGGAAAAGACATATTAAATATTAAAAGAAAAATGTTCTATTTATGGAGCGTTTGGATACTATGTTTTTGATGTTGTGCATGTGTTCTTGGGGACTTGACTTCATGTCAATAAAGGACAGCAGCATCTCATAATGCCACTGCCATTGGCCTTGCACCTCTGCTCTGATTTTCTTTCCTTTCACAACATCATAAACAAAACCACATGTTACTTGTGTGGTCAAGTTAAAGGAAAGAATATCTCACCAAAATGAAAGAACTACAGGTGAAAAAAATAAACCCAGCCCTATGGTTTTCCTTTGCTCACTGTTATGTTTCTTGTAGGAGGCTTGAAGTGGCAAATGTGAGCCAGTGGTCATAGCTTGAGCTATCTGTTTTCTGTATGCACTGCATCCAAGGCTGGCTTTCAACTCACTAAAGAAAATTTATCCCAAACAACAGGACTTTGATTTTCCAAGCTCCTTTTCAAACTCAGCTTGGCTTTATTGATGTTGAATATATTTATTCATGGTGTTTGCACTAGTCTTGGAGCTGTCTGTGTGAGTAGACCTGACTACATATTGAATTATACATTATTCATTTGCTATAATTTCTTTGACAGCCATTTTCTCCTTCTAAATTCTGTTGTAGAATGCAGGTGTACCTATCAACATCACCTGCCTTCATCCATGTTTAAATCTCTCTTGTCTTATGCACACACACACACACACACACACACATACCCCTTTGCTCTAATCAAGGATTTCCTTTTAAAAATTCAAATGTCTGGGCAAGGACTTCATGACTAAAACACCAAAAGCAATCGTAACAAAAGCCAAAATTGACAAATGGGATCCAATTAAACTAAAGAGCTTCTGCATGGCAAAAGAAACTACCATCAGACTGAACAGGCAACCTACAGAATGGGAGAACATTTTTGCAATCTACCCATCTGACAAAGGGCTAATATCCAGAATCTACAAAGAACTTAAACAAATTTACAAGAAAAAATCAAACAACCCCATCAAAAAGTAGGTGAAGAATATGAACAGACACTTCTCAAAAGAAGACATTTATGCAGCCAACAGACACATGAAAAAATGCTCTTCATCACTAGTCATCAGAGAAATGCAAATCAAAACCACAATGAGATACCATCTCACACCAGTCAGAATGGTGATCATTAAAAAGTCAGGAAACAACAGATGCTGCAGAGGATGTGGAGAAATAGGAACGTTTTTACACTGTTGATGGGTGTGTAAACTAGTTCAACCATTGTGGAAGACAGTGTGGCGACTCCTCAAGGATCTAGAACTAGAAATACCATTTGACCCAGCAATCCCATTACTGGGTGTATACCCAAAGGAGTATAAATTATGCTACTATGAAGACACATGCACACGTATGTTTATTGCGACACTATTCACAATAGGAAAGACTTGGAATCAACCCAAATATCCATCAATAATAGACTGAATTAAGAAAATGTGGCACATATACACCATGGAATACTATGCAGCCATAAAAAAGGATGAGTTCATGTCCTTTGCAGGGACATGGATGACGCTAGAATCCATCATTCTCAGCAAACTATCACAAGGACAGAAAACCAAACACCACATGTTCTTACTCATAGGTGGGAATTGAACAATGAGAACACTTGGACACAGGGTGCGGAACATCACACACCAGGGCCTGTCAAGGGGTGGGAGCCTGGGGGAGGGATAGCATTAGGAGAAATACCTAATGTAAATGACGAGTTGATGGGTGCAGCAAACCAACATGGCACATGTATACCTATATAACAAACCTGCATGTTGTGCACATGTACCCTAGAACTTAAAGTATAATAAAAAAATTCAAATGTCTCCTTGAGAATGGTGGCTTTCTAAGGGAACTAGGAGTTTTCTAATAAATGGCTAAAAGAGAGACATTCATGGAATGATGTAGAGGATATATTTTTGAGAGTGGAGTATAAAAATCAGCATGAAGCATAGGAGATAGAAATGGGAAGTAGTAGCATGTCAAAGGCAAGCCTCCATTCATTTAAACCAGCACCTAGATCAAGAAAGAGACCATCGCCAGAGCCCCAGGAGGCCTCCTGCAAACCTCCTTCTTATCATTAACTCATCAAAAGTAACTTTTACCCTCACTTCTAATACCACAGGTTGGTTTTAAGTGTCTGCTGGGTTCTGCTGTGATGACAAAGAACCCAGTTTTCAGTGGTTTATATTCTGTTTTGGATGCTGGTATCGGGATACTGCACACTCAATTTCAGCTTTGCCTGCCGTGCCTATGTCAGGTTCTGCATATAGAGGGGACTGGGGGGAGCCTGCAAGCCTAGAGGGAAAGAAGGACTTGCTTCCTCCTAGCCACTTGCTATTCTTCTGGGCATTAGTCTAGTAATCCTTCTATATTGTGGTGATGGCAGTTCCTTGCTCTTGCAGCAGCTGAATCCAGTTTGTAGTTCTTCCTAAACTTGTGGGTCTGGCTTCATGGCATCCCCATAGAGCACTAGCTGAGCAGCACCACCTCCTTAGAGCTCTGGGTTTCAGCCCCATGGGGCCTCTCTTCCACGTTTGGAGACCCCAGCAACAAACGGTCACAGGTCTCCTCCAAAAGTTTCCTTTGTTCACATAGACCTACCTCCTTGATGCCTAAGAGTTCTCTTTTTACCCTAGCTTTACAAACTCAGCTTTGTGCCTAGTTGACACATTTTTAATGTGAAAAGATCTCTATTCAAATAGCTGGTAAGATTTCTGCCTTTTAAGTAATAAATTTAGATTTCTTTTATCTTTTTTGCTTTCACTATGTAGACACTCATTTCTCATACCCCTATTCTACTAATATAGTTGGACCATTTATTCATTTACCTAAAATATTGAGCACTAACTTTGACCAATTTAATCAAATTGTCTTCCAAGAATACACTAGTTTTATAAACCTTCTTTCCTTATGCTCACAAAAGTTAAATATTCTCTCAATTCATTTTCTTGAAGAAGTATCTTCTGGAACCTAAGACCAGCTCCAGGCTGAGCAGGGTCTACTGCATAGCTGTTTCCTTATAAATCTTCATTTATCACCGTTTTGGAGATTCCTTCTCTTGTATGGGGTAACTTGTTATCTAGAGCTCATGTTTTCTCTTTCTTGCTTTGTTCCCTTGTTTTGCCAGAGCACACCTTCTGGTAGCTTTTGAAGAAAGAGTGCATGGGAGAAAAAAATGTTTTGAGATATTTTTCATGTAAACCTCTCAAAGTATAAAATTCAAGGCTAGAAATTGTTTTCTGTCAATTGTAAAGTGAATGCTTCATTGTTTTCTTGCCTCTGGTTTCTCTGTTGAGAAGTTTATTGTCCTTTTGACTACTCCTTTTTATGAAAATTTTTGTTTCTCTATGTTTTCAGGATCCTCAATATTGGAAATCTTCACAATTATGTATATATTGGTGTGTGTATGCTTTCAGCCATTGTACTGGACACTCAGTGGGCTCTTTTGATGAGGAAACTCCTGTCTTTCATTTTCAGGAAATTTTCTTGAATTATGTTGCTGATAATTTTTTCTTGTTTTTTTTTTTTTTCCTCTAGATTATATGTATATTGAACTTCCTAGACTGATTCTCCAGTTTTCTTAGGTTTTCTCTCCCATTCTCCATCTGGTTTTTCTTCTTCCTTTTCTTTTTTCCCCATAAGTGCAATATTCTCCTTTATCTCTCTGAAGTTATTACTGATAGATTTTTTGAAGCTTTTTTCCCCCTACACACTCTGTTTCCTCCAAGGTGCTTTTTTCTTTTTGTTTATTTGGTATTTGTCTTTCATAATAGAAGTTTTCCTCGTATATCTTATATCCTTAATTGCCTGTTCATATGCTAAAATGGGACATAGAAAGCCTATTGAAAACCTTGTGTGTGTATATGTGATACACTTGAGGGTGGTTTGGCTAGAATATTCTTTTGGATAAATTTCTGATGCTCATAACTTTAGTTTCTTTTTCTCTTGGGCTGGTTGGATTCCTAGAGAAGACTCTTCCAACCTACTGCCAGAGGGTAGAAGCCTGTCAGTGTTATGGGAGCTGAGTGAGAAAATAAGCCTGGGGGTCTCAATATCTTGCATTTTACTTCATCCACCTGTTTTCAATATGATACATCCACACTCATTAGTGTTTATTGTCTTGCAATCCAGAGACCTTCTTTTTACCCTCTCTAGAGAATAAACCTTTGTCATCTAGTAGGGAGAGTAGGAATTTGAAGACTTTTAAGCAAACCAATTTTAGCCTAATATTATTCTCTCTTTCCTGAGATACCTGAGGTTCTGAGGTAGGAATTGGGTTGCTTCTGGGCCTTCCCTGATGTAGATAAGGATTTAGCTTTCTTTGTACTGTGATGTCAGTTACCACTTTTTCATCAGCTAACTTCCAAAAATTATTTTTTTTGCTATTGTAGCGTCTCCCATCTTCACATTTGTCCTTATGGGCTTATGCCTTTAAGCAAATCTCTGTACTGGCATTTCATTACAGTTTTGGGATGGAGAAGAATCTGAAGTGTGAGTCCAGTCTACCATTTTTAACAGAAAATCTTTGAGATTTCATGGACGTTCCCCTCCACTTTTTTTTTTTTTTTTTTTTTTTTGCTAGGCTGACACTATGTTGTGCACTCTAACACAGGGACATTGATGTTGCATGCGCATGTTTTCACCTTAGCATGAATCATTTTCAACTGGCTTCTTACTTCAGTCCCTCAAACCAATATGTTCTTTTTTTTTTTTGAGATGGAGTCTTGCTCTTGTCACCCAGGCTGGAGTGCAGGCGATCTCGGCTCACTGCAAGCTCCGCCTCCCAGGTTCACGCCATTCTTCTGCCTCAGCCTCCTGAGTAGCTGGGACTACAGGTGCCCACCACCATGCCCGGCTAATTTTTGTATTTTTTTTTTTAGTAGAAATGGGGTTTCACCGTGTTAGCCAGGATGGTCTCGATTTCCTGACCTTGTGATCTGCCTGCCTCAGCCTCCCAATATATTCTAGTTGAGTCACTCCACTTATCTTTCAGACATAACCCTACAAGTCTGAATTCTAACCCTGGACACAGCTCAGGCTCAAACCAGAATTCTTTTCTCTCACGATAGCCTTCTCTTTCACTAGAGGAGTCAGAGGTGGGCTGTTCAAATTGGTTCTGGTGTTACACTGTTGACTCATTAATAGAAGCATGTTTTCCCTAGTGTGATTGTTAAAATCCTAGTTATAAGGCACTCACTTTGCATATAATTGCATATTTTGGTACTCAGTAGTAGGAAACTGGTTGAGGATATTCTGATATTCTAGAACATTTGTTTCAAAAGATACCTTGCTATGATAGAGGCATCACATGCAATACTATAGCTATAAATATAGTTATTTTCTGAATTGTCTTTTTAGAGAAACATACTTGCTGATAGGAAATTTTTACCTTGGATGGCTGGTTATATAATGTCATATTAACAAAACAAATAATATCTAGAGAAATCTGTATAATCTTATAAAAATTATGATGATCAACTCTAGTACTTCCAGCCTGCAGAAATCTTGGTCCTTTGTATGACATGAAGTTGCCAAAAAGATACTTAGAGTGGTTTCATCTTAATATTTTCATATGTACATCAAAGGAATATGAATGCTTCCAAGATGTTAGTCTGTTTTGTTGAATTTCACAGCTTTGCATCCCGAGTCAGGAAGCTGTCATGGCGTTGTGCTGGTACACCAGTGCGGATGCCAGCATGTGCATATGCTGACACATATGCTAAACCAGGAGTCAAGACTCCAGCACTCAGATGAATGTTAGACATCTCTCATCTAAATTCAGAGCCAAGGAGGTCCGTGTAGGCAGGCTTTCCCTAAGCTTCCCTTCTGGCTATGATTTGAAATTAATCATTTTAATCATAGGTTAACATCAGGGTCCATGTAGTTAAAACATGAGACTTGACAAATTTTCATAGCCTAAGGCTACAGTCTTTATTGCCAGAGCAGTAAGCCACGGAACATAGTCATTGTGGTAGGAAAGATTTTTGTCTGTCTGACGTCTTTGTGGGTATCATTACTTCCCAGTTCTCAGGTATGGGTATTCTGATGGGGCTATCTACAACCTTTGGATCCAGAGGCAGGCACATGACCCAAGCCTGGACCATCAAAGTGCTCATGGAGTTGATGGCAGTGATGGCTCAGGAGCCAGCACCTGACTCAGCAGGCTTGTCTGAGCCTGCCCATGAGCTCTTTCTGGAGCTGTCTGGGATAAAGTGCCATCTCTTTGCTAGGCTGGTTGGCTGTAAGGACAGCATGTCTAAAGCTGCTGCTGGTCATCTTTGCTACTCCTGGGAGAGAGTTTGAGAAACAAGTTAGTACAGAGAAAGCAGAACCAAGGGATGGAGGAAAGGAGGCAGATTCCAGATGATATTCTTTGTACCCCAGGAATATCTCAAATGAGGAATGCCCCTGGACTTTCTAATTTTGAGAGTCCAATAAATTCTGTTTTTGGAAAGCTGGTTTAATTGGATTCTATACCTGCAATTGAAGGAGACTGACTAATATGGTTATATTGGTCTTCACCAACTGTAATTTTTCTGTAAACTACGTATACTGGTCAGATTTTAGATGGCAATCAAGTTGAATTATCCAACCGAGCTGTCTGTATTGATGAGCTTAACTCAGTATTTTCTAAATCTCTACTTTGTACAGTGTAGACACCTCTAAACAAGTAATAACAAACTGATATTCAAGCGCAAGTGGTCCACTCTGACTAATTGTCCACCTCTCAGGGTTTAGAGACATCCCTTGTAAATGATTATGGAATTACCTATTTCACAGAGACACTGTGGTAATTATTTCAAATAAGTCCTTTAGGACCCTTGAATATACTTTTTTTTTTTTTTGAGACGGAATCTTGCTCTGTCGCCCAGGCTGGAGTGCAGTGGTGCCATCTTGGCTCACTGCAAGCTCCGCCTCCCAGGTTCATGCCATCTTCCTGCCTCAGCCTCCCGAGTAGCTGGGACTACAGGTGCCCACCACCATGCCCGGCTAATTTTTTTGTGTTTTTAGTAGAGAAGAGATTTCACCGTGCTAGCCAGGATGGTCTCGATCTCCTGACCTCGTGATCCGCCCACCTCGGCCTCCCAAAGTGCTGGGATTACAGGCATGAGCCACCGTGCCTGGCCGAATAGACTTAATTGTAATAGCAAAAGTTATTTTATTGTCATTATAGGATGCCTGTTAATTTCTCTATTGATCAGAATGTAGTAAGAATTTTCTCAAACTTATCTAACTCTAAACAGATGGATCTAAATATATTTTTTTCAGTATAAAGTCTGAGAAAAATTCAGATAGGATTATTCTATTGTGTGTTCAAGTTACAAATATGGCTGATTTATGAAATGTTGACAGCTAGTATTCTAGGGTTTTAGCCTGGCAATTCTTAAAATATTTAAGGAAAAGAGTTTTAAAAAATAAATCCAATATTAAATGATGTAACATAACACATTGTTAATAAGAGACGTTAGGGTCTCCAAAGAATATGCATACAAAAGAATCAAATATATTTCATATATTAATTGACTTGCTAAATCCTCTTCCAATCTCTCTCTTTCTCTCTCTCTCTCTCTCTCTCTCTTTCTTTCTTTCTTTCTTTCTTTCTTTCTTTCTTTCTTTCTTCTGACAGAGTTTTGCTCTTGTTGCCCAGGCTGGAGTGCAATGGCGTGCTCTCAGCTCACTGCAAACTCCGCCTCCTGGATTCAAGCAATTCTCCTGCCTCAGCCTCCCGAGTAGCTGGGATTACAAGTGCCTGCTACCACGCCTGGCTAATTTTTATATTTTTTGGCAGAGACAGGGCTTCACCATGTTGGCCAGGCTGGTCTTGAACTCCTGACCTCAGGTGACCCACCCCGGCCTCCCAAAGTGCTGGGATTACAGGCATGAGCCACCATGCCCAGCACAGTCTCTCTTTCTATATAACACATACTAGAGCTCTTTCTTGTCTACATTAAGTTGGTCCTCTGTCCTCTCACCCTATTATTCTTTTGTAAAGACAGCTTTGTTGAGATAGAATTTATGTATCATAAAATTCACCCATTTATGATATACAATTCAATGATTTTGATTCCATTATTATTATACAGAAAATAAGCTACACTGTTTATTTTCTTAATTGCACATATCAAAATTTGTAGTTACCTATTTACTTGTTTATTTATTGTTTATGCAACATAATCCCAATTTTGTGAGAAAAAAAATACTGTGTGCACTGGACAGACAAAGATCAAAAGAAATACAGGATTATGGAGAATTTTATTTTCTTTCTTGAAATTTTCTGTGTTTTCCAAAATTTCTCCAATGAGCATCATTTCTTTTTATCAGAAAATATACATTACTTTAAAAATGATCTTTAAGTACAACAATGTGGGTGAATCTTAGCAATATAATATTAAGCTAAAAGACGTTCCAAAAGAACACACACAAAACGCTATACTTTTATATGTCATACGTTGTTTTATATGTCAAAACCAACCAAAATGAAAATACTATTTTATTTATTTATTTATTTATTTCGAGATGGAGTTTCGCTCTTGTTGCCCAGGCTGGAGTGCAATAGTACCATTTTGGCTCACTGCAACCTCTGCCTCCTGGGTTCAAGCGATTCTCCTGCCTCAGCCTCCGGAGTAACTGGGATTACAGGCATGCACCACCACACCTGGCTAATTTTTGTATTTTTTTTTTTTTGTAGAGACGGGGTTTCACCATGTTGGCCAGGCTGGTTGTGAACTCCTGACCTCAGGTGATCCGCCCACCTTGGCCTCCCAAAGTGCTGGGATTACAGGCGTGAGCCACCGCGCCTGGCTGAAAATATTATTATTTTTTGAATAAATATAAATGCAATAAAACTTACATCACAAAAAGCAAGGGAGTACTGAACATAGGATTTAGAATGACTGTTATTTCACATGGGTAGAGCCAAGTGAATGGAATCGAGGAACCATATAATTAGGCAGAGGTTATTGTTAAGAATCTAGTTTTTGTTTTATGAGTTCTTGTAATATTAAAATAGAAGATAGATAAATAGATACAGTCCATATTTTATAAACATATTGTCTCCTTATTCGAGTCGACTGTCTTGTGGGTTATAGCAGTTTTTGCAAGTAGATTCTGTCACTAAAATGTGCTGGTGTCACCAGGGCCAGCACCACCCAATGATATCTCTGTGTCCTCCTTCCCCTGGGAAGAGGAATGTGAGATGGGGTACGGCCCAGGCATGTGGCATCCCAGCCTGCAACTGTGCTGCTGATTGGGTGTCCATCTGATCGGCTAAAGCCCTGCCTTGGTTGTTCAGTGTTTTCAGCATTTTTCCCAGCATGGGCAAAGCCACCAAGCTCATTCATTACCAGGCCAATCAGCCGTATCCACATGTAGCAGCACACCCACCATCAACTTGTACTAAGGGCAATGATTGCAAAGAGGGGGAGAAAAGGAGATGATTGTAGGTGCATGGACATAGCACCTTTTCTGATGGTCAGTTCGATTTCAGTGTGAAGAATTTATTTATTTATTTATTTATTTATTTATTTATTTTTGAGACGGAGTCTCACTCTGTCGCCCAGGCTGGAGTGCAGTGGCGTGATCTCGGCTCACTGCAAGCTCCACCTCCCGGGTTCACGCCATTCTCCTGCCTCAGCCTCCAGAGTAGCTGGGACTACAGGCGCCCGCCACCATGCCCAGCTAATTTTTTGTGTTTTTAGTAGAGATGGGGTTTCACCACATTAGCCAGGATGGTCTCGATTTCCTGACCTCGAGATCTGCCTGCCTTGGCCTCCCAAAGTGCTGGGATTTTAAGTCAGAAACTGCCTCGACGTTTTGTGGTGCTCCTGACGTCTGCACAGCCCTACTTGCACAGTCTTTCCTGATGTCATCACGTCTTGCCTCTGCTACTCATTTGAGACACATACCTTAGATGAAAAGGATTTCTGAAGAGAAGAAGTAGAAAGATGCCCTTTAATAAATCCTTCCAATTATAGAACCAGGTGTCTGGAATAGTCCTCAGAGAACTCCCCACTCCTCTCTTCACTACAGAGGCATAAGACGCAGGCCCTGAGGGATTGAATGTCTCGGCACCACCCAGCCGATCCTCCCACACCGGGAGGTCACCTGGCCTCTGACCCCCTGGCTCCCTTCCCAGCCCCCTTTCACTACACCATACTTGTGGCATGTTCTACCTGTAGAGAAATGTGGTTTATAACCTCCCCAGTTATCATTTATTTCATGGCTTTTACACTGCCTAATTTAAAAAAGAATTTAAAATATTTTACCAAGTTATGATACCCTAAAATATAGAATAAAATCTCAAAAGGGCAGAAACCACTTGGAGGTAAGAGCCTGGGCTGACTTGGTTTCTGTGGTGGAGCCTTGTGGGTGTCCCAGTCTCCAGGGAAGTGAAAGTTTGGGAGTATCTTCATCCATGTGTCAAAAAATAGTGAAAGCCTGCAGAAGCACAAATTCAGCAAAAGCTCACTTCACCTAACAGAAACACTACTGAAAAATCACTTAATGTCAAAACAAATCCTGTGTTGTATTGGATATATATCTAAGGTCTGCAGACTTGGAGAAGATAAGTCATGTTTGATTTTCTGAAACCTTTGCAGCTTGAGGGGCCAGGGTGCCGGGAGCACCTGACAGGGAAGTCCTTGTCATACATGCTAAGAATAAAGCCCCCTTCCTTTTAGAGGCTAGCCCTAGTGGAACCGGTTCCACTCCCTCCTTTCCTGTTTTATTGATTGATTGATTGTTTGATTGATTGATTTAGAGACACACCTCATTCTGTCACCCAGGATGGTGTGCAGTGGTGCGATCTCAGCTCACTGCAATTTCTGCCTCCTGGGTTCAAGTGATTCTCGTACCTCAGCCTCTTGAGTAGCTGGGATTAGGTGTGTGCCACCGCCCAGGTAATTTTTGTATTTCTAGTAGAGACGAGGTTTCACCATGTTGACCAGGCTGGTCTTGACTCTTGGCTTCAACTGATCCGCCTACCTCGGCCTCCCAAAGTGCTGGGATTACAGGCGTGAGCCACCGCGCCCGACCCCCTCCCCTGCCCTGTTGACACTTAACTGCAAACCTGGGAGAGAAAGGCAGAAAGGAAGGAAGTGTATGTCTGGAGTTAACTAGATAAAACTACAAGAGGTACTGGTAAGTGGTGGAAACAGGTGTTTGGTTATAAAGAGTGGTATCTGCTGTTGTGCTGGGTTTCACGTGATTTATGTTTTCTCTGGTGAGCCCCGCTAGTATGAAGACAGTAGGGCTTTGCTAGAACTGGTGTGTTCTCGGGGTAGTAATGGTCTCTTACTGGAGTCCCAGGAATCTCTGGGTCTCTTCCTTTTTTAATAACAAGAGCTATTCCAATAACCTTTTTGACCCTGTGATGTTCATAGATAGTATTAGCTTTTTGGTTTAATTCTTCAAGATAAAGTTTACACCCTAACAGGATCCTTTGGGGGTGTTATTCCAAAGGGGAGTGTGATGTGTGAATTTCAGGCTGTTTCAGGATAACGAAGAAAGCAGTTTGTGGAGAAGGGACTTTGAAGCCACAGCACACACTTCCCAGCTTCTTCCACTTTTGCAGAAAGCATTCTTGGGGGTGGGATGTGGATGGTGTGTGTTCTTACATAAGGTGGTCTTGTTACTGAGAGTGCAGGAAGTTCCTTTGTTTCTTGGTTTGTGGTCTTTAGTAACGATAACTTTAGGTGAATGGAACCTTTCTGTACATTTTCAGAAATCTCCAACGTTTGGATCATGCCAGGATGTTAACTTTTTACAGGCCGAAGCTGAACGGCCTGTTATGAGGGAGCCCCAAAATATGTAACATCATTACCTCTGTTAACACCAGTTTGTCAGCCTCTAGACCCACTGTTCACAGTGGCATCAATCCTGGAGAAGATCCACACCTTAGAATGGTTTTGTTTGGTTGCCCTGTTGGGACCTTCACTGAGTCTTACCCAGGGGTTCTTATAGTGTGTCTGAGGTGTGTTCCCCAACTGGCCCTGGGTGCAGAAATTATATTTGCAGCCAGATAACTTATAATTTGCTACATATGGCCAGTCTTTTTTAGCAGTTTTCTTTCTTTTGCATTTTGCCACACCCACTCCCAATTTACTGTTAGCAGCCCTCCTGGTACCTTCTCACCACAAGGGACTTATATTAGATATCTGTAGGCTCCGAGACAGAGAGAGAGAGATTGAGAGTGAGAGAGCCCAATCACATTGCTTGCCTCCTGTTTTATTTTAATATCATTATTTTTTACATTACTGTTCCTTGACCCTTGTACATTAAACATTAAATAGAAGTCAAGGTTATAGTCATGGGGCCAGAGAGAGGAATCTACCTTCCTTGATGACTCTAGGCTGGAACAGGATTGAAGGGAGCACAGGAGTGGCTAGGGCTACAGTCTGTGCTTCTACAGAGAAGCATGTGGAACAGAAGGTTGAGGTGAGAGGCCGAGTGGCACAGATGAAAGAGCATGTTATTTTGGAGTTGGACAGACCTTAACTGGAATGCTAACTTGGCCACTGGTCAGCTATGTGGTCTTGGGCAAATTACCTGGCACTTCCAAACTTCAGTGACCTTTGCCTTATCTGTAAACTGGACTTGCAAGATTGTTATGGTAATCAAGTGGAATAATAGGTAGTAAGTACTTATTGTCCCATATAAGGCATTTCATAAATATTATTTTCTCTTTCTTTTCATTACGAGGGAATGAGAAAAAAAGCCAAAGACATGAAAATCCCCATGTTCTATTAATAACAGCTTCCATTTTTCTTTCTCATATTTTTATAATGCTTTAAACTATGTGGGTAATTGTTTCAGCATTTAATCTTTCCACTGAATTACTTAATTACATTTATGACAACCACATTTTAATTTTGAGTACATCGATGGAACTATTAATTTATTCTAATGAATTTACAACATGGCTGGAATTTTTTTCACCATTAATTTTGTGGTGATAGAAAACTATGCTGCCTGCCATAGATTTATCTTGCTTTAATCATATTTTAATCAAATCAAATTCCTTAAAAGTCTAGATAAGGGTCCCCCTAGAGGAAAGGAGTAAGAAGATTTTCTCTGAAAAGCATATTTAAGCCTGATGGTTTATCAGCTTGGTTGACTCCCACTTCTGCTCTCAAGTGTTAGCAGAGGAAACTTGGTGGACATTTTTTTGGAGGGGTTGGGAACTCGGGAGGAACATTTTTCTGGAGGGGTTGGAGGCTTGGGAGGAATGCATAGTGGTGGAGGAGAATAAATGAGATTAGAAATTTCTTTTTCCAAAGAAAGCGGCCATTCTGCACATCTGGAGAGGGTGCCGTCATTTGTTTGGTTCCCAGATGCTTTGCAGTCCACACTTCTGGGAAGACCCCTGCCTGCCAAGTCATCATTGCCTTCAAAGGGATTTCTTTCTCAGCAAGGTGATAACGTTCACTGCCATAGCCTCCCCTGATTAATGCTTTAAGATTGATTGCTGGTCCAGCCTGGCAGACGGGCGCTGAATTTCCCATTTAGTACTCTCAGGTTTTAAACATTCAAAATGGCAGTAAATAAAACACATGCCTTTCAACATCCCTTTTTCCCCTCAGCTCACAGCTTGGGAGTTTAGGTTAACTTTTTGTTATAACAGGCGTTTGAGATGAACAAGGAAAGCTCCCTAACAGTTCTTTCTGTGATTTGTTTCTTATTAAATTAAAAAATTTGTCATTTATTTATTGGAGAGGAGGGAAGAGGTTTGGCCATGGACACTAGTTGCAAAAACGAATTGTAAGCACAGGTAGTGGCAGATTAAAAACACTTTAGCAATTAGTATTTTCCACTTGATGGTTTAAAACTGAAAAAAAAATTATCTCCAACTGCTGCTAATATTACAGCTTAAGAACAGGCTGATAGATCTTGCATACGAAACATCTCACTCTGGGAAAATCTTCACCCTTCTCATTCTTAGTTATAATAAGACAAGGCAATAGCCTTTTTAGTTTGTGTGTACTGATATGAATTTCTCCATGAAGAATTTATGGAAGCTACTAAATAAACACATGGAGAGCTATAAGAACCCTAACCCTATGAAACACACAATTTAGATCCACCTATCATGTAAATTAAACATTCGTCAGAAGAAACAGTTAGAGGTGTGTTAGAGCTTTAAATAGGACTGTTTATATTAGGATGAGATAAAGACTGACATTCCAAAGTTATTAACCAACATGTGTCTCCCCTTCTATGGAATTTGCCTAATAAGAATTTTTTTAAAAAATTCAATATTATTTTGAATTAACAAATCTTAATTGTATATATTTATGGGGTACATTGTGATGTTTTGATATATGCATACAATGTGGAATGGTTAAATCAAGCTAATTAGCATATCTATCACCTCAGGTACTTACCATATTTTGTGCAGAGATATTTAAAATTTACTGTCTTAGTTCTTTTGGGATATGTAATACATTATCATTGAATATAGTCATCCTGCTGTGCAATAGACCTCAAAAACTTATTCCTCCTGTCTAACTCAAACTTTGTCCTCCTTGACTAACAACTCCTTGTTTCCCATTCACCCCCCCAGCCCTCAACCTCTGATTATCATCATCTGATAAGAATGTTTTGACACTTAGAATTTGAAGAGGTAATTTGAATGACATGAAGACTTTTCATAATTGTTAATGTTTTATCATAAATGCATCATTTCATTACATATATGATTTCAAAGGCTTTGTCATATTCTTTAATCTAGTTATATGTCTTATGCACAGATGTTTATTTTATGGGAGTGTAACTTAATGAAAGCTAAGGGCAAATATAATTTCATTTATAGAAATTTACTTTCCCTAACAACATTGAGTTATACTTCCATAAATTTTATTCCCTCTCAACTAGGGAGGGAGGATGTGGAAAACAAAACAAAACAATTCTGGCCTTCTAAGTTCTTGAAGATCAAAGCTGCCATCTTGAGGAGTGTCTCCTCTCAACTCAAACAAGTGGGGACCCTTCCAGCTGAGGCCCAGGACACCTTTGTTTGTCCTAGAATACTCTTCTTTGATTCTGCCCTGAGGCTACATCTGGGGCACTCTAACTGCCCCCTTCAGTCTGTCCCCAAGCTACAGGGCAAAATCCCATGGGATCCATGGTGAAACCCTAGGCTGGGAGATAAGACTGCAACATGCAAAACAGTCTTCTCAGATCACATTATGCCTGAACACCTGAGCACTTGGGGAAAGAACAAAGTAAAAAGCTAGCATGAAGGCAGTTTACATCAAGGTAAAGCTTCCAGAATATATTTCAAGTCAGCCTGAGCAATCAAAGTGATTGGAACCACTAAAATAATTTATGTCTTCATAGGAGTTTTCTTGAAAAGCAGAAGTTCCAAAAGCAATGCTGAAGGCAGTCTAGTGTGCCGGATGATTCTCTGGACACATTGTAAAACACCACAAGCAGTTAGTGCAAGGGTGTGAAACACAGCACCTTTTTTGAGTTATATCTGGCTGTTTAAAAGCATGATTTTGGGAGGAAAGAGAGAAGAGGGGATCAAAATGTTTTCCCTCCTTTTTTCAGTGGGAGAGCAGAGAAGAAATGTTGGTCAAGATGCCCATGGATGGAAGAAAAGGTGGTGGGTGGGGGGCAGTGGTTAAGGACATAGAGGGGCAACTGCCTTGAGAAAAGGGAAACTTAGATGGAAAAATTAAAACTTGAACTTCTGGGGGAACTTACTTTGTTTTTTAATCTTTGTATGACTTTCTCCCATAAGCCTACCCATTTCCCGAAGTGATTTGAGATGGATTGTTTTCATCCAGGCCAGTCTTGGAATAGGGATGCCCAGCAGGGCCCAGGGTCTGGCACCCTCTCCTTGGCCTTAAGGCCAGATACCTGGGGTAAGTGTTGAGTCCAGGCCAGAGGTAGGGGTGAGGTAGGGGGAGAAGGGATGGTAACACCTGCTGGTGCTAAAGGCTCTCATCTACTGGCCCCATAGAGTTTGTGTGTCTGTTTGCACACATGATGTGTGCACATACATGTGTATGTGTAGGGTGGCTGGTGGGAACCAACTCCTTCATTCCTCCACATGTTCTCCCGGGGCTCTAGGCTGCCATTTTGGAGAAAGACTCACCTGTATTTGTTCTTCCTCCACTGAGGAACACCTCTGCCTTCGGTTTATTGCTGTTTTCTCTGGTTACAATTTTGGTTCCATTGAATAACATTGGCCTTAATGTTCATTTACATGAGATTTTGCCTGTATTTGCCTGCACATGTGTGTGAGTGTGGGGGGCACACATATATGTATTTGCCTTTGTATCAGGGGAGGTGCACCTAGTGATTCCCTCTGCATTCTACACCTGTGAGAGAAGATCCCAGCTGTTTCCCAGCTTAAATTTAGCAGGGAGGTAAATGGACCCTCTGTGGGTTTAGATAAGGTGTATGGTCAAGCAGATGTTGTTTTTCCTTTTATAACTTGCCACCGACCTTCTCATTAGGGGCTGGAATAAAGTCATGAGATTATAGTCTTATGTTGCTAAGAAGGGGAAACATAACAAATCTACTAGCATTAATTTATATACCACGTTGACTCAATAAAAATCTTTGTAGATCTTGAACCTTAATCAAAGGAATAACTCTTATGGTGGAAAAGTTAGGCTAGGTGGAGAGCATTCAGTGTCCTTCAGTCATACATAGTAGTTATCACTTGCTGATCCCAGGAAACCGGTAATGCTTTAGAGAGAATGGTTGTCATGGTGAGTTTGAATTACCTGTAGCTATTCAGATGAGTATTTGGATAGATAGTTAGGAGAGTACAGTTGTGGAGCTTGAGAAGGCAGATGAGGGCCAGAGGTGTGAATTTGGGGGCCATTGGTCTGTGGGTGATGATGAAGCAATGAACATTTGCAAGATTACAGAGGGAGAAATGAGAGGAGAAGCTGCCTACAGTGAGCTGGGATAGAAGCGTGGGCTGCACGGATGCAGGGACCCATGCTCTTTGTGACTTGTGAGACTGATAACAAATATACACGCGCCATGTTTAGTGGAGGGTTACGTGGTCTTTGTAAGTGTTACTGAAAATACATCTATCAGACTGGCCATTTCGTGCAAAGATGAAAGTTCATAGAATTCAACTTACCAAAGATTTACTAACTGTCAAATACCATGTTCCATGCCAACAGAGAAAAATCACACATTCATTAGATCAATTCTTATTCCCAAGAAGTGAGGGAGACAGACGTGCAAGCACCTTACTAGAATATAAGGCCAAATGAAATAGGGTAATAACAGCTGGAGACAGTGGGAACTTAACAGAAAGAAAAATTCATCTCAAAGCGGGGCTTCAGGGAAGTTTTATTGAAAAAGTGGAGGGCTGACTAAGACTCCAACAGACAAGGAAGTGAGGGGAGAGAATCTGAGAGTGAGGACCCCTCTCAGTCTCAGGCTTTCTGGTCTAACACTGAGTATTAGGGAGATCTCTGGTCATTCTCCAAGCGCAGCCTCTAACTTCTACATGCCAGGCCCTATATGAGAAAATAAGAGCCTCCAAAATACAAACCCCTCTCCCCAACTGGCAGTGAATGGTGACTTACAACAAGTACTTTCCAATGATACTCTCAAACAATGAAAATGATACTTCATGGTTCCTTAAGCATGGCAGAGAGAACCACCAGATCACATAATGCAACTCATCTAATATTCCTATTGAAATACAGTGGGAATCACTTTAATAGCACTGAGAAAATACCAGTGAGATAAAGTCTATTTTAAAAAGTTTTGTTGGCTGGGCATGGTGGCTCACACCTGTAATCCAAGCACTTTGGGAGGCCGAGGCGGGCAGATCACGAGGTCAGGAGTTTGAGACCATCCTGGCCAACATGGTGAAACCTCGTCTCTACTAAAAATACAAAAATTAGCTAGGTGTGGTGGCACGCGCCTGTAGTCCCAGCTACTTGGGAGGCTGAGGCAGGAGAATCGCTTGAACCTGAAAGGCGGAGATTGCAGTGAGCCGAGATGGCGCCACTGCACTCCAGCCTGGCAACAGAGTGAGACTCTGTCTCAAAAAAAAAAAAAGTATTGTTTTAGTAGTTGAAAAAGAACAAAATAATAACTGACCAAAGCCGACCATTTTTGTGAAGTTTATTCTGGTGGAGACAGTGCTTGCAGGCCACATCCACTCTGTTCTTGAAGGGAGAAAGAACACCAGTGAAAAGTGAAGCATTGCTTTCCTCGAGCTTACATTTTTCCCGGCATGCACAATGTCGCCAGTGCATATGTTGAGGTCTTTGCGTTTGAAGCGTGGATGCTGTTTAGTCCTTACTGCATATATTTATTATGTGAGATTTATTTTAAAAGAGTCTGTGAAGTTGGCCATGGTGGCTCACATCTGTAATCCCAGCACTTTGGGAGGCCAAGCTGGACGGATCACTTGAGCCCAGGAGTTCGAGACCAGCATGAACAATATATTGAGACCTTGTCTTTATAAAAATTTTTTAAAAATTAGCTGAGCATGGTGGTGTGCACCTGTAGTCCCAGCTACTTGGGAGGCTGAGGTGAGAGGATCTCTTGAGCCCAAGACATGGAGACTCTAGTGAGCTGAGATTGCACCAGCCTGGGCAACATAGTGAGACCCAGACCCAAAAAATAAAAGAGTCTCTCAATCTTATATATGGTTCTCCCCTCTTTGTATCAAATTTAGCTAGTACACTGGCTAAATTGGAAATCAACCTGGGCAAGATCTTGTTTCTTTTCATGCTGTCTCCCCAAAAGTTAAGTGCTAATCAATTTGCTGACGTAACAAAAGAAGCAATCAGAATATGATATAAATATTAAGTAGAATATCTTTTCCTCTCTCAAGCCTTCCTTGGCTATCTTAGACTTAATAGTTCTCTTCTTTTTACTGGTTTTGTGCTTTCTAATTACAACTGTTACATATCATGTTGGGTAATAAGAATTCAATTACTGCCATCTTTGACCTGAGTGACCTGAGGGCATGAGCTCTCTTGTTCATTAGTTCCAGCACCCAGCCTGCTGATAGACACATAGCATGAGCTCCATGATTCCTCATAGGAAGATTGGAGTACTGTAGAAATTATAGCATCCTAAAAACCCATTTGGATTTTCTAATGCCATTCTTCTCTATATTGGTCAACCTGCTGGAGACTATTTGTGAATACAAATTATGTTCCCAAATACATCCTAGTCCAGGTAAGACAATGCCAAACATAGCTTGGAGGAGCTGTCATCTAGTGGGAAAAATTAATGGTCTACATACCACTGGGTCCTAGTCCTGGCATTGTACTACAATCCTTGCAGCTGAAGGTGGTTTTTTTTACCTCTCTAGGTGCTGCGTTGCCATCTTTAAAGTCATCCCACTGGACCACATCAGTATTGCAAGCTGCTTGGGTATCATTAATGAAGACAAAGTGGGATTATTATTTTCTATGATTTGGGCTTTTGTGAGTTTATTTATTAATGTAGTCTCACCATCACACCCCCTCTTTTTTTTAAATAGGCATGCCATATTACTGCATTGTAGTAAGCTTCTGACTAATTAGAATTTCTGGATTATTCAAATTGAACTGCTGTTCATATTTTATGACTTTGCCATGTACTTTTTGGGACCTGAAAAGGTCTTCACAATGACCCAGTTAAATTTAATTCTGTTAGTTTTATCTAGCATTTCACTGGTGATGATACATTTGAATCTTGATTCTATATTCTATCATATTAGTTATCCTGCCCACTTTAGGGTCATCTGTGGATCTGATAAATGTGTTTTCTATATTTTTGTCTAAATTATTAACTTGAATTACTAACTAGAACAGATTTAAGGACAGACCCCTGTAGTACTTTGTGAAAGACTTTTTTGCTGGTTGATAAATGATTAATTAACACCCTGGTTTTACTTGTTTATAACTACAGTCATGTGTTGCTTAATGACTGGCATATGTTCTGAGAAACATGTTCTTAGGTGATGTCATCATTGTGTGAACATCAGAGCGTGTATTTACCAAAGCTAGATGGCATAGCCTACCACACACCTAGGCTGTATGCAATAGCCTATTGTTCCTAGGCTGCACACTTTTATAGCATATTACTGTACTGAATACTGCAGGCAACTGTAACACAATGGTTAAGTATTTGTGTATCTAAACATATCTAAACATAGAAAAGGTACAGTAAAATATGATATAAAAGATAAAAAATGGCATGCTTGTATAAGGCACTTATGAATGGAGTTTGCAGGGCTGGAAGTTGCTCTGGCTGAGTCAGTGAATGAGTGGGGAGTGAAAGTGAAGGCCTAGTAATGATTGTTCACTACTGTAGACTTTAGAAACACCTACACTTAGGCTACACTACATTTATAAAAATATTTTTCTTCAGTAATAGATTAACCTTAGCCTTCTGTAACTTTTTCACTTTACAAACTTCTAAATTCTTTATACTTTTTACTCTTTTGTAATAACACCTAGTTTAAAACACAAACACACTATACAGCTATACAAAAATATTTTCTTTATTTATACCCTTATTCTATAAGTTTTTTCTATTTTTAAAATTTTGAATTTTTATTTACTTTTTAAACAATTTTTTGTACAAACTAAGACACAAACACACACATTAGCCTAGGCCTCCACAGGGTCAGGATAATCAATATCACTGTTTTCCACTGCCACATCTTGTGCCCCTGGAAAGCACTGAGGCAATAAAAGGCATGGGGCTGTCATCTCCTATGATAACAAGGCTTTCTTCTAGAATATCTCCTGAAGGACCTGCCTGAGGCTTTTTCTTGTTTTCACATTAGTGAAGACACTGAAGATGTCACTAGGCAATAGGAATTTTTAACCTCTATTATAGTCTCATGGGACCACCCTCTCTCTGTATGTGGGCTGTCCCCGACCAAAACGTTGTTATGCAGTGTGTGACTGTAGTTGTAAGTCAATGCTACTGGACTAGCTATCAGTCAATCATATGCTTATAAAGATTCCAATCCTACCTGGCTCAAGAATTTCAGAGGGGACTTACTGAGTTGGACTGGTTTTAATTTGTACTACTTGAAAATTCAATATCAATCTAAATGTGAACTTCCCCTACAGGAGTAATCAAGACACCCCAGGGGGCCCTGGGACCCCTTTGTCCTCCAGTACAGGTTCTATGAGTTTGCAGGATCTTAAAATTTGTGTATGTAAGGCCTCGAAGAGCTCGGCTGCCTGGTTCTGTCCTGTGTTCTTGAAACAAAACTGACTTTGGGGCAAATTAGAAAGTAGATTCAAATTATTTCATTCTAGTTTGATGGCAGCTTTCCCTTCTTCTGTGACACATCTTCTTGCTATTGGAGGTGGCTGGGGTCTTCCTGGTTTCTTCCAGCTTTTCCTTTTCTGTCCCTCACTAGCGAGGTCACACACTCTCCTCTGGACTTCTCTCTTCTTATCAAGAGTTTGTGTCTCCTTTTCATTCCTCGGTGACCATTGCATGTGGCTAGGTAATAGAATGGAGGTACTTGCTTGCACAAGTGCTTGTGTACACAAACATACAGAGATACACACACAGACACACCACACAGACATACGTCTACAACAGAAATACATAAAGATGCACACAGAGACATACATGTTCAAACAGACATACACACAGACACCAAGACACACACAGACACCCACACAGACATGCAGGCACACACATGCCTCCCCCACCACCCAGACATACATGCTGAGTCACTGATGGGCTAGGGAACCTCTGTTCTCCCAGCCACACGCAATCTCTGAGAATTGCCCTTGGGCTAACGTCCACACCACCCTGCCAGGCCCATTTTCCTGTTGTAGATGAAGAAAGAGCAGGGCTGGCCTCGTGGGCGTGTGACTGTGCCTACAGTTAGAAGGGTCCTGTAGTTGTTTTAATGCTCTGCTCTTGTCACCTTGAAATCCGTAATTCCTTTTGAACAAGGGATCCTGCATTTTAATTTTGCACTAGGCACCACAAATTATGTAACCAATTCTGAGGAGGAGTTATGTGTTCCGTAGTGTGATTTACCTGTGCACTATATCTGGGGACTCCGTCTGCATGCTAGCAGCTGCTGGAAGAGTCTATTTCACATTAATTTTCCTGCTGCATATTTTCCAATAAACTATCTTCCAATAAACTATCTTTTAAAGCTGTTAACAAGTGTTTTCTAAGAAAGTTCACTCAAGAATTCACCCTGATGGAACTATTTGTTTTACTCTCCTGTGGTTGTAACTGCCCAATCTGTTCTCCTTGCCTGCTGCCTAGACAGAGCCAATTTATCAAGACAGGGGAATTGCAGTAGAGAAAGAGTTTAATTCACACAGAGCCGGCTGTACAAGAGACTGGAGTTCTATTATTACTCAAATCAGTCTTCCAAAAAACGTGAGGATTGGGGTTTTTAAGGGTAATTTGGTGTCTAGGGGGTCAGAAAGTAGGGAGTGCTGATTGATCGGATCGGAGATGAAGTCACAGGGAGTCGAAGCTGTCCTCTTGAGTTTGTTCCTGGGTTGGGGCGGCAAGACCAGCTGAGCCGGTTTATTGATCTGGGTGGTGCCAGCTGATCCATCAAATACAGGGTCTGCAAAATATCTCAAGCACTGATTTTAGGTTTTACAGTAGTGATGTTATTCCCAGGAGCAATCTGGGGAGGTTTAGAATCTTGCAGCCTCCAGCTGCATGACTCCAAAGCCATAATTTCTAATCTTGTGGCTACTTTATTAGTCCCACAAAGGCAGTCTAGTCCCCAGGCAGGAAGGGGGTTTGTTTTGGGAAAGGGCTGTTACCCTGTTTTTCAAAGTTCAACTATAAACGAAGTTCCTCCCAAAGTTAGTTCAGCCTACACACAAAAATGAACAAGGACAGCTTGGAGGTTAGAAACAAGATGGAGTCAGTTAGGTTAGATAGCGTTCACTGTTATTTTCTCAGTTACAATTTTTGCAAAGGTGGTTTCTTGGTCACAGTTGTCTCCAATTCTGATTTTATTTAATTTTAATGTCCATATGATACCTACTTTTTCTTTTTTCTTTTTCCTTTTTTTTTTTTTTTTGAGATGGAGTCTTGTTGCTCTGTCACCCAGGCTGGAGTGCAGTGGTGTGATCTTGGCTCACTGCGACTTCCGCCTCTGAAGTTCGAGCGATTCTTCTGCCTCAACCTCCCGAGTAGCTGGGACCACAGGCATGCGCCACCACACTTGGCTAATTTTAGTATTTTTAGTAGAGATGAGGTTTCACCATGTTGGCCAGGCTGGTCTCAAACTCCTGACCTCAGGTGATCCGCCCACCTCAGCCTCCCAGAGTGCTGGGATTAGAGGCATGAGCCACCGTGCCCAGCCTGTTCTCTAATTTTTAAAAACTCCAACCAGAACATAAGTCATGAAAAGATGCAGCAAACATTTGAGAGTCAACAAATATTTACTTTGGACCTACTAAATGCTGAACACTGTTCTAGAGTCTGGGGATAGAGCAGAGAATATAATAGCATCCCTGACCTTGTATAACCTACATTCTGGTGAGGAGAGACAGACCATAAGCCAGCAAAACAGAAGTAATAAACTAGCAAGCATATAGATGAGTGAGAAAATTGCATGCATAGACAAACGCTAAAGAGAAGGTTAAATAGGGTGATGTGGTAGAGGGTGACTGGAGGTGGTTTTAGCTTGGTGGTCTGAACAGGTCTCTCTGAGGAGTTGACTTCTGAGTTGAGACCTAAATGATATTCTGGGTAAATGTAGTTTTGGTAGGGCTTTAAAGTATTAGCTGTAGCTCAAGCATGTTCACTGTTTTTGTGAACTATGACATCCATTTAAATGATGTTCAAAGAGGAATGGTGGGACATCTCAAGTCAAACAAACATCCTGAACTCAGTGGATGAAGTCTCCAACAGGTTTCACTCCAGGGCATTTCCATGAAGTTCCACCTCTCCTTCACTTTGCTGTCAAGGCACCAGGCTTTGTTGTGTGCCCTGTAGGGGGTGGGAGTGGAGCACTTTAGTAGGAGTGATTTGTAGTTTCAGCGAAAGTGGAAGCTTCAGAACCTACCCCTCCAATTTGCTGAAGAAGGTGGGACAGAACCAAGGAAAGGCAATAAAACCGTGAACCACAGAAACACCTGCATCACCAAGTACATGCCCCGGGGCCAAAAGGGATGTTAGTGCCACTGGGATCAGATGGGATCAATTTCTCCATGTGCACTGATTCAGTGCTTGCTACACTGCTTCAAGCTAACCTCCCACTCTCACTGTCTCCATTTCAGAACCCAGTTCCTTTTCCCTCTTTCCGTTCATTTCGAGAAGACAATGTCAGAAAACAGAATGACGTATGTGTCCAAAGGCTCAAGGGCTTGGCAAGCGCTGGCTCTAGTTTTTAGCACTTAATTGACAATTATTCATTGCCTCTTGTGATTATTTAATTACACCCCCAACTGAACTTACCATTTTACCCCAGTGCTCCTCCTCTGACTTCACCATTCTATTCTTCCTTCTTTCAAATCCTGACCAGCAGGTCACTCATTTGCAATTCCTACATATTTAAAGCAACGTTCACTCTCCCGATTTCTGACCTTTCAAACACCCTTGTAACTAAGTCCTTGTATTATATTCCATCTGTTTGAAATTTATGGTATGACCTCTGGTTTCTTGATTGTGTGATAATGTAAGCGATTTCTTTCTTCAATGACTTCTTTCTTTTTTACAATTGTGATATATACTTTTATTTCTCATTGATAAATGGTTACAAATCATACTCCTAGGTTTATATAGCACTAACACTTAAACACATTGTAAAGCTTCTGGAAGGCTTATAATACCTTGTGTCTTCCAGCTTTATCTCCCAGACTGGATCTCATTTTTTTCTTTCTACTTTTCTTCCCTTTTTTTTCATAAAAATTGTATATATTTAAAGTGTACAACATGATGTTTTGATATACATAGTAAAGTGATTACTGTAGTCAAAATAATTGATTATCCACCACCTCACATTGTTCCTTTTTTGTCTTGTGGTGAGAGCAATTGAAATCTACTATATTAGCTAATTCCCAGTACGCAATACAATATTGTCACCATTCTGTACATGACATGTCTAGACTTACTCATCCTACACAACTGTAACTTTGTATTCTTTCACCAATAGTGACATTTGTTTCTTGAGTCATCAATTTCTTTCCTTTTTTTCTTAACTTTTATTTAGGTTCGAGGGTACATGTGAACGTTTGTTACATAGGTAAACTCATGTCACGGGGGTTGGTTGTACAGATCATTTCATCACTCAGGTATTATGCTCAGTACCTAACAGTGATCTCTTTTGCCCCTCTTACTCCTCCCACCCTCCACCCTTAACAGACCCCACTGTCCATTGTTTCCTTCTTTGTGTTGATTGATCAATTTAAAACACTTTTTATTGACTCCCTGCCATGAGTAGAAGCTTAAGCTACTTACACAACACCCGTCTGTCCCCTCTCTTCCAAATTTTGGTAATCATTATTTTAATTTTTCAGTGTTTCTTTAAAAAATATACCTGTAAACCTCAAATTTTGTGCAATCAACTTTAGAGATGGTCTCTTGACTCCTCACCATGTTAGATGAGACCATCCATATTCTTATCCTTCCTTCTAACTCTTCCATATTATCCCGCCTCCCATCTTCTGACTATGAACTTTCATTTCTTTAATTATCAAAGTTGTTAACATTGACATTTTGTTCTATAACAATTTAAAATCTTGTATAGTAGATGGATTCTAAAGCTAAAAGCTATTTTATTATTATGCGTGAGAATAACATGTTGCCATTTCACAGCCAAAAATTATATTTTCTAAGATTGTATTTCCACAAGCTAAGGTTATGTTTTCTTCTCTTTATGTCTAGCATCACAAGCTCTTGACCCTCAAGAGACACTATGCTCACTATACAGGTCAAAAGGATAAATGCTTTTTATTTTCTTATAATTTATAAACTATTCAAAATCACGCAGTATTTTAGTATTTTAGTTTGTTTCGTATTTGGGCCATGATTTTTTTAAGATAGTGTTTTTCTTGGAGGTTCTAAATGTGAATTCGTTATTGAGATAGGACACTTCTTTCTCTCTCTCTTTTTTTTTTCTTTTTTTCTTTTTTTTCTTTTTACCATGTCACTAATAACAAGCATCATTGTCATTCTGTACATTTGTACATTGCTTGGAAGCTGTAAGTTTTTTCTTGGACATACCATACATGGAATGTGCTGACATCCTGTTCCAGTTGGACCAATTGCTTTCTCAGCCTCACACACAGATATCATCCTAGAATTTCTTTTTATTGGACACTTGGTTGAGTTTCATTCTTTTTTTTTTATTTTTTTTTGAATTTCACTCTTTGTGTTTAGCTGTCATTTTTCTGGAGTAAATCCTCAAGTAATTTTCTCATAAAAATTGCATAGAGGGTAAACACTCTGTATATTCTCTGTGCAAAATTGTTATGATGATGTATGTAGGCATTGCCATTTTGCTCTGCTTAGATGGTCTTCCTTCTGGGTATCTGCTATAAAAGGAAGGCTGACTTGAGCTCTGTGTTTGAGGGTGGAATATGTTGATTGTCAGGCTTCACTCTATGGGAAGCTGGTAGGGAGTCAGCCTTTAGACAAAGAGGGGCCTTGGCATTCTTGAATGAGGAGGGCCACTGGAGTGTCATTGTCTCCTAAGCAGCCTTAATTCTTCCCAGGAGGTTGACTGCACTTCTTGAGAGAGGAGTCCTCTAGTTGCTGTTTTGTCTGGGGGAGATGAAGGTGAAGACAGATGTCCAGTGAGCCTCTGGCTTTGTTCTCCTCTTTGCCATGCCCATGCCAGGCTTGCCAGCAAACAGCCTGCAGGGCTAGTTATCTTCCTTCTGTGTGGCTCTTCTCACCCTTCTCTCAGTGTCACTCATCCTCACTTTTCATTTGCTGTCTTCTCTACTCCTCACTTGTTTGCTTCTCATACAATGTTTAAGCATATTTCTGCTTTCTTTGGTGATACCCTATCTGATGTCATCTGCCTCTACTGGTTGCTTATCTTCTTATTTTTTAAAATGTCTTTTCTGTTTTCCTCCATTTTTCCTATAACTTGAGACAGATTTTCTCAGGCAAGAACACGTGTCATTGCCCTAATGGGATTCTAAGCCTGGGCATGGCGTTAAAGGTGGCTTGTCCAAATCTCCTTGGTACGGGTGAAGGCACTGAGGACTCAGGAGACTGAGTTGTCCATGTTCACACAGCTAAGCTCATGACAGGGCCAGGGCTGTGTCCAGCTCTCCCGCACGTCCTGCCTGTGCTTACTCCCTAGATTGCAGATTTCTTCCTGTGCCTGGGAGAATTCATGTGAAATTTTGTCACCTTAAGTGGAAGATCTGTTTATGATGAAAAGTGCCCTTTAGTGTAAGAGATTCCAAAAGGCAGGTTCTTAGACTATGTTGGATAGATGTAGTAGCAAAATTTTAGGACTTCCCATAGCTCCAAATTATTAAACCTTTGTGTGGAAATAATAGAGTTTGGGGATTAGAGATACAAAAGGAGGATGAAGAATCTGCCCTTATTGAACAGCCCTGCTACCGTCATAGTTTTCTTCTTGTTTGACCTGATTTAACAGTGAAGCAAGCTCTGATGAGACTTATGGACTATTTGCAAATGATTGCAAAACTGCAGCCCTCCCAGAAGCTGGATTTTTTTTTTCTGTTTAGTTTTTTTGTGTGACCTTGTGACAGAATTATATGGAAGTAGAAGTTAGTTTAGTGTTATTCACATGTGTACACTTTTGAGAAACTTCGTGTGGAGAACCTGACTGAGATACTTTGCACAAAACTGTTAGGAACATTAACTGAATTAAATGGTGGGGGGAATGCATCTGTTTTATAACAGGTGCCGGAAAATGGACTGTCACCAATATTGTATAGTCAAGGATGGAAGCAGGAGGATAATAGAGTTGCAGTGCGTATGCTAAACAAAAGACGACTTTCATTCCAAGGAAATGAGATAGAGACAGCACGAGTCTTACTTCTGTTGTTTTCCATGGAGGACCTTGACAGGAAGAGCAAGTTTTGTCTCAGTGATGTACAGAGTTGATCTTTAAGTTGCATGACAACATCATTATCTTGCTCTGGCTTAAAAAAAAATTATCAGCTTTGGGAACAATTGTCTCTTAACAGTAACTCAGATTTTAGGTTTCTCCTTCCCTGCCAGCCCAGGGTGATATGAACATTTTGAAAAAACTAGAGGTAGCTTTTTATCAGTAAAAAAAAAAAAAAAAAAAAATTCCCTCCTGCACATTTGTTTCTTGAAGGACAGGTTTCTGCTTCTATCTTTTTGTTTTCTAGGTTGAGGATGATGAATGGCAGTTTCCAAATGTATTTCTGAAAAAGATGAATAAGAAAGAGCTGTTTCTGATTCAACCTTCCAATTCCTGGGAGAAATGGATGAAGTAGGAAGTAGAGAGAGCTGTAGATTACAGAAAGGCCAACATGAGGAGTTGCTTTTCTTGTAAATGTGTTTCATTTAGAAGGCATGTGTGCTTAACAAAGGATTTAATTTGTGTGGAATTAAAAAAAACCAAACTTTTGACAATACATGTGAACAAAACTTCAAACTGCACCAAATTATTTACAAATTTTCAGTTACCGTCTTTGGCATTCTAGCTGGATTATTCCACCTAAAATGCAGATCTAACTTTGTTATTTTTCTGACTGCAGTCTTGTGCTGCTCCACAAACTCCTAAGCAATAGTGTATGAGCCCTTTGTACATTGCCTTCTCTCTCTGTCCGAAGTCTTATTTTCCACCCTCCCTGCTTGACACCTGATGCATTATACTCTAGTGGTTCCTTCATACTCTGCTGCTCTGCACTTCACAAAGATCCTTCTCTCTGGAATACCCTTCCTATTTTTATTTGGCCAACTCTTACTGGATAAACTATCATTCTGTCCTGAAAGTCTTCCCTTAAACTAGGTGGGACTAAGACCCACTTTTCTAGACTCTGTGGCTTCTGGCTTGCTACTGAGTATCTTATATTTCTCTTTAGGTGTGAGTTGACCTTTTAGACTATGAGCGTCTTGTGAGTGGAGACTATGCCTTATTCATTTTTGCATGTGTCGGGTGGATGCAGTGCTGAACATGTAATATGTGCACAGTAAGTGTTTGCCAATAACCTCTAAATATCCAACTCAACTAATATTTCAGTTACTTCCTATTTAGTACTAAGACTGAACTGAAAACCCACAAGAAAGTTTCATAATGATAGGTGGTAAATAGCAGTTAGTTCAGGAAGTAAGTAACAGATTATTATTTTTCTCCCAGTGGCAGGGTCACACTATTTTTAATGAATTTGGATAAATCTACCTGTGCAAAGCATATGTGTCCATACAGCAAGTGCATTAGGAATCACAGATAATACTTAGAATCAAGGACTATAAGAATTGCAAAATGTCCTTAGATATCTTCCAGGCCAATCCTCTTTGTGATGCAAGAGTCCTTCCCACAATAGTTCTGATAAATAGTCATGCATTTTCTACCTAAACACCTCCTGTAATGGCCCCTCTTTATCTCACCAGGAAGCTCAATCCATTTTTGGACCACTTTAATTTTCAGAATACTTTCTATATTGGCTCAAATCTACTTCTTATAACATTTATCCATTGGTCCTGATTCTTCCTCTTGAAGAGGAGGAAGACAATAAATCTAATTTCTCTTCTTCCTTTAACCTTGCAGATATTGGTGCATCATCAAATGTCCCGTAAGACTTCTCTTCTCCAAGTGAAGTTTTCTTAAGTTCTGTAATTGTTCTTCATATTCTGTGCATTCTGTTCCCCTTACTATCCTAGTCACTCTACTGTGCTTTAGTTTGTCCAGAAGTGAACACGAGAGTCCAGGTTTCCTTATCAGTGCGCATTTGAGCATGACTGGGCCCACATTACAATGAACACTCTACTTTAGTTTCTGAAGCCTGAGATTTCATTACCTTTTTTTTGGCAACCATGAAACTCTGCTGACACATATGGAACTTTCAATTAATAAAAACCTCTAGGATTGTTTCCCTTGTACTGTTACTAAGCCTTTCTGGGATCTGGTTATACTGCTTATACCCTCTGAATGATGCTACATGAAAAATTTCAAATCAACAACCATTGACCAACTATTTGATAATATTCATACTTGTAGATCAAAACTAGAATGTAATAGTGCCCATACCTGAAGGTCTAAAAAGTACTTTCCGATAGTTCTTATTATATTTATTTATTTTTCTCTGGGCATGAAGACAATCAGATTATAGTCAGCA
This sequence comes from Homo sapiens, assembly GCF_000001405.40. Classification (NCBI taxonomy): domain Eukaryota; kingdom Metazoa; phylum Chordata; class Mammalia; order Primates; family Hominidae; genus Homo; species Homo sapiens. The sequence continues at coordinate 50,285,859 of NC_000013.11, forward strand.
AACAATTTAAAGACTAAAATTTTCATAATTTATCTATTTATATCAGTATTGCTATTTAGAACACTGACCCTGCAAAGTTATATACCTAGTCCAACAATGCTTTCTTTGTTGGGTGATTAGGACAATAACATTTTTGAGGGGTGCCTACTTAGTGCTTAGTATTCAAACCATTTTTCAAACTTCAACTTTCGAATTACATTTAAACCCAGTGCATGAACCACACAGAAACATTATTCTCACTATTTTCAGTCACATTTCTTCTTTTCGAGTCCAAGGTTCTAGTTTAGTGGTCTTGTCTCCTATGACCTTTAGTCACCTCCTGAAATCAATTATATCCTCAATGATGGCTATTACTCCGTTCCCCCTTGAATATATTACTACATGTCCCCATGCAGGCCCCTGGAGCAGTCGTACCACTCAGATGGCCCAACAGCCTCACCAATGTCTTGCCTGCATCCTCTCTGTTTAAAAATAGGACTCCCAGAGATTCTACCTTGAGGCCCCAGATCCTGCCAAAAAGAGATTTGTTTCCTCCTCTGTTCTTAGACCAATTACCAAATAAAGCACTCCACAGAGAATCCAGATGAAATATTTCTCCACCCAGTTGGTAAGAAAAGTAATTAAACCAACCTGCTGTGCTGAGCAGGCCTGCAGCAATGTAACACTTAGTTATAGCAACAGCCATAGATAGGAACTCAGCTGCAGGCTCCTGTCAGACCGATCTGGGCATTTCTAACCACTGTCCTTAGCAACGTTCACAAAGGGCCCCGTCTTAGACTCAGAAAGGCAGCTCACAGCCCTTAGGGGTATGGTTTGAGGTAAAATAAAAAAATAAAAAATTTAAAAGCATGCATTAAGTGTGCTTCTCAGTCTGGCTGTTTGCAGAGCTTAGATAAATAAGAATAAGGGCCTACCTAGCTGGATCTAGCATTTGCTTGCTCTCAGAAGTTGCAGTGACAGGAGAAGAACTTTTGTTTGGCCAGATGTAGCCTTTGCTCTTATCAGCCACTCTTTCCCACCCTTGTTGGTACCATGAAGTTTAGGTAGCATATGACGTCTCCTAATAGAAATCACTACACATTCTGTAATCTGCAGTTCTTATTCAGGGCAATTCAAATCACTGTAATTTCTTTCTACTAACCAGATTTTGCTGAAATTCTGGAAAACTATGGAATACTTTTTTTTTGTTTGAAAAATCAAGCAACACATATTTCGTTTCAAATGGTAGACTGAACGAAGTAGTATAACTCATTTTCCTATGTCATCGCATAAAATTTGGTTAAAAATCTACTTAATCTTTCTCATATTATTAGCAAATGAAAAGGAAGAAGAAATGTCAAGCTGTCTAGCTGCAACAAGGAATATATCGCATTTTGTCAATAATAGTAATAATAATGATGATTGTGGGGCTGATGACAGTAATGATGCCATGGGTCTCTTTAGCTGGGAAAATTGACACAGTTGCATAGACTAGAGGTATGCAAGAAGTTAGTCTGAGTAATGTAAGTTTTAAAATTAGTGAAGCAAGAATTTTAATGATTTTAAAAAGGGTAGTACTAATACTGTGTATGTACAAAGCACTGTGAAATGTATAAAGCATTTTCACATTTCAACAAGGGATATTGAATCGATATTCCATAAGGGATATTGAAATGTGAAAAATCCCTTACTGAAAAGGGATTTTTCATTAAGGGATTTTGGAAAAGGAGGAAGCAGTGTTCAGATGGATTAAGTGGCAAGACCTGGATTTGCTGTTCTGTGTGCCACCAATTCTCAATTCAGTAAAACTGACTCAGTCAATCCAAGTTTTCCTGATTTGGTAGATTTATAAAAGCCTATATATTGAGCTCATCTGTGACATGCAGACTGTTTCTTAAAAAAATTATTTTTTATTTTAATGGTTTTTGGGGAACAGGTGGTGTTTGAATACATGAATAAGTTCTTTAGTGATGATTTCTGAGATTTTGGTGCACCCATCACCCAAGCAGTGTACATTGTACCCAATGTGTAGTCTTTTATCCCTCACTCTCCTCCCACCCTTTCCTCCGAGTTCCCAAAGTTTATTGTAACATTCTTGGTTTTCCATTCCTGAGTTAATTCACTTAGAATAATGATCTCCAATTCCATCCAGGTTGCTGTGAATACCATTATTTCATTCCTTTATATGGCTGAGTAATACTCCATTATATCTATATATCTATATAGATATATAACATTTTCTTTATCCACTCATTGATGGATGGACATTTGGGCTGGTTCCATATTTTTGCAATTGCAAATTGTGTTGCTATAAACAGGCATGTGCAAGTATCTTTTTCGTATAATGACTTCTTTTCCTCTGGGTAGATGCCTAGTAGTGGAATTGCCGGATCAAATGGCAGATCCACTTTTAGTTCTTTAAGGAATCTCCACACTGTTTTCCATAGTGGTTGTACTAGTTTACATTCCCACCAACAGTGTGAAAGTGTTCCCTTTTCATCACATCCACACCAACATCTATTTTTTTTTTTTTAAATGTTTTGATTATGGCCATTCTTGCAGAAGTGAGGTGGTATTGCGTTGTGGTTTTGATTTTCATTTCTCTGATAATTAGTGATGTTGAGCATTTTTCCATATGTTTGTTGACAATTTGTATATCTTCTTTTGAGAATTATCTATTCATGTGACATGTAGGCTCTTGATCCTAATGGTGACAAAAATATCTGTAATGGAGATGATATATTAATATTTTTCAGATATATTTCTATTATAAATTTTGGTATCTTGGGGGCTTCTCAATTATTGAAACAATGAGCTCAAAAGACCAATGTAAAAAGCTTTTCTAAATCTCTGTAGCCTCTCAGTGATATGGTCTGGAGGACTCAGATTATTTAGTTTTTTCTAGAAATGTTCAGAAGATTCCTGCTCTGCCTCTGTAGGCTGAACCAAAGGTCCTCCTGGATAGAAGAAAGACATGATGTTGAGGAAAATGAACAGTTTTCCCTTCTATTCTGAGAAGATTATGGAAATAAGATGGTCAGGTGTCGGAGCCCTTGTTTTTCTTTTCTTAGGGTCCAACTTGGGATAGGGAAGGGACTGTGGGTTTAGAAAGCAGTATCTGTATTGGTATGGATGGTCTGCAGAAACCTTTGCTCCTTTGAGCTACTGTAGTGAAGACTCAAGCCCTTAGGGAAATCATAGGTGTAGGCTTGGCACCGTGGCCATCATGGTGCCTGAGTGAGTGTAGGTGGTACCAGGAGCCCAGGTCTGCCATTCTGGACCCCAGGGACTTATGTAACTCCAAGTCCCAAGGAGGAGAGGTGGAGATGCTGAGGGCCCTGGTGAACCAGCAGAGGCCCTCATGCAGGAGAGAGTTCATTTTGGGTGAGGACTTAAAGATGAGAATAAATAGCTCGGATCTTGGGTTCCAGCAGTCGGTGCCAGCACATGATCTCAAATGGCCAGACAGGTCCATTTGTTCCTCTGTGGTCAGCAGTTCAGGGAGAAACTCAGTCTGGCTCCTCTGCAGCAGAGGCCCAGTGAGAATTCAGATGACCAGGTGAAGCTCTGAGGACCCCCTTTCTTCCTCTATCACGCCATCATTAATGAGCGTACCTGGCCCCTCCAACCAGTCACCTTCTTGAATTGGAGGATGGGGAGGGAAAGATTTTACACAAATAGATCAAGCAATTAATTAAAGAGACTGCCATAATTATTGCATCAGATCAAGGTTGATGGATTGAAAAAGCATTTTATATTATTTTTTCCAGGTTTGCTCTGGGGGTTTAGGCTTTGTGAGGATGATCAGATGAGTTACGTAGAGAAAGTAGAAATTTCCATATTTGATCAAATTTAAGATACAATTGATTATTAGAAGAACCTTTGTTTTATCAATTACTGAGAAAGAAAAAAGTTACCATATTAGTCAGGGTTCAAGCAAAGACATAGAACTAGTAGGAGCTATGTATTAAGAGATATATTGCAAGGAGTTGGCTTATATGATTGTGGGGGGTGGTTAGGCAAGTCTGAAATCCAAAGGGTAGGTCACTAGGAAGGGCAGGCTGAGACTCCCAGGCATGAGTCCATAGGCAAAATTCCTCTTTCACCAGGGAAGTCTCAACTCTGCACTTAAGGCTTTGCAACAGATCGAATCAGGCCCACCAAAACTGTCTAGGATAATCTTCCTTACTTATAGGCAACTGATTATGGACTTTAATCACATCTACAAATACCTTCAATGCAACACTTAGATTAGTATTTGATTGAATAGCTGGAGACTGTAGCCTAGTCAATTTGACACAAAAACTGACCATCACAGCTACCAATTAAACTATGGCAAGTTCTGGTGAGACATATTTCAATTTTAGAGGTGTTAAAATGTAAAAAAAATTTAGAGTTTATGACATGTGGTACATTTTCTGGGTATAGCGCAAGTAATTGAGAACTGTATTACCTAACTTTATTTAGTAATTCTGGGGATTAGTAGTGATTTTGTAATCTTGTAATGACTTGTAATTCTAGAGATTGGTAGTAATTACAACTACCCCTTTGCAGAGAGAAAGCCTGAGTACCAAGAAAGGGAAGTCACTTCCTGAGGATTACATCAGGCAGGGCTAGAATTAGGATCCTGTTTTCCACCCCCATGTTCTTTCAGTCCAGATCCCTGTATTTTATTAGAATCACAGGCAAAGAAGATTGGTGGAATGTGAATTGTGTTTCCCTGGCTGGTGTCCCTGATCACCTGAGAGTTCCAAAGTGTGTAAAATGATTTCGTGGAGCCTGATGGAAAGTCTGCATTTCATCTGAGGCAAAGTTTCATGGGCTAAATAAGATGTTAAGTTGCTTTGCTTTTGGCCAGAGTTTTATGTAGTCCCTTTGGTCACTTTTCTGTCATATGCTCATCAGAAGCTGTGATGACCAGTTATTTAAGTTGTGTGGGTCATTCTCCTGCTTCCTCTCAAGTTCATTCTCTACCTTCCCTCATTTTGCATCAAAGGGAATTAACTTTCCTAGGGTTACTTGCCAATGACTTCTGAGTAGCTTCAGCGAATGGGAGGCACCAGAGGAAGCCTAGAGGGTGGGAGAAGGGAGAAGCCAGGGAGTGAGTGGCTCCCTTCTTGCTCTGCCCTGGGCTGGGTCTCCCTCAGTGGCTGTGTTTCTGCAGTGGCTCTAACTTTGCTTGGATAGTCACTGCCTCCACAGTCCCATCCCACCAGGCAGCCTCCACCATAGTTCTGGCTCCCACTGATGGTCGTGGCTTTTGGAAGGCAATAGCAACGTCTCCTCTCATTGTTCCTTCGGCTCTAGGAATGGCAATGGCTTTCTGCTCTTGTCTCGCCACTCCTTAGGGACTCTTTCAGGTCTCCCATCACTTGCATAATGAATTCCTCATAGCAAATTTCCTGTATTTGGAATAGCTATAGTGGTCCCATGTTCCTGATATGTAGGATTAAAAAATTAATTATTCTGGGAAAAGTAAATCAGTTATTACTTGAGAGATACACATTTGGGTAGATACCATCATTCAAAACATGGCTTCTGTGTTAGGCTGTTTTTGTGTTGCTATAAAGAAATATCCATCTGGGTAATTTATAAAGAAAAGAGGTTTAATTGGCTCATGGTTCTGCAGGCTTTACAGGAAGCATGTCTCCAGCATCTACTTCTGGTGAGGTCTCAGGAAGCTTGCAATCATGGTATAAGGTGATGGGAAGCCAGTGTGTCACATGGGGAGAGCGAGAGCAAGAGGTAGGGGGAAGGTCCCAGACTTTTAAACAACCAGATCTCATGTGTACTAACTGAAGGCTTCCTTGCAATTCCTTAAAAAAGAATAGAATTGATTGCCATTTGAGAGCATGTGGACTGTTTGAAGGGAGGGCTAGAATTTGCTGTTCAATGTTTAGCACATTCTGGGAGCCTAGTAAGCACTGATTCGAGGAATCCAAGTCTTCCAGACTCATAAGCCATTCGTGAGTCATGTTATCACCAAGGAAATGGAGCTAAACCATTCCTGAGGGATCTGCCCCCATGATCCAGTCACCTCACAACAGGCCCCATCTCCAACACTGGGGATTACATTTTAACATGAGATTTGGGGGGGACAAACATCCAAACCATATCAGCTTCCAAGAGGAAAAATATGAAAAAGAAGAAAAGGGACCTTGGCAGTGAAAGGGCTGTAGAGGCACATATGGTAGTGCTGAAGGGAGCCTTAGCAGCCACCAGAGAAATAGGGGTACTTGTCCTGGGTCACTTAGCAGTTCATAAATGAACAACCAGGACCAGAATGCAGTTGTTTTTGCCTCCAGCCACATATTACATAGCACAGTTGGAAGCATTTGGAATCAGAGAGAACCAAGTTAAAAATCCCAGCTCCACTGTGCGTTTCCTCTGTGACTTCAGGCAAGCCTCTTACTGTCTCTGAATGTCAGTGTTCTCATCTTGAAATTGAAACTAAACTTCCCAGTGTTCATGAAACTGTAAGGAGTCACTTGTAAGTGTACTTGGTGGAGTGTTTGGCCAGAGTAGCCACTAAATATGTTACATTTCCTTCCTCCCATTCAGGACTTTTCTATAACACTATCCAGGAACAATTAAAATTTCCAAGAAGGTAGTTTCTTTCTTTTTTAAACTTTCTTAAAATCTCTGCCTTCCCCTTTTGCTGACTTTCAACAAAGCAAAATAAAGGAGCTGACCAAATGCTTTAATAATGTAACTTGGCTGGGCACGGTGGCTCACGCCTGTAATTCCAGCACTTTGGGAGGCTGAGGCAGGTGGATCACTGAGGTCAGGTGTTCGAGACCAGCCTGACCAACATGGTGAAACCCCGTCTCTACTAAAAATACAAAAATTAGCCAGGTGTGGTGGCAGGTGCCTGTAATCCCAGCTACTTGGGAGGCTGAGGCAGGAGAATTGCTTGAACCCAGGAGATGGAGGTTGCTGTGAGCCAAGATCGAGCCATTGCACTTCAGCCTGGGCGACAGAGTGACTCCATCTCAAAAAAACAAAAAACACAAACAAACAAAACCCTCAATGCTTTAAAAAAAATCTTGCAATTCCTTAAAAAAGAATAGAATTCATTGCCATTTGAGAGCAAGTGGACTGTTTGAAGGGAGGGCTAGAATTTGCTGTTCAATGTTTGGCACATTCTGGGAGCCTGGTAAACACTGATTCAAGGAGTCCAAGTCTTCCAGACTCATAAGCCATTTGTGAGTTAAAACAAGCCTCCTTTGAAGTGCTTGGACATCCTTCTCTACACTATCTTTAGTTGCCATTTTGCCCCTTACATTACAGTAAGAAGTACATTTGTATGGAGTTATACATGCCACAGGCCTGCTCTAGGACACTTGGCAATCAGCAATCGTTCAGACCTGCTTTCCTTCATTTTCCTTATTGGTTCCAGGTTGAACATAGGTCTTGTTACCGTTCAAGGGCCTGCTCCTATGGGCCCATGCCCCAGGAGCCCTAAGCCTTTTGGCCCAGTTGAAAAGCTGAGTTACATGAGAAGGTGACAGCCTCATAATGGCCCGTGTTCCAGCCCCAGCATTGTTACCCCCTACAATGCTGTTGTAGGAGTGTAAAGAAGCAGTCGCTTAGACTCCTAAATGCAGTTCTTCTCTCTCGAGACCACCTTGGATTGGAGAACACCCAAATGAGCAGGATTGCTTTTGCTTTCAAAAGAGTGATACCTGGAGCACAGGTATCCACCTCCCCCCATATCCCATGCTTTGAAAACTATGTTGTATTAGTGTTTTATTAACTGTGCTTGAATATTGGGCATCCTCCTATATTGCACCTTGATATTCTTGGCTGTATATAAAGAGTTGCTTCACTTTTAAGGAAGGTGGACTTAAAAGTTTATTGTTTGTGTTGTGATTTCCTTTCAAGTAGTTCCACTCTGTGTAACAATGATGCAAAGCAGGCGGAGAGCTGACCTAGGGCTTTCAAGTGGGGCAGAGGTAAGCAAAGAGATTTTTCCCTGATTAATGCTATCAGTTTAATTTTGTTGAATAAATGGGTGGAATTAGGTTGAGGAGTGTAGGTTCTTGCCAGATCCACCAGAAAAGGTGGTAGATATAGTTATAATTAGAGTAGTAATCAGAAGGGTTTAAATTCTGTGCAGATTGCTTTAACTCTCCATTTTAACATGTTTTTTTTTTTTCTTCCCTAGCAGATTACCAGAAATGGGGTTTCAGAAATGCAGTTCTAAGCATGACCTGGGGTGATGGGGCGCCTCTATTTATGGCAAATGGCTTTGACTTCTGTGGGACTGGGTCATATTGTTACAGCTGCAAGACTAAAAAGCATTTGAATGATTATATTTTGATTAGAATTCTTCCTACACTTTTAAGGAACATGGAAACTTCAGTCTCTTTTTCTCTCTCAATCTCTCTCTTTACTTTCTCTCATTCTATTTCTCTTCTACTTTCCCACATCCCCTTTTTGGAGACTGTGTTGTACTAATCTTTTTTTTCTTTTAATTATACTTTAAGTTCTGGGATACATGTGCAGAATGTGAAGGTTTGTTACATAGGTATACACGTGCCATGGTGGTTTGCTGCACCCATCAACCTGTCATCTACATTAGGTGTTTTTCCTAATGCTATCCCTTCCCTAGCTTCCCATCCCCCGACAGGCCTCGGTGTGTGATGTTCCCCCTCCCTGTGTCCATGTGTTCTCACTGTTCCACTTCCACTTATGAGTGAGAACATGTGCTGTTGGGTTTTCTGTTCCTGTGTTAGTTTGCTGAGAATGATGGTTTCCAGCTTCATCCATGTCCCTGCAAAGGACATGAACTCATCCTTTTTATGGCTGCATAGTATTCCACAGTATATATGTGCCACATTTTCTTTATCCAGTCTGTCGTTGATGGGCATTTGGGTTGGTTCCAAGTCTTTACTATTGTGAACAGTGCTGCAATAAACATACGTGTGCATGTGTCTTTATAGTAGAATGATTTATAATCCTTTGGGTATATACCCAGTAATGGGATTGCTGGGTCAAATGGTATTGCTGGTTCTAGATCCTTGAGGAATCACCACACTGTCTTCCACAATGGTTGAACCAATTTACACTCCCAACAACAGTGTAAAAACATTCCTATTTCTCCACATCCTCTCCAGCATCTGTTGTTTCCTGACTTTTTAAATTATTGCCATTCTAGCTGGCATGAGATGGTATCTCATTGTGGTTTTGATTTATATTTCTCTAATGACCAGTGATGATGAGCTTTTTTTTTTCACGTTTGTTGGCTGCATAAATGTCTTCTTTTGAGAAGTGTCTGTTCATATCCTTTGCCCATTTTTTATGGGTTTTTTTCTTGTTTATTTAAGCATTTAAGTTGTTTAAGCCATTTGTTTAAGTTCCTTGTAGATTCTGGATATTAGCCATTTGTCAGATGGGTAGATTGCAAAAATTTTCTCCCATTCGGTAGGTTGCCTGTTCACTCTGATGATGGTTTCTTTTGCTGTGTAGAAGTTCTTTAGTTTAATTAGATCCCATTTGTCTATTTTGGCTTTTGTTGCCATTGCTTTTGGTGTTTTAGTCATGAAGTCTTTGCCCACACCTATGTCCTGAATAGTATTGGCTAGGTTTTCTTCTGGGGTTTTTATGAGTTTAGGTCTTACATTTAAGTCTTTAATCCATCTTGAATTAATCTTTGTATAAGTTGTAAGGAAGGGATCCAGTTTCAGTTTTCTGCATATGGCTAGCCAGTTTTCCCAACACCATTTATTAAATAGGGAATCCTTTCCCCATTGCTTGCTTTTGTCAGGTTTGTCAAAGATCAGATAGTTGTAGATATGCAGCGTTATTTCTGAGGCCTCCATTCTGTTCCATTGGTTTATATATCTGTTCTGGTACCAGTACCATGCTGTTTTGGTTACTGTAGCCTTGCAGTATAGTTTGAAGTCAGGTAGCATGATGCCTCCAGCTTTGTTCTTCTTGCTTAGGATTGTCTTGGCTATACAGGCTCTTTTTTGGTTCCATATGAAATTTAAAGTAGTTTTTTTCTAATTCTGTGAAGAAAGTCAATGGTAGCTTGATGGGGATAGCATTGAATCTGTAAATTACTTTGGGCAGTATGGCCATTTTCATGATACTGATTCTTTCTATCCGTGAGAATTGAATGTTTTTCCATTTTTTTGTGTTCTCTCTTATTTTCTTGAGTAGTGGTTTGTAGTTCTCCTTGAAGAAGTCCTTCACATCCCTTGTAAATTGGATTCCTAGGTATTTTATTCTCTTAGTAGCAATTGTGAATGGGAGTTCACTCATGTTTTGGCTGTCTATTATTGGTGTATAGGAATGCTTGTGATTTTTGCACATTGATTTTGTATCTTGAGGCTTTGCTGAAGTTGCTTCTCAGCTTAAGGAGATTTTGGGCTGAGACGATGGGGTTTTCTAAATATACAATAATGTCATCTGCAAACAGAGACAATTTGACTTCCTCTCTTCCTATTTGAATACCCTTTATTTCTTTCTCTTGCCTGATTGCCCTGGCCAGAACTTCCAATACTATGTTGAATAGGAATGGTGAGAGAGGGCATCATCCTTGTCTTGTGCCAGTTTTCAAAGGGAATGCTTCCAGCTTTTGCCCATTCAGTATGATACTGGCTGTGAGTTTGTCATAAATAGCTCTTATTATTTTGAGATTCGTTCCATCAATACCTAGTTTATTAAGAGTTTTTAGCATGAAGAAGTGTTGAATTTTATCAAAGGCCTTTTCTGCATCTATTGAGACAATCATGTGGTTTTTGTCATTGGTTCTGTTTATGTGATGGATTATGTTTATTGATTTGCATATGTTGAACCAGGCTTGCATCCCAGGGATGATAAGCTGACTTGATTTTGGTAGGTAAGCTTTTTGATGTGCTGATGGATTTGGTTTGCTGGCATTTTATTGGAAATTTTCACATCGATATTCATCAGCGATATTGGCCTGAAATTTTCTTTTTTGTGTGTGTGTGTCTGTGCCAGGTTTTGGCATCAAGATGATGATGGCCTCATAAAATGAGTTAGGGAGGAGTCCCTCTTTTTCTGTTGTTTGGAATAGTTTCAGAAGGAATGGTACCAGCTCCTCTTTGTACCTCTGGTAAAATTCAGCTGTGAATCCATCTGGTCCTGGGCTTTTTTTTTTTTTGGTTGGTAGGCTATTAATTACTGCCTCAATTTAAAAACTTGTTATTTGTCTGTTTAGGGGTTTGACTTCTTCCTGGTTTAGTCTTGGGAGGGTGTATGCGTCCAGGAATTTACTAATTTCTTCCAGATTTTCCAGTTTATTTGCATAGAGGTGTTTATGATATTCTTTGATGGTAGTTTGTATTTCTGTGGGATCAGTGGTGATATCCCCTTTATCATTTCTTATTGTGTCCATTTGATTCTTCTCTCTTTTCTTCTTTATAAGTCTGCCTAGCAGTCTATCTATTTTGTTGATCTTTTAAAAAAAACCACCTCCTGGATTTGTTGATTTTTTTGAAGGGTTTTTCGTGTCTCTATCTTCTTCAGTTCTGCTCTGATCTTGGTTATTTCTTGTCTTCTGCTAGCTTTTGAATTTGTTTGCTCTTGCTTCTCTAGTTCCTTTAATTGTGATGTTAGGGTGTCGATTTTAGATCTTTCCTGCTTTCTCCTGTGGACATTTAGTGCTATAATTCTTTCTCTAAACACTGCTTTAGCTATGTCCCAGAGATTCTGGTACGTTATGTCTTTGTTCTCATTGGTTTCAACGAACTTATTTATTTCTGCCTTAATTTAGTTATTTACCCAGTAGTCATTCAGGAGCAGATTGTTCAGTTTCCATGTAGTTGTGTGGTTTTGAGTGAGTTTCTTAATCCTGAGTTCTAATTTGATTGCACTGTGGTCTGAGACACTGTTTGTTATGATTTCTGTTCTTTTGCATTTGCTGAGGAGAGTTTTACTTCCAATTATGTGGTTGATTTTAGAATAAGTGCGATGTGGTGCTGAGAAAAATGTATATTCTGTTGATTTGGGGTGGAGAGTTCTGCAGATGTTTATTAGGTCTGTTTGGTCCAGAGCTGAGTTCAAGTCTTGAATATCCTTGTTAATTTTCTGTCTCGTTGATCTCTCTCATATTGACAGTGGGGTGTTAAGTTTTCCCACTATTATTGTGTGGGTGTTTAAGACTCTTTGCACGTCTCTAAGAACTTGCTTTATGAATCTTGGTGCTCCTGTATTGGGTGCATATATATTTAGGATAGTTAGCTCTTCTTGTTGCATCGATCCCTTTACCGTTATGTAATGCTGTTCTTTGTGTTTTTTTGATCTTTGTTGGTTTAAAGTCTGTTTTACCAGAGACTAGGATTGTAACCCCTGTTTTTTTTTTTTTTTTTTTTTTTTTTTTGCTTTCCATTTGCTTGGTAAATATTCCTCCATCCCTTTATTTTGAGCCTATATGTGTCTTTGCACATGAGATGGGTCTCCTGAATACAGCACACCAATGGGTCTTGACTCTTTCCAGTTTGCCAGTCTGTGTCTTTTAATTGGGGCATTTAGCCCATTTACATTTAAGGTTAATATTGTTATGTGTGAATTTGATCCTGTTATTATGATGCTAGCTGGTTATTTTTACCATTAGTTGTTGCAGTTTCTTCAAAATGTCGATGGTTTTTACAATTTGATATGTTTTTGCAGTGGCTGGTACCAGTTTTTCCTTTCCATATTTAGTGCTTCCTTCAGGAGCTCTTGTAAGGCAGGCGTGGTGCTGACAAAATCTCTCAGCATTTGCTTGTCTGTAGAGGATTTTATTTCTCCTTCGCTTATGAAGCTGAGTTTGACTGGATATGAAATTCTGAGTTGAAAATACTTTTCTTTAAGAATGGTGAATATTGGCCTCCACTCTCTTCTGGCTTGTAGGATTTCTGCAGAGAGAAGGAGAAGTCTGATGGGCTTCCCTTTGTGGGTAACCCAACCTTTCTCTCTGGCTGCCCTTAACATTTTTTCCTTCATTTCAACCTTGGTGAATCTGACAATTATGTGTCTTGGGGTTGCTCTTCTCGAGGTGTGTCTTTGTGGTGTTCTCTGTACTTCCTGAATTTGAATGTTGGTCTGTCTCGTTAGGTTGGGGAAGTTCTCCTTGATAATATCCTGAAGTGTGTTTTCCAGCTTGGTTCCATTCTCCCCATCACTTTCAGGTACACCAATCAAGTGTAAGTTTGGTCTTTTCAGATAGTCTTATATTTCTGGAAGGTTTTATTTGTTCCTTTTTATTCTTATTTCTCTAATCTTGTCTTCATGCTTTATTTTATTAAGTTGATCTTTAGTCTCTGATATCCTTTCTTCTGCTTGATTGATTGGCTGTTGATACTTGTGCATGATTCACAAAGTTCTCATGCTGCGTTTTTCAGCTCCATCAAGTCATTTATGTTCTTCTCCAAACTGGTTATTCTAGTTAGCAATTCCTCTAACCATTTTTTAAGGTTCTTAGCTTCCTTGCTTTGCGTTAGAACAGGCTCCTTTAGCTCAGAGGAGTTTGTTATTACCCACTTGCTTTCCATTATCTTATTTAAGCAATGCAACAACATTTTGAGATAAGAATTTATATTAGTGTATGGGACATATAGATCAAGTGCTTAGCACACATGCCCATATACATGTACACACACATCCCCATGCCGCTGATAGAATTTTTCAATTTAAATAACTGAAATGGCAGTGAAATACCCCAATTTTCAGCCTATAAGGCTATTGGGCATTTTTGTTTTGGCATGGCAAAATAATCCCAATATAGCCCATCTTTCCCACTGATTACAACTATAAACTCTGGACAAAATACAAACAAAACAAAATACTATCTGAGGATTTTGAAAAGTAAACCGAAACAGGCAGATTGTTGAAGAGGGTCAAAACTTGGACAAGTAACCACTGGTGGTGAGTTTCACATTTTTTCCATTCTTTCTTAACAGCTGTACCCAAAGGGTTCTCATTATGGAGCAGCGAGGGAATGGTGGCAGCGTGGGCAGATAAAATCTCAATAGAAACCCAGTCCTACTGGCTAGAGTAACTAAGAAAAGGGGCTCTAGGGGGATGGAGAGTGAGGAGAGAATACCAGAGTGGAGAGAACTGGAGAAAAAATTCCCAATTCTGTATATGAATCTGCACAAGTCTCAGGCTCATTCTCAAAGAAAAAGAGGAGTAATAGATGCAACTAGCATAGTACAGGTTTTGACAACCAAACTGAGGTTTGAACCACTGCCCACAGATGGCAAGATAGAACTTGCAGTCTAAGCCTAAACAGTTGATTGCCATAAAACAAGAACATCAACATTCTACAGAGGATTATAATAGGATCCAGTGCCTGTAAAATGTAAATCCACAATGCCCAGATACCATTCCAAAGTTATATGACATATAAAAAAGCAGAAAAATGTGTTCACATTTTTACCCCAGTGGAAAAGATAATCAACATATGACCAGATCAAGGTGACCCAGATGTTGGAATCATCAGACACAGGCTTTAAAATAGCTATTATAGCTGCATACCATGGAGTAAGGAATCCATCCTTGAAATGTATGAGAAGATAGAAGTGGATATCTTAAAACTGCAAAAGAATAAAATGAAAAATTTAGAACTGAAAAATGCAGTATCTGAAAACTGGATGGGCTGAATAGCAAAATGAAAATATAGAAGAAACACCCCAGTGAACTTAAGAATAGATCAATAGAAGTTATCCAATCTGAAGAACAGAGAAAAAATATTGAAAAAGAGGAACACAACCTTAGCGACCTGTAGCATAATATCAATAGGTGTCACTGGAATCTCAGAAGGAAAGGAGAAGAAGACTGGGATAGACAAATATATCTGAAGGAATAATGGCCAGCATTTTTCTCAAATTTGGTAAAAGACACAATTTACAGATCCAAGAAGCTCCATGAACCCTGAACAGGATAAAATCAAAGAATATGATACCTGATACTCATGGAAATAAAAGCTATAAAAACCAATGATGAATTTTAAAATCCTGAAAGACATTAGAGAAAAAAAGCACATTACATTCAGAGGACCAGTCATTCAGATGACTGCAGATTTCTCATCAGAAGCCATGGAAGGCCAGAAGACAGTCAAACAGCATCTTGAAAGTGCTGCAAGAAGAGAACTGTTAACTTAAAATTCTTCATTCAGTGGGTATGTCTTCCAGGAATGAAAGCAAAATAAAGACATTCTCAGATTAAAAAATTTAACAGAATATATTGCCAGGAAATCAGCATTATGAGAAATGCTAAAGTAAGTTCTTCAAGCTGATAGGAAATGATACCAGAGCAAACCTTGGATCTTCAGGAATGAAAGAAGAGCAACAGAAATGGTAAATATTTTTCCCTGTGCTTAGGTACTACCACTGAAAACAAATTTACATTTCTGGAGGGATTTTCAATATATGTAGATATAATACATATAACAGCCGTACCATAAAGGTTAGTTGAGGAGATAAAAGTTAAGGAGGTAGACCGGGCGTGGTGGCTTATGCCTGTAATCCCAGCACTTTGGGAGGCTGAGGCAGATAGATCACAAGGTCAAGAGATTGAGACCATCCTGGCCAACAAGGTGAAAACCCCATCTCTACTAAAAATATAAAATTAGCTGGGCGTGGTGGCGTGTGCCTGTAGTCCCAGATACTTGGGAGGCTGAGGCAGGAGAATCGCTTGAACCTGAGAGGCGGAGGTTGCAGTGAAGCCAAGATTGCACCACTGCACTCCAGCCTGGTGAAGGAGTGAGATTCTGTAAAAAAAAAAAAAAGTTGAGGAGGTAAAAGTCTTATGGTTGTAAGACTTCTACAATTTACATAAAATGGTAGCATAGGAACTCTGTCTAGAATATGATATATGATATATATACCTGGGGTGTGTGTGTGTGTGTGTGTGTATATATATATATATATATATACACACACATATACATATATATATACATACATATACATATATATATATACACACATACATATACATATATATATATACACCTGGCCTTCATAATATTATATTGTATCTATATATGTTATATAGGCTGGGTGCAGTGGCTTACACCTATAATCCCACACTTTGGAAGTCCAAGGTGGGCGGATAACCTGAGGTCAGGAGTTTGGCCAACATGGCGAAACCCCATCTCTACTAAAAATACAAAAATTAGCCAGGTATGGTGGCAGGCGCCTGTAATCCCAGCTACTCGGGAGGCTGAGGCAGAAGAATCACTTGAACCTGGGAGGCGGAGGTTGCAGTGAGCAGAGTTTGAGCCATTGCACTCCAGCCTGGGACAGAGTGAGACTGTCTCAAAAAAAAAAAAAAAAACACCAAAACAAAACATATATATATATATTATATATACCACATATATAAATAAAAAACTCCAAAAAACCAAAACAAAAAGATATAGTGAAAAAACTGAAGATAAATTAAAATAGAATACTAAAAAATATTCAAAGAATCCAAAACAAGCAAAAAAATAAAAATAAAAAAGGAATGGAGGTAAGAGAATAGCAACAACAAAAGCAGGAGACAAATAGAAGCCAAAAATAAAAATGGAAGGGCTAAATTCAATTATAGCAATAATTCCATTAAATGTTAATGATCTTAATACTCCGTTAGAAGGCAAGGGTTGACAGAGTGCATAAAAATCAAGACGCTACTACTATATGCTGCCCCTAAGAAATACACTTTAAATATAAATATACAAAAAAGGTTGAAAATAAACAAATGTAAAATGTATATACCATACAAATAGTAAGAATGAGAAGATTGGATTGGTTATTTTAATATCAGATAAAACAGACTTCAAGACAAAGAGTATTTCTAGAGACAAAGGGGGGGATTTCATAATGATTGAAGGGTCATTTCGTCAGGCAGACACTTCATTCATACGTGTACACACACCTAATAAGAGAGACTTAAAATACTGCAGTAAAGATTAACCAAATTACAGGGAGAAATAGAAATTCCATAATTGTGACAGAAGATTTTAATATCCTTTCTCAATATTTGATGGAACAACTAGACAAAAAAGCAGTAAAGGTATAGTTTTAACATTGTAAACCTCCTTGATTTAATTGATATTTATAGAACACTACATCCGACAACTGCAGAATACCTATTTCTTTCAAATGCACATAACATTCACCAAGACGAACAATGACGGCTAAAAAAAAAAAAAGAAAAAAAAAGGATGGTAAGCTATAAAACAGATTTCAAAATGTAGAAGAAGCAAAATCATAGGAAGTATATTTCTGAACACAACAGAATTAAGTTAGAAATCAATAACAAGATATCTAGGAAAACCTCAAGTATTATGAATTGAATAGCATACTTCAAATATTTCATAGGTCAAAGAAAAAAATGACAAGAGAAATTAGAAAATATTTTATCTGAATGATAATGCAAATATACAAAGTTTGTGAAAAGAGCTAAAGCAGTACTTAAAGTGAAAACTATGGCTTTAAATGCTTATGTTAGAAAAGGAGAAAGATTTAAAATCAATAACCTAAGGTCCTACCTTAAGAAACTAAAAGAAGAGCAAAGTAACCCTAAAGTAGTAGAAGGAAGTCAATAATAAAGATAGTAGAAATAAAATAGAAAACAGACAAGCGAAAGAGAAAAATCAAGAAAACCAAAAGCGAAGTTTTTGAAAAGATGAACCCCAAACCTCTAGCTAGATTGGCCAAGGAAGAGAGAGAAACAAATTACCAATATCAGCAATAAAAAGGAATTCTAACCACAGATTCTATAGACAATAACAAGATAATAAGAAAATGCTATGTTATCGAATTCTACCACTTAAATAAAATGGACAGATTTCTTGAAAAATGTAGCTTACCAAAATTGATGCAAGATGAAATAAAAAATTTAAATGGTGCTATTTTTTTGAGAATATAATTATTTTACCTTTTATTTAATGCTTTGTGTATTGTTTGAATTTTTCTTTTGTTCAACTATGTGTGAATGTATTTGACAGTTAAAATGAAAAAATTTTAATTTTTTAATATTATATTTTCTTTTTTTAAAACTTGTATTTTAGGTTCAGGGGTACATGTGGAGGATTGTTATATAGGTAAATTGCATGTCATGGGGGTTTGGTGTACAGATTGTTTCATCACCGAGGTGATAAGCATAGTATCTGATAGGTAGTTTTTTGATCCTCACCTTCCTCCTGCTCTCTACCCTCAAGTAGGCCCTGGAGTCTATTGTTCCTTTCTTTGTGTTCATATAAACTCAATGTTTAGCCCCCACTTATAAGTGAGAACATGTTATATTTGGTTTTCTGTTCCTGTGTTAGTTTGCTTGGGATAATGGCCTCCAGCTTCATCCATGTTGCTGCCAATGACACGATTGCATTCTTTTTTTATGGGTGCATAGTATTCCGTTGTGTTTACGTACCATATTTTCTTTATCCAGTCTACCACTGATGAGCACTTAGATTGATTCCATGTCTTGCTATTGTGACTAGTTCTGTAGTGAACATAACATGTGAATGTGTCTTTATGGTAGAACAATTTATACTTCTTTGGGTATATACTCAATGATGGGATTGCTGGGTCAAATGGTAATTCTGCTTTAAATTATTTGGGAAATTGCCAAGCTGCTTTCCACAATGGCTGAATTAATTTACATTTCCATCAGCAGTGTATAAGCAGCGTACAACCTTATACCAGTGTATAAGGTTGTAGTGTATAATCTCTGTAATCTTGCCAGCATCTGTTATTGTTTTTTTCAGTAATAGCCACACTGACTGGTGTGAGATGGTATCTTATTGTGGTTTTGATTTGCATTTCTCTAATGATTCGTGATGTTGAAAATTTGTTCATAAGCTTGTTGGCTGTGTGTACTTTTGAAAAGTGTCTGTTCATGTCCTTTGCCTACTTTTTAATGGCATTGTTTATTTGCTTATTAATTTGTTTCTTATAGATTCTGGATATTAGACCTTTTTTGGATACATAGTTTGCAGATATTTTCTCCCATTCTGTTGTCTGTTTACTTTGCTGATAGTTTCTTTTGCTGTGCAGCTCTTTAGTTTAATTAGGTCCCATTTGTCAATTTTGTTGTTGTAATTGCTTTTGGCATCTTCGTCATGAAATGTTTGCCAGGCCCTATGTCCAGAATGGTATTTCCTAAGTTATCTTCCAGGGCTTTTATGGTTTTACACTTAAGTCTTTAAGCCATTATGAGTTGATATTTGTATATGGTGTAAGGAAGGGTTCCAGTTTCAATCTTCTCCATATGGCTAGCCACTTATCCCAGCACCACTTATAGAATAGGGTGTCCTTTCCCCATTGCTTATTTTTTGACTACTTTCTCAAAGATCAGATGGTTGTACATGGGCAGTTTTATTTCTGGGCTCTCTATTCTGTTCCATTGGTCTATGTATCTGTTTTTGTGCCAGGACCATGCTGTTTTGGTTACTGTAGACTTGTTGTATAGTTTGAAGTGAGGTAATGTGATGCATCCAGATTTGCTCTTTTTGCTTAGGATTGCCTTGGCTATTTGGACTCCTTTTTGATTCCATATGAATTTTAAAATAGTTTTTTTCTAATTCTATGAAGAATGGCATTGGTAGTTTGATAGGAAAAACATTGAATTTGTAAATTGCTTTGGGCAATATGGCCATTTTAACAATATTGATTCTTCCTGTTCATGAGCATGAAATGTTTTTCCATTTGTCTGTGTTATCTCTGATTTCTTTCAGAAGTGTCTTATAATTTGTGTTGTAGAGGTCTCTCACCTCTGTATTCCTAGATATTTTATTCTTTTTGTGGCTATTGTAAATGGGTTGCATTTTTTATTTGGCTTTCAGCCTGGGTATTGTTGGTGTATAGGAATGTTACTAATTTTTGTACATTGATTTTGTATCCTGAAACTCTGCTGAAGTTGTTTATCAGATCTAGGAGCTTTTGGACAAAGACTATGGGGTTTTCTAGGTATAGGATCATATTTTCTGGAAACAGGGATAGTTTAATTTCCTTTCTTCCTGTTTGGATGCCTTGTATTTCTTTCTCTTGCCTGATTATCCTGGCTAGGACTTCCAGTACTATGTTGAATAGGAGTGGTGAGAGAGGGTATCCTTGTCTTGTTCCAGTTCTCAAGGGGAATGTTTCTAGCTTTTATCCATTCAGTATGATATTGGTTGTGGGGTTTTTCATCGACGGCTTTTTTTTTTTTAGACTGAGTTTCACTCTTGTTGCCTAGGCTGGAGTGCAATGGCACAATCTCGGCTCACTGCAACCTCCGCCCCCCGAGTTCAAGCAATTCTCCTGCCTCAGCCTCCCAAGTAGCTGGGATTACAGGCGCCCACCACCATACCCAGCTAATTTTTTCTATTTTTAGTGGAGACGGGGGTTTTATCATGTTGGCCAGGCTGGTCTTGAACTCCTGGCCTCAAGTGATCTGCCTGCCTCGGCCTCCCAAATTGCTGGGATTACAAGCATGTGCCACCGTGCCTGGCTGGCTCTTACTATTTTGAGGCATGTGCCTTCAGTGCGTAGTTTGTTGAGGGTTTCTTTTTAATGTGAAGCAATGTTGAATTCTATTGAAAGCCCTTTCTCCATCTGTTGAGATAATCACATGGTTTTTGTTTTTAGTTCTGTTGATGTGATGAATCACAATTATTAATTTACTTATGTTGAGCCAAGCTTGCATCCCAAGGATAAAGCCTACTTGATCACTGATTAACTTTTTGATGTGCTGCTGGATTCTGTTTGCTAATATTTTGTTGAAGATTTTTGCATCAATGTTCATCAAGGATATTGGCCTGAAGTTTTCTTTTTTTGTTGGGTCTCTGCCAGGTTTTGGTATCAGGATGATGTTGTCATTGTAGATCGAGTTAGGGGGGAGTCCCTCCTCTTCAATTTTTCAGAATAGTTTCAGTAGGAATGGTATTATTTAGATTTTGGGCATTATTTGAATTTTTTTCTTTTTCATTTTTTTCTCTTTTTTAAAAAATAATTTTAACTTTTATTTTAGATTCAGGTGTACATGTGCAGATTTGTTACCTGGGTATATTGCATGGTATATCCAGGTTTGGGATATGCTTGATCCCATCACACAGGTACTGAGCCTAGTACCCAATAATCAGTTTTTCAGCCCTCGCCCGCCTCTCTCCTTCCTCCCTCTGCTAATCCCCGGTGTCTGTTGTTGCCATCTTTATGTTCATGAGTACCCACTGTTTAGCTTCCACTTATAAGTGAGAACATGCAGTATTTGGTTTTCTGTTCCTGCATTAATTTGCTTAGAATAATGGCCTCCAGCTCCATCCACATTGCTGCAAAGAACACGATTTCATTCTTTTTTATGGCTGTATAGGACTCCATGGTGTATCTGTACCACGTTTTCTTTATCCAATCCACTGTTGACGGGTATCTAGGTTGATTCCATGTCTTTGCTATTGTGAAGAGTGTTGCGATGAACATGCAATTGAGTGTATCTTTATGGTAGAATGATTTATTTTCTTTTGGATATAGATCCAGTAATGGGATCGCGGGGTTGAATGGTAAGGCTGTTTTAAGTTCTTTGAGAAATCTCCAAGCTGCTTTTCACAATGGTTGAACTAATTTACATTCCCACCAACAATATATAACCATTCCTTTTTCTCTGCAACCTCACCAG
Organism: Homo sapiens; assembly: GCF_000001405.40. Classification (NCBI taxonomy): domain Eukaryota; kingdom Metazoa; phylum Chordata; class Mammalia; order Primates; family Hominidae; genus Homo; species Homo sapiens. The sequence goes on from NC_000013.11 coordinate 50,307,432, forward strand.
TATCTGTTGTTTTTTGAGTTTTTAATAATAGGTATTCTGACTGGTGTGAGATGATATCTCATTGTGGTTTTGATTTATGACCCTGGGTAGTCAAAGGTTTCTTAGGTAGAACACAAAATTCATTAATTGTAAAGAAAAAAATTGATTACTTAGACTTACCAGAATTAAAACATTAGTTCCTTGAAAGACACCATAAAGAGAACAGAAATGCAAGCCACACACTGGGAGAAAATATTCTTAGCTCATGTATTAAACAGAAGACTTGTATTCAGAATATACAAAGAACTCTTACAACTCCAAGAAAATGGTTAAAAGGTTTAAACAGATACTTCACAAAAAAATGGTATATAAACGGTGCAACAACGCACTTAAAGATGGTTCAACATCACCCCTTAGAATAGCAAAAATCAAAAAGACCCAATGCTGGCAAGGCAAAGCTGTGGAGCAACTGGAACTCCCACAATTTGCTGATGGGACTTTAAGATGGTGCAACCATTTTTGTTGTACCATTTGGAAAACAGCTTGGCAGTTTCTGAAAATGTTAAACATATGCCTATAGCATGACCCAGCCATTCCACTCCTGGGCATTTACCCAAAAGAAAGCATATGTTCCTACAAAACCTGTACATGAATGTTCACAGCAGCTTTATTTTTAACGGTTCCAAATTGAAAACAACTCAAAGGTCCATCAACAGGTGACTGTATAAATAAATAGTGATTTATACAATGGACTACTACTCATCAATACAAAGGAATGAACTATGGATGCATATAACAACATGGATGAATCTCAAAATCATTTTGGTGAATAAAAGAAGCCAGGCACAAAAGGATACATACTGTTTGATTCTATTCATATAAAATTCTGGAAAACACAATTTTATTCTAGATCCTTTATTCTTTGAATAGTTGAATTTTAATTCCTTTTATATTTTCCATGTAAAGTTTAAGCCCTTTAAAACATCCATGTGCAGAAGTTGAGAGAGGGAAGAAGTGTAGGCCAAAGATGTAGCATTGGAAGTCAAGAAGAAAATAGTCTTTATAATCTCAGGAGTGACATATTTAAATAAGGAAAGTGTAGCAAAAAGAAAGTTTAGGACTGAGTTCTGAGGAACACAAACAATTCAAGGTGGGTAAATGAGGTAAAGCCAGTACAGGAAGCTGAGGAGGAACAGCTAATGGGGTTGAAGGAAACCCAGGACAATGTATGATCAGAGAAACCAACAGAGAAACATGCTTCAAAAAGGAATGAAGGGTTAACTATGCCCAACTCCACCAAAAGCTGAGTAAGTTGAGGGTATAATTAGTGCCCAAGAACTATGGGAGTTTGAATTTGCAAACAGAAAAAAAAAATAAGTAGAGCTTTGCAACTATGCAAGTAGTTACTTGCTAGTATATAACAAATTTTGCTTAACTTATTCTTGAATTAACAGGTTTTTTATTTCAAGGAGTACAAAATTAGAAATAATTAAAATAAAAATAAAAAATAGGTTCAAAATACACAAAATCCTAGTTACTATAGACCGTTTCGATGTTTCACCGGGTACAGAGGTTATTAAATTACATTATTAACTTTTAACTCTTTGATAGTCACCATCTTTACTGCTCTTGAAATTTTAATTATAAACCATTATTTATCTTATTACTATAATTTTTACTGTCATAATCAAAGAATTTCTGAGATTTTCAACCAACCCATATGATGAAGGTATGAAACATCTTTTTATCACCAAGATGGGAAAACAATGGCAAACTCTTGCATCAATCAAGTTAAATGAATTGGTTATAGATGGTTCTTAGTGTTGGATTTTCACCTGAAGTATCTGCCATCAGCCTTTCATGGGAAATATTTTAATTTAATTTTGAAATTAAAACAGTGGTGTAGTTTCATTTTGATTTGTATAGAAAAGGGCTTAGATAGTAATGCAGTATAAACAACCCTGACAGAAATCTTGATTTATCGGTTCTTGGGGGATTCAGCAAAGGCTTTAGGGCATGAAAGGCATAAAGAAAACTTGGCAGGAACCAGAGCAGAGGAAGGCAAGATACTAGCCAGCTAGCATGGTGTTTTTTCCCTGTTCTCTGACAGAAGGAGGACAGCCATGTGAGGAAGATAATCATGGCAGCAAAAGTTGCTAAAGAAAGTTGCTTAAGCTAAAATCATCAAGGAATTTGAGGCAATGACAGTTCATCATCTAGAGAGATGGACTCTAACTGGATGAATATACAAAGCTCTGCTTTCTGAGAAGCAGGATACGTCTGCTGAGAGACAGCTGGGAGTGAACTAAGCTTCATTCTGCAATCTTTTTGCTGACATTTGCCATAATATTTTCAGTGATGTGTAAGAAATGCAATTCTGTAATTACATGGTCTCCTGGCTGTGGTCTCCATCCAAAGCATGATAGTGTCTGGACCCCCACCCTAAGAGTTTAACACCTCCTGAGTGTACAGGCTCATTTTGGCCCTAATGGAGAGAAAACCAGCAGTGCAGAAATTCCTCAGGTGCAGCACGGTCCATGATAGGAGCCCACTGAGTAATAAATGCCAGAGGAAGTTAGGGTGAAAGAGACAACCCTGCCAGTAATGGTTTTTAAAGGCTCCATGGAAACTCTTAACCTTTCACCACCTTAAGGCAAAGAGGGACTGCTCTGTCCTCCTTCATATGCAGACTCTACTTTCCTTTGTGGTTTCCTTTTCTCTGTGCAGTTGCCTTCAGTCGAGTTTGATAGAGTGGAAGGGTGGGGAAATAGAGGAAATGGAAGAGAAGAAAGAGAGTGATTTTCTTCATCCTGTCCTGGATCTGGATCCCTTTTAATAGGATCTCTCCTGGACAGTTCTGAGCACTTCGAAGTGCATCCAATTCAGGTCACAGTAGGTGGGCAAAGGACTTCAGACCCTGGAGACACAAAGGTAACAGCTCCTCTTTACACTGCCACCGTCTGCTTTTTAGTAGGAAACCTGGGAGCCCCGGGCAGCTACCTTAATGTAGATAAGAGCTGGCGGGGTGAGGAAAAGCGCTGGGCTGTGAGTCAGGAGATTTGAGCCCCTGCTTACTAATTGAATGATTCTGGGCCAGTTACTTAAGTTTCTCTGTGTCAGCTTCTCATTTTTAAAATGGGAAAAACAGTACTCACCCTATCTCTTTAAAGGGCCATCCTAAGGATCTGAAGATGATGTACATGCAAGTCCCTATTGGACCATAAAAGTTTATTAAAAGTTAAGTATAAAGGCTCTTAAGAAGTTACATTAATTAAGAATATTTTAATTTAAAGATCTGAAATATATTAGGGGACTTTCTTCTTGAAATCCCATGGTGATTCTCGTGTAATATGAAGAAGGAAAGTTGATGGGTGTCTTCTCTAACGAGAACTCTGATTAGTGGAAGGTTAAGGGGGTGATATCAAATAGGTAAACAGAGAAAGATTGTTTCAATTGCAGGAACTAGAATGTGTGTAGTGAAGGAAAAACCACAGACTGAACTTTGGAAGGAGTCCCATGCAGGTTTGTAATCTTCATGTAGGGCAGAGCTTCCCAATGGGTGGGTGTGAATAGATTACAGGCATGAAATATTGGTCTGGATTAGTTGCCTTGATGGAGAACACAGTCGTAGGTGGCCACCCCGAATCTCTGCCTTCACACATTGATAGGTCTGTTCCTGCGTTATTGTTATCGATATGCCCATGGAGTGACATCTATGTTATCTTCAGGAGCACCGCACTAATAATGACTTGTGTGCACTCTGCCCATTAGAATTTCATTATTATTTTGAAATTCTTAACGTGAAAAAATTTGGTTTTGCAACACATTTATATTATCAGCTAATATTTTAATTTAAAAGAAGAGCTTAGATTCTTTAAACAGCTTTAATAATTATGAATTTCTGAATGATTATAAGATGTTTAAACAATTTTAATCACTTGCTTGTGCAAAGTTTTGCTTGGTGTTACTGAGAATTTTAAAGACAGCATGATTTTAAGAAGCCTAGTGAAGAAGCACATGTAGCCATTTTATGCATAAAACCTTATAGGAAAAAGTTAGATTCAAAGGCGTAAGCTGAAATTTTTAAATAAAAATTTGAAAAGATCTTATTTGGAAGTTTAAAATAATTCAATACTTAATAGCTTCCCTAATACTTTCAGTTTTCAATCATAAATATATAAGAAAGTCATAGTGATTTCTCTCAGCTTTCTTCCAATTTACTCCATTGTGTCACACAAGTATTATCATTGCCTCTGACTGCCATGACATGACACCATTGGAGAGCAGTAAACTAAAGAAAGGCCCATCACTTGGTTATTGGCTATCTAATTGTTATTGAGTTTCCTGTGAGCTGGTAGTACCTTGCTTCATCAGCTTAACCCACTGCCAAAAGTTCTTTATGCTTCTTCTTTGTATTATGAGCACATTTTCCTCTAAAGCTCTTAAGTACTTGTAAATCAAGGCTGGCATTAGGGTGTTTGGATACAGAGATTATGGATAGTAAATGTGAATTTCTTAATTCATTGCAATTCCAACACTACCCCTGAGAAAACAGCCCAAGCCACATGGTACTTAGAGGTAAAAGTTCTCTCTTGATCAAAGACAGGTTTCTTTTATGAGCTGGTTTCTTAGAGCCTTCTCTTGATTTTGCAGGAAAATGGGGGTGGCTGCCCCCATCCAGTACTCAGGGCTCTCCTGAAAGTGCTGGCTGTGGGCTGGTAGATATCCACTTTCCAGAGCCTACTGGGATGTGGAGTTCTTGCAGCAAGGAAACCCTCCTGCTGTCCCTGGGGCTAGGGAAGGTGTCTGGTGGGAATTCTAGGTATCTTTCTGCCAGTAGTAAATTACTTCATGTTTGACTTCAAGTTCTTAGGTTCAATTTTTTAGGTATTAAAATTGGTGAGGGTAAATGTAGTAACTTACTGTTTTCTTCCAACAATAAACACTCAACTCTGGATGACACAGTTGGGGCTTTTTATAATGACTTTGGCAATTTATGGCAGCATGGTATAGTGAAAAGAACATAGCTTCTGGAATCAGACAGGCCTAAGTTCAAATTTGAACTCTGTCACTTACTAGGTGGCCTTAACCTCTCTGAGTCTCAGTTTCTTTACCTGTGTAATGCAAACAATACCCTAACTCCTGGGATTGGGACAAGATTTAAAATGGGAGAACATATGGCAAGCACCCAGTTTAATGCTTGGCACGTAGTATTCAGTCAATGACAGGTATTATTGTTATTGCTCTATTATTAGCCCGTAATTACATTCAAAAGGACATGTATTCAGATAAACATTACTAGCAGCTTGAGCAGGTGATAGGGCATTTGTAATTTAACTTGTGTGCTTATTTCAGACTCAAAAATTACTTTATCTCAGAAGTAAATCAGAACTCCTTTCCCTTCTCACCCTGGACTAGGGGTAGATAAAGGGGTGGGGCTGCTTCACTAACCTTCTGTGGGTTAAAGACTAAATGAAGACTTTCTAAAAACCAGAATGCTAACAGTGGTTCCCTCTGGTAAGTGGGACTTCAGGTGCTTTTTCCTTTCTTGGTATTATTCTGAAGTCTAAAAAGTCAAGCTATTTTCATTTTGTAAACATAAACCAGACCAAAGATGCGGAATGGTAAATTTTTTTATTTCTTTGAAAACTTCGTTCAGCAGCTGCACACATCCCACCCCCCCACCCCATCCAACCCCACACTCCCCAACCATGTATCCTACTAAGTCGGTCAACTCGGTCCCTGGCTCCTACCAGGGGCATCATGGTGCTGGAAAGGTTTTCTCGTTTTCCTCCAGGCAGGAGGGAACATGATCTACAGGCAATCAATGAAAAGCAGCAGCAAAGTAACGCGGGTAATGTTCAAAAATAAGACAAAACAAAAAACCTAACTGCAAGCTTCAGAATCTGGGAAACCAGCTAGAAGAAGAGAGGGAGGGAAGTGGGGGAAGCAGGACGGATAAAAATACAGTTACAACAAGAAGGAAATGGAAAATAAATAAAGGAAATTCCTTCACCCAAACTAAGTCCCTTGAGGGAGATTTGTTAGAATGGATGGTGGTTGGGGGGCAGGGGAGAGGGGATAAAATTCATGTAGGACTGTACAATTTGTGGGGGATTCTTCTAAAATCATTTCAAAAAGGACAGCCAAGCAGAATTCATACAGGACTCATTTGGATTTATTACTCTCTTTTGCAGTCTACACTTTCTGAAGTGTGGATTTATGAGTTTTAGATCATTTGTTTCCCGTCCCACTAAGGTAAATAGCTCAGTGCGTTTGGTGCATTTATGATTGTTGTGCAGAGGAGTGCAGCTGATGAATTACTTCCTTTCATTTATCTTTTGACCAGAAAATGTATGGTTTTCTAGCAATTTAACTTTTAATCTGTAACATTTTTCTTCTCAGTTTTGTTGCAGGTGCAGTATAGCTGTTTCTAATCTAGGGAGGTTGGGTGGCCCAGAGGTTAGATCTATGCTATCAAATATGGTAGCCCCTGGCTGGTAAGCACTTGAAATGTGGCTAGTCTGAATAGAGATGTGCTACAAGAGCTTAGTGGATTTTGGAGCCTTGGTATGAAAAAAAGAAAGTAAACTATCTCATTAATAATTTTTATATTGATTTACATGCTAAAATTATAATATTTTGGTCAAAGTGGGATAAATATAATATGTTATTAAAATTAATTTCATCTGTTTCTTCTTCTTACTTTATAAATGTGGCTACAAGAATACTTAAAATTACATATGTGGCTCGCATTTGTGGCTGGCATTATATTTCTATTGGACAGTGTTGAATTAAGAGCAAGAGCTTGGGAAGTTCAAGTCATTTCCTGCCTTATGAACTTGGATAAATTATGAAAACTCTCTAAGCTTCAATTTTCAACTAGTTAAACAGGAATAATAATATCTACCTAACAGGGTTGTAATGATTCATATGTTGTGATTAATATATAATTATATTTATAATAATATAAGTAACATAAACATGTCATTATTTATGGTATTACTTGAAATAATTCCTGTGATATCTGGCAGATAATATGCACTGGGCAAATGCTGATTCTCTTCCTTGTGCATTTTACTTACCACTAGTAAATGTGGCCACTTTGTTTATAATGAATTGTTTGGGATCAGGATAAAGTAGCCTGTACTTGTGTATTTCTCTTCATCTAAAAGATTAGAGTCCTTGACAAATAGACAGTCACACAAGGTCTCAGAAGGGAAGACCACCATTTTCAGCTAGATGGAGAATGAGTTTGTGGCTGAACATTATACCTGTGGCATCTCCCATATATCATTAGCTGCTGTGATTGTTAGACACACTTGGAGGCATTGATTAAAGTTGTTAATCTTTTGAAGTGTCTGAGGTTGTCTTTTAAAGCCCCCACATAAGTTTCTGATCATCTCCAAGAGTTAACAAGTGGAGTACGCCTGGAGATATTATGAAGTAGACAATTAAAAAAACAGGGCCAGTCTCATCACAACTTCTCTTTCTCCTTCTACTCCCTATTAATTTTCAGCCATTAGAGAGTAAAATTATGTGGTTTGGAGTTGGTTTGCCTTTTCAAGCCCCAAGGGATTATAACCCTTAGTTATAGATTACCTTCAGGTGTCAGGTTTTCTTCAGGGATGGCACTCTTTTATGAATAGAACCCCTACCAATAGAACCAAGCACCTGTGAAATCCACCCTCTGTACTGCTCACCCAGCCTTCTCTACTTGCAAGTTGTCCCAAAATGTTACAACTAGGAAATGTGAGTTTTTGGTGGCAACAAAGGTGGGGTTTTTTTTGCCCACAAAAGTGAATTCAAGGGATTTATTTTGGTTTTAAAATTAATATTCACTTTTTAAAGGTACAAATTTGAAAACCTAGTTATTCCTTTAGTTTTTAAACTCAGCTTACAGCTCTTATTATTTTATTTATGTCAACACATTTAACAATCACTCTTAAGATGGGCTTCGAATAATGTTTTAATTTACAAATTGTACTTCTCCCTATTTAACTTCTCTTTACAGTTAAATATTTTGATTTTCTTTAACAAAACTTTTCTGAAGATTTAAATTATGCTTATAAGTTTATAAAATAAATTTATACATATGCTGATTCTTAATTTCTCTTAAATATTCTAATACTATACATAATTGTAGTAAGATTGATGTTTAAAATCACAAGTCTATATGAATTATTCAATGAACAATTTAAAGCTGGAATTACAAGTCTCATCTATTGCTCTCTTAGGGCAAAACTGCTTAAATCCTTTATGCTTACATTCCTTCTAATTCTATTGGGTAAACGACTTTGGAAGTTGCAACAAGATAGATGAATAAATGAGATACGTCCAGAATTCAAAGGGGTTATCATTTTAATATCCATTCAAATTGCATGACCCTAAGACTGGAAGCATATGAAAAGAATACAGCAATCTTTTAAGAGTCTTTAACATAGAAAATATATATGTTATGAGACAATCTCATGGACATTAAAAGTATAATAAAGGAATGCTGTGAACAACTCCATGTGACAAAATTTGATATCGTAGAGAAAATGAACCAATTCTTTGAAACATAAATAATCAAAACTCACAAAAGGGGAAATAGATAAGCTAAATAGTCTTATATGTATTAAAGAAATTGAATCAATAATGAATAACCTCCACCAAAAGACAGCATCAGGACCAGTGAATTCTACCAAACTGTGAAGGAAGAAACCAGCCTTACCCTAATACCAAAACCAGACAATGTACAAGAAAGGAAAACTATAGGCTAATATCTCTTATGAACATAGATGCAAAAATCCTCAACAAAATATTAGCAAATTGCATCCATCAATGTATAAAAAGTAATATATTACTATCATTTGGGATTCATTCCAGGTATGCAAGGCTGGTTCGACATATGAAAATCATTCAATGTAATCAATTACATTAACAGGCTAACCAAAGAAGAAAAATCATACAATTGTATCATTTGATGTAGAAAAGTCATTTGACAGAATCTAACACCCCTTCATGATAAAAATTCATCAAACCAGGAATAAAGGGGAACTTCCTCAGCTTGATAAAGACCGTCTACAAAAATCTCAAAACTAACATACTAAAATGGTAAGAGACTGGATGCTTTCCCCATAAGATTGGGAACAAGAAAGGATGTCCTCTTTCACCACTCCAATTTAAAATTGTACTGGGGCTGGGCGAGGTGGCTCATGCCTGTAATCCTAGCACTTTGGGAGGCCAAGGTAGATGGATCACTTGAGGTCAGGAGTTCAAGACCAGCCTGGCTAACATGGTGAAAACCCATCCCTACCAAAAAATACAAAAATTAGCTGGGCGTGGTGGTGTGTGCCTGTAGTTCCAGCTACTCAGGAGGCTGAGGTGGGAGAATTGCTTGAACCCAGGAGTTGGAGGTTACAGTGAGCTGAGATTGTGTCACTGCACTCTGGCCTGGATGACACAGTGAGACCCTGTCTCGATAAATAAATAAATAAATAAATAAATAAAATTATACTGGAAGTCCTATTTAGTGCAATAACATGAGATAAAAAAATAAAAGTATACAAATTAGAAAGGAAGAAATAAAATTGTCTTTATTCATAGATGACATGATTGTCTATATAGAAAATCTCAAAGAATCAACACAAAAACTCCTGGATCTAAAAAGCAATTATAGCAAGATTGCAAGATATGAGGTTAATAAACATAAATCAGTTGCTTTTCTGTATATCAGTAATAAGCAATTGGACTTTGAAGTTAAAAAAAAAACCCTTTATAATAACATCCAAAAATGACATACTTAGTTATATATCTGAAAAAACTAGGTATAAGATTTATATGTGGAAAGCCATAAAACACTGATGAAAGAAATCAAAGAAGGTCCAGATAAATGGAGAGATATTCTGTGTTCATGACTGGATTGCTAAAATGTCAATTCTTCCCAATTTGATCTATGGATTCAATGCAATCCCAATTAAATTCCATCAAGCTATTTTGTGAATATCAACAAATGGACTCTGACATTTATATGGAGACACAAAAGAATTAAAATAGCAAACATACTGCTGAAAAAGAACAAAGTTAGAGAACTATCCAATTGCCAGGCCTACTGTGCAGCTACGGTAATCAACACATTGTTTTCAAGAAATGACAGATATGGAACAGAATAGAGAACCCAGAAATAGATCCATACAAATATGGTCAACTAATCTTTGACAAAGGAATAAAGGCAATTCGATGGAGAAATAATAGTCTTTGTCATTTCAATAAATAGTGCTGGAACAATGGAAGTCCACATGTAGAAAAAAAAAATGACACAGATCTTACATTTTTGGATAGTTGGTTTTGAGCTGTGATTTTTAGGTTGAAATTTTAATTAGCTTATATTTGGTATAAAATCAAAATTCACCATATTTACAAATTTAATTTATCAGATATATAAGAATTACTTTAAGTACAGAGGAAAATTTGTTGGATAAATACAATTGCAATACTTAAAAAGTATACTGAATATGTTAAATTTATAAATTTAGTTGTAACACTTGAACATTAAGAATCAATATTATCCAAAGAGCTCTTAAAAGTGATTGTTAAAATCTGCTACAGTTACCAATAAAATAATACTTGTAAGCTGAACTTAAAAGTTTAAGGAATAATCAAGTTTCTGTATTCTTTTTTAAATGTGTGACAGGCGTTCAGAGGATCATTTAGAATCCTTGGTTCATAACACATTCTCATCATTGGTCCATTCTTGGTATTTATTTGGTTGGTAACTTTAATAAAATTAACTCACTTACTATTAATTTTTATATCCAAAGTAAACTCTGAATAGTCTTTTCTTTATTCCAAAACTGTCTGTGAGCCCATAAAAATCTCACATATTCATAGGATGAAGGTGGGATGTGGAAAGGGTCTAAAATGTGTTTTCGTGAATAAAAATGATTGTTTAGAAATAGTAGCATTTAGCCTAGTTATTAAAGACAGGACATTTGAGTAATTTAAAAAAATAGATGAAATGGAAAAACACTCACCCAATAAGGTTTCTATTGTAAAAAGGCCAAAGGGAACGACATTCAGAATAAAAAGTCTTATACTTGGAAGTGAACAGATAACTAAATTTAATGAGATGGTCTGGGACACATAGGAACCCTCAAAATGTTACTAGAAGGTTATGGTGAGCCTAGAATATTGAGGGGTGAGTTTGGGCCATCTAGGTGAAAATGTCAGCTAGACAGTCATAGATATAATACTAGCACTCTCGGGGAAATTGGAATTGAGAACACAATGTGGGAACCACCAGCTTAGAGGCAAGAGCTGAAGCTCTGAAGATAGTGAAGGCCTCCCTGGGGGAGATGGGAAGAGAGGAATGAAGGCAGAAGAAAAGTTGTTTTTCTTTCAAATCCTCTATATTTTATATTATTCCCTGCTTCCTTTTCCTCCTGCTTCCTGGGTTGGGATGGGGATATCTCCTCTTGGCTTATAAAATTATCTAGAGACCAGGAGCCACCTTGTAGAGTAGGGGTCCCCAACCTCTGGGCCATGGACCAGTACCAGTCCATGGTCTGTTAGCAACAGGGCCGCACAGCAGGAGGTGAATAGCAGGCGAGTGAGTGAAGCTTCATTTGTATTTACAACCACGCCCCATCACTCCCATTACCCTCTGAGCTCAGCCTCCTGTCAGATCAGTGGTGGCTTTAGATTCTCACAGGAGTGTGAACCCTATGGTGAATGGTGCATGCAAGGGATCTAGATTGCGTGCTCTTTATGAGAATCTAGTGCATAATGATCTGTCACTGTCTCCTATCACCCCCAGGTGGGACTGTTTAGTTGCAGGAAAACAAGCTCAGGGCTCCCATTGATTCTACATGATAAAGAGTTGTATACTTCATTATATATTACAATCTAATAATAATATAAATAAATTGCACAGTAAGTGTAATGCGCTTGTATCATCCTGAACCATCCCCCTCCACTCTGTGTCTGTGGAAAAGTTGTCCTCCATGAAACCAGTCCCTGGTATCAAAAATGTTGGGGATCACTGTTGTAGAGGACACAGAGAGGTTATTTTGAGAACCCCAAAGCTGTTACAAACACACCCAATAGACAGCACACCTATATAACTATAGGTATTCAAGGGCAGTTACTACAAGACAAGTTTTCAGGACCAACTTTTCATCTTTGAGCGGATGCACAGTCCGGACTGGTTTTCTTCCGTAAGAGAGAAAGAGGGAGAGCAAAAGTGAGAACTTTTGGGGCAGGGAGGAAAAGTCAAAGGGGGATGGTCAGGTTCAAGCATGAGGCCCTTGGAGACTGCTGGCCAGGGGTGCTGCAGAGTCACCGTTTCTATTGTGTAAACTTTCCTATGCTGACAGATTGCCTGGTGTGATAACTTCACTCTTGTGTGCAAATACTCTTCCTTAAAGACACATAGAGAAAAGCTGGCCAAGACCCAAGAAATGGCTGTAGAAAGATATTCATTCTCAGGGCATTTCTGAAAACACATTTTCTCTACATTTTCAGCTTTCAAATTGTATAAATTTTCTCTTGACTTCTGACTCAAAAATCTTCTCAAACCAGGCATGTCAGTTTCTTAATTAAAAATGGTGTCTTAGTCTGTGAGGCCTACCATAACAACATACCACAGACTGTGTGGCTTAAACCACAAAATGTATTTTCTCACAATTCTGGAGGCTCGAAGTCTAAGATTAAGGTGTCTGCAGATTTGGTTTCATCTGAGGCTTCTGTCCTTGGCTTGCAGATGGCTGCCTTCTTGTTGTGTCTTCACAGGGCCTTTTTCTCTGTGCCTGAGTATCCCTGGTATCTTTTCTTTTTGTAAGGACACCAGTCCCAATGTATTAGGGCCCATTGTTTTGATCTCTTTAACCTTATTTACCTCTTTAAAGGTCCCATCTCCAAATATAGTCACATTGGGGATTTGAGCTTCAGTATATGAATTTGTGTGTGTCTGTGAGGGGGGAAATAATTCAGTCCATAATAAATAGTAAGCTGAGATTTGTCTACTATGGACTCCCTGTCACACAGTAAGTACTTAGCAAATATTTGTAGAATGAGTCAGGCTGTGACTGGGTAACTCATTTATCAATGTGCTGCCATATTTTTTAAAGTCTCATAAACCTTAGTCAATTAAATAAATTTTTCATTTTGCAAGAGTTGGTAATGATGGCCTAGTAACTTTATAAATGGGCTAAAATCAATATACTTATCTTTAACATGAGCCCTAGAGGGTCAGATCAAGCCATAGTGCAAGACCCTAGTATAATTCCTTTCCTTTACTGAAGTGTTACGCTGGAACAACATTGCAGTGAAGGTTTAAAACTAAATATTGAAGATGAGGTGGTTTTGCAAACTTTCTGGATGATGTGTGTTAAGAGGCACAGAAGGCAAGCATCTTGCTCCCTTCTTACAAAGAAACAGAAGTGGTGAAGTAACTTGCCTAAGGTCTCATGCAGGTGAGTACCAGAACTGGGATTAGAATTCAGTCTTGTGTCACTCCAGGGTGCTGTTTTTTTTCTTTTTTTGATGTGCTTCTTGTTTAGCCCATTTAGCTAGTGAATGTGAAGATTCAAGGAGAAAAGGCTTTTCCTTCTGACATTGAAGTACCTAAACTCTTTAGAAAATCTACTCAGGTGCATTTCATAAATTGATTACAGATGAAGTCCAATAGTAACATTGTTTATATTTGTGAAATCTACCATACTTGTCAGTTTCTAGTTTACAGATTATATAAGGAAATCACTTACATCCAAAATACAATCTTTGCCAGTACACCAGCACAACCTCTTGGGAATCTTGAACTACACATATACTGAATTGATACTGCAAATCAAGTCATTTGCCCAAATGGAAGGATTTAGGGATAAATTCAGCCAACAGTTACATGCTCAGATTCAAGAATCTGAAATAACCACTATATTGTATAGCTAAAAATAAAGCAGTTTGCACAACACTTGGCATTTTCAGTTGACCTAGTCAATACTAGCTAATAATTTTTATAATTCTTGAGTGAAGTGAGTTTTTTCTTTATTTTACATGTACAACTGGAATCCTGAAAAGTTAATAGATTATCTTTTACCTAAGTGCTACAGTAGGTAAGGTAGTATTGATAGTCTTTTACTGAATCTACAAATATTTTTTTCTTGAACATGACATAATTTCTTTTAACAGTTTTATTGAGACATAACCAACAAACAATAAACTGCACATACATATAGTGTACAATTTGATGTTTTAACATATGTATATTCTTATTAAAACTACCACCACAATCAAGCTAATAAACCCACTACTCCTAAAAGTTTTCTTGGGTCCTTTTGAAATTCCTCTTTCCTAGGTAACCATTGATCTTTTTTTCTGTAACTACACATTAACTTGCATTTTCTAGGATTTTATATAAAGTGAAACATACAGCATGTAATCTTTAAAAAAATCTCTTTTCTTTCAGTCAGAATACTTACTTTGAGACTCATCAATGCTGTTGAATATATCAATAATTCACTCCTTTTTATTGTGGAGTAATATTCTATTGTATGATTATATCACAATTTCTTTATCCATTCACTTAATTATGGGCATTTGGGCTGTTTCCAGTTTTTTGCTGTTACAAAAAAAAAAACGCAGCTATGAATATTTCTGTACAAGCCTGTATATGAACATATTTATTTTCCTCTTAGGTAAAAACCTATGAGTGGAATGGCTGGAACATATGGCAGGCGCATGTGTAACATTTTTGAAATTGTCAAACTGTTTTCTAAAGTGATTGTGCCATTTTACATTCACACCAACAGTGTATGAGAGTTCCAGTTGCTTCACTTCCTTAACATCGCTGGGTGTGGTCAGTTTTCTAAATTTTAGCCATCCTAATAGATTTGACTTCATGCTTTATTGTGGTTTTCATTTGCATTTCCCCAAAGACTAATTATGTTGAACATCTTTACATGTGCTTATTTCCAATTGTCTACCTTTGGTGAGGTGTCTATTTGAATGTTTTATTTTTTTAATTGTTTTTATGTTTTCTTCTTAATGAGTTTTAAAATTTGTTCTTTGTGAGATATGTAGTTTATAAATATTTTCTCCTAGTTTTTGCTTGTCTTCTTATTCTCTTGTCAAAATTAAAAGCTTCTGCTCTTCAAAAGTCTATTGAGTTTCAAATTATCAATTTTTTTCTTTTATGGGTTGTTCATTTGGTGTTATATCTAAGAAATCTTTACCTATCCTGGGATCAGAGAGATTCTCTAACAGAAGTTTTATAATTTTAGGTTTTACATTTAGGTCTATATTTCATTTTGAATTAGTTTTTATATACAATTTAAAGTATGGATCAATGTTTATATTTTTGCATGTGGATATACAATTTTTCCAGCACAATTTATAGAAAAGCTTATTATTACTTCCCTGACTTACCTTTGTACTTCTAGCAAAAATCAATTGTTTGTATATGTGTGGACCTATTTATGGACCCTCTATTTTGCTCCACTGATCTATTTGTCTATCCTTATGCCAGTGCCACACTGTATTGATAACTGTAGTTCTATAATAAGACTTGAAATCAAGGCATGTAAGCCCTCCAGTGTTGTTCTTTTTTCAAAGTTTCTTCAGTATTCGAGGTCTTTTGCATTTCCATATGAATTTTAGAATTAAATTCTCAATTTTTATGGAAAAATTTACTTTTGACTATTGAAAAATTGAATTTTGATTGAGATTGTGTCAAATCTTTATAGATCAGTTTGGAGAAAATAGACATCTTAGCAAAATTGAGTCTTCTGAGGTTGCTCATAACCTACCTTATTGGACACAACAAGAAAGAATGGCACTGCCAATGCTGTGCAGCCCCCACTCTGCCCTTAGTATGTCACATGTGGCATCTGATGTTCAGGCTGAGCAAAATGTCAGTGTCAAGTCATATAATAAATTAGTCACAAATGAGCTTAATTCCTTGCCTTCTAAAAATAAAAATAAAGAGAAGATTAAGTTATAGTATTTTCTTCCTATACCCCAGTGTATAATTTTTTCCCGACTAAGTAGACCACTAGTAAAATGCCTTTCTACCTCTAAGATGCTAGAATAGAAAAAAAATATTGTTCCCTGCTCATCCCAATGATCAAAATTACCTTGTATTTTGTGATGACTGCTTTGGATTTCCAAGGCAGTAGCCACCATGTCTCACCTCATGCCCTGCATGACTTAAGGGAAAGAAGAGATCATAGACAACATCTGGCTGTCTAGTAAGTAGAGCTTGACAGTGTCAGAAACAAGATGCGATGCAGCTATTACTTTGTTAGCTATAGTGCTCTGATTGTTATTTGTTGATGAAAGCTGTGGGAAGAAATGGCAATGCATATAAACAGGAGAAATTTAGTTATAATTTATGCTTCTTTAGAAAATGCCAGCAGCAAACATCATTTCCAAAGCATTCAAACCACCTATGACTAATCACAGGATGACCAATGTTCCCCTTGTGACGTGGTAATCAAGTGCGTTGAAGACATTCCACCTAATTTTGAGCATTTTAAGCAGTATGATGCCATGATTCAGATTTTCCTATTGCAGGTGTCCACAATATTTCCAAATTTATGATATTTTGGAGCCTATGCATTTTTCCCTATGGGCATTGATGACCCACACTGAGTAGAATGAGCAATGTGGGTGTTGGATTGCTGGGCAATTCTTATGCTCCCTGGAGGGATCCCTTTCTCAATTGCCACGGCAGCTATTCCAAACCTTTACATTCATTAACATCCAATAAATATTGATGGAAGCCTTCTCCATAACAGAAACTGTACTCCCACCTTCTACCTATGTTTTCTTCATTTTTAGCAGATAAATCAAATTTTTAACTTTTCAACTACACTTTCTCTTTCTACTTCCAAATGTGCCCATTGTCTCACATCTTTTTACTTCTATCCTTTCTATCTCTCAAGAAGACGCATCCTTCTCAAATACATCCTCACCCCCTATTCTCATTCTGGCTGATCTCCTGTGTCTCTAGGAACTTTGTTCAGATATTCTGCTTCCTCTTATTTTCCATCTTTTCAACTGGACCCATCTTTCCAGATTGCAAATCTGATAGTATCTCCCCGCCAGCCTCCCCACTCCCACACACTAAACCCTGCAGTGGTCACTAGTACTCTTAGGATATATTGAGAAAAAATTATTCCATTTGGCCTCCAAAGCCCTACATAGTCTGGCTTCTGCCTGCCTCCCCATTCTTACTTTTTTTTTTTTAGACAGAGTCTCACTTTGTTGCCCGGGCCAGAGAGAGTGCAGTGGCACTATCTCGGCTCATTGTGACCTCCACCTCCGTGGTTCAAGAGATTCTCGTGCCTCAGCCTCCTGAGTAGCTGGGATTACAGGCGTGCACCACCACGCCCAGCTAATTTTTGTATTTTTAGTAGAGACAGGGTTTTGCCATGTTGGCCAGCTGGTCTCAAACTCCTGCTCTCAAGTGATCTGCCTGCTTCAGCCTCCCAAAGTGCTGGGAGTACAGGCATGAGCCGCCATGCGCAGCCTCCATTCTTATTTTCACTCATTCCTCCTCTCTCTGCTCTACACATACTGGATTTTCAATCCCTGAAACACATCTTGGGGTTTCTCCTATCACAGGGCCTTGCACAAGCTCTTCCCTCTTTACTTAAGTTCCACTCATCTTTGCTGTCTTACTTAAGCATAATTTCTGTAGGAAAACCTTCCCTGACAAGTTGTTATTCTGCCAGTTTTTTCCCTGTAGACTCCCATGGCTTGATTTATGTCTTATTCTTAGAATTTGCCATAATTGACATATTCTATTTAGTGAGAATGATTATTTGATTAACATCTGTCTCCCTCACGAAGGTATAAGCTTCAGGAGGGCAGAGGCTTGTCTTGTTGTGCCCACCACTTAATAACAGAGGCTGGGCCAGGTGCAGTGGCTCACACCTGTAATCCCAGCACTTTGGGAGGGTGAGGCAGGAGGATTGCTTGAGGTCAGGAGTTAAAAGACCAGCCTGGCCAACATGATGAAATCCCATCTCTACTAAAAATACAAAAATTAGCTGGGCGTGGTGGTGCCTGCCTGTAATCCCAGCTACTCAGGAGGCTGAGGCACATTTTCTTCCTTCACTTTTTTCTCTTACTACTCTTCTCTCTTCCTTCTTTGTTTTGTTTACTATCTTTTTTCTCTCTTTTTATCACTTTATCTAATAAATACTTATTGGGCAAATGAATGAAATGCTAGTCTTCCTGAGGGTTTTCTGGTTTTTGACTTTTTTTTCTCTTTTTCGTCTGCCTCCTTTTCCTTAGTAATCTTATCCAACACCATGGCTTCACCACCATCCATATCCATAATGCCCCATGATGTCCAGACCTGTATTTTCAACTGATTATCTTCCTGGAATTGTCCTCTAGTTACTTAAACTCAACCTAACTCAAACCAAAGTGGTTATCTTCCTTAAATATTTTTCTTCTGCTTAATCCTACCCTTTGTAAAGTTTGCCACTACCCATTTCAAACGGCTTAAACCCAAAACCTAAGGTCATTTTTCTTCCTTTTCCACAAATACCAAATTCTGTTGATGCAAATGAAATGTCCCTTTCCAAAATCCCCACTTATATGCCCCTAAGTACTATTGCCTAGTTTTGTTCTTCTCTAACTTTTCCAGAAGGAGAACTCTTTTATGTAAGAGGAATATGTAAAAATTATGACATGAGGTGGACGGAAGGGAGCTGCTCTAGCTGAAGGTGGGAGAAGGGATCTGAAAGCAATCCCTTGCCCACTGAGGCAGTACCAGAAGTTGGTATAGTTTGAAAGCTACTAGCCTACGTTACTGCAACACCCTTTAAAAAAACTGCTTTTACATTTTTTTTCACATGTAAAACACAGAAATAATAGAGATTTATGAAATATCTACTATGGGCTAGGCATTGTAGCAGGTGCTGTGAATATAATGGTGATTGAAATCAATATAGCCCCTGCTCTCAAGGAGGTTATATCTAACAGGGATGGCAGAGAGAAAAAAAGCAATTATAACCAAGTGAAGTAAGTGCTATGATGTGGGTGGCAAGGAGCTGCGGGCTATGTAGGAGAAGACCTAATGTAGTGCAGGGACAGGTTGGGGGTGGACCACGGGTAGCTTCCTACAGGAAGAGACTGTTAGGCTAGGACCTAAAAGATGAGTTGGAGTTCAGCAGGTGAAGAGAAGAGAAGACTGTTTCAGGCAGAGGAAACAGCACTGTTGGTTGTTCCAAGGGAGCTAGCTCAGCACTGTAGGGAGAGGAGCGGGAGTGTAGAGTGAGTATTCACGTCAGGGCTCATCTTTAGCTTAAAAAGAACCAGGGAACTCTGGAGAGTCTAGTTCAGAGTATAATGCTTTCTCCATCCCTTTCTTGCCCCGTCCTGCCTGGTTTCTTCTTTCGGCTTTGGTACTCATTGGGATTAGTTCCTCACTGCCAAGCTTGAAGCCAATAATTTGATCTGAAGCAGACGACTTTCAGCAAACCACCGGAAGCCTCCCTGCTCCCCATCTCCATGCGACAACCTCAAATAATTCAGAGCTGTGTAAACCTTGAAACCACCTAAGCCCCACCCAGAGACCTCATAACTCTTAAAAAATTCTTCCTCAAACAGAGGAATTTCGTAGGCTTGTTTGATCTTTTTATGTTGCTGTTTTCAGGATATAACTTTTCTCTTTTCCTCTCAAGCCCGGGCTCTAGGCAGTTATCCAAGAGAAGAGAGGTCTGGAGACTTCAGCCTGTCTCAGGGCACACATCAAGGCAGAGATGAAAATATAGGTGAATAGTCTGGGATATCTTTATGAACACTTCTCAGATGACTTGGCTGAAATCTTTCTCTTACATCAGAACTCAATGGTTTTAACAACACAGTTTGATAAAAAACATTTTCTTTAGCAGTCATGTTACAGTAATTAACATGTAACCTTGGGAACTCTATACGTGATTTAATTCCTCTCTGAACCAATTTTTCCTAGTTTTGTAGACATATCTTGGGTTTCTTTCCAGGTACAAGAAGAGTTTTAAGAATGATGGCCATATGGATTTTCTGTTTAGCAGAATTCTCTATATTTTGAGTATCTTTACCCAAAGGTTAGTATTAGACAGACAGTGAAATGAAAATTAAAATGGAAATAATAGTACAATAGGCCTGCATGTTCTTATCTGAAACTTTTGTGGCCAGATATATTTAATAATTCAAAATATCTGAGATATTAGAAAGATAATATGGTGCCTATATTACATAATATTATAGGTGGGGTCTGGAGTGTGATCACGCATAACATGTCTGATACGGAATATCTGAATATCCACACTGCATAGCATAGCCTCACGTTAGTTCACCAAATGAACTTTGGTGCCACACTTAACAAAAATACCTTAGTTTCCGAAGCATTTTGGATTTTGGAATTGCTGAGAAGTAATTGTATACCTGTCCTTGTCTTGCTTCACTGAGAGAGTTGCTGTATCAAGGGTGTTTAATCAGAAAAATGTTATTTCATCATAAAATGTTATTTTATAGCCTAGCCTAACAGCATTGGAGAATCTTTGTCCCCCTTTTTTTTTTCGGCACATGTCTGTTTGCAAAATCTTTTTTGGTTATAATTAAAGTAATTCCTCTATTGGAAGTTCAATATACTATTCTATGATCTGAGTCATTATTTTACTTTCAGTCCACCAGCTGCTGTTTGCCAAGCTGATTGGCTTTCCAATATATATTTCATTTACTATAGGTTGCAGGGGTATCTCTTTCCAGATGATCTATTGGACATAGTCCTTTATGCCTCTATTACTTGTTTTGAGAAACTTTTCCTAAGTTAGTTGTTTAGTTGACTGTGTTGGTCCGGTGGGCATCTCAGATTTATTTGTCTAGAAACTATGCTACCTGGAGGCATAGAAAGAGTAAAGTACTTGGAATACCCAGAACTCCTGGATTTGCATTTCATTTCTGCTTCTTTCTAGCTATGGTGGTGATGGCTTACAATCCATTGAACTTGTCTGAGCTTTAATTTCTCAACTTCAAAATGGGGATTAATAATAACAGCTTTTGCTACTTCTCAGGCATAATGTGAAGTAAAATGAGAAGAGGTTGGTGCAAACAAGAAGATACAGTGCAATTCACATTCAACGAAAGGGAACGGTCTAAATGCAAGGTCTATATGCACTTAAGGTGTTTTTATTGATAAATATTGGGTTACATGGCTTTACTTCTGCTCAGATCTGGATAGGGACCATTTATTGAGTGGCTGCTGTATCAGGAACCACAGGAGGCAACCTCGATTAATCCCAGTAAAACCCCTTTGAGGTGGCTGCCATCATTCTCTATTTGAGAGAGGATAGAGACCTGACCAAGGTCACATCACCACTTAGCGCCTGAGCCAGATTGAAAACCAGATTTGTTTGATGGTAAAGTCAGCACTCCATTTTAATTGCAAAGACTATTGTGCAATGGTGAATGTTTTGTGGTGTTTTTTTGTGTGTTTTGAAAATTGAGAACAAGATGGGATTCATAACAAATTAGATAGTTCACTTTTCTTATATGTAAATTCCAGACAGTAGCAATAAATCACACACTTTGGATGCTCAGGGGAAATTAGTTATAATTTAATGCTTTGGAAAATCATTATTTATCCCCCTTTGTGGTAGAATTTATTCTCAACATCCTTATAAATAAACAAAATGTTTTACTAGCTAAAAAAATTACCAATCCATTCTTTCTTCACAAGGCATGGAGACAGTAGAACAACGGCATTTTTCTTTACTATCCTCTTGGCCTAATTGTTCGCTTGTCCTGAATCAGTTACTGAACTGAGAAACCCAGGTAAGCTTCCCATAGCATTCTCCTTTCTTATTTCTAGTATTTGGTTCAGTCCGCGATACTCTTTTAGCCATCGGTGACTGCTCTTACTGAGACTGTGGCTGTCCTCGCCCAGAGTTGAGGTAGGGGTAGGTTGGGGATGGGAGACTCACTACTAAGCACTGTGGAGTCTATTTGAGTCCCTGGCAGTATCTGTCCGATATGGTCTGGCTCTGTATCCCCATCCAAATCTCATCTCAAATTTTAATACCCGTGTGTCAAGGGAGGGACCTGTAATCCCCACGTGTCAAGGGAGGGAGGTGATTGGGTCATGGGGACAGTTAACCCCATGGTGTTCTCGTGATAGTGAGTGAGTTCTCACGAGATCTGATGGTTTTGTAAGGCAGTTTTCCCTGCTCTTGTTTACTCTCTCTCAGCAGCATCATGTAAGATGTGCCTGCTCCCCCTTCCGCCATGATTGTAAGTTTCCCGAGGCCTCCTCAGCCATGTGGAACTGTGAGTCAATTAAATCTCTTTTCCTTATGAATTACCCAGTCTTGGGTATGTCTTTATAGCAGTGTGAAAATAAATGAATACACTGTCTATCTGTCTGTCTCTCTCTCTGTTATTTAAGATCAGAACAGGACTTACTGTATGACAGAAACACAGCTGAAGGGGTGTTAGAAAGTCCGGAGCTTATGAAGACGTTCCCTGACCTCTCCTTTTGTTAACTGGGGCTTCATTCCAGAGAATAAGAGCTTCTTTATGGGTTCAGACACTTCTGGCTGCAATTAGCCGATTGTTAATTTATGTCTGAGTGTTGGAGGCTTTAGTTAGATAAAATATTTAAAGGATTTAGTCTCAGTGAAAAGAACTTTAAGTAAGAATGGCTTTGAGGAAAAGAGAAAAGTTAGATTCCAGCTTTCCTTCTGGGTGCTGACTATGGTGAGTGGGGAAGTAGGTTATGAGATAATAAGAGCTTTATTGTCAATTTTTGCATTCTTTTAGAGGCCCCCACGACTTTAGATTTCCTTAATATCTTTCTCCCTTTATAGTTAATTTAAAAAAATATTGAGCACTTTATATGTGTCCACGCATTCTATTGCCCTGGAGCAAACTCTAGTGATCAGCACGTCCATAATCCTTGCTCTTATGGAACTCACAGTCTAGTGGGGAACTACACAAAAACACTGCAAAGTTGTAACCAATGTTTATGGTTTATGGTGTTATGAGCGTTGAGGTTGTTAGGGAAGACTGTTTTTGTGTGATGCATTCATCAGTGTTGGGGTTGCTATAGCCCATTTTTTTGTGGCTATCAGCTTTAGGTACTTTTATTAGGTCTTAAAAAGAATATTCTAGTAATTAATCATATAGATTGTAGATGGGTTGCTGGATTGCATTGATTTTTAAACAGATATATATACACACACACATACATGGAAGCACACATACATATAAGTATATATATCTGTGTATATGTTACATGTGTATATATATATGTATATACATATATATGGGTGTGTGATTACATAAGCAATGTAAAGTGATTGTAGAGAATTTGGAATATCATAAAACTACAAAAAAATTAAACTTACCCGGAAATAATTAATGTCTATCTACATACCTATCTCTAGTCTTTTTTTCTAGACATACATAGATTTAAAAATATAATTTGGATCATATTGCAAAGATGAGTTTGCATTTTCATTGAATCACGACCATTTCTCTTGTCATAAAATAATCTTTAAAGGAAATTTTTTTACTTCATTATACTCTATATTTCTATCAGAATTTATGTAATTATTCCTTTATTGAACACTAGTAATGTGTCCCATTTGCTACTATAAATAATGCTGTGAAGTGCAAGTTTCTATAGTTTATGACAATTTTCTTTTTTCTTCTTTTTTTTCTTTTGAAACATTTTATTTTTTTCGACTCTTTTTTTATTTTATTTTATTATTATTATACTTTAAGTTTTAGGGTACACGTGCACAATGTGCAGGTTAGTTACATATGTATACATGTGCCATGCTGGTGTGCTGCACCCATTAACTCGTCATTTAGCATTAGGTATATCTCCTAAAGCTATCCCTCCCCGCTCCCCCGACCCCACAACAGTCCCCAGAGTGTGATATTCCCCTTCCTGTGTCCATGTGTTCTCATTGTTCAATTCCCACCTATGAGTGAGAATATGCGGTGTTTGGTTTTTTGTTCTTGTGATAGTTTACTGAGAATGATGATTTCCAATTTCATTCATGTCCCTACAAAGGACATGAACTCATCATTTTTTATGGCTGCATAGTATTCCATGGTGTATATGTGCCACATTTTCTTAATCCAGTCTATCATTGTTGGACATTTGGGTTGGTTCCAAGTCTTTGCTATTGTGAATAGTGCCGCAATAAACATACGTGTGCATGTGTCTTTATAGCAGCATGATTTATAGTCCTTTGGGTATATGCCCAGTAATGGGATGGCTGGGTCAAATGGTATTTCTAGTTCTAGATCCCTGAGGAATCGCCACACTGACTTCCACAAAGGTTGAACTAGTTTACAGTCCCACCAACAGTGTAAAAGTGTTCCTATTTCTCCACATCCTCTCCAGCACCTGTTGTTTCCTGACTTTTTAATGATTGCCATTCTAACTGGTGTGAGATGGTATCTCACTGTGGTTTTGATTTGCATTTCTCTGATGGCCAGTGATGGTGAGCATTTTTTCATGTGTCTTTTGGCTGCATAAATGTCTTCTTTTGAGAAGTGTCTGTTCACGTCCTTTGCCCACTTTTTGATGGGGTTTTTGTTTTTTTCTTGTAAATTTGTTTGAGTTCATTGTAGATTCTGGATATTAGCCCTTTGTCAGATGAGTAGGTTGTGAAAATTTTCTCCCATTTTGTAGGTTGCCTGTTCACTCTGATGGTAGTTTCTTTTGCTGTGCAGAAGCTCTTTAGTTTAATTAGATCCCATTTGTCGATTGTTTATGACAATTTTCTTAGGCTAGATTTTGAGAAGAAAAATAACAGGGTCAAAGGGAGTGAAATTTTAAGGCTTGTGATATGTATTGCAAAATTGCTTTCCAAATAGGTAATATAAATCTAGCTCCCATTAGCAAAGTACGAGAGTGATTATTTTATTGGTTACCCTGTCATTGCTGAATATGATTATTGTTAATTAGATGGTTGAAAAATATTATCTTCTTTTTATTTCTATTCTGGTCTACTAGTGGAATTAAATTCTTTTTTTTTTTTCTTTGAGACAGTCTCTCTCTGTCACCAGGCTGGAGTGCAGTGGCGCAATCTCGGCTTACTGCAACCTCCGCTGCCCAGATTCAAGCGATTCTCCTACCTCAGCCTCCTGAGTAGCTAATTAAATTCTTTTTTATACAGTTATTAGTAATTAGTACTTTTTTAATGAATCTCAGTTTATGTTCTTTGCTCGTTTCTTTATTATGGTTTTTAGTACTTGTTTCATAAAAACTTTTTATTTATTAAGGATGCCAATAATTTGTCATATGCAAAGTTTTCCGAGTTATTTAACAGAAGTTTCTAATTTGTATGTAATTAGATCTACTTGTCTTTTCTTTTTGATTTCTAGCTTTTATATGCTCAGAAAGTCCCTATCCTATTAATCAGATATTTTGTCTATGTGTTTGAAAGCTAGATGAATTTTTAATATGGTGCCCATAAGATACTTCAGCAACCTGGTGCAGTGCCTAATAAATACGGCACTTGGGGACATGATGTGTGGTTACTAGAAGTTTGCCTAATAGTTAGATCTCAATAGTCATTGGTCACTGGGATGAATATTCATTAAACCATGTTTTGAAAGAGGAATAAATATTACCCAGTCAAACAAAAGGGAGAAGAATCTTCCAGATAAGGGACCCATGACATGAAAGGGTACAGAGGGAAGAAACCAAAACCATGATGTGCAAGGAATGCCTGCAGCAGGAGCTCAGCATACATGGTAGGGAAGGTGTTAGTTAGGCATGGCCAGATCATGCAATTTTCAGGCCATGATGAGAAACTTAATTTTACATAATAAAAAATGAGAAATCATTACAGGGGTTTAAGTAAGAAAGTGATGTGGGCCATATTGACATTGGGAAATTTAGGTACATTACTTCAGTTTACTAAAAATAGTGGAGAAGAGAATTGGAGTAGATGAGATTTGAGTCCTGGCAATCCATTAGGGAAAAAAGCAAGTTACACTTAGCAGCATTTAACAAGTGTGGGCTGGGCATGATGGCTTACATCTGTAATCCCAGCACTTTGGGAGGCCAAGGCAGGAAGATTGCTTGACACCAGGAGTTTGAGACCAGCCTGGGCACCATAGTGAGACCCCTTCTCTACAAAAAATACAAAAAATTAGTTGGGTGCCTATAGTTCCAGCTACTTGGTAGGTTGAGGCAAGAGGATCACTTGAACCTAAGAGGTCGAGACTGCTGTGAGCTATGGTCATGCCACTTTATTCCAGCCTGGGTGAGAAAGTGAGACCCTGTCTCAAAAAAAAAAAAAAATGTGGAAGGTAGTATCATTTGAGCTAGAGAGGAATACATTCAGGAGATATTTAGATGGTAGAATTTTTCCACTTCCCCTTGATCCTCAAAGGAGGGCCAGGCTCATGCCTGTAATCCCAGCCCTTTGGGAGGCCGAGGTGGGTGGATCACCTGAGGTCAGGAGATTGAGACCAGCCTAGCCAACATGGTGAAACCCCATCTCTACCAAAAATACAAAAATTAGCTGGGTGTAGTGGGGGGCACCTGTAATCCCAGCTACTCAGGAGGCTGAGGCAGCAGAATCTCTTGAACCCGGGAGGTGGAGGTTGCAATGAGCCAAAATCATGCCATTGCACACCAGCCTGGGCGACAGAGTAAGACTCTGTCTCAACAAAACAAAACAAAACAAAACAAAACAAAACAAAACAAAACAAAACAAAAAACAAAGGACACAGCATAGCATAGAGAAAAAAAGATCTGGATTGGAAATCTGAAGCCTGGCTCCACCACCAGCACCATGATCTTTACTAGTTACCTCCCCTCTGAGGGCCTCTACTTCCTTATTTGTATAAGGACTTTCTGAACTAGATGATCTTTCAAGTGTCTGGCAGTTTTAACACTTCTGTGTTCTTGTAGTTTTAGACACCAGCTTAGTGTTTCGAAACTGTAAAATAGCCTGAGAAATCTTGTGAAAATAGGAACTTGCACTTTTCTAGGATTTTTGTTTCCTGTTTTTATAAAATTTGAGCTAGTGAGGACTAGATATCAGGATGAGCCCCTGCCTGCCTCTTGGCCAGCTTTGTAGAGGGGTTTCTGATGCCCAGAGGAGAGGCAGTTTGAGTAAGGGCAGCCGACAGCAAGCATGGAGCTCGCACACAGCTCTCTCGCCTTCCAGGCGTGGCTCAGTGGCACCATCCTTGTGGCCTCCTGTCTTGTGACCATGAGCAGACACGCTCGAATATGATGGCCATGTAGCCAACTAACTACAGCTGTTGGAAGCTCAAACCCGTGGTTCAAATCCATTGGCAATTTTGGTAAAATCTAGGGTTTGGCTCATTCAGTCTAACAATGCTCACCCGACTGTGTGGCCAGTAATTTACCAAAAACAGTATAGCTTGTTGCCATTTTCATCTTTAGTGGAGGCAGAAAAATGGAAGGATATAGAAAGAGAAATGTCTCGCCTTTCAGAAGCTCCTTGCTCTTTGGTATTTAGTTTGCTATTTTCTGTCATTTTTGTCTTGAGTCATTAGAGTTGGGTTTCTATTCTGCTGTCTGCCTTGCAATGTTATCTAAGGAATCTATAAGCAGCTTAACCCTGTCAACGGAAGATTGTACTAAAACAGCCTGTTCAGGAAGCCCTGGAATTCCACGCTTCAAGCCATTAGCTGTGTCTTGCTTACATGAAGCTTATCACGCCACCCTCAGAAAATTTCCATCTTATCATGGGCGGCATTGTAAATAATGGAAAAAACTGTCTGAAACTGTTTGAATGTTTTCTTAGATTATTTGGAAATTTCCAGCTTTGTGCACTAGACAGAAGACCTTTGACCTCTGGGATGACAGCATAAAGGCGAGGTATGCCTTCTCTTACTTAGCCAGGGAGGGCCCATAATGACTGTGCAGACACTTTCTATTATTTTTGTCATGAAGTCTCTGAATTTAGTCACCGAGCCTATGGGAAACAAATTCGCTTTAGGAAAAAAAGCTTAGCAAGAAGAATTCATTCCTCAAGTGTAACACCTTTTTTTTTTTGAGATGGAGTTTCGCTCTTATTGTCCAGGCTGGAGGGCTGGAGTGCAAATGGAATGACCTTTGCTCACTGCATCCTTGCCTCCCAGGTTCAAGCAATTCTCCTTCCTCAGCCTGTGGAGTAGCTGGGATTACAGGCACCCACCACCACGCCCAGCTAATTTTTTGGTATTTTTAGCAGAGATGGGGTTTTACCATGTTGGCTAGGCTGGTCTCAAACTCCTGACCTCAAGTGATCCGCCTGCCTTGGCCTCCCAAAGTGCTGGGATTACAGGTGTGAGCCACCGCGCCCAGCAAGTGTAACACTTTTAAAGGTCTTTTATTTATCTGCCTATAATCTTAAGAGTGAGTTTTTAATTAAATTTTGTCACTGAAAATTTATTATTCCTTTAGGAAGCAATTTTGTGGGGGGTGCTTAGGTTAATATGTAATTATATACTTAAAATTCTTCTAGGTTCATTTAAAGATAAAGTAATATATCAGTTATTACAAGATGCCAAAGGCTAAAACATGCAATTTTCTCAGTCCAGCTCACTTTTTGTTTCCAAAGCCCTTTGCGTGCATTAACAATCTTTACACATTATGAAGTCACTGTCGCCATTTAGCCCACCTTTGCATCATGGGCTAAAATGGATGCAAAGGGTTGGTTAACTCAAAGCCATGTACTTTATTCCACCTAAATTTTGTTCATTCTGTTATTCAACCTGAAATATCCTTTCCCCTCAATTTCTGCCCGTGAAAATTGTATTTGTCTCTTAAGATTCAGATCAAATATTACCTTTCCTTACCTCCTAGGGTAGATTTCTAAAGAAAAGGATCTGTGAACATTTAGGAAAGCAAGCAGTGGTCACCAGGAATTTGTGTGGATTGCTGATAAAGAAGTCATTCTGCACTAACTTCATCTCTTCTTTGGCATTATGGCTCATCTGATAAATAAATGCAATAGACATATCTTTGGATTTCAGTAAGTCTTTGATAGAGTCTCTCTTGATAGGCTTTTGGTCTATCAATAGTACAATTAGGGGGATTAGT
The DNA here is from genome assembly GCF_000001405.40 of Homo sapiens. Taxonomy (NCBI): domain Eukaryota; kingdom Metazoa; phylum Chordata; class Mammalia; order Primates; family Hominidae; genus Homo; species Homo sapiens. The sequence continues at coordinate 50,336,473 of NC_000013.11, forward strand.
AACTGGTTAAATGGCTAAAGCCACAAATGACTGAATAATGGCTTTTGGCCTGTGAAATATTTCCCGTGAAATGCTGGCATGCATTTGTCCTTGGCCTTGTCTTAGAGAAAAAAATTATTAATGATGAATCAGTCAGAATAGATGTAGATAATGTTGTAGTATTGAAGACCCCCCACCCCATCCCCACTGCCAATTTAGTGGTTTAAAACAATAAATATTGATTTCTCTCACACTACTTGTTCATCTTGAGATGATGGGGGCTGGATGGGTGGGGTCTTTGCTTTGGGTTATTATTGCAGTCATTATTTGGAACATCGTTGGCTGCCAAGGCCATGTGAAAAGAGATGGTGAGGAAGCCCATATGGATGCACAACCATACACACCTCAAGTGAATGGGTGTGCAAGGCGGCAGTGTGCCTGCAAGGAGAGAAATGCCATGTTTGTGAAAAGCCCTAATGACCACCACACCCATTGGGATGGAAACAAGGTGTTGGTGGATGACACAAAATTAGGTGTATAGTGAATAGGATTTTCCCTCAGAGGACCTGATAGGAGGTTCTGAACTTTTTCAGTAATTATTTAGATGACTCTGGGCAGATCACTTAACTTTCTTCAGTCTTGGTTTCCTTACCTATAGAATAAGACCATCAGTGATATTAATGTGTCTGGGTGATGGTGAGGTGCTGTCTGGCTGGTACTGGTGTCTCTGAGCTTGGAGTCAGGTTTCTCTATTGGTGCTTTATTCTTAGATGTATAAAAGTTGTTAATTGTAAAATTTTTATTATGACTGGTACCATTATCAATTTTTAAAAATTGGCTTTTTAAAGTTGAATGTAATTTGTTTTGAATTGTATATTACATTTGTCTGATATATTTTTGCCAAACTTAAAAAACAATGTGTCAAATCTCTTATAGATAGCTCATTGTTTTTTATTCAGTCTGAAAGCCTTTTTCTTTTTTAGTACAGCCATTTGATTCATTTATATTTATTCCCAGCACTTTAAATTAATTTTTCTTTCAGGCATCTTAACTTACACTTTCGTGTCTATATTTCCCTTTTATTCTGATTTGTGCTGTATATACTACTTGCTTTGCATTTGCCTCTCTGTAAACATCCTGATTTTCAATCTACAAATATATACCTTAAATAAAGAAAACCCTAACTCATAAAGCTCATCTTTTTTGAAATATAAAAATCAAGAATAAAAATAAGCATTTATGACTCCAAATTTTGAACGCTGAGCTATGTGGGACTTTAAAAGTTTAATGTGTGATTATAAATGCCACATTTAATTTTTTAAAGTGGTCAATATGTATCTCTTTATAAAATATTTTTCTTTTTTTCTGTTAAGATTTGCAGTGATTATTCAGACCTATTAAGCTGGTGCAAAAGTAATTGCGTTTTTTTGCTATTACTTTTAATGGCAAAAACCATGATTACTTTTGCACCAACTTAATATATCTGTAATTTAACAGGTTTTAATGCTTCCTGATAATCCTTTTTAGTTACAACTTCTCTCTTCTTGAGTTCTTTTTTGTTTTATTTTGTTCTTGTTTTTTGGGACAAGGTCTCACTCTGTCATCCAGGCCGGAGCACAGTGGCGTGATCACAGCTTGCTGCAGCCTTGACATCCTTGGTTCAAGTGATCCTCCCACCTCACCCTCCCCAGGAACCATGCCTGGCCAAGTTTTTATGTTTTTTGTAAAGACTGGGTTTCATCGTTTTCCCCAGGCTGGTCTCGAACTTCTGGGCCCAAGTGATCCACCAGCCTCGGCCTCCCAAAGTGCTGAGATTACAGTCATAAGCCAATGCACTTGGCCTCTTCTTGGGTTCTTAATTGCATTTCATTTCTGTGTACTAGGGACTGTGTACTGCAGGAACTTTATTCAGAAAGATATTAGGAGATTTTCTGAGCCTCTGCATCTGAGGATGCCTTTCTGCTGTCTTTCTACAAGAAGATCAATGACTCTATATGAATTCTTGGGTCATACTTTTTTTCACTTAAATTCCGGAAATGCTGCTCCATTGCTTTAGTGTCTAGTGCCTTGTATGAAGTTGGCATGCTTTGCCAAGCTTATTTAAAATTAGAGTTGCCGAGGATAAGTCTAAAGTTGACTTTTGATCCTTTGTAGGAAAAGCAGCCACCTCCCATTCTCTAGGCCTAACCAGTCTCTGGGGCCCCTGGCATTTGTCCTGCCCCAGGTGCTGCTGTGACGACCAGCTTTGTGTGGCCTCCAGTGGACTTCATATGGACATAGCCGACCATGCCTTGCCTTGTCAGTCCCACATCCCTCACCTTCGGACCTGGGCTTCCCTGTTGATACAGAGGCACTGGATATCTTGAGACTTGCTCACCATGACGTATGTGCACCCAGAAATGCATGGAAGTTTACATCACCAGGGGCACATTTTTGGCCAACACGAGGTGGGGAGGTAGTGGGTAAAATGTTTTCCCTTCCTTCTCAGGACAGAATTGCCATGGCTCAAAAGGCCCCGTGAAATTTTGAGAAATCTGTTATGCTTGATACTAAGGATACCTTGGATATTTGCTCTTCCTTGCTCTCTTCCTTTCTCCCAACTTCTGTTTCCCTGGGGTTGTTTTACACCCACCAAAACAATAGCACCTAAACCTTTGCCTCAGGCTTTGTCTTTACAGAAACCCAGGCTAAAACAACAGGTAACAAAAACAGGTGGTTTTTGCTTGAATACTTCTAGAATTTTTTCTTTGTTTTTGGAATTTAGAAAATTTACTAAAACAAACTAGATATAAACTTCAAAACTGCTGCCTGGATCATTGTGAGAACTCTCTACATCCAGACTTGGATTAAAAAAAAAAAATCAGGATAGTTTTTTCTAGTATTTTATCTATTCGTACTGTTTTATTGTTTATTTTTAGAAATGCTTATTTTGGTTAAATCCTTACTCAAATATATATAGACATTTGAATAGTTCTGCTTTTACCATGGCTTCTCCTTTTGTTCACAGATTATGTGCTTTTGTATTTTATTAGCAACATGAAGAATGTGTTACAATTGTTTTCTTCTTTGTGCTTGCAATGTGTGTGCTTTAGAAGGCAATGAGTCCCTCAGAGTCCTCTGGCCTTTCTTCTCATCTCTGTGCTTGGGAATGTTTCCACATGCCCAGGTTTATTCTCCTTTACTTATCCATGTGAAGAGAGGTCTGTGAAGTCCCAATTTTTAAGAACAGATAAGACACAGGAATTGCTCAGTGGGGCACAGTCTGACTTTGGTAAGGTACAAAGGGTGCTGTCTGGGGCTCAAAAAAGGACTGAAAAGGACGCATGGAGGGTGCTGAGTTGGCAACCTGGAAGAGGGGGTGGTGCTGGAAGAAGTGGCTGCAGCTGTGGGACCTCATTTCATGGAAGCTGCTCTTGAGCCCCTGCGGCCCAGATACCTGGGAGAAACAGGGTCCTGGGAGAAAAGGCTTACTCTTATGCCTTCGATCAACAAACAACAGTTTCCTGGACCACGAGCAAACTGGACCAGCTGGGAGCAGGTAGAGACAGATGTATGGGTAGAGGGAAGTCAATATACCTGTAGTTTCCTGCAGAAACAGAACAGTCTTAGGGCAGTGCAGGATGGAAAGACACACTCCAGAGCCTGAGGCACCAAAGCGGAACAAGCATAGGGGCTGGCTGCCTGCCGTAGATCCGGGGGGATTATTTAATGTTGTATTGGAATCGAGAGTGCTGTAATTTCTAAGACTTTATGTTATTGCATGGACAGTTTTTCTCATTTTATGATATTTCCTTTGTTCATGTAGGTGATTTTGGTGGGGTGGTTTTTAGAATGTTCTCTTGTTTGTTAGCTAGAAGCCCAAGGGCATTTCTTTGTCCCCAAGGACAATGCTCCAATCCAAAGGATTTGCATTTAGGAATTTCAGGCACCAGTTGGCAAACAGGGGAATCTGTGAGCTCTCCTGCCCGAATTCAGGATGGACCTAAGACATTTTAGAATCCAGCCTTAGGTGAGACCACTAGGTGAGTTTCTGAGAAATGATCCCGGCAGCCGACCAACTCAGTCTCTGCAGCCTTGTAACACATTTGCTAGATTCAAGCACTCTAGTGAAACACAAATGCACATTATGTAGCAAACAGAATTGGGATAGGTTACGCAGAGCTAAGGCATTAAACATCCCCCTTCCCTCCCCGACTCCGCAACGATTCTAATAGCCAGGCACAAGCAGCGTCAGGATCTACGAGTAGCAGCTGCAGCGTTTAAAGAAACATCAGCTTCTGCACGTGCGTTCGTGGCGGGCCTGTCAGTGTGCTTTTCAGCCACACCTGCTTGCCCAGATGGTGGCCTCTGTGAGCGGCCTCAGCTCCTTGAGGAAGGACAGTCCCGGATTGTTTCACAGAGATTTACTGATGGGAAAATAACCACCCATCACCTCAGGGAACATTCTCACACATTTTCTTTATCATGCATTAAAAAAGTTACCAGTTTTTCTTTTTTTCCCCCGTAAGACACCAGAACTTCAAGTCTTTTGCAATAAGCCTGGAACACAAACCCATTCATTGGTTCCAAAGTGGATTTGCACAGTCTCCACGAAAACTGCCAGGGGCTAGGTGGGGCCCTGGTGACCCAGGCCAGGCCACTGAACCAGAGCTGGCTCTGGGATTTGAAATGACGTCCACTCCTTGTGCTCTTTGGGCTAAATCTAAAAGGGTAGCTCAGCTGCCTGTGTTTTTTGACTCTGGGAAACTCTTTTCCCTCATGGCTTTCCCAGCACAGCCTTACCTCTGTTCCTACACAGTCTCCTTCATGCGTTCTTTTCTGGGCCCTGAAATGTTCCTGTCTTCAGAGCCACGTCCTTGGCCCTCACCCTTTCCCCCTCAGCACTTTTCTGGGGTCATCCAGATTCCTGACTTCCATACCCATGCTACTGCCTCCCTTTGGGACATCTCCTGGGTCTCCTACAGCCATCTCAAACTTCTGTTGTCCTCTGTTTTCTGCCTCAGTTACTAATTTCCATGTCTCCCAAAAGTTGACCTCATGCCCCAGTCTCCTCCTGGGATTATGGGTCTTTCTTTGTTCTAGCCTTTTCTCCTCTCTCCTTGGTTTTTCACTGTTTGCAAAACTTTTCTGCCTTTTCATCTGGAAAAATCCTTGCTTAAAAACAGTCCTGCTCATAGGCTAAAACCTTTGTGGAACTTCACCCAACCCCTGCTTCCCATGCTGGAATTAATTGCTGCTTTTGTTGGTAAAATAAGCATGACCTAGAACCTGCCGGATGCCAAGGCACTAGGGACCCTCAGAGTCTGGTGTGGGGGATGGACCGTGGTTAGTTAGCATTTGAAGCAGTACAATAAAGATATGGCCTAAGAGCTGTGGGAATACAAAGGAGGGAGTCACTAATGCTCCATTTTAGAAATCCCCATGTAGGGGAAAATTAAATCAGAGAGATGGGAGCAGCATGTGTCCCTAGGTGACATCTATGGTCCACTCCAAGCAGCCGTGTTTCAAATGCAGATCTGCACCTGGCAAGGCTTTCTTTTTGTTTACCTCACCTAGCCACCAATCCTCCCTTACTTCCAAACACATCTATCATCTATTATTTCCATCGTGAGGTGCCACAGAGCAAAGACAGTATCATTTCTCCTTTTTCCTCTTTTGAGATCTCAGCATGAACTCATGGCTATAATATCCTTAACTCCTTCAACATGACATTATGATGTTAGCAAAAACTATGCCTGAAAAATAAAAACAATCTTAAGTGGCACCCACTCATAATGAACTTCTGGGTTCTGCACCCTTTACAGACCTTCTGATCAGAGATTGTCCCTCTGCCCTGGGGTCCTTGCATTTCTTTCCTGTGGGCTTTGTTGTTTACCACATGCTGTTCTGATCATGCTATCTTTCATTTAAATAGAAAGATAGCATGATGATGAAATGAAAATGATCCTAGGGTTGCTGTGAGTGTAGGATACACCAGTACCTGATGCTCACAGTTTGACAGGTCAGATCAAACTGTTATTCCAGAGCTGAGGGGAGAGACCAGGCCTCCTCTGGGAACTGGGACAGTGAGGAGAAACAAGCATCTGGTCACAGCCCCATCCCATGGACTCTGTCAGGGTTTAGGAGCTAACTTGCAGGGTGAACCTGTGGACAGTGAATTTTAGAGATAGAAGGGAGTTTGGCAATAGTCTAGTCTAACACTATTATTTTACAGATGGTGACATGGAAGCTCAGAGAGGTAAAGAGGTGTGTTTATGGTTCATGGAGGATTTGTGGCAGCCAGTGTGGAAGCCAGTGTGCCTGAGGCCCTCTCTGTTTAGTGGTGTCCATTCCACACTACACTGTCATCCCTGGAGCTCTGCTTGTTGTTGCTTGGAGCTATGAGCTTTGGTCATGAGTACAGCCCTATGGGGTAGATATATCCTAACTTATGGGTGAGGACACAGAGGTATAAAGAAAAAGAAGTTGCCTAAGATCACAGGGAATCCTTCTAAAACTGGACAGTCTCACCTACAAGATGGGAATAGAAATACCAATTGATGGAATTATAAGAAATTATGGGTATAAAATTTGTCAGGATATCATGAGCTATTAATTCATATGTTTTTTTCTTCACATTTCCTTTCAGCTTGTGACATTCTTTTATTTAGATAGCTAGATTAGAGGGAATCAGAGAGAATTAAGCCAGGGACAAAAGAAGTCACATTCTTCCTTCTTAGTTTTAAAAGTCTTTTTTTATGGCTGCATATTCCATATGGAATGTGCATATAACAGTATTCCATGGTGTATATGTGCCACATTTTCTTAATCCAGTGTATCATTGGTGGACATTTGGGTTGGTTCCAAGTCTTTGCTATTGTGAATAGTGCTGCAGTAAACATACGTGTGCATGTGTCTTTATAGTAGCATGATTTGTAATCCTTTGGGTATATGCCCAGTAATGGGATCGCTGGGTCAAATGATGTGTTCTCATTCATAGGTGAGAATTGAACAATGAGAACACTTGGACACAGGGTGGGAAACATCACACATGGGGGCCTGTCATGGGGTGGGGGACAGGGGGAAGGATAGCATTAGGAGAAATACCTAATATAAATGACAAGTTAATGGGTGCAGCAAACCAACGTGGCATATGTATACCTATGTAACAAACCTGCATGTTGTGCACATGTACCCTAAAATTTTAAGTATAATAATAATAATAATAAAGTCTTGGTCCTTGCTGTGGATATTAGCCTGTTTTCATCTCTCAAGAGTTCTGAGGCCCTTCCTATTTTGGGGATTCCTCCATCACATGAGTCTTGGTGGAAGGCAGGGTCCTATCTCCTACTTGAAAATATATGGGGCTGGATGTTCCATTTTTTCATAGAACAGATTTCCAGAACAGAGAAGTGACAAAGCCCTCTGGGTAAGGAAGATGGGGTAGAGAATTGAAGAGGATGGTGGCGGGATCTCAGAGAAGGCTGTGTGTCTTGCCCCTCCCTCTCATCCAGTGGAGTTGGCTGTAAAAGGGAATGATGTCAGAACATACTGAGAAGTCTGAGTTCAAGGCTAGAGGGGATGTGTGCAGTATTCTCCTCTGGAGCCCTGGGAGAAGGCTGCCTCCCATAGCATCCTCATGGAGCCAAAAGTGCTTACAAACACTATCTCAGTGATATTTCTTTCTTTTTTTTTTTTTTTTTTTGAGATAGATTCTCACTCCTTCCCCCAGGGTGGAGTGCTGCGGTATAATCTCAGCTCACTGCAACCTCCACCTCCCGAGTTCAAGCAATTCTCCTGCCTCAGCCTCCTGAGTAGCTGGGATTACAGGCGTTTGCCACCACGCCCAGCTAATTTTTGTGTTTTTAGTAGAGACGGGGTTTCACCATGTTGGTCAGGCTGGTCTCAAACTCTTGACCTCGTGATCTGCCTGCCTTGGCCTCCCAAAGTGCTGGGATTACAGGCATGAGCCACTGCGCCTGGCCAACATTTCATTTTCAAATGTTAAATTAACATATATGTTCTCTACTGACCATGAGAATTCTTAAGATAACTGTGTGGCAGGTTTAATGTAATGGACAAAGAGTGCCAGCCTGCTGTTGGACTTCAACTCTTTTGGGCATGCTGAGGCCAAAAAGTCAGACATAAAGACTTAAGTCAGTCATCCAAAGACTGGCAGCTTGATATCATGCAGGCAAGTTATCCAGATGACTGAATTTTGTCTTTTTCTGCTTGTGTTTTGGGATATAGCTGTTTATGTATGTTTGTATGTTCTGTTGTGTTTCTGTCAGGCATGAGTCACTAAATTTTACATGAGCTAAATCCTTCTTGGAGATGTGTTCAGGCTCAGAGCTCAACTTTGTGGCAAATTCTGGCTTCTTGGTGCTAGCATTCCAGGTGCTGATTCTGTTTCTCATCTCTTCCTAATGCCACACCCCTTCCTGTTCTTATGCCTCCTGCCATGTGGTTAGAGAGTGACGGGCTGAAGAGGTTAGTCCCACAGACGCCTGGGCACCAGCCCTGCCTCAGCAGCACCTGCTATTTTTTATTTCTTGTTTTTCCCAACCTCAGCCGCTGGCAAGTACCATTCTACTTTCTGTCTCTGTGAGTCTGACTACTCTAAGTACCTCATCTAAGTGGAATCATGCAGTTTTTGTCTTTTTGTGACTGGCTTATGTTACTTAGCATAATGTCCTCAAGGTTTATCCATGTTGTAGCACATGTTAGCATTTCCATCCACTTTAAGGCCAAATGACATTCCTTTGTATGTATACACCACAGTTTGTTTGTTCATTCATCCATTAGTGAACATTTGGATTAAGGACTACAACTTACACGTGAGTGCAATATTTGGGGAGGCAGTGTGTGTGTGAGGGAAAAACACCATGAACTTTATGGTCAACAGGCTTGGGTTCCAGTCATGGCTCTGCTGCTTATTAGCAAAACCTTGAAAAAGTTACTTAGCCTCTCTTTAAAAAAATTTTTAAAAATTTAAAGTATATCTTGAATGCAAAAGAGAATGTAAATGTCCATGTCCAGTTTGGAGAGCAATAATATAATAATACAAAAATAGAGCAAGCAGCCATATACTGACCACCCAGACTAAGAAAGTGAACATTACTCGGACCTTTGAAAGTCTTCAGCACCCCTCCTGGTTGACTCTTTTCACTTCTGTCCTGAACTAGTATCCTAAATTTCATGCAAATTAGTCTTGTGTTTTTCTCTGCAGTTTTACCATACCTGTAGATCTCTAAACAATGTATTGTTTGATTTTGGGGTGCTTTTTGGACTTTATATTAATGAAATTTCACTGTTATTTTTCCTTTAAGCTTTAATTTTTTGAGACTCACCCTTGTTGAAATGGATAGCTATAGTTGATTCATTTTTATTATTATAAACCCTCCCTCCCTCCCTCCCTCACTCCCCCCTCCCTCCCTCCCTCCCTCTCTCCCTCCCTCCCTCCCTCCCTTCCTTCCTTCCTTCCTTCGTAGAAGGTAGGCTCCTGCCTCCTACTTGAAAATATATGAGACTTCCTTCCTTCTTTCCTTGTTAATTTTTATACTACTGTAAACTATGCTGTCATGAACTTTCCCACACATATTTCCTGGTACATGCATGAGAGTATCTCTAGGGTATCTCCATAGGAGTGGAATTACTTGGGCTTAGGGTAATTGCATGTTCAACTTTATTAGGTATTGCTCAGTTGTTTCCTAAAGTGGTTAACCCAAGTTGTTCTCCCACCAGGAGTGCATGAAAATCTCCCTTGTGCCACATCTTTGCCAACATCTGCCATGACTTTAAAAATCTTCTGTCAATCTAGTGGATGTGAAATGGCTTTACCTTCCCTTTAAAAATATTTAGTCTCAGCTCTTCTTATTGTGCACTTCTGTGGCGATGAGTGCAATGTATGTAGTGTACCAACGAGAATTATTTTAGAGCAAGATTCTCCTTCCATGAACGAAGCTGGTGGAGCATCACAGATAGTAACTCTGTAGAGATTCCTATTATTGATGAGAATCAATACTAATATAAACATTGACTAATTCCTAAGCTGACTTCTTGCCTTCCCCCAGGAGTAAAAGGGATTTTTTTACTGGTCCCCAGCTCCAAATCCTGGTGTTAGGCATCGAGAAGTATCAATCAGGCTTCTACTGGAGACATCACGAAGGATGCAGAAAATACAGGTCATCACCTAATCATAAAAGGGAGGAGATGATCTGCCGAGTTCCAGACAAAGGATAGATACTTTCCTGTATGTAAATCCCTGCAATATTCTCTTCAAGGTAGGGGTAACAGCTGATATAGGGGTAACATTCTTAAGGACGGAGAACCAGACCCAGAGTTGAGTCAGTCATGTAAAAATATATTTTAGTTCTGACTGTTCCAAATACTGTCCTTGAACACAAAATGAATATACAAGGTTCCTGCCCTCAAGAGTTTTATACCCAGTCTGGTAGAAAAAAACAGATGTGAATACATCTATAATTGCATTTTCATATGTTAAGGGAGATGCATGATAGAGGTATATTATAGATACAGGGAAGGCTTCTTAGAGAAGGAGACACTTGAACTGAGCCTTGAAGGATCCATAAGAGCTTATCAGGCAGCAAGAGGGACATTTCAAGTAGAGAAGACAACATGAGCAAAGTAACAGGACTGTGAAGGAGCATTTTATTTCTCAGGAGTTCCAGGAGTTCAGTAGCTGGTGAAAGGAGAAAGAGGATTTTTGGAGTCACAGGCAGGAGATAGATCTTGCAGGACTTGTATGAGTCCAATGCAAGGAGTTTGAGCTTTATGGGAGCCTTTGATAAAGCAGGAGGATAACATGGTTAGATTTTGGTTCTAGAAAAATCACTCTGATGCCTATGTAAATTGGAGGGACAAGACTAGGGGCAGGGAGGATAGGATGTAGTAATGATAGTTCAAGCAAGAGATGAGGAAGTCCTGAATTAGGTGAGGCAATGAAGACACATTTCAGTTCTTCTCAGGTTTTTGTGACTAGCAGACATGGTGAGTGAGAGAGTGGTCCGTGTTCAGGATGCCTCCTGGGTTTTTGTTTCTGTTGTAGACTGGACAATGGCACCATTCACCGGGACAGTGAATACATGAAGATGAGTAGGCTTGGGATGAGACATTGACAATGACCTCAGGGATGGACATGTTGAATTTGTGGGGTCTGTAGGACATTCAAATAGAAATGTCCAGTAGTTTCTAGGGTGACCAGCTCATTCTGATTTGTCTGGGACTTTCTTAGTTTTAAAACTGAAAGTCTTGCAGCCCAAGAAATCCTTCAGTCCCAAGAAAACTGGAATGGTCTAGAACTCAGTAGAGTTTAGACTAGAGAGACTGATTTGGAATTTATGGAAGCCATAGGCATGGATGAACATTCATAGGGTGTGTGGAGAGAGAGAAGAGAAGAAGGCCAAAGGTTGTTCCTGAGCAAACCAACCTTTGATGGGTAGGAGAGAAAGAGGAATTCATGAAGGGGCCTCAGATGGGAAGCCTGGAGAGACAGGGAAGAGATATGAGAAGATAAGGTTGTGAAAGCCAAGGTTGGGGGGAACAATTGTAAAGGAGGGAATGGTCAACTATGTCTGAGACTGCAGAAAATTGATGGGTGGACTGGCTTTTTGAAGTGGTCAGGACTTTTTGTAACAGACTGATTTTGTAATAAGAAGTCAGGGGAGGGGTGACCCACAGCGAGGAAGGGGATACACACTTTTAAGAAGTTATAGTGTGGAATGACAGAAAGAAGAGCTAAGCTAGTATGGGAAATAAAGATGAGGGAGAGTTTCGAAAAAATTAAAGAAATGTGATCTGGTTTATAATGAGGGAAAGAAGTTAGTGTAGAAAGACAGATTGAAGGCATAAGGGGGATAACTGTTAGAATAATTGGGAGGGATGGGGTGAACTAGAGCAGACCCCTCTTTTGAGACCAAAGATATCAGTGGGGAGGGGTGTGGGGAGGGGTGTAGCAAGGGCATGTAGCCACTTAGCTACAGAGTTGGGATTTGAATCAATGTCTGCCAGATTTCAAAAGTCATATGATTTCCACCTCTTCTTAGAAAAATACATATAGCCTCAGTAAAAGATGTGCACACATGCATAATCACTTAGTGCTACACACAGACAGATACGTGCTGCTGGTGAAATTGCGGAAGTGATCAGAACAATTGGAGCCAGGTGTAGTTCATCTGGGGCGCTTAACAGGAAAGATGAACTTTGAACAGAATTCTCAGGGAATAGAAGAACGTGGTGAGACAAGAGTTAGATTAAATTTTTTGTAAAAAAATTAAGTCATTCTCCAAATCATTCTTCCTTTCAGAAACTTGCTTTGAGGATATAAAAAATTTGCTTCTTGTTCTTATTGGTGTGTAGATTCTCAATAGATGAAATCACAGTAGAGTATATTATCCCATGTAGTGGGTTGCTAGTCCCTACCTCTTCCATATCCATTTTTTTCCTTTTCTTTCATAGCAGCAGAATTTTTAAGTGATATCATGGCCCCTCAACTACCTATTACATTACCCACCCTTCCCTTGTTCTTGACCAAGGCCTGGCCAATTGGATGTGCTCAGAAGTGACAATGCCACTCCTGGTTGTGCCTTTAAAGGGAGAGATACGTCTTCCTTGCCCTCTTTTCTCTACTCTGCTGCTTGGAATGCAGAGTAGTAATGGTGATCAGTCTTGAACCATGTGATGAGAGCAATGTCCTAGGGATGGTAGAGCAACAATATAACTGGAGCTTAGGTCTCTAAAACTGAGGGACCCTAACACTGAGAGGCTACCTTAAAATAAGCCATTGCTAATTTGGATTTATGTTACAGTAGTTGAATCATATATGTAATAAGACTAACATAAACAATGACATTTCTTTGTAGTATTCATATGCATTTCCAGGATAATACTGATGTCTGAATTCTTTGCCTGTTTCAGTCCCATATTAAAGACTTCCAGAGAGTGTATCCCTGTGAGCTTAAATTCCTTTGCCTGAAACCTAACTCAGAGTCACATCTAGGTACAATTATATCAACTGGGAAGGATGAGGCAGGGTTAACCTTGGTCAAGATCATCCCTGATCACCTTTCTTGGTCATGCATTCTTGGTCATCGCATGAAACATGTATTTTCTTAATCTATTTCATTTTTTAGGAAGCTGTTGAGGAGTTGGTTTGTCAGTTAGCATTGCATTTAGCTGTGAATAACAAAACTTGACTAGATGGTGGCCTAAACAAGTTAGGGTTTTAAGTTTTTTCTCGTGTGGAACAAGAAGGCTGACTGTGGTAGGCAGTTCAGAGCTTTATAATGCACTCAGTGTCCCCCTAGGATACCTCTGTTTTTCTACCTAGCAAACTTAGCATGTAGTTTTTGTTTTCATGTTTGTCATCTCATGGTTCTTCTTTAGGCATCACATCTGTGTTCTAGGAATGAAAAGGGGAAAATGTAAAGAAAAAAGTGCAAGCCTACTGAGTTGATTCTCTCATTTTCATAAAAATTTTATAGTGACATATACATACAGAAAAGTTCACAAATCACAAGTATGTAGCTTGATTAATTTTTACAAAGTGAACATACCAATGTAACTGGCACCCAGGAGACACACTAGAACATTTCCAGCACTTCAGAATCCTTATTCCCTTGAAATACCTCTTATATACCCCAAAGAATGGCATAGATTAATTTTGCCTGATTTTGAACTTTATGGAGTCATATAGCAGATACTCTTTTGTGTCTGACTTCTTTTGTTTAACATAATGTTCGTGAGAATCACCCATATTATTTCATAGAATTGTAGAACATTTATTCTCACTGCTATATTCTAATGTATAAATATAAATTTTAAAAAATCCATTCCGGTATTGTTGGGCATTCAGGTAGCTTGCGGGTTTTAGTAATTATAAATTATGCTACAATGACTATTCTAGTACACATCTTTTGGTGAACATATGTTCACATTTCTGTGGATATATACCTATATGAAGAATCCCTGGATTGTAGATTGTGTTTATATTTAGCTATGCTCCTGCAAAACAATTTCTCAGAGTATTTTTTATCAATTTATCATTCCACTAGTAGTGTACAAAATTTCAGTTGTTCCATATCCTTGGCAACACTTGGTATTATCCATCCCTTCAATTTTGGCCATTCCAATGAGTATGTGATAGTATCATATAATGTTTTTAATTTTTATTTCCCTAATAACTAATGAATCACCTAAAGTTGAGGTACTTTTCATTTCATATGTTTATTGGTTATTTGGATATCCTCTTTCGTGAAGTGCTTTCTGTAATTTTTTTTGTACAGTTCTCATTGTATTGACTGTCTTTTTGATATTGTTTTATAAAGCTCTCTCTATCTTCTGAATATGAGTCTTGCATTAGCTTGCTAGGGGTGCCTTAACAAAACACCACAGACTAGATGGCTTAACCAACAGAAATTTATTTTCTCACAGTTCCGGAGTCTAGAAGTCCAAGATCAAGGTGTCAGAAGGGCTGGTTTCTCCTGAGGCCTCTCTCCTTGGCTTGCAGACTAGAAAATATAGTATTTTTAGATGGACCTATTGTCACTTTGCACAAAGCTGAGATTTTTTGAAAAGAGGAGAATGGACAGGCAACTAGCAAGGTCTGGCTCAGTCCCTAATTTTTCTAAAACTAGTAGGGATGAAGGAAGAAGAAAGGAAGTGGTACCTTCTTTTCTTATCAAATGAGCAGTGTTCCAGGGCTTGTGCTGTTACAGCTGGAACCACATTGGCGCAGCTCAGGGGAATCAATGGTTCTTGTTATTCCCTGGTCTGCTGAGATTGGGCTAAGCAGGAATAAAGGTCACAGCAGCTCTTCTAGTAAGCCTATGGGATGGCCATGATGGTTCCCATGGAAAGTGTATAGGCCAGAGAAGATTCTCCCCACCACCAATCTCATTTATGGTTTGATGGAGCTGAGAGTCCCAGAAAAGCATTCCATGACATTTCAGCCCAATGCATCCCCTGGTAAGAGAAAATTTTCATATCAGTTTTGGAACAAAAGATTGTAAAAATATTTCAGGAAATAAGCCCTAGTTCACATTGTCACATATAACTACATAAAGGGCATTGAATTATCTTACTTATATTTTTAATAAGATGATTTTTAGTATTGCTCATCAACTCTTCCCCTTCCCCTCAAACAGGCTTGAGACTGTTCACTAGTATATAGGGTAATCTGTGCCTTGAAAGAAAGAAGATGTGATATCTGTTTTCTACTACACTGATTTGAATCTGTTTTCTCCAAACTGCGACCCAATCTAGCAGAATGTAAGGAGCCTATATTGGCATACTAAGACCACTGCCCTCCCATTTTTATTGAAAAAGGCCAAGAATGAAAAAGCAAGCTGTCTTAGTCTGAGAGACAGACATCAGGGTGGGATTAAATGTGCAAGGATTTTGTTAGGGGAAATACCTGTCTGGGAGAAAATGGGTAGGGAGCAGAAAGAGCTGTTAGACTATGGAACAAGTCTATCTCACAAATGGAGAGAGGGAAGGAAGGTTAGGTGGAAGTGTCCTAGACCATTGTGCAGCCTAAGGAAGCTTCAGCAAGGTTGTTATGGAGTCTGTGAACCAAAGTTGGCTGTCAGAGGAGTCCCTTGTGTCCCAGGAACAGGCTTGCCCACCACATCCAGTCATTGGCTAGGAGCAGCCTGTGGCTGGGAGCAGCCAGTATGGACGTGGTACAAATGTGATGGTGGATCTCAGAGTGCAGCAGCTGAAGACCTTGGTCAATTACCTTCCCTGTAGCTGGATATTTGCAAGGCACATTCTAATGGCAGCTTAGTTTGCTTTTGCTAGAAATTAAAGAGGCCGGGCACGGTGCCTCACGCCTGTAATCCCAGCACTTTGGGAGGCTGAGGTAGGCAGATTACCTGAGGTCAGGAGTTTGAGACCAGCCTGGCCAACATGGTGAAACCCCATCTCTACTAAAAATACAAAAATTAGCCGGGCATGGTGGCACACACCTGTAATCCCAGCTACTCGGGAGGCTGAGGCAGGAAAATCGTTTGAGCTTGGGAGACAGAGGTTGCAGTGAGCTGAGATCATGCCACTGTACCCCAGCCTGGCCGACAGGGCAAGACTCTGTCTCAAAAAAAAAGAAAAAAAAAAAGAAATTAAAGAGAGCATTGGGATGCCTCTCACTTTTGTGAAATGTAAGAATCCCACTTGGTTGACACCAGTTGACATGAATGACTTTAGGAAGGGAGTGAAATATGGTGAGTCAGAAGAGAAGGGTTAAAGAAGGGATATTGGATGAACCCAAAGTCCATAATATTAAAACTGAATGCACTATGAATTATTTTCATTTTAAATTCTATTGTCTTTTCTTGAGTAGGTGCTATGAATAGTTTTCTTAAAAGTTTAAACAAAAACTTTTCAAATAGGTTGATTTTCAGGTCTGAAAACATCTGAATCAAACATTTGGTGTGTAGTGACATAGCAAAACAAATTCAGGTCAGGATCCCTGACCTATGACTTGTTGACAGATTCACAGATCAGTGTGCTCATGTTTTGAAAACAAGCAACCTAGGCATGTAAGGCAAGATATCAGATATCTGAGAATCAACTTTTTGTTGCTAGTTTTATTTTTATATTGCACACCATCAAGTCCTAGAAAGGGCAAACACAAGAAGGCACCAAAGCTAAGTTCTGAATTTGGCCCAGGGACAAACATCCATGTAACGGCCATAGCAGCAGGGCCTGCAAACCTGATTTATTCCTCTGTCATCTCTCTAAATCACAATTTATGCTGATAAGGTGACCTAACTTGTTTAAAAGTGAAATGGAGAAGGTTGATGAAAATTTACTGCATCCCAGGTTTGTGGGTTGGACGCCTCCATTAGCAGCAGGACCACAGGAAAAAGGAGTGGGAGGAATACAGCCAGAAACAGGTTCTCACTCTGAACAAGATTAAGAGATGGAAGAGCTCATGAGATCATCTCACTGAACTCCCCACTTTACTGCCTGAAAGGCTTGGGAGAGGAGGGGCATGTCTGAATAATCTATTTTCTGATTTTTCTCTTTCTTCATTAGAAGTGATTTAGCTGATGACTTTCCTGCCATTTCTCTTGGGGAGATAGTCCTTAACACACACATGAAAGTCATCAGTATTAGGAAGTTTCTTCAGATGATTATTATTTTTTTCAGAGGATTTTATGGCATTAGTCTTCCTCCAACCACCGTGAAATCCTTTTTCTTCCCAGTTTCCTCTCCCATGATACCTATGAGTTATTATTCGTCATGTTAGTTTTCCAACCACTCAGCTAGGGCTCTTCTTTCTTTTCTGATTCATGGGCAGGTCAATCCTTTGAAAGGATTTGCCACACACATGATTCATCAATGGCTTTTGGTTTTCTGTTATTCATTTAGTTCTTGAGGGGTCCTAGAGCCTGTGACCAAATGACACACTTGATGGCTTCCTGAAGGAGCTTTCTCAAAAGCAATAGAATTTCCTTGCATATTTGAATCTGCTCTTGCAGCAGTTTGAAGCTGTGAGCCCAGCTCTGTGAAGCAGAAGGTTAGACATTACCACAGACTCCAAGGCTTGGAAACACTGCAGGACATTTTGTAAACAGAAGTGCAGCCTTAGGAACACATCTTCAGCATACGGGGGAAGTTCCAGCACATTTCACAAGAGGGAAAAGTAATGCAAGGAAAGGATAATTTCAGTCTTCTGTGTTGATTACCCTTCTCCTTGCCCTCTGTACAAGGGGGTTAGCAAGGGCAGCTGGTCGCAAGACTGCAGCTGTTCTTAATTGTTGATTTTAGCTTTGCAGTGGTCCCTTGTGGGAAAAGATGCCACATCTGTACCATGGAATGTACTTACAGGTGTTTGAGAGATGTTTTCTTTCCTACAAGTTACATGACACTCTGTAACAGACAAGCTATTAAGACATACCAGGCTGATGTCCAGAGACATGGGCTTAAATGGCTCCCTTCCTTTTCTCCATTCTTCTCATACATAGACCTGTGAAAAAGATCTGCTTTCTGCTTAAGCCAGGGAAGGGTGCATTTCTGACATTCTCTCTTTCTGTTCCCTGCAAATGGCCTGGATACATCAACAGCAAAAGAGAACATCAGGTTCAACTACTTTACAAACCTGCTCAAAGTAGGCTCAGGTTAAAATGGGTCCCTAGTTGAAAGCAATGTTAAAAAAATACAAAAACGAGCGTATGAGAAATATTAGCTTTTTCTTTTAAAAAATACAAAGGCTACTTGAGTAAAAATAAAATCTGTTTTTTGTTTGTTTGTTTTGTTTTGTTTTCTATGAGTGAAATGCTACAACTTGGGTTCTAGATTAGGGCAGGGCATGCATTCATGTTTGTTTTGTTGGTGTAACAATGGGTTTCGTTAAGTGGTTGTGGGTGTCTCATACGCAATAGGACACATTGAATGCATTGATATGAATGGATTAATACTAGTACAGTACTCGCTCCTCCTACCTCCCCACTCCCTTTAGGTTTGAGGCAGCTAAAGCTGCTTCTTCCCTGGACTCCACATCTATTCTGGCTCACCTGTGATTATCCCCCATGCCTACCCTGACAACCCACTCTCGACTATGCTTAGGATCAGCACCTAGACTCTCCTGGCCCTGTGCCTACTGTGGTGGACACATACCTGTGTCTCATGAGGGTGGGATGGGAAAGAAGACAGACCTTGCATATACTGGCTGAAGTGTTCACATGCATGTAATCAGTGTTCCTCGACCTCGGTAAGAAACCACAGGGCTGCCCAGTCCTGGTCCCTGCGTGTGTTCTTGCCTGCATCTTACAAATATTAGGAACAGGCCCACACTAGCATGCTATCTCTTTTGGTGTGTTACTTTCAAAAAAGGAAACAACATGAATTTTCATTAAAAATACAGGTAAATTTCTCACTCATTCTAAATCCTGAAGGCAGGTGCACAGAAAATTAGTCTCAATGGAAACAGAAAGTGAAATTGACCACTTTTATTTCTCCCTTTTAAGTAAATTACCTCCCTCAGCAGAGAATGTATTTATTCCAGAATTAATCTGAGCATTTGAAAGTTATTGACGTTTTAGAAAAGTATATCCAAAGGATTGATAGTGGCAAGCTGAACAGTATTTTAAAAACCCACAAAATGTGCCAAGGTCTGAAGGCCATTCAAGTTCAGGGTTGTGATAATAAGCATAACCGTAACTCTGAATTCTGTGAGTTCAATCAAATGCTTGGACTATACAATCAAGTAAAAAGCTTGACAGATTTTTTTATAGTGCACAGCTTAGTAAGAGCTCAGTAAATATTTACTATATTTAAAAAAATCCACCCAGTGTCTGGATGGGTTTGGTCACAGTAGTTCATCATGTAGCCCAAGATAGGGTAGCCCAAGTCAGCCTAAATCTCGTGGTGCTTCAGTGGCACTGAAAGCCAACCATAGCTTCCAAACCTGACGTAGATACTTTAATGTGATAAAGTGGAGCTAATTTTCCCATTTCATGTGTAAGTAGATGCAAGAGTGCACTCACCTCAATGTGGTTTGATTCCTATCCCGCAAAAGCACACTTCAGTCTCAGTATTCATGATGGTTTCAGTTCACTTATTGGTCATTGTCCCTTTGCTCTTTGGTTCTCTGGTCTCAGTGTAAGAATGCACACTGATTTCTGTTAGATTCTATCTGGGCAGAGGGGCGGGGATGGATTATCTTTCTGTGATTGTGTATGAGTTTGGGAGTGGATGAATAGAGGAGGAGTTATGTAGTGAGAAGATGGGTACACTCTGATGAGGGTCTCCAGTGGCGGCCCAAAGTGATTCATGAAGTAGTAGAAGCTGATTTTTGCTCTCTCCAGCCTTCTGCTTTCTAGCCTTAAAGCATCGTGGGTTTTTCCCCTCTCAGGACTCGATTCCCTACGGTGAAAACCCTAATTTATATTTTTTTCTGCTCTGTTCC
This sequence comes from Homo sapiens, assembly GCF_000001405.40. NCBI lineage: Eukaryota > Metazoa > Chordata > Mammalia > Primates > Hominidae > Homo > Homo sapiens. The sequence continues at coordinate 50,356,361 of NC_000013.11, forward strand.
TATGTGGAATTAACTCTCAGTGTTTTTCAAATTGTGAATCTTGACCCATTAGTAGTTGTTAAATTAATGGGTCAAGCCAGTAGTAAAAAATGAAGTCATATGAAATATATTAGGAAGTGTCAGAGCACATCTTAGGCAGTAGGGAAAGTATTGCTTCTGCAAAAACTTTTATTTCAATTGTACGTGTATGAGAGAGTACTGAACAGTACTGTAAAGGTTGTGATGAGAACAATTTGAAAAGCACTGACCTCAAGCAAGTTGTTAGAGGTGGATTTGTAGGTACACAACAGGCATCAGGAGGAAGGTTTAGGGGCAGGAGACCTCTTCTGTGTACCTCCCACTACCTCATGTCGGCAGCCATCTTCCCATTTGGCCTATATTAAGGTCATACCTATTGTTGTTGGTCCTTTATCCTTGCTTTGTGGAGGACCATCATGAAATCAAAATATTCTTCAGTGAATACTTTGCAGCTTGGAAGGTGCTTTTATTTACATTATCCCACTTGACTACGGATTCTACACACCAGATGCTAGGTTCATCCCAGAAGAGAGGCCGGGTCCAGCCCCCTGCCCCTAAGACCACCTCTAGTATGATCTTATCTAGCTTGTTTTTATGATGCAATGTTAATGCAGCCACTGCCCATAAGGGGACACATGAATCTGAAGGTATTTTCCATGCATGATTAACTTTTAAAGTTATGTTGTATTCCTTGGCCTAAGCAAGGTGTGACTGACCTTATGGCATCTGTAGTAGCCAAGGGTTGACATTAGAGAGGATGAAATAAGCAAGTGGTAATGGCTCTCAGGAATTATGGTAACAAGGAGAAGAGGATGGTTCTTCACTGCTAAGCAGCTTGACTAGGTGAGAGACAGCCAGCATCTTACTGCTTCCTGGCACATGGAGTGTTCCACTGAGAATCACAGGCAGACTCAGGCAACCAGCCACTTTTCAAATGGGCTGTCTTCTGTAGTGCTGTTCCACCACCATTCTGTGGGCCCAACTGTTGCCATTCTGGGGGATCTGCCATTGCTAGCTTAATTCCATTCACTTCAATTCAATTGCTGTTATGAAAGGCCTACTAGTGCTATTCCCCTGAGAATCTATAGAGACAGGGTAGAACTCTTGGATGAAAAGGTGAGGGCTTAGGACATCTGGTTAGTGGAACTTACTTATTTTTGGGCCTCTTTCATCAAGTAACACCAGCTGATGCCTAGGAGTGTGGGAGTCATATCGGCTTTGTTGTCGTCTGTTAGAAACTCTTCGTGTTCACAAAAAAAAAAAAAAAGCAGCCTTGGAGAAATCTTCAACCCAGAAGGAGTTAAGCTGTGTGTCTGCACAGCGCAGCTTTGTTCTGGCAAGGTCCCATCAGTTTAGGTCATTTCTGATGACTTCACTCTCCTGGTGACATCAGCCTCTAATCTCCTGAAGGTGAATTCATGTGCGATTGCTTCAAAATACTCACTCCCTGAGTTCCGAGCCATTCCCGTTGATATATGGACAGAGCTTGTCTTTCCCAGGCCACAGTCTGGTTTGTGCACTGCATTTGTGCTTACCGTATCATATTACCATGTGGACATTATGTCACTAACTGGCACAACCGGCTCAAAATGAAATATGCTTGCTGCAAGCAAAAACCCAAAAGCTAACATCAACTCTCCCCACCCCCTACCCCAGGTACAAAATAAAAGGGCTAGAGGGATGGCTGGACTAGATTTTGGTTTAATATGTTTCTAACTGTTCTCTCCCTCCTCTGCCTTTCTGTGGCCTGAATGTTGATAGTAACTTTATCATCCTTTTCAGTCCTTTATACCCACTAACTCTTGAAAATGTTTGGTCACTGATGGCACAAATTAAATGTAAGACTTTGGAATAATTTAGTTTAGCCTCTTCCTAAAATATCAAGTCTGTGAACTCAAGTAACCTTTTTACCTTCTAAGACCACTTTCTTTTCTTTGTCTTTCAAATGTCATAAAAGAATACAGAGTAGAAATGAAAGCAGCCTGGGCTTATTGGGTAGGTGCCAGGAATTAGCTTTGACAAAGATGGTGTTCTGTGCACTTGGCCCAAGCTGACAGGCATGCAGATGCCTCTAGAAATTGTGGGAGATGAACTGGAAGTATCCCCAGAGTTTGTCCAGTCTTAGGGTGGTGTAAGTACATTTTAGGCCCTTCTCCTGTTATCCACAGGCTGTGTTGACACCCTCTTGTGTCACCAGGGATTCAGAATGCCACAGTGCCTCCCTGACCACTATCATCCTCCTGCTGCCCCCACTCTGGGGCAGAAGAGGGTAGTCTGTCTACAGAGAAGCAGAGTCCCCACACCACTTCCAGGATCCCAAGCACCCATTTATTTTGATTAATAGCTCTTGGCAGTAGACAGTAGCTTCTGGAATACAGAACTGGCCGGGTACACACTGAGGTTTAAAATCACATCAAGAAAATAGCATACTAACACAGGATTGTTAAGGGGAGAAACTGGTGTTCAAACAATAAAATACTACTCTCACTGTTTATCTTTGTTTCATTTTGAAGGAAATAAAGAAATGAAACCTTACAAGTGTAGCAGCCCAGTTATCAAATAGTCATAGCCACAGACACTCAGTTTTGGGGTCAGCCCACAGACTATGGGGGTACTTTCTCTGCCTCTGCACAAAATAAATGTTGAGGCTCTCAATTTTTTGAGGACGGAAATAAAATCCCTGGATGCTTGCAAATATATTTTTTAATGCAGGGATAGCTAGGTTTTCTGAGTTTCAGTTCTGTTTCAGCTGGGGTGCGGGTGGGGGATGGCCTGCATCACAGGGGAAACTGGTGGAATCTTAGTCCAGGAGGCTGGCGCCATTACCATTCACATCAGCTCATGATATACAAAGGTACCAGACTTTTTTTTAAAGGCCCAGTATAAAGTAATCCAACTTTCTTTCTCCTGCTGTATATCCAAGGAGGTGGAAGTATTAAAGAACCCTTTTATACCTTCTCAATGCCATTCTCTTTCTTGGTTCATGCAGGAAAAAAAAAGAAAAAAAAAACACAGAAGACAGACTAGAGAAAAAAAAAACCCAAAAATCTAATTAAAATACAAAATTAATAAAACATTCTCATGTGCTCAAATCCTACATCTTCTCTTCTAACAGCATGGCTGTTATATATGCACCTGCTTACTCTCTTTCCCCAGTAAAGAAACAGCATCTCCTTACTCCAGAGGAATTGGAATTTCCCACTTCCCGACTTCTTGCTCCCTGCAAGCTACTTGAGGACCACAAAGGCTGAGCCTTCTTGTTTGACTGGGAAGACTGGAAGAGCTCTACCTTTCTAGCAGAGAAATGCCTCCTGTGGACAGTGGGCCATAGCCACACATGGGATAGAAGACGTGAGGGGTGTCTGACTTTTGGAAAGAGCTGAGCACTGGATGAGACTTATATTTTTCCCATGTGCCTTACTGGGGTTGTACCTGGAGAGGGAGTGCTTCTTTTCATTTCTGGAGGTAGAGTGCGATTTGCTTTTGCAGTTGGAGAGGCAAGGAAAAGCTGCCAGTGTCTGTAGCAAGCTAGGTAATTTGCGTATAACATCACTCCTTTGATGACGGCATCAATCGCTTTGCTTGACTGATTCTGCGAACTAGTGGGTTCTTTGATGAGTGTGCCTTGCCCTCAGTTTGCTGAGCACTCTTCCTCGGGGTGGGATCTCTAAGCCATAAACAAGGAGTATTTCCCCTCCAGTTTAAGATCACAGGTTGACTTCATCGTATCCACTGTCTCACCAGCTTTCTCCATTCGCCAGCCCAGCCCAAGGGCAGCACAGCCTTGAAGGCACCAAATAGGGAAAGCATGCCACTCCGTACCTCCTTCCTGACATCTTCTGCTTAGATTAGGCTCATGCCAGGGTCAGAGCCAGCTGCGCCATCACACCCGATGCAGCCTTGGGACGTGCTGGAGGTGTAGGGGAGAGGAAGGCTGCCCCCAAATGCTGATCTGCATGTGTGCATCCACCAAAGCATGTGATGGGAACACTCTTATCAGCAGATCTTTCATCCCAGCCCTGCCACCACTGCCGTGTGACCCTGAGCTAGGAGCCTACTCCACACAAGGTGTTTCTCGTTTGTCCTGAGACTCTAGCTCTGAAGGGAAAGAGTTCCTGTTGGGGCCATCGACCCCCATAGCCACTGGGATAAACACTGATGTAGTTGTTGCTCAACTAATGAGTGAAGGAACCAATACGGCCAAAAAATTTTTTGAAACGTGTGCCCTCCCTAGAAGGTCAGCTGGGGCCCCTGTTTTGCATGCACAGGCCTGCCCTGCCCTGCCACCCTACCAAGTTTCTTTGAGTTTGTAATTTGGTCTGAGACTAGAGATGTCATCTGATATGATATTCCCACCCAGGGAAAGTCACCTTGGGAGGAACTCTTGTTATCCCTGGTGCTCAGCAAAAGCCTGCTGGCTCCTTGAGTGCTGGGACACTCATGTCTCAACAAGGCACCGTCACTCTTGTGTCCCCGTGCCTAGAGCAGGGCCTGGCAGGCAGGCACTCAGGAACAACTTGATGAATTGAGTTGTTGAAGTCAGCTAAATCTTTCTGTACAGGTGCAAAACTTGCTGTTCAAAATAAATCCTAAACATGAAAACAGAAAGCTATAGACAAAATCCTAAGTTCCAGTGATCTCAGGGAGGCAAAACCTGTCATTCTTTGAAAGAACCTATTTGGATATGTATATGTTAATATATGTGTATGTATAAGTACACCTACATCTCTTCCATCTGACATGTTTTAATAGTGTGCTTATGGAGTGGGTTTCCGAAAAGAGCTAAGTCTAAAGGAGAGAACCTACAGTTTTCTCCCAAATGGGGGCATCTCACTATAGCATCATGGAGTTTGCTGTTTAACCTCTCTGTTAAGCAATTCAAGGAGTTACCTTCTATGGAGGTGGCTTCTCAGATTATTTTTTTCCTATAATATCCTCCTCCAGCTGCTTCTTGACAAAGAAGCACTTGTTTATTCACTCCACACAATTTTTTTTGCAAGTCTTTTCATTTTTGTTAATAAGTTTCATTTTCTATTTAGCTTTCTGACTCTGTGCTTGTGCCTTCAACACTTTCACAACGATTTTCTCTTCGTCGATAAGGAAAGCATGCTTGATCCTGTCATGAACACATTTAGCATACATGGAACCACCATAGGCCCTGCTGACATATTTCTTTGTTTTGGACAATCTCATAGGAATTTTAGGTCTTACAGCATGAACCCCTCAAAGTCTGCCTGGGCACATACCACATGTAGATTTTGGTGCTTTCCCAACCTTCTTGGTATAAAGGTAAATGATTCTATTACCAGGGGTTCCAGACAGCTTAGTTTTGTTAGAGGTTGTATTGTAGGAAAGCCTATGTTGGTGTGTCAAACGCAGGACCATTCTGAGTGCCTGCAGACAATGTCCCCGGAAGAGGAAGAAGAAAACCTTGCGAACCTTGCGAGGTCCTCCACATAATTTTTAATATTAAGATTGCTTGCTTATTTGTTTATTCTCTCTCTCTAGTCCCCCTCCCTGGACCCTCACCACCCTGCCCAGCACTAGGCACTAGGAGCACTCCATGAGGGCAGTGATTATGCCTTATTCCCCATTGAAACCTCAGCACCTTGTCCAATGCCTGGAACACAGAAAGATGCTTAATGTTGGTGTGCTTAATGAATGAATTGCTAGGAACAAATGACTTGTGAAAACACAGGGGTGCCTCTCCTGGCTTGGTTTATTACCCTGGATGCTGACAACCATCAGCACATGTGAAAAAACAATTTAAAATCAATTCTCTGGTGAATCAAGTTTTGGCAGTGGGTGATTGGTGTTTGGCCAATAGCCTCTCCTCGAAGGCATTATTCACACATAAGGCATAGAAGCCTGGCCGAGAGGTCTTCTTCTTTTTTTTTTTTTAACTTAGTATTGTAAAAAAAATTTTATTGTGGTAAAATACACATAAGATTTACAATCTTAACCCTTTTTAAGTGTACAGTTCAGTGGCATTAAGTATATTCACAGTGTTGTACAACCATCAGTCTCCAGAACTCATCTTCCCAAACAGAAACTCTGTACCCATGAAACACTAACTCCCCTCCTCCCTCCCCCAAACCCCTAGCAATGGCCATTCGACTTTCTGTCTCTATGAATTTGACTGCTCTAAGTACCTCTTATAAGTGGAATCACATGCTATTTGTCTTTTTGTGACTGTATTATTTCACTTAGCTTAATGTCCTTAAGATTCCTCTATGTTGCAGCATGAATCAGAACTCCCTTCCTTCTTAAGGCCAGATACTATTCCATTATCGGCATACCATACTTTGCTTATTTATTCATACATCCATGGACACTTGGGTTCTTCCACTTTTTGGTCATTGTGAATAATGCTGCTATGAAAATGTGTGTACAAATATCTGCTTTCAATTCTTTTGAGTATATACCTAGAAGTGGAATTACTGGATCATATAGTAGTTCTATCTTTAATTCTTTGAGGAACCTACATACTTTTTTCCATAGCGACTATACAGTTTCACATTGCTACCAATAGTGCAAAGAGTTCTGATTTCTTCACGTCCTCATCCACACTTTATTTTCTGGGTATTTTTTTTTTTTTTGGAAATAGCCCTCATAATGGGTGTGAGATAGTATCTCATTATGATTTTGATTTGTATTTTCCTAATGATTAGTGATGTTGAATATCCTTGCCATTTGTATATCTTTAGATAAACGTCTATATAAGTCCTTTGCCCATTTTTAAATTGGTTTCATTGTGTTTTAGGAATTTATATATTAGGTTGGTGCAAAAGTAATTGTGGTTTTTACCATTACTTTTATTGGCAAAAACTGCAATTACTTTTGTACCAATTTAATACTTTGAGTATTTATTCCTTATCAGATTCTGTGTTGCAACTATACATCAACTTAGAAAAAATGACATCTTAAAAATATTGAATCCTCCAATTCATGAGCAAGTATGTTTGTTCATTTATTAAGACCATCTTAAATTTTTTAGCAATGTTTTATTATTTTTGGTGTATAGCTTCTTTATATTTTTGTCAGATTTATTCCTAGAATTCTGTATTCTTTGATGTCATTGTAAATTGTATTGATTTTGAATTTCATGTTTGGATTTTTCATTGCTTATATACAAAATACAATTAATTTTGTATACTAGTATTGCAATGCTGTAATCTTGCTATATTAGTTAGCACACTTACTAGTTCTAGTAGCTTCTTTGTACATTCCGGCAGATTTTCCACACAGATGATCTTGTCATTTTCTTGCTTTTACTTCTCTATTTCCAATCTTTATGCCTTTAGTTTGGACTTCATTACATATTGTGCTGGTGGGAATCTTCAGTATAATGCTGAACAAAAGTGGTGAGAACAGATATCCTTGTTTTGTTCCTGATCTTAGGGGAAAGGAATTCAGTCTCTCACGATTAAGTGGGATGTTGGCTGTAGATTTTTTGTACATGTCCTTCGTTTATTTGAGGAACTTTTCTTCTGTTTCTAGTTTGCTAAGGGTTTTTATCAGAATGAAGGTTGCATGTTGTCAAATGCTTTTTATACATGTATTGAAATGATATATAGTTTTTCTTTTTTAGTTTGTTAATATGGTGAATTACAGTGATTGATTTTGGAATGTTAAATCGGCTTTGCATTCCTGGGACAAACCTCACTTGGTCATGATGTATTATCCCTTTTATATATTGTTGAATCTGATTTTCTAAAATTGCATTGAGAATTTTTACATCTGTTTTATGAAGAATATTAGGTTGTAGTTTTCTTTTCTTGAAATATTTTTGTTTAGTTTTGTTATCAGTGCAATGCTGGCCTTGCAGAATGAATTGGGAAATCTCCTCTCTTCTTTAATTTTCTGGAAGAGTCTACGTACAAATGGCATTATTTCTTCCTTAAATGTTTAGTTGAATTTACTTGCCATTAATCCCTTCCAGTGCAGTTTTTGTCTCTAGGAGTCTGATTTAGGTCTTTAAAAATAACTCCTCCATTTCTGTTAAACTTTTTGAATATATGGAATACAATTTTAATATCTTTTTAAATTCCTTTGCCTGTTAATTTTAACATCTGTGTCAGTTTTGGGTTGTTTTTGACTAATTTTTCTCCTCAATGTTTTCTCATTTCTTTGCATGCCCAATAACTTTTGTTTGAATGGCAGACATTGTGATGGTTATTTTTTTTTATTCCTATACATGTTTGGGCTTTGTTCTGAGATGCAGTTAAGTTACTTAGAAACTGATCCATTTATGGCTTACCTTTCATATTTGGAAAGCAAGACTAGAACATCGTTTAGCTTAGGGCTAATAACCTTCTACTACTGAGGCAACATCTTTCTGAATATTCTACTCAATTATATGTAAAATTATAAGGTTCTTCAATCTAGTTACTGGCAACAGTCACTTTTTCTGACCTCATGTGAGCTCCAGTTGCTGTTCTTTGTAATTCTTTTAGATGGTTCTTCCCCTGGTCTCTGCTAGCTTCCTCAGCTGTGTGCACTGATTAGTACTCTGTTGAATATTCAGGGGGACCATCTACAGATGTCTGATTCTCTTTCCCTGCAACTCTTTGTCCCCTCTCTGTCCTGCCAACTTTAGCCATGTTGGTCTTTCCAAACCCTTGCTTCATTTCTTCATTGTAGGGAATCGTTGAGCTGCACTGGAGTTTCTCATTCCTATGATATGGCCTGGAAACTTTCATGTCAGTAAGTTAGGGCTTTGGTAGGGTTCTTCTCATTCGTTTTCTATCTTATGTCTTCTGTTGGGTTCTGTCATGATGATTATTCACTATTGTGTTCACTTTCTTGTTTCATTGAACATATTTTTAATATTTTATCCAGTTTTTCTAGTTTGCTTTTGTAGATGGTTTGGTAGTAATTACCTAGTCTGCAATTATTGGAATAAGAGGCCTCAGACCTTTTAATTTCAACAAAGTTTTTTTCCAGAGAAGTGAGCAGCTATTTCAGGTCTGCTGGAGTCCTAAGGTAGAGTCCAATTGGGATTGAGAGCTGACCATCTGGCCAGTCTGCAAGTTCTTGCAGAAGAACCTACTGCTGAGGACTGAGGAGTGTGGGAGTGAGAGGGTGCTTGTTCTGAGGGGAGAAGGAGCCGGAAATGACAGCCTTGCTAGAGAACTGAATCATGGTTATCAGAGAGGAGGAGAAAGAGTGAGAATGCTGCCACATACTCATAGTTCTTTCCTGTTCAGATCCCATTCGATTTGTGAAGTGTGACATTGAGAGTCTGTTAAAATTGAAATGCACTTTTATAAAAATTCTGTAAAATATGGAGCCATAGGCTCTCTATCAACAGGTGGGAGTGAGAGGCAGTGAAATCTGAGTTATGACTGTTAAGGTGACTGTTTAAGTATACCCAGGCTGTGAGGCCTGGGGGAAATCAGGTTACACAGAAGCCAAGTTAACCCGGATCCAGCTCCACCTTGCAGAGTTTCGTTAACAGAAGGGGTCCTTGGTACAAACCCGCTGCCGGTCAGAAACTGGCCTGAGGCCAGAAACTCATTTTACCTTAACCTCAGAATGTCCATCAGATGATGAGGTTCTTGCCTAGGACGGATATTTTTCTAAGTTGGTACTCAGAGATTGACTTAAGAGTCCTTAAAATTTCACAATGAGTCACACATAAGGCCAGGTTTGCTGAAACCGAAAGTGTTGAAACTGCCTGGGGGCAATTTGTCGGTAACCTGTAGGCATTTGAGAAGCTATGAAAAGGATTAATATAATGCATAAAATGAAAGACAAGCAGTGGGGGTGGGGAGTGAGAAAACTATTTCCAGTGAACATAGCCCTAGTTCAGAAGACGAAATCTATATTTCACTCAGCAGAGGGTACAAATCTGTATTACATTAACTCAGCAATTCTAACCAAAACAAAGACAGGATGGCAAATATTTAAACAGTGATTAAACAGTGCCCAGGCAATAGGAAATGTCTGCTCTTGCCAACTGTTTGCTTGAATGAAATAAAATAAATAAGGGGCATACAAACTGTGTCTTCCTGGTTGTTCTCAGGGACCTTCTCTGGCATAGGGGCAGCTCCCTCAATCATGAACTTGAGTCTCATGGGTCCCATTAGAAATAGCCTAATGAGAAAGAACTCTGAAAACTGTTAATGGCTAACAGGGTACAGAATATGTATTTTTCTTTTAACGTATTTTACGTATATAAATGGCAGGGTACAATCAGAGCAGATTTCCCCACCAGGAGGTTGAATGCTTAATTCAAAACAAACGCCTATTGAATTTGATAGTAGATCTCTCCCCTCTCTCCCTAATTTGGCTTTTTGCCAGCTGTTAATCTAATTGCAGGGGTGGCAGCCTGAGATTCTGTGGCCCTCTAGGGCAACTCAAAGTACATATTGTCATTACTAATTATTATATAGTGTTGCTGTGATTAAAAGCACCACTGTCCTTTGAAAAGCCTCAAATGAGATGACAGCACAGAAGCACCTGAGTGTGCCCCATAAACTGATATTCTATTTGCTGTGCCATTAAAGTTCAACAATGCCATTATGTCTTAAGTGACAATGAAAAGTTCCCATTCCAGCTTTTAGTCAGAATGACCACAAGTTTGATGAAACCCCACTCAACCTCTTCTCCAGTCATCTTGAAAGTGAAGCTGTTTGGTGTGTTGGTGTGAGGTAACTAACCATGGTGCTACTATGCGCTTTTGTAGGCAGAGCTGGCCTGGTGACTTAATTCACATTGGGACACTTACTGTCACATTCATCGCACTGGATTAAATACTGCAACTGAACAGCCAAAAGAAGAGGTATCGCTATAGGTTGAGTGATATCTTCCCCTCAAAAGATGTGTAGAAGTCCTAATCCCCATTTCCTCAGAATGTGACGTTATTTGGCAATAAGGTCGTTGTAGATACAATTAGTTTAGATGAAGTCGTACTGGAGTAGGGTGGGTCCCAAACCAAGATAACTGGTGCCTTTATAGGAAGGGGAAATTTGTACACAGGGAGAACGTCTTGAACATAAAGACAGAGGTGGGGAGATGTAACTCCAATCCAAGGGATGCCAAAGATTGCCAGCCAACCACCAGAAGCCAGGAGAGAGACCTGGGACAGGTTCTCCCTCACAGCAGAGTGGGCTCATGTCTTAGCCTGTTTGAGCTGCTATAACAAAATACCATAAACTAGATGGCTTATAAACAACAGATATTTATTTTTCATAGTTCTGGAGGCTGGGAAGTCTGAGATCAAGATACCAGCAGATTCAGTGTCTAGTGAGGGCCCATTTCCTGGTCCACTGATGGTGCCTTCTGACTGTGTCCTCACATAGGGGAAGGGGCAAACTAGCTCTACGGGGTCTCTTTTATAAAGGTTCTAATCCCATTCATGAGGGCTCCTCCCTCATGGCTTCTCAAAAGTCACCACCTCCTAATACCATCAACTTGGAGGTTAGGATTTCAACATATGAGTTTTGAGGGGACACAAACATTCAGACCAGAGTAGCCCCTAACCCAATATGACTGGTGTCTTTATAAGAAGGTGGCTTTGTGAAGACAGAGACACATGAGGAGAATGCCACGTGACAACTAAGGCAGAGACTGGCATTAATGCAGTTACAAGCCAAAGAATGCCAGAAATTGCCAGTGAATCACCAGTAGCTAGGAGAGCAGCAAGGAAGGACACTCACCCGCAGGTTTAGGGGGGAACATGTCCCTGCTGACACCTCAATTTTACACCTCTAGCCTCCAGAATTGTGAGAGAATATGATTCTGTTTTAAGCTGCTCAATGTATGGTGCTTTGTTATGGTAGCCCTAGGAAAGGAATACAGTCAGGAACACTCTTGTCCATAGGCAACATGGGATGTAGCAATGTATGGCCAAATCTTTCTCCTCCCACCATACAGAACACATTCATTCAAAGAGTATAAATTGGCCCAAGCTTAATAGACATTCTCTTTTTTACTAGTGGGTCAACACAAGTATAGGCCAGGTTAGTTCTATAGATAAAACAGAATTTGAAATGTGTAATGTTAAAGCCAAAGGTCCAATGGCTATTTATTCCACATTCTATATAACTACCCTAACTCAAGCAGCCGCTCTAAAACCCCAGTGACTAGGACCCTGAAAAAGTGTTCTTTAAAGTGTCAGAACAGAGATTCAGACTCTCAGAATTTGCTGTTTCAGTTTGAGAAGATGAAGAGTTTGAAGATGAGAAGACTCAAATTTGAGTCCAGCACCCAGCTGCCAGTCTAGCAGCCCATTGTAGCCCCCAGAGAATGAAAATGGAATGCTTGGTCCAATCCCCATGGTGGGTGTCCTCCAGGAAGCTCTGGGGTTCCCAACTGGCCTCCAGCCATACCAGGGCCATATAGATTCCTTAAAATAAATATCTATTTGTGTGTTGCCTTTTGGTGGCTCTGATCATCTATAGCATCAAGTCTAAGCATGATGCTTGAATAAGCCTCCATGATTTATGCCCCCTCTGGGCTCTGGGCTCCTGTTGCATCACACTGTCCCTTTAGCTTTATATCTAGTTACACAAAATTACTTGTTGTTTCCACAATAAAGCCTTATGTGTCTTGTCTTTGTGACCTTAACTATCACTTAAATTGACAATGCCCTTTCCTTCTTTTCCTACTGAAACAACCCTAGTTAATCTTCAAAATATTCATAAGGGACACTTTCCTATGAAAGCCTTCTTTGACAACATCCTCCAGATAGACTTAATACCTTTTTTCTTTGTATAATTTTTTACCTGCTCCTTTACTGTGCATCTCAAACTATATTTAATAATTTGTTTATAATCATCTTTTAATTAAACTGTGAGATCCTTGAGGGCAGGAATTGTATTTTATTTATATAGGATGCCCAGTAGTAAGCATAGTGCCTATACCTGTACAGGTGATTAGTAACTGTTTAAATGAATTCTTCATTTAACAAATATTTCTTGAGACTTTTTATGTTGCAGGCATTGTTCTGGGCCTTGTAGATGTGGCAGTAGTCAAGAAAAACAAAGACCTTTCCTACCTGAAGCTTGTGTTCCGGTAGAGAAAATGGATAAACAGATAAAAATAATAGACATTGCATATACTTTCAAGTAATGATATGTGCTACGAAGAAGAAAAAAGGCAGTGTAGGAGGTTGTGGGTCGATGGGATTTCTCTTAGATTCACAAATCAAGAGGTGATCAAATGAAACTTAACCAAAAAAGACAATGACTTCTCTCTAACCAAACTTGATTACTGATAGTCTTTTTCCAAGTCAGCTTAATGTGCTGTTCAAGAGAATCAGTGTGGAAGGAAGGAAATGTGCAAGAGAGTCCTGTATCAGACACAGTGGGCAGGGAGCTTTACATCTCTCATCTTATTGGGCTTTGACAACACCCTTCAAGATAGGTGCTGTTGCAGATGAATGACAACCTGAACTTCAGGGAGGCCAAATAATGTGTCCATGTGGAGTGTCTGAGTGTGTAAGCCAAGGTTCAAACCCCGGCCATCCTGGGCCACTTGTCAACACCAGTTCTACAGTTGAATTCTATGAATACTTATCAGGTGCTGACTTCATGTCAAGCCCTGTTCTTCATGCTTAGCATACACCAGCAAATAGAATAGACAGAAATCCCTGCCATTTCAGAAAGTAACAAGTGTTGACAAGGATGTGGAGAAATTGAAACGCTTGTGCACTGTTGGTGGGAATGTAAAATGGCACAGGTACTATGGGAAACAGTATGGTAGATCCTCAGAAAATTAAAAATATAATTACCATATGATCCAATGATTCCATTTCTGGAAATATACCCAAAGGAATGGAAAGCAGGATCTTGAAGAGATATTTGTAGACTCATGTTCATAGCAGCATTAACCAAAAGGTAGAAGCAATGCAAGTACCCGTCAACAGGTGAATAGATAAATAAGATGTAGCCTATATGCATTTACCACACATGGAATATTATTAAGTCTTCAGAAGGAAGGAAATTATGACATATGCTATAACATGGCTGAACCTTGATGACATTATGTTAAGTGAAATAACCCAGTTACAAAAAGACAAATATATGGTTCTGCTTATATGAGGTACCTAGACCAGTCAAATTCATAGAGAAAGTAGAAGAGTGGTTGCCAGGGGCTGGCAAAAAGGGGAAGTGGGGAGTTAGTGTTTACCGGGTACAGAGCTTCAGTTTGAGAAGATGAAGAGTTCTGGAGACGTATAGTGGTGATGGTTGCACAACAGTGTGAATGTACTCAATGCCACTGAATTGTACACTTAAAAATGGTTAAAATAGTAAATTTCATATTATGTGTATTTCACCACAATTTAAAAAATCTCTGCCCTTGTGGAGCTCATGTTTTAGTTCAGGGACATGAACAGTGAACAGATTAAATATGTAAATCATAAGCTATTAGAAGGAGATGAGTGATATAGAAACAGAACAGATTGAAGAAGATTGGGAGGGCTGCGAGCAAGGAGAGTGTGTTTTCAGTTTTAAACGGGGTGGTTAGTTTCATGGTCTTCTTCAGCTAGAGTTAAAATAAGTCGTCAATAAAGCTTGTCAGCCATGAAACTGGGGTATCTTCCTTGGCATCCATGCTTTGCCCAGAACACTCTGACTTGTTGGAATCTTGAGTGGAAATTTAAAGTCTCTCAGAAATAACTTTCAAGTTTCAGTGTAGGAAGTCCAGAGCACACAGAGGGGAGGAGGGACTGTCACTGGGCAGCATCCAGAGGGACTTCATTTTCAGTGTGTGAGGGAGACAGCCAGGCGGGGCGTGCACATTCAGGGAATAATAAACAGTAAGAGGGAGAGGGCAGAAGACAGGTGGAGTGTGTTGGAGGTGGGTACACTAAGGCAAGGCAGGAGGCTCTAAAATTTGTAGGCTGGATGATGGGAAGTAAGTGCAGTGTTTAAATTTTTATTGTAAATTAGTTATTTACTCCATCCATTGATTCCTCTAGCCAGTGTTGGAGGGACCAGCTTGGCACGTGCTTCTGGGCTCCTTCCTGGGGATTGGGTGCAAGAATGGCTGCCCTCAGAGAATGAATCACAATCTGGTAGGAAAGTAAAAACATATGCACATTGGGAATATTTAAATAGCAAGGCTGTGTAGTTTATACCAAGATGAGTGATCCAGACAATAGATGCTGTAGACAAGGAAGACAGTCAAAATATCTGTCAAAATTTCTAACAGCCAGTACTGCACAGGCATCAGACTGGATTGCGATGGATGCCAATCCCATCAGAACACACTGTGGGAGTGGACAATCTGTACCCCATGAATATTAGCCCTGGTATGGCAGCATTGAAGAGCAAAGGTCTCTAGGGACTGGGGCCACTGCGCAACAGTTCAGGGAGGAGATAGAACTCAGACTGAGCCTGGAGAGGTGGGGAGGGAGAGAGAAGCGGGAATAATTAAATTAGTTTCATGATGTAAGTAGGATTCTTAGAAGATTATTCTGACAGATATGTGTGGCATGGAGTAGAGTGGGAGGAATGAAGGAAGAAAATTGGTGAGGAGGCTGTTCTAGGAATTGAGGTGTGAGATGAGAAGAATGGAGGACTCCCTATTGGAGAGAAAGGCTTGACCCGTGAGCCAGGGAGAGCTGAGCGGCGAAGAGTAACTTGGAATTATTCCGCCAAGAGCCAAAGTATTTATTTCTTACCACGAATTGTTAAAATGTGACTATGAAGAGTAGTAAAAGCATAATAAGGTGTGAACTTAAACCCTTGACACTCTTTCCTCTCCCTTCCCTGAAATTCCTCTCTTAAGATCCAACAAGGGACTTGAAAAATAATATTGTGAAAATGGCTTGCAAGACACAGCTGGATTCCTCACAGGACTAGCTTTGTTAGCAGAAATTGCTCTAGGATCTGCAGTATGCAGAGCACAGGGGTGGGCAGATCAACCTCAGCCTCTGGATTGGGTTTGGGAGAAAGTCTCTTTAAAGCCCCCAGCACTATTCCTGGGAAGCCCCACTTTAGGAGTTATGTCCCGGGAAGGTTCCTGACCTGCTGTCCTAGCAAAGCCCAAGCTTCCCTTCTTGTCAAAGTTGGACTTGGGCACCCTGCTGTTCAGCTCTCCACCTAGGCAAGCTTTGTGTAGCGTTCAGGAGGCTCTAAGAGTTGTAGGGCTTCCCTTCTGCAGTTTTAATTTGAGTGTTAATAAAAAAACTCTTTAGGCAAGTGATAATATTGGTACAGACCTCTTTGAAAAGAAGAGAGGAAGATACACGACCGAATGCATTTCAACTTCCACAAGAGCTATTTGAAGAGGATAAAGATGAAGGGTAAAGGGATAAAGTGGGTGGTGGAGTGGAAGGCCAGTTGGAGTAGTTTATTCTATAAAGAGTGAGATAATTGGGTGGCCATTTGCAAACACACACACACAGACACACAAACACACACACAATTACACCCTTCACTGTGCACCAAATGCATCAAGGATTTATATATTTTAATATTAACTTTCATAATACAATCTTTTATACTATGAAAATAAGTAAATATACCACTTTCTTTTCTTTCTAAACATTCACTCACTGAAGGATATCTAGGTTGTTTTCATTTTTTGGCTATCACCAGTGAAGCTGCTGTGAACTTTCATGTACAGATTTTTGTGGGAGCATACGTTTATCTCTCTGGGATAAGTGACCAGGTATAGTACAATCACTTCTGGGTCAAATGGTAATTGCGTGCTTAGTTTTGTAATAAATTGCCAAACTGTTTTTCAGAGTGGCTATATCATTTTACATATTACTTATATATGTATATATAAATTTTTTAAATAATAAAAATTTTATTATATAGTTTTAAAAAACATGACATCAGATAATTTTGTTTTGCTATCATTATAAAGTGAAAAATGAATGTTTAATATGTTAAGAATGGAAATCATGCTCACAGTATATTCTTTTAAAGATAGTTTAAAAATAAATTTATGAAGAAAGAGAGAGATTGATTTAGTTAGTATTTAGTTAATATGAACTTCTATAACAAAATACCATAGACTAGGTAGCTTAATAGCAGAAACAAAATTCTCACAGTTCTGGAGGATATGTGATTAAGTAAAACATGCAAGACAAGAATACTATAAATAGCACAATATGATTTTAAATAAATGTTCAATTCATTAAAAAAATAAAGGTACACACACATGCAAATTCTTGCTTAAGGACAAGGTTATGAACCTTGGCAAGTCACCTCCATGGAAATATTAATGTATATCATGCACAAGGAGTGGAGGAGCATCACTGGGGGTGATTTTTCTTCCCCAGGGGACATTGGCAATGTCTGGATGCATTTTTTGTTGTCATGACTGGTGAGGAGGATGTTACCAGCATCTAGTGGGTGTCAGCCAGGAATGCTGCTAAACATTGACAATGCATAGGACAGCCCCTACAACAAAGAATTATCTACCCTCAAAGTCAATAGTGCTGAAGTTGAGAAATCATGGTTTAGGGAGTCTTGATTAAAACTTTTCAACTGGGGTACCCTGAGATGGTGAAATATACTAGTATGCTTTGCTTCACAGTGTCAACTTTACTCGCATCTGCAGCAGGTGAGTTATAATCTTCACAGGAGCCAGCTCCTGGGGAAAGACTGATCATAGAAGAAATTCTCATTGGCTTTGACCAAATCCTTCTCCTTGCCAATTAGGAAATATTGACTTTCTAATCTTTTAGCAAAAGCTCCGTCTGTATTTGAATATATGTTTGGTTATAACAAATAACTTGTTTCCACAAATGGAAAAAAGTATCGTAAATGGCAACAGATATAGTTTAGTGCTGACTTTAGATGGTGGCTGGACCTCCTATAGGACAGGCAAAGCTAAGTACTTTCTACTCAAAGCCATCAAACAAAATGCTTACAAATTAGAATGTAATGGCCATTGCTTTACTTGTTTTGATAAACCAGAAAAACAGGCTTCAGCTTATTGAATCTATTATTGAACCCTAATTAGCTGTGGTGTTTGGACATTCTGAGGCCCATGGTAAGATAAATAATATTTATGGTTTCTTCCATGTATCAAATAATTGTGTACGAAATGTAGTATAGTATGGAATGCTCTCTTCTCTCAGAGTTTAGACCACAGAGTGACCAGGCGCTCATTGTGGGGTTAGGGTTGAAACGCTGGAGCCCAGCATGGGTAATCTTCGCGTAGACACTCTCACCGCAGATATCAGAGAGCTTAGCAACATCTCAGGCTCATGCAGACTCCTCGCTGGTTTCCTCACCAATGCCCTTCGTGTCGCCATGTGAGCTTTGGGTGGAATTGAGGAAGGGCAGCATTAAATACACTGAGTAATCTGAAAATGAAGGGTGGGGGAATTAAAAACGAGTTCACTTGGGTTCAAGGAAAATTTTTGAGGATGTCAGCATTTTCCATGTTGGGGGAAAAAAGAGATTTTAAAAAACTTTTCTCTCAGAGAACTTGCTAAAATATCATCAGTGCATAAGTGAAAGGAGATAGTGTGGAGAAAAAAATTTTAAGCCATCACCAAAAAGGCGAAGTCCCAAAGATACAAACCAAAATTCCAAGGTAAATACATCAATGAAGACAAACAGAAC
This sequence comes from Homo sapiens, assembly GCF_000001405.40. Classification (NCBI taxonomy): domain Eukaryota; kingdom Metazoa; phylum Chordata; class Mammalia; order Primates; family Hominidae; genus Homo; species Homo sapiens. The sequence goes on from NC_000013.11 coordinate 50,374,918, forward strand.
TGGTCTCAGTTTCCTTATCTGTAAAATAGGCAGAAACAATCCCTTATCCTAAACTCTTGAAACCAGATGAGTTTCAGAATTCAGAACTTTTAGTATTACAGAAAGATAATAAAGTACATATTGTCATTTATTATATAGAACACTCAGAGGCATTGGAGGGCAATATCCCTTAATGAAACACATTAATTTTTCTGTAGTGAAATGTGCACCAAATGAGTTAAGTAAAGACTATAAGTAGCCTCATGTTAGTTTGTTAGGTTTTGCTGCCAAGTAATTTTGCTTTAGACTTATGAAAAAATGTTCAGTTTTCAGAGATTTTAGATTTCTGAATTGCAAATGAGGGATGGTGTACCAGTGTCTGTCTCAAAGAGGTGTCCTGAGAATAAAATGCCATAATGGATAAATTGTGCACACTGCTGGTGTATACTAAGCATGTAATAACAGTGGCTATTGTTACTAGGTTTTTGTTTTTATAGGTAAAAGTATTCAGATATTATAATTATAATATTATTATCAGCATTGGAATTATTTTGGGTTGATGTATATTTCTTTTCCATTTCTTCTTTCCTTTTCTCTCCTTTTTTCCTTAACCCCCCACCCCTACTCCTGTCTGCCTGGCTGTCTCCCTCCTTTCCCCCTTCCTTCTTTCCTTCCTTCCTTCCTTTCTTTTCTTTTCTTTCTTTCTTTTCTTTTCTCTCTCTCTCTCTTTTTCCTCTCCCCTCCCCTCCCCTCCCCTCCCCTTCCCTTCCCTTCCTCCATCCCTCTTTTCTCCCTCTCCTACACAGGGCTTTGACCTTAATATCCTTGCATATAACAAATGATGTGAGTGGTCATCTCTCATCTGGTTTGGTTACTGGACAGACTCTTTAAGCTTCATCTGATTGTGTATGAATAGCAGTCCTCTTATTAAAGAGATAAAAACCAAAACTAAAACAAAAATAGTAAAACAAGCAGCACGCATCTCACTTGTCTTAGATTTCTGTGCCCTTTTTTCTCAGCAAGACCCAAGTATTCTAACCACAATGATTCTGATGACCAGGAATTCTAGAGCTGGCAGCCTGGCTGAGTCAGAGGGATTTGAGTTGGATCAGCACAGAATCCAGACCAAAGTCACGGTGAACTGGCATGAAAAACAACAACAACAGCAGCGGCAGCAGCAGCAACAATATAGACACATGCAAAACACAAAGCAGCCAGCTACCAGCCACCTCCGAATTGTATCCAAATGAACTGCTACTCATACCTCCACTTCCTGGGCCCCATTTCTCTGATTCCTTTCCGACTGCAGACCTATTAGCCACAGTCTCACATTGTTCTAGATCTCTACTTTCTCCCTTTCCTTGCTTTTGGCTCTGCCTTTTCTTTCTTTCTTTTCTTTTCTTTTCTTTTCTTTTTTTTTTTAAATAAGGCTTCAACTCTTCAACTTCTCCCCTTTTAAATTATGTTATGAACCATCCACAGGGGAGAAAAGCCAACAAACTCATGAACTACATTCTGTTTACAAGTTCGTTTCTAAGTCTGATTATTTATTTCTTTAATTTAGAAGTTCTATATCCCCAAGAGGACCTTAGTAACTGAAAGCTGCTCTTATTTTACTAATATATTTAATAACTCTTCATTTTTATAGTAAGAATGAATCTAGGCTTGCCATATATTTTCATGGTAAAATATTTTAATTCCTCTGAAGAAGACGGAGGATCTTAACCAAATGACTTATGCAGAGAATACAGGCATAGAAAAATGGAACAAATATCATTGTTAATTGTTTTTTCTGTGATGACAGTTTACTCTGTAGCAGCAATTCTTAAACTTGGTACCTGGTATTAGTACAGCAGGTGTTTTGGAAAAAGTAAAAGGATTCTGTGCCCACATAACTTTGTGAAACTTTACTTTGAACAAAATTAAGCAGATTTCATTAATGTAGAAACAGTGTTCCGGACATACAGTGTTTGAAATATTGGTACTGGCCTACTGGCAGGTCAGTTGTGAGGTCTTGACACCCTCAGTTTTCTACCAAGGAAAACTACTCAGTTAACAAGCTACTGCTCATAGGCAGCCATAGTTGGACTTTTCCCCTCATCATGGCTGGTGATGGGAGTGGGCACTGGATTCCAGGCTGGCCAGATCATGGACTGGCCACAACTGCCAATCAAGGACAGGACCAGTCAATTAGCAGACAACACATAGAGGCCACTGGGAGGCAGCAGGGTCCCTGAGGATTTCCGAGGAAATCAGTCAGGTATAGGTGGAAGCCTTGAGAGATGAAAGAGAAAAGCAGAGTGGGAGGCAGGGTGGCTGATAGGCTGTGTCAGGAGCTGTGGATGGGAGACAGGAAATCCAAGTTACAGAGGAGAGGTGGATGGACTGCCTGCACCAGAGGGGCAAAGAGGTAACCTTATTCCTAGATCAACTCTAGGACCTTCCAGTTGTCTTTTGCTAGGTTGGGCTGTGCACCTTCCTGATTGCCCCAAGACATTCCTGTTTTTATTTCCAGTGACTTCCACTTCTAAACTTACTCATTACCCAATGCATTCTTGTAATACATTCTATCATAATTTGAAGTAGCTTGAGGACTTTGTACCTTGTAGCTAAAAAAGTCTAATGAATGCTTCTGGTTTATTCTTAAGGATTTTTTTATAATAACTTTTTTTCTCTGCAAAAATAGTACATGACAAATTGAAAACCCAATGAAGTACAAAGCAGACAATAAAAATACCTATAGTTACCCTCACTCAGTCACTGTTAAATTTTGGTATATATCTGTGAAGGGCTCTTTCTCTGTTTTCGAATTGCAAGAATGGGTGCACACCACATACACTGTTTTCTATTTTTTTAACCTAATTATTGTAAATATCTTTTTCTTTTTATCACAACATATTTAATTATTATGTCATATTTTGTTGTATGTCCAAAGTTCAATGAATTCTCAATGGTTGAACATTTTGGCTGTTTATTTATTTTTTGCTACTGTAATCAGTTCTGTGGTAAATCACCTTGAAGGTAAATATTTGCACACATTTGTAATTATCTCTCAGGATAAAGTCCTAGAAGGGGAATTGTCAGGTCACAGCATATGCACGGTTTTAAGGATTAGAATACTTATGGAAATTACTCTTCAAAAGGTCTAGGCTAATTTACATATCAATCCAGCAGCCTCTCGTAGACAAGCTTTGTTTTCTATAGCTTCTTTTTGGGCTTTTCCCCTGTCCTGTAGAACCTTCTGGATTTTAGTGTTGATTGTCCCACCCTTTTGATTTCAGAGCATTAGCCTTCTCTCTAAGCTTTTTAATGCTTTGCAATGAGATTACTAGTTCTATAATTTTCAGTGCTGGCTCTGGCTGCTTTGTCTCAGAATACCACTGCAATTTTCTGTTTTTTCTTTTCTTTTTTTTTTTTTTTTTTGCCAATGGATCTATTGAACTGCCTAGTGAGCAGTGCAGGGGGAGAAAGGTGAACCCAGTTTCATTTGCATCCCATGTGGCTTTGGCAGCAGTAGCATCGAATTAAACTCAAGCCCCGGAAGATGTGCTTCCTTTGGAAAATGAAAGACCTACAAAGTTCAAGGAGCCCATTCGTGGCAAGTAAATTAAGAGCGTAAACCCAAAGAATGTCTGCAGTTTACAGCTTGGTATTACACGGTTGCTTCTGATTGGTATAATCTGTCATTGCTGTGATGTGTTTAGAGACAACTCAGATTACACTCCTGATACACTAGCTAGGGCCAACCACCTGTGGCCCTAGTCAACGATCAAAGATAGTTACCACAAATGCTATTTGAGGAAATAATGGCTTAGAGTGGAATAAAAACTGCAGTGCTGCTTTTATTGTGTAACTTTTCATCTTATGTGCTTAGCGGAACAGGGCATGAGAATCCTATTTATTGGCAGTAAGACTCTTTCTTTTACCCTTGGTGTCACAAGGGCATTTGGGGAATTTTGCTGTTAGTTAAAAGTTCCAAGGCACCAAGCGCAGGCAGGCTGAAGAGATGAAACTTGAGCCAGTCATTTTTACTGCCTGTTTGCTTCTCTGGTAAGAACTTCTGGGAGAAGCATGAGGCTACCAGTTAAAATGTGTAGGTTGGACTTTTGTGGATTACCTATTTAAGTATTCATGTTTTCTCTAATAGAATAAGTACATGCCATTGAGAATAAACTGTATTTATTCATACATTTATGTATTCATTCATTTTTCCCTTATTCAAAGCCATCAACTGAATATCTATTAGGCACCATGCACTGCATATATTTAAAAAATATTTGCATGCATTTTATTCAAGAGTTTAAGTCCCAGCCAAAGCAAGAATTTTAGACTTTTATTTATTAATGTGCCTGGTTTTGTTACAACCTAATAATCTGCCTCCTGGGAGCCTTTAAGTCTTATGGTCTTATGGGGGTGGTGTAGGATGATTGGGGGATTGTCCTTTAATTAAATAAAAAGGCATGAATTGTTTGACACAGCGGTCATGTGAAAAAGGCAAGTTGTTCTCTAGTGCACAACAAAAAGATCGGAGCCCCTATTTCCAAGAAGTGTATTTTGTGGGGATGCAGGATTGGGGACCTACGCTGTGCCTCTGCGGTCACTTGGTTTCCATGGTCGCTCTCACCTCTGGAGGCCGTTCTTGTTTTGGCATTGCCTTCTCCTATGCAGGGTGTTGCCTCTTGTCCTTTATTACCCCAGAGTACTGCTGGTATGAGATTATTGTGTGAAGCTGACTTTTCAGAGGGCTGAGGCTACCCTTACTCTGATACCAGCTACAAGTTCAGAGGGTTTGCCAAACAACCCTCCAGTTTGATAATTTACCAGAAAGAGCCACAGAATTCACTGAAAGCCATACTTATGATTCATTACAGGAACAGGATACTAGTTAACATTAGCCAAGGAAGAGATGCCTTGGACAAAGCCCAGGAGGGGTCGAAATGTGGAGCTCCCATTCATCCTCTCTCGCTGGCATCATAGAGAGTATTACCTCCTCCCGACCACTGTTTGTGGCAGTATGCAGGGCATTGCTGGGCAGGGAAGCTCATTGAGCTTTTGGTGTCCAGAATTTTTATTGAGTCCTAATCACATACTATCTGCATGGCTGATCTTCAGTCTCCAGACCTTCCCAGAAGTTTTGGCTAGCATCTTTCATCCTCAGTTCCTCTGCAAGTGTGAACTGATACAACATGGCCTAAAGCCTCCATCACAAATCACGTAATTAGACTCTCTGATTGCCAAAGTCCCCAGGCAAACAAAGATACTCCCCTTAGACTGGACACTCCAGGGGCCTAGCATCACCTTCTTGTACCTGAGGGCAAAAGCCAGAGCTTTTGTGTGTGTGTGTAAAGTTAATTCTTCACGAAACAATTATATTAACAAAAATTTTCTAGAAATTTATAGATCATTCTTAATCTCACTGACTAGGTCTTCTCTCCACCTTGTGAACCCTGAAAACCTGAGACAGGTCTCAGTTAATTTAGAAAGTTTATTTTGCTAAGGTTGAGGACACGTACCTGTGACACAGCCTCAGGAGGTCCTGATGACATGTACCAAAGGTGGTAGGAGCACAGCTTGGTTTTATACATTTTAGGAAGTCACGAGACATCAATCACTATGTTTAAGATGTACATTGGTTCAGTTCAGAAAGGTGGGACAATTCGAGGCAGAGGCGGGGCAACTTGAAGTTGGGAGGGGGTTTCCAGGTCATAGGTAGATAAGAGACAAATCGTTGCTTTCTTTTGAGTTTCTAGTTAGCCTCTCCAAATGAGCCAGTCAGATATGCATTCATCTCAGTGAGCAGAGGAGTGACCTTGAATAGAATGGGAGGCAGGTTTGCCCTAAGCAGTTCCCAGCTTGACTTTTCCCTTCAGCTTAGTGATTTCGGGGTCCCAAGATTTATTTTCCTTTCACAACCTCTTCATTTTCCATTATATTTTTTGAAGTTCCTTTTTTATCTAGACCCTCTGAATATCATCCTTTTACCTCATTCATGGATGCATATTCTTTCTTTTTTAGGCTGCCTTAGAAATGCAAAATTCCCCTCACTTTGCTATGCAGAGCAATCCATCTCTCTTGGATTTGCCTTAGTATAACCAGGAGCCCAGGAGGCCTCCCATTCCTTGTCTGCAAAAGCCTATCCATACCCATGAGGTATTTTCCTCAACAAAACAAAACAAAACAGGAATCTATTCCTGACTCCACCTCTCCTTTAGAAGGCCAATCCTGAACAAAAGTAATCATCAACCATAAATTTCTATACCCAGTGAAACTATCTTCACAAATGAAGGTAAAATAAAGACAATTTCAAGCACACAAAAAAATGAGAGTTTTATTATCCAAAGTCTCTCACTAAAGGAAGTTCCAAAGGACATATTTTAGGAAGAAGGGAAATGGTTCCAGAAGAAACATCTGAGTTACAGGAGGAAAGTTGAATAGACAAACAAATAACAAACAGAAAGGTAAACATGGGTAATTAAAAAAAAATGCAACTGCAATTGGTTTTTGTTTAAAATAAGAACAATTTATTTTCCCCTTACAGTTACATTTATGATTATATTGCAGGTGTTAAAAGAAAAACTTTAGAAAAATTAAATTTAGTAGAGTTTAATTGAGCAAAGAATGATTCACGAATCAGGCAGTGTCCTGAGCCAGAATAGGTTTGGTGTCACCTTGTGCTGGCTTGTGGTTGAAAAAGATTTATGGACAGAAAAAGGAAAGTGATATACAGAAGACAGAATGAGATACAGAAACAGCTGGCTTAGTTACAGCTCCACGTTTGCCTTATTTGTACACAGTCTGAACAGTTAGCTGCCTTTGATTGGTCCAAACTTGGTGATTGGCACAAGCATAGGTGACAGTCTGTGTACGCATCCAGTTAGATTACAGTTCACTATGTATGGAGAAACCTTTAGGCTGAACTTAAAATATGTAAGAAACCAGCTTTAGGCTAAACCTAATTTAACACAGGTAAATCTCAATTTAAATACTATTGGTAACCTTTTCTCATTATTGGCTGACAAATGATGTCCCTTTTCCTTTAGAAACATTTTCAAAGAATCCAATCCTTTTAGTCGTCAAATCAAGTGTTTCTTAGTTTTCAACTGAGTAAGAAAACTTTTTCATTTATTATTTACTAGGGTCAGGAGCATTTAGTAGCAATGATAAAAGTGCAGATCAGAGACTACTTATATTGAACAGAAGTGCTTTATAAGGTCTCTATTCAACTGACATTCTGTTAAGTATTTCTAGTCAATGGATTCCTACGCGGACTGTTGAAACTTTAAGCTCAGGATAAGTGGTCTGGATGTGCAGTGCAGTTTAGTAAATGAACTAGAGCTCGGGTTCTATTTGCAACCCAGTTTTTTGGAGCTGAAGGGGCCCTTGGAACTCTTTAATCCCAGGTAGAAAAATGGAGACTCAGGAAAGCAGCACAGAGCATTTGTTGTCTGAGATAAGAGAGATGGGGCCATTTGAGAGCTCTGACCAGGCCCATGGCAGGCAAAGGGCTGCAGAGCGTTTCAAATTGGCAAAATTGACCTGTACTTCTCCATGTTGTGCTTCTCCTCAGAACTTTTGGGAAGCCGTGTGACTGTCATCATTCCAGCTAGAACACTTTCTTCCTCCAGAAAGTTTTGTGATCTGTTAACAATCATGTCTGGACCAAAGAATTTGGGGAAACTTGAAGCCAAAACAAATTTATCTAAGATTGTTGTTGTTTTTAAACAAGTGGCCAGCTTTGCAAATTTATGGATTAGTCCCCAAAGCTTGTGCTCTATAATTGACCCTTAACAGGTTAGCAGTAGAGGAGAAGAGAGACAAAGGCCACACTCTAGGGACTAAGAGCTATGAGAGTGTCGAGAGGTTGGGAGGGCTGTGTGTGTGTGTGTGTGTGTTTGTGTTGTTGGAGAAGGATGATCAGGTGTAGGAGAGAAGGGAGTAACTGCCACACTTGTGAATTTGGAAGCAATTTCAAAATCTCTATGTGGAGATTTTCTTTTGTTATATGGACAAACTTGGGGAAAGCCTCAAAAAGTTGAATGTCTTAGATCTCCACATTCTATTTTTTTTTTTTTCCAAGAGAATGCTTACTTAGTTGCGGGAAGCAGCCTCTAGGTGTGCAGGAGTGCAGATGCATGTCTTCCTTCTCTTCTAGTGGCTGGGACTCTTCCTGGGCTGGCATGGCAGCAACTGTGGGTGGGTGGTGCAGAATTTGTGCTGGTGTGGGAGGCCCTCATAAGTGACCCAGCCTCTGTCATTTCCGAGATGTTCATGTGGTGATGTGTCCTTTGCTCTAAAACAGTTGCTGTCATTTGTGATAGGTACACAGAAGTGTATGGACACAGGTGCAAATTCCCAGACCCTTACCTGTCACCAGGAGGCTGGTGGACTTTTCCAGGGTATTTGCCCCCTTTTCGTCTCCTGAATGACAATGTTGTGAATTGCGTGGGGGTTCAATGGAAGTGTTTTACTGACTGGGGATTTTTATTCTTGCTCATTATAATATTATCTTCTCTTTATTTCCTCATAAATACTTTAGGTTTCCTGTTGTAACTTTTGCTTTTCAATATCCATTTTATCTGGTGGTGATGATGATGATGACAATCATAGAAAACAGTTACATAGCCATCAGAATGTACCAGGCACTGCTCTAAACACTCACCTTATGTTAATACATGTAGGCCTATTATTATCCCCCTTTTATAAATATACATGTTCTTAGACCTTTTCCTTTTATTAAATTAGATTTTCATTCTTATGTTATCCAGTTTTATACCCAAAGTTTTAGTTCCTTTTAAATTTATCATTCTGAAATTTTTATTGCTAAAAATTATTTCTAAGATAAGTTGTATTGTCCAATATTTTCAATTCTTTTTCTTATTTTTGTATTCTACTTGCTTAATTACATTTAATAATTATTTTCTTTAATGCTGCCTTAGGGTTAACATTTTTCATTTTTTTAATCCACTTTTAAAAAGTTCTTTTTTTCCTATATATAGGGGATATAGAAAAAGTTACACAATAGCATAGGGACACATTCTCTCCAAAGAGAGGCAATGGTATGGGGGGAGCAAAAGATAGGGTGAGACCATCCTAGAGTAAAAGGGAACAAGAATTAACCACAAGCAACTTCGGAACCTGAATTAGATGCTGGTACAAAAACAAAACAAAACAAAACAAAACACAGCAAGCAAAGATATTCTTAGGACAATTGTGGAGATTTGAATATGAACTGGAATAATGGTTCACTTTCTTAGGTGTGGTAATGGTATCAGGGTTATGTAGGAGAATATCCTTATCCTTAGGCCATTCATGAGAGAGATGGAGAAAGTAAATGAGGTAAAATATTAACGATTATTGAATTGAAAGATATATAGGCATTGATTTCACTATTCAACTTTTTTGTTGGTTTGAACATTTTCATGGTAAAAGTTAGAAAATACAAAAAAAAACACAAAAACAAAACAATTTTTATCTTTATTATCTGTTTTTCAATTTTTGGTCTTAACTTGAGTATTATTTATATTATTATCTGTTTTTCTGTATTTTTGTCATAACTTTTTAGTTCCTATTTTATATTTTTATTGTTTACTGCTTTATAAAATTTATGCGTTTACTATTTTATAAAACCAGGTAATGCCTCTGGTCCTGGATGCTGGCTGGGGAAAGGAACAGCCTGTATATATTGGCCAAGATGATGAGATTGAAGTTGCAGAGCTTGTGTTCTCTCTGGTCACCTGCCTAGCCCCCTTATCAGATACCTCACACCTTCACTGTTGGTTCCCAAAAAAACTCATATTAACATTAAACTCATAGTCCTCTCATAAATTACGTGATAATCTAAAATGGAGAGATTTGCCCTTTTCCATCTTGCCATTGAAATTCTCATGAAAACAACAACAATAACAGAAATACCAAGTGCAATGGCAGGAGATCTGCAGGAGAAATTTCTAATGGCCCAGGACAGGTGTGGCTCTGAGGCAGGAAGACAACAGGAGATCCCCTCTCTCCACCCCTGCTGCAGAGAGGGGAATGGGGCTTAGTGGTTACCCCTAGGCCTAGATATGGTTTGTCAAAAAGAACACAAAGCCACAAGCAGAACATAGTGCAATTTCCTAAAGTGTGAGTAGACTTGAGGGAAGTTACTTTTATATTAAAATAAACATGGGTATATTTTGGAATAGCCTGCAAAAGGGAGATGCCAAAGGAATTTTATGCTTATTGAAGGCTGTTTTGAGACATCCTCTAAGACTCCCAGGAGTATAAATGGAAGAGTTTGTGAATCTCTGTATTATGATTAATTATGGGTTGGTTTGGCTAAAGAAGGTTTTGTAGGGGGAATGTTTTTGTGGGCCAATATTGATTATATATTTATATATATATATAGAGAGAGAGAGAGTATAGACAACTTTTTCTTCTTTGAATAGTAACCTACTGACCATTTGTACGTTGAAGTCCTATCCCCCAATACCTCAAAATGTGACTATATTTAGAGATAGGGCCTTTAAAAAGGTAATGAAGGGAAAAGGGGGTCATATGGGTGGGCCCTAATCCAATATGACTGAAGTCCTTACAGGAAGAGGAGATTAGGACACAGATATGCATGCATAAAGGAAAGACCATGTGAAGACATGCAGAGAAGTCAATCATCTGTAAGTCAAGGACACAGGCTCAGAGGAAACCAACCCTGCCAGTCAACACCTTGATCTTGGACTTCCAGCCTCCAGAATTGCAAGAAAATACATTTCTGTTGTTTAAGTCACCCAGTTGTGATACTTTGTTAAGGGCAGCCCCAACAAACTGATATACTGCTAGAATGGTGCTTATCAATTTTGTTATTCTGTTAATTTGTTTCATTTACTTTCCAACACAGTTTTCTCCTTTCTCACTCACTGATATCCTGACGTTTGACTTCCTGATCAGAAATGGAAGTGATGGGGTTGGACAGCAGGTGTTGGAAACTCAAATGCCTTAGGGACCATGCATGTGGATGTGCAAATCCAGGATGTAGAATAAAGACGTGTGGTGGTTGCTGTCACAATGAAGGGTGCATTCCCACTTAAAGACATTCAGATTCCAATGCTTTAAAGCCCTGTGCCAGCCCAAATGAATAAATAAGTCCTTACCTGGACTGTCTGGCAATTGCAATCCCTGCTCCAGTACAGCCTGGGCCTCATCCCCATGTTCCCTTGATTTATTACAAGAGGTCCATAAACACAGGTGCCAACCAAACCTTGTCTGTAGACTCTGTAATGCCACTCATATACTCACCTCTTAGTAAATTAAATTGCAAACTCACTTGTTAAATTCAAATTAATTTCCGAACCTTTTTTATTGGATACTTTCTTAATCATGATGATATATGGGGTTTATCCAGATTTTTTAAAAAATTCACTTTTTGAATTATAAAAGTCATGCATACGTATATGTTTATTGTGAAAAGATACATTTCTTTTCCTCCTGTGGATCTTCCCCTCAGAATTCCAGTTCTAATTCTACTCCTTGTGTGAACCCCTGAACATGCACCCATGCCCATTCATTTTTCTGGGCCCCTCACAGCAGCTCTAGCACCTCCACCTAAAAGGATTGAAAGGGAAGATGAGACCCCATTGCAGAATATTTGAAGTGGTTACTCATCAGCCCTGTATATACATATTAAAATTCTCTGAGTTGTTACAGCAGCTGTTGCAACTGAAAATAATTCAGCAAACAGGATCATTTTCTGTGTAGTTTATGGGCTCGGGAACAGTCCAGAAGCTTTGGAATTTGAGTTACTGTCAGCCCGCTGCTCAGCCAATCTCCACATGTCACAGGCTGGTAATTTGATCTACAGCTCCCTTGAAGTGAGTTTGTACTGAACACAGAAAGCTCTTTTTTCCCCCTTTTTGCCAAACGCTAAATAGCCTTTTATGTGTGTCTTTTTTCCCCTTACACAATCACGATTTGATTCAACAAAAATATTACACACCTTCTTCCTGAGGATTTTGTGTCCTTTTCTTGGACTCGCAGCTACACATTTTGGGCAGCAAGTTCCCTTGTTCCCTCGGCAGCTGCCTGCGCGCAGTCCTCCGGAGAGCCTAGGCCTGGGAGAGACCGCCTTGGATTTAGCTGGGCCTAAGAAAACACAGGCACAGCAGTGAGAAAAATATTATCTTCCAATTCCCCTTCCTTTCAAGACTCAGGAAATCTGCTTCTTTTCAGTGCTCTTATCACTGCTGTGAAGTTTTGATTTTTCCAATCTCCAGTGGTGGTTTAAAAGGAGCTTAGAGCAGAAGCTGAAAGGGCCTCCTGTATTTAGAGAGCAGAAGCCCCACCTGCTGTCTCTGGGGCACCTCCCAGTGGCCAGGGCCAGGGGGTGTGTCTGATGATGGAGACAGTTGGAGCCACTTCAGCACTGGCGCCGAGTTTATTTCATCTGCTGATATTTAGATTGTGGTGGGGAGGGCAGAATGCCTGATGATGCCGTCAGTTCACCACCATGCAACAGGTAGCCTGCTTTCCAGCTACTTTGCATGATATCCAGACTTTCTGGCATCAAGGCTTGGTGGCTCACAGGGCTTGAGGCAACACTACTCTGTAGCTTCCATTTTTTTTAGTGATTCCCTCACCGGTGGTGGATCTACCTAAGATCACAGTGGCCACGGTGGTATGCTATTTTGGGTTACTGAAAACTGAAACCTGTTTTTCGCTGAAGACAGTTTGCCTAACAGTTTAATAACCTTTATACTTAGAATATCAGGAGTCCTGTCTGTCTGATCAGCCAGTGGTACCATTAAGGAAAAATGAAAGATTGGTTTTCAGAGTCACTGAAGTTCTGGTGATATTTTAAATAAAAATTGAATACTTGGACATCTAAACTTATTTGATTGAAGCCTTGGGATGCCTAAAGTCATTGTGGTTGAGATTATATCTGTTTATGGCTGACAAAAATTATCATAAGTGTATAGAGTCTTATGTTGGGGACCTTGCTGTCCATCTCGAGACCATCTGCAGAAAATCCCAACAGCTGCAGTTTACTTCTCATTTTTCAGAATAGAGATTGATTATGAAGGAGGCACAAAACAAACCAATAAACAAAAAACCCAAATATTTGATTATGGCATTAACTTTATGGTCATTTCTAGAGGAGTGTGTGAGAGACATTAACTAGGTTCTGATTCTTGGAATAGATTAGACATTGGCCTTGCACCCAGCTCCACGGAATGATGTCCCCAGAAGGCCTTGCTTGTGCCTGGACACTGATGTCTGAGGAGTACGCTTCCCTGAGCTTTCCATGGGTCAATCTTAGAGGGCAGGGCTCCATGATCCTGGCCTTGACTGAAGGGGGAAGGATAGATTGGAGGTTTTTCCAAAGACTCACTGGAATTTGGAGATAAAATATTTAATAGGTTGAAAGCCTTTACAAGGGAGAACTCTGGTCTCCCTGTGAACGATGACCAAATATGGTAAAAATGTTCCCATTTCTGGTGGATCAATCAGTCCTTAAATATTTCTAGAATAACTTCCATGGTTAAAATCTGGATCCAGATTTTCTAATGAGCAATTTGCAGAAAGAACCCACCTGCATCAAATGGCAAAGTCAGAACCACGTGCAAGAGTGAACTGCACAGCCCTTGCTTAGCAACATGCCGCTTGTAGCCCACTGGGGGTGGAGTGCCCTCCAATCCAGACTCTACACTAAGAAATTAGGTAATTCAATGGCAATAGTAATTTTAGCTGCAGTTTAAGGAACGTTTACAGCTTTGAAACAGGAAATGGAAAACAATAAGTAAGAAACTATAAAATAAATTGAGCACATAGCTTTCTGTTACATTTTATACCCAGTGGTATGGAAAGTTTACTTAAGGAAATGACAAGGCTTATTTAGAGGACCAGCAACTTCTGGAGTCTTTTATTGAAATGGAAATGGGAGCAATGTTGGATACTCTTAAGGCTATTTCTTTGTAAATTCCCAATTGGGAAGCTTTAATATGTGTCCAGAAGGATTTAAAGACATTTTTCTTTTAATATTTACATGCCATATTATAATAAGATGAATCTTTGCTGTGAATTTGAATCTGAATATTAATGTTGGCTGTATTTTATTGAGTGATTATAGTGAGCCAGGCTCTGTATTAAGCACTTAAAATGACTGAGCTTATTTAATTTATTTAACATTATGATGTAGGTATTATTATTATCTCCATTTTACAGATGAGAAAACTGAAGATAAGAAAAATTCTGCAGCTTGCCTAGAATATGGCTGCTAGCAAATGTTGTAAAGGAACTCAGATCTGCCCATTCCCAGAGCCTGAGGTCTTAATCTATTCTGCTGACTTAAATTCTGTATCATGAGTTTCACAACCTGAAGCTTGGGAACTCCTGTGGAGCCCTGGAGTGATGTTTAAGGAATACTTCAGTGAGCTGTACACACTACAACTCCCATATTGCATTTTAGTTTTTAAAAATAGTTTCTTTAAAATAAATGCAAGAGGGGTCTCTGAACAATATGCTCAGGTCTCCAAACTGGCTGAATTTACCACGGACTATTTTTCTAGCATTTGGATTTTAACAGAAGCAGAGCAAAGTTGGGATGACCACACCCTTCCTGGGCTTCAAGGACTTTAAAAATGTCCTGGCTGCCCCAGAAGTTGGAGAGCTCTACATTTCAGCGTTGGTGGTGTGTGTTGTCTGAATGAAATGGGTTAGGGGTAGTGGGGAGATAAGAGGATTTATAGCCTAAAGAAGGTCAGGGAATCCCAGTGGCCCACCTGCTTTAGAGTCTCAATTTTCTCAACTTTAAATGGAAATGATATCATTACCTATGTAATCTGAGTGTTGTTAAATGCATTAAATTAGGCAATACATGTGAATAAAGCTTATGAGTTATTATTTTGGAGGTATTTAATGTGTTCTCCCCTCCTTGACAGTGGGCTGATATTTTACCATCCTGTTTCTAAGGCCCTGTTAAAGTTGTTTTTCTGAGCGTGCTCTATCCATCAGGATCCTGGCAGGAAACAGATGGTGCGCTCATGCTGGGAAGAGTTTAATAAAGGAACTGTTTACAAAAGTGTGCGCAGGATTTAGGAAAAGCAACAAGGGATGTTGCAGCGCCCCAGTAGAGGGCCATTACCAACACTAAGCCAGAAGGGTGGAAGGAAAGGAGTGTTTACCAGCACCTAGAGAGGTTTTTGAGAGGGCTGCCTGATAGTTAATGTGGCCTTTGGTGGAGGAATGCAATCAAGTCACAGAAACCTACCAGGGAGAGATCTTGGGGGAAAAATATCCTGACCTCACTTTCCTCCCTCCCTTTAATCTCCTGCAGGTATTCTCCACTGGTTGAATGCAAATGGAAGCCAGAGGAAAAGGGAACCCTTGACACAGTTTTCATATAGATTGGCCTCCAGGGCAGACAGCAGGTGAGAGTGGAGAGTGGGGCTGGGGGACAAAGAGCAGGTATGGAGCACAGCATGTGGCTCTCCACATGTTTACCAGTAACCTTCATCACTCTTGCCAGACTGGACCGAGAATCAACTCAGCCCATAATTATGCTGTCGTGGTGCCTCTACCTCCTTTTCTGTGTTTTCTCAATTTCCAGAAACTTATTCTCCACTTCCAAGCTGTCTTGTGTTCTTTTGCTCCTCTAAGTCTTCTTATTGTGGAAAAATGAACACAAAAAGTTAACTCACACACTTAAATGTCTTATGCCTAATTGTTACTTTAAAATGTGCATACTTATTTTCACTTCTGGGATGGCTAAATTGCTACCAGACTGACCACAGATAAACAATACAAAGAACAACTATCTGAAGGTGAGTAACTGTAAGCAGATTATGGGGATTAGTTGGCACATGTGTGAAAGGATAAGACAAGGTGTGTCTTCCCCTATTTATGGTTTTTAGCTTAAGAGCAGGCCTTAGACAATGCCCATAGTCTTTCTGGCCTGACGAACTAGAAGAAAAAGTTGAGAGCAGCCAGAGCCAGAAGAAAGTGAGAGGAAACCTCTAAAAGAAGAGTGCCAGAGAGGGGAGCCCCAAATTCCATGCATCAGGTGCCCAACTTTCTGGCTGAGTCCCAAACTTTGTGTGCATGTGGCACACTGCAAGCAGCTCAGTAAAGGGTCAATGACCTAACTGAGATAAGAGCTACTGCCCAAAAGACAGAGTTTGCAGTTTTGTCAAAACAAAAACATCACACTCGACGGGAGAAGTGTAACAGAAATGCAGAATCTCCCTAACAAAACATTCCCAGTGTCCAGGAAACCATCCAGAATTACCCAACATACAAAGAGCAGGAACCAGATTCCTGACCTATTCTGAAGAGAAAATATAATCAATGAAGATCAATCTTGAGATGACCTAGATATTGGAATTAATAGATGTAGACTTTAAAGCAACTGTTACTACAGTAATTAAAGGAACATTTATATTTTTATGTGCTTGTATTAGAAAAGAAGAAAAGTCTAAATTAATGACCTAAGGCTACCTTAAAAAGCCAAAAGATTAGAATAAGTTAAATCCCAATGCAGTAGAAGAGTAGAACTAATTAAGGTAGGAAAAGATATCAACAAAATATAAAACAACATTAGAGGAACTATATTGGTTATAAGAGATGCAGTTTAAGTATAAAGACACAGGTAGGAGTAAAACTGATTCTTGAAAAGATCAAGAAAATTGATAGAACCATAGCTAGACTGATCAAGAGAAAAAGAACACAAATAATCAATATCAGGAATGAAAAAGGGGATATAACTACAGATCCTGCAGACATATAATAAGATGATATGTTGACTACCCTTTTTGCCTGCTGATTTCTGGACACTAGGAGTCCAACATGCCTTGTGAACAATCATAAATTATAGTTCAGTGGGACACTTGCTGTGTCCTCTGGCGAAAATGTGCCCTTCTAGGGTCAAAGCCTACAGAACCCAGAATTATGGGGGCAGGAAGGACAGAAATCCCCCAGTGGGTCACTGGGAGTGATGACAAGTGTGATCCTTCCTATTTCCACCCCTTGGTTACATGTTCAGTACACTGGAACATATTCAGAGCTTTTTGGGTGTAAAGATTTGGGTACAGGAATACTGTCATTGAGAGCAGTGCTCCAAAATTCCTTCCATAAATACTGAGGTGTCTCCATCACCGTGGCCAGATTTTCATATTTTTTTCACCCCTGGCCATGTAACACACCTCACAGCAGACCCTTTGCTTGAACAGCTTATCTGTTTGCTTCCTATCACTTCTGCAGGAGAAAAATGGAGTGGAATGGGGGCAAGAACCTAGTTCTTTCTGCAGGAGAGATAGTTAATGCTTATGGTGTGCATTTTTATATGCCCCAATCTCCCTAGCAGTTAGTTCAGGGCCATGTGATTTGTTCTGGCCAATGGGTGTGAGCAGATCTTCTGAGTTGAGGCAGTGAAGAGCCAGTGTGGTTCCTCTGTGGCTCTCTTTTTTGGGTATGGCAACCTTGGAGGCCGTGTGTTCCAGATGGTGTAGCTGTGAGTTTCAGGAGCACTGCCCAACAAACAGCAACTTTATGTCCTGTCAAAGCAACCTTTATCCTGCTAAGCCTCTGAGATTCCTGGTTTGCTTGTTGTGGGTAGCAAGTGCTAATTACCTTGATTAATAAATCTATTCTCTCCACACCCATCAATCAATAAAAAATTCAGAACCCTGATTATAAATGTTTTCACAGTTGGTCAGCTAAGAGTTTCTTGTAGATTGCTATGCATTTAGCATTTTGCTGGGTTTTTTGTTATCAGTGCCCACTCTGAGTGGGTGGAGCCCCCTTTCCTGGTGGGTTATGGACTCCCTTATATCAGCAGATGAATAGAGGTTAAGAAGCATCACGAGTCAGCTTTATTTAGTTCTTATCTGGACATGGACAAGGTTACAGTCTACCCAGATATGCAGAGAGTATTCAGTGCTACATACTCAAGCTCCTTTCCTGGCTAAATTTCTGTTGGTTGCTCCCATTCCTATAACTGGAACATCACCTGTTAATTTCTTAATGTATGTGCACACAACAGATTCTTACTATGTATTCTCTGTCTAGCCAGGAGCATTACAACTGCTTCCACCACACCACCTCATTTGGCTATCTGAGTCTTCGGGTTAATTTCTGAGCAATTAGTGCTGTTGTGGTCATTGGGTTTTGTTTTGTTTTGTTTTGTTTTGTTTTTAGGCTCAATCTTATCAGATTGGATGCCTCTTGCTTTGAACCCACACTTTGTTGCCTCACCCTTATGACTCCTCTATTTCCCTCTTCATCCTTTTATTAAACAAAACTTATTAACTCTGTAATCAGACCAGCAGCATTGTGCAATAGGCACAAATGTTAGGTGCCTTACACATGCAATTTTGTGCCCAACTTTGGCAGCAGTTGTTTTTATTCTGTCTTCACAGATGAGGAAATGGAGGCCCAGTGAAGACACAGGAGAAGTATTAGTGACCTGCTACTTTTAGATATAATCTGTATAGAGAAATAATATGGATATAAAAGAAGTTGCTAAAAATAATCGTAATATCTGTATATTGTAAACCAGCAGTCCCCAATGTTTTTGGCACCGAGGACAGGTTTTGTGGAAGACAATTCTTCCACAGACCAGGGGCGGTCGGGGGATGGTTTCAGGATGATTCAAGCACATTATATTAATTTTGCAATTTATTTCTATTATTATTACATTGTAATATGTAATGAAATAATTTTACAACTCACCATAATGTAGAATCAGTGGAAGCCCTGAGCTTGTTTTCCTACAAGCTTATATGGGACTCCATATGGGGTTGATGGGAGACAGTGACAGATCATCAGGCAGGCATTAGATTCTAATAAGGAGCATGCAACCTAGATTCCTCCCATGTGCAGTTCACAATAGGGTTTGCGTTCTTGTGAGGCTCCAGTGCCGCCGCTGATCTGACAGGAGGCGGAGCTCAGGCAGTAATGTGAGCAGTGGGGAGCAGCTGTGAATATGATGAAGCTTCCCTTGCTCGCCCACTGCTCACCTCCTGCTGTGTGGCTTGGTTCCTAACAGGCCATGAACCAGTATTGGTCCACGTGGCCCAGGGGCTGGGGATCCCTGTTGTAAACTACTTAACATTGCTAAGAAAAACTAAAGAAGATATAAATAAATGGAACAATATTCTGAATTCTTGGAATGAAAGAATCAATATTGTTAGTTGTCTCCAAATTGATGTATAAATTCAAAGCATTCCCAGTGAAAATCCCAGAAGGCTTTTTTTTTCTTTTATCTTTTTTTTTTTTTTTGGTAGAAGTTGATAAGATGATTCTAAAATTTATATAGAAATGCAAAGGACTTAGAATAGCCAAGATAATTTTGAAAAACAACAAAGTTGGGGGACTCATACTACCTAATTTTGAGACATAAAACTATTGTAATCAAGGTAGTGTGGTAATGGTATCAAGATGGACAATATATAAGTAGATATAATGGAAACATACATCTCATGTATCTGGTGAATTGACTTTTATAAAGGTTTAAAGGCACTTCAACAGAGAAAGCATAGTCTTCTTAACAATTGATCATCCATTCATAAAAACAGGAAAAAAAAAAAGCAGAAAACTCCTTTGATTCAAACCTTGCAACATATCCAAATCCAAAAGAGATCATAGGCCTACTTTCAAGATCTAAAAATATAAAATTTCTAGAAGGAAACAGAAGAGAACATCTTTGTGACAAGGTATTAGGAAAAATGTTTATAAATCCCATACCAAAAGAATAAACCATAAAAGAAAAAAATATAAATTGGACTTCATTCAAATTAAGAACCTCTATTCTTTGCAAGAAACTTAAGAAAATGAAGAATATCCACCTATTGGAAGAAAATATTTTCAAATCACATATCTAATAAGACTTGCATACAGAATATATAAAGAATTCCCTTAACATAGTAATAAGAGAACAAATAAACCAGTAAAATAGGGCAAAATATTAGAACAGGTACTTTACCATAAAGGACATATGGATGGCAGATAAATGCATTAAAAATGTTCAATATCATTATTCCTTAGGGGCAGATTAAAACCACACTGAGATAGCACTACACATCTGTTAGAATAAAGACTGACCATAGCAAGTCGAGGGCAGGAAGCAACTGGAACTCTCATGTACTGCTGATGGATGTGTAAAATGGTACAATCATTCTAGAAAATAGCTAGTTTCTTTAAAAGCTAAACATATAGATAGCAAATAACCCAGTCATTTTACAGGTATTTACTGAAGAGCAATCAAAGTATGGGTCTATACAAGGACTGAACATGATTATTCATAGAAGCTTTATTTTAATAGTCAAAAACTAGAAACAACCCATATGTCCATCAGTGTCCATCAATAGATGAATGGATAAATAAACGGTGGTATAGCTATACAATGGGATACTTATCAATAAAATAAATGAACTATTAGCACATGCAACATGAGTGAAATTCAATGTAATTATACTGATAGAAGCAGATAAAAATGACATACTGTATGATTTTATTTATACACAAATCTAGAAAATTCAGATATTTATAGTGACAGAAAGCAGATAAGTAGTTGCCTGGGGATAGGGGGAGTGGAGAGTAGTCGAAGAAAAGGATTTCAAAGGGGCTAGAAAAACGTCTTGGGATGATGGATATGTTCATAATCTTGATTGTGGTGACAGTTTTATAGGTATATGTATATGTATGACGTCAAACTTATCAGATTGTACTTATATAAAATAAGTACATTATTTTATATCATTTACACCTCAATAAAGGTGCTAATAGCAAGTAAATAGGGGATATTCATTGAAAGGCAGGTGATGATAGGGTAAAACAATTTAGCTTTGAAGCCAGGATGCCTGGGTTACTAATTTTTTCTTCTCCTCACTGGTTGTATCACTTTGGACTGGTTAACTCTTCTGGGCCTTTTTTTCTATGTCTAAAATGGAGAAAACTATTCCAACTTCTGTGGGTTCTTGTGAGCATTAAGTTGGTTTATTAATATAAAGCACTTATGGTACTCCCTGGTATGTAAGAAGTATTTAACAAATGTTAAGAAATTATTATGCACTGGGCACCATGTGAAGTGTTTTATGAGAATTATCTCATTTAAACTTCACAGTCTCTGAAACAAGTAACAATCCTTATCCTTTGTACCAACATCTAAGTGAAAAGGAGAAAACCAAGCTGCAAAGAGGAGGTTTAACTTATCCCAGATTGGTTACACAGGAGGCAAGAAGCAGAAGCCAGATTTGAGTAAAGGCAGTCAAACTTCAGAACCCACACTTTTAATCCTGTGATTAAGTGCTAACAGGTGGGGCACTGACTCAAGTGCTAATAAGAAAGTTGTCTAGACAGTGCCCATGTTTTCAGAGCATTTCATTCTCTGAGCCTTGTGAAACTATTGAAGACCAACATGTTTGGGCAGCTTTCTGAGAGTGCCTCTTATGATTACTCCTGGCAATCATCTTAGTGCTCATCAAACCTATTTCTTCTTCCTGGGCACAGGGTCAAACTATTTCCCAGCCTTCTTGTATCTGGTGAGGTCATGTTGAGAGGTGACAGCATGCTGGCAGTCCTCACAACCCTTGCTCACTCTCGGCGCCTCCTCTGCCTGGGCTCCCACTTTGACGGCACTTGAGGAGCCCTTCAGCCCACCGCTGTACTGTGGGAGCCCCTTTCTGGACTGGCCAAGGCCAGAGCTGGCTCCCTCAGCTTGCAGGGAGGTGTGGAGGGAGAGGCGCGAGCGGGAACTGGGGCTGCGCGCGGCGCTTGCGGGCCAGCTGGAGTTCCGGGTGGGCGTGGGCTTGGCGGGCCCCGCATTCGGAGCAGCCGGCTGGCCCTGCCGACCCCGGGCAATGAGGGGCTTAGCTCCCGGGCCAGCGGCTGCGGAGGGGGTACTGGGTCCCCCAGCAGTGCCAGCCCACCGGCGCTGCTCTCGATTTCTCACCGGGCCTTAGCTGCCTTCCCGCGGGGCAGGGCTGGGGACCTGCAGCCCGCCATGCCTGAGCCTCCCACCCACTCCATGGGCTCCTGTGCGGCCTCCCCGATGAGCACCGCCCCCTGCTCCAGGGCGCCCAGTCCCATCGACCACCCAAGGGCTGAGGAGTGCGGGTGCACAGCGCGGGACTGGCAGGCACCTTCACCTGCAGCCCCAGTGCAGGATCCACTGGGTGAAGCCAGCTGGGCTCCTGAGTCTGGTGGGGACGTGGAGAACCTTTATGTCTAGCTCAGGGATTGTAAATACACCAATCGGCACTCTGTATCTAGCTCAGGGTTTGTAAACACACCAGTCAGCACTCTGTGTCTAGCTCAGGGTTTGTGAATGCACCAATCGACACTCTGTATCTAGCTACTCTGGTGGGGCCTTGGAGAACCTTTGTGTTGACACTCTGTATCTAGCTAATCTGGTGGGGACTGGAGAACCTTTGTGTCTAGCTCAGGGATTGTAAACGCACCAATCAGCACCCTGTCAAAACAGACCACTGAGCTCTACCAATCAGCAGGATGTGGGTGGGGCCAGATAAGAGAATAAAAGCAGGCTGCCGGAGCTAGCAGTGGCAACCCGCTGGGGTCCCCTTCCACACTGTGGAAGCTTTGTTCTTTCGCTCTTTGCAATAAATCTTGCTACTGCTCACTCTTTGGGTCCACACTGCTTTTATGAGCTGTAACTTACCGTGAAGGTCTGCAGCTTCACTCCTGAAGCCAGCGAGACCACAAGCCCACCGGGAGGAAAGAACAACTCTAGATGCGCGGCCTTAAGAGCTGTAATACTCACCTGGAAGGTCTGCAGCTTCACTCCTGAGCCAGCGAGACCACGAACCCCACCAGAAGGAAGAAACTCCGAACACATCCGAACATCAGAAGGAACAAACTCCAGACGCGCCATCTTAAGAGCTGTAACACTCACGGCGAGGGTCCACGGCTTCATTCTTGAAGTCAGTGAGACCAAGAACCCACCAATTCCGGACACAATGTGACTAGTTCTTGCCAATGCAATGTGAGCAAAGCAGTGTGTCATTTCTAGGCCAAGGCAGGTAAGAGTGGATGGGCTTTCTCCTTTCTCTGCTTTCCCTACCCATTTCTGCTGGTTTGTGTTTAAAATGGAGGAGCCACAGCATGGGAGAAGCCTGCTTCCTGAAAGACCACCTGGAGCAGAGCCCCTATTGCTGACCTGTGCAGAACCATACTTTATGTGTTAAGTCACTGAGATTCTGAGATTATTTATTAAAACAAGTAACATGACATTGCCAATGTGCTACTCTTATGCCAGTATGTCACTCTTATGCCAATACGTTACTCTTATGAAATATTACCTTTGCTGAAACATTCCATCTCTTAGAATTTCTAAAATATGGGTCAAATACGTAGACGGACTCTTTTGCTAGGAGATGGACCACAGAGTTTTGTAGTAGAAGTTTAAGTAATAGGAAATAATATATAATTAGTAGGAGATAACATATGAATGACACATGGAATAAGAGTTTCAATATTTATTTATTTATCTGAGATGGAGTCTTGCTCTGTCGCAAGTTGGAGTGCAGTGGTGTGATCTCAACTCACTGCAACCTCTGCCTCCCGGGTTCAAGTGATTCCCTTGCCTCAGCCTCCTGAGTAGCTGAGATTACTACATGTGTGCACCACCATGCCTGGCTAATTTTTGTATTTTTAGTAGAGACGGAGTTTCACCATGTTGGTCAGGCTGGTCTCGAACTCCTGACCTTGTGATCCGCCTGCCTCGGCCTCCCAAAGTGTTTCAATATTTAAATTCCTTCCAAGTTACAATATTTAAATATCCTTCATCTCACTCATGGAGTCTGAGTGGTGACCAGTGTTCTTCATTCCAATTCCCTGTTGGCTTTTGCTCTGTGTGCATCCTGTTTCTTGGGGCTTTAGTTGTGGGCATCAGCTCTTGGCTTTCCAAGATCCACAAGAAATTGCATAATCTCTGGCCATCTCAGATGTAAAATTATTTCCTTGGGTTGTTTTAAAACCTACCCCTCACATCTCAAAAACCTATTCAATGGGACAGGTTGCCACCATCTGTTTTTCAACTGCCATTTTTTTTTCTTTCTTGCTCGTTGGAAGGTTTGTCTTCTAATTATTTTATCAGCTTCCCCATTTGTGATGTGTCTTCTTTCATACTGTGCCCTGTCTGTACTATGACAATTCATGGTCTGCAGACAGCGCTCTGGTTCCTGGCCCACAGCTGGGTTGCAACTCCATTAGTCTCCCGGCACCAGAGTCTTCTCTTGGGTTTCTGGGGTTCCAAGTGAGAGACAGAAAAAGAACACTCAGCACCCTGGTTTGGGGACCATCTGTGACAGCCTGAACACATAGCATTATTTTTATGTTTTCCCT
This sequence comes from Homo sapiens, assembly GCF_000001405.40. Lineage (NCBI taxonomy): Eukaryota > Metazoa > Chordata > Mammalia > Primates > Hominidae > Homo > Homo sapiens. The sequence goes on from NC_000013.11 coordinate 50,399,221, forward strand.
CTTTTCTAGTTCTGTATTGGAAAAAAAAAAAAAAGAAAAGGCCAGAGATAGTAGCCTTTGTATTACTGGAGTTCAAGAGGTTTAGGGAGAGGACAGCTGTTCACAATGCTGGATAGTGAGGACCTCATGTCATCGTCATGGAAGGGGGCTTGATTCTAGTCATCTGGTTCTGAGCACCTGCTGTTTTGGCAGACGGTGATCGATCACTTAGCACAGCACTTCAGAGGCTATCCAGAGGCTATCCAGAGGGGAATATGATCCTATAGCCCTATGCTCCCATTTTACTGATGAGGAAACTGAACCCTAGAGTCAAATTGAGAGTTCCTCAAAGATAGTCAACAGACCGAAGCCAGTCTGAGAACCACTTACTCCTGGTGGTTGGAATATAGAAAGTGACAGTAAGTTTTTAAAAACTTTTATGGTAATTTGACAGAGAAATTTTAAGTCATCTAGGCCTATATTTCATATGTCTTTAAAAGACCAGGTGTGTTGTCATTTGTTTTATTTTCTATAATAAACTTTATTTTGGGAACAGTTTTAGATTTACAGAAACATTCAGAAGATAGTACAGAGAGTTCGCGCATACTCTGCAGTATCTTATAGATAGTGTAAGACAGTAAAATTAATATATTACATTAGCTACAATTAGTGAACCAATACTGATACGTTATGATTCATTGAAATTCATACTTTATTCAGATATTCTTAGTTTTTAACCTAATGTCCTTTTTCTCTTTCAGAATCCTATCCAGCGATACCGTATTACCACTAATCATCATGTCTCTTCTTGATTGTGACAATTTCTCAGACTTTTCTTGGTTTCCATGACTTTGAAAGATTTGAAAATTATCGGGCAGGTGTTTTGTAGGATGTCCTTCAATTGGGATTTGCCTTTCTCATGATTAAACTGGGCTTATGGGTTTGGGGGAGGAAGACCAAAGAGCTGAAGTGCCATTTTCACCACATCATATCAAGGCTACATACTTTGCACAGGACTTATCACTGTTGTTGATGTTGACCTTGGTCGTCTGGCAGAGGCAGTCTTTGCCAGTTTTCTTTACTGTAAAGTTATCTTCTTCCCTGCCCCTACTTTCATACTATGCTCTTTTGAAGGCAGTTACTATGTGTAGGCCACACTTAGGGAGTGTGGAGTTGTAGTTTATTTTAGTGTACTTGACAAGAAATTGGTTTGTGATATATTGAAAGTGAAAATGGTCCTCCAACACTGCTCATTTGAGAAGCACTGCTCTAAAAACCCTGTGTAAGGGCACACAGAAGAAATGCTGGGACAGAGCCCAAGGCATCTTGGCTTCAGTCCCAGGTCCTGTCATTCCCCAGAGCCTAACTTGTGCATCCATCTAACTGTGGGGCCAATTTGGCTGGCTCTGTAACACCACAGACTACCCCCTAACTTTCCATGAATCTTAAGGAGTGCTTCAAGTCTTGGTGGACGTTTCTGGAATACTAGTTTCCTCAAACCTTGATGCATTCATTTGTCAGAGTTACTGTTTTAGGTCAGGTTCAATGGCAAATAGGTTCTGAGATGGAGATTTGTACACAGAAAATTCTTTTGGTGGGTGATAGGAGAAGGACAGGTCAGAAGGAGAAGTCAAACGTCAATGCAGTCCAAATAAAAGCCCCTGCCAATCTTACGGGGAGCTTTGGACCTGGGATGGCCGTTCAGAGTTGCTCTGAAATTAAGCAGAAAGATCAACTTTGACTGCCCCCACCCCACCCCACCAAACCCACCCAACACATACACATTGACCAGGTACTGGATTGGATACTGTCTGTCTTTGGGAGGGAGGTGTCACTGGGAAACGTGGCCCCCTTAGCCCATGGACATAACTTAAAAAGGAACTCAGCTAAGCCACCAGAAGTCAACACCCCTGGCAGCTGGGGGATGAATACTTAGGACCTGATGAGAGATCTGGATGGCACCCTGCAGCACTTGCCACAGATACGATTACTGTTTTTAATTCTTTTGCCTTTGTCTTGTGTCTAGATTCCAAGAACCAGGAGGTTGTTTGCTGTACTCTCCCTTGTACAGTTAGCTGTCTCTAGTGCCTGAATGCACTAATTGTCCTTTGGGTATGGATGAGGTAATGAAGGAAAGGGATGCTGGGAAGAGAGGCCACATGAGAAGGTTAGTGTGGGTGTAAGACACAATGCAGAGGATTTGTATTTGTGCCATCTGCCTGCTTCTATGATTCATCTGGGTCTGTGCACCCTTGTAATCAGCAGGCTGCAGCAAACTAAGTGTTGCTTGCTAAAGAAAAATGAAAGCTGGAATTTCAGCAGGGAAGAAAGTATATGCCCCACCGTGATGAGTACAAACACACAGCATCAGGGAAGCCACACAGAATGAAGCTCTGAGAAGACTGTTAGCATTTTCCCTCCACGCCCCAGGGGAAAAGGTGTAAGTAACAGAATTAGTCCAATTGGTCAAGAATTCATCTTTCCTGTCACTTGTCTCTTGTGGGAGTTCAAACTTACTCAGTCCCACCCATTTTGATTGAGAGTGAAAAGAAGGACATTTTAATTTAAGAGCAGAAGATGGAACTTGAGGGCAGAACAAATTTGGCAAATGTAAATTCTTATCCAAAAAGCATGCTTCCTGTACTTGGCACCTTGTTTCCCCGATTCTGCCTGATGTCCATCTCTTTTTCTCATTGCAGTTTGAATTCAGGCATGTGTCTTTCCTCTCAGCTTCACCATGCATAAGGGGATACTTGGCACGAATGAGCTCATCCTGGCTGATAGGAAAATCTTATAATTAGGCAAAGAAACTCAAAAGAACTGAAGCCCTTTTCCCTCCATGAGCATCTTTCACTAACTGGCCTAGGAGTTGGTGCCTACCAGTTGGATTATATGTAGCTATGGGGCAGGAAAGGGTTAAAGGATTTAGAAAGAATTGAAATAAAAATGAAAATTTTTTCCCTATTAAGATAGCAGAAGTTCGAATGTGAATCACTGTTTTGCATAATAAGCATGGCCATATAATAATAGCTAACATTGTTGAGTTCTTTCTTAGTGCTGGGCACTGTGCTAAGCACTTTATAGGGGTTATCTCATTTTATGTTCATCATGACTCAGTATTGTGGATATTATTACAACCCCTCAAGACAGATGATGAAACTAAGACTTGGAGAGGTTAGGCAAGTTGCCTAAGTGTGGAGATAAAATTCAAATCTAGGTACCAATGTTTTTGAACCACTCCTGTACTGCTTCAGTAGCTATGGGATGGGGATGGGGGAGTAGTTTGAATGGGAAAATCGGAAGTGTCCTCACATAGGCCTCCTAGGGAAAAGCCCTTCTGAAAAGCATCCTACTGTAAGTTTCCTTCTTGTAGCTTAGACCATTTTCTTTTGTGCTAACAAGAGAGACCAAAGGGACGGTTGAGATCTGAAACTTAAGTCAGAACCTTAAGATTGAATTTGGGACCTCTGATATTGACTCAGAGTCTGTGGCATGAAGATGATGACCAAGACCATAGATTTGGATAAGATTGTTCCAAGAGGAAACGTGCAAAAAGGAGGTTAAAGAGTTCAGGCTGGATTTTTGGGAAGCCAACATTTAAATTAGGACATGTAGAGGAAAATAAGCCAATAGGAAGGTCCAGAAAGAAGAGTTAATCGTTCTGTGGTAATCCAGGAGAGGGAGGTGTGTCGCTATCCAGAGGCAATGAGGCAAAACTGTCAGCTTGGATGACATCTTGTCTTCTAAGACAGGGGAGGTGGAAGGAAAGATCAGAAGAAAGGTGACTACATTAGAAGGTGGAGAGGAAGCAGAGTTAAGGAAGTCCACGCCAGGGCCTGTATAATCTTAAGGAAGTAGAATGTTCATTTCTTTGGGGTTTTCACACTCAATTCCTTCCTTCCCCAAGTACGCCCCAGGTGACACTCAAGCAGGAGTACCTCAACCCAAGAGTAATCCAGCTGTTGACCTTGACAAAATCGTGTTGGCTTGACAGAGAGAGAGAAAGCTGTGTCTGTGCCTTTGCTGGGAAGCTGGTGATAGAGACCATGGCTGCACGACTGCCAGCTTTCATGTGGCTCGGTTGACAGGGGTTTCACCCTCTGATGAAGTTCTCCAAACTTTCTTGGAAAACCAGCTGGGCAGGTTTACCTTTTGTCTACTGCCTTGGATGGATCTCATTTCTATCCTAGTTTGGGGTTAAGTATTTTCTGGCTGCCTCCTGCCCTTGGAGCATCCAGAGACAGGTGACATGTGGACACTCTGCTCACTCCTCTTTCTACTGGGAACTTTGGGCTGAGGCCAACTCTTGTGAGTGCTAAAGTGCTTGGGGGTTGGCAAATTCAAGGTAAACACTGCCTGACGTCAGACTCCTGTGAGATATCCTACATCCAGACTCCCAGAGTGGGAGCTTGCAGCCTGGCAGGTCTTCCTTTCCTTCAGTGCTTTGGTGCCTGCCTCATTTATGTGACTGTTAGTTGAATATTTTGTACTTTGAAAATATATGAAACCTATTAGTCAGTGGAGTAGGATTTTAGCACTCCAATCTCTCATTTTATGGACAGAGACTGAGGTTCAGAAAGGATTGACTTGTCCAAAGTCACATGGCTGGTTTGAATCCAGGTCTTCTGGTTCCTAGTCCATAGCTTTTCTCATTTTTATCATGCAATAAAAGGTAGCTCATCACAGAAATGTAAAGAGAAAGAATGGCGACCTCTCTCCTTTCCCACAATTCTTACCAGTTTTGTATCTCTTGCTCCCAGTTAGACAGGTTGTAATTGACTTTGTCTCTTCATGGAAGGATACCTGTAGCTCACACCCATAGCTAAAACCAACTCAATCCCTTGAATCATTTCTATTTGCAATCTATTTCTAGATTTAAAAAATTAGTGAACAAATCTCTTCTTTCTGCAGATAGGAATATACCCTTAGGGCAACAATCCTGGAGAAATTTGACTTAAATTTAAACCAGATTACAAAACACTGGGGACAGGCATTGGTGGAGTTGGGATGAGATTATCATAGTAGCTCAGCGATGAGTGTTTAGCATAGTCTATTCTAAGTTTATAACAACGCTGGGCATTGTTCTATTTTACTGTACAGGAAACTGGGTCACAAAGAAGTTAAGTAATTAACCCAGGTCCCTAGGGTTAATTATGTTAATTAAGTGTCAGTGCTGGATTTCAAATCTTCATTTAACTGGCTCTGATGGCTGTTCTCTTTCTACTACCCAGTGGTTCTCTAACTTGATGTATACAAATTTTCTGAGAAGATTATTTAAAAAGTAGTTTCCACCCAATCCAAGGATTCCGATTCAGCAGGGCTGAGGTAGGTTGGAGAATCTATATTTTAAAAAATGCCCTCAGTGGTTCTGGCATAAAGTGTTGGGAATTCCTGGAGGAAAAAAACAGAGAGGTGGGGGGCAGTGGGTGCAGATGGCAGCTTCCCCTCTTTGACAGCTTGGGGCTAGGCCAGACACTCTCCAAGTCTCACAGCCTCCCTAGACCTGGTCAGGTGTCCTCTGATTGCAAAGGGTGGGAAGCCTCGGCAAGCTGTGCTGGAGGAACTCGCATTAAGACAAGGCTCCCCAGCATGGAAATCCCAAGTTCACCCAGAAGTTTCAAAGTTAGGGATGTAGTTCCTTCTCTGTTGTTTTCCTTTCCAAAGAAAGACCCATTTCCAACCATACTCTAAGCCCAGAGGTGGACTTTTCCTTGTCTCTATTCTTAGTGTTGGCACAAGTTGCTGGCCCAGGGAAGTGCCCAGTGCTCATTGAATCATGACTGGTGGAGGGCATGCTCAGGCGTTCAGTCCTGGTGAGTTAGGTTCAAGGGCTTCCCTTTCTAAGTGTCTCCTGTTTGAGAGTTACACTCTGTATGGGGGCTACCCTTTGGAATGTAGCTCTAAGGAACACATAGCTGAGGGTCCCAAAGTAGGCAGTTTTCTAAGGGGCATAGAGATGAGTGTGTGTGATAGTTTTTATCCTCCCTGATATTTTACAAATTGAATCTCATTTACTTGTGGGAAAATACTATAGAGATTAAATTTCTAATCTAGCCAGCCTGTAATTATTTCTTTTCTTTAGCCAATCACTGATACTTCAGGCGGCTCCTTCCCAGTCCAGAGTCAGCAGCAAGTATCATTAACTCGCCTTCTAATATTTCTCCTGGATAATAAGACAAACAATCAGGAGATTCCAAGAGCCTGAACCCTAATCAAAGAATCCGGTCTTCTGGTTCCTCAATATCATCACATGCCCTAGGGCTCTAATTTTCCATGCCTACAAACCTCAAAACTCAAGTAAAGGCCTCTGATGATTTTCCGTAATGTGATTCCATGTGTTATAGTATTCCCTGCTCAGCTCCCACCTCCAAATGTACACTACATTTAAAGTAAGCCAACATGCACAGAGAGACAAGATAACTCACCATCTTGATAGTCGAAACTTTATCATTTACCTGAGTTTCCTCCTCCTCACCCATGTCATCCAGAAAACTGAAAATGGTCCAGGCACAAATTAATGAAACAGGTGGATGGGAGGCATGAGGTGGTCATGGTGGCTGTGGTGACCTGGCGGGAGTATGCGCTCCCCAAAGGAGGCAGGTTCCATTTAGACACATCCAGTTTATTCCAGGTGATAACATAGGCAAAGGGCTGGCAAGTGTTCTCATTCTTCAGGAGAAGCTGCAAATATGAATGAGATCTCCAGATTTAAAAGATGTTGGTGTTATAGACCGCCTATCTTTCCTTCCTTCCTTCCTTCTTTCCTCCCTTCCCTTCCCTTCCCTTTCTTTCCCTTTCCTTTCCTGCCTCCCTCCCTCCCTCTTCCCCCCCTCTTTCACTCCTTATTTCCTTGTTCTACAAATATTATTTATGTACTCCCCAAAATTCATATATTGAGGCCCTAACCCCTCTACCATGTGATGATAATGGAGATGGGATCTTTGAGAGGTAATGATGGTTAGATTAGATCATGCAGGTTGGGCCCTCATGGTGGGATTAGTGGCCTTATAAGAGGAAGAGAGAGAGATCTTTTGCTCGCCTCGCATACATTCACTGAGGAAAGGCCATGTGAGGACATAGTGAGAAATTGGCGACTACAGCGCAGGAGTGAGCCCTCACCAGGACCTGAATTCACTGGCACTTTGATCTTGGACTTTTCAGCCTTGAGAACTGGGAGAAAACACATTTCTGTTGCTTAAGCCACCTGGTCTATTGTATTTTATTAGAGCAGCTCGAGAAGACTAACACAGTTGATCATGAGTGCTGGACAACAAATTATATCCTTAGATCAGATGATTGCTGACCATTTGCCTGCTTTGTTGTAAAAAGGGCATTAAAAAATGAAATTAGGGATGGACGAGTGGGTACAAAAGGGAGAAGGAATTAACACAATTTTGAGGTATCAGCAGGTAGGTAGGGCTGGTTGGTTGTTTTCTAAACAGCTGTGCTCGAAGTAATATTTTAGCAAGATAGGGGCTTTGGAGCCTGCTTGGGAAGGCTCAGTTTCCTTCCTTCCTTCCCTTCCCTTCCCTTCCTTTCCCTTTCCCTTCCTTCCTTTCCTTTCCTTTCTTTCTTTCCTCCCTCCTTCTTTCCCCCCTCTCTCTCACTCCTTATTTCCTTGTCCTACAAATATTTATGGTGCACTCCCTCCCTAAGCACCTCCACCCCCCCAACCCCTGACCAACTGCACTAGGCCCCTGAGAATACAAAGGAGCAAATGACTTGGTCTTTGTGTTTCAGGAGCTTTAGGTTCCCTAGAGCTCTGATTTGTCTAAGTGGAGCTGTGAAAGGAGGGCAAGTTTTCCGGGCCATCATTTCTGCACCCTTGTCCCCTGGGAGTTGACATAGAACTAGTGGCTGCTCTGATTCAGAGTCAAGTGAGAGGAGGTGCTTGAATGCTGCTCTCCTGTATCAACATCCCCCTCCTAATTTAGATCAGAATTGATTCTTTGGTTGTGGGCAGCATGGCAGAGGGGAGAAGGTTCAGAGAGGCTGCATTACTCAATCGCTTTCCTTCGGGCAGGTTGGATTGTGATTGCCATGAAGTGAAAACATCCATAACCCTGAGTGGTCATGGGTTTGAGCATGTGTAGCCACTGCTCCTATAACTTGGCTGCTGGTGGCTGGTGGTAACCAGGACAAAGAGAGAAGAGACTCTTATGTTAGAGAAATGTAGTGTTTATAATAAAATAAACCTTATAGCATTTCTAAAAAAAGTATTCAGGCAAGTAAATGACAGTCAATAAACCATCTGCTAGTGAGGTCCACCCAAAGCCCATTCATGTATTTACTCAGTAACCTATCATTGTGGAGGGCATTGGATTAGGAGCTGTGGATATTGGTGATTAAGCTGCAGGTCTTGCTTGGTCTGGCAATTGAAAAACTGATTTTTCCAAATACTGTATCTGCATATCTTGGCTTCATGAAGATAAGGACCTGTGGCTGCAAAGGTCTAGGGGGTAGAGCAGAGGGCTTCTGGCATTTAATCTCTGTTAAAAATACTTTTCAAAATCATTTTACCAGCATATCAAAGCTGTAAAATATATTAAGTTAAATGAGAAAAAAAATCAGAGATGTAACTGTTAAAATCTAGAGTATTTTAGTTGAAAGACTGGGACATGAAAAGTAAATTTTCAACTTGAGAACACTTTGTCTCAGGGAGGTTTAAAAAAAACACCTTAAAAATAACAAGAGCTTCAAAGCAAGTGTTTTTATCACTGGCAAGGCAGGTGGTCCCACGTTTATTGTATGCAGGGTTCAGGGAAGCTTAAACTTAAAATTTTTAATGATTTTTTAAAGTTCAGCTAAAAGACATTATTCTGGGATAGAAAAAAGTCTATTTATTCCACTCTAGGTACTCCGAAGCAGGGTATGGATTCTGCTTTCATCTTTCAATGCAAGCCTGTTTCCACAGGGTTGAGATCTGGCATGGACAATTTCAGCCTGAAACGATTACTTTTGGAAATTTGCAGTGAGTGGAAACAGTCATGTAGAGCTGTGGATCTTGCTACCTGGATCAATAACTTCTTCTAGTTAAGCTTCTTGCCAAGGAAAAGCAAGGAATATCAAATTTCATAGACCTAATGAACCACTGGAAACTGCTTGCACCCATGTGTGCAAGGATCGCTTTTTATGATTTATACAAACCAAAGCACTCATTGGAATAAGAATAATAGCTAACGTTTATTTATCATTTATTATCCTGGCCACTGTGCCAAGTATTTATATACAGTGAGTTATTTAATCCCTGCAACAACCCATGGGTAGGTACTATTATTTTTCCTTCTTTATAGATAAGAACATTGAGGCACAAAAATGCTAAATTACAGAGTGGGATCAATGTGTTGCTCGCTTAGAAAATGAGTCAAGTTCCATATGTGTGAGTAAATGTGAACATTCCCACTTCCTTGTCACTTGGTTTTCTTTCTCAAGTTTGGTGTGTTTGCTCTGTGTTCACAGGATATTGTTAACTTCTTAGTCCTTTGAAGAAAAATCAAATTTTTTCTTAAGAAGAGACTTTTGAAACTCACAATATGAATTCAAGAAGCAAAAAAGAAAATCGAATTTCACAAATGGGATACCAATAGCTTGGAAAAATCCATTGCTTTTGCAGGGTTTGTTATTGAGGGAACCCTGCCTTTCCCAGCATCCTTAACATTTCTTCCTCAAATAAAAGGTAATAAAATGCAACCAACTGACTCATTTTCTAAGTGAATGACATATTTACTCTACTCTTTAAGTTTAAACTCTAACCAATTCCCCAATCCTTAGTTCCCATGAAATGTAATGTTCTCTTCCTAAAATGTTTGGCCAAGTTGGGGAAGGTGGGCATGGCAGTGTGAGCCTGTAGCCAGGTTCCAAGGTTCGCTTGAGGTTAGGAGGTTGAGACTAGCCTGGGCAATATGGCAAGACTCTGTATCCACAAAAAAAAAAAAAAAAATTAAAAATTAAATGTTTGGTCTTCTACAACCTGGCTTTCCACTTCTCATTCCCAATCATGCTCTGGGACCACCTCTTTCCTGTGCTGAGGAAGGCTAAGGAAGCACTGTGTTCTTTGAACACAGTGCTCAATCCATCCTGCATTGATGCCTTTGCTATGACAGTTTCCTCTGGTCTCTTCCTCCTCTGAGTCTAGCTTGAGGGCCACTTCCGAACAGCTGCAGAGTTGAGCTGCTCCTCGGTACACTTCACTGTTGAACCAACCTGGGCCACAGGTGTTGCAGTGAGGTTGTCTTCAGAGCCTCACCCTACAGGAAGAAAGTCTGTGAAGTTTCTGGCCCTGGCACAAAGCTGCAGAATCTTGGTGAATCAAACAACTTCTCCAAGCCTCAAAGAAGGCACTTTAAAAATTGTGAAGCACTAACTGAAGGAGAGGAGAGTGTCAAGGATTCCATCCTCCACTTACTAGTAGCTGTCTTATTCATTTGGGACTGCCGACCCCCAGATAGCCTTCATCCCTGGAAATGTGCCTCAGATGCATGTCTCTTCACATGCTTGGGCCTTCCAGAATGTACCAAAAGCCAGGGTTAAACAACGTCAGCTGGATGAACACATTTCAGTGGCAAAGGCTGTTGGAAACTACCACTGTGTTACATTTCACTTTAAACTCCTCACCTTGAAGTGAAGCTAAGTCAGGCCAGAGAATTGAATGGATTTGCCCTTGGCCACAGTATGAGGTGGTGGAGTAAGCGGAAGGAGAATGTGGTATGTGTTGCAGGCTGTCAGTATTTGCCAGACTATGGTCTTTTAAAAAATATATACATACATTGCACAAAGAGTTTGGCATTATAAAAAGAATCTTTTAAGTACCACAGTCTTTTATCCAGAACATTATTAAGAACTTTTTATTAAAAATTAAGATGCCTCAGAAACCATATAAAATTTTAACAGGCTCTACCTTTCCACTTCGCCTTTTCCAGGGCACCTCAGGAGAGGTGGTAGAATTCTCAAACATTTGGAGAGCTCTGCGAGGAACATTCTACTTTGCCAATTTGTCCCTGTATTGGCCCAGGACAGCCATTTACCACCTTGTTTTTGGTTATTTCAGCTGCTGCTAGGCGTTCTCCTTCAAACACACCTGGATTGCTGTGAGGACACTGCCCCACAGGCGGAACACAATGTGTTTCTCAGAGCTGCGGACTGTGGGCTGTAGGCTCCCACAGCCCTGTGTGTGTGAGCCCGTTGGCGCTCACCAAGCTCTTCTGAAGTTCTCTGGTTTCCTCTGACTTCTCTTCTGGATGGGAACTTAGGTACGGGACCAGTCCCATATATATTCATCAGTGCAGGTCCCTTTGTTCAACTCAAATGAGCACCACATGGGGTTCCTTCTTTCTGTGGGCCTCAATCCCTTCTGTGCTTGTCTTTTAAACTAATCTGCTCACATGGGGAGAGTCTTAAAATTTTTCCTGAATGTACCTCTTTTTATCTTCAAGAGACCCTTTGCCATTCTAGGGTGCTGTAATTTGACAAATAAATCCTTGTCCCACTTTCCCCTTCCCTGGTTTCTCACCTAGATCCTGGCCTTTCGTTCACCTGCCGTCTTTCAGAGTGGAGAGTACTCACCCTTCAGTCTCCTATTCACTGCAGTAACCCAAATTCCCTTCTCTTGGGTGGTCTCCTTTATCACTTTCGTATTTCTCTAATTCTAATAGCAAGACTTCAGGCCCAGCTTGAGAAAGCATGCATTTTCCTCCTTCATGTTCGTACAGTCCATTGGACATCCTTACCATCAGCTCTTGTTGGTTGAAAGATCTGAAAACTTTCAACTGGCCATTTCCTGAGGTTCTCTTTTTTGTTCATGGAGAAGCAACTGGAGCCCTTCAGTCTGGGCACAGTCAGGAATTTTCTGGATTGCTGCCATTATTCTTTTATTCAGTAAACATTTGCTGAGTCCCTTCCATATAAAAGTCAGTATCCCAGGGGCTGGGGATACAAGAACATGACCAAGGCCCTGCCTAAAGGGGCTTGCAGGCTGGTGCGGGAGACACAGTGACACATGTTGCCTTCTATTGGATACCAGTGCAATAGGTTGGAGTGGGAGCAGGATGTATGGGATGCTCTGCCCCATGCCAGAGGATGGACCACCTCATTCAGCAAGGGAAGGGGTGTCAGGGAAAGCTGTCACCAAAAAGCCCTAGTTGAACTGAGCTGCGAATCACAATGAGTCATTCGCCAGGCAAAGTCAGCCAGGGCATTCCTGGTGGAGGCAGCCACACAGGCAAAGGTTCAGAAGTGTGCAAGGGGGTTGACTATGTCCATTCTTTTTATGAATGTTGTCAAAGCTTCAGTAATCTTGCCCCTGTGCGTTTCTTGTCTGCCCTGCAGGCAGAATGAACTGTGAGTGGGTTATCAGGAAAGGTCAAAGACTGCATGGCTGGTGTGAGGGGCTGTGGGGCTGGGCCAGGGAAGCGGGAGGGAAGGGTGAGTCACTTGAAAGTTTTGTGTGCTGAGACATGGCTCTTAAAGGAGTTCTGGGGTTTTTGCAGAGGAGAAAGTGCTTAAAGGCAGATTATGCAGCCAACAGTGAGCCAGTAAATGGTTTCACTGGGGCCTATATTGGGACATTTTGGCAGCCTTCTTTATTGGGTTTGGGGCTCTCTGGCTATCAGATACCTTTCTGTTCTCTCCTTGTGAATGCCCGTGAGGGGTTTAGGGTAAAAATGTGGAGCTTTTAAGCATCTTAATGTGATTTCAATTGCATTTTAATTTTTAATAAAATGTTGAATAAAGTTCTGCTCAAAGAGCCACAGGGATGAGAAGATTCTACTTAATAGGGAGCGTAGTATTTTCATACTGGGAGATAGATGGGTTTAACAAGACCCTGGTACATCTCTTTCAAGTAAGTGCAATAAATGGTTCTGTTGGAATGGGAAAGAAGGGAGGTGCATACATACATGCATATATCTTATTTTTCTGTATAGCCAGTAATTCCACTCTTTGGAAGTAACCGCCGAGCTTTTGGCATCTTTGACTAATACCCTCCTCATATGATAGCTACACTGCTCCAAAGACGGTACAGACATCTGAGCCAAACATTTTTTCTGTTTTGTTTGCAAGAAATGGAACTGACAGATATACCTGTCTGTTTTGTTTCCAAGAAAATGTCTTGTTAGAAATGTGTGAAAATGTATTATATGACAGTTGCTGAAAATGTTTCAGATGCAGCAATAAACTGATTGTGGTTTTTGGACCAGATGTGCACCATGTTTAGAATTTATTGTACTTCTCTGTATTCTAGCCCAGTGCTTAAGTAAATAGAGAGAAGTGCTTTGCTTTTCAGTGAGACTTCTTATGTGGGTGAATGGCATTTTCCTCCATTTCATGATGGGAAATTATAGGAATCATGCAAATTGGAAATAGTCACTCACCTCACACCCATTGTGTAGCGGAGAAGACTCAAACTAAGGGCCTGTTGTCTTTGTCCTGACTCCTGAGGTTAAGGAGAAGACTTAGCCTGCAAACGTCTATAGCTTAACTGTGCCGCATTTTCTGACTCACTTAGAAACTAAAGAAATGCACTTAATGTCGATTGTAGTATTTTAAATCCCTGCCTTTTGATCTGATGCATTGTAGAACCTAGTCAGAACTCGATTAGTTAAAAAGGCAGGAGACTTTTTCATGCATACCCCTGTGGGACTCCAGGCAGCCTTTGCCAAAGGTGTTAGACATTTGTTTTTCTATGTGTGCTCAGTAAAATAGGCTTCTAAGCATAGAAATGATCTGCGTGTTGTGATTGATCTGCTTTTTTACGCTATCTCATGTTCCATTTCACTTCTAGAGGCACATTGATTTGAATAGTTAAAGATTTGTCTCATTTCCTTGCCAAGGAGGATTATGTTTCCAGCTTTTTGTTAATTCTGGGCATTTCAACCACTGCTTCTGATAACATCCTGCTTTACTGTGCTAGGCATTCCTTGGACCCAGGACTGGGGTAAGACATGGTCCTGCTGTCAGGGAAGCAGTAAGATAGTTCATGAAGGGCATGAAGTCCAGGTGCTTCACACGGGAGACCTCGTTTAATGCTCATAGAAACGTTAGATTTTGCAAGGGGTGAGGGTGTTAATTTCTTTATTTAAAACAAAATAAAACTGAGCATCTTGTAGCTCAGAGATGAGGATCCAGAACTAATAGCTGCTTGACTACAGAGCTCATGCCCTCCCTCCAGCTCACTGCTTGACTGGTTGCATAGTCAAGACATAACAATGAACATAAGGCTAGAAATTTTTGGAATAAAGGCTAACATAGGCACTAGAGCATTAAAATACATTGTGTGTTAGAGAAGGGTCATTGTGTACATGTAGTCAGTGAAGGAAGGCTTTATGGAGGAGAACTGAGCTGTGTTTGGAAGCCTGAAGATGAGGATAGAAATCACAGGCATGAAGCCACCAAGGAGGACAAGCTTGCAGGGTTGACAACTACACCAGATTGCCAGGGGGCCGACCTGGAGAGTCGGGGAGAGGGGAATAGGAAAGAAGGGGAAGGTGGAGGGCAGGCTGTTTAGAGCTCCATGAGAAACTCTGTGTGTGTGTGTGTGTGTGTGTGTGTGTGTGTGTGTCACATGTATGTCAGAGGAGGGTTTACAATGTGGAGGAAACATACCATTTAACTAAAAATCAAAATGTTTGGGGGATATACGATGCTGAAATTTCCCATTGTAGCCAGAAAAAGTGGTGTTTTAATAATGAGAATGTCATGTTTCTTTTCCTATGAGGGAATAAAATAAGTCAGCCTCTTTGCTGAGTTGGAAGTGGCTGAGTTGTTGGCAAAGTGAACGAATTCCCTTTGAGTCTCCGTGATAAAAGGAGGCAACAGGGGAGGGGAGATGGGGCAGGTAGAGGAGGACCAGTGTGCAGACCACCACAGCCCCACCGTTTGTCTGATTATCTGAAAGTGCTTGGAAACTAGGAAGCAGATAAAAACTTATTAAAGAAAAGAAAATCCAGAGAAAAAACCTGGGGAGCCCAGGGAGCATGCAGGGCGGCTCTAAACTGGGATTTGGGATGGGGTTATCTTTTTTCCCAGAGTACAGCTTTTCAAACGTTTCCAACAAATATTCACTTATGCTACCAGGGACAGTAGCATAAAGTATGAAGGGATGAAATATAGTTTCCTTGCTTTTTTCCTTTTTGCTTATAGGGAGATAGCTAGCAACATTTAATCCAATTTTAAAAACACATTGTAGAAATTAACGACGTGATTTTGTAATGGAGCAGAAAAAGAAAACCTCTAAGATGGAGTGAGCGACTTAGGGATCCCTATGTAGTCATCACAGATGCCTGTCTATTGATAGGAATCCTGTTTCAAACATGGAATTTAAATTTAAGAGAAAGGTGCACACCAAATTGATGCCTGGTTTTTCTGGTGGCTTGAAAGAAAGTAATGGAGTTTTTAAAAATGTGTGAACAATTGATATGAAATGCTCAATGTGTATACAATCATTTATGTGGCAGGCAATGCACTGCATGCTGGAGCTAAAAGAGAAAGTCCGGGGGCTTTCCATCTATTGAGGGAGGCAGAGAAAAGAGTGATACAAAGGGATTGGTGCTACAATATGCAACAAGAGGTGGGAATGTTAAAAAGGATTGATTTACTAAGACTGGAAAAATCAGGGAAGGCATTATGGAGAAGATGACATTTGAGTGGGTTTTGCAGTATAGATAAGAGTGCAGATGGAGGAGAGAGAAGTGAAATAAAGGAGAATGGCAAGGGGCATTGTAAGTGGAAAGACATACAAGGAAAAACTTAAACATGTTAAAGTTTACCTTCTACTTGGGGAAAAGACCACAGGTCCCCTTTTCAGATTCCCTAAAACTAGTATTTCCCTAAACTAGATTGGGAAATACCACTGTCACTTTGAAGAACCACTGAGGTTTTTTTTTTCTTTTGCTAGGAGTGGGGTTTAATCTGGACTGAATTGGAGGAAAGGAACTGGCACCAGAGTGGAGGCTGGAAGGATGGTGGAACTGACACTGGGACAGAACACAGAAAACAGAATCTAATGCTAGTAAGTTCTTTGTTATAGAACTTAACTTTGTGTTGTAACCCCTGTCTCCTCCACTGGCCTACAATGCAAGTTTCTTGCCTTAGTCATCTTTGCATCTCTGTGCCCAACACAGTAGGTGTATTAGTCCATTTTCATGCTGCTGATAAAGAAAAACCCAAGGCTGTGAAATTTACAAAAGAAAGAGTTTTATTGGACTTACAGTTCCATGTGGCTGGGGAGGCCTCACAATCATGGTGGAAGGTGAAAGGCACATCTCACATGGCGGCAGACAAGAGAAGAACTTGTACAGGGAAACACCTCTTTTAAAACTATCAGATCTCATAAGACTTATTCACTATCACAAGAACAGCACACTGGGTCCCTCCCACAACACGTGGGAATTCAAGATGAGATGTGGCTGGGGACACAGCCAAATCATATCAGTAGGTTCTTAATAAATCTCTGTTGAATGAATCAAGGGAAGAATGAGCTATTGTAGTTGTTTGGTTAAGAGATTCCGATGTAGGTATAAGCCTCTGTGGGAATCTTGGAAAATGTAAGACTCTTTGGGGTTAGAAAATAAGAAAAAGTAAATATCTCAATCAGGTTTAGACACAGCTTTCACTTTTGATATTGACTCTGATAAAGCAGGATGATTAATTTCTTTGTTAAAGTGCTATTTCATGAGGATGTATTTTCTATAAATCACCGATAAATTCTTTTGTCCACATTGAAATCTTATTCATATGAGATAGTGAAATATATAAGGAAAATTACTACTTAATATATTTAAAAAGATGGAGAAGTGAATTAGGGATAATAAATTATGAGCCTTTCAGTGTGGACTGACAATTATTTTAGCAAGTAAAGGAAACATTTTCTTAATGCTTATCACAATAGATGTGAGACAAAAAGAAGACAAATCTCCATTTACAATTTATTTTGCTCCAAGACTTCACAATGCAAGATTTACTCTAAAGGCACAACTTAAAGAAAACTAGATGAATGTTTCAGCTTGCATTATTACCATTATCACATTGAAAATGGCAGAAGCATAGTGCCATCAACTCTGCTTTTGAAAGATAGAGGTACCCCCACTTTAGCTTGGCCAACATCATCTAGACAAAATAGACAGCGAGACCAAAACCCGTGGCCAAAACCAAGCTTTGTGAGGCTAAAGCATCCCAGAGCAGTGTGTTGGGACAGTGTTTTGAAATATCAACTGAGTATTTTTCTAGTATTTACTGGGGTCCCTTGGTTCTTCTTCCATTCAGTAAACTAGGTCAGTCTGGCTTCATTGTCTTAGGGAAGGTCTGTCATAGAGCAAGTGTAGAAAAAGAAGTCAAATATTGCCTTTTGAGTTCCAAAAGCTAGGTCCCTCTGGAAAGTGAAGAACCTGGTACAGATGAGCTAAAATACCTGAGCTGTGAGGGCCAGTTATCCACCCCAAAGCAGGTAAAGATTCCTTGGGGTCAAGAAGCATCAGGGAGTTGTGGGGACATATTTGGAACTTTCTATGTGTATCATCTCTGAGAAAGAGGACTGGTGCCCAGTCCCTACCCAGACTGAACCCTGGGAAGTACAATTCCAGAACCCCCAATAGAATTGTGGGAGCTGTGTTTACCCAGGGCCTGGGCCTCAGTTTCTGGGTAGTGCTCAAAGAAGACATGGTTGTATGGCGATGAAGGGCCTTCAATAGCACCAGTTTCCATGGGAAGAATGATTCTTTGAGCCAAGTAGATGGGTTTTTGAATGGCCCCACAGTTTCTCACACCCCAGCATGGTGTGGAGCAGTGAGTGAATTACTGGGCACCAGAGAGGAGTGCAAGGAGAAAGAAGAGCAGAGGCAAAGGTGGGAATGTGGGCTGGGCAGCAGTGAACTTACTGCATGGTAGCCAGGACCAGGTGGGCCCTGGGGCATCGAAGCAGATGCCACTGTGCTTGGCTCAAGATGACTGAGGACCCAATGTCCACCACCCCATCCCTGCCTGCTCAGCCCTGCTCAACCCCTAGAATCCCCATGTGACTGAGATTAGGCTTCTGCTACCTTGTCACAGGCATGGGCCCTCAAAATAGAAATTCAGCTGTGGTATGGAAAAATAAAGTTACATTTTTTGCACACATGAATCTGGGGACTGAGATTCAAGCCTGCTCTTTGTATAATAAAGAAAAGTTCCATTTGATGAAATCTGATTAAGAATGGACACTTCTCTGTCCTGCAAAGATCAGTATGCCCTTAACCTCTGGCAAATACAAAGATGGGTTTGTTGAAAAAATACACAAAAATCTCTCAGAAACCAAGCAGAAGAGTAAAGCAGGATCTGAGGGGATTCTTGGAAAGTTAAAAATGAACTTCCTTCTCTGTTGTAACGGGCTATGTGGGCTCTTTGATTTTTCCCTGTGTGCCTTGCCTGTCCCTCTTCATTCCTAGAGTCTTCTGCCACTCCAGCCTGCACAGAGACCGTGATGGCCTTCCCCCAGCGTAACACCTGTTCTGTTCTAGCAGTGACCTCACGGATAGAGGAGACTCTTTTGTGTCTCTCAGGTCCGTGTCCACATAGCAAGAATCTGATTGGCTCCCTGTGGTCAAGTGTATACTCCTGGTCCAATCACTGGCTGGAGTGTTTTGGTGCCGAGTCACAAACCATATTCCGAGCAGTCAGGGCAGGGCTGCCATGTTGCACAACTGCAGGTTGTGCCTGCCAAACAATACTCTGGGAGCGGCTCCCCTGGATATGTGTGGTGCTTATCCTGCATGGTGAGAGGCAGTGGTCCTGAGTAAAAGTCCTGCTCTCCTGGTTAGCAAATGTAATAAAATGGTGGAACATAGTGTTGTCGCTGTTTGAATTGAGTGAATATCTTCCTAACATATGTTGAGTGGCCATATGAATGCATGGAGCAGGACTAAGAGAGCTGACCTTGGCATACAGAATATTCATGGTGGGCAGATGAGGCTGCCTACTCAGGTGGTTCACTGTTTAGCACTGTGGTTTGGAGAGCAAGCTTTGATGTTCAACACACCTGTGTTCACATCCCAACTCTGTTTATAAAAATGTGACATTGGTCAAGTTACTTGATTTCTCTGTCTCAGTGTCTTTATCAATAAAGTGGGAATGAAAATTACTACAGGAATGCTCATAAAGATTAAAGGAGTCATTTAAAGAACTTAGGCCAGTGTCTGATGCTTCATAAGTGCCCAGTAAGTGTCAGATGTAACTTATGTCATTATTATCACTAATAATTCTATTACTAGTGAATTATTTCACTAATTTTTCCACTAATTTATCTCACTAATTATTTCACTAATTAATTTTAATTCTTAGTGAAATAATTCGCTAATTCACTAATATATCACTAATACTAGAATTATTAGAATTATAGTGAAATAGAATTATTAGTGATAATATAATAGATTAGTAATATATTAATATAATAGAACTATTAGTGATATATTAATAATGTAATTAGTGATATGTTACTGAATTATTAGTGAACAGTTATTAGTGACTTAGTGATTATTAGTGAATTATTAGTAATATTTTAGTGAATATTAGTGAATTGTAATAGAATTAATAATAATTCTATTATTAGTGATATAAGCCATATGCATTTTACAGTCTTAAAATGTTAATGACCCATTATATGAAAAGCATTTATTTATCTGCATTCAAGATACATGTTTGGTTAAGGTCCTTGTAATTAAAATAAAAATCAGAATCACCATATTATACCAACATTGATACAAGTAATAATTAACAACAACAATGATGATGATGATGATTAAAAACCTGGATAAAATTTTGTCTCAGGCTTAGTGTGGTTTGGGTATGCATGTACTTATCATATTTGATTTTGATTTTATTTTAAAAATTTTGTCTTTACTTTTTTTCTTAGCATCTTGACCCTTTTGTGACATCTAGCAGGATGTATTTTTTTTTCAAGATGCATGTTTCACAAACAAAATATATGTTTATATCTGACTGTACCCAAGCTGCTAATTATGGGCATCTCTTTCTATAGCTCACTATTAATCACTCATGTCTTTGGGGTTATATAGAAAACAATTTATGTTACAAAATCAAATCCTCCCTTAAAAATGTTTGCCCTGGAAGTGAGGCAGGAGGAAATCACAAACTGTTATTATTTTCCCTTAGATGGATCTAAATATTAACATTCCCTTAGCTTTAAAGATTATTTTTATGCCGCTCCTTTATAAACAATTGAAGTTCACTAACTCTTCTGTTGTCTCGGGTTCTGTCTACAACATATCCAAACAACTCAGCTAAAAAAATGGGCAATCAGTTCAACAGGTTATTTGGCATTATATGTAGAAAATAAAAATGTTTGAATAGCTTAAAACATTTTAAAAAGCATAGCATATAGCAAACCAAATTGAATGTTTAAACATAGGCTAAGGATCTCTCACACAGGGGAGGGAGTTGCCATTTTTAGCTCTCATTGCAATTGTATTAACTACCTAACTACCAGGGCAACAATAGCAGCCACAGTGGCAGTAGTAGTTACAGCAGGAGGAGGAGGAGGGAGAATAAGCTATTAATAGTATGAACAACAGTAGTAGTTGTAGTGATTGTTGTAATAGTAACAGTTAACAGCACATGTACACATTGTTTTAGGTACTTCATGTACAGTAACTCATTTAATCTTTACAGCAACCTTAAGAGATAGTCCTATTATTTCTCCATTTTACAGAAAAGGAGATTAAAATTCCAAGAGGTAAAGTCACTAGTGGAGGAACCAAGATTTGGAAAACAGTAATAATGGCTGACATAGATCAAATATTCATGCTTCTCAGCTACTGACACGATTACCCCGTTGAACCCTCACAGTGAGCCCAGGAGGTGGATTTCTTCTTATCCTCATTTAACACAGAAGGAAACTGAAGCTTGGATGTCCGCCCGATGCAATGTCAGACAGGGTCTGAAACCAGGGATCCAAAGCCAGAAGTCCAGTCTTGCTTTCAGTTTGATTGTGTCTTGCAGATTCTGCTTGGAATGGTTTGCTGAGGGAAGAGAACTCCTCTAAGTAGAAGCTGTTGCCTTGAGGGGGGATCTGGGTACCCGCCTCTCCCTGAGGAGCGTTCTCCTACTGCCTGTCTTACAAAGAGAGTGCTTTTCTTCTGAACCACCCCAAAAGACTCCCACATTGGAGGGTGAGGCAGTGGGGTGAGACAAGTGAGGTACTTGTCCTGGGCATTGCATTTCAGGGGACACTAAATATGCAGTAATCAATATAAATAATATTTTATTTACTTATTTATACATTTTTGAGTCAGGGTCTTTGTCACCCAGGCTAGAGTGCAGTGGCACAATCATAGCTCACTGCAGCCTCAAACTCCTGGGCTCAAATGATCCTCCTACCTCAGCCTCTCAAGTATCTGGGACCACAGGTGTGCACCACCTGCTGGGCTAAGGGATAAGTAATATTTTAATGCAACATTTACAAATAGGTAAATATTAAACACTTAAAGTACATTTTTTAAAAATCAAAACAAATACCAAAAATATCCACACCTGAACAAGATCTCCACATTGAACATAAAGACAGGATCAGTTTGGTCCTGGGTCTCTGGACTCCTGGATGGAGACCAGGTGGGCAGGTGAGCCTGGTGCTGTCCTCACCCCACAGGGCTTTCTTGGGTCTCGAGCAACATTTGGGCTCCTCTGTGCAACTGTCTACACCACTGCTCACCCAGGCCTCCATCACAGTCACCATGATGATGAGCAGTGCTTCTTTAGGCATCACGTCACCAAAACAATATTTCATCATGCAGTGCTATTTTTAAAAAGTGAGGATGGCATTTTCCAATGATATGTTAGAAGAGTTACACCTCTTCCCTCTCCACCTTTTCTCTCCAGAACCCAACCAACGAAGTTGTTTAAAAAAGAAACAGTCAATGCCTTTTCCACTTTTAGATCTGCATATTGGGCCACTCTTGGTTTCTTTTTTCTTATTTACTACTTGAGGGTGTCAATTTAAGAAAACTCAGCTCTCCTACCAGCAAGTCAGCTGGGACACATGTGTTCTGTTCATCTCTTCCAAAGGCACTGTGGAATTGTCCAGTCCCAGAGGCCTTGGGCTTTGAGGACGCAGCCCAGCAGTCGTGGTGCTGAATATGAATATAGTGGCTTCCCAACCCAAAAGACATTTCATTTATTATTTTAAAAATATTTTCTTTGGGCTCTTTTAATCCTCAGGGATATTGGCTTGATGAATAGCAAATAAATTCCCTAACCAGACTGTTGTTATAAATATCCGTGGCATTAATTCAAACCATTTGCATTGGAAACTTTTTTTTTCCCCTGGAGGAAAAGGGGTGGCTGATTTAACCTCAACATTTGGGACACGTTTTTCCCTAAAATAACTACAACATCCATCATTTTTTTTTCCTGCTGGTGTGTCAATTTTTTAATGAGAGGCTGGGTCCCTTTAGTACCTTTGGTCTCCATAGTAACAATTTCATGTGTTTATTCTGGCTTACTGAAATAAAACACTGAGGAAAAGGTCAGTGACTCATTTTTGATTGGGGGTTGCTCTAATTAGAGGATGATTATTTAAAATTTGGTCTCTAACACAAAGATACTATGTGCTTAAAAATAAGACCATGGCAAGCATTTTAAATGACAAATGATGAAACATTTAGACAGTGAGAGGCTTCCCAACTATGGGTCTTTCTTCACAGGTGCAGGTGTTTTCAAGATTATTATTGTTTTCATCCGTATTTAACTGACCTTGACTTCTTGCCATTCCCTCTCTGGTAGCAGGATCTGAGTAATGCATTAAGTAATGGATTAAAGTGTCTAGAATGACTAATGCAGTTCTAGGAGTCAATTTAGACCTATGGTATATGCATCTGAGATGAGCTGAATCAATACAATAAAGTCCTCTCAGATGGCCACTGAGTGGCCAGGGGAGGCATAAACCTTGCCTAGGTACAGTTTTTCTATCCCCTTGGTCACTGCAGGTTTTGGATCTGTAGGAAGGCAGAATGGGGCATGCAGTGCTTTGTGATTGTTGCCTTGGGTTGCCATTGCCATTGTTTGACTTAACATGTGTCACGCCTTTCTTTTCTCATCTGTGAAGTGGCAATAACAGCGGAAGCTGCATCGTAAGGTGTTTGAGTGGATTAAATACAATAATCATGCATGCACAGGGCTTAGCAAAAACTAGACCCTACTTAGGAAATACCGCAGCAGTGTTGGCTGTTTTAATTATTCTTTTACTTTCATTATTTGATTGGCACTTTGGCCTTTGGACTGAGTTCCTTTGTTCTCAAGGGAATTGCTTAAAACGAAGGTAAGACTCTGGCAAGTGAAGTTTCCACCGCAGAGAGTGAGAAATCAGTTTGAGCAGGTGTGGATGTGGCACTCTGCAGGGAACATTCTGTGGGGAATACTGTCCTCCGTTAGGGCTCCATGAGGCTTTGCTGTGTCATGGCTGAGAGCTGAGGGCTGCTTTGTCCTCTAGAACCCAGGCTCCCATGGACTGGCTCACAGGACAAAGGGCAGAGCTCAGGTAGTGGTCCTCAGGCCCTATCTGGTTGAATCTCCATCAAGCACATTTCTATAAAATACAAAGAGATGCAAACTTGGCTGGCAGAACTGGAAGACAGCTACACCCGTGTGACCCCATATTGTGGCCTAACAGGATGACTCCATGAGACACGGTGAAACCAGGTTGACCTTATGAGTGCAAATTGTGTGGGCTTGCAGAGAAAAGCTGAAAAGTTTAGATAAAATTCTGGGAATTTGAATGATGTGTTTTTCTAGTTACTCTTGAAAATCAGTCTCTTTGATGGGTCCTAGTAAATTTTAGACCTTAGAAGCCAGGCCTTAATTAGGGAACTTCACCCGTCCACTTAATTAACAACTATTCATGGCTCTGTGTCAAGCACGTGCTTAGTCAGCTGGGACACCACGATTCTCCTTTTTTGGAGCTTACATTTTAGGTGGGAGACAGAGACAGTAAATGAATGATAAAAGGAAGAAAATTACTGTAAAATATTACAAGCTATGAAGGAATAACATGCTAGAGAACATTTGTCAGACTCTTGATCTTTCTGTGTTGCAGCTAAGGATGGAAATAATGTTCTGTGGTAAAGATTGTGGAGTGAATCCTTCTCATTAAGTGTTGATACCAGCTTGGCCTTTCCTCTTAGGTTGTACAATTGGACTGAGCAAAGTGCTTGCTATTGCTGTTCTTATTTTAGTTGTGAATAACGATGTTGCTAGGGCCTAAGTCTCTTCTAGCTGTTATAATTACTATTTTTATTCTCATTGTCAGAAAACACAACTTTGCAAACTGATTTACTCACAGACTGCTTTCTCCTTGCCCCCGGTTAAGTATCTCGTGAATTTTGTGTTTCCCAGAACACATTTTGGGAAACAGTGTTTCAGAAAATTCAATTCTGATGGGCCTGTGTTATGAATTTCCAAAGAGTAGTAAGTATGTCTTCAAAGAGAAATATTCCAGATGAGATATCTGCGCTTGTTGGCTAACCTAGGTTTTTGAATGCCTGATTAAGGTCACCTATTTTTGGCTCATCATCTACCCCCATTAGTCAATGTTGTTGCAAACTAAAAATAGTCCCTCAAAACAAAACAAAACAAAACAAAAACAAGAGATATTTAAGGGCAAACAGATAAATTCCATTGTACAGTTTAATGTAAAATAAATAAATATAATGTAGCCTTGTTTCTAAAGTTTGCAAAAGGATAAAATGATACAGAAATTCCTTTGGGGAAATACTGTGCATGTCAAGACATGCTGTTTCTCTTTTCCATCCTTAGACTATTTTAGTTCTTAAAAGATTTGCAAATTAAATTCTTTGCTTTTGTATTTTTAAAATATTATAATAGGTGTAAAGAGAATTGATTGGTACATGCACTTGGCTCTCTGGGATGTGGGGGTGCTGTCAGAGGCTGTTGGCTATGTCCCAGGGTAATTGAATGCCAATTGAGGAGACTTGAATTGAAGCTAACTCCACCACTTTCTAGCTTTTAGCAAGCCTCTTAAACTCTCTAGGTCTTTTTTTTTTTCTTCTAGAATGAGGACAATAGCACCCATGTTACTGGGATGTTGAGAAGGTTAAAGTGAGATAATGTTATGTGAAAGTACCTTGCAAACTATCAAGTCTGAAATTATAATCTGGTTTAGTCTGTGCACTTGGTTGTCATTGCATTGTATTGGGAGAAGACTGTTATTGGACCTGGGCTGGGTGATTAAGTCCCGAATTTTGAGAACAGGGGACGAAGCATCTCTGAAATAGAACGGAAGAAGGAAAGAGGAATGGAACTGCATGAGTATTAGTGTGGGAAGGGAAGTGGATATTCACAAGAAGTAAGGCAATTCAGGGAACATGCATTTTCATTGAGCTTAGGGACAGAACAGAATATGTACTCACTAGCATATTTTTTTCAAACATGTACTGAAGTAGGGTGACATTAGGTGAGTAACGTTAGGTTAAATACAGTAATTCCATTATCCCTGAAAAACATGTTAAAAAGAAACATAGTTCCATTTTCAGTAATGCGGACAAACAAGATAACCTGAAGCCCTCCTGCTAAAAACACTTGGAAATGCCAGCTAGACCATAACAGACATTTTTTTAAAGTGCATAGTTGAGCCTCAAGAAAGTAAAAGAAATACCCAGGGATACAAAATAGAGAGGAATCTGAAAATTAGAGTAGTGACAGGTAGGTGTTGTTTTGGCTGCCTTTTATTTTCAGTAATTAGAGAGTTTGGGTTTAATAGCCTTGCAGGTTCTTAGACAAGCCATGAGGCTGTCAAGAGGTGAGTTGTTGGACCTGAGATCCCTCCCTGCACATGCCTAAAGGTGACACCCGCGAATCCTGTTCTCAACTACCTGATTGCTTTGAGTCTCTCTTTCCTTTCACCCATTCTGCAACTTATTCAACAAATATTCATTCAGTATTTTCTCTGTGGCCAGCACTGCTCTAGGTTTTGTCAAAGGGGGGATTCTGATCATTCATACCTCACTCTGTATAAGCCAAGGTATGATTGCTTAACAAAGTGTTTTGAAGACTAGATTTCTATACAAACCTGTTACAGTCCTATAAGAGTTGCATGGATAAAGTGCTGATCTCAGCCCTGCTGCTCCTTGGTGAGACCCTCAGCCACTTCTTTAACCTCTCCAGCAGGAGCTGGCTTGGCTTCAGGATATAGGGTACATCCTTCTTACTCCTAGGAAATACTTGTTTTCAATCCCCCTGGGTCTCAGCATGTGCCTTCTCATTCCTGAGGGCAGCAGCCTTTATAAGAGAGTGTGTGAAGCCTTGGAGACCCATGCCAAGAGGGTGGGCTTTCACCAGAGGTTGGCTCCTGGACTCCCAGTCACCCCATATCTTCATTTCCTCAGGAACTGTCCCCACCACCACTGGCTAAGGGGTCTGATGGATATCATGGAGAGCCCCCAGAGATGTGAGGTTGTTTTTCAGATCCTAGAATTGGAGATAGAAGGAAGACAAGAGAAGACCAATGAGCTTGACCTGTGAAATTCAAGAGTAGAGGGTAAGGAGAACTCTGAGAGCCAGAGTGTTGGCACCACCATCCTTGTGCAAAGGTTGATCATCACCAGGTTAATCCTTTTGAAGAGAAAGGCACAATGCAGAGGAGCCCTCCCCCTCCCACTGCTGAAAGTCTGGCAATGTCAGATACAGTCCAGTTCTTATAATTTGGGGTGCTGTAGGGCTGGCTGGGATCTCAAGTGCCTGCTTTGAGACAGAGTAATGAAACAGGAACTTGGGGGAGTTACTCTCTGAACCTCCCATGGGGGATGGAGTTTCTCTCATAGAGGCCTTGCTGCTGGAGTCTCAGGCCTGTAAGAAGAAATTCTAGTTTTTGAGTAATTTAAGTGGTAACTTTAAGTTCACTGAGAGTTGCACTGAAGGCCAACTTTTTCCTCTAGTGTAATTATTCAAGAGCAACCATTTGTTGGCAAAAAAAAAAAAAAAAGAAAAAAAAGAAAAAGAAAACTGTAAAGGCCTGGGCTGCAGTAGTTGGAGCCCATCTGTCTACGGCCTTTTTTCAAAGCTTGGGAAAACTGAACTTGTGGATAGGCTCAGTTGGAGTTTGGGTCATTGGGGAACCATGGTTGACAACTATTTACCGTTCAGTCAAGAATATGTTTTCAGGTCATTTGTTCAGCTCTGTGGTTCCCCTTTGGGGCATGGGCTACTTAAAATTTTGTAGAAAAATAAATCCATCTCCCTTTAAAGACTGGCCTCCTTGTTTTTGTTAGAAGCCAGCATAGATTTTGACGCCAGACAAATATGTATCTGTACGTTTGGGCATTGCAACTTACTAGTTATATGAACTCAACTATATCTCTTAAATTCTCTTGATTTCCTCACCCTTAAGATGGGGATGCTTGGCTTGTTCCAACAGAAATTGGATGTGTTGGGATTTTGGTAACTTCTATTTTGTGTGTGTGTGTGCTTCCCAGGACACTTTAATACAAAGTACAAAATCAGGCTTACTCTTAGCTCCTTGTTAATCTCTTCTGGCATGCAAACAGAGAGGTGAAGTTCAAGGGTAGGGGTGTATAGTAAGTAGACAAGGACCCTCAAGCCTAGCTATGGGACTGGGGGAAACTGCCATACAGAGCAGCAATTTTCTCTTGGAAATCCATACTCAGGACTTATCTCAGAGACATTGTCCACAGATAATGCTCATAACAACTAAAAACTAGCAGAGCAACCAGAAGTATAATATAAATTTGGTTTGACAGTGTTAAATGGCACTTGGCAGAATCAGTTCTACAAATCACTAGGTTAAGCAATGTTCAATACAAGTTTGGAGTAAATGAATACTCACTATGCAGAGCCAAAGATTCATTTATATATTCATTCACTGAATAATTAGATATTTACTGAGCCACTGCCAGGTGCCAAGCCCAGCTCTCAATACAGGGTGTGTGTTAGTGAAGACTGCAGAGAGCTGCCCTCCCAGGGCACAGTTCCAGTCAGGGAAACAGACAAATTAAGAAATAAAAATGTGACATAATAAGTAGTGATAAGATATTTGAAAAAAAAAAGTGAAGCAGGGGAAGGGATTAGGGAGTTGTTTTTTTTCAACAGAGAGGCCAAGGAAGGCCTCTCTGAGGAGATGATGTTTGATCAGAGACCTGGATCAAGTGAAGAAATGACCAACTCATGGGGAGATCAGAGGGGAGCAACACCAATAGCCATAAACCAGGATTGTCCCAGGAAAACTAACACCTGTGGTTACCCTATAGACCAAGGTGAGGACTTTGGATTTTATTCTAAGTGTGAGGAGAAGCTTCAGGGAGGGACGTGATCTAATTTGTGTTTTAAAAAGACCTCTCTGGAAGGTAGACAGCAGACACAGGGAAACCAGTGAAGAGGCCATCACAGAAGCCCAGGTGAGAGATAACAGCTCAGCCTCACATTGGGTTTGGCTTACACCTTTTTTTTTTTTTTTTTTTGAGGCAGAGTCTCACTCTGTCACCCAGGCTGTAGTGCAGTGGCGTGATCTTGGCTCACTGCAAGCTCCGCCTTCTGGGTTCACGCCTCAGCCTCCTGAGTAGGAGTAGCTGGGACTACAGTGCCCGCCACCATGCCCGGCTAATTTTTTTGTTTCTGTATTTTAAGTAGAGACGGGGTTTCACTGTGTTAGCCAGGATGGTCTCGAACTCCTGACCTCGTGATCTGCCCCCATCAGCCTCCCAAAGTGCTGGAATTACAGGCGTGAGCCACCACACCTGGCAGGCTTACATCATTTTTATTAGACTCTACACAGAACTCATCCTGAGGCTCGGCCCTCTCATTCTTTCCCAAAGCAGAATTATTTGCCCTCAATATTAAAGAAAATTAGAGGATCATTGATTCCAAGGACGGTACTGGGCCGGTGGAGGATGTGGGTTTCCCTGCAGTGTCTCACTGCCCTACCTCCCTTGTCCTCCCCGAGCAGCATAAAGGTCTCAACCCCTCTTCGTGCTCTTCATTGTCATTGTAGATTATTGGTTCCAGAATGGAATGTCCTCTCCTTTTCTCTTTCTGTTTGTAAATCAAAAATTCCTTTTGTCTTCCAAAGTAACTTTGAGCATGCAGCAATTGTATCTCTAAACAGCCCCATCAGGGACATTCTGTATTTTGTTGGAGTTGATCCAAAGGTCCTGATAGATGAACTTCGAATTGTCTTTTAATGGTCCTCAGAAAAGTTTTATTAGGTACATGGTGGACCTGGGGAAACTTGTTGGGACTTGTAGGTTATATAATTCTTTTAGCTTCATTGCTAGGATGCTTGGGACTTTTAACCATGACTTCATTGCTCTTGAATATGGGTTTCATGCATCTGGTTGCTTGGCTGTTTTCAGAAAGTAGGGGTAACAGTCCCATCAATGTATCATCTTTTCCATGATTAGAAAAGAAACCTGAGAATGCTTTCCTAGCAAGTATGTAGACACAGTTTCCTCCAACACCTGTTCTTTCAAGTCATGAGACATTTGAAAATAACCACACAAGTTCCTGCATCTGAGCCTGTCTTTTGAATATCTGTTTGAGCAACATGAAGTTTTGCTAGTGTGAGCTAATGTCAGCATGCACCCTCCTCCCCACTGCCTGTGGATTCAAGTATGGCAAATGCCTGTTGATTTGGAATGACCAGGAGATGGCTTATTTTGGTTCTGTATCATTAATCAACAGATGTGTAAACAGATTTTTAAAAGTAAAATGCCTAATGTCACATTGCTATTACATTAAGGAGCTAGGATTCTGACTCCCTTTTCTAAACATTGATCCACACTGTGATGCTTTGGAAAATTTAAAAATTATGCAACAATGCACTCTCATTGTGAAAAAAATGAGAAAACATAGATGGAAAAAAAGAAATGAACCTCAAAAATTCCACTATTCAGCGATAACCACTGTTAACATTTTCAGGCACTTCTTTTCAGTTTTTTTTCTACAAAATGTAATTGCAAATGCATTTTCAAAGATACTGCTTTACAATTTCCTTTTTCCCTTTAATAATATTTTGGGTTTTGTTCATGTTCTTCTAAATCAGAACATAGATCTGCATTATCATTTTAAAAACTTGCATTGTTTTCCATTCCAGGATGCTAGTACTATTTATTAAATATTTCATTATTTTTTTCTCCTCCTGAGCTTGACTACTGTATTAGTCTGTTCTCTTGTTGCTAATAAAGACATACTCGAGACTGGGTAATTTATAAAGGAAAGAGGTTTAATTGACTCACGGTTCCACACAACTGGGGAAGCCTCACAATCATGGTGGAAGGCAAGGAGGAGCAAGCAGGCAAGAGAGAGCTTATGTGGATGGCAGCAGGCAAGAGAAAGCTTGTGCAGGGGAACTCCTCTTCATAAAACCATCAGATCTCCTGTGACTTATTCACTATCAGGAGAACAGCACAGGAAAGACCTGCCCTCATGATTCAATTACCTCCCACTTGGTCCCTCCCATGACACGTGGGAATTATGGGAGCTACAATTCAAGATGAAATTTGGGTGGGGACACAGCCAAACCATATCAACTACCAATTGATTAACCAAATCCCTCAGTTTTAGAACATTTGTTGAATGTTAATAATATTTCAAGTTTGCGCTATGCACTTTACATATGTTATTTCATTTAGGTAACTTGCTTACAATTTCTTGATATTACTGACTATCCTTATTCTCTGTATACCTTTCTGTAGGATTGTACACTGATTATTTAAGGGCTTTTCATAAATATTGCCAGAGTATGCTCCAGAAAGGTTCTAACAATTTACATTCACAAAGCACAAAGCATCCAGAGTGTTTAATTCTCTACATCCACACAATCAATGGGTATTATCAACTTTTAAAATCTTTTCTAATCTTCTAAGGAAAAACGGTAACTCATTCTTTCACCTTGGAATTCTTTGATCACTAGAGAAGCAGAATTTTGTCTCTTGATGTATTCATATTTTTCTCTAAAATATTTTAAATCCTATATATTTGAACATATTAAAAAGTATATTTTGGCCAGATGTGGTGGCTCATGCCTGTCATCCCAGCACTTTGGGAGGCCGAAGTGGGCAGATCACGAGGTCAGGAGATCAAGACCATCCTGGCTAACACGGTGAAACCCTGTCTCTACTAAAAATACAAAAAATTAGCCAGGTGTGGTGGCGGGTGCCTGTAGTCCCAGCTACTCGGGAGGCTGAGGCAGGAGAATGGTGTGAACTCAGGAGGCAGTGCTTGCAGTGAGCCAAGATCGTGCCACTGCACTCCAGCCTGGGCGACAGAGCAAGACTCCGTCTCAAAAAAAAAAAAAAGTATATTTTAATTATATGTACTCACATGTACATAATTTCATCAATGCATGCCTTTAAAATCATGAAGTTCTCTTTTTATTGCAATTTTTTTTGTTTGCTTTATCCTCTTCTTCTTTCCTTTTACATCATCCTTTCTGTCCCTTAAACAGCCTTTAAAACAACATTGAATGCATCTTTCCATATTTTTATATGTCCTTATATAATCCTTATATAATGTATGACATACATGCATACACATACACTATATTATATACACATGTATGTGTGTATATATATATATATATATATACAGTTTGTTTTATAGATTTTTTTAAAAAGTGGGATCATATATTACATATTTTTCTGCATCCTGCTTTTCTCACTCAACAGTACCTCATTTGAAAACCCTCCAAGTTGTTTGATGGAGTTACAATTTATCATTTTCAGTGACTGAAATTTTTTAAAGGCATGCTCCTATTGATAGGCATTGCTTGTGTTTCTGGTTTTTCTTTTTCTTCTACCACTACTAACAATGCTACAGTTAATATCTTTTAACATATGTCTTTACAAAGAAATTGATTTTATGGAACACACAGGAATGTTATTGGTAAGTGGCCTAAGTGTGGATACGTGTTTTACCCCTAAGAAATGATGCCAGATTGCTTTGCCCGAAGGTCCAAACACGTCCCTTCCCAGGAGCAATCTCAGAGAGTACCCATTTCATTATGTCCAGCCAGCAATAGCTGTTATGGCATTTCAAATTATCAGTCTGATGGCTGTAGTGATAATCATATTGTTACTGTAATTTGCATATCCATGGTTACTGCTTGTGAATTTGTATATCTTTTCATTTGTTTGTTTGCCATTGATTTACCCATCTGTGAATTGTCTTTGCCCATTATTTTATTGGGTTACATTTTTCTTATGTATTTCTAAGAGATTTTTGCATACTATAAATAAACTTTTATTTTGTTTTATTTTATTTTTGAGATGGAGTTTCGCTCTTGTTGCCCAGGCTGGAGTACAATGGCGTGATCTTGGCTCACTGCAACCTCTGCCTCCTGGGTTCAAGTGATTCTCCTGCCTCAACCTCCCGAGTAGCTGGGATTACAGGTGCCCACCACCACACCTGGCCAATTTTTGTAAGTTTAGTAGAGATGGGGTTTCACCATGTTCACCATGTTGGCCAGGCTGGTCTTGAACTCCTGACCTCAGGTGATTCGCCCACCTCAGCCTCCCAAAGTGCTGGGATTACAGGTGTGAGCCACCATGCCTGGCTGAAAAACTGCTAATTTTTAAAAATATTTATTTTGAATTCAGAAATTAGAACAAATTTTAAAATTAATTTTACAATTTTTTACTAAAATTTTTGATTTTTTTTTCTGTGCATGCAGGTATACAATCATGTAACCACCAAAAAGAGTTTTTTTCTCATCTTTCCCAATACTTGTGCCAGTTGTTTTCATGTTATGTATACTATAATACCTATAATAGTGTTGAAATAATGTGAAACATAATCTTTATCTAGCTATGATTTTAAAATTTGCCGCTAGCTTTTAGGAAATTTCTTTGTTGAATTTAAGTGGTTTCTTTCTAGCCCTATTTTAGTTAGGACTGGCTACTGAATTTCGTCAAATGCCTTTTAAGTATTTATTGATAGGACATGTGTTTTATCTTTTACTTTTTTGCTGCACTTAATTCAATGGATATATTAATTTCCTGATGTTAACCAACCGATTATTCCTGAAAGAGACTCAACTTAGTCTTTTGATATATTGAGAGATTCTCTTTGCTAATACTTATTTAGAATTTTTGCTTTTATAGTTATAAGTCAGATTTATTTCCAGTTTCCTATTTTGCTTCCATTTTTATTGAGTTTGGACACTGGATTTTAAAATTCTGTTCCAATGGTCTATGTAGCTGTTTTAATACCAGTATCATACTACTTTGGTTACTATGGTTTTGTAATATATTTTGAAATCAGAAAGTATTGATGTTTCCAGCTTTGTTCTTCTTGATCAAGATTACTTTGGTTATATAGGGTCCTTGGATAAAGAAAATGTGGCACATACACAACACAGAATACTATGCAGCCATAAAAAAGGATGAGTTCATGTCCTTTGCAGGGACATGGATGAAGCTGGAAACCATCATTCTCAGCAAACTATCACAAGAACAGAAAACCAAACACTGTATGTTCTCACTCATAAGTGGGAGTTGAACAATGAGAACACATGGACACAGGGAGGAGAACATCACACACCAGGGCCTGTTTGGGGGTCGGGGGCTAGGGGAGGGAGAACATTAGGAGAAACACGTAATGTCGGTGATGGGTTGATGGGTGCAGCAAACCACCATAGCACATGTATACCTATGTAACAAAACTGCACATTCTGCACATGTACCCCAGAACTTAAAGTATAATAATAAAAACAAATAGTATATGTAATAGGGTCTTTTGTGATTTTAGGATTTTTTTTTTTTTTTTTCTGTAAAGAATGCCATGCATTGAATTTGTGGATCACCTTGGACATTTTTACAACATAAATTCTTCCAACCCATGAACAAGGGTTGTCTTTCCATTGGTCTGTGTCTTTAATTTTATGCATTAAATTTTTACAGTTTTCAGTGTACAAATCTTAACCTCTTTGGTTATGTTTATTCCTAAGTATTTTTTTTATTTTGCTATTGTAAATGGGATTGTTTTCTTAATTTCCTTTTTGAATAGTTCATCGTTAGTGTATAGAAATATCATCTATTTTTTGTGTGTTGTTTTTGAATCCTGCAACTTTACTGAATTTGTTTATCAGTTCTTTCTGTGGAGTCTTTAGGATTTACTTTATATAAGATCATATAATCTGCAAACATAGGCAATTGTACTTATTTCTTTCTGATTTGGCTGCCCATTACTTTTTTTTTTTTTTTTTGTCTAGTTGCTCTGGCTATATCAAATAAAAGTGTCAAGAGTGAGCATCCTTGCCTTGTGCTGAATCACAAAGGAATACCTTTCAGTTTTTCTCCATTGATTATGATAGCAGTGGGCTTTTCACAGTGGGCTTTACTGTGTTGAGGTAAGTTCCTTCTGTACCTATTTTGTTGAGTTTTCATTACGAATGATGTTGATTTGGTCAAATGCTTTTTCTGCATCTGTTGAAATGGTCATGTGGTTTTTATCTTTCATTCTGTTAATATGATGTAACACCTTGATTGATTTGCATATATTAAACCAGCCTTGCATCCCAGGAATAAATTCCAGTTGTTCATGGTGTATAATCTTTTTGATGTGTTGTTGAAAACAGTTTGCTAATATTTTATTAAAATTTTTGCATCCATCAGAGATATCAGCCTTAGTTTTCTTTTCTTATGGTATATTTGATTAGCTTTGGTATTAAGGTGATGCTGGCCTTGTAAAATGTGTTTGGAAGTATTCCCTCTAGTTACATTTTTTGGAAAAGTTTAAGAAGGAATGGTATTAATTCTTCTTTGAATGTTTGGTAGAACTCAGCTGTGAGGCCATCTGGTCCTGAGCTTTTCTTTGCTGGGAGGTTTTAAGTTACTGCTTCAATCTCTTTATCTGTTATGGGTTTGTTCAGGCTTTTTCTTTCTCCCTGATTCAATGTTTGTGGTTTGTATTTTCCTAAGAATTTATCCATTTCCTCTAGGTTATCCAATTTGTTCATATGTAATTGTTTATAATAGTCCCTTATGATCCTTTTAATTTCTTAGGTATCTGTTGTAATGTCTCCACCTTAATTTCTGATTTTATTTATTTAATTCTTCTTTCTTTTTTATAGTTAGTCTGGCTAAGGGTTTGTCAATTTTATCTTTTCAAAAAATCAACTCTTGTTGATTTTCTCTATGATTTTTCTATTCTCTATTTGATTTATTTCTGCTCTAATCTTTATTGTTTCCTTCTGTCTGCTAATTTTGATATTGCCATTATATATCAATTTGGGGAGAACAATTTTGAGTCTTCCAAACTAGTTTGGTATATATCTCTAATTGTGTAAATATTCTTTAATTTTTCTCAGTAATATTTTATATTTTTCTGTTTATAGATCTTGCAATCTTTTGTTTAATTTATCCCTAAGAATATCTTTATGCAATTACAAATATTTTAACATTTTAACTTCCAAATGTTCATTGCTTGTGTATGAAATAAAAATGGACTTTTTGCAAATTAATTTTTATCCTACAATCTTAAGTTTATTTATTAGTTCTAGTAGCTTTTTTTGTAGATCTGCTGGATTTTCTACATAGATGATCATGTCATCAGTGAATAACAATAGGTTTACTTCTCACTTTCAAATCTGGATGTCTTTTTGGAGAGAGTTAGTATAGAATTGATTTTATATTTTCTTAAATGTTGGTAGAATTGGCCAGTAAAAGCATCTGGGCCAGAAGTTTTCTTTGGAAAGGTTTTTATCTATAAATTCACCTTTTGATATAGATATAGGACTAATGAGGTTACCTATTTTTTTCTTGAGTGAGCTTTGATAATTTGTATATTTCAAGAAATTTGTCCATTTTTTCCTTATGTTGTTGAAATTATTGACATAAAATTGCTCATAGTATTCCCTTATTATCATTTTAATAACTGTCACATTTGTAGCGATGTTATTTTTCTTGTTCCCAATATTGTTAATTTGTTAAAGTGTGATTTCTATAAATGGCATGTCATTAGGTTGTGTTCTTTAATCCAGCCTGACAATCTCTGCTTTTTAATTAGGATGTTTAGACCATTTACTTTTAATGTTATTACTGATATGTTTAGGTTTCTTTAAAATTATTTTATATTTTTAGAGACAGGGTCTTTCTCCATTGACCAGGCTGGAGTGCAGTGAAATGATAATAGCTCACTGCAGCCTCGAACTCCTGGGCTCAAGCAGTCTTCCCATCTCAGCCTCCCTAATAGCTGGAATTACAGGCATGAACCACCATGCCCAGCTATGTTTTTAAAAAAATTTTGTAGAGATGGGGCCTTGCTATGTTGACCAGGTTGGTCTCAAACTCCTAGCCAAGAGTGATCCTCCCACCTTGGCCTCCTGAAGTGCTGGGATTACAGATGTAAGCATGGTGACTGGCAGATATGGTAAGATTTATATCTATGTTTCTATTTGTTTATCTGTTTTTTATTCTACCTTTCCTTGTTTTAATTATTAAGATATTTTTGGGCACTGAAAGTCTTATTCATGTAAAATCAGAACTTCAATTTTATATCGAATCCAAAATTTCTTCCCTGACCATGTGCAGATGATCAGTGGCTCAAGGACCCTTTCCTTTTCCTAGATCTTTTATTTTTCTTCCCCCACTATTTCCAGTGCTCAGGCTTCTCCAGGGTTTGGATTGGGAGAAGCTTGATCAGAGTGAAGAAGGCCATGACTCTTTTTATTCAACAGTAGCAAGAGCAACCCAAATCTTTGTTTTTACATTATTTATGGCAGTTTCAAGTGTTTCGCTGATTGAAAGCTTTAGCTATTAAAAAGAAGACCCTGGTATTAGTCTCTTTACAACTGTTGCAAGCCTGTTGAATTTGAATGCTAAGAGACAATGTGTGTTAGAGCTTGGTGTACAGTTGCTTACCTTAAATAGATTAGGCATTAGTAATTTAATTCTTCACTGAGTTTTACCATTCTGAACTAAGATACAATGTTGTTAAGGTAATGAGGGCTATAGTAACACAGCAAGAAAAAAAATCTTAATAAAAGTTTTTATTTTTATTTTTTTGGAGACAGGGCCTTGCTGTGTCACCCAGACTGGAGTGCAGTGGTACTATCTTGGCTCACTGCAACCTCTGTCTTCCAGGCTCAGGCAATCCTCCCACCTCAGCCTCCTGAGTAGCTGGGACTATAGGCACATGCCACTATGCCCAGCTAATTTTTGTATTTTTTATAGAGACAGGGTTTTGCCATATTGCCCAGGTTGGTCTCAAACTCCTGGGCTCAAGCTATCTGCCCACCTCAGCCTCCCAAAGGGCTGGAATTATAAGCATGAGCCACCATGCCTAGCCAATAAAATTATGTTAACATCTATGTAATGTCCAATATTGGTTCTCTTTCAATGGCAATTATCTTCCAAGTAGTCATTTATGGCTCCTTATTGGGCTTCTTCCATCTCTGGCTCTGCCATTTTTGACCTAGGGCTTCTAAGGTTGCCACACCCATCTACATCAAGCTGACATTGTTCCAGAAATTTTTTATAGGCTAAGTCCTGGGGATGGTATACATCACTTCTGTTCATATTTCATTGGCTGGACTTCAGTTATGGCTGACTTCAAGGGAGGCTGGGAAACTGGGGCAAGAATAGAAAATGCTTGGTGAACAGCTAGCTAGTTTCTGTGTAGGAGTGTTTTTTGTTATAAGGATTTTACAGATTTAAATTTAAATTTAAAAGTCCATGAACATGGTTTTTCATCTCTGTCTTCTGTGGTAGTATGTTGACATCATATGGCCAGGTCACTCACCACCCCCTCCCCCCACCATCCCCAAGGAAACTCAGTCTCAATAAGGACATTTCTTGGGGAGGGGGAAGGTAGCTCATCACACTAACACCAAAGCTCTCAGAAGTTGCAAAGCTTGAATTTTTAAGAAAATGTAAAGGGACTACAGCTTTATAATGAGCATTTTAAACAGAAAAGAACAGATTTAATAGAACTTTTATTAAAGTCAAGCAGCGATATCTTCATACTTCATGCTGAGAATTTTTTTCTTTTTCTTTAACTCTTGAATGTCTTTTTAATGATTTTTAACAATTTAAATGTAGAAACTTATGTTCTATTTTCTAGAGTTTTGATTTTAGACAAAAAGGCATTTGTATAAAGAATCCTTTAGAGTGTTTATACAGAGCTCTATGTTTAGTATTTTTCTTACAAATCTCAATCCCCTGGAGTCATGGGGCACTCAGAGCCCAGGGACTCAAGTTCACCATTAGTTTAATGGTTTTGACCTCTGCTCTAAAGTGGATTTGTACAGAGAGTCATGCCTTGCATGTCCCAGAGTCATTAGCTTGGCATGAAATGGTTCTACTGCTTATGTTGCAGTATAATTGTTTCTGAGTTGGGCTTCTGTAAAATGATTATGTCTACTCGAAGACCTGAAGAATTTAAGAGCAATCTGCTCATGGGGTGTCAGTATTTGAGGGCTGGCAACTGGATAATCTTATGTGTAAGATAGAACCTAACTTTCTCTACTCATTTAGTTACCTAGGGTACTGGCTCACTTAAAGATTTGAGAGGCATCTCTTTTCAAGATTAGTATTTCCCACCATGGCTATGGAAACAGTTCTCTATGTCGGCCAAGCCAGCTCTGAGCAATCTTCTGGGAACTTAATATTGTTTATTATTGAATATTTTGTTCATTAATTTGGGGTCCTAAGTATGTCTCAGCTTTTTGATATAATGTCTCCAATAGTGATATTTATTTTAACTCATATGCTAGAAGCCAAAGCTTCATTAATTTGACAATGATTTGCTACATGGTTAACAGGCCAGGTGTCTAGAATAAAAAATCTGCATCAAATAACTTTTGAATGACAAGGTGACCATATTCTGGCCAAAGGGAAGACTTAAATTGAATAAATAAATGTTGTAGTATATTAGAAAGTGGTAAATGCCATGAAGGAAATAAATGGGAGTAGGAAGTTTAAGGGTTGGTAGATATTGCAATATTAAATATGGTAGTCAGGGAGGATGTTATTGATTATGTGACATTTGAACAAAAACTTAAAGGAGCTGAGGAAAGAGCATTCCAGGCAGAGATGAGAGCAAGGATGAGGCCTTTTAAACTGACTTATTTGAGGAACAGCAAAGAGGCCAACTTGTGTTACTAGTGATAGAGAATGAGGAGATCCTGATAGGAGATGCGGCCAGAGAAGCTGAGTTCTGGGGTGGGAATAGGGTGAGGGGAGCAGAAGAGAGTAAGTCCTGACTAGGAGCAACACCTGAATTTTGTGGCATCCTGGAGGCCAGGCAGAGAAAATGTGTGGAGGAGGGAGTGATGGACTATGCCAAAAGATGCTGGTGGGTCACACGAGGTGCAGTCTGAGAACTGACCACTGGGTTTAGATTTGCATTGAGTAAGTGTAGTGGGATCAAGAGTGAATGGGAGGAGAGAAAGTAAAGATTATTTTTTTAAGAGAAGTTTTGCTGCAGTAAGGTGGTACAAATCAGAAGCAAAGTTGAGAGAGCTCTTTTACTTTTAAGAAGGGAGAAATCATGTGATGTTTGTATGCTGATGAGAATAATCCAGGGGAGAGGGAAAAATTGATACAGGAGTGAGAGGAGAGAATTGATGAAGGTTAGAGAGGAGGGATCTGATGCATGAGAAGAGAGATTGGCCTTAAATACAAGCACGGCCAGTGTATCCATGAGGAGGGCAAATCAATGGGCATGGACGCTGGTAGATGGGTAAGTATAGAGATGGGACCATGTGGACTCTTCTAATTGCTGGTAGGTGGGTAAATATAGAGATAGGGGCATGTGGACTCTTCTAAAGCTTTCTTAGCACAACAAGGAATAAGAGCATCATCTGGGAGCAGGAATGAGAGAGGACTTTGAGGAGAGAGGAGAAGTAATTGTGAGAGAAGGGAAATGAATGGGGCAAGGGGTGTTATTGTGATTGCTCAGCAGCATTTTGGTGGTCATGTCTACGAAGGACTTAAAGACAGGTAAGAATTGAGGTGTGAGAGGTAACCAGGGGTCAGATGTACTAGAGCCTTTTGGGCTGTGGTCATGACTTTGGATTTCATTCTGAGTGAGATGGGCAGCTGTTGGAGAATTTGAGCAGTGGAGTGACACTATCTGACTTAGGTTCTAAAAGGATCACTTTGACCACTCTGTGCAGAATATTTTGCAGGAGCAGAAGCAGGACCAAAACTAGTTCAGCAGTCTAAGAGAAAGATGATGGTGGCTCCAGCTAAGGTGCAAGTGGTGAAGGGGAGAAAAAGAGCTGGATTTGAGATAAATTTTGAAGGCAGAGCTGACAGGAATTGTCAATTAAAAGAAGAGTGTGAGAAAGAGGCATTAAGGATGAGTTTAAGATCTAATCTTGAGCAATGCATAAATACTAGTGCTAATTAGATATCAGATTTCTCAGTCCCCAATACACCTATAAGATCAGCACAAACTGAGCTGGCATTCTTAGCCATGTAGCAAAATGATCCCCATGTAGACTGAGGCAGTAGTCTCCTTCAGGTTAATGTTGCTAATAGCCTCATATTTCAGACACAAAGGAAGCAGGTTTTGGCATGAACATGGTATGCAGGAGGTTTAAGATGTGTAGTTTTTCAAAGTATTTTAGCATATTTTCTTTTAATTTTATAATTCCAAGATATATTAAGTAGATACCAATTTAACCTACCTTCTGGAAATTTCTTCTTTCAAAAAATGACAGAATTTAGTTAATAGTCTGGCACTCGTTAGAGTTTTCCCAACAATAAAACAAAGTGTATTTATTTTAATGGGAAGTTCTGCTCTGTCCATTCAGTATTTTAATGTTTTCACTTTTTCCTTCTTTAAAACTTAAAACTATAAAAGTCTGAAAAATGAATATGCCATCAACTTTAAAAATAAAGATGACACTTTGCTCCT
Organism: Homo sapiens; assembly: GCF_000001405.40. NCBI lineage: Eukaryota > Metazoa > Chordata > Mammalia > Primates > Hominidae > Homo > Homo sapiens. The sequence goes on from NC_000013.11 coordinate 50,440,066, forward strand.
TCCTTCTTAAAGAACAGCTTGTCTCAATTTTCCCAATCTCTGTTTTCTTGAAATTTTACTTTCTGACTGGGCCAATCTGGCTACATATCCTCTTGCTACTTCATTCTCTTTTATCAGCAAACTTTCAGGATCACTAAAGAATAAGTAGTGTCTTTGCTTCCATCCCCTTACACTTAGAGACTTTCAGAGTTTCTGTAATAGCTCGCTACACAGAGAAAGGCAAACAAAAGGATGCTAGAACATTTTCCCAAAAAGTGCAGTTTAGTTCTTTTCTTCATTGTGTTTGCAAATGATTGCACTGGGACTGAGGGAGGAAATGAATGTATTGCATAGGAATCTTTGTTCTGTGGTTTGGGGAGATCAAGACCAATACTACCTGGATATTTTATTAACATCTTCAATTTGTTTCTTTGAGTCTTCTTCCCTCTCAGCAGAATGAATGATTAATTTCAGGTAAAAAGAAGCAAGGTTTTTATTGCCTTTCCCCATAATCTGACTTTCAGAGTGGACTTGATGGCTCCAATTATTGGTGCTTTAAATTGTAAACAGTTGTCAGGTTTGTGGATAGGTGGATCAGGAACAGCCACTTGTTATTTCAGAGATAAAGGCAATGTAGTGCAAAAGCTGAGAGCTTGGGATCTGGAGTCTGATAGATTCTAGTGTCACGGCTCTCTAGCTGGCTAGGCCACTTACAATTTCTCTGGGGCTCAATTTACTCATCTGGAAAATAGGGATGATAATGTTTATTTTGTAGAGTTGTTAAGATTGAAATAAGTAATGTATCTTAAGCAATTACCACAGTGCCCTGCACATAATAAACACTCAATAATTGGTAGCTATTTTTACTTTTTATTTTATAAATTTGTAATATAAGGAGTATGATTTTAATAATTGCATTATTACATATTATATGTATTGGTGTATATATGTCTTATTATATTACATATACATATATACGTGTGTGTATATATATTTATATATGATTCAGATTTAAAAAAATAGTGTTTTACTTTCTCTAAGCACCCCCAAAGGATTACACCAGTGATTCTCAAAATACAGTCTCCAGACCAATGGCATCAGCATCACCTGGAAACTTATTAGAAATTCAACTCTTGTAACCCCATTTCAGACCAACTGAATTAGAAACTTTAGGGGTGGGGTTTCATAATCTGCATTTTAATGAGTCTTTCTAGTAACCCTGATGCACTGTGAAGCTTGAGAAACACTAGAAGAGGCTATGTTCTCATCCCAGAATAATGACTTTCAAACTAAAACATCCTTGTGGTTAGGTGGCTCATGCCTATAATCCCAACACTTTGGGAGGCCACGGTAGGGGGATCACTTGAGGCCAGGAGTTCAAGACCCAGTTGGGTAATATAGCAAGATCCTGTTTCTACAAAAAATTTTAAAAATTAGAGAAGCATGGTGGCTCATGCCTGTAGACCCAACTACTTGGGAGTATGAGGCGGGAGCATCACTGAACACCAGGAGTTGAAGGCTGCAGTGAGTTATGATTGAGCCACTGTACTTGAGCCTGGGGGTGACAGGGCAAGACCCATTCTTGCTTTAGTTACTGTCTTGTTTCATGTAGTAAATTCTAAGCGACCTGTAAATGCTGAAGTGAAATCAAATGGTAATATTAAAAACACAAACTCTTTGTTTAATAAATGTCTACTGAGTGCTTACTAGGTGCAAGGCATTGTGTTAAGATGCTTTAATGCACACCTAGTATCATTGTGTTTGGCACAGTGGCTCTCCATTCTTTTCTGTTTGCTTGTCAATCTTTCTGTACACTGCTTTACTTACTACTGCCTTATAGTAGCTTTGGTATGTGATGGAACAAGTTCCTTTTCTTTAATCTCCTTGTCCACTTTTGATCATTTATTCATCTGAATAAAATTCAGATTAAGCCTGTTAATTTTCATGACAAGCTATAATATTCACTGGGAATGTTTTGTAGATCAGTTTAGGGAAAATACAAATTTGTAGATCAGTTTAGGGAAAAATTGATATCTTCATGATATTTTCATGATATTTTAAGCCTTCTGGTAAATGAATGTGATGTATCTTTCCATTTACTTGAGTATTCCTTTACATTTTTCATTAAAGGTATATAATTTCATACTTTCAAGTAATATACTACTTTAGATTTATTCCCAAGAACCTTACAGATTTAAAAAATTCCATTTATTATTGAATAGATATTTTAATTTGTCATTCACTTTCTAATTGTTTGTTTCTTGTGTATGGAAATGTCATCGATCTATTTTTTATTAATTGATCCTGTACTCTGCAATTTTACAGAATTCTCTTATTAGTTCTAAAAGTTTGTAATTTTCAAAATATTTTCTGTGGACAATAAGTTCTACAATTAATGACAGTTTTGAATCGCTCTTTATTTTTCTCTTATTGTTATTTCTTGTCTTATTGAGTTGGGAAAGACCTCCAGTTAGAAGTTGAACAGTTTTGTAAATAACAGGTGTCTTCATTGTGTTTCTGACTTTAAAGCAGATGCTTCCATCATTGATAGCAAAGTAGGAGGTTTACTTTATATATATATACTTTTCCTAGTTAAAAGAAGTTTCTTTACTCTTCCTAGTTGGTTAAAACTCTGTATTATAAGAGGATGTTGAGCTTTTTATCACATAATATGGTATTATTTGAGATTTTTTCTGTATAAATACAGTATTTACATTTATAGGTTTTACATCTATTAAATTATCCTTACACTCCTGTTTAAAACTTGCTTGACTGCTAATATTATATGTAAGATTTTACCATCTATGCTTATACAAGTGATTGAGCTTATAATTTCACTTTCTGTTGCTGTTTTTTGTTCAGTTTTGATATTAAAATTTTGCTGGCCTCATGAAAGGAAGTAGAGAACTTTCCTATCTTTTGGTCTCTGCAATAGTTTGAAAAAGAAAAAGGCTATTTAATTCTTAAAGTTCTGGTAAAATATGCCTATAAGCCTGTCTGGTCTTCATGCTTTGGTGCTTCTTTATGGGCAAGGTGATTTTTTTGTCTGTTTCTTTCTTTCTTAAATTACTGAGTTACTTTCCCTTTAGGTTTTCTACTTCTTCTTGAGTTAGTTTTGGGAAATTGTAATATTTTTCCAGGAAACTTTCCATGATCTTTAAGTTCTTACATATTTACTGGCAAGTTTGTTAATGGTATTCTCTTACAGTTTGCCAAATATTTACTGCTACAATGTGAATGTTTGTGTCCAAAACTCCTATGTTGAAACCAAATCCACAGTGCTATAGAATAAGAAGTGGGGCCTTTAGGAGGTGATTAGGTCACTAGGGCAGAATCCTCCTGAATGGAATTAGTGCTCTTATAAAAGAGATGGAAGGGAGCTTCTTAGCCCTTCTACCATATGAGGGCACAGCAAGAAGATGCCATATGTAAAGCAGAAAGCAGTCTTTACCAGACACTAAATCTGCAGGCACCTTGATGCTGGACTTCCCAGTCTCCAGAACTGTAAGCAACAAATTTTTGTTTATAAATTGCCCAGTTTATGGTATTTTGTCACAGCAGCCTGAATAGACTAAAACATTTACTATATCTATACTTAGTCTCTCTTCATTTCTAATATTGTTTATTTTGCACACACACTCTCTCTTTCTTCTACTCTCTTTTACCAAAGACTTATCTATTCAAAGAAAGAGCAATTTTGTTGATACTGTCTTTTCTTTCTCTTCTGTTTAATTAATTTCCTCTTTTACCACATTTTATTCCTTTTCCCTCCTCTGAGTTTCTTTCTTTCTTTTTTTTTTTTTTTTTTTTGAGACAGGGTCTCATTCTATCACCCAGGCTGGAGTGCAGTGGTGCAATTACAGCTCACTGCAGCCTTGACCTCCTTGGGCTCAGATGATCCTCCCACCTCAGCCTCCAGAGTAACTGGGATTACAGGTGTGCATCACCGTGCCTTGCTAATTTTTGTATGTTTTGTAGAGATGAGCTTTTGCCATGTTGCCCAGGCTGGTCTCAAACTCCAGGGGTTAAGTGATCTGCCCACCTTGGCTTCCCAAAGTGCTGGGATTACAGGTGTTAGCCAACACACACAGCTCTTACTCTGTAGTTTTTAAAATAATGTTTTGAGTTAAATGTAGTAATTAATAATTTACAAATTTCTGTTCCTAATCTGATATTAAGTCTATACCTTTTCCTGTTTAGCTGCATATGAATACAAATGCTTCCATTGTTTAATTATAAATATTTTATATTTCTTATTACAATTCTTCTTTGACCCTTGAATTATCTAGAAGTATTTTTTAGTTTTTAAATATACGAATTAAAAATTTTAATTGATTCCTTATTTTCTTGGAGACTGTGGTCTATATGATGTCATTTGTTTGGCATTTGTTGAGACCACTTTAATTTACTTCAAAGATATTTTAAAAATTGTTTTGTGTGTAGTTAAAATGAATGACATTCTGTATGTGATACACGTTCTTATATTGAGCTTGTTTATTCTATTGTTTGAATCTTTTATATCTTTACTTATTTCCTCCTCACTTGTTTTGGGAACATTAAAATCTTTCACTATAGTTGTAATGTGTCAGGTTCTCTTTATAACTCATCAATTTATGATTTATATATTTTCAAGTTATCTTCTTAAAAGAATATAACCAAGTGTATATAGGGATGGGTATAACAGTAGATCATAAGGATTTGAGGGATGTCAAATACCAGAGATAAAGACAAAGAAGAGCTGGAGAAGAAAGGCTTTTTTGCAAACTCTAAGCTGAAAGTGGAGACAAAAGAAGTGCCAGGTATGTCTGCCAACTCCGTGGCAGACAGACTCACACCGCGGGCTGTATGCTGGATAAGGAACGAATGCAGAAGACGGGGTCCAAGATGAAGTCAGCTGGATGTAACTCACAGCTGACTGCTTTGAATTGCTGCCATACCTGTGTGTTTGTTTGAAAGTGGCTAGACTTGAGGTTGCTACCTGACACTTAGTCCTGGCAGGAAAGAATTCTTTTTTGTGGACTAAAACATATCAGAGCAACTTCTAACATTTAATTAATCTCCACCCACACTTTTATTTTGGAAGGATGTTTCTGACTCTTGTATACTTCTTTTTCCAATCTAAGAATCACATTTCATATTGCCCCTTTTGCTTTATGGAGGCATGAATTATTCCAATTGTCTTACTTAACTGGCTTTTATTGTCTGGAGGAAACTTTAGTGAGTTCAATTTACCTGGTAGCCTATTTTGTTTCTGGTAGACTTCAACACTGAGCAGAAATACTCCTATTACAGCACTTAGTTTATCTGTAGATGAAAACCTTTGCGTTTTAAATAAAACACTCAGCTAGAGGGGTCAGGTTTGGCTCTGTTTCTCTTCATAGGTGCTTCTAAAAACATTTGCCAAGTCTGAAGTCCTGGACTTAGACATCTTGGAGGAACACTAAGGGTAGAGATGCTTTTCATTGAATGTGAAAAATAGCATTTTTGCTGAAGACTATTTTGTTCAGTTGCTGCAAAGTAATTTATCTTGGGGAGCAGAGACCAAGTCTGAGAGTCGGAGACATTCAAGACCAAAAGGAAGCTAGAGCCTTTTTTTTTTTTTTAAAAAAAAAAAGACCGTATATTTATAAGCAATCAACAAAAGAGAGTTTTTGATGAAAATTATTCTTTAACCCTGACAGTGACATTTTCTTCAGTAAAAGACGCAGCTGTCTCATAAACATAAAAAATATATAAACCCTCTTCATTCTTTCATTACTTTCAGGTCTCTTGATTTTGGGTGAAGAAAGTAAGCAAAGTTTATGGTGAGGTTTTTAGTAAATTACTCAGATGATTCAAGATTCTAACCTTCCCCAGCTCCATGCAAACATTTATCTCTTTTATTTAGTTTATGCAAATTAAAGGGACCCCTGGGGATGTGTGCTGAATACTCTATATAATTGCACAGTTTTAAATTTCAGTTTCCTAGTATAGATCTGGTATCTAAGATGGTGTGACATTTTTAGTTTCCAAAAACCTTACAACAGGGTTCACAAATTCTGAAGTTGAGTCTTAGTGTTTTCCTCTTGGGTCATTTTACACAATTAAATTATACTGCTTCAAGTTCTGCATGATAATTCCCACACCAGATCTCTTCCATGAATATCCACTCCTTTTTCACATTCAAAAATGTAGAATCAAAATAGCCAAATTAAGCAGCAGATAATCTGAAAATTAATTGTTTCAGGGGAGGAAAGAACAAGAGTCCGATTAGCATTCATTTGAAAGAAAACACTTTATTGAGGTATAATTGACATGTGAAAAGCTTGTAGTCCTAGCACTCTGGGAGGCCGAGGTGGGAAGATCACTTGAGGCCAGGAGTTTAAGACCAGCCTGGGCAACATAGCGAGGCCCCATCTCAAATAATAAAAATTTTTTAAAAAGCTGTATATATTTAATGTGTACAATTCGATAAGCCTGGGCATAAGTATACACTCATGAAATCATCCTCACCATCATGGCCATGGACATATTCATCACCTCCCAAAGTCTTCTCCTGTCCCTTTATGTTTATCATCATTATCTTTTGGTAAGAATGCCTAACATAGGATCTAGCCTCTTAGAAAGTTTTAAGTATATGATACAGCATTGTTAGCCATAGGTACTATGTTGTATAGTAATCTCCAAACTTATTGCATAACTGAAATTTTGTACGCTCTGACCATCCCTTCCCCATTTCCCCCCACTCTCTGGCTCTTGGCAACCACTACTTTACTCTCTGCTTCTGTAAGTTTGAATATTTCACATTCCACATAAAAGTGAGATCATACAGTATTTGTCTGTGTTTGGCTATGTCATTTATCATAATGTCCTTTAGGTCTATCCATGTTGTCCCAAGGGCAGAATTACCTTTTTTTTTTTTTTTTTTTTTTTTTTTTTAGGCTGAATACCATTCCATTATATGTATATATCACATTTTCTTTATCCACTCATTTGTCAGTAGATATTTAGGTTGATTCCATATTTTGGCTATTGTGACTAATGCTGCAATGAGAATGAGAGTGCTAATAGCTCTTCAAGATTCTGATTTCAATTCCTTTGGATAAATATCCAGAAGTGGGATTGCTGGATCATATAGTAGTTCTATTTTTCATTTTTTGAAGAACCTCCATATGAAGCAGGATATTTCCCTGACCCGTTTGTGGGACTCAGAAAGGGAGTGCCTTGTCTACTCAGCCTGCCCGCTTTCAGCTCCTCAAGGAAGGGAGCATGCAAGCAAATGAGGAGGGAACTGGAGTGCACAAGTGCTGGAACTGGCTGACCGTTTCGGTACTGGCGGGAACAAGCTCCACTCACTGGGATCAGCTGCAATCCACCCCTCGCAGGGCTGGATTCTTCTCTGAAGTTACACCGTCAAGCTGTCCCTCTGAAGTCAAGCTACTTCTCTCTGATGTCCAGCTGCAGTCGTTCCATTGTCCAGCTGCTTCTCTCTGCTGGCTGAGTCTGGGGTCTTTATAAGCATAGGATGGGGTCGGGTGGGGCCATGGGTGGTTTAGGAAAAGGCAACATTCAAGCAGGAAAACAGGGACGTACATTCTCACTTTAGGCTGCGGGTTTCAGGCTTTTTGCTCTTGGCCCAGTCCTTTAAAAAACTTTTTGCACTTTGGTTTCCTCATCTATAAGATGGACAGAAACACCCACTTCATAGGTTTGCTGTAGTTATTAAGAGGATAATAACTATAGAAGTGGAGAATGGTAGGTGGCAGCTATTACTGAATTAACGAGTCAGATGTTTTGCTATGAGAAGGTCCTGTTTTTTTTTTAACATGCTATAGACTTTCAATAAATGAAAATTTTTATTATTTCCTAAGAAATGCACACTGATAGTAAAAAAAATGTAGGAACTCAAACAAATAAAACACCTTTAATTCTATAACTGAGAGAGAACTTAACTGAGATTTTTGTCTATTCTCTATATTTTTCTATGTATACACATATTATTTAAAATGGAATGCTGTACATTGTTGTTCTGTAAGTGCCTTTTTATTCAGTAATGTTTACATTTTCTATTTTGCCATAGTGTTGCTATTATGCTTGCAAATGGATGCTTATGCCCACAGATGCTTGAAACCATTAGAAATAAACCAGGTCCTTGGCATAGGGTTTTGAATGACTCAAGGATTTGCTGTTGTATAGATGATAATTTGCTGTTTCTTTGTGGATAAGGCTTATTCTTCTTATGTTACACAGAGTGGAATAAGGACAATGATGCAAAAAAGAGCCATTCTCGGAGGGAGTCAGTCAGGGGCAAGCTCAGCGTGTCAGGAGACACCAGGGAGGCCCAGGTGGGAACCTCTCATGCTTGCACTGCGAAGGGGAGCCAATGCCAAATGGAGTCCTGGGGCCAGGACAGAAGTGAACCCTAGACTTGTGAGAGCTGAATATACAAATGGATGACGGCTGGACCCCACATAAAAATAGAACTCTGACCCACAGCCTGCAGCAACCTGCCTAAAAAACCAATCCTCTTATCTACAATGAAAAGCCCAGGTAGCCAGCCTGCTAGAAGTCAGACTTGCAGGAAACCAGATTGTTATCTTTAGTCATGATCCAAGAAGCTAAACAATAACTTCTATAACAATCAGCCCCGAATGGCCAGGATGTGATTAATAATTGGCAGCTTCCCTAATTTTTATCCTGACTTCCAACTTGGACCAATCAGAGAAAGCTAACTATGCCCCCTAACCAATCCCATAGAATGCCAGGCTTCTGGTTAGCTCACCTACAGCTTCCTCAGGCACAGCCCCAGGTATGGCCTGATTGGAGCCTGTCAGCATAAGGAAGTGGGAATGGACTCTCCCTTTTTTCCACTCTAAATCTTTCTCACTCTCCTGCCCTCTTTTGAGTCTCTGCCAAAATGTAAATGATGGCAGCTGACTCCCTTGTTATGGCAAGCTCTGAATAAACAGCCTTTGCTTTTCTCATCTGGTTGGTCTTAATTTATGTCCATACTTGCTTGAAGCCCAGGTAGAATGGCTCATGTGTAGCCATTGTCAGACAGGGCCCTTTGTTTTTAATGGAACTTGACTTGGTCTCTTTGTGAGGTGCAGGCACTGGACGGCAAGGATCATAACTTACTCATCTCAGTAATCTAAGTGTCCAGCACTTGCCTTGCTCATAATAAAGATTGTTGAAATAAGCTGGAAAGAAGTCTTATGCACAAAGTTTAGGCCTTTTCTTGTCCAATATGGAACCAGGAAAGCCCAATGTGACTAGTGTGTCTTGTTTCAATAGAAGGAAATGTCACCACGAATTCCAGTGTAAATGCAAAACAAACTGGAATTGACTTGGGGGTAGGGGAGCTTAGCAGTCTGCATTTCGCTAACTCTCTAGAGAACCCCTTTAAAATCTTTTTGGCAAAACTTTCCCTTTTTTTGTTTAACACCTCCCTCTAATCTAAACCCATGTGGATTTTGAGGGAAATTTAATTAAAAATGATTTTTTTCTTTTGCTAAATAGAAGCAGGTACTATTCAGACAGTGAAGGAAATCATGACTGGGTTGTTTTTGCTTGTTTGTCATCCTGTTTCCCAGGAAGATAATGGAAATGATATGTGGCCAGTTAATCATCAGTGAGGTGGAGTTTCCATGAGGCTTCTGCAGGGTTGTAACTACACCAGAACCTTCACCAGAAGCCCCACTCCTCAATTACGGGCTATTTCAGTTCTAGGTTCCTCACTGCGGAACAGAAATATCTGCCCAGAGTTAGCATTAGGACCTAGCAAACTACACCTGGTCCATAGATTGCCCTGACCTAGTGTGTTCTTTCAGAGGATTGTCCACATTCAAACACTGAAGCAATTTTATTTTGTAGCTAAGACTTCTTAATGTGTGGGAACAAAGTTCAAAGGTGGGTAGCTCTGGAGGAATTCGTTCTCAGAACTCCCATGCAGATTGCAGAGCTGTAATGGTATTATTTATTGTGCCAAGCATCTTTTCAGAACCTGCCACTAGACTGTAAGCTCCACAAGGGCAGGGACTGTGCTGTTTTATTTATTTCTGTGTTTCCTGCACCCGGCATAGAGTAGCACAATAGAATTTTGTTCAGGTTGGGCGCAGTGGCTCATGCCTATAATCTCAACACTTTGGGAGGCTGAGGCTGGAGGATCTTGAGCCCAGGAGTTCAAGACCAGCCTGGGCAACATAGTGAGACCATGTCTCTACAAAAACAAAAAAAAAGTAATTGAGTGCAGTGGTGCATGCCTGTAGTTACAGCTACTTGGGAGGCTGAGGTGAAAGGATCACTTGAGCCCGGGTGTTCAAGCTTGCAGTTAGCTATGATCATACCATTGTACTCCAGCCTGGGCAACAGAGCAAAACCTCATCGCAAAAAAAAAAAAAAAAAAAAAAAAAAGAGTTTTGTTCAATGTGTGGTGGGAACTTGGAATTCAGAGTCACATGATGGAAGGTACAAACACAGCATTATAGTAATGAGACTGAAAGCAAGACTGTATTGTGAAATACATAAAAACATCAATACTACAGCAACTGTCCTTGCAGGGAGAAAGCTATTTTGACTAGGTATTTATTAACAAATAGATGATTTTCTACTATCCTCTCTAATAGAGCCCTTGATGAGCCAGGAAGTCCTGCCCAATGAGTAATCTGATTGTCTCATTGGAAGAGAAGTTACCCTATATTGGCTTGTGAATAGGGCATATAGTAAAGCCACATAATGAACTCAGACCCCCAGTGGGAGGAAAATGATCCCATGTCCCCTGATGGATGGAAGGGGAAGAATAATGCTTTTTCTTAAATTTTGCTGCCTGATTACTATACAGGGGAAGTTCACTCAACTTGGTTGTAACCTACCCTCCTGAGAAGCCTAATGTACACAGCTCCACCAACTATGTGCCATCTATTTGTACAACCAAACCCTTGCTATATTTGTCACCTTAGTTTTCCCATATGCCTTCCAGGTGTCTTGGTGGGTGGTGGGGAGAAGGGATTACAAAGATGTGTCTTTTAGTCAAGAACTTATGTGATGGGCATGAGGGGTTGTCATTCAACATCCATTTCAACCTTCTTCTGCTGGGCCTTTCTATAATGCAGAGGTTTAAAAGCTAAAAACTGGATTTCCCGGAGTCCTCTGCAGTCAGAGTTGTGGATGTGGTTTAGATGCATTCTTATTTGGAAGGCAAAGGGAAGCAGAGGCATTGCTTCCCGTATTGTGCTGTGGTTGCATTGCTATGAAGAAATACCTGAGACTGGGTAATTTATAAAGAAAAGAGGTTTAATTGACTCACTGCAATAAAGTTCTGCAAACTTTATAGGAGGCATGGTGCTTTCATCTGCTCAGCTTCTGGGGAGGCCTCAGGGATCTTACAATCATAGCAGAAGGCAAAGCTGGAGCAGGCATGTCACATGGTGAAGCAGCAGCAAGCCAAGGGAGTGGGGAAGATGCCACACACTTTTAAGTGGTCAGAACTGTGAACTCAGAGCGAGTGCTCACTTATCACCGGGAGGATGGCCCAAGCCATTCATGAGGGATCTGCCCCCATGTTGCAAACACCTCTCACTAGGCCCCACCTCCAACATCGGTGGTTAGAATTCCACATGAGATTTGGGTGGGAACAAATATTCAAACTGCATCACTTCCCCTGGCAAGGATGGTTGAGGAAGCATGTGGTTTCTCTGTAGCAGTATTAGCAAAGGCCCCACTGCCTGGCCATTAGCCATGTGTGTGGACTGGGAATGGATGTGGGAAGGCAGGGAGCAGGGCACCCTTGTTGCTGGCACAGATCATCTCACAACTGGTGGAGTCCTGGAGCCGGCAGCCACAATCGGGGCTTGCCCAAGCCTATTATCATGGCAGTGGGTGTGTTTGTAGCTCAGCTTCCCAATCAGCAGGCAGCAACTTTGGAGGCCTGGTTCTGTTGTGTGACTTGTAAGTTGTTTCCAGAAGAACCTAGAGTTTGTTTCTTTAGCCCTCCCAATGTTCTATAAGCCATTTAGTATATTGTAATAAATCCCTTTCTGCTTAAGTTAGCCAGATTGAATTCTTTTCTTTGCAGTAAAACCCTGACCCCCACAGCTTGCCAATGTGGGGCTGAATCAAACTTTCTGAGTTAGGTATTAGAGGGTTTCCCTCCCCAGTTACTATTGCCTTGGTTTTAGACAATTATTTGCAAAACTGCTGATGTGTTACTTTTGATTCCTGAATTCCAGCTATTGTGTTTTTTCCACTATAGTCTAGTAAGTGGTAAGCAATTAGAAATTCACGATTTTGCATTTTATTATGTTTAATAACATGTTGAACCTGTAACATATTAAATTCTATGTTCAGAAAACTGTTGAGCCTGCTAACTTATCCATCAGGGCCTGGGTTTAGGATGGTCTTGTCTGTTGTGTTAATAAGCCATTGCTCCTGGGTATCTCAGTGATCTCCGGATGACATGTAATATAAAATTGACGGCAATAATTGTTATAATAAAGCATTATATTTGTACCCTCTTTTATGGTGTTTGAAAACATGATCTCTTATGTCAGAGGTAAGGGAAAGTGTTATAGAGGAGAAAATTGAGATTCAGAGACATACGATAATTTGTTGAAAGTCATGAAGTTAGTTAATAAATAGCAGAGCCAGATCAGAAAATCTTATCTTTGACAACAAGAAAAGCAACTGAATGATGTAACACATTTCTTCTACTAACCAGCCAACAATAGGCTAAGATATTTAGTGGAGCCAGCTCTCCTTTTAAAAACCTCTGCTGAAGAAGGTTCATCAGATGGTGCAAAAAAATAAGCAGTGCCTTTGGAGTTACAAATTTCTTTGCAAAGGCTGGTGGTGTTGACAGGAGAGGAGTTGTGGGGTGAAGGCAGAGAAACAGGATTCAAGCTGAAGCGATTCCTTGCAACATCTGTTAGTGCTGAGGCAAGCTTGGGTTACTGCTTTATTCCACAAAACAAGGATGTGAAAAGCAGCCCTAGGAAAAGACATTAGGATGGGCTGAGGCAGTGGAGGAGGATGGCATAGGGTTACTTGTGGGAAGGAGAGCAGATGACCTGCTGGGCCGAACATTTCAGTTAACACTTTTCTGGGTTATTGTTCTTGCTATTAAAATCTATTACTAAAGAGTCCTTCAAAAGAATGGTTATGGGTTTGAAACAGAAAGAGAATGAAGCACTCTTTTCCACCAGATATCTCTTTGGTCCTTATAGCTAAGACTTTCCTGGACTTAGTTTTCCCTTTTTTGGTACATAAGGAGGTTTCCTTTTGCTGTGGAAGGATTTACATGTAGCCAAATGTTTCATGGGCCTATCTGTAATGTGCTTTAAAGCCTTTTCTGAAAGTGAAATTTATTTAAAGGAAAAGCTGTTTCCTACTAGTTGGAACGACATCTAGAAGTATGATTCATGCAGCTGGTCCCAAGCGCCTCGAGAGTAGACTTGCCACAGAGCAAGCCTAAAGATGTTAACCTTTATAATGCCATGATTTGTCTTCTGTGGCCCTGCCACCAGGAACCTAAGTATTTCCAGTGCCTTCTGTTGTTTTGCAAAGCAACTGATTGATAATAGTAACTAAGGCCTGTTGGAGTGCTGCAAACTATCATCATAGGAGGGAAATTGATGGTTGGAAGAGTGAGGTGGTTAAGGCTCCCTGTTCCAGGGGCTGGCCTCAGAAACCAATGACTGGTCCGTGTATGGAATCAGGTCTGGAAAGGAGCCGTGGCCATATCCTCACATCATAAAAATTTGGACGGGCTTTGCACACGGACAGACCTGGGTTTGAGTCACTTCACTAGCTTTTTGATACTGGGCAAATTATTTAATGTTTGTCTCAGCCTAGATTTCCTCATTTGTATAATAAGGATGATACCATCAAAGGGCTGTTGTGAACACTAGAAAAAATTATTTTAAGGCTTGAACAATAATGCCTGGCACATGGTAGATGCTCAACAAATGGCAAACGACTGTTGTGATTATGCTCATGCTTGTTTGCTCGTCATTTTCTTAACCAGTGCTAAGTTTTTCTTGAGGGGCCCCTTCTATTCACCTCTTTTCTTCCCTCTGTCTCTATTTCTGTTATGAGCATGAAGTTTACATGCAGTGTTTCTATTTCTGTATCTCAAAACCCTTGTATGAAAAAAAATTATCCTCAAAATAGCCTTGCAAAATAGGCAGTCAGCAGGGTTAGTGTCCTTATTTCAGAAGTGGGAATAATGAGGCTAAGAGAAAAAAAGAGTTAGAGAAAGACTAAATAAAATAGAAGCCCTAATCTGGGGTTATGGGCTTTAAATCCCTGAAAACGAATGCAAAAAAAATTTTTGGTGCATTTTGATTGCAAGAAGGTCTATAGCGTTCATCAGATTCTCAGAGGTCTCGGGATCCCTCCAAAAAGGTTAAGAAGCACTGTGGATAAAGACCTTCTAGACTAGAGAGCTATCTGAAGGGAGTTCATGGTTTCTGCTTTCCTGTAGGCAGAATAGTAGTAGTGCACTTTGCTGGTGTATCATTTCCATCAGTATCGCCTCTGGGCCACTTTGAAAATGTAGATCCCTAGGCCCCAGCCCAGACCTACAGAATCAGAGTGTCAAGAACTGGAGCTGGGGTATCTGGCATTTGAACGAGTTCTCCAGGTGATTTTTATGGCCACTCAAGTTTGGCAGTCCACTGGTGTGGCAGTAAAAGCTGCCTTTGGAAACAGATCACCAGGTTAAGAGCCTCCCCTTCCACCTATGGGAACTTGAGCTATTACTTCAGTTTCTTCACCTGCAAAATGGGGAGAATAATCATGACTCCTTCATAAAACATTTGCGAATATTAAATAAGGTACTGTCTGCCCAGTGTTTAACTAGTGGCTTAATATGATAAATACTCAAATGTTAGCTGAACTGATAATAATAATTATGAGTGTTATTATTATCAGTACTATCATTAGAGAGATTGGAGCAAATTGAAGGCTCTGACTCTCTCTGGGAAATTAATGTTTGACCATTTATTAATACTTCAGCCACTTTTGAGAGCCGTCTGGCTCACCTGCAATATCTGTCAGCATCAATCCTAAACTGTGAAGACTGATGAGATGAACACATTAGCCATATTACAGATGATGGGCAATTTCATTTTCTTTTTTCTTCTTAGTTGTGAATTTTTCTGCCATGAACATGTATGACCAAAACAAACACACACACACACACACACGTACACACAAACAAATCCACTTCTAGTTTTTCAAAAAGGAGTATTTTACTCATGATTGACTGAAAAATAATTCAGAGTTTATTATCTGTGACATTGCAGTAAATTTTTTAGTTAACGAATCAGGAATTTGACCCCCCATATTACATTGTTTGAAAAAATAGGCATTACTTACAAGGGCTTAAAGGGGCTTTTTCAGGGAGTGAAGCACATTTCAGTAGAAAGCCTGTCTGGGGGAGCATGACATTATTGTTGCAGAAATTAGAATTCTAGAGGTTGTTGCCTGATTTTGAAATAGTTGCCTGTCTTTATGAAAGACTGAAAAATTCATTTGAGAGTTTTCTTCTCAAACAGCTTCCAAAGTGACTGAGAAACTCTCACAAATATAAGATATATGTGAGAATGCATATTCAGAAGGGTGAACTGTACTTTTCAGATATGTTGGGCCTATTTGAAAAAAACAAAAGGCAGTTTAAAAAACCTGGCATATATAATACATAATTGTTTGGAATAATTTCACACACACATGTGTACATACATACATAGCATATGTGTAAACATTTTCAACTGTATTAAACTATAGATTTAAAATCACACAGTTCAAGTCAAGACCAGAAGCCAGGCCAAAAGAAAAACAACAAAGTATAGCTAATGAAACACAGTATTAATAATGCAATAATAAAGAGCTAATCCTTGGGATTAGTTCTGGCTGCTATTTTTTAAAATGAGTTGCCAAGGAGAGGGATGAGTAGCAAAGTCATCTGGTGACCAGAAACTACTCAGGAAAAAAGATATGCAACAAAGGACAAAAAAACTCAAGAACATAGGCTAATGACGAGAAGCAACATGAAATTCACAAGTCCCAGAAGGAATATTTTAAGGAAACACAACTGTGAGGTGGAATTTAAAGTTTGTGGTAACTGATGAGGAAAAATAAAAGTCAATTGACAACAGAGAACCATCTGCTGAGAAAAGGCTCGGTTGCTTTTTCCTCTTTCATCTTCTTTTGAATAACTCATGGTCTTCGGGTTGCCCTCCAGCCTCCTTGTCCACTGTGGCTCTTGGCTTTATGCCCTTGGCTAGATCTTGCGGCTGCTTGAACTCATTCCCCAAATCCTACTTTGGCACTGTGAGTTTGTGTGTGATTGCCAGACACTGTTATGGCTCCATTCCATTCCTGGGACAGCTCAGCAATGTGATTGGGTAGGGAAAAAACACCTGGAGGGTGGCACAGAGGTGTCAGGGTGGCTTGGGCCCATGAGCTGGTGGGTCAGTGTGGGCCAGTTGCATAAGAGGATAGAGCCCCTGCCTCTTCCATTCACTTCCTCATGCAGACCCAGGGGTTAAAACTACCATGGGTTTTTTTTAACAAGCGGAAAAATACCTGAGTGAAGTTTGTAACCAAGCTGTGTTGGTCCATTCTCAACGGAGAAGAAAATGGCCTAATTGGAAGCCCAGGTTATCTGTGTTCTTCCTATCTAATGTCAATCACCAGAATGCCTGCTCTGCTTTTACTTAAGGGAATCCCCTTTGTTTCATGTGTGTCCAAAGTCCTCCGAGACCGCTCCTTCCAATCTCTAAAGGTTAGTTCAGCAGCTACAGCCAATCTTAACATGGTGGTCCATTCTCTACTCTTGATTTCCTTTCCTGTTCTGTTTTCTAGCCCCAAACCTTCAGGAATAGGACTGGACAGTGGCTTCATTGCCGTAATCAGGTAAACCTAGGGAAAGAAAGTTGCATCTGCATGTCAGCCTTATTCTCTTACGTTTCCATCTCTGTGTTTCTGTTCTGAATCTCTGTCTCACACACATACACCTTTATGATTTCTGTGTTGCACATTTACTCTGTCTTTGCTTTCTCATCACTGTTATGGTCTTCCTTCTGTATTTTACACATAATGCTCCCAACTGTCATTATTTTCTTTGTAATGATAGTAATTTTCATTATGGGTCCTATTCCTATGGTCATCTTCTTTCATTTCCTCAATCCTTTTTCAACTTTGCTGAAATCTGTTGATAATAACTCCTTCCACCCTAGGGATAATAATTCCCCCTTACACTTTATATGAAGAATAGGATGAATTCAAAAGGGAGAGTGCCTTCCCTTCTGAATCTGGTGCCTGTGGGTGCCTTTGCCTTTTTTAACCCTCTCGCTATGGAATGACATTCCACTGTTCTGGGTACCCAGCAGGTGACATAGTACCTTTGGTCTGAAGATTGGGCTTAGCTGATTGGTACACATTGTCGCTACCCTGTTAGTTCTTGAATGGGTTACAAACTTCATTGAAAAAAAAATGGAAGTTGTGTAAGAAATATTTTCAAGCATGAATTTTCTGTCGACATACTCTCTTTCGTCACGGTCAACTCAAAAGTCTTCATGGGACATGATGAGCTGAGCTGGCAGCAAAGGAAGGAGTGGCCAAGAGCTCCCTGTGTCCAGGCTCCTGACTCAACATCTCTGGTCATCAAGCTGGCTTTCCAGGCATAGAAATAGGCACGAGAGTTTTCCACTGAACTTGACTAAATCAAATGAGGAAATACATGAAGGTGTTGGTTTCTAGCACTTAACTTTTCCTGTGGCTGGGCTAATAGGCAAAGCCAGGGACTATTTCAAACTGGAGTTTCTGCAGCCCAGCAGCATTGCATGAATAAAAGTAACAGTTACAAGTTGGCAGTTTAATTCAGGGGCAATCAATCTACCATCTCAAGGGATTGCTTTGGGGAAGTGGAACCAAGAGTAGGAAAGAAGTTTATGGGTTAAGATTTTGGTCTTCTTTCAGGTATGCTATTAATGTGCCCTGTGACTGGGTCCATGCCCCAGTCCTATTTTCCTGGCTTTATGGAAGATGCCACAACATCAGCTGAGCTGATATAAGAATTTCCTAACTCATGTAAGATGATTTATAACCCTCAGATTAATAAGTAGTAGCATGTGATCATCTCACATTGTTGTATGCTAGCCATCTCTGACATAATGTACTGTCATCTATCAGCTCTTAGCAATTATTAACAGAATGTGACTGTATTTATTTTATGTGTATAACTCTTGTTGACATTATCTGCATTGTCTTGTGCATATTTTAACTCATATATTTTCTTTGAAGTACTTCTCCAAAAAATTATTTGCTTTGGGTATTTCTCTTTGATTTTATCTATGGTTTTTCCTCTTCTTTCCAAGTGTTCTTCTTTTTCTCAAATGTTCCTTCACTGTCTTTATCATCCTAGAATTTTATTTTAGTCTTGGGATTTATTGAACTTCTTCTCCAATATTTCATTAGCATCTCATCCATGGTTTCTCAGAATTCCTTCACATGGTTCAGCCATTTTGATACTTCTTAAAACTTTTAAACCTTTGATTAAATAAATACTTGCTCCAAAACACATAAAAATTCTTTGACTGGGATTAAAACAACTTTTCAGAAAGGAATACAATTCTTATAAACACGTTTATGTGTCATATTAAGTTCAAAATAGATGTGTTCCTACACATTATAGAAAGTCTAAGTTTAATTTTTTAAAGGTTGAGTAAATACACACTTGAAAATGCCTACAATTTTTTTTGCCTACAATTCTTATAAACAGTTCCTAACTACCTGTCAACAGTCAGTGTCAACATTTATAAGTTAACAAAACAACATGCTTTGACAGAGTCACTAAATCCTTGTCTGTTTATTTCTGGAATGATCATGTGAAAGTCATGTCCAGCTGAACCTTAGAAAAACATACAAATTTTACATAGAATAGAACACATAGAAAATAGAGGTTTCAACAGTGGATCTGTCTAGAGGGCGTAGGGCCTTTATCCATGTGCAAACAGGCCAGTTTTCACCTCTTAGGGCCAGTCCTATGCTTTAGAGATAGTGGTGCTAATTAAAGCATTTGTTGCCAGAGTATTTTTACTAAACGCTGCCTATGAATCAACTGAGACCTTGTGTCCACCAATAATAATGATAATAAAAAATGCCAGTATTTAAAAAGCGTGGCACAGCCACTGACCAAGTGACAGCTGATGACACACCCTACCACCCTGAGGGGGGAGGGATGATGGCATTATTTCACATTGACTCAGAAGGCAATGGATTCTTCCATGTACCTACAGGGTCAAATGTTGTCCATTGGTTCCAAGCCCTTGTCTTTCTTTGACATACATTTCTGCTTTGGGTAAATCTAATTCTGGTAAATTGATTGCATCAGTGGCCCCAGTTAAAGGCCTCCCTATATTCTTACCTTTGCAGTGTGATTTTGTTGCCCCTCCAGTTGAGAATCTGTTCTTTACCTTTTTGGATGTGGCTGGCCTGTGGTTCGCCTTAGCTAACAGAATGCAATGGAAGTGATGGGGGTGGGGGTCATTTCTAAGCCTAGGCCTTAAGGGGCCTTGGGTACATCCACCTTGTCTTTTGGAACCCTACCATAAGAACAAGCCTGGGCTAGCCTGCTGGAGGATGAGAGACCACACAGAACAGAAACAAGTCATCTCAGCTGAGGCCAACCCAGACCAGCCAGTCTCTGGCCTACCAGCTTACTGCAGACACATAAGGGAGCAGTGGAATGAAGTGTAGTAGTGAGGATGTAGTCTTTGGAGCTAGACAGACTTAGAATTGAGTCCTAGTGCTATCACTGCATAGTGAAATGATTTCAGGCAAATTCATTAACCTCTCTGGTTTACTTTCCTCATCTGTAAAATGGGGATAGTAACAATAGCCACATCACTGGGTTGTTCTGAGAATTCAATAAGTAAGTCCATGTAAAATATGTAGCACAATGACTACTATTAATAAATGATACACTCTAAAAACATGACTAATAATTAATAATAATATTGCAGTTGAAGTATTGGCCTAGCTCATGGTGGGGCATACAATTAAATGTGTTGAAAACTGTAAAAAAAAAAAAAAAAAAAAGTCCCTTTATACTTTGTTGCTCTGGAAGGCAGCCCCAGTATCTGGGTGGATATTAGAAACTGATATATTTAGGAAAAATATAAGAAAGAGACTCCTAATAGTTAGAGCTCTCCAATGACAGAGCAGGCAGCTGAGCAAAAATAAGAGAACTCCTTGTCTCTTGAAGTTTTCAAACAGTCTGGAAGACCATCTGGCAGAGATATTGCCGAGGAGATTCCTATTTGAGTAGGAGTTGGAAGAAATAAATTCTAAGGTCTCTTCCAGATCTAATAATAAAATTATATTTTATTTACTTAAAATATTTAATTGGACTTTTTTTTTTCTTCCCCAACCAGCATATTTGTAGCAAGCCAAACCACAAGGCAACCAAATGACAGGGTGGGGTGAGTGAGAGGGCTTATCTCTACTCCTCCTAATCTCATCCTTCTGGAGTAACCCTTGTTGACAGCTTGGTTTGTGTTCTTCTGGACTTTTCTTTACACACATACAAACTAATGCAAACATACACATGCACACCATTGCCCTCCTTCCTCCACGGTGTTTGCTATTTTTTTTTAATGATCATAAGATCATACTATATATGCTGTTCAATAACTTGATGTTTTCACTTAATGTATCATGGGTATAACTGATTTTAAGGTTCACATAGACAAAAAAGTGTGATTGTAATTCTAAGACCATTTTGAAAATTGACTTCTTAGATATTAAACTTATTATAAAGCTAATTAATCATAATAGTATGGCATCAGCACAAAAAATAAATCATAATAGAGAGTCCAGGAGTAATTACAAATTCATATGGGAATTTGTCATTTTAAATTGGTAAGGAAATAATTCCTTTCCTTCCCATCTGTGTAGATTCTTACCATGCATCCTATACAAAGACTATTACATAAAAATAAAACAAATTTAAGGACTTAAATATAAGACATTAACCATAATAGAAGGCAACCTAGGTCATTCTTTTTATAACCTTGAGGTGAACTTCTAAACAAGACAAGAAACCCAGAAGCCAAGGAGATTGACAAATTTGACAATATAAAAAGAAATAAATAAAGACTTTTGCTTGGAAAAAGACACAGTAAACAAAGATGAAAACCAATCACGTAAGGAGAAAATATTTTTAATACATGTGACATCAATGACTTAATGTTCTTATATATTTTTAAGAACTCTACAAACTGATAAGAAAAATTAAAAACTCATGTCCAGTTTCAAATTGGACAGCGGATATCAACAGGTAGTAGAAGAGGAAATCAGACAGGCAATAAACACATGAAAAGGTGCAAACGTTACCAATTGTGATGGAAATGTGAATTAAAGCAGAAATAAGCTATCATTTTCATGGATTTTATTTGCCAGAATGTAAAAGATTTATAACAAGAAGTAAAAAGACTGTGGGGAAAATAGCTCTCATAAATTGCTCTTGGGAATGTGAAATGTCCTCTTTTAAGAAAGTACTTATCCAGCAGATTAAAGTGAAAAATTTATCATGTTCTTTGACCCATTCTGCCTTTTAAGAATCTCTCCTACATGAAACCAGTAGGGTGTAAAAATATGTATTCAAAGATGCTTATTATTGCATTGTTTGAAGCAGCAAAAAGTAGAAAAATTATCAATGTTTATAATCAGGGCATAGACTGAATAAATAATGACACATTATACTGCAGAATATTAGGGAGCTAATTTTTAAAGAAAAGATATTGATTTGGTGGGACAATCCAAATTTAATTGACATTTTTAAATTATAAAAGTGGCACATAGTTAATACAGAAAATCCGGATAGTAAGTACTAAAAAACTTTTAACTTATGTTTCTCAGAGTTAGCCCTGTTATGTTTTCATTAGCTTTCTAGTTCTGTGTGTATATGTGTATATGTGCACATATACACAATATATATGTGTATATGTGCATATATACACAATATATGTATTTATATAGTTATATTTATTCATACTTATATTTGAATTTTTAAACAACATAAAATGGTAAGCATTTTCTTCCATTAAATGTACAAATTTAAATAGCTGACTAATGGTCTATGCCAAGGCTGTAGCATAATTTGTTTTTGTCAGTGGAAATCGAGGTGGTTTACTGGTTTTGGTGTTTAAAGTAATGCAATGGATCACTCATGCATTGCTGGTGGGAATGTAAAATGGTATAGCTGCTCTGGAAAACATTTTGGTAGCTTCTTAAGAAAACTAAATATGCACTGCCATACAATCCAGCAATTGAGCTCTTGGGCATCCTCTGAGAGAAAGAAAAACTCATACTTACACAAAAACATATACATGAATGTTCACAACAGCTTTATATGTAATAACCCCAAATTGGAAGCAACCTAGATGCCCTTCAATGGGTGAATGATTAAACTGTGGTACATGGCATACCAGGGACTATTATTCAGCAATAAAAAGGAACGAACTATTGATACACACAACAACTTGGATGGATCCTCAGGGAATTATATGGAGTATAAAAAGCCAATCTAAAAGATTGCATACTGTATGAGTCCATGTACATAACATTCTTGAAATGACAACATTATTGAAATGAAGACCAGATTAGTGATTGCCAGGGATTACTCAGGGAGTGGGGGCAGGAAGGGAGTGGGAGTGGCTATAAAAGGGCACCACGGGGGAGCCTATGATGATGGGAATATTCTGCATCTTGACTGTATCAATGTCAGTATCCTGGGTATATATTGTATCGTAGTTTTGTAAGTTATTTCCATTAGGGAATAATTTGGGAAAGAGTCCATAGGATCTCTTTGTATTATTTCATACAACTGCATGTGAATCTACAATTATCTGAAAATGAGAAGTTAAAATAAAAACCATTAATGCAATGAACATTTCTATACACGTGAACATCTGTTTTCCTAGGCTGTATTCCTAGAGGTGACATTTCTGCTGGATATTGTATTAACACTATTGAGACTTTTGAAGCACATTGTCAAAATGCTTTTTAGGAAGGTTCGTACAGCTCATACAAGTCTACGTTTTCGCATAATGTAGGCAGTTGCTGCAGTTTTTCTAACATTATAGAGTTCTTGCCTTTGGAGAAGCACTGTTCAAAGCACTTTACCTCTCATTTAATCTCCCCAAAAGGCCCATGATCTAGGGTGTTGCTGCTGTCACTTTACCGATGAGGAAACTGACACTCAGAGAGGCTGAGGAGCCCAGCTGAGGTGGCATGCTAGTTAGTGGCACGATTGAGACTCATACTAGGTTCGTTTAATGTCAAATCCAATGTGCTAACCACTGTGCTACCCTATGCACTTAATTATTAGACTACTTGTTAGTTGCTAGGTATGCAATCTAAGGATTAAGAGGATACTGTAAAGAGATAGGAAAAAATTACTGTTTGAATAATACTGGAACCTTGGAAGACCTATGGTCTTGGTTTGATACTTCTGGAAGCATTATTAACTCAAATCAGTCTTTCCGTTGGTCCTCTCGCTCTTAGGGCCTAAGTCTTCATACTGTTTTCTCCCCCAAGAAGTTTTCAGCTTGCTTTTAAAGGATAGCGGTAGGGATGGTTGTCTGTTGCTGGTGCATTTCTCATAAAGACTTAGTCTTAACTTTTTAATCTTTGTGTCTGTGACACATGTAGTTATGTTCTTAACTCATTTATAGGCTAAGTGGAATGTAAAAATAAGGAAGGGTACATTATCCCCAGTGCTGTGTGTACTGCATTTATGTGAGGCCGCTCATCATTACCCTCATAAATGTGCCAAAGCTTTCATTCTTCAGTTGTTCCAAGTAGGAAGTTAATCATCTTTATTAAGTGTTTCCCAGAGAGTCTTGTTTTAACAAAGCTGCTTTTTTATTGTATGATTTTTAGATTTCATTTAATGTACTGAGTTGAGTCCTCCAGGAAAATGACATTTTCATGGTGGTCCTTTGTTTATGTAGGACCGTATTTCATCCGAAACTACTTAATTTGGTCTATTTGCATAATTTCTTAAAGTATAGCTGATAACATTTAAATTAGAGGTTGGTAGTTTTTGTAGTACAGAAAAAAAGTCAGACAGCAATTTGTTTTGCTAGTCTTTTAGGACTTGGAGTTTTATATGATTTTATATCAAAAATTGTTGTCTTGAATTCAATTTAAATAAATGCTGTAGTAATCTGGGTCAGTTCATAAAAATTGGGTTAGTTTCTGAATCATTGTTATAATTGTGGCTATGTAGGTTTTAAGTGAGTTGGTTACTTTGTATAGCATGCCGAACTTTCATTCATTCATTTGTTTAATTCATTTTCTTACACTTCGGCACATTATTTCACATTCTGTAACTACTCTGAGTTATTGCCCTCTTTTTCATAAAACAAAGTCCTGCGCTTTCCCATCTCTCTGTATGTGAAAATCTGTACCATGTCTTGCTCCCTTTTTATGGCTCTTTTGTGGAATTTTTTCCTTTTGGGAGAGAGTGACCCTAAATGATAAAGATAAACCATGAATGATTTATGAAACAGAATAATATATCCCATATTTTCCCAAATCCCTCTAACTTCTATTGGTTTTTTTCTTGGACTACCGCTGCACATTGAGCATACATCTTCATCGAGCTGTCCAGAAAGACGCCTAGTTCTTTTTACAGGTCTGGAAGCTCTCCATGTGTTCCGCAGGGCCAACGTTAAAAAGGATTGTAAATTGCCAAGAAAGCAAAAATAAAAATTCAGATGTAATGAACATCTTATGACAGAGGTGATTGAGTTCTTGGAATTGAAAAGTAATTGGATCTAATTGTGAAGCCCAATTGTTTATAGCAGGAACATGTGTAGGATTGATGAGTTTGGATGGTCTATTCCACACTGAATCTAAGCACCGTTAGCCCCAAATGACCATGTGCATAATGTGTGTTTGTTCAAGTCATGCTTCTTATTGGGTAAAGCAGATGACAGTCATACTATCCCAGTGATGTTGAGGCTCTCCCATTAGAAGAGGGGCTGGAGTAGGAGACCCTTGTGTGGTGGTTCTCAACATTTTCTTAATGACTTTATGCCATTCACATGTGTAATGTGTGCCCCTCAGTAGTTGCTCTCATTCCACTTCAGTGATTTTCAACAATTGCAGGGGCAGATGGTGGTGGGAGTGGGGTGAACCGGGGACATTAGCAGAATGTCGGGGTATGTGCTCTAAAAATACCCTCCAGGAAATGATGAGCTACCATTTCTCTCAATACTGCCTGCCTCCTCCTGTTGAGAATAACTCATATGAGAACATAGCAAGGGTTATAAGGAAATACTGTGTTTAATTCCTGGTCAATAAAAATGGAAATTTTCAAATAAATGGACCTTCTACGTAGAAAATTATAAATTATCAAGATTGATTCTAAAAGTAAAAAAAATTATCCACAAATAGAATCATGAAAATAATTAATGTCAAAGATTTATACCCAAAAGGCTTCAAAACTATATAGTTCTATGGATAAATTCTTTTTAACTTTCAAGGAACAAATTAATCCCAATGATATAAGTAAGCTGTTCCTGTATGACCCCGTATGATACCAATATTTTATCAACAAAATGCATGTGCAGACTATCATATATAGGGAAAAAAACAACATTCAAAACAAATACTTTAAATAGTTAAAGTCACATATCTGATTGGTGGGATTGGGGGTTTTATATTTTTCTTTACATTTTATTTTCCAAATTATATTGAACATGAAATATTTTTATTAATTTATTTTTATAATTTTATATACAAAATCAATGAATCATTTTTTCTTGAAGAGAAGAAAGTGGTTGTGAATACAGTGAATGGCAGGTCACTTGAGCACAGTGTGGCAATTCTGTGACAAACGTCCACTTTGCATTGGAAAGGCCTCTTTGTGGAGTATCTGTTGTCACTGTCGTTTATAGGACCTTTAGATTCCCCTAGGCCAGTGGCCCTCCACTCTGCCTGGATGTTAGAATCATCCAGGAAGCTTTAAAATTATCTCCTTGGTACTGGTATACATTTTGAACGCTCTGCAGGTGATTCTAAAGTGCAGTGTGGTCCAGAACCATTGTCAGAGGCTCACCGTGTATGTCTTAGAGAGTTCTGACATTTTGACTCATTTCAGCAGCAAATAAATGAAGTGGAAGCCATCGGTCCCTTTGGCAGGATAAGCTGAGACCAGTGAAAGCTCATCCCTACCTTCAGTCTGTCTTTTTGGCCGTTTGAGTGTAGGGTGTCCAGTCTGAATATCTGTCCTTCACTGAGATGCAATTTGGGATAATAGCTCTCCAGTGAAAATTACTCAGTATGAGGCTGTTGTTTACAAGAACTTTTCAGTTCAACTCTTCTTAGGGAACAAGAGGTTTAGTTTGGTTCCTAGTGATGTGCAACTCCAAGAATTTCCATTACACCTGGCTTGGATGTCAATTCTGTTTCTTATCACTCAATAAAACAATTTATTAGGAAAATAAGGTTTAAAAGTGCCAGATGACATATAGTACAGCCCTTGTAAATCATATATGTCCTAAATCTTGTTGGACAGCAGGAGAGGTAACTCAGATACGTCTTTCCTTAGGGCTCCTGGCTGGGAGCTTGGTCCTGAGGTCTGCGCTGGGCTAAAGAATGAGACTATGCAGATAGTTGGAAGCAAAGCGGGACGGCCTTGGACAACGTCTGCTGGCTCCAGTCTGAAGCCTGGCGTGGGCTGTGGGCTTGTCAGCTCTGGGTCCACTTTGTTATTATCACAAATAGGAAGCCCAGTCTCTTGGCAGTAGCCAAGGATGAGGGGCCAGGTGGGCTTAAGGAATGTGACACAAATACTGCTTTATTATGCACTTCTTGGTTTTTCCATCGAACTTTAAAGGTGGCAGTATTAAGGATAAATGATCAGGCATTGCATGGGAGCAGAAACAGTTCTGCCTCTCCCGAACATCTCCTATGTCCTGTTATGCCCCCATACTTCTCTGGTGATTTATCTTTTCAAATCGACAGCCCTCTGGAGCAGTAGGAAAATCATTACCGTATCTATCTAGCGGCAGGAACACTGAAAGCTGTCATAAAGCCCAAGCTTTCTCCTTTTTGCCCTCATCATCCTGTGAACCACAGAGATTTTGTAGATACAAGTATTTTCCATCAAGCTTATGAATAACACCACTTGGCAGAGGACCCTGAACAAAGAACCAGACTGCAGTGTTTTGTAGTGACTTTTACATACAATGTGCCTTAATTACTGGCAAGCCTGTCAAGAACTTATTCCCACATGTGTCAACACTTTCTTAATACACTGTAATTCATCATGTTAGCATGGCAGAAACAAGGTACTCTACGTCCTTACACGCGCCCTTCTCCAAGTGCTGGTCTTGAACTGCATATCCCTTCTTGAGTGTCTTCATCTGGCGAACAAAGAACAGGTTATAGCATTGAAATGGTGAGGTCCCTGGAGCCCATCAAAGTCGTCCATCACTGAGTACTTTAGCTTGGGCTCCGGAGCACTCTCCATCCAAGAAGCACTGCTTTATTGTCAAAAGGACGTTCACTTAGTAACAGCAGTAAATCGTGAAAGGCAGTCTAATTTTAGGCAGAACACTTGGCTAAGAGAGAATCCTATCATTTACCCCTCGTGACAATTTTATTCATTGAGTTCATTTTCATGTTAGTTGCATGATTAAATTAGGATCGGAATGTATTGCTTTTTAATAAAAAAAAGGAGTGCCTTTCTGGTTGGGGGAAAGAGGGCAGGAAGGGGAAAGGAAGTCTAAATAATAAACACTGCGTTTCAATTGGAAATAGAGTGATTTGACATGCCACATTATGCTTTCTGGATCATCTCTTAACCCTTTGGCTCTTCTGAGTGAATTTAAAAATGGGCTCTGAGCCTGATGGTTTGGGAAAGAAGTGGTGAATCTGAGCCCTGTCTCAGAGAAAAATTGGCATGGGGTCCCAAAGCAACTTTGCTTTTAATACTTATTCAGATTGCTTATTTCACTTTTGTATTTCAGTTTTATAGCTGAGGAGAGGGAAGATAAATTTATCTACCTCAAGTTTCAGATTACATGAGATATGCTTCATATGATCTCTTGGGTAATGCATGCATTTTAGAAAGTTCAGAAGGAAGGGACCACAGATCTGGGTGTGAGAAGCAGAAAAGTTTTCTTTCTGGTACTGCTGAAGCTTTAAAGAAAGTTCTCTCTGAGTGTCTGTCTTGCAATCTGTAAAACCTAGTGTTTGATGGCCATTCCTTACTCTCAGTTATTGAAATCCATGAGTAGAGTTCATGGCGGCATCTTGGTCAACAAGGGAGCGGCCACCTGTTTTGTATTAATCTTTTACATTTCTTCTCATGGTATTTTCCAATAATTGGAACAAATTACATATGGTAGAACTATGCTAACAGTGCTTAAACTTTAATATTTGTCAAATATTGAGTATGTATTTTAACAAGCATGAGAATGCCATAGTACAAACATATGAATAATAAGCAATGCCTTCCCCATATAGCAACAGGCTAGTTCTCTCTTAATGAACACATTCATTATACAATTATGATGATGCCAAAGCACATAGGGAAGCATACGTCTTTCTGTTTTCTAGAGATTTGCAATCTAATTGCACTCTGTAATTCAGTTAAGCAAAATTCTACCCCATGTTTTCCTCTGTCCTTGACTCTTCTTTCTGTTTCGACTAAGTTCAAAACAGAACCTATTAGTGCTAATGAGTTCATTCAGTTCAGTTCAAAACAGTGCTAATAAGTTCATTCATTATCGCCTATGGTCAGTGCCTAAACCACGATTGTTGAATAAGTATATTGAAGTTTTGAACATGACGTGTTAATTTTTGGAAGGTTTTTATGAGTTGGTTAATAAAATAATATTAACAACAGTGGTGTGTGTATGGTTACGAGCCAGTAGGAGGGGTCCTGACAGTAAGTACTGGGGAGGAAAGGGCTTGCAGAGGAGGAGTTGTCACTGGAGTTAGGCCTTTCCTGATGAAAGGGCTTTTCAGAGCAGAAGATAAGGACAATTCCAGGAAGAGAGAAAATCGACAGACACAACATCTCTGACATCTCTGAAAGAAGCTTTTTAACTTTCTGGAGAGACACAGTGTTAAAATATACATCAAATAACTTGATAAAACTGAATACATCATTTTTTTTCTTTCCGGTTTGCTTCCTTTGTGTATTCATGGAATACACACGTGTTTCCTTTGTGTATTCATGGAACCAACATCCTGTCAGTTTTCCAGGTTCTAAATCTCAAAGGAAAATCTCTTTGCTTCTTCTCTTTCACTCTGTCACCCGAGTCCAAATGTACATGGAAACCCTGTTGATTTCATTCTGTAATATTTCTCCAAGCCCTCTGCTCCTCTCACCACTCCGCTGTCCCTGATCTCAGACTGTCAATCACTGTGATCTCGGCCTCCAGTCTTTCTGCCTGATTCATTTTACGCTTAGCTGTCGGATTAGGGCTTTTTTGAAGCACGACTCTTATACTCTTCTACTCAAAAACCTTCACTGTTTATAGGAAAAGGTCCAAATTCCCTAGTCAACATGCAAGCGCCTCTTCATTTGGCTGTATAGTACTTCTGCACTCTGTAATTCAGTTAAGCAAAATTCTACCCCATGTTTTTCTCTGTCCTTGACTGTTCTTTCTGTTTTGACTAAGTTCAAATCAGAACTTACTAGTGCTAATAAGTTCATTCAGTTCAGTTCAAAACAGTGCTAATAAGTTCATTCATTTTTGTCTATGGCCAGTGCTTAAACTGTGATTGTTGAATAAGTATATTGAAATTTTGAACATGATGTGTTAATTTTTGGAAGGTTTTTATGGGTTGGTTAATAAAATAATATTAACAAGAGTTAGAGATTAATTATCCCTAGAAGTATTACTATCCGTGTATAAGAACAATATTTTAAAAATTTTCTTCTATTTGCCTGAAATCAATGGTCCTATTGATTACTAGTAAATTTAGAAATCCTTTAAATCACTTTCTTCCTAATAAAATTAGATTATGATAATCAAAAGTCCTGATACATGATTATAGCCAGCAGGGAAATAGGAGGAAGAAGAAGATCAATGTATTAGAGTCAATGTATAGTGTACAATATACAGCTAATATACCTCACTTAACACTAATAAGATAAATGCCCACGTTCCATGATTTAATACGATAAAAGCTAATTTCTTGCTACACAAAGTCCAATGCAGGTCAGGCAATCTTCTAGAGCAATTCTTCTCTAGGCAGAGACTCTGGGATCCAGGCTCCCTCCAGCATATGATGTCACCCTCTCAACACAGGGATGCTTTGGCATAACAGTGCTTATTTTCACATATCACTTTCACTCATATGTTATTGATCAGAACCAGTCACATGGCCCTGCCTACTGCAAGGCACCTGAGAAGTACAGAGGAGCATATGGAACATTTGGTGAGTCCTACTATCTCTGCTTTAGAAAATAGAGTTAGTGAGAAGTATGATGGTGGAATCCCAAGTATTAATACAGAAGATGATGGTCTGCCTCTTACTAGCTCTGTCAGGTTGTTTGACCCTTCTGTGCCTCAGTTTATAGATATAACTGCATATTTTTATGATAATAGTAGCTACTTCATAGGTAGAGTTTAAAATCCCTGCAAAACATTTGGAAGGATGCCTGGATTATTTTAAGTTTCACTTGATGATAGCTATTATTATTATTAATATGAGAAACTAGGAATGAGAGACAATGGAGACCACTGAAGTAAAATTAATTTGAAATAAAATTATTAAAAATAAGGCTTAGTATGAAAACTAAAGGTCTGTTTTGGCTTTGATAGGCTTCGGTAAAACAATCACAGTGGCCAAGGGGTCTATCAGGTTATTTTCTTGAGGAATTCAGATAAAGAAATATAGTTATTTTATTATTATTGTTTTTAAAGTGCTCTTTCTGAAAATTAGGCTCAGAAGACCAGATTTTAAACTTATGGTTACTATAGCCTTGTAGTATAGTTTGAAGTCAGGTAGCGTGATGCCTCCAGTTTTGTTCTTTTGTTCTTTTGGCTTAGGGTTGACTTGGCGATGCGGGCTCTTTTTTGGTTCCATATGAACTTTAAAGTAGTTTTTTCCAATTCTGTGAAGAAAGTCATTGGTAGCTTGATGGGGATGGCATTGAATCTATAAATTACCTTGGGCAGTATGAGCATTTTCACGATATTGATTCTTCCTACCCGTGAGCATGGAATGTTCTTCCATTTGTTTGTATCCTCTTATTTCATTGAGCAGTGGTTTGTAGTTCTCCTTGAAGAGGTCCTTCTCATCCCTTGTAAGTTGGATTCCTAGGTATTTTATTCTCTTTGGAGCAGTTGTGAATGGGAGTTCACTCATGATTTGGCTCTCTGTTTGTCTGTTATTGGTGTATAAGAATGCTTGTGATTTTTGTACATTGATTTTGTATCCTGAGACTTTGCTGAAGTTGCTTATCAGCTTAAGGAGATTTTGGGCTGAGACAATGGGGTTTTCTAGATACACAATCATGTCGTCTGCAAACAGGGACAATTTGACTTCCTCTTTTCCTAATTGAATACCCTTTATTTCCTTCTCCTGCCTCATTGCCCTGGCCAGAACTTCCCACACTATGTTGAATAGGAGTGGTGAGAGAGGGCATCCCTGTCTTGTGCCAGTTTTCAAAGGGAATGCTTCCAGTTTTTGCCCATTCAGTATGATATTGGCTGTGGGTTTGTCATAGATAGCTCTTATTATTTTGAGATACGTCCCATCAATACCTAATTTATTGAGAGTTTTTAGCATGAAGAGTTGTTGAATTTTGTCAAAGGCCTTTTCTGCATCTATTGAGATAATCATGTGGTTTTTGTCTTTGGTTCTGTTTATATGCTGGATTACGTTTATTGATTTGCATATATTGAACCAGCCTTGCATCCCAGGGATGAAACCCACTTGATCATGGTGGATAAGCTTTTTGATGTGCTGCTGGATTCGTTTTGCCAGTATTTTATTGAGGATTTTTGCATCAATGTTCATCAAGGATATTGGTCTAAAATTCTCTTTTTTGGTTGTGTCTCTACCAGGCTTTGGTATCAGGATGATGCTGGCCTCATAAAATGAGTTAGGGAGGATTCCCTCTTTTTCTATTGATTGGAATAGTTTCAGAAGGAATGGTACCAGTTCCTCCTTGTACCTCTGGTAGAATTCGGCTGTAAATCCATCTGGTCCAGCATGGTACTGGTACCAAAACAGAAATATAGATCAATGGAACAGAACAGAGCCCTCAGAAATAATGCCATATATCTACAACTATCTGATCTTTGACAAACCTGAGAAAAACAAGCAATGGGGAAGGGATTCCCTATTTAATAAATGGTGCTGGGAAAACTGGCTAGCCATATGTAGAAAGCTGAAACTGGATCCCTTCCTTACACCTGATACAAAAATTAATTCAAGATGGATTAAAGACTTAAACGTTAGACCTAAAACCATAAAAACCCTAGAAGAAAACCTAGGCATTACCATTCAGGACATAGGCATGGGCAAGGACTTCATGTCTAAACACCAAAAGCAATGGCAACAAAAGACAAAATGGACAAATGGGATCTAATCAAACTAAAGAGCTTCTGCACAGCAAAAGAAACTACCATCAGAGTGAACAGGCAACCTACAAAATGGGAGAAAATTTTCGCAACCTACTCATACTCATCTGACAAAGGGCTAATATCCAGAATCTACAATGAACTCAAACAAATTTACAAGAAAAAAACAAACAACCCCATCAAAAAGTGGGCAAAGGATATGAACAGACACTTCTCAAAAGAAGACTTTTATGCAGCCAAAAGACACATGAAAAAATGCTCATCATCACTGGCCATCAGAGAAATGCAAATCAAAACCACAATGAGATACCATCTCACACCAGTTAGAATGGTGCTCATTAAAAAGTCAGGAAACAACAGGTGCTGGAGAGGATGTGGAGAAATAGGAACACTTTTACACTGTTGGTGGGACTGTAAACTAGTTCAACCATTGTGGAAGTCAGTGTGGCGATTCCTCAGGGATCTAGGACTAGAAATACCATTTGACCCAGCCATCCCATTACTGGGTATATACCCAAAGGACTATAAATCATGCTGCTATAAAGACACATGCTCACATATGTTTATTGCGGCACTATTCACAATAGCAAAGACTTGGAACCATGCCAAATGTCCAACAATGACAGACTGGATTAAGAAAATGTGGCACATATACACCATGGAATACTATGCAGCCATAAAAAATGATGAGTTCATGTCCTTTGTAGGGACATGGATGAAGCTGGAAACCATCATTCTCAGCAAACTATGGCA
The DNA here is from genome assembly GCF_000001405.40 of Homo sapiens. Taxonomy (NCBI): domain Eukaryota; kingdom Metazoa; phylum Chordata; class Mammalia; order Primates; family Hominidae; genus Homo; species Homo sapiens. The sequence goes on from NC_000013.11 coordinate 50,473,401, forward strand.
AGGACAAAAAACCAAACACCGCATATTCTCACTCATAGGTGGGAATTGAACAATGAGAACACATGGACACAGGAAGGGGAACATCACACACCAGGGCCTGTTGTGGGGTGGGGGGAGGGGGGAGGGATAGCATGAGACGATACACCTAATGTTAAATGACGAGTTAATGGGTGCAGCACACCAGCATGGCACATGTATACATATGTAACTAACCTGCACATTGTACACATGTACCCTAAAACTTAAAGTATAATAATAATAATAATAATAATAATAATAATAAATAAACTTATGGCGTGGATAAAGAGGATTCAGTTAACAAGACCAGTCTTTTAATTATGGGATAGTAGAATGAACTGGAGGGTGATCCTCAGCTTCCCTGCAATAGAAGATGATAAAATAATTCATTTATGAGGAAACCTACACCTTTGGGGTTCACTTGAGCCAAACAGACAATGGAGCCTGCTGGAGCAGTTCAGAATGGTGGTTTCAGCATACCCTCTGGAGCTGGGCTGTGGACTCCAAGTCCTGACTCAGTCTCTTGCCAGTTGTACTGCCTTAATCCTCCTATGTCTCAACTTCACTATCTATAAACTGGGTATAATAATTATACTCACCCACCCAGTACAGTTGTTGTGAGAATGAAAGACATTAATTTATTTAAAGCACTTTGAAAATGCTAGCTCCATAGTGAGTGGTCATTGATTGCTAGCTGTTATTATTTTCTCTCTGAGGACAATGAAAATGTAAAAATGATCAGGAGAGTAGGACAGAAAGTCTGGATGAGAAATGGTGAAAAATGTCAGCGGTGCACAGCAAATGTTGACAGTGAGGTATATTAAGCTGTAGAACAGAGTCCCCAAGGACAAGATGAAATCTGCTGTTTGAGTCATGTAGGGTCAGACAAAGTACCAGAGAATAGGCCATAGGAAGTGTTCTCATGCTTGTAAGTTTAGGGACAAGATGATCTAATAAGGTATTTTTCACCTTGAAGTTGTCTGATGACTGGGTTAGAAAGCTGGAGAAACTGACAGATTGTTCTTTTCAGGGAGGGAACTATGCTAGGCAAGTCTGTGTAGATTTAGTCAGAAATGTAGTTCTGAGTGCAGTGTCAACATGCATCATCACTTACAGAGGTAGGAGCTCTTCAGGTTCCAAAGTCAGGTGCGGAATGAAGGCAAAACACCTGGCTAATTTGGGCCAAAATGCTACAAAATGAGGGAAAGGAAGCCTTTGAATTTAAATTATCTGGAAAATGACTTCAATTTCCAACATAATTTTGTATGTTATAAACATTTCTTACTGTAGATATTTTGGAAGGCAAGTGTGTGGATTAAGGATCTTTTCATCAGCCTTAATAAAGAAGGTTTGCAATGTTTTTTATTTCTTGGCATTATTTTTAATGTCTCACACTAAATACAGATGCCAGGTACATGTTCAGATAAGTAGCCTTACTTCCAATTTTATTTTTCCTTAGCCAGGAGAGGGAAATTTATGTGCATTGGTAGAAATAATGAAAAGGAAATTTAGCATCCTCCAAAAAGTCATAACATTATATGAGGATACCTAGTTTATATGAGAATACCTATATGAGGATAGTGTGTCTTTCAAAAAGTATTTTTAATATTATATTATTTATATTTGAAAATAAATAACAACTTTCATTTTCTTAATATAAGTTACTTAAAGTAAACATTGTCAAAATTGGGATGGTATAAAGAAGAGGCAATTATTATTATTATTATTATTTTTGAGACAGAGTTTTGCTCTTTTGCCCAGGCTGGAGTGCAATGGCGTGATCTCGGCTCACTGCAACCTCTGCCTTCCGGTTTCAAGCAATTCTCCTGCCTCAGCCTCCTGAGTAGCTGGGATTACAGGCACCCACCACCACGCCTGGCTAATTTTTGTATTTTTAGTAGAGACAGGGTTTCACCGTGTTGTTCAGGCTGGTCTCGAGCTCCTGACCTCGTGATCCGACCACCTCAGCCTCCTAAAATGCTGGGATTACAGGCGTGAGCCACCGCGCCGGCCAAGGCAATGATTTTTAATGGTTTTTGGGAAGCAGATTTTATAATATATTAAAGGAAGGTGTGTGTGTGTGTGTGTGTGGGTACGTAATACATACAAATATATCCATTCATCTTTTAATAAACTAGGTTCAGCATCTCAACATATGAAGACCATACTTTTTGCCTAGGATAAGCTCAGTTTATTCTCATACCAAGGAAAAGCAGGGCAGTATAGTAGCAAAGTTACAGGGACAGAAATTCAAAGAGCTGGGTTCCTATTCAGCTGGGGTTTTAATTCTGAAACCTTGAGCCAATCACTTCAACTCAGTGAGCATGTCTTCTCATCTGTGAAAGGGGAATAATAATAACATCCTTTTATGATCCATAGGATAACAATGTACATATATAAATGTCAAAATTTTTTCAATTGTGAAGTGCTAACAAATAAAGATACTATAATACCATAACTGCCATACCTGAACTTAAAGCAGACAGCAAAGACTCACTGCCAATATAAACACACACACACACACACACACACACACACTTGAGTATTGTTCAAGTACACCATAATTTTTTGCATTTTTGGCTAGGCTGTTCAATATTTATTTTACAAATGTTTGTCCTATCTTCACTTTAGAAGAGAGGGTGACCAGAAGTGCTTAAATCAATGGTGAAGGAAAGCACAATAACTATCTTTTTTAACCTAGCTTTATCCAACTCCCCCCTGCCTGCTAGCATGCCTGATCTGCGCATGAATATAAATATAAAGAATTATTTTAACTTTTTGTTAGCCTCTTCTCCAGATAAATGGGAAGTTTTTTTTCTTCAACTTTTATTTTAAGTTCCAAGGTACATGTGTAGGACATGCAGTTTTGTTACATGGGTAAACGTGTGTCATGTGGTTTGGTGCACAGATCAACCCATCACCTAAGTATTAAGCCCAGCATCCATTAGCTATTCTTCCTGATGCTTTCCCCTCCTTACTTCCCCTGACAGGCCCTAGTGTGTGTTGTCCCCCAACCCCACCATGTGTCCATGTGTTCTCATCGTTCAGCTCCCACTTGTGAGAACATGCAGTGTTTGATTTTCTGCTTCTGCATTAGTTTACTGAGGATAATGTCTTCCAACTCCATCCATGTCCCTACAAAGGACATGATCTCTTTCCTTCTTATGGTTCCTAGTAAGGAATGGGAACATTTAATGTTCAGGTCTGAAATAATAATTTCTCTGAAATGAGCATTCTTTTGCTTATTCAGACTTCCTTCCATTGCTTCTGGCGTCATTTTGGCATGAAACAAACATCTGGAAACTCCTAACCCTACGGGATCTTGTCTTCTCCCTTGGGAATTTGTGATTGGACTTTTGACATTTGACCTCCCCCATACTGCTCTCATGGAGAGCCTTCATCTCACAGTAGTTGCAAGAAGGATAAGATATTTATAGAACATCCCGTTATTGTACAGGATTGTGTCTCTAGGGTTAAATACTGGGTTTCTGCCTCCAAATGAGTAGTTTATTGTCTTCTTAAGTACTGAAAATGTACAGAGTTATCATAGTTAAATTCTTATTCCTAAAACAAAAACAAAAGAAAATACTACTTGCTAATTTCTTTCTATTTTTATATTTTTGGATGGCTTCTATTGCTTTGCAGTAGCAAATAAGAGTGTTACAGAATTGTTTTCCCCAGAATCGAATTGCCTTTAGGGGGTACTCCATGTATATGTTTTAGCAATGATGCTGTTCTCAAACTCAAAAAATCACTAATAGAACAGATAAGCATGTTAAAATGTTAGCCATTTCTTCGACCTTGTAATATATTTTCTGACAGTTGAGATAATTGGTGAAATACAGAATCTAGATTTGTGCTGAAAAGTACTTAGGAAAATTAGAAAATATTGCAAGTCATTTTAAAACAGGAAGAATATCTGTGGAGGTGATGGGATTCCTAAGCTAGCTCATGAGATTATAAAAGCTCAAGTTAAAATGTGCTGTGGCCTTATGGAGAATAATTCCAAATAATTTATGTAGATACTCCCCCTACCCAAAGAGGGTAGTGTAACTTCCATTCCTTAGCTCTCAGTTGAATGTAGTGACTTCCTTCCAAAGTGTACAGTATGGAAATGAGGAAAGGGGAAGGAAGAGTAATTTTACAATTAAGAAACCTGTCAGACTATAACAGTCAGGTGGTTGAGGCCAATGTTGACAGTTATAATGCATGTTGACAGTATGTACCATTGGTATAATGGGATGAAAATAGCTTTTTACTTCTGGGGACTTCCTCCTAATAATCCGTAACCCCAGTCTGACCTTGAGGAAAACAATATACAAATTTCAGTAGAGGTGTATTCTACAAAATAACTCATGAGTAGTCCTCAGTATTGTCAAGGTCATCAAAAACAAGGAAAATCTCTGAGAAACTGCCATAGCAAAGAGGAGTGAGTCAAAGAGGCAAGATAACTCAATGTAATGTGGTATTCTGTTTGGGATGTTGATGCAGATGAAGGGCAGTAGATAAAAACTAAGGAAATCTAAATAAACCATGGGCTTTGGGTAATAGTACTATATTAATATTGGCTCATTAATTGTAATAAAGATATCATGCTAATGTAAAATGTTAACACTAGAGGAAACGGGGTGCTATGGTTTGAATGCATCCCCCAAAAAGCACATGTTGGAAACTTAATTTTCAGTCCAACTGTGTTGGGAGGTAGGGCTTAATGAGAGGTGATTAGGCTGTAAGGGGTCTGTCCTCATGAATGGATTAATTTGTTATTGAGGGAGTGGGTTTGTGGAAAAAAAGGGTACGTTTGGTCCCTCTCTCTCTCGCCCTCCCTCTCTCACCTTCTCACCATCTGCTAGGTGATGAAGCAGCAAAAAGGCCTTTACCAAATGTTCTTTATAAATTACTCAGTCTCAGCTATTCTGTGACAGCAGCACAAAATGGACTATGACACCGGGTGTGGGTTATATGGGAATTCTCTGTACTATCCTTCAATTACTCTGTAAATCTAAAACTGCTCTAAAATATAATGTCCGTTTTATTTTAAAAAGGCACTTTGGCAACTGTCCAGCTGATACCCTTCTAGTGATCAAAACTCTGCCAATATTTGGTGTCTTCTTGAATTCCTTGAATGACAGGCAATTAACCATTTCCAAAAGTGATACTTCGATTAATGCACAACTCTTAGTGTTTAGTCCTATTTGTTTATTTTTTTTGGTAGATAGCAGTAGCTACCAAAGAAATTTGAGGTGGCTAGGATTAGCTACTCCCCAACAAACATCCTACTAAGCTGTAAAAATACACATCTCAGAAGAGATTCTGCCCCCATGCACTTATTTTACTACCTTTCATTAGCAAATGGGTACAAAATAGTTCATATAGTTTGTAGGTCTGATAAAGTCTAAGCTCTCTTTTCTTTTTGGCATACTAACCACATTTCATATGAAAGATTGACTCCAAGCAGATGTGATATTCGAGTCAGGATTTTGTACCCTACAATAGGCACCATAAAATCAGAATTCCTCTTAAACCAATGATTGAAATCAAGCATCATTCCTAATCATTCAAAGTGCAGGATTTGTTGGATTTTCCGACTGTATTCATTCAAGAGTGCTTCTAAACTGTTTTGGCCCATTTCCCTGTCTTGGTACTTCTAATGTCACCATTGAAGCCAAGTTTAGTATTCATCATGCTGGTCACTAGTTTAATGAATAAAACCCATTTTTTTAAAGCATTCAGGATGCTAATTAGCAAAGCTTGTTGATTGAGGTACTGGTATCTGAAGGACTTGTAATACATACTTCAGAGCATGGCCTTTTCTGATGTAATATAGGTGACCACCCATGAACTATGCATTCTTGATATCATGTCAGCTAACCATCCTTAGAATTAAAGCTTTAACTGGTCAAACATCATAGTACATTGATTATATGAAGTAAATTACAGACATTGGTACAAGTGAGTTCTATTTTTATTTTTATTATTATTTTTTGAGACGGAGTCTTACTCTGTAGCCCAAGCTGGAGTGCAGTGGTGCGATCTTGGCTCACTGTAACCTCTGCCTCCAGGGATCAAGCGATTCTCATGTCCCAGCCTCCCAATTAGCTGGAACTACAGGCAAATGTCACCATGCCTGGCTAATTTTTTTTTTTTTTTTTTTTTTTTTTTTTTGGATTTTACTAGAGACAGGATTTCACCATGTTGCCCAGAGTGGTCTCGAACTCCTGAGCTCAGGCGATCCGCCTGCCTTGGCCTCCCACAGTGCTGGGATTATAGGCGTGAGCCACCACGCCCAGCCAAATTCTATTTTTTTAAGAAACAACTCAACCCAGAAATCTACTTTTGTGTCCCTTCTATCCATTGTTTCCTTTGAGGCAAAAAGCATTATGTGTGAATTTGCATCTGAGGTGAATGCTATGCTTGGGTGTGTTATATCTGAGAGTAAACTTCAAGTGCTGATAATTCTTGGGGCAGCATGGCAGGGGAGGAGGAGAAAGGAAGAAGTGGGATAAACATGGTGACAGAGAAGAAGTGCTTTAGATCCACTGTTTGAGAACTCTAGTGGACTGCGGAAATCCTACCTTCCTCTAATCTAGAGTTTTTCTATTTTTTTTTTTTTTGACAATAGAACACATTTGGAATGCAATGCCTCCTAATAGGCCACAGAAGTAATATTCTGTGTAACACATAATGCACTCTCTTAATCAAAACTATAATAGAAGGTCAAATGGGAAAGGGACAGAATATGTATTCCCTTGGTAAAAACAATACAAATGATAAACACAATCATAGTCATAGTAGCTAATGTTTATGTAGTATTTACCATATGTGAGGTATAACTTCTACTAACTATTCTAAGTACATTATATACAGGAACTCATTTAATCCTACAATGAATCTGGGCCATCTATTATATTGATGGAAAATTGTTACCAATGATTGAATAGACTATCACACATTGTATACTAGAAGAAATTGCTATTCTATGACAAAATGGTGAGCTGGCAAAGTTAGAGAAAACCTAAAGCAATTAAAAAGAATGGGCATACAGAGAACTAAAGAATTTAGTATCAGTAGCATGCATTGTACCTTTACAGCATGAAGGTCTTAGTACCTACAATGTTAAAAATTACATTTAGAAAATTAGCTCACAGCTCTTGCAGGTACTGGTGCAAAGCATGTCTTATTTAAATGTTTATTATCGTCTAAGCTTTTATTATTCCTTGGCTGTCCTAGAGATGTATGATAAGATATAATCTTTATAGAAGGAAAATGACAATTATTTCAAGTTCTATTCCTTAAGAAATTAGGGAAATAAGAATTCTGGGAAGATGGCAACAATGGCATTATAGCTTACGACTATTCCTGAATCCTCTAATGAACACAGTCAGAGTAGCAAAACCAAAACTGCACAGATGAAATCTACAACAAAGCAACAAAACATACACCCTAATGCATGTGTATATGGGGATGAAACTCTGATAGCAAAAAGACTTGTGTGGTATCACTAAAACTTTGCAAGAAGCAGAGAGAAGGAACTGAGACTTACGATGGATTTGAGTGGTGGAGAACCCCCAAATCATCAGTGATACTCACTGGAAAGCTCTGTGGTGTGTTCTGAGAGGAACAACTGATTCTTTGAGGACGCTTTACAGGACTCAATTCATAGGTAACTGCAAGGAGGCCATCATTAGGTTTGATGATGCTGTGGCTGTCTGAGTCGAAACTCTTGAAACTAACCAACTACAGATCACTTTCAGAACAAAGCTCTGCACTGAGGAGAGACTTCATTTAGAACTCATATTGAGGAGGAGGAGAACAACAGGAGCAAAGGAAAGAGAAAATCCAGCCAAGAATGAGGTATAGGAGAAGAGAAAGCAGATCTCAGAGAGCATGAAGCCATGTTTTTGAATCCTTCATTAAAAAAACAAACAGATGCAGGTGTTTCCAGTATAAAGTTAGGTCCTTGCTACCATTGTAAAAGTGTAAGAATATTCATTTTACCCTAACATGAGCAACAGAAAAGGATTACAGTTAAAAATACCATGTAAAGTTATTATAAGCAAAAAGAGAAAATGAATAAAATAATGTCCCTACAATGAAGGCACACCAGAAAGATAAGTCCACAAGGCAAATAAAAACTGCAACCTAATATTTCAAAACAGGCCAAAAGAAGTTGAGAAGCAAATAATAGATATGAAAGAACAACACGAATAAGAATTAGAAAAAGTCATAAATGAGGTGATTGGAGAAAAATACGATTTAGAAAGATGGCAGAACTTAGGAAATAATTTTAAAATAAAAAAAAATCAAGTTCAGTGTTGAATTCTAAATTAGAGGAAACCCAAGAGCAAATTGATACCTTCAGAGAAATAGAAGAAAGAACAAAGAAAAAACTTTTAAAAATAAAGTGAATGAAGACACTAAAAGGATGGAAGAGAAGGTGACAGCTATAAAAATAGGCAGGGACATTAACACATGTGTATTGGGAGTCCCCCAAAAAGGAACCAAAGCCATGGTATAGAACAAGTATTTGAAATTATGATTCACAAAAAAATGTCCTGACTTGAAACTATTGAAAGATAGTACTGCAAACCTGGGAAAAAAGACTCAAGAGATATTTTCACTAAAACTATGAACTTTAAAGAAAAGGAAACAATCCTTTGGTCAACCAGGCAAAAAAATGAAGTCACTGATAAAGGAAAGGGAATCAGATTACATAAGACTTTTCAACTTTACTGCAGCAGACCATACAATAATGCATTTAACAAAGTCAGGAGTTGAAACAGTCAAAGATATCATACCTTGTCAAACTGACAAACTTATTTCATTATAAAGGTTAGAGATAAACTGTAATAACTATGCAAAAAAACTCAAAATATTCTTCCCTTGAGAATTCATGAATATTCTACTGAAAAATAAGTGTTAGTTTGCAAAAGCAAACTTGAACACATGAAAAGGCATACTTCTTGGATCGGAAAATTCAACATAATAAAGTTGTCAATCCTCTTTAAATTAATTTATAAATGTAATGCAATCCCAGTAAAAATTCCATTTTTTTTTATAATCAAGTAGACAGGTTGACTAAAAAGTTTATTTGGAATAAGAAACAAGAAAGAATAGCCAGGTAAAGAACAAAAATGGAGAATATACTAATGGAAATTGATAATGCAAACATTATAAAGCCTTATAATTTAAAAAGTATGGTTTGCATACACGAATAAACAGACCAATGGATCAAGATAGAAAATCCAGAAATGGATTCAATTACATATGCAAATTACTGGAGAAAGGAGATGGACTTTTGAAAAGTGTTTTTGGGAAAACTGGATGACCTTTTGCAAAGATAAAATTGGATCCATTCCTCACACTGCACATCAAAATAAACTTTAAATATATTAGAGATTTAAATGTAAGCAATGACACTGTATAAGTAACAGAAAAAACATAGTGAAGCACTTTCCTAACTATGACTGAAAATGCAGAAGCAACAATGGGAAAGGTTGATACACTTGATAATATATGTATACAAACAAATTTTACATGACTGAAAAAACTATCATAAGAAAAGCAAAAAACAAAAAGAGAGACAAATATGGGAAAAATTATTTGCAATTTCTATAATGGACAGAATGTTATATTTTTATATAATACAGCTTCTAAAGACAGAGAGGTTTTTAGAGACCAATGACTCTATAGAAAAATCACCTAGAGATAGACACAAGTCACAAAAAAATGAAATGCAAATACCCTTGGACATGTGAACAGATACACAATCTCGTGCATAGTAAGAGAAGTGCAAGTTAAAATTATGTTGACATAGTACTTAACTATCAGATTGATAAAACCCCAAGTTTAAAAACATTCTGAGTGTCATTTAGAGCTAGAGTTTTTGGCATGCAAAAAAGAAAATTCAAATATGAGATGAAGGAGGTTGAGTAAAAAGGCAGCAGTGTAAACTGAGATATATTTTATCTCAAAAAATATCCTACATACTAAAAAAATCCATCTTTTTAATGCAAAGAAATAAAACCCATCACCAGTCCAGTGACAATGAGTAGCTGTAGGATTCAGATTGTGTTCTTTAAGTCCCATTTCCCCATAGAAAGAACCAGGACTCCAGAGAAATGGGTGATTCTAACTCTGGGATAGAAAATGTACAGGGATAGTCTGGAGCATCTTGTCACACCAGAAAGCAATGACGCTCAAGGAAGTTATAAGACTACGTAAGAGGATATGCTGAAAAGGAAACGTTTTGAAGTTGCTCCCACTGGCTAAGTTTTGAGCAACAATAAGGACAAAAGATGTCAATGAATCATGATACATGAAATATATTTAAATGCATGACTTTTAATGGTACTAAAAAACATCACATTGGTCACCTTAGAAAGACTTGAAGAACCAATTCATTATTTTAAAGAATAGTAAATAGAAAAGAAATAGTAAGCATTTATCCTGCCTTCCCTATACTAAAAGTACTTCAGAATAAACAATTGATGAAGGGAAATTTCTCTTAGAGACAGAGTCTAGGTAATACATGGGAAAGAGATGAGAATTAAAGTATTATCACTTTGCAACATTTAATGGATTAACAGATCCAGGCAATTATCATCAGTGGTTGCCAATATATGTATATAACTTAATGTATAATACTAATTTATATTATAATATATGCTATATTAATTTAATATATATTAGCATATGTATAATTTAATATTTAATATATAATTATATATTACATATGTATATAGCTCTATAAGTACTATAGATAATATATATTAATCTAATTTTCTCTGTCATCTATTATTTACCTATTATCTCTCTCTACTATCTGTCTGTCTATTTATCATAGAAAAGAATTACGCCTTGGTACCAATTCAGTCAGGTGGGCTCACATGATTGACTTTTAGCCCCATCTTTTGCTTAAAAATAAAAATTACATAGTACTGTAGGAAGACTGTAGGGAGCTGAGTGGGGACTAAGAGAGCATACAAACTTTATTTTACAACTATCCAGTCCACCACCTATCTCACAGATATGGGTGCAATTTCTAAGTCAAACACTATCTCATAACTGACTATATATGGCTTTTCCTGGGGTGAAATACTTTGTTTTTGCTTTCGGCATTCCTTCCCTGACTTGCCTTTTTAGTTGTTGTGGGGACTATGTTTTTAAATCCACGAGATGCAAGGAAACAATGGACGCCTTTCTTCGCTGCTTGTAAAGGTCATATGAGAAACAAGCATGAGCAGAGCAGTTCTGACTAGACGTGCAAGCACACACAGAACGGGACACATTCACCGCGTCGTTTGTCAGCATTAACCCTTTGCTTATACCAAGAAAAGGAGGCTGTGTTTCTATCTTCAGATGGTTTTGGACTGAATTTATGTGAAGTAGAAAACAGGAGTGAATCACTGAAATTTTTGCTTGCTCTGTTAGGGCTTGGGAAGACCCAAAATGGAGGTGGCGTCTGAGTCCAGGAAGAAAGAGGACGTTTATGAAACAAGAGGTCAGGGATTTTCCTCTCAGGTCTCACGACTGTAAGCAGATCAGAGCTGCCAGATGACTATGCAATGCCTCTAGCACCATAAGGAATATTCCCCTCCAACACCAGTTAAAAGAAAAATAATAACAAACTAGAAATAAGCATAGAAAGTACAGATAAGTACAAGATAGTAAAAAATACTTTAACTTTTATTCTTTTTCCGTGTTATTATTTTAATAGTTTTTATAAAAAATTAAGTATCAAATTCTCACAAAGGTTATTTTCTCATCATTTAGTGTTCTCACCTTGTTGGGGGCCTAAACACTTGTGTTGCTTTTGGGTAATCTAGTACTGGCTCAGATCCATCTCCTCAGAAGTCCAAGAAATTACTTGTCAGGAAACTTGGTAGGATGGTCTGCTCACCAACGTAGTTTATTGACTGCTGCTTTTACACTGATCTAAAAATACTCTTTATTTTTGGTTGGAATATGGCTTATTTTGGGAGAAACTGGTGAGGTTAGGTCATCCTCAGATTTCTGCAAAATATTTTATTATAATAGACCTAGCTATTCATGGGAAGATTATAATACCTCATGGATCATCTGGGGAAAATACCTGGCCTTCAAGGCCACTATTTCCAGCAGCAAACATAAAAATCCTTTAATCCATGTCCCACGCTTAGGTTTCTTAATTCATGAAATTCTGCTTATGATTGCCACATATAAATAAGAAAGGACTTGAACATATGTGAGCTATAAGAAACTTTTGTAAAGCAATGCAACTCATGGGTTTAAACAAATACTTTTGGCAGCTTTGTTAAGCATACATGCAAAAAGTGGGTTTGCTTCACCAGTAAGGGATACAGAAAAATCCAAGCTCTCTGACCTACATGTGACACACACAGGATAATAATTAATGATAATAATAAGTTTTAAAAAATCTAGTATGCCTTTCTATCAGGATGGAGCAAGAGATTAATTACACATTGTACATCATAATGTCTGAAAGCCTGAGAACTTGTGCAATCTGAATTAAATTTTATGAAACAAAATGCATGGAATTGATGCTTTCATTTTGAATACACAAGTCTTTTTCTTCTTATATTCTTTCCCCCTCTCTTTTTTCCTTCTCTCCCTCCTTATCTTAGCACCCCTCCTCCCTGCTTCTAAAAGAAGAGAATACTGTTCTCAGGACTCTCTCAGCCTTTCTCAATTGAAAGCAATGATTCTGAGTCACTCCTTTATATTAAGTGAAATACTCTTGCATGAATCTCTAGGGATGAAGTGATTAGCCCAGCAAGAAGCCAGCGGATTCTGGTTGTCCGTGAAAGTGGTAGAAAGAATTAAATACAATTTTGCAAAGATAACACTAAAAGAATGGTATTTTCTTTCAAAACATGTCCTTTTCTGAAACATCAGTGCAGACGTATGTCAAGATAGAAACTGGATCATATTTCTAACAGTTGAAGACTCAGATTTCATCAAACAGGACTGCTTGTTCTCATGCCCAAACTGTATCCTACACTGTCCTGTTGTCTGGACTATAATGGAACATAACATTAACTTCGGACAGTGGAGGTTGTGTTGGTGCCAACCTTGCTAATGAACATGTGGTTTCCATAATAATGTGGCTACTTGCATATTAGGTGGCAAGGTGCCAGGTACGTACTTAATGTTGAGGGGGCAACTGATGTAAAAAGTACCATCTCCTGATATGATTGCATTTCCAAAAATACTCTGCACCTGGACTGAAACTCGGCAAAATGAGGAATGTCAGTCAGCATCAGGAAGTTTAAGGCATTGACAGATAAGGAGGAGCCCTGCAGATTCCAGGCATGCACTCTGTGAGCCTCAAGCATCCATCACAAGGTCTTGATGATAACAAAATGGGTAACGTCACAGTGTGAAAAACAGCCCGACCCAGGAGGGTGGTGGGTGGGGGAAGGTTTAGGACCACTCCCTGCTTCAAGTTCCTGGTGTTCTGGACTCAGGCACTTGAGGGTCTGAAAGCTAGAAGACAGTGAAATGAGTTACAGTTTAATGATATTCCCACTACACTGACAAAATGGATTCAGTTACATAATGGTAGCATTAAATGTTATTAAGAAGGGATCCAAAGTCTTGGGGCCAGACTTTCACAAAATCATGATAAGCTGCGAAAAACAGCTGAAATAGCACATTTATAGGCTTTCCAGTCCTCAATTTGTTGAAGGGGAAAAAAGTTGTTATATTTGCTCAAACATTCTGCAGTGTTGGCCTATAATCAGGGGCTTAGTGGAGGGGCGGGGGGTGTCAGGACATATCTGATTTGATTATTATATCTTAACTTGCATTTTTGTTTTCCTGAAAGCTTTTGTGAAGTACAGAGCTAAATGGTTTGCCCAAGGCCTTGGTTGCTTAGTAGGGCAGTGATTTTTCTTGGTGTCAAGACCTCCTCTGTAGAGTGACCAGGTGTAGAGGGTAGACTGTTTTTCTTCATTTCTATCTTCTCTTTGTATAAGAGAAGCTTCATTTTTTTAAATCTGCATTTTATAAAATTGATTCATTGTGGTATGTAGTTTTTTTTAATGTTTAATTTTTGTGGGTACATAGTAAGTGTATATATTGATGGGGTGCATTAGATAGTTTGATACAGGCATATAATGCATAATAATCACATTGTGGAAAGTGGGGTGTTCATCCCCACAAGCATTTATCCTTTGTGTTACAGACCATCCAGTTATACTCTGTTAGTTATTTAAAAATGTACAATTAAATTATTTTGACTATAGTCACCCTGTTGTGCTATCAAACACAAGATATTATTCATTCTTTCTGTTTTTTGTACCCATTAACCATTCCCACCTCCTCCCAGCATCCCAGTACCCTTCCCAGCCTCTGGTAACCATCCTTCTACATAAGTTCAATTATTTTGATTTTTACCCCCTAGAAATAAGTGAGTACGTGTGATGTTTGTCTTTCTGTGCTTGGCTTATTTCATTTAACATAGTGACCTCCAGTTCCATCCATGTTATTGCAAATGACAGGATCTCATCCTTTTTTATAACTGAATAGTACTCCATTATGTATAAGTATGTAGTGTATAGTTTGGACTAAGGTATCTACTACCACAATCAACATGCCAAGAGTTCCATCACTTCCAAAAAATTTCTCATGCTGCCTGGTTGTCATCAGTCTTTTTTCTACCTCCAGCCTCTGCTAACTGCTGATCTGTTCTCCATCCCCATAGTTTTGTCTTGTTTTGAATAACATATAAAGGGAAACTATAGCATGTAGTCTCTTGAGTCTGACCTATTTCATTAGCAAAATGCATTTGAGATTCATTCGTATTGTTTCATGCATGAGTAATTTACTTCTTTTTATTGTAAAAGAGTATTCCATTGTATGGATGTATCAGTTTGTTTATCCATTCACCCATGGAAGGAAATTTGTACTATTTCCAATTTTTGGCTTTAATTATTATATTTTTAAACCATCTTATTGAAGTATAATTGACATACAAAATCTGTCCTTATTTAATTTATACAACTTGATGAGTTAGGAGATAAGTATGCACTCATCAAATCATCACCATAAACCTATACTTCACCATAAATCATGCCATAAACCTATACTTCACTTCCAAAAATTTCCTCCTGCTTTCTTTCTTTATTATAATAATAATTATTATTATTATTTGTGATAAAAGCACTCAACATTAGATCTGCTTTTAAAGCAAAATTTTAAGGATACAATATATTATTGGTAATTACAGTCCCTGTGCTTTACAGTAGATCTCTAAGATTATCCATTTTATATAATCAAAACTTTGTACACTTTGACTCATACCTTCCATTTCTCCCTCCCCACAATCTCTGACCACTATCCTTCTATTCTCTGCTTCTATGAGTTTGACTACTTTAGATTCATTACATAAGTAATATCATGTAGTATTTGTCCTTCTGTGTCTGGCTTATTTTACTTAGCATAATGTATCCCAGGTTCATCCATGTTGCTGTAAGAGGCAGGATTTTCTTCTTTTTTAAGGATGAATAATATTCCCTTGTATGTATATATTACATTTTCTTTATCCATTTAGGAGTCAGTGGACATTTAGGTTGTTGCTTTGATGCCTCGGTGATTGTGAATAATGCTGCAGTGAATATGGAAATGCAGATAGCTCTTGAAAATACTATTGGCTTATTATTTATACCTCTTTTATATTTTTACTTTTAGTGGTTGCCCTAGAGTTACAATATTTATCTTTAATTAATCTGAGTTTACCTTCAAATAATATTAAATCACTTCACATGTAGTGTATGGACCTTGCAACAGTATATTCAAATTCCTTCATCTTTTACTTTATGCTATACATTTAATTTTACATATGCTGCAAGCACATAGTATATTGCTACTATTTTTTTTCTTTGCATAATCAATTATCATTTAGGCACTTAGGAGTAAGAAAATGCATTTTTAAATCTTTATTTATTTCCTTTCCCACAACTCTTTATTTGTTTGTGCAGATCCAACTTTCTCTCTGGTGCTATATTACTTCTACCTGGATAGCCTTCTCAAACATTTCTTATAATGCAGGCCTATTACCAATTAATTCTCCATTTTTCTTTTCGAGAAAGATTTTATTTCACCTTTAGTTTTAAAAGATGTTTTCCTGGGTACAGAACTCTGGCTGACAGTTTTTAAAAAATCTTAATGATGTCACTCCATTTTCTCCTGGCTTACATGATTTCCCACGAGAAGTTTGTTCTTATTTTTGTTCCTCTGTATAGAATGTATCTTTAGTTTAGTTTTGTTTTAATAAATTTTATTTTTAGAAGAGTTTTAGGTTTACAGAGAAACTGCAACAGTAGTACAGAGAGTTCCAGTATATCTCATATCCGGTTTACCCATTATTAATATCTTATGTTAGTATGGTACATCTGACCCAATATTGAAAAATTATTATTAACTAAAGTCTGTACTTTATTCAGATTTCCTTAGTTTTTACCTAATGGCATTTTTGTGCTCTAGGATCCCATCTACCACATTATGTTGTGATCATGTCTCCTTAACTCCTCTAGGCTGCGACAGTTTTTCAGGATTTCTTTATTTTTGATGACTATGATAGATTGAGGAGTACTGGTCATGTGTTTTGTAGAATGTCCCTCAATTTGGATTTGTCTGATGATTTTCTCAAGATTCGACTGGGGTTATGGGTTTTTGGGGAGGAAGACCACAGAGGTAAAGTGCCATTTTTGTAATAATCATATTAAGGAGACTTACTGTTAACATAACTTTTCACTCTTGATGTTGACCTTGATCACGTGGCTAAGATAGTATTTGTCAGATTTCTCCACTGTAAAATTACTCCTCTCTCTTTTACTTTTGAAATCTTTGGAAGGAAGTCCATATAAACAGCCCATGATTAAACAATGGGGAGTTAGGTTTATTCTCCTTAAGGGTAGAGTAACTACATAAATCATTTAGGATCTTCTACAAGTGAGACTTGTCTCTTCTTCCCCGTTATTTATTTATATCAATATTAATGTCTTTTATTTTTGGCTGCCTTCAGAAATTTTCTCTTTCTCCTCTCTTTGTTTTTTATCATTTGGATAAGACATATCTCAGGTTTGTTTTTTAATTTGTTTGTTTGTATTGTGTGTATCCTCACTGGTGTTCTTTGTGTTTCTTGGATCTGTGGTTTGGTGTCTAATGTTAATTTTGGAAAAATCTTGGTTATTATATGTTCAAATGTTTATTCTGCCCTATTCCCTCTCTCTTCTTGTAGAATTTCAATTAAACACATCTTAGGTATATGTCATTGTTCTACATTCCTTTGATATTCTATTCTACTTTTTTCATTCTTGTTTTTCTTTTAATTCAAATAACTTATATTGACCTATATGAGGCTTACTGATTCTTTCTTTGACTAGTCAAATGTATTGATGATACACTCAAAGGCATTCTTCATATCTGTTACTTTTTTATTATTATTATTTGTAGCATTCCTACTTAAATCTTCCTTAGTACTCTCTCTCTCTGCTGAAATTACTTATCTGATCCTGTGTGTTGTCTCCTTTTCCCATTAGAACTTTCAACATATTAATTATAGTTATTTTGAATTTCCTATTTATGGTTTTGATATTTGTATTATATCTGAGTCTGCTTCTGTCGATTTACTCATGCCACTGTGTTGTTTTTCTTGCTTTATTTTTGTATGCTTTGTACTTTTTTGGTTGAAAGCTGTATACTTTCTGTAGGACAATATATACTAAAGTAAGTGATTTTTTTTTTTTTTTGAGACAGAGTCTTACTTTGTCACCCAGGCTGGAGTGCAGTGGCACAATCCAGGCTCACTGCAACCTCCACCTCCCAGGTTCAAGTGATTCTCCTGCTTCACCCTTCCAAGTAGCTGGGATTACAGGTGTGCGCTGCCACACCCGGCTAATTTTTTAAAATTATTATTTCTAGTAGAGGCAAGGTTTTGCCATGTTGGCTAGGCTAGTCTCAAACTCCTGACCTCAGGTGATCCGCCCGCCTCGGCCTCCCAAAATGCCGGGATTACAGGTGTGAGCCACCGTGATGGCCAGGTAAATGATTTTTATTCCTGGAAATGAGCACATTTCCTTCTGCTAGGACTCTAATGTGGATTATTGAACCAATCTACTTAGGGATTTAATTGGAATAGAGATTGCTGTTGCTCTGGTTAACTACAGTGTACTACAGACTTCAAATTCCTGTAGTGACACTTTGTGTGTTGGGTGGAGGCTGGTTCGCCAGAAGGCTTTTTCTTAATATCCATTCTCAGCTTTAGGTCTTTATTTTACACTATGCCTTAGAGATGGTCTCTTTCCATACTCATTTAATTCTTCCACCATTACTAACTGTTACTTGTTACTTAATGCTTGTTAGAGTGGTGGCGTGGGGTCAGGAGTCCATTCTTCATTCTTTTCATGAAGCTTGTTTTTAGGCAGGCACTGTGTGTCTCTGGAGACCTTTTTCTGTATTTTTTACTTTAAAAAGTATGGAGTCCATTCATAAGGATGCTGGCGGGGGCAGTAAGGAGATATCTGGATGTACTTTAATCCAAAAACCATATTTTAGCATGTTCTATGTGCCAGATCCTGGGCCAGATGCTCTAAATGCAAATGGACAATGACGTGGTTCTTCCAATTCAGAAGCTCTGTATCAGAGAACCATAAACTGGTAAATAGGTGTAGACTCAAGGTACTTTGAAACCCAACAGAGGGCTTTTTTGCTCAGTGCAGATGAGGGTGATGGTCAGGGAATCTTTCCTAGATGGACTCCATCCAGACCACCATCTCTCTAGGACATCTGATTTTGTGCTCCATCAGACAAAAGGCAATGGTTTGAGATGAGAGAGAGAAAGACCTAAGTATTTGAAGTAAGGATACAGGAGGTGAGGAAACTATGGAGAAATACAGTGCCCTCTGAAGGTCATACTCTCAACATTACTTCAGGTATCTTCATAGTGCTATCTCTAGAAAAATCAAGGGTTTTTTTTTGTTTCAGACAAATCTGAAATCTGAAATTTGAAATCTGGATTTCTCACCTACAAGTTGAGGAATCTTAGGAAAATTACTTTCCCAACGTTCACTTTTCTCATATATAAAATGACAAAGATGTTTTCTGTCCCATTGGATTGCTGTAAACATTATGTGAAACATCAGCTTCTAGAAGATCCATAATAAGTAGTTACTATTATTGTTGTTGTTATTTGCAGCCACTAAATTGAATTGTTTTTAATTCTTTAGGTACCCTAATGACAAGTTCACCCCAGTGTTTTCTGAGGAGTCTACCTGGAAATGAGAACCATCTGTCCTTCCTATAGTAGTTCTTCTCAGAATGCCGACTCTATGCTAATGGTGAGAAAGTAGCTTCCAGATCAGACCCCCTAAAAATATATCTAAAAACTCAACTCCTGTGGTCATCTCTTTCAAGTATTTAAACCTCAGAATTTTCTCCAGCAAGCATATAGGCCCCATAGAGTCCATAAGCTTGCAATGTCTTGGCCATGTGTACCCATGTGGTACATTCAACCACCAAACTGGAATACGATATTGCATTTCCTGGGCAGGATTAAGAGTGAGCTCTCTTAGGCTCAGATGACCCCCACAATCAAAGGTAAGAGGGCTGTAACTGAAATATCACTCAACAGTCATGCCAGGAATAATGGACACTGAAACGACTACCATGCCTTGTGGTGAGTGCCCTCCTTTGGGGATTAGCAAGATGGTAGGGGATGTGCAGAAGACTGCAATGGGTCTCTTAACCCTTCCTTCCTTCAGTATATAATCCAGGTTATTTTAGAAATAGAACACCAGTGATGTGTTTGTGACAACTTCTACTGGTCCTGTAATCTAGTTAGAATTGGGTGGATGACCCCTTATAAATCCTAACTAGATTACAGGACCAGTAATGTGTCAGTCTTAATTAATTCATTGGTTTATTTATTCATTCATTCTTTCATTCATTTTTTTACTTGTTCATCCATTCATCAAAAGTATTTTTAGTACTTTACCTACTATTAGCTGGGCTTCAGTTAAATAATTTTGTATTTTTTTTTCCTTAATAGAACTTATGATCTGGTGGAAGGACATGATAACTAATCAAATAATCACAAATATGTATTTCAGAGGTAATTATTCTAAAGGAAAGTTATCTGACTTGGTTTTTCTGGGAAGTCTTGCCTAAATGAGATAATTTTTGAAGTGGGTGAGCTGGCCACTTAGGGCTTGGGAGAGGTTAACAGAATGAGGCCACAGGTAACTTCTTGGGCAGCATGTGCAAGGGCCTTGGGGACAGAGGGCTGTGGTACGTTTGATGGACTGTGAACAGAACAGTCAGGCTGTAGTATAGAGAGTGAGGGAAGAGAGTGGTGCAAAATAAAGCTGAAAATATGGGCATATGTCAGGTCATTCAGGACTTTGTAAGGCGTGTGAAGGGTTTGGGTTGTCAGTTGAAGGGTTAGGGAAACCACTGAAGAGATTTAAGTGGGGCACGGTTGTGGAGGGGGGTGGTGACTGTGTAATTTGTAAAGAACACAAAGATTGCAGGGTGGAGAACAGATTGGGAAGGCAGCAAGTATCAATGTAGGAAGACTGGTTAGAAGGTATAAGGAGGTTTTATTTTGTTTTTTTCCTTTGTAGATGGGAGAAACTTGAGTAAGTAAATGTCAGTGGGAAAGATCCAAGCAAGAGAGAAATGCTGAATGAAAAAAAGAAAAAAGAGCTAGTGAAAGCTTCCTGAAAGCCAGTGTAATGATTGGAGCAATTGGCCTTAGAAAGGAGAAGGGCTAATTTTATTCTACAGAAAGGAGAAAAAATGGGATGGGTGCAGATATAAGGGCCCATTTTTGTGGGAGTTCCTGTCTTGTGGCTTTTGTTTTCTGTGTAAAGTAGGAAGTGAGGTCATTTGTTAAGAGTGGAAGGAAAGGTGCAAGATAAAAAAGCAAGTCAGAGATCTGAGGAGACTGGAGAAAGTTTGAGAAATTCACTAGAGAGGTGGGAGAGAGAACTGACAGGTGCTTGTGGAAATCTTGCTGATATGTGTTGAGGACGTGCTGGTTTTGATGTTCATGACTTCACAACAGTGCAGATCCACTCTGTGTGTGGCTTTCATCAGCAATACTTCCGTATTTGGGTTTAGAAAGATTAAGGGAAAAAAGGAAAAAAAGACAGTTGGGTTCAGGCAACACTGGGATCTTGTTAGCAGCTGCTAATATAAAGACAGAAAGGAATGGAGTTTGGGGCCCTGGCAAATATGTTATTGAAATGACATATAATGAAATTCAAGCTTAGAAAGGGGGAATTTGAAAAAGAAGGCTGATAGATTGGAAGAGAGTAGAAGAGTCAATGGAAGGGGCCCTGAAGAAGTTGAAGAACACTTGTAATCTGAGGAGTCGAACTAGCTAGCTGGATAGAAAGGAGTTAGTAGGAAACTGATTTAGTGACTTGGGTGGTAGAGAGGTTTGGGGTGATGACAAGTTCCAGGGTAGTGTTGGGAGACAATTTTCCATGAATATTTTTACGTTTCTGCACAGTCTTGGCTTTCTGAGCAAAGAAAATTGGCAAAAATGGTTAAACAATAATTGAATAGCAAATATGCCTGAGAAGCTAGAAATAGTGTATTGTTCCAGACAGATTTAGAGAATTCGCTGCCATAGAGTCATTTGCATTACATTTCTGGGTAGCAAAAACCTAGGGACCTTTCCCTCACATCCTCAGAGAGGGTTTCTTACATTCCAGAGTGAAAGTCTCTCTCTCTTTCTTTCCAGAAGAAATGAGGGGCAAATGCACTAGCTGCCCTATGTAAGCTCTAAGTCTCATCATTTCGGGGATCCTCTCCTGTGATGCAGCTTTGCTAGAAAGAACTAATATTTGTATTTTTTTGCACCATCTGTTCTGCTGTATCGTGGTAGAAGTCATGTAGGTTCATATGAGATCTTTCTTCCAAGCACCTTAATGTTTTGAAGAGATAAAAGCAAGAAGCAAGCTTTCTTACAATTCATGAAAAAGCCCAATCAATATGCCTCAAGAAACAAAGCTGATGTATAATAAAAATTATTATCCCAGCACATGTTTTTGAATTCCTATAGACTTTAAATAGATTTTAAAGTTGAGATGAAACTGGTCTCTATTAGAAGCAAATGCCCTCAAAGACTTTCCTCTTGAAGAAGGAATTCTAAGTTCCAGTATTTAAAGCTGAAAAAGATCATCCGACTGTGATGCTGGGCAAATGCCACAGAAGATTTAACTCTGCTATTGTCTTGATTGTTTTCATTACACAGTTTTATAAGTTTTCTGGGCTGTATAGACTCTGTTTTTACTGATAAGTCCTATTATTGACAATGCCTGACTTTGCAGAGTTCTAGGTTTTTGAAAACAACGTAGCTTTATGGGAGAATCTGCTGTATTTCTTTCCATCTTTTGCATTAAGTACATAGTTTTTCTTTGATCATAAAAATACATCAGTTTTTCTAAAATTTTTTTTTAATTTTAAAGGATGGTTGATATTGTTACTGTAACTTAAATGACAAGGAACACACTGCCTTCTACATACTAGCACTCATTTAAGCATAATAAACTAAAATTTTATTTAAAAATATCCTGAAAATCCCCCAAAGCATATAAATTACTTACAATTCCAGCACATTTAAAAATGTATTTAAGTAAACCAAAGTTTTACTTCCCTCTGTCCATCTAATTTAATCTTCCGATAACTTCTATAGCAGTTTGAGGTATAGTTTGACTTTTTTTTCTATGCTTATACAGATATATTTATACATATACCAAGTCTATATCTGTCTACATTTCAATGTATGTATCTATGTGTCTAGGTCCCTGCTGATAAACATAGAAAATATGTATATGTGTATGTGTATATATATATATGTATTTCTTTTAATGATAGAATCATGCTACATATATTAAATACTTATTTTTCTTAATGCTATATTACAGGCTTACTTCCAGGTGCATGTAAGTCTATCACATTCTTTGAATGTCCCATAGTGTTCCTTGTGTGGTGTACTGGTTATCACTGCACAACAGATCTCCCTGACTCCACTTTTTGACAGGGGAGTGCCATATGCATACAGGAGAAAAGGAATTGATCGTAGCCACTTGGTGACAAGTACCCTACTCTACCTTCTGGCCACCACAGTTTATCTCTCATGTGAAAAGTACACTAATTTCCTCCTAAAACTGCCCTGAAGTTCTCATCCCATCATAGAAGTAGGCTCAGTCTCAAGATCCAGAATCTCACTATTGAAATCAGGACCAGGTTCAGTACGCTGCATGTACTGTTTCTCAGGTGCAACTTGTTGAGTGTGGTTCCTTACCATCTGAAGGTCCATTAACTAAAGAGACAAGTTATATGGCCCCCAGACCCAAAAAACAATGGTAAAACTGACATAGGATAATACAAAAAAGGGGAGAGCTGCAGCATGCAGCAGTTACTATTTCACAGCAATTCTGAATCTCAGATTGGCACAATAGTGCCAGGTGCCAAATTAGGGCCCAGTCCTGTTACCTAGAAATGGTTCTTCATAGCTCTTATCTCTGCTTTCTGAGTCATTTCTTCTTATCCATAAGAAATGGGTTGTAATTGTTACTGAGTGGTTATCTCAGTTGGCTTGCTGACTGTAGAATGTTGTGGCTCTTTTTATTTTGAACTGTTTCTGTCTCAGTCTAAGCTGATGGTGTTTTTCTAAGTACTAGTCTGTTAACAATTTTGTGCATCGCCTATGAATCTTATTGGGGCTCATTCAATTGGACAAAAGCAATATTTATAAATCTCTTATAGGTAACCTTAAATCTTTCTAAGGTTTCATAAAATGTCTTACAGCCACATCTTTTACTTTATCATAACCCTAAGGCTCTTTCTTACTTTGAGACCCTTCTGTTGGCTACACAGAGGATTCTAGGACCTCTATATTTTCTCCAAACTATATTTTAAAAGGGAACAGTTCTGTCTCCTGCTCATCTCTTTTTATCTACCTTATATGTAGCTAAAAGAAACTTTTTGGCAGAACTTTGAATGTTCTGTCTGGAACTCTCCAGTCAAATTCACCAATTCATTAGAAATATTTTGTATTTTCCACATTGTCATGGGTAAGATATTACCAAACTTTTCACCATTACATAACACTAGTTCTACTTCTTTTAGCCTCCAATAATATTATCCTCATCGTCGTTTCAAGGCCTTCCGGCCTTTGCCCACTGCCTCATCCAAAGCCAATGTCACATGTTTTAGATTTAGATTTTGTTAAGGTAGCACTTCACTTCCAGGTATCAATTTCTGTCATGGCTATCAATGGCCAGATAACCCCTCACTCCAAAAGTTAGTGACTGAAAACAGCTATTTTGTCTCTCACTGTTCTGTGGGTTGACTAAGCTCAGTTGTGTACTTTTCATTTTAAGTTACTAATGAGGTTGCTGTCAAATGGTGGCAGGACTGCAGGACTGGAGTTCAAGGTTTGACTGAGTTGGATATCCAAGGTGACTTCTTCATTTACATATTGTTGGTGGCTCAGCTAGAATGGCTGCAACAGTCTGAGAATAGCAGGTAGTTTCTCCCTCTCCATGTGACTTCTCACAGGACTAGCTTGGGCTTTCTCATAACAGGAAGGTCTCAGTTTATCTGGACTTCTCACATGGCAGCTGGCTTCCCCCAGAGCATGTGTTCCCAGTGACCAGGGTGAAATCTGAAATGCTTAAGACCAATCTTGGATGTTGTATATACTTTTTCTATATTCTATTAGGCACACATGCCAGCCTTGGTTTAATGTGGGAGGGAAATAGACAAGAGCCATACCTTCATCTTTGGAGGTGTGGTTCAGTAGGGGGCCAGTGTTGGAGACTAGTTACCATGTGTGGATATACCATAACTTATTTAACCATTCCCCTATTGGGTTATAATAATTTGGAGTATTTAAATTATTAAATTAAATATTATTTAAGTAATATTAAATTATTTAAAGTTGTAAACTTTAATGCAGAGAACATAATTTTCATGTGCTTTTGTCAGTCTTTAAATGTATGCACAAATCTAATGCTATTGCAATTGAATATACATTTTTAAGAAACTGAGGGCCAGGTGCGGTGGTTCACGCCTGTAATCCCAGCACTTGGGGAGGCCAAGGTGGGTGGATCACCTGAGCCAAGGAGTTCAAGGCCAGCCTGGGCAACACGGTGAAACCCTATCTCTACTAAAATACAAAAAAATTAGCCAAGCTTGGTGGCATGTGGCTGTAATCCCAGCTACTTGGGAGGCTGAGACAGGAGAATCACTTGAACCTGGGAGGGGGAGGTTGCGGTGGGCCGAGATCACGCCATTGCACTCCAGCCTGTCCAGCAACAGAGCGAGACTCCATCTCAAATAAAACAAAACAAAACAAAGGAAAAAAGAAACTGATAACTTTTATTTATTTTACTTAGTTATAAATATAAATATATACATATATACATACATGTGTATATATATATATATATATATATATGTATATATAGTCGGCCCTCCATGTCCATGGGTTCCACATTCATGGATTCAACTGTGAATGGAAAATATTTGGAAAAAATTGCATCTGTAACCGGGCACTGTGGCTCACGCCTCTAATCCTAGCACTTTGGGAGGCCGAGGCGGGCAGATCACGAGGTCGGGAGATCGAGACTATCCTGGTTAACATGGTGAAACCCTGTCTCTACTAAAAATACAAAAAAATTAGCTGGGCGTGGTGGCAGGTGCCTGTAGTCCCAGCTACTCAGGAGGCTGAGGCAGAAGAATGGCATGAACCTGGGAGGCAGAGCTTGCAGTGAGCTGAGATCGCACCACTGCCCTCCAGCCTGGGAGACAGAGCGAGAATCCCTATCAAAAAAAAAAAAAATTGCATCTGTATTAAACATGTAAGACTTTTTCTTGTCATTATTCTCTAAACAATACAGTATAAGTACTCTTCATATAGCATTTACATTGTAGTAGGTATTATAGGTAATCTAGGGATGATTTAAAGCATATGGGAGGATGTACATAGGTTATATGCAAATACTATACCATTTTATATCAGGCACTTGAACATCTGCAGATTTTGGTATCCACAGGAGGTCTAGCAACCAATCCCCCACAGATATTGAGGGATAAATGTATATAATTTATTTATGTATTGTAAAATTTTGTAGAAGAAAAAGTGTGTAAGGCTTGCCAACACATTTTGGAAAAGAATAGTGAAAAGAGATTTGCCCAGATATTTCAGCATACACTAAAGCTACTATAATAAAAATAATGTGGTACTTGCAGAGAAAGACAAGCAAATTATTGGAAAAGAGTAGAATCTAGAAACAGACTCAAGTATATATACACGTCAGTTTAAGATTTAATAATGATGTCATTTCAAATCAATGAGATAACCATGTATCATTAAGAAATTATATTAGGATATCAATGTTTTTTAGAAAAAAATTCTTAGATTTCCTCTCCTAATGTATACAAAAATAGAGATAAACTAAAGACCTAGATATAAAATGTAAACCTATAAAAAGTTTAGAAGAAATTTTGAAGCAAAAGAAAATTTTATTTAACTACATAAAAATTCAAAACTTTTATATGTCAAAACATATTATATTAATTAAAAATTTTTATCATTAAAAGGCAAACAATAAAATGTGCGAATATATTTGTAACACATATAGAAAACAAAAAATAGCTTTATCACACAAAGAGCTTCTATAAATTAATATAAATATTTTTAAAAGAAAGGAAAGACAAACAAGACTAGGTAAAATCCAGAAACAAGCAATCCTTCAAAGAAATACAATGACCAATAAATATGTGGATAATTTTTACCTTCACCTCAACATAAAAACAGTCTGTATTAGTCCATTTTGCATTGCTATAAAGGAATACCTGAGGCTCGGTAATTTATTTTAAAAAGAGGTTTATTTGACTCAAAGTTCTGCTTGGTGCCAGCATCTGTTTGGCTTCTGGTGAAGTCTCAGGAAGCTTTTACTCATGGAAGAAGATGAAGTGGGTGCAGGTGTGTCACATGGTGAGCGAAGGAGAAAGAGAGAGAGATGCCAGGTTCTTTTAAGCAATCAGCTCTCATATGAACTAATAGAGTGAGGACACATTACCGTAGGGAGGGCACCAAGCCATTCATGAGGGATCTGCCCACTAGGCCTCATCTCCAACATTGGGGATCAAATTCCAACATGAAATTTGGAGGGTACAAATATCCAAACTATATCATTCTGCCCTTGGCCCCCCAAATCTCATGTCCTTCTCACATTGTAAAATACAATAATCCCTTGCCAATAGTCCCCCAAAGTCTTAACTCGTTCTAGAATTAACTCAAAAGTTCAAAGTCCAAAGTCTCTTCTGAGACTCAAGGCAAGTTCTTTCTTTCTTTACCACATGGCCAGGCTGTGAATTTTTCAAACTTTTATACTCTGCTTTTCTTTTAATTATAAGTTCTAATTCAAAGTCATTCCTTTACTCCCATATCTGATCATAGATTGTTAGAAGTAAGCATGCCACTTCTTAAATGCTTTGCTCCTTAGAAATTTCTTCCACCAGATTCCCTAGGTCATCACTCTTAAGTTCAACCTTCCATAAATCCCTAGGGTATGGGCACAATGCTGGCAAGTTCTTTGCTAGGATGTAACGAGGGTAACCTTTGCTCCAGTTCCCAAGAAGTTCCTCATTTCTGAGACCTCATCAGCCTGGCCTTTACTGTGCATATCTCTATCGACATTTTGCTCAATACCACTTAACCAGTCTCTAAGAAATTCCAAACTTTCCCTTGTCCACTTGTCTTCTTCTAGGCTCTCCAAAGTCTTCTAATCTCTGCACATTACCCAGTTCCCAAAGCCAATTCCACATTTTCAGGTATCTTTATAGCACCACTCATTCTTGGTATCAATTTTCTGTATTAGTCCATTTTGCATTGCTATAAAGGCATACCTGAGGCTGGGTAATTTATGAAGAAAATAGGTTTATTTGGCTCACGATTGTGGATGGTGCTAGCATCTTCTTGGCTTCTGGTGAGGTCTCAAGAAGCTTTAACTCATGGCAGAAGGCAAAAGGGAAGCAGGCATGTCACATGGTGAGAGGGAGAAAGAGATAAATGCTAAGCTTTTTGAAGCAACCAGCTCTCATGTGAACTCATAAAGTGAGAACTCACTCATTACCATGGGGAGGGCATAGAGTCATTCCTGAGGGCTCTGCCCACACAACCCAAACACCTTCCACCAGGCCCCACCTCCAACAATGGGGATTACATTTCAGCATGAGATTTGGAGGGGACAAATACCCAAACTGTATCACAACCCAAATTAAAGTATCCAGGTATACTTTTTCCCTTATCAAATTGCTTTAAAACCTGCAATATCCTGTGCTGGTGAGAATGAGGAGAAGTGAGAACTTTCATACACTTTTGCTGGAATTGCATATATAAATTTTGACACAGAAATTTCATATCTAGAAACTTATCCCATGGAAATAACAGCACGACGTTTTTATTATTTAATTTCATCTCAGGAGCATTTCCCCATACTAGTAAATAGTTTTTAAAACAATTATTATTTTTTTCTACCAATTGTGTATTTCTTCTTTCCATGGTGATGACATAATTTCTTTAAGTAT
Source organism: Homo sapiens (assembly GCF_000001405.40). Classification (NCBI taxonomy): domain Eukaryota; kingdom Metazoa; phylum Chordata; class Mammalia; order Primates; family Hominidae; genus Homo; species Homo sapiens. The sequence continues at coordinate 50,502,036 of NC_000013.11, forward strand.
TTTCCTATTATTGGGCATTTGTGTCATTTTGAATATTCTGCTTTTAGGTTTAAGAGACATATAACCAAATCAGATAATGAGTATTGTTTAGATCCTGATTGAAACAAATAGTACAAAGGCATTTTCAAGATTACCTGGAAATTTTGAATATTTAAAGGGTGTTCAATGATACAAAATTAGTATTAATTTGTTTTGTGTTATATTGGCTTTCTTGGATTGGTGTCACATCGATCTCTCTACTCTTTGCTTGGAGAATTCAATTGTTTACCTCTATATCCTGCATTTTCAAGAATGATAAGAAGAAGAAGTCACATTTTGATTGTCCCTTTCCAAGGGAGGGAAACCCCAGGGATCTAAAGCCCTATTTAGCTCCTTGGGGAACGGGAAGGGATGGGGGGATACATTCTTTAAAATTCTTTCTTATTCTGTTAAGCCAGTAAGAAATTAGGATTGCTTATTTGTTAACCTGGTCTCCTTGCTACAGTTTTTGGGAGACATGTTTGCCAATAATTTAAGTTCTAAAATAATGCCCTTAAATGAACAAAAAAATTGTGTTTATTAAATACAAACCAACTAGTGAACAATTGAGGCTTAGGTGAGAATTGGGTCAATGGAATGAGAAGTATATTTTTTCTCATTTCTTTTAGTGTGAAAATAAGGTCATTCTTTGCATTATAAATAGTACATGTTTATTATAGGTAATATCAATAATGTCCGTACTATCACTATTCAAAGATACTAATATTTTAGTGTCTTTTCATCCTGTCTTTTTCCAGGTGTAGTTATTATTCAATTTATAATTTGGCATCCTACCATATATATAATTTAACATCTACTCTTTTAACGTAAGTATTTCTTAATATTATCATAAATTCTTGTATAACATTCTTTTTAATGACTCCATAATATTCTACCAAGTATATATATATTACTACATATAATAGTATTACATATATAATAGTTTAACTATCTTACTATTATCAGAAAAATAATATATTTACTATAAAACTTTTTTTAATACTTTAAGTGTTAGGGTACATGTGCACAACGTGCAGGTTAGTTACATATGTATACATGTGCCATGTTGGTGTGCTGCACCCATTAACTCGTCATTTAACATTAGGTATATCGTCTCATGCTATCCCTCCCCCCCTCCCCCCACTCCACAACAGGCCCTGGTGTGTGATGTTCCCCTTCCTGTGTCCATGTGTTCTCATTGTTCAATTCCCACCTATGAGTGAGAACATGTGGTGTTTGGTTTTTTGTCCTTGCCATAGTTTGCTGAGAATGATGGTTTCCAGCTTCATCCATGTCCCTACACAGGACATGAACTCATCCTTTTTTATGGCTGCATAGTATTCCATGGTGTATATATGCCACATTTTCTTAATCCAGTCTAACATTGTTGGACATTTGGCATGGTTCCAAGTCTTTGCTATTGTGAATAGCACCACAATAAACATACATGTGCATGTGTCTTTATAGCAGCATGATTTATAATCCTTTGGGTATATACCCAGTAATGGGATTGCTGGGTCAAATGGTATTTCTAGTCCTAGATCCCTGAGGAATCGCCACACTGACTTCCACAATGGTTGAACTAGTTTACAGTCCCACCAACAGTGTAAAAGTGTTCCTATTTTCCACATCCTCTCCAGCACCTGTTGTTTCCTGACTTTTTAATGATCGCCATTCTAACTGGTGTGAGATGGTATCTCACTGTGGTTTTGATTTGCATTTCTCTGATGGCCAGTGATGATGAACATTTTTTCATGTGTCTTTGGGCTGCGTAAAAGTCTTCTTTTGAGAAGTGTCTGTTCATATCCTTCGTCCACTTTTTGATGGGGTTGTTTGTTTTTTTCTTGTAAATTTGTTTGAGTTCATTGTAGATTCTGGATATTAGCCCTTTGTCAGATGAGTAGATTGCAAAAATTTTCTCCCATTCTGTAGGTTGCCTATTCACTCTGATGGTAGTTTCTTTTGCTGTGCAGAAGCTCTTTAGTTTAATTAGATCCCATTTGTCAATTTTGGCTTTTGCTGCCATTGCTTTTGGTGTTTTAGACATGAAGTCCTTGCCCATGTCTATGTCCTGAATGGTATTGCCTAGGTTTTCTTCTAGGGCTTTTATGGTTTTATGTCTAACATTTAAGTCTTTAATCCATCTTGAATTAATTTTTGTATAAAGTGTAAGGAAGGGATCCAGTTTCAGCTTTCTACATATGGCTGGCCAGTTTTCCCAGCACCATTTATTAAATAGGGAATCATATCCCCATTTCTTGCTTTTGTCAGGTTTGTCAAAGATCAGATGGTTGTAGATATGTGGCATTATTTCCGAGGGCTCTGTTCTGTTCCATTGGTCTAGATCTCTGTTTTGGTACCAGTACCATGCTGTTTTGGTTACTGTATCCTTGTAGTATAGTTTGAAGTCAGGTATCGTGATGCCTCCAGCTTTGTTCTTTTGGCTTAGGATTGACTTGGCAATGCGGGCTCTTTTTTGGTTCCATATGAACTTTAAAGTAGCTTTTTCCAATTCTGTGAAGAAAGTCATTGGTAGCTTGATGGGGATGGCATTGAATCTATAAATTACCTTGGGCAGTATGGCCATTTTCACGATATTGATTCTTCCTACCCATGAGCATGGAAGGTTCTTCCATTTGTTTGTATCCTGTTTTATTTCATTGAGCAGTGATTTGTTGTTCTCCTTGAAGAGGTCCTTCACATCCCTTGTAAGTTGGATTCCTAGGTATTTTATTCTCTTTGAAGCAATTGTGAATGGGAGTTCACTCATGATTTGGCTCTCTGTTTGTCTGTTATTGGTGTATAAGAATGCTTGTGATTTTTGCACATTGATTTTGTATCCTGAGACTTTGCTGAAGTTGCTTATCAGCTTAAGGAGATTTTGGGCTGAGATGATGGGGTTTTCTAGATATACAATCACGTCATCTGCAAACAAGGACAATTTGACTTCCTCTTTTCCTAATTGAATACCCTTTATTTCCTTCTCCTGCCTGATTGCCCTGGCCAGAACTTCCAACACTATGTTGAATAGGAGTGGTGAGAGAGGGCATCCCTGTCTTGTGCCAGTTTTCAAAGGGTATGCTTCCAGTTTTTGCCCATTCAGTATGATATTGGCTGTGGGTTTGTCATAGATAGCTCTTTTTATTTTGAGATATGTCCCATCAATACCTAATTTATTGAGAGTTTTTAGCATGAAGAGTTGTTGAATTTTGTCAAAGGCCTTTTCTGCATCTGTTGAGATAATCATATGGTTTTTGTCTTTGGTTCTGTTTATATGCTGGATTACGTTTATTGATTTGCATATATTGAACCAGCCTTGCATCCCAGTGATGAAGCCCACTTGATCATGGTGGATAAGCTTTTTGATGTGCTGCTGGATTCGTTTTGCCAGTATTTTATTGAGGATTTTTGCATTGATGTTCATCAGGTATATTGGTCTAAAATTCTCTTTTTTTTTGTTGTGTCTCTACCAGGCTTTGGTATCAGGATGATGCTGGCCTCATGAAATTAGGGAGGATTCCCTCTTTTTCTATTGATTGGCATAGTTTCAGAAGGAATGGTACCAGCTCCTCCTTGTACCTCTGGTAGAATTCGGCTGCGAATCCATCTGGTCCTGCACTTTTTTTGGTTGGTAAGCTATTAATTATTGCCTCAATTTCAGATCCTGTTATTGGTCTATTCAGAGATTCAACTTCTTCCTGGTTTAGTCTTGGGAGGGTGTATGTGTCGAGGAATTTATCCATTTCTTCTAGATTTTCTAGTTTATTTTCATAGAGGTGTTTATAGTATTCTCTGATGGTAGTTTGTATTTCTGTGGGATCAGTGGTGATATCTTTATCATTTTTTATTGTGTCTATTTGATTCTTCTCTCTTTTCTTCTTTATTAGTCTTGCTAGCGGTCTATCAATTTTGTTGATCTTTTCAAAAAACCAGCTCCTGGATTCATTGATTTTTTGAAGGGTTGTTTGTGTCTCTATTTCCTTCAGTTCTGCTCTGATCTTAGTTATTTCTTGCCTTCTGCTAGCTTTTGAATGCGTTTGCTCTTGCTTCTCTAGTTCTTTTAATTGTGATGTTAGGGTGTCAATTTTAGATCTTTCCTGCTTTCTCTTGTGGGCATTTAGTGCTATAAATTTCCCTCTACACACTGCTTTGAATGTGTCCCAGAGATTCTGGTATGTTGTGTCTTTGTTCTCGTTGGTTTCAAAGAACATCTTTATTTCTGCCTTCATTTCATTATGTACCTAGTAGTCATTCAGGAGCAGGTTGTTCAGTTTCCATGTAGTTGAGCGGTTTTGAGTGAGTTTGTTAATCCTGAGTTCTAGTTTGATTGCACTGTGGTCTGAGAGATAGTTTGTTATAATTTCTGTTCTTTTACATTTGCTGAGGAGTGCTTTACTTCCAACTATGTGGTCAATTTTGGAATAAGTGCGATGTGGTGCTGAGAAGGATGTACATTCTGGTGATTTGGGGTGGAGAGTTCTGTAGATGTCTATTAGGTCTGCTTGGTGCAGAGCTGAGTTCAACTCCTGGATATCCTTGTTAACTTTCTGTCTTGTTGATCCTTCTAATGTTGACAGTGGGGTGTTAAAGTCTCCCATTATTATTGTGTAGGAGTCTAAGTCTCTTTCTAGGTCTCTAAGGACTTGCTTTATGAATCCGGGTGCTCCTGTATTGGGTGCATATATATTTAGGATAGTTAGCTCTTCTTGTTGAATTGATCCCTTTACCATTATATAATGGCCTTCTTTGTCTCTTTTGATCTTTGTTGGTTTAAAGTCTGTTTTACCAGAGACTAGGATTGCAACCCCTGCCTTGTTTTGTTTTCCATTTGCTTGGTAGCTCTTCCTCCATCCCTTTATTTTGAGCCTATGTGTGTCTCTGCACGTGAGATGGGTTTCCTGAATACAGCACACTGATGGGTCTTGACTATCCAATTTGCCAGTCTGTGTCTTTTAATTGGAGCATTCAGCCCTTTTACATTTAAGGTTAATATTATTATATGTGAATTTGATCCTGTCATTATGATGTTAGCTGGTTATTTTGCTCGTTAGTTGATGCAGTTTCTTCCTAGCCTCGATGGTCTTTACAATTTGGCATGTTTTTGCAGTGGCTCGTACCAGCTGTTCCTTTCCATGTTTAGTGCTTCCTTCAGGAGCTCTTTTAGGGCAGGCCTGGTGGTGACAAAATCTCTCAGCATTTGCTTGTCTGTAAAGGATTTTATTTCTCCTTCACTTATGAAGCTTAGTTTGGCTGGATATGAAATTCTGGGTTGAAAATTCTTTTCTTTAAGAATGTTGAATATTGGCCCCCACTCTCATCTGGCTTATAGAGTTTCTGCCGAGAGATCAGCTGTTACTCTGATGGGCTTCCCTTTGTGGGTAACCCAACCTTTCTCTCTGGCTGCCCTTAACATTTTTTCCTTCATTTCAACTTTGGTGAATCTGACAGTTATGTGTCTTGGAGTTGCTCTTCTCGAGGAGTATCTTTGTGGCGTTCTCTGTATTTCCTGAATTTGAATGTTGGCCTGCCTTGCTAGATTGGGGAAGTTCTCCTGGATAATATCCTGCAGAGTGTTTTCCAACTTGGTTCCATTCTCCCCGTCACTTTCAGGTACACCAATCAGACGTAGATTTGGTCTTTTCACATAGTCCCATATTTCTTGGAGGCTTTGTTCTTTTCTTTTTATTCTTTTTTCTCTAAACTTCTCTTCTTGCTTCATTTCATTCATTTGATCTTCCATCACTGATACCCTTTCTTCCAGTTGATCAAATCGGCTACTGAGGCTTGTGCATTCATCACGCAGTTCTCGTGCCTTGGTTTTCAGCTCCATCAGGTCCTTTAAGGACTTCTCTGCATTGGTTCTTCTAGTTAGCCATTCGTCTAATTTTTTTTTCAAGGTTTTTAACTTCTTTGCCGTGGGTTGGAACTTCATCCTTTAGCTTGGAGTAGTTTGATCGTCTGAAGCCTTCTTCTCTCAACTTGTCAAAGTCATTCTCCGTCCAGCTTTGTTCTGTTGCTGGTGAGGAGCTGCGTTCCTTTGGAGGAGGAGAGGTGCTCTGATTTTTAGAGTTTCCAGTTTTTCTGCTCTGTTTTTTCCCCATCTTCATGGTTTTATCTACCTTTGGTCTTTGATGATGGTGACGTACAGATGGGGTTTTGGTGTGGATGTCCTTTCTGTTTGTTAGTTTTCCTTCTAAGAGTCAGGACCCTCAGCTGAAGGTCTGTTGGAGTTTGCTGGAGGTCCACTTGAGACCCTGTTTGCCTGAGTATCAGCAGCAGAGGCTACAGAACAGTGGATATTGGTGAGCAGCAAATGTTTCTGCCTGATCGTTCCTCTGGAAGTTTTGTCTCAGGGGAGTACCCGGCCATGTGAGGTGTCAGTCTGCCCCTACTGGGGGGTGCCTCCCAGTTAGGCTACTTGGGGGTCAGGGACCCACTTGAGGAGGCAGTCTGTCCGTTCTCAGATCTCAAGCTGCCTGCTGGGAGAACCACTACTCTCTTCAAAGCTGTCAGACAGGGACATTTAAGTCTGCAGAGGTTTCTGCTGCCTTTTGTTCAGCTATGCCCTGCCCCCAGAGGTGAGGTCTACAGAGGCAGGCAGGCCTCCTTGAGCTGCGGTGGGCTCCACCTAGTTCGAGCTTCCCGGTTGCTTTGTTTACCTACTCAAGCCTCAGCAATGGTGGGCGCCCCTCCCCCAGCCTCACTGCCACCTTGCAGTTTGATCTCAGACCGCTGTGCTAGCATGAGCGAGGCTCTGTGGGCGTAGGATCCTCCGAGCCAGGCACAGGATATAATCTCCTGGTGTGCCATTTGCTAAGACCATTGGAAAAGCACAGTATTAGGGTGGGAGTGACCCAATTTTCCAGGTGCCATCTGTCACCCCTTTCTTTGACTAGGAAAGGGAATTCCCTGACCCCTTGTGCTTCCCGGTTGAGGCGATGCCTTGCCCTGCTTTGGCTCACACTGGGTGCACTGCACCCACTGTCCTGCACCCACTTTCCAGCACTCGCCAGTGAGATGAGCCCAGTACCTCAGTTGGAAATGCAGAAATCACCTGTCTTCTGCATCGCTCACGCTGGGAGCTCTAGACTGGAGCTGTTCCTATTTGGCCATCTTCACTATAAAACCTTTTGAATACAAGTTTTATTTTTCTTATTTCAGATTTCTTATTTCTTATTTCCTTAGCAAAGTCCAAATCCTTTTTTTTTTTTTTTTGATACAGGGTCTCACTGTTGCCCAGGCTGGAATGCAATAGAGCAGTCATGGCTCACTGTAGCCTTGACCTCTTGGGCTCAAGCAATCCTCCCACACAGCCTGCTGAGTAGCTGGGACCACAAGTGTGTGCCATTATGCCTGGCTAATTTTTAAACATATTTTCAGAGATGAGGTCTCCCTATGTTTCCCTGGCTGGTCTCAAGCTCCTGAGCTCAAGCCATCTTTCCTCTTCAGCCCCCCAAATTGTTGGGATTACAGGCCTTAACCACCTTGCCCAACTCAGTTTTCAATATTTGCTAACCACTTGTATTGTCTCTTGAGGACTATATGTTCATATCATTTACATATGTATTTATCTTTTGGATCCTACAGCTTTATTTAAATATTAATTATGTGACTTAGTTTCTGTGACTATTTTTTTCCCATTTGTTGAGTAATTTTTAAGATTGTTTAGTCTCTTATGAATGGAGTAATTTTTTATTTTTATATACAAAATCTATAAATCTTCTAGTTTGTGATTTCTCCAACTTGATTTTAAAATGTTAGATTCAATGACATAGAAAAAATTCCTTGAGCACAAAGCTGATTTCTAGACCTTAGAGTAGGAGCCTACAAGGGTTTTCCCTCTCTTTTATCAAGTTGAGAGAGAAGGGAAGATGACACATGGGACTGGTATGAGGGCCTTTAAAATCAGAGCAACCAATGCCAGAGAGATTGATGGTATTCTTGAAGGGAGTGGGAGGAGGCAATTAGAACACTTAGGTTAATTGCACTGGATGGATAAGGAATGGCAAAGTGGAGTGGCCCAGCCATGGCATTCCACCTAGTTAGGCTGCAAATGATCACACCTGAGCTACTCTGCTGTGTCTCTTCTTCCCTACTCAGGGAAATCTCCAGCCCTCTCTGGTTCCCACCCCCAGCTCTGTAGTATTACTATAGTGTCTGTAACATCAGCTGTAGCTGGGCATAAAATGATGCAACACCAGCCTGTCTCTGCTTCTCATGGGTTCAGGAAGTGGTCTTTCATTTATCATCGACCACTTAGTACCAGCCACCTACCGTGAGAAGCAAAACAGACAAGAAGGAAAGAAATGGGCAGATTGGGGATATATTTTGAGGGTATACTTGAGAGGATTTGTTGAAGGATTGGAGGTAGTGTATGAGAAAGATGAACAAGGATGTTCTCAAGACCGGAGCAAGAAGTTGCCATATCCTGAGATGAGATAAGTAGCAGGAGAAGAAAGTTTCAAGGGTGGTAATCAGGAGATCAATTTCTGCACACATTAGGTTTGATAGGCCTTGCGATGTCCAAATGGAGATACATGGGCCTGAAGGGAGATTATGGGGCTGGAGTTCAGAAGGGAGATCCAGGGTGGAGATTTGTCAACAAATAGGTGGATGACAGCATCCAGGAGACAGAGTGACTAGAAAAGTAAAGAGGATGGAAGAATGAGTGCTGGGACTTTCCACTGGCACATAATTTAGAGGGCGAAAAGACGAGAATAAACCAGCAAAGGTGACGGGGGAGCAGCAACCAGTGAGGTAAGGGGAAAGCCAGGAGAGTGTGGTGGTATCCTGGAAGCCAAGGGAAGAAAGTTTATCAAGCAGGAAAGAGTGATCTGCTGGGTTAAATGCCGCTTAATGGTAAATATTGAGTGTCAACTTGATAGGATTGAAGGATGCAAAGTATTGTTCCTGGGTGTGTCTGTGGGGATGTTGCCAAAGGAGATTAACATTTGAGTCAGTGGACTGGGAGGCACAGACCCCACCATCAGTCTTGGTGGGCACAATCTAATCAGCTGCCAGCACAGCTAGGATAAAAGCAGGCAGAAGAATGTGGAAGGACTAGACTGGCTGAGTCTTCTGGTCTCCATCTTTCTCTTGTGCTGAATGCTTCCTGCCCTCAAACATCAGACTCCAAGTTCTTGGACTCTTGGACTTACACCAGTGGTTTGCCAGGGGCTCTTGGGCCTTTGGCCACAGACTGAAGGCTACACTGTCAGCTTTCCTGCTTTTGAGGTTTTGGGACTCAGACTGGCTTCCTGGCTTCTTAGCTTGCAGATGGCCTATTGTGAGACTTAACCTTGTGATCATGTGAGTCAGTTCTCCTAACAAACTCCCCTTCATACATTCATCTGTCCAATTAGTTCTGTCCCTTTAGAGAACATTGACTAATACAGTGTGACAGGTCAAGCAAGTGATAGGCTGAGAATTGACCTCTAGATAGAGCAAATTATTGGAGACTTTGATAAGAGCAGTGTCAGTTGAGTGGTGAAGGCAAAACCCTGAGACATGGGTTCAAAAGAGGATGGAAGGAGGAGAAATTGGGGCTGTACAGAACTGGGGCATAAAAATGGCCTATATCTGAAAATAACTCCAAAAATTTATTATTAAAATTAATTTCATTTGTTTCTTTTTAAATTTTTTTCATGTGGCTACTAGAAAAATTAAAATGACAGATGTGGCTCACATTATATGGCTACTGGACAGCACTGATATAAATTATGCTTTTCATAGTTTTATCATAAAGGGGACCAGAAGATGGGATGGTAGCTGGTGGTGAAGTGGGGTAAAGAGAAACTTTTTTCCCCTGAAATGGGAGAATTGCAGCATGTTTGTATGTGGGAATAATATAGTCAAAAGTAGAAGTTGATGATGCAGCAGAAGAGACAGGGGACAAATGATGTCCTGGAGTAGGTGAGTGCATTTGGGTTCCAGCGCATAGGTGGAGGGTGGCCGAAGGGTTATGGACTGTTCATACAGAGTGACAGGAGAGGAAGCAGAATGTGAGGTTTGCAAACAAAGGTGAGTATTTATGGACATGGGAGTGCTTGGAAGTTCCTCTTTTGTAATCTTAGTGACATAGGGAGCCAGTCTTCAGCTGAGAAAAGAGGATGGGGGAGGAGGTTCTCTTCTGACATACACTATAGACCACAGAATTTGGAAAAAAAAAAAAAAAGCTTGCTACTAGGTCACTTAGAAGACAAGGAGGGGACAATGTAGGGTGTAGGGTACTTCGGATTTGCTGGTGGTTCATTACCGGAAACAAAAAATGAAACAACCCATTGGAGACATGTTCCCACTCGGTCATCTTGTCTCCTTCGTTTCTTGGATCCCAGTTTTTTTGTCTGTCTGTTTATTTGTTTGTTTTATCAAAGCAGAAAATAAAAACTCCAATTCTCTCCTCCTCAGTTTGCTTGGTGTTCAACATAGTTCCTCCTGCTGCGGGCCAGCTTGGTTTCTTTAAACTTTAATTGCCACAAAAACGTTTGCACTCAGAGCCCTAAATCTTCCAAGTCCTCCTTTTGTGTTTCTTGTTTTCCTCCTCTTTTTCTGCCTTCAGGAAAGAAGTGAGATGATGATGGCTCTGTCTCAGCAGCTCTCGGGGGGACCTGCAGGCTGGGGAGGCAGCTTCTCTCTGCAATTTGGCCGCTCCTGGACTTGTTGCAGCCAGGCTTCAAAGAGAAACCACCGCTTCCTCCCCGAGCCCCACGCCAGCCTCAGAGGCAGCTGGGCCTATTGAAACATTCAAGTTTCACTTCAGGCTACTTTAAACATTTGCTTTATTCCAAAACAGCTAAACTTGGAGTTATTTTCAAATATAGGCCATTTTTATGCCCCAGTATATTGTGTGGTTTTGAAGGCTTTTTTCATATCATTAGCTGCAACCCCCAAAGGTTAAAAATAATGATTAAGTAAAATCTTTACACGGATTCCTCTGCTCCCTGGAGGGGACACTGGGCAGTGTCCAAACTGCCAGACAAGCCAAGCTGTGACAATAGTGACTTAGCTTGCGACTCTTAGGGTTGTCCAAATGATTATATTCTTGTGGGGAGGAACGTGAAAGGGGGCTGAAGAGAACAGTGTAAGACACAAATTTGGTTTGGGGTTTGGCGAGGATCAAGATTTTTAAAATGGCTCGTGTGCTGAATTCATTTTTTTTTTCTTGCTGTCTTAGAGTAACAATCACATAAACATACTCTGAGTTTATTTTCTGTGAAATAGTTGCAGTTCACCTTTCAGCTGATAAGCATCTGCCCCTAGAAAACCATAAAAAATGGAAGAGTTTACAAGAGGTTGTGAGTTGGCACAACCAGGCAGGGGAGGAGAAAGCACTTAGGACAAGTAAATATTTTACAGCACCTATATTTTCAGACTGTCGCTGCTTCCAAGGCCAGCCTCCTCTCGCTCCTGGCTCACTGCTCCTTTCCCTTACTTTTCCTGGGGCTTGCTTTCTTTCTGTCTTCTTATTTTTTTAATCTCAAAGTTAATATTTCCATTTAATTCTACCTGCTTCCTCCAGTAGTTAACATGCTAGTTAGCTATTTAAACATTTTATAGATTTCTCTGAGCTTGTCATAATTATTTTCTTGGCTGAGCCTTCTGGAGTCATTCCATGTCAGGAGACAGTCTGAAATAGAAAGACAGCAACTTTAGGGTGGGTGCAGCTGGGTTACACCTGTTGCTAAACAAAACAGGATTTATGAAAACATAAACTAAAACAAGTAAAGCAAATCAGAAAAAAAAGACAGTAAGCAGCCTGCCCTGGTAAATTGCATGCTTCTTTTACTGTTGTCCTCTTTGTGTGAGAGATTTGTTTGGGTTTTGGAAGGGACACTTCAATGCACAACCTCTGTAATCCTCAATAAATTCAGTTAGGGTGAAGCAAATCATACCAAGAGGAGGCTCCTAAGTCAAACAGAATGATTTTTTTTTTGGCGCTAAGGGGTGTTTGAATTTTGACAGCTTGTTCTACATTTTAACAATGGAAGCTATGATGGAACAAAACATATTTCTAGACATTGTTGCTTTTTATTTTTAGTGTAGGGTTAAGTGTTAGTGTTAAACATTTTTTGAAAATAAATAAATTTTCTCAATTTTTATAATGCTGAAAAATTAATGACCATATGGTAAAATACTCTGACTGTGGGTGGAATGCAAGGCATCGAAGGACATTACCTAATGGAGGTGGGCGTAGTTTTCCTTGACTCCATAAAGGATTTTAAAATCCAACTGGGCTTAATGTTCCATCTAAATCTGCATTCCATGGCATCATGTCGGTTCACCATAAAAATTAGAGAAAGTTTCTATTGATCAAGAAAGAAGAAAGAAAGAGAGAAAGAAAGAGAAAGAAAGAAAAAAGAAAAGGAAGAAAGAAAAGGGAAGAAAGAAAGAAAGAAAAGAGAGAAAGAAAGGAAGAAAGAAAGAAGGAAAGAAAGAAAGAAAAGAAAGGGAGGAAGGGAGGAAGGAAGGAGAGAGAAAAGAGACATAATTGCTCTATTGTGAAGATTAATCAACTTTATAAAGGAATAAAAATATTTCATAGGGACGTGGTAAAGATTCTTTTGTGAGGGTTTCCCACTTTCTGCTGGAGTGTATAGACCACTTAAGGTAGTCACATCAGGAAAGGGTGAGAACTTTGCCCTTGGACAACAAGAAGATTTTCTTTGCATTTTTTTCAAGAGGCCCAGTTTTTCAAGGGCCTATGACAAAAGTCTGGAGGTAATGAGAAAAGATGCAGACGTGATGATTAGAAAGCTGGTTCTCAGTGTTTGTTTAGTGAATATTAGATTGAGCTTTTCCAGCGTTTAACTCTTGCAGTTAAGAGTTAAGAGTGGTAAGGGGAGCACTGAGTGCTGATTCAAAGGCCAGATAGCATTTTGCAGCTGTGGGGCTACGCACTGGGCCCTGGCCAATGCACCTCATCCCTGCTTTTGCTGGATTTTAACAGGCACCACAGGACCCTTGGCTGCTTAGGCAGCCAACTTTGCTAAATTGCTTCATGGTTTCCATGATGTGAGCTGAAGTCCACCACAGCTAGGTTGGCATCTTTGCATTCATTTCCTTCATGTCCCATTGTAAGTTAAGTCATAAACTGGTACTTCAGACAGTAAAAAGATGGTTCCTTGCCATGCATACTTTGATCTTACTCTGGTGGGAATCATTCCCTTGCCTTATAACTGGCATCTGAACTGATGATACCAACTTTGTAAATGTTTTAAATTTTTGTGGTAAAAAACACATAACATAAAATTTACCATCTTAACCATTTCTAAGTGTACAGTTCAGTAGTGTTAAGTATGTTCATATTGTTGTGCAGCCAATCTCCAAAACTTTTTCATCTTGCAAATCTAAAACTATATACCTCTTAAACTACAATTCTCCATTCTCCCCTTCCCCAAGCCCTGGCAACTACCTTTTTATGTTCTGTTTCTGTGAATTTGACCACTCTAGATAACTTTTAAGTGGAATTATACAGTATTTTTCTTTTTGTAACTGGTTTATTTCACTTTGCATAATGTCATCAAGATTCATCCATGTTGTAGCATGTGTCAGAATTTCCTTCCTTTGAAAGCCTGGACAATATTCCATTGTATGGATAGGCCACATGTTGTTCATTCATTCCTTGAGGGATACTTGGTTGCTTCTACATCCAACTCTATATTTTAGTATTCAACATAATCTGAGGGGTGATATTGTTCTATTAATATTTCTATAACTATTTGTCCCATGACCTCAATTGTTAATAACTGTTGATATGAGGCATCTTTGCCCTCCCAAAATCCCTTTACTAATGTTAAGACAGAGTATCAAACTTGAAATAAGGCAGTAGAATAGCCTCAGTTTTCACGGTCTTGTAAGAGCATTTTCTAAAAGACCTACCCAAAGATGACCTGATTCTCTAGGGGAATGTATCTTATTTGACATATTATTTGTTACTAATTAAGGCTCAGACTCTATGAGATGACATGCTAATTTGTAGGATTTTATTCAGTAGTGATGCAAGTGATTTTGGTCTGGTAAAAAAAAAAAAGGATGACTTTAAAGGTTATACTTTTATTGCCAAGTATAGTATTAACTAGTGTTCTGTCTAACCCAGCAATCTTATTCCAACATTCATTCTCAGATGCCCGCATATATTTAGTTTCTCAAATACTCTTTGCACTGGTTTTATCATTCTGCTCGTTACCTCATTAATGAATTACGTAAATATTTGCCACATGCTTATGTTTATATGCAAGCCATAGTTATAACTTTAAAAAATTATGTTTTGAATTTCTTTCCTGCCAGAGCAGCCAGCATAAATAACTGCATTCTTCATTTCAGTGAAGTTTTTGTTGCTAAGCCATAGAGGGGCCAGGTGATGTCAGAACAGTTAAGCATGAGACCTACACTAGGAAAAAGTAGGAAATGGCTTTCTGCTAAATGTAATTATAGAATAAGTTCTTTTTTTTTTTGAAAGAAGACTGACCAACAACACAACAACAAATTTAGCTTATAAATATGTTCCAGCATTTTAATCTAATACAAGGGCAAAGTAAACCTCTGTGTTGATGTTTGGGCCGAAAACTACCAGCCTCCTCAACTCAACTATGCAAACATCAGGCCAGGAGGCTGCAGAGACCTCAAGGTGTGTTTCCCAAAAGGCATAGTAGAGAGGCTAGCTACACTCACATAGATCTGCAGTTGCAACAGAGGATATAAAAAAATAAATAAAAGGCAAAGTTTCCATAAACTCTGCATTTTCATACCCACCTGCAGCCAAACCTTCTTAATGTGGAGATGTGCCTGTTTCTTGCAAAGGGTTTACTATTATGGTTCTGCTCTGTGCTGGAAAAGTGCAAATGACTATGGACAGCATGCCAAAAAACAGTCCCTGCTGATTCTTTTCAACTCAGGGGCATGTGTGTGTGCACATTTGTGTGTGTGTGTGTGCATGCCTGTCTGTGTGGGGGGTGTTACTATACCATACAGACACACAGCCTGCCGTTTTAAGTGTCCCAGAGATCAATTTATTCAACATTTAGTGACGAGAGGTAGCTCATTTAAAGGGTTAGTCCCTAAAGATTAGGAACTGATTCTCAAGAATGGAGGTAATATATCTTGGTTGCCTTCTAATTCCCAGGTATTCCTCAAAGACAGACCAGCATAAATTAATCAATGCCTCTCTGAATTCTGCAAAATTTGTTTTTTCTTTTGTCCCACGTGAGAGTGAATGTTAAGATAAATGGTTATTTCTGGACTAAAATTAAAGGAAGTTGAGAAAAGCAAATGATGTATTTCAGTGAGTTAGTAGAAGGCCAGAGGGAATTCTGTTAAAAGCCTCCCCTACAGCTTAATGATTGTCACATTGCAAACTCTACCTTGATAAAAAGAAAAATTTTAAACTATGACCTCCCTTAATTTTCTCCATCTATGTGTGGGAGCTCTCCTCTGTGAGTTCATCTGTTTGAATTTGACTCTGAATGATTCAATCAGCCAGTGTTGCACCATAATTTGGTAGCCCTTTGGCTAAATGCAAAGGGTTGGTGGTCTCACCCTGGGTATATGCAGACATCTCCCTGGCATTGTTACATTACCCTGTGGAGTCAGGGGATGACAGATGAAGAAAATTTCTCTGCTGAAGTTAGTGAGGCCCCCTCCATTTCTAGGAAATCCTTAATTTTGTTCTTACAATTTAACGAATCTCTGCTTTTCATGCAATCTTTGTATTTAGGGTCATTCCAGTCTTTTAAACAAAATTGGTATACAGCTTTTTATGTGGGGTAGTGTTTTCAATTTTCACACTGATGCTATCATATTTCAGGAATAACCACAAGTGGTTAATTCTGTAATTCTTCTAGACATTTTATTTTAAACTTTAAACCTGAGGAAACCATGGTCAGTATCAATAAATGTTGATTGAGTGTCAACTGGGTATGAGCCCTGTCCCTGGCACTTTAACAAGTCTGCTCTGAGAGGTCTGGGTTTCCAAGATGTTCCATTACCTGGTTTAGGAGTCAGATATTTCCCTCAAAGAGGTATTCCTTGTTTCCTGAGTTTTAAAATTATTCTAAGTTCCCAGTTTTTAAAGCCATTATCTGTAAGACAGGAGTGCCCAGTAGTTTTCATTTACTAGGAGCTTATTGTGAGCTAGAAACTGTAGTTAGTCAAGTGTTTTACATGCATTTTTAAATTTTAATCTCCATACCAATCTACTAAATTGGCGCCCTATTCTTCTGAATCCCGTTTTAGAGGTGAGAGCACTGAGGCTTGCTGAGAACATGCCATCAGCTCCAGTGACACAGCCAGCATGGAATCCAGTTTAAATGTGGGCATGTCTGACTCCACAGCCTCTCTGCTACATCATGTGCAGTCTGCTTTTTGATGGCCTTTTGTTAATTCCTCCTTGGTGCCCTGATATTTCAGAAGTTATATGTCATTTAGTTACACATTTTAAACCTTAGGAAACCAAGTCTGCATCAACATTTACTAAGTATTGACTGGCTCTGCATTTAATGTTTTACACGTCCGTTTTGCATGGTCAGGATGTCCAAATTATTTCATTAGCTCATTATTTTGGTCATATGTATTTCTGAAGGGGACTATAATAATGAAAACTAGCTTAAATTCCCAATTATTCAGGCTATTTCATTTAAAGATGAGAACAGCTGGCAGTTTCAATTCCTCAAGTGTTGAAAAATTGTGGAAAAGAAAAACCCCAAACCAGCGTGTTAACAAATGGCTTAGCGAATGAATCGGAGGGATTGTGTTCTCTCTGGCCGTTTCTGGATATCTTCTGTGTGTCTCCACAATCTGGGTGCGGTGTGATGTGTTGCTCCACGGAGAAACCACAGTTGAAAGAATAAACAGGGATGACAGAATAAACAGAATAAACCCTGAGTGTGGGGGAAGCTTTGCAAGTCAGGCTCCTTTCACTCACATGCCTGGCCTTCTGGGAATGGGCCCAAAGTTTTCTCTTTGGGAACTGGTGTAAACGGCTTATTGCAGCCAGTTTGTTTGGTTTCTCATTGACTGGTACAGGGTCCTGGGCAGGCACTAGCAGAATGAGGCTGCCTTTGGGGGAGCCTCGCAAACTGGGCACTGCTCAGTAAACAAACACATGCACAAATGTGCTGAGGAAAGTGGGGACCCGGCATGGCACACACGCATGAACACACACACAGACTGAGGGAGATGATCTAATGGAGAAGAAAAGAATTTATTGTTGTTGATCATTATGGATTCCACCTCCAATTCAATGACACATTTTTCTGAAAAGATTTCCATTCTTTTGTTTTTGTTTTATTTTTAGTTTTAGTTCTGGGTATGTGTACAGGATGTGCAGGTTTGTTACATAGGTAAACATGTGCCATGGTGATTTCCTGCACCTATCAACCCATCACCTAGGTATTAAGCCCAGCATGCATTAGCTATTTGTCCTAATGCTCCCCCTCCCCAACCACATCTGCCAACAGGCCCCAGTGTATGTTGTTCCCTTCCTTGTGTCCATGTGTTCTCATTGTTCAGCTCCCACTTACAAGTGAGAACATGCAGTGTTTGATTTTCTATTCCTGCATTAGTTTGCTGAGGATAATGGCTTCCAGCTTCATCTGTGTCCCTGCAAAGAACATGATCTGTGTCCTTTTAATGGCTGCATAGGATTCCATGGTGTATATGTACCACATTTTCTTTATCCAGTGTATCACTGATGGGCATTTGAATTGATTCCATGTCTTTGCTATTGTGAAAAGTGCAGCAATGAACGTATGTGTGCATGTATCTTTGTAATAAAATGATTTATATTCCTTTGGGTATATACCCAGTAATGGGATTGCTGGGTCAAATGGTATTTCTGGTTCTAGATCTTTGAAGAATCGCCACACCATCTTCCACAATGGTTAAAGTAATTTACATTCCCACCAATGGTGTAAAAGTGTTCCTAAGATTTCCATTTTATGTTTGTCAAGCACTCTCCTTGGAGGAAGACTAAAGGCACACACTGTCCATAAGAACTGAACAATCAGTGCTGTTAAGTAAGTTGGGTTGAGATTGTGCAAGACCAGGAAATTGAAGAGGCAGTTGATGAAAGTTGTGAAAGGAAAATTGCAGAAAAAATCTTGCATGCCCATGATGGGGGCACTCAGCAGTGGAAACAGCAAAAAGAGGGACCCATTCTACAGCAGAACTGCCTTTTTCAATAGTGCTATTGGGACCTGGGCTCATGTTCTTGCTGAGAAGAGCCACTAATATTACCTGGGAGTGAGTTGAGCCTTAAAGTCCTTGTCTGTGCAGCCCTGTGTTTTGAGCACTTTCCAGATGGTTCAAGAAGTTTGTAGAACTTATTCATAATTTGTGTAGCAAAACAGCTGCATTTTGGAGCCTTGATAGTAGTATCACAGAGTTGGGCTGGAGGAGAGTCAAAGACAGGGACATATGTGTCACCTGGGCTGCTTTGGAGATCTCAGGACTGTGACAGGACAGTGACACCGGCCTGCAACCATAGACCACCAGTGTGCACTTATAACCTGGGCTCAGACAGATATGCTGACTCCCAAGATGGCTGTATCTTGAGTTAATGGCACATAATTCAGCCCCTCACTGAGGCTTTCCTGGAAATCTAACCATGGACTGTATGTGCACTCAGTCCTGGAACTCCCTGTCTGAAAGTGCAAAAATGCCTGTTCTGGTGTTTGTTCATTTGCAGTAGTTGCATGAGCCTCTGTCCTCAGGGTCTCTGTTTCCTTCTTCGTGTCCTGTGTCTCCATACTGCTTCTCTTCAAGTGCCATCTGTGAGACTCAGGGGGATCCTCCGACATTTACGGTCCTTAGCAGTAGGGTTTTCCCTAGTGGTAAATGGGAGAGAATCCTGAATTCTAGTCACCAGGAAGCAGAAGTACGGCTGAGAGACACTGAAACTCAAGGTCAAGTCTTGCAGGCAAGGAAGAGAATAGCAAGTTGAGCCCTGGCTGATTCAGAGTCCTTTATACTATTGAGATGTACACATTTTTTGGATTATATCACCTGAAAAAGCATGAGGTTTCCACTGTGACATTTATTTTCTTGGCCTTGAAACCCAGAATATTGAGAATGTGGCTGTTAACCAAAGCCTCCTGAACTGAAGGAGGTCTTTTCTTGTATAGTGTGTGAAAGCAGAGAGGAGCTGTTCATTGTAGCCTTTGAAGATCACCTCTTAATTTCCCCGTGTTCTTATTCTCTAACGATGTGCTTCACTCTTCTTTGGAGGGGAGCCTCCTCTGTGCTGTTTGAGATCAGTACTTCCTACTGCCTTTATGATGGCCTTAGAGAAGTTCTCCTGCCGGATCTAGATGGATCTCACATTATGAAAGGAGCAACAGAACCCTGTAGGAAGGCCAGGGCTCTATTTATTTACATTTGAGGTGGTGGCTGTGGAGGAGGAAGATTCAAAACACACAAAGTTATGTATGAATTATGATGTGATATGTTCAGCTTTTAGCTCTCTACTGGGCAGCACTTCAAAGTTTGTTTCAATGGATTTTCTTCAGGGGGCCACACCAGCATCCTCCAAATGGGAGTCTGAGGATGCCTCCCATCTTACATCACTCACAGATCACTGCCAGAGCAACAAGAAACAAAAACCCTAACAATTTACAGTTCACCCTCTTTGATGTAAGGTGCAGTGGGGACACGAAGCCCAGGCCTCTGAGTAGGATGTAGTTGGATTGGCACAGAAAGCAAACTCTTCTTTCTTTCCTCAAGAAGAAGGAAAACTACACTAGCAAATTAAAAATATTAGCAAGCTTCTACTCAGATACATTTAGCTTGATTTGGGTCAAGGTGGGGGAAGGGAAGAGTAAGGAATTCAAACAGCCTGTGCCAAGGATTTGCTGAACATGTTCTTTAAAAAAATGCTGACAGGCATTAAATTAAGTAACAACTGCAGATTACACAAGGGTAAACACTGCTGCTAATGTTTGACTAAAAGCTAACTGAGGGCTCTAAGTGATTCCAGTTAATTTATAGATCACGCCAGTAACAGCCCCAGGGGACTGGGGCTGCTGAAGGTGGGAGATTCGTTTTATAGCCAGAAGCCACGTTTTTAATTTTAGAAAAAGAAAACTAAAGCTGTAGGAACTGATTTAGAAACTTCAGAGGGAGAGAGAGAAAAAGAGAGGGAGAGAGGGGAGGGAGGAAAGACAGAAAGAGAGAGAGAGGTGTAGGGGGAATGAATTGAATGTCTTTGCTGGGCTTGGGATAGAAAAGTGGCTAAGAAAAAAACAGAAAGAAACACATCTAACTTTAAATAACTCTTCCAGGAGGAGAGAGCATGCTAGGATCAAGAGTTAACTATTCCTATGGGGTAGGGGTCTTAAATTCAAGACTGTGCCAGGGGCTCCATCGACCCCAAATGAAAGAGTATAAACTGCCTCGTGTTATCAAATAAGATTAATTTAATTTTGCAACATTTAGCTTCAAGTTAAAATTTAAATATATGGTTGTACAGTAAATGATTTTAAAATTATAGTCCCTCCAACATAACCTCTCTTGACACAATTTTAAATGCTTTTTAAATGGGATGTGTAGTTTGTTTAGTACATAGCAGTTGATGTCCTTAGATTGGGTTTTCATCATGTATTTTAATTTACTAAGGCTGGGATGACCATAATTGCCTAACAATTCAATGCAACGGAATGGGCTACTTCAGCACTTTTTACTGCATTTTTCCATATAATATCTAAAAGTCACCCTGCGACACACACAGGCTATGTTTATGAAAGCAAGGCTTTAACCCTTGCATTTTTCTAGGTTTGAATAATTTTCTTAATAAGGCAAAAAATGTTTGCAAATTTGCACCATGATGTCAGCACGTCATTGTGAAGGAGGTAGGACTGGCCTGCACTTCAGGGATGAAGTCCTGTCCATTTGGTGTTTGCAAACCTTGAGGATCCTCGTGGAAGCCCAGTAACTCCAAAGACCCTTGTTTCTTCCCAAGTTTCTGTCTCCTTTCAGGCAAGGGCAAACATATCTGCTTTGCTAGGCCAGTCTTTAGTTTAATCTTAGAGTCTCAAAAACAAACAGTGGTAAGGTCTGGATAACATAGTTATCCATTTCTGCGTTTGCCCAGATGAAACTTTAAAAATGCTAAAAATACCAGGGCAATTTCTGTTAATTGCTCTGGATTATCAGGCTGGAGAAATGGATTGGGCGGGTATATTCTAGTCTATTAAATCTTGTGCTAACTTTACTGATATCGTCTCTTGGACTCTGGCAGCCTATTCTGCTTTTCAGCATTCTCCAGGGATGCTCCCAGCGTGTTGGAAACCAAACTCCCTGTCTGCAGAGACAGCCCTAACACCAAAACTTTTGCTTTACTAGAGAAGCCAGAAGAGAAAAATAATGCTGTTGCATCCTCTCTGACTCAGTTGACTCACTTTATGACTTTTATTGTCGGATCCCAAACTTGATGGCTGACCTGACTGAGGTCACCAGCCCCATAGGGCTATTTTAAAACTTTGAAAATCACAAGGCATTTTCAGTTCTTGCCACTTATGAGTTTGTGCAACTATTCTGATGAGTGATCCTTGAAGATACATTGCCTCGAAATATGAAGGTGTGCCAAGCTCTAGCAAAACTGAAAAAAAAAGTGTCATTTCAGAATGACCAGAATCAGTAGACATTGTTTATTACCCTTATCCTCCACACCTGATGTTAAAAACAAAGACTAGGAGCACCCATGCCTGCCAGGTCAGTTTATTTGTGAACATTGAGGAATGTCTAAAGGGGATTAAGCTTTCATGTATGGAAATGCTTTCTAATTCAAATAACCCACTGTAATTTTTTTTAAAGTGACATGAATTGATGATTGTAGATACTGTCATACTGTATGACCAAATAACATGATTATAATGATGTGGCATTTCCTTTCCTTGTCTTTAACAAAACATATGGCTTTAGGTTACATTTGTCTGGCTTTTGGTTCTTCTACTTTAACTTGAAAGATGAAATTTATGCAATTTCTCAAGATCCCGAGTCACAAAGTTGGGTAATGGCAAATGGTATCCTAATAACAACAATAATAACTGGATTTTATTGTGTAGCTATTCAGTGACTGCTCTAAACAACAACCCTAGAGGGCAGGTACTATTGTTATTCCATTGCAAGTTTAGGAAGTGAGGCACAGAGAGATGTCAGGCATCCACAGTCACACAGCAGTTGATGCAGGAGCGCAGATTCAGCCACACTGCCTGTTTTTATCTAGTTTTGGGCTCTGCCAGCGAGAGGAAATGTCACCACTCTTCCTTTCCAGGATCAAACTGCATATGTACACTATATTAGCTCCACCGGACTCTGTAATCTAACTTATTTTGGCATGGTAGACCCTTCATGCTAGAGTGGAGGAAGAGGGACTGGATTTATTCTCCATCGTGCCTGAAGAATCCATCTCCTCCTACAATTTAGAACACACATTTTGTTTTTTAAGATTGGACTATTTTATTGGAAAACAGTGGTAGCTACACTTAGCTTACTATTAATACATGTCAGAAATTTTTCAAAGTACTTTCCATTTCTTTTTCATTTTATTCTCACACTATGAAGTAGACAGTATTATCATCTCCATGTTATAGATGGGTATACTGAAACACAGATGAGTCATGTCAGTTACTTAAAATTGTCTAGTCAAAGGGACACAGAGATGGGCTCACGTCCAGGTAGCCAGGTCCCATAGTCCATGCTCTTAATGCTACGCTATCTTTCCAATGAGTTGATAACTAGTCAGGTGATTTGAGGGTTAGCAATAAAATGATTTGGACTGAGTTCTATCACAGCTGATGGAATTGCAGAATTGGCCATTTTATCATTAACAAGAGCAGTGCTGCCCCCCCGTTTCTGCCATTGTCATCGCAGAACATTCCAGAAGAAAGGTCCTAGGAGGATCTACAGTGGCTTGTGTTGTTCTCCCAGCATCTCAGACTGTGATATCTAACTCTTACTTCTCTTTTCTATACCTTGGTTCTCCTGCCTCAGAATAATAAGCCCAATAACAATAGCCTCTTTTTATTTGTGGTGTTTTCCAGCGTACAAAGCGATTTCTCACACTAGGTGATGTGAACCTCACTATGGTTCTGTAGGGTGTATTCAGTCTTCATTGTATTGATAAGGAAACTGTAGTTCAGAAACACCCAAAGCCACAAAATTGGTCAAAACGGGCTGGACTTAAAACCTGGCTTTATAGCTGGACGCGGTGGCTCAAGCCTGTTATCCCAGCACTTTGAGAGGCCAAGGTGGGTGGATCATGAGGTCAGGAGATTGAGACCATCCTGGCTAACATGGTGAAACCCCGTCTCTACTAAAAATACAAAAAATTAGCTGGGCGTGGTGGCGGGCACCTGTAGTTCCGCCTACTTGGGAGGGTGAGGCAGGAGAATGGCGTGAACCCGGGAGGCGGAGCTTGCAGTGAGCCGAGATCGCGCCACTGCACTCCAGCCTGGGCCACAGAGCGAGGCTCCATCTCAAAAACAAAAACAAAAACAAACAAACAAAAAACAAAACAAAAAAAACCCCTGGCTTTATAATCTCCTATCCCCTATCCCTATTCCCAAATCCTCCTGCAGTGAGAAATAACCTCTTGTAGCAGCCATTTCAGTGGGAGTCAAAACACTTCACAAAA
Source organism: Homo sapiens (assembly GCF_000001405.40). Classification (NCBI taxonomy): domain Eukaryota; kingdom Metazoa; phylum Chordata; class Mammalia; order Primates; family Hominidae; genus Homo; species Homo sapiens. The sequence goes on from NC_000013.11 coordinate 50,525,680, forward strand.
CCCTCTCCTTGTTCCTTGGAACAAGTCTCTATGAAGTGGTCCAAGCAGCCACCAGAAGTGGCTGGAGAGCACCCACATATGCTGCCCACGCTGTATTTTATGCCTGAATTTATTTGCCATGTAGACATCTTACTGTAGTGGTTGAGGATATTGGAACTACTTAGATGAAAGAACACCTAAGCCCCTGGTGGGCTTCTGTTAAACTGTGTAGGTCCATAGCACAGATAGGGGAGCAATGACAGTACTCTGTGAAGAGGAGAAGGTGTGCTTACAATGAACGGGGCCTTGGCGTCCACCTCTTCCCGATGGAGAGAAGTGTTGCTTTTTCCTAGAGAAAAGAAATGAACAAGACCTGTTGATAGTGAATGAGTTGGGTCCCCATGCTCCCCTTTCTCTGCCATGCCCTTCAGGTGGGATGCTGGCACAGGGAGGATTAGATGTTTGACCTACTTACTCATTCCAACTTATAGCTCACAAGGATGGAGCTTAGCTGGAGGCTGAATGCTGGAACCCCATCAGAGCATTTCAGAATAGCCTAGGCCATTTCCACAGGTCTGAATCTGTGACCTAGGGGCAGGCTCTTAGAACAACATATTCTCATATAATGTGACTGGCTGGCTGTAAGGTGTCCCTAAGAAAAGCTAACATCCTCTGCTCTAATCAGGCAGAAAGGAGTGAGAGGAGGAAGAGAGAGGAACCTGGAGAAAAAAAATGCAATAAAGGCCTGTAAAAGGAAAACTCACAAAGCCCTTCTCTGAAGAGCTTTTAAGATGGAGTTTACCAGCAAGGTACTAGCAGACACATACGAGCAGGTTAACATCCCTAAAATAAAGCAGGAGCCAGCAATAACAGGGTCGGGCAACAGAAAGCTACAGCTGGTAAGGAAGTCAGCAGCACCACACCATTAGATACAGCAATTACTTTAGATACAGGGTGGGGTCCCAGCTCTGCAGCACACACTCTCAGGCTGGAGAAACAGGCTGTGCTTCTGGGAAAGCATTCTCCATCCTGGGGTACAGATCCCTGGAGTCTTAAGAAGGCGTTGCAGAAAAATTAAGCATTATCTCGTCTGAGTCCCCTAGGCTGGGTTAGAAGTTGCTTGCCTGATTATTGCGTGCAGCTGGAATGGTCTTGGTACAGGGAGGGATCTGGGCTGAGGAGGATGGGCTGAGAGGGGAGAGGGGAGAGGGAAGAGGGGAGAAGGGGACCCGCACACATGCGCACTGTAGCAGAAGCTGCAACTTTGCCGGTTGCAGGGCTGTTGTGAGATAGGGTGCTTGCTACTGTGACTGGGGCCCCGCCTTGCAGATCTGCTTGTCATCACTTACCCTCTCTTGGTGGTTTGGGCATGCACTTCTTTGGGGGAACAAACAAAATTTTAAAAGTTCCTGAGTTTGACAGCAGCAGCCAATCACTTTCCTCCCTATTACCCTCCTCTCTTTTTTCTAAAGTAGTCAAATGCCAGCTTCTATTTCACTAGTTTCTATTTCTGTGAAAAACATTTCAGAACTGCTTTCCTCATCCTTCCCACTAAAAATCAAGCATCCCCCCCCCTCCCCGCCCTCCTGTTCTGTGCAGGAAGGGTTGGCCCACACTCACCTGATGTGTTCCCTCCTCAGTCGTGGCCAGCACCAGGTGGTTGCTGCCATCAGATGATGTTCTGCCCTGGCAAGCACATGTTTTTAAATGACTCTGCAGTACCCAGGCTTATAAAAACAAATGCACCCAGACGAAGTTCCAGCGCCCCGCGGGGATACACTGAAATTCTCTGGCCTTGCTGAGCTGGGCTTTGGCTTCGAGTCTCCTCTCAGGCAGACCTGGATACGTCTTCATTCATGTGCCTATTTTAGTCATTGCAAAATGCTTTATAATAATTCCAGACGTGAAATGTGCACAGGAGGACTCTAGTTTGGAGCACAGGCTTTGGGGTCAGAACCTCGGCTTGAATTTTGATGCAATGTATCTGTATAGGTAAGACTTTTTCACCTCTGTGCCACAGTTTTCCCATCTACAGCAGCAACACCTGTCTGTGTAGGGTTCTTGTCAGAATTGAATGAGATAAATGTGATGTATTTAGCACAGTTCCTGGTACATAGACAAACATTAGTTCAATAAAGTTTTTCTAGTATTATCATTTCCTTGTTTTTTCCAAAAAGTAGTTAATCTGAGCACACATCTGTTTATAGGAGGAGGTCTGATGGCCGGGAGGACAGGAAGAAGGAACCCACAATGAAGCAAAAGTTGCGTTTAACTCTGTCCTCACCATTCCTCTCCTGGACCTGTCCTAAACTGGAAGCTGGGGGAGGATGGAGTGCTGGAATGCTGCAGAAGTCTCATGGGAGGGCGCCTGGTGTTCACCACATGTGTACACTGTTGCACGACCAGGTTGGCACTTTGCATGTGGGAAACGATCAGAGAATGGTGGGGGATGCTTAAGAGGCATCACTGGAATCCTACGGTACCACAGACCAGAGCCTTCCCTTCCCTTCCTCTCCCACAGATGGAAATTTGAATGCTGGGGCTCAGTGGAACACCTGAAGGAAGCTGGTGAGGCAGATGTCCCGCTATGCCTTCCAAGTGTCATGCAACCAGTTCATGCCTGTCAGCATCTCTGCCGGTGGACTCTGTGAGTCAGCAAATCTACAGAGCAGAGAGCCACAAGTGGGGACAGATGTGGTCAAATGCCATTTAAATCAGTGATTCTCAACCCAGGAGTTGTCATGGCACTGGCCTTGAGTGAGCTGGACCAAGGGAAGTGGTAGAATTCCCCATGAAGGACCAAGTGAGCAGATAGAAGTTTCTCCATTTTAACTTTTTCTGAGTCAATTTAAAAAACACCTAGTGCCTTTTTCTGTACATAGTGCCTGTGGGTTTGAATTTAAGCCTACCCAAATGTGCTTTTATCCCACCTATTTTGAACCTTGCATGTCTCCGGGATAAGAATTAACATAAGCTATAAATATTCTTCCAGGACTAATTATTAACCGTGAATGTTGAGCGGCCTTGACAAATATAAAATGTTATATATAGGCCCAAGAGTAGATCAGAGAGTTATCTATCTACTTCAAGTTGAGACTCAGAGTTTTCATTAAACTCTGCAGTCTCACAGTATTTCCAATCATTTCAGGGCAGACGAAAGTTCCGTGGTATATCTTTTTAATGTGGCAGGCCTCGAGGGTGGATTGAGTTAGGCAATTTATCCCCTTTTATGCCCTATATTCACATGCAACACTCCAATGGGGTAACATAAAACCACAGACAGGTTTCTTTACACCGGTATTTAAGGGAACTAGGAAAGCAGCCCAAATCATGTGGAGAAAGCTGGGGAAAGAAGTATCAGAGGAGAAAGAGGACCTTAGCAGAAATGACAAAAGTGAAAAACCTTCCTAACTCCTTCAGACATGATGCTTAAAATTGTGTTTCTTTGGCAACTTATAATTTTCTGAAGCTGGTTCTCAGCCTCAGATCCTCCCCCAAGGTTTTTATGTTGTATTTTGACTCAGTAGGAGGGATCCAGTCCCAGACCTTCCGGCTCTCACCAGTACACCACAGGCTAACGCCATCCAGCAATCAGATGACAGGAGGAGGAGAGGTTCAAAGAGGACTACTGTATTTCTCAGAAGGGGCTGGCTCATCTACCCTCCACTGTATTACTCACACTGTAGATGCAGAAAACATGTCAAAGTATACTGGGGCTCTGCAATGCATGCACCCACACACATGTACACATACGCACAGACTTCCAAACTAAAAAGGAGAACAGAGCTCAAAAGGGGACAGTGTGCAACTGGTGCTCCATGTTGTAAGGACCTCCCCTCCTGCGGGCGCGGCTACCCCAGCAGGCTTGTCCGGGCATGTCCGCCCAGTTGACGCCAGGCCAAGTTTTACGGGAGGAATTGGCCTGTGTCTAAAGCTGGAGTTCAGCTTTGCTGACTATGGAGACTGATCTGTTGGTTGTCAGCAAAGAAAAGGTGGTTTCAAAAGAGCAGCAGAGGACTCTGTGCTAGTTGCTACTGGCCAGCTTTGACTCCGATTGGAAGCTTGAAAAACATAGATTGGAAGCTATGCAGAATATCCAGTGACAGAAATAAATCAGAGATTGCCAGGGGCTGAGGGTGAGAGGAAGGAGATTGACTTCAAAGGGGCACAGATAATTTCTCAGGGTGTCGGAAATATTCTGTCTTGATTGAGGTGGTGATTACTCGACTGTATATGCTTGTAAAAATTTGTAGAACTGTGTGCCTGAAAAGGGTGAATTCTACTGTATGTAAATTATAACTCGATAAACCTGATTTTTAAAAACACTGTAGTTTGGGAGGCCATATAAAACCAAATAACATTTTGAGTCATTAATGCCTCTTTAAGAATATTTTGGATTGATTTTTTTTATTAGATTAAAAAAATTCTTCATGGTAAATATTAATTAACCCTTTAAGAGCCAAGTGGAGGAGTGGAATCTGTATGTTTTAGAGTTGTTTGTTCTTTTTAGTTGGTCACTTTACACACTTAATTTTCAATTTTATTTAGAAAAAGAAGTTATGCTTATGAAGCATAAAAGCTGTAATTCCAAAAGTTGAATTGGTTTTGAGACCCCAAAGTCATGACTATGTAGAGAATTTCTAAATTCTTAAGGATAACCTATTTAGGAAAACCTAAGAAATCAACTATTACAACTAATGCTTCATTATGATACCTGGTTACAAAATATAAAAAATATCCATAATCAGATAATAATCGTAAAGAGGGAAAAGAGCTCTTTTACAACAGGGGAAAAACAAAGCAAAACAAGCAAGAATAAGAACAATAAAACCTGGAAACAAACTTGTTTGTTTATATAGGGCTTCTATCAATTTAGTTGTAAAACTTTAGTTAATATGAAATCAGGCTTGAATAAATTGAGACATATTTTATATTATTGGATGATGTCACTGTTCCTCAAATTGATGGTTAGGTCCAATATGATTCTAATCAAAATCCCAATTGGAATATTTTTGAATGAAAATGTGACTGTAAGGTTTATCTAGAATAATTTGTGGATAAAAATAACCAAGAAAGATTTATAAACAAATAAGGTAAACTGTACTTCAGGTGTTAAAAACCTGTTATAAAGCTTTAATAACATGATATTGGTATACAACTAGACAGAGAGAAGAGAATAGAGTCCCCAAACACACTCAAATACATATAAGAATTTAGTATTTGATGAAGACACTTCAAATTAGGGAAGGAAATGAAAGATTATGCCAGTGAATAGTGCTGGGGAAATTAATTCAGTTTTTAAGGGAAGGAGGAGACCCAAATCATATCCCTAAATAAATTCTGGATGAATTAAATAAATTTTAAAATATGAAAACACAAATGAGTAAAAGAAATTATGATAAGTATCTATCAACTCTCAATGTATGGAAGCACTTTTTAAACAAAAAGGTAGAGGAAGAATCTATAAAAGAGAAAACAGAATGTTTTTACATAAAAATTATAAACATATACATCAAAACTCATGATAAAGAAACATAAGGCAAAGAATAACTTGAAAAAAGGGCAAAATAGAAGACAAAGGTTAACATGGTTAATATGTGAAGAGCTTCCGAAGTCAATGATTAGAAGATAAATATCCTAAGCAGAAAAATTTTCAATATTCACAAAAAAGGAATTTGTACGAGCAGAAAAAAATTAGACAATAAATCATGAAAAAATTTCAGGCTCACTATTTATTTAAAAATAATTTTAAAAGACACAAATTTCTGTCCATTAAATTAGCAAATATTTTAAATTTCAAAAAACTTTGATAATTACATAGTTGGGTAAAAGTTCAAGATAAAGGAAAATCTCATCCACTGCTGGTGGAAGTATAACAATCTTTTAAATTTTCTGGTTAGAAATGTTGGCAATATGTATGTATTCAAAGACTTAAAGCTGTAAACAATATTTGACCTAATAATTCCTTCTTAAGGAATCTATCCTTACTTCGGATATATTTTTAGGAAATACAAGGATTTAGGTATAAGGATGTTTATTGCAGGGTTACTTGTGACTGAAAAATTCTAAAAATAGGTTTAATTACTGACAGCTCATCTGTAGGCATGGCAAACCACATTCTCAGGAATATTTAAGGCTTTAGAAAAAATATAAAAGGTAACATGAAGTGAAAAATGTAACGGCAAAGTTGCATGTACAGGAGAGCTGTGGGTGGGCTTGGCTATATATGTACGTACATGCATATATGTACACATACAGAAAAAAGACTGGAAGGATTTGTGTCGATGAAATGTTAATAGTGGTTCTTAGGATGGTGGAATGATTAGTGGGTTTTTATTACCTTTATGTGGCACTTTTTCAAATTTTCTGTAAAAAGGCTGTATTAACTTTATGATCAGAAGTATAAACATTAGTTTTGTAATTTTCTTTGCTATCAAGGGCTCCCTCTGCTGCTCACCTAAAAAATTATGAAGAGTTGGCTTCCTACTTCTCATTCCTGATTTTCCTCATCTCCTAATAGCCTCTGTTCTTATCTTGTGACCACTTTCCACTTATTTACCTTAGAAGCAGACTCGTCTAATTTGAGTATTTGGAATGATATGTCAAGTTCTAGACTTTGTTTTTAATTGAGATATAACTGACATACACTAGTCGTCCGTTTAAAGGGTACAATTCAGTGGCTTTTAAGTATATTCACAGAGTTGTGCAAATGTCACCATGATCTAATACCAGAATATTTCTGTCACCCCCAAAAGAAAACCTATGCTCATTATCAGTAACCCTTGATTACTTCTTTCCGCCATCCCTGGTAACCACTAAACTACTCTTAGTATTTATGGTGTTGGGTCTAAGAAAATGATACCCCACACAATGGTGCTTTGGCATACTGAACACTTTGAATTAAATGAAGATGGAGTACCTTAGAAGCTGTCTCAGAACCCAAAACATTTTAACCCTCTTTTGTTTCTTCTCCCCTGACTCCAAGAGCAAGGAGGGACTCTGTCTGGAATTTCCTTATCTAACTAAGGAAACTTCTCAAAAGACATGCAATTGTCTGAAGACTCACTCTCCAGGAATCTCATGAAATAATCCAGAAAGATTACCCACCTGAGAGAAGAAAAGACTATAAAAGTCATCACTACATGCAGTTAGACTTTTCATCTATTCTTTTGAGGGCAGGTTGGAGAGATTACCTAGGAGACTTTTTCTACATACTAAGACAACCTTTGTTCACAAGGCAGTTCCACCCCTCTCCTTCCCTTAACTTGCCAGTCCCATTCAGTTTCCTAAGATAATTATTTACAAAATAATATTTGCCTCCTGGGTGCATTCATTTCCTCTGAAAATCACTTACTACCCTTCTAAAATTTGTTACAGCTCCCAAGTTTTCTCTCCCCTATGAGGAGGACATTTAAACCTTAACCATATGGCCCTTTTTTGAGTCTCATGTTTTGTATGGCTCCCATGATTATGCATATTAATTAATGTGTAAACTTTTTCTCATGTTAATCTGTCTATTGTCACTTTATTTCAGTGAACCTTCAGAAAGGGCAGAAAGGAAGTTTACTTCTGCCTCTACAATGGATTTGCCTACTTTAGACATGTTTTCAAGATTTATCCACGTCATGGCATATACCAGAACTTCATTTCTTTTATGATTGAATAATATTACATGGTTTTAATATACTATATTTTGTTTATCTGTTCATCAATTAATAAATCTTTGGGTTGTTTTCACTTTTAGGCTATAATAATTAACGCTGTTAGGAATATTTACTTGTAAGTTTTTGTTATATGTTTTTAATTCTCCTGGGTAGATACTTAGGGATAAAATTGCTGAATTAGATTGTAACTTTATGTTTAGAAACTGCCCAACTGTTTTCCAAAGTAACTATCATTTTAATATTTCACCAGCATTGTATGACAGTTCTGGTCTTTCCTTATTTAAACTAATACTTAATTGTTGCCTTTTATTGTAGCTATCCTAGTAGATATGAAGTGTTATCTCATTATGGTTTTGATTTGCATTCTCTAATGACTAATAATATCAAGCATCTTTTCATGTGTATACAAGATATTTGTATATCTTCTTTAGAGAAATGTCTACTCAAATCCTGTGCCTATGTTTTAATTGGATAATTTATGTTTTTATTGTTGAGTTGTAATAGTTTTTAAATATATTCTGGATCCTAGACCTTTAACAGTACATGATTTGTAAATATTTTCTCCCATTCTGTGGGTTGGCTTTTCACTTCTTTATATTATCTTTTGAAGTACAAGTTTTTTATTTTGATAAAGTCCAGTTTATCTATTTTTTTCTTTTTTTGCTTGTCTTTTGGTGTCGTATCTAACAAACCATTGCCTAAATCTGAGGTCACAAATTTTACAGCTGTGATTTCTTCTAAGAGTTTTATGCTTTTAGCTTTCACATTTAGGTCTTTGATACATTCTGTGTTAGTTTTTGTATAGGGTAAGAGATAGGAATCCAATTTCATTCTTTTATATGTGTATATGTGTATCTCCCATTTTTGCAGCACCATTTGTTTAAAAGACTATTGTTTCCTCCTTTGAACTGTTCGGACATTCTTGTCAAAAATCAGTTGACCATAAATGTATGAGTTTATTTTCAGACTCTCAATCCTATTCCATTGATAAATATGACTATCCTATGCCACTACTGTACAATCTTTATTGCTGTAGCTTTGTGCTGTAGATATCAAAATCAGTAAGTGTTAGTTCTTTAACTTTGGGTTTTTTTTTTCAGATTATTTTTGTTATTCTGGACCCCTTGCATTTCCACATGAGGTTCAGTATTAGCTTATACATTTATACAAAAAAGGCAGCTGGAATTTTGATGGAGACAGTGCAAAAACTCTAGACGAATTCAAGGAGTTTGTTATCTTAACAATATTAAGTGTTCCAATCCGTGAACCCAAGATGTATTTCCAGTTATTTAAGTCTTCTTTAGTTTCTTTCAATAACATTTTATAGTTTTTAGTATGCTAGTCTTGGAATTATTTTGTTAAATTTATTCCTAATTATTTTATTCTTAAAGCTGTTATAAATGAAATTATTTTAATTTTATTTACTGGTTGTTCATTGCTGGTGTATGAAAATACAATTGAGTATTCTGTATTTCTCCTGTATCCTTTAACCTTGCTAAACTGGCTTATTAGACTTTCGTGAATTCCTTAAAATTTTCTATATAATGTCATTGGCAAAGAGATAGATTTACTTCTTCCTTTTCAATTTGGCTGCCTTTATTTATTTTTCTTCACTAATTGCTCTGGCTAGAGACTCCAATACAGTGTTGAATAGGAGAGGCTAGAAAGAACATTCATTTCCTGGTCTTAGTGGGAAAGATTCCAGGATTTCGGCATTAAGCATGATATTAGCTGTGCATTTTACTCTGATGTTGTTTACCAAGTAGAGGAAGTTCCCTTTCATCCCATTTATTGAGTGTTTCATCATGAAATCATTTTTATTATAGATTCAGACAAATTATTTTTCTGCATCTTTTGAGATGATTCTGTAATTTTAGTCTTTCTTTATTAACATGGTATATGACATAGAAAAATTTTGGTATATCAAACCAACCTTGCATTCCATTGATAAATTCCATTTGATCATTTGGTACAATTCTTTTTAAAATGTTGCACACTGAATTAAGTGTTCTAGTATTTTTTGAGGTTTTTTTTGGCATTTATATTTATAAGGGATATTGTTCTGGAAGTATCCTTACTTGGGATATTTTTGTCTGGGTCTGATATCAGAGCAACACTGATCTTATAGAATAAGATGGGAAATAGTCCCACCTCTTCTATTTTTGAAAGAGTTTGCAAAAGATTGCACTTACTTGTTTTTGAAACATTTGGTAGAATTTGCCAGTGAGTACATCTGGTCATAGGCTTTTCTTTGTGGGAAGTTTTTTGATTATGAATTCAATTTCTGTATTTGTTATAGGTTTATTTAGAGTCTGGCAGTTTGTTTATAATGTGCCTCAAAGAGAATTTTTTGGGGGTTGAATCTAATTAGGGACCTTTGAGTTTCCTGAATCTGGGTGTTTATATCTCTCCTAAGACTTGGGAAGTTTTCAGCTATTATTTAATTAAATAGGTTTTCTGTGCCTATCTTCATCTCTTCTCCCTCTGGCATTGTTACAATATGAATATTTGTTGGCTTAATGATGTCCTGTAGGTCCCATAGGATTTCTTCATTCTTTTTATTCTTATTTGTCTTACCTCTGAGTTATTTCAAAAGAACTATCTTAAAGTTCAGAAATTCTTTATTCTGTTTGATTTAGTCTGTTGTTGAAACTCTCAATTGTATTTTTATTTCATTCAAGGCACTCATCAGTGTCAAGATTTTCGTTTGGTTCTTCTCATGATATCAATCTCTGTTGTTTTCCTAATTTCATTGAATTGTATTGAATATTGGCTGTATTCTCTTGTATCTCACTGAGTTTCTTAAGATCATTATTTTAAATTCCCTTTCTGGAATTTTGTTCTTTTCTTTGGATTCTGTTACTGGAGAATTATTTTGCTCCTTTAGACGTGTCGTGTTTCCTTACTTTTTCTGTGTGTGTGTGTGTGTGTGTGTGTGTGTGTGTGTGTGTGTTCCTTTGTTGATATCTGTGCATACCAGTGGAACAGTCATCTTTTCAAATTTGGTGGAGTAGTTTTCAGAGGGAGAGACTGTTTCCTGCACATGAGTCATAGGATGTTGTTTAAGTGTGGTGTGTTGGCTTTGGTTTTAGATGGACTCAGTAGCATGGTCTCTGCATTTTATTCAGCTGCAATCCTCATTTATAGTGTCTGCAATTGTTTCAGTGGCCTAGGCTGTTGGTTTGTGATGGCAGTGATATGGTTTTGCTGGGCGAGGTGGGGTGGGGGTAGGGGTTGCTGGGCTGGCTGGCAGGCCAAGTGTGTAGGTATATCAGACTGTCCAGCTGTGTGTCATCTTCCATATTGTGCAAGTCCACCTATTCCCTTGTGGGTGGGGTGCTCTATGTGTTTGAACACCAAAATCTTAGCCATTCCACACAGCAATAGGCTCCAAGCAGCTAGGATAGTGGTGATGCAGCCACTCAAGCGAGCATACTGGAATGATGGCATGACTTCAGGGATACAGAAAAATAGTGGCTACTGGATCCCAGGGCAGGACTCACTCTAGTAGTGGGTCCAGTTTCGAGATGGCACTGTGTCATACAGCTTTGGTGTGGGGAGTGGGGTGTGTGTGTGTGCACAAAATGGGCTCCTGTTTTGAGGCAATGCAGTTACATGAACTCTAGGCAACTCTCCTAACTGGTTTAGGACATGTGAGGACTATCTACCTCTCCTGTAGCAAAGAACACAGGCATCTGCAGCAGTAACGAGGACTGCTGGGCAGTTGTAGCTTACCCTCTCCCCATAAGAAGTTCATCCTGGCTTTGAGCTGATCTCAACAGGGAAAACAGTATGGCTGAAATAGGGTTCTTCACTCTCTTGTCTATGGTGCTATCCTGGGTTTCTGTGTTCCACAAGGATTTTGCAATTTTCCTGGTGCTCTCCAGTGTACTTCCTCATTCATGCTAGTGAAAATACAGTTGTTTATTCATTGTTTTGGTCCCTTTTTGCTGGGGAAGATGAATACCAGGCAAGTCTAGACAGCTATCTTGCTGACATGCCAGTCCACAAGTTTTTTCAGTTGTCTTAATTTGTAACAATCTTGTTCAGATTAAAATAAACTTAATTTCAATAGTATATAAAAATTTTGCATTTGTATAGCTCTATTTCCTTCTGCCTCCTTTGTGCTATTATTTACTAAATTTACTTTAGTCTGAAGGATTATCTTTAGTATTTCTTGTAGAGCAGTCTGCTAGTGATATATCCTTTCAGTTGTTTATTAGAAATATCTTAACTTCATTTTCCTTAGTTTTTTTACTATATTTAAAATTTCAGCAGCAAAATTTTGTGCTGTTACTGTAATACAAATTAGATTTATATAACATATACTCACAACACAAATTCATAATTATTGCTTTAAGAGGGTTTGAAATAATAAGTTAGAAAAATCAGAGTTACAAATAAAAAAATACATTTATACTGTCTTGTATATGTAGTTACTTTTTCTAATGCTCTTTATTTTCTTTATTTGAATTTGAGTCACTGTCTAGTGTTCTTTGACTTTAGTGTGAAGGACTATCTTTAGTATTTATTTTATTTTATTTTTTTTTGAGATGGAGTTTCACTCTTGTCACCCAGGCTGGAGTGCAATGGTGTGATCTCAGCTCACTACAACCTCTGCCTCCAGGGTTGAAGCGATTCTCCTGCCTCAGCTTCCTCAGTAGCTAGAATTACAGGCATGTGCCACCATGCCTGGCTAATTTTTGTATTTTTAGTAGGATGGGGTTTCTCCATGTTGGTCAGGCTGGTCTTGAACTCCTGACCTCGGGTGATCCACGCGCCTCGGCCTCCCAAAGTGCTGCGATCACAGACATGAGCCACTATGACTGGCCTATCTTGAGTATTTCTTGTAGAGCAGCCTGCTAGTGATAAATCCTCTCAGCTGTTTATTAGGAATGTCTTAACTTCACTATTTTGAAGAATACTTTTGCTGGATATAAAATTCTAGGTCGACATCTTGGTTGACATTTTTTTTTTTTAACACTTAGAGTATATAATTCCATTGCTTCTGGCTTCCATGGTTTCTGATGAGAAATTATTTGTTATTTTTATTGAGAATCCATTGACCTGATGAGTAGTTTCTTTCTTTCAGGTTTCAAGATTCTTTCTTTGTCCTTCAACAGTTTTATTATGATGTATCTAGTTGTAGATCTCTTTGACTTTATCATACTTGGAGTTCGTTGAGCTTCTTGGATATATAGTATAACATTTTCCTTCCAATTTGGAAAGTTTTCAGTCATTATTTTTAATTTTTTCCCCCTTTCTCTTTATCCTTGACGTCTGAGACTACATTTATGCATGTTTTTAGGCTTGATTATCTCTGAGTCTCTGCTTATTTTTTTTAATTCTCTTTATTTCTATTACCTAGAGTGGATAATCTCAATGGACCTGTCTTAAAATTTACTGATTCTTTTGTCTGCTTGCTGAAATCTGCTGTTGAGCCCTTATAGTAAATTTTTATTTCAATTATTTATTTTTCAACTCCAGAATTTCTATTCAGTTCATTTTTATAATTATCTCTTTATTGATATCCTCCATTTGCTGAAATATCATTCTCATACTTACCATAATTATTTAGATATAGTTTCCTTGGTTCTTTGACCGTTTTTTAAATTTCTGACTTAAAGTCTATGTCTAGTAAGTCCAACGGCTGTATTTTCTTGTGGATAATTTCTGTTGCTTACTCTATTTTTTCTGTATATAGACTATTATCTGTCTTTGCATGTCCTATTTTTTTCCTGGGTATTTAAAATAATTTGATGTGGCACTGAAAATCAGACTTTCCTTCTTCTAGGGTTTCTGGTGGTAGTGGTTTTCTGAACTAATTCTTGCTGGTGGTAGTGGTTTCTGAACTAAATACAAAGCCTGTATTTGTTGTTGTTATTGTTATGAGTAGCCACTGAAATTTCTGCTCAGTGGTCAGCTAATGATCAGAGAGAAAGTATTTTACATGCCTGGAAGAAATAAGTACTAAAGTTTTTGCTGAGAGGTTCTGTGTACATTTTGGAGCATGGCTTTGACACTAAGTCAAGAACTTGACAATTCTGTCTTAGCCTTTACTTCCTGCTTATACAAAGCTTCAAGTTTAGCCAGAACTGAGAGCACAGGGCATTGTCTGTTTTTCCTGACAATACGCATAGTCCTGAACTTGCACATGGCTCCACATATGCATGTAGCCTTTTAGATTCCCAGGAATATGTCAGCTTTTCAAAGTTCCCCATGAACATCTCAGATTTTCCTTTGAAGCCTTTTGGTTAGTCTATTGTTTGTATCAACTGTGTCTCACTTCTTCAGGGAGCTGCAATATTCAACAGATTGTTTTCAACAAATGCTCCAGAGGAAAAGGCTGTTTGCATTAGATGACTTTTGAAGCAGATCTTATAAGGACAACCTTTTAAGTAGGGTCTTCCAGGGAACTTCCAGAAAGGTCAAATAATTTTAATTTTCTGGGAATGGGGATTCAAAGAAGCTCCAACCTTGTTTTGCCCTTTCCAGTGACTACAATGCTTTTGCTTTTCATTGTGATTGTGGGTTGTTTATTTTATATCTACTGTAGAGCTGGAGAAGGTAGAGTGGATTGGAATAGGACAAGTTAAAATGCCACAAAACTCTCTGTACTTACTGAGATTCAGCCATTTTTCTGAATAAACACTCTCTGGATTGCTGCAAGCTTTTGGTTCCTTTCCAGACTTCTGAAAAAGTTAACTCTGACAATTTTTGCTGGTTTTCTCATTGCTTTTATGGGGGAGAGGATTTTCAGAAGTCATTACTTCATCATTTTCACTGACATCACTTCAAGTTCTATTTTTTTAATGAATTTTTTAAAGAATTCTGAAATTCCCTCTTAATCACACCTAAATGAGCCACTGTTTATTGAACTTATATTGAACTAATAAGAACAGAATTTAGTTTAACTCACCTGGCAACCTTGATGAAAAGTGGAGTCAGCTGAGCCATTACTCCTTCTCTAAACAATGCTGACTGAATGCAATGTCACTTTGATAGACATTACAGTCAAACAAATGCTCAACACTATTTAGTTGTCTGTATTTGATACTATGTTGAGTGCTGAATAGGTGGAGTGAAAAGATTATTATTCTCAGTTTCTGGTAGCACCACCTGCTCTAGTCAAGACCAGGTATTGAATTCTACTCAGAAATTTTGTCTGTATGGATGACACCTTGTACTAAGTAGATTATTAATGCTTACATTTTGTTTCTTGGGGGGTACTTTAAGACTGCATAATTCAATCTTGGATCCTTAGAATCCTAAACTTTTAGAATTGGAAACATCCTTAGGTATCATCTAGTCTTTCATTTCCCAAAAGGTGTTCTAGAGATGTTTATAAATGCAAAGGGACAGAAGAAATACTTTGAGTGAATGTGGCTTAAACAAAGTCAAGCAGGTTTATTTACTGCTGGGGTTTTTGTAACATTCAATATACTACTTTATACTCTAAATTTCTAAAAGGGGGCAACAACTTGTTGCATTTCCCTAATTAATTGGAGAATGAATTCTTTTTATTAAAACATGTCTCCTAGAAAATGTTCTGTAGGGTTAGGAAAACACTGACCTAATTCAGTATCATTATTTTATCTATAAAGAGATTGAAGCTCAGGACTGCCAGATTTAACAAATTACAATGCAAGTCTTCTAGCAAAATTTGAATTTCATGTAAATAATGAATAACTTTTTATCATTTGCATAAGGCATACTTATACTGTACTAAAAATATATTACTTATATGAAATTTACATTTAGCTGAGCATTCTGTATTTTTGTCTGGTGATCCTAGCAATTGGCTTATCCAAAATGACATAGCAAATGCATAGAAGAACTGGGGCTAAAATAAAGTTTTTATACTCTTACTTAGTGGTTTTATTTTCTAAGCTACATAGCATGGTTAAGGGTTTAATGGCACTGTGGCCTACTAAGGAGATACTATAATACATATAGAACCGCTTCACTCTTCTGTGACCCTCTATCACAGTGTCTGCCTAACAACCTAGCAGGAGAATACTACAACCAATATTAATGTAATTGAAAAATAACAATGATGGCCAGGTACGGTGGCTCATGCCTGTAATCACAGCACTTTGGGAGGCCAAGGTGGGTGGATCACAAGGTCAGGAGTTCGAGACCAGCATGGCCAAGATGGTGAAACCCCGTCTTCACTAAAATTACAAAAATTAGCTGGGTGTGGTGGTGGGCGCCTGTAATCCCAGCTACTTGAGAGGCTGAGGCAGGAGAATCGCTTGAACCCGTGAGGCGGAGGTTGCAGTGAACCAAGATCGTGCCACTCCGCTCTAGCCTGGGCGACAGAGGAAAACTCTGTCTTAAAAAAAAAAAAAAGAAAGAAAAAGAAAATTAACAATCATAATGATGACTGACCTTTATTGGATGCTTACTGCATGCCAAGCACTGTTCCAAGAGACTTCTGTCTTTTGTCATTTATGCCTCCACAACAGCCCTATAGGCAGGGGCTATTGTTTTCCCATGTTACAGATGCAGGAACTGAGGCACAAGAGGGTAAGCAAATTGGCCAGGATCTCTCACAGCAGATAAGTGGCAGAGCTGAGGAAGAACTTTTAGGAAAGGAAAATTATATTTTGAAAAATCCCTTTTAAAATATATACCATAATTGAGAAGAAGTAAACTTTCTTTTTGACCGATCTCTGGAGGCTTGTTTGAACTCACTTTTAAGAAATAAAACCTCTGCCTGTCAGATGAATATCTTTATTGCAAAGGAAATTTGTATCATACAGCTCCTCCTAAGCAAGGAAAAACATAAAACAGAGATCTATGTTGGGTTGTGATATCTCTTTCTAGGTGAAGGTTAGGGGCAGAACCATAGGTCTAAGACTTGGAGCTGCAAATAGCAACAGGTCCTGCACATGGTACCTGCATTTGTAAGTGGAGGACAAAAACCACATCTTATCACTCCTCTTTCCTCAGTAGAATGTAGAGCAATAACTGGCATGTAGAAGGAGCTCAATAAAGATATCCAAACATATCTTTCTAGGAGATATGTTTTAATAAAAAAGGTCTGTTCTCTAATTACTTAAGGGGAAAAGACCCTCACTAATCCTTTGAGTAGAGACACACACTCATAGCACCCACCACCAAAGCCTTCTTTCCCGTATGAAAGACAGCGATGCATGTGAGAATGGCTTCAGATTCCCTTCCTTTTTGACACTGAAACCTGACATTCTTTTGGATTAAGAACCTAACTAGCTCTACCCAACTAGCTCATAGATTCCTTGGCTGGAAAGCTGCCTTGGAGAGTTAAGAAAAATGAGGTTTCCAGAAAATTGAGGTGAAGGGGCACAAGCCTTTCAAAGCTGTCATATTAAAATCAGCACGTTGACCATCATTTTCTGGAGACTTGGAGTGTAGACGAGAAGGCAGCCAGGGACATGGTGAAATGTGATTTTATCTCGGTGGTCAGTCTGAGTCTTTGTGGATCTCCTCACTCACATGTCTTTCCTCACTGATACCCAGCCCTTATTTACCAAGTCCCTTTGGCAAACAAGGGACCCATTTCCTCTTGAACTCTTGTCAAAATCGTTTTTAATTATTATAGATTTATGGCTCAAAAAATCGGAGAAATTCTAAATTAGTGGCTTAAAACATCAGCTGAATCTATCATATTCCATTTTTATGATTACAACTACTATCAATAATAGCTATCATTTTCTAAGGGCCTACCTTGTTCCATGTATTCTACTAAGTGCATTATATACATTAACTCATTAATCGAATGGAAACTAACATTTCTCTGGAGGAATACATTTAGGCTCAGAGAGGTTAAGTAACTTACCTAAGGTTCCACGATGAGTTGGTGTTCTGAGAATAAATGTGCACTAAAGGACTACAGCAAACATTTTACTATTTTAGGCTTATGGAAATGAGGCAAACTCAATTTGTGAGACACACATTTTAATAAACTGTGTTTAAAGCTAGAGTTTACCACCTTCTCACACACTGAGTAACTTGAACTATGTATGCAAAGAACAGCTGCCTTGCGGGGGGGGGGTCTTGGAAGACCTACAGATGAGCCTTATTTATAATTAGAGTGCCACTCTTTAAGCATTATTTATAATTAACATGTCAGTGATTTATAATTGAAGAAATCCTCCTATTTTTAAAAGACTAATAAACTGTTTTAAACTATTTAAATTATAATTCTTTTTATCCTTGATTTGATTACCAAACTTCAGGCCAGTTCTGTAACTGACTCTGAATTAATGGAAGTGAAAACTAATGCAGTTTAATGTAGAGGATTTGTAGCCATCCTTGTGTGGCTTTCTTATTTAAAATACATCTCTTCTTGACTGGCACTGGCTGTTTGGATATCTGTAAGATTCACCCTTTGCAAGAATAGAATCAAAGCCTCTAAGGAATTGGATTTAATTCTGAGAACGTGGAATTTTCCTTTGAAGTGACCCTTTAAAAATATTAGCAAGTTCCTGCCTTAATATCCAACTTGTATGCCTCACTGAGTTTTCATGAGATTCGCAGCCATCACTAGTTCTTTGTCTGGAAGCTGAAATGAAAAGCTAAGAGTTGTAGTGGGCTGAGAGAACACTGCTCCGGCGTCGTGCCCCGCTGCCTGTTTTCGTCCAAATGACTCAGATACAGTACTACAGCTGTTTCAGCATTCTTGGGTTTTGTTTGCCAGCTCTATTGGAGACTAAAGCTTATATAAGTAATATGAAACCTTAGCATTTACAACATAAAGCCACCACAAGAACTCACAGACATTAAGCATTGGTAGGATTTTATTTGGAGGAATTTTATTTTAAAATGTAATATCCTTTTCCTTTCTTTGGCAAAATAGAATCAGGAGAACTTGGATGGAACTCTACTGCTTATGAAAAGTCTCACCCTGTTCTTATAAGCAAGTCTGTCACCCTTGATTGGAAAGTAATAATTCATAAAACTTGATGTTATTATCGTTCCTCTGCCTGGAGTGATAGATATTCTTGAGGCTTTGTAAATAAAAAGTTTAAAATTGAATTTGCAACTCAAAAGACTGGTAAGTTCAAATGTTAGTTTCCTGCTGAGTAACTGCGAAAACAATTCCAAAGTAGCCAGTAGTGTGTTAGGAATGGCAGGTTTATTAAATGACTTGATGAAGTGCAATGAAAACACACTTTTGGTGTCTTTTTGCAGCCTTTCCCGCTACAAAAATAATAGTTTTCTTATAGACATTAGTGTTTGCCTTCACTCTACTTCTTTGGTTATTCTCCCAGTTCAGGTTTTATGCAAAGTTGTTCAATAACAAGGCGAGAGTTGGTTTTATTCCTAGCAGACCAATAGGGTTCTCATGTATGAACTGATTGTCTGACACTGCTTGGAGATTATTGGTTTGCATTTCACCATGTAATTTGTAGTAAAAAGTGTTAAACTATGATGAAAAATCCCTTTGGTGTAAAATAGTGCCACTGAGTATTGCGTTCTCATGGCAATATGCCTTCCAATGTCACATATCTTCACTGAAGTCCTTGAAGGAACTGGGTCTTGCTGGAGGGAAGAGAATGACCGAGATGTGGGAAGGTTGCTCTAGCCCAATAGAAAACCAGCAAGTTCATTTAAAAAGGTATCTTTCAATTATGAAAACTGGCAGGCATCAAAGGACACTTGGCAGTTGAACTTTGCAAAAACATTTGCACTGGCGGCTGAAGAGGACCTTCTCTATTGCTGGTTTCATAAAAAAATGAAACATTTTACAGTTTCACCTCAATTTCCTCTCTCCTTTTTCCACAGAAACAAAAGGTGATTTTTCAAGGTCCCTATATCAGCATTATTTGACATCCTCCTATGGGCTTGACCAAATAACTGACCCAATCACTCATGAAGAAAATCAAAAATACTTTGATTTTCACTCCTCACCCTCAATTCCTGTTAAGTTAATGGCAAATTGTTTCTTTTTCCCATTTCTTTATTCCTCCCACCCCATGGGCAAAACACTGCTGCTATAAAAATAAAAACAGTGAAATTCCAGTCTTGACTAAATTTGGGAATTCTTGCACACATGAAAAAAATCTTTGTTTCTCTTTGTGGAAATTGGCAAAGTGAAAATGGACAGCTTAGCTCTTCTCACACTGGCACTTAGATTTACTGCAGAAGTTGAATTTTTAAAAGATTGTAAATATAATTATAGGGGAAAAAGTGTGGTTTATGTTTATCTCCACACCAAATTCCCTGTATGGAGATCTTTATAACAAATCTGCAGGATTCCTTCCTTTCTGGTCAAGGATGTAGGCTTGTAAGACCGGAGGCCTGTGCTCAGTGCCCCTTGCATGAAGACACTGTCTACTGTTGCTTAGCTCATCGGGTATAACGGAGGGTAAGGAAGCCTCAGACTGCCAGGTGACTGGATGACTAAGTGCATCCTTGAACCTCTGCTAAGATATCAACAAAACCCTCATGCAAACCGACTTTGGGGACTCTCTCCTTTTATTGGTCTCTGATATAAAATAGGTCTGGTTATATCTAGAAAACCCCATCGTCTCAGACCAAAATCTCCGTAAGCTGATAAGCGACTTCGGTAAAGTCTCAGGATACAAAATCAATGTGCAAAAATCACAAGCATTCTTATACACCAATAACAGACAAACAGAGAGCCAAATCATGAGTGAACTCCCATTCACAATTGCTTCAAAGAGAATAAAACACCTAGGAATCCAACTTACAAGGGATGTGAAGGACCTCTTCAAGGAGAACTACAAACCACTGCTCAATGAAATAAAAGAGGATACAAACAAATGGAAGAACATTCCATGCTTATGGGTAGGAAGAATCAATATCGTGAAAATGGCCATACTGCCCAAGGTAATTTATAGATTCAATGCCATCCCCATCAAGCTACCAATGACTTTCTTCACAGAATTGGAAAAAACTACTTTAAAGTTCATATGGAACCAAAAAAGAGCCCGCATTGCCAAGTCAATCCTAAGCCAAAAGAACAAAGCTGGAGGCATCATGCTACCTGACTTCAAACTATACTACAAGGATACAGTAACCAAAACAGCATGGTACTGGTACCAAAACAGAGATCTAGACCAATGGAACAGAACAGAGCCCTCAGAAATAATGCCGCATATCTACAACTATCTGATCTTTGACAAACCTGACAAAAAGAAGAAATGGGGATATGATTCCCTATTTAATAAATGGTGCTGGGAAAACTGGCTAGCCATATGTAGAAAGCTGAAACTGGATCCCTTCCTTACACCTTATACAAAAATTAATTCAAGATGGATTAAAGACTTAAATGTTAGACCTAAAACCATAAAAGCCCTAGAAGAAAACCTAGGCAATACCATTCAGGACATAGGCATGGGCAAGGACTTCACATCTAAAACACCAAAAGCAATGGCAACAAAAGACAAAATTGACAAATGGGATCTAATTAAACTAAAGAGCTTCTGCACAGCAAAAGAAACCACCATCAGAGTGAACAGGCAACCTACAGAATGGGAGAAAATTTTTGCAACCTACTCATCTGACAAAGGGCTAATATCCAGAATCTACAATGAACTCAAACAAATTTACAAGAAAAAAACAAACAACCCCATCAAAAAGTGGGCAAAGGATATGAACAGACACTTCTCAAAAGAAGACTTTTATGCAGCCAAAAGACACATGAAAAAATGCTCATCATCACTGGCCATCAGAGAAATGCAAATCAAAACCACAGTGAGATACCATCTCACACCAGTTAGAATGGCGATCATTAAAAAGTCAGGAAACAACAGGTGCTGGAGAGGATGTGGAGAAATAGGAACACTTTTACACTGTTGGTGGAACTGTAAACTAGTTCAACCATTGTGGAAGTCAGTGTGGTGATTCCTCAGGGATCTAGAACTAGAAATGCCATTTGACCCAGCCATCCCATTACTGGGTATATACCCAAAGGATTATAAATCATGCTGCTATAAAGACACATGCACACGTATGTTTATTGTGGCACTATTCACAATAGCAAAGACTTGGAACCAAGCCAAATGTCCAACAATGATAGACTGGATTAAGAAAATGTGGCACATAAACACCATGGAATACTATGCAGCCATAAAAAATGATGAGTTCATGTCCTTTGTAGGGACATGGATGAAGCTGGAAACCATCATTCTCAGCAAACTATCGCCAGGACAAAAAACCAAACACCACATGTTCTCACTCATAGGTGGGAATTGAACAATGAGAACACATGGACACAGGAAGGGGAACATCACACACTGGGACCTTTTGTGGGGTGGGGGAAGGGGGGAGGGATAGCTGTAGGAGATATACCTAATGCTAAATGACGAGTTAATGGGTGCAGCACACTAACATGGCACATGTATACATATGTAACAAACCTGCACGTTGTGCACATGTACCCTAAAACTTAAAGTATAATAATAAAAATAAATAAATAAATAAATAAAAAATAAATAAAATAGCTGTGGTTCATTTTATCCATACCATTCAACATGCTGAGTGGTGCAAGTCCCACTCTGTAATTTGTGTGTACATTTGTATACATATTTTCTTCTTCAGTGTTTATCCTTAACAAAATAAAATAGTTGTTCTAAATCTACAACGTTTCTGCATAAGCATAGCTAAAACACTGGTGAAAAGAGGAGCTGTGACCCACTCATATTCTAAACCCCCAAATTAAATCTCTTCTTTCCTACACTTCTCTGCTTTGTGACTTTTGTTTCTAATATCCACGTTAGAAAAAAAAGTTTAGCTGCCTGCTGGAGTTTTGGTGAAGCTTTTGGCCCTACCTTTAAGACATGGAGGGAATGTCTAGCATTCTTCACGGAAATGTGCCTGTGAGGAGCATTAACTCCTGTTATACAGGGAGAATAGCTAGCTGGTAGAGGTCTCAGGGAGAAATCTTGCCTATTGCTATTGAGGAGGCCAGGTCATCTTGATTTACCATTTTATGTCCCACCTCCCTTCCCACCTCTAGCCTCTCTTCTCCTGTGGTAGGAGGACTAATGGCCCCCTCAAAGCTGTCCAGGTCCTAATCCCCAGAACCCATGAATGTGTTACCTTACAAGGTAAAAGGAATTTTGCAGATGTTATTAAGTTAAGGATATTGAAATAGGGCCATTATCCTAGATTATCCAGGGGGCCCAATGTCATCACAAAGTACTTGTAAGAGGAATGCAGGAAGGTCATACGGGGAGAAGGCAGTGTGACAAGAGAAGCAGAGATAGGAGTAATGTAGAATGAGCATTTCACTGGTACTACTCATTTAGAAGAAAATTAACTTTGGAAATGTAAAAGTAATGATGAAATTTCTTGCACAAGTCATATTAAGTGCAAGGGTCTCAAAATCTTTCACAATAGACTATTATTAGAACCCTTGATATTTATGCTGATTTTCTAACTTCCAGCCTAGAAGACAATATTCTTCCCTCCATGGAGAATTCTGAATGGTGCCTGCAGGAGTGGAGGCTGGCCTGATGTTCCTCTTTCTTATTTCCTGTTTTTCTATGTTAATTGTAAGATGGCATTCCTTGTATGTGCGCCATTAAGGGACTTCCAGGACCAAAACCAGGAAAGTCTCAGGCAAACTGGGACAAGTTGGTCACCCTGAGTAGAAGGCAGAGTGTGAGGAGAGGACTTCTGTGAGGAGCAGAGAAAAACGGTTTGAAATGGCGATTTTGGAACTTCCCATGTTTTCCATAATTTCAAGAGAAAGCTGACATTTCTGAGTCCTTCCTGGCAGTAACCTAGGATATTTTTTCTCTTTCAGAGTTACAGAAGATGTACCATTTTCCATGTTTTTCCTTCTTTACCTTCATGTCCAGGCTAGAGAAGCACTGGATATGTATAACAATGGGAGAGAATTCCAGGTCAGAAAGCCAGCAAGCTCTTGACTAATGGAAGCTATGTGTCCCTGGCAGGAGAGGTACTTCCAGGGGCTCCATTAGATGATCACTGCCTGTCCACAGCCGCCAGCCCCTTCATGACAGCATACCATCAAGAGTTTTCTAAATAGGAGCTTTCCAAAAACAACACCACAAAGTGCATCCCTCTTCTCTTAGTGATTGTCCGTGGAGTGGCCAAGGGTAGACTTGGGTAGCAAGAGTATAATAACTTTTTATTTTTGGAAACAAAAAGCAAGTCTACTTATTGGCAGCTAAAATGCTGGCATAGGCCAGAGAGAAAAGTTCAGATTACATGGCTTTCCAATGCCCTTGTTTTTGTAAACCAACCCCTGGGGCAATGGCTTTGGCAAATCTCTCAGTAGTTGCCTTTGAGGAAATCTACCAGAAGTCTTATTCTTTTGTTTTGAAATGTGGATATCAGTTGTAAAAAAATGAAACAAAAAGCAATAAAATAAAACAATCCTTTCAGTGACCCTGAGCTTCCCTCTGCTCCCTCTCCACTCATCTCTGCACCCTCAACAATGTGGCTCTGTGGGGGACATGCACCCTTGATACTGTGGCCCTGTTGTTGGTGGGGGGGTGCCCCAGACTCCATGCCAGCTTCTCCCAGCCAGGCCTGATCAGCAGGACCCACAGCCAGTTATGAAGTCCTTTTGTTTGGAGTTGGGTTCCTGTAGAGAGTAGCCAGCTATCGCCGTGGTGATGTGGAGAAATCAATCTGGCTTCAGCTGTGAGATAAAGGAATTGACATAGTTAAGCTCCATTTTGCCATAAAATCATACAAATTTGAATTAGAGATTATTTAGCAGAATTCAGTTGAATTCCGAGAATAAAAAGTGATTAGCTCCTGGAATGAGTGGAAAGGTCACTGAGAATTAAAGGTCTGAGGTTCTAGTCTTGGCTCTGCTACTCTCCAGCCCTGTGAGCAAGGCCAGTCCCATCAGTCAGTTCTCTGCACTTCAGTTTTCTTCCCTGGTAAATGAGGAGGTAGGTGATGTGATCTTCCCAAAAAGTTTATTTATTTGGAGTACTCGACCCATTTACTTATTCAGTTATTCAACCTTTATTTGTACCTTCCAAGTATAAATTAAGTTTACAAACTTTATTGATGATCTCATTACTTAATTCAACATTAATCAGCATTTTTTGTGCTCTAGGCACTAACAGCTGGGTATACAAAGATACTGCCTGAACCCCTTAATGGGGAAACTGTGGAGAGTAGAAAATGAATTAATCACTTATGGTATTGTCCTTCTAAATATTACCACTCTTTCTAGAGGCATTTCAGATGTCATGTCTGTCACATGCTTTCATTTCCCTTTATGCTACCTTAGACCTTTTTATGTGCATCTAATGAAATTTTTCACATTCTGGCTTGCGTTGTTAGTTATTTATATTCCTATCTAATCTGCTTTTCTCAAGCCATGTTAACTTGAGGACAGGTGCCACATTGGGTCTCGTTGTTTTCTGTCTTCAATGGCAACAAGCATGGTGACTGACAATAGGTGCTCAATACATATTTGTTCAATTGCATCAACCAGTAGAATCCTCATTAATGGCTTTTTATTGTCTATGTCCAGTTGCCTTTGTCAATGGTGTGATCTTGGTGTAACTAAGGACAAAACCCTGAGACTCCGTCGAGGTTGGGTGTTCATCTGGAAGCCAGAGAGAAAATTTTCAGAGACGTGGAGGATTTTTTTTTCCCTTGAAGACAGGAAAACTCACATTATTAACCACAGAATTTTAAGAAGAGTTTCTTTTGTTAGCATGAAGTATTCTGGATTATGGCATATGTATTATGACACCCCTTCCTCATGGACACCAGGAATATTCATTGCTAATGGCTGGTGGTTTAAATTTCCCTTAAAACAGCTATAAATCTGGCTGCAGGTGAGAATTTGTTAAGGGCCACAGGATACTTTCTGAATCCCATAGCTAAGAGGTTAAGGGGAGACAGTCTTAGAATCTGCTAGGGAAACCCAGGAAACTGATATGACCTGGGCTGATGATATTGCACTTAGATGCACTAACTTGATACAGACTATTTTTAATGGGTTCACCTTAAGAAGTGGCAAAAACTATATGCTGTTGAGTGTCATGTGTTGGAGGAAAGCCTGCAAAATAATGGTACCTATTATTTATGGAATGCTTCCAATGTGCTAGATTCTCATTCCCTGTGTTATTCCATTGAGTCCTCACAATGATAGTGTTGGATTGGAAGGAGAGGAGGCAATCAATGCCTTACTCATTAGTAGGGGGTGGTTGAAATCTAACTAGTTGGTGTAGTCAGACAGTAGTCTCAAACAAAAATGTGTTTGTGCGATGGTTATTGGCTCCAAGATTGTCATTCAGATGATCTAGAATATCCTTATAGTAATTTTCAGAAGCTATTGATAGAAGTAACACCTGCCCTCAGTCCCAAACACTTAAATTCTGATAGAGAACTGTAGATTCCTGGGAATAGGCATGTGAACTTTCACGGTTCAAAAAAAATCACAGCTTGAAGCATTAGTGATGCTTGGAAATGAACTAAAGCAAGATTATCTTTAAAAATAAATATTACCAGCCTGAGACGCTCCAGCTGTGTTTGTGATAAAACCTTCTGTGTCTTTATCACTCCCTCCCAGCATGTTGTGTTGGAAATCTACCTGGGCCTAGAAGCAGGTTTTCAGCAAAGCCTCTGGAAGAGATGTCTTGGCCTGATTCACCCTTCTCCAAATGGATAGCTTTGGATTTACTCTGAAATCAGACTTTCGACCCAAATGTGCCACTGGAGTTGGTTTACTTTTGGCAAAGCAAGACTTCATGTTTTTCAGAAAACAGATTTAAAGAAGCTTAGACAAGAGACTCATGAGCTTTCTTGCACACCAATCAGTTCTTGCAAAATAGCATTTTAATTATTTAAGTGCAAGTGAATCAGAAACATCTGAATTAAATTTTCTTCAAAAAAAAAAATACAATTGGCTTTTGAAACCAAAGAGAGAAAGTGCTTGGTTAGCTAAAAACAATTTAGGTTTTGTGGTAACCCCAAAGTGTTTGAAAAACAATTTACATATTTGATGAGCTCAAAATGTCTCTGGATTAGGCCTTGTTCCCAGGATAAAATAGACAATAAATATAGACATTTAAAACAGGGTCATATTGGGTTCCATTTCACAGGATCTCACATTTGGTAATCAAAAGTTGAAAAAGCCTGTCCTTACTTTTTACACAGTACACTTTCAAAACCATTAACTCTTTTAAGAATTATTCAAATTTTGAAAATCTCTTATGAACTAGACTTTTTATGGTGTCAAAGTAGAATAACTAGTCAAACAATTTAATAACATTTTTATAGTTTCTTTTAGCTGAGTCTATCTTGTACAAAGGGCAAATTATTTCAGAAGTCTAAGAGTGTTTATGTCCTCAGAGAGAGCTGTGGGACTACAACACATTCTCCCATAAAAATGAGTCATCAAGATATTTTGTGGAACTTAGATTTGGTTTTATTCGTGGGAGATTCACCAAATTGGGTTGATTAGTTCTTGTTCATTAATTTGTGCTGTCCTTGCATTTTCTTAGCAAGCTCCTATTTAACCAGAAGTGTTTTCCATTTGATGGGAATAAATCCAGCCACCAAGAGTGAATTGAATTTCTGGCTGACCAGTAGTGAAGTTTAGGTAGAAACCAAAACTGGGAAATGACCATTGAAAGATAGTCACTGATCAAAAAGAACCTATCAACTGAAACTTGCCATGAACTGACAATGTGGTCAGTAATTTAATGTTGAGTAATTTAATACACTTAAAGCCAGAAGATTTGAATTTCTCTCTAAACATGTTAGTAGCAGGCAAATCATTTAGCCTCTTCCCCTGGTCTGTGAAAGCTCTGTTTGATTCTAGTGAATCAGAGAGAAAGAGCGACTGACACTGGATTCGCAGAGCAAAGAGAGATAGGATGCTGACAAGGTACAATTCTTCCATATTTACGTGTCAGTTTAGATTCTCTAATATTACCTTGGCTTGATCAGGTTTCTGCTACTTCTATCGAATCTTTATAAACTATATGCAGAGTCTTTTGTTTGAAGCCTGATCTTATTTCCTTCCAGGGTCTTAAAAATAGATGGTACAATTGACCCTTAAGCAACATGAGTTTGAACTGTGTGAGTCTACTTATACATGGATTTTTTTCAATAAATATATTGGAAAATTTGTTGATGATTTGCAACAGCTTGAAAAAAGTTGCAGACAAACTGTGTAGCCTAGAAAAAGGGGTATGTCATGAATCCATAAAATATATGTAGGTACTAGTCTATTTTGTGATTTGCTACCATAAAATATACACAAATCTATTATAGAAAGCTAAAATTTATTAAAACTTATGCAAAGAGACCATACATGGCACCATTTACAGTAGAAATATTTAAAAGTAATGATGCAGTGTTAAATCATAGCTGCATAAAATTAACTGTAGTACATACTGTTCTATTATAATAATTTTGTAGCCACCTACAGTTGCTATTGCAGTGAGTTCCCCT
Source organism: Homo sapiens (assembly GCF_000001405.40). Lineage (NCBI taxonomy): Eukaryota > Metazoa > Chordata > Mammalia > Primates > Hominidae > Homo > Homo sapiens. Next base: position 50,553,735 of record NC_000013.11, read on the forward strand.
GCTGTGAGTATTCGCTTAAATGCTGTGTGATGCTAAGGAATTGTGTATCAAAGTAAAAAGTGATCTCTTTGGGTTCTCCTGTACATTTCATCATGTTTGGTACAATACAGTAAACCTTGAATCACACCATAGTGATGCTGGAAGTGCTCCCAAGAAGCAGAGAAAAGTAATGACAGTACAAGAAAAAGTTGAATTGCCTGACACATACCATAGATTGAGGTCTGCAGCTGCAGTTGCCCACCATTTCAAGATAAGTAAACCCCATGTAAGGGCCATAGTAAAAAAAGAAAAGGAAATTTGTGAAGCTGTTGCTGCAGTGACACCAGCAGGTGTGGAAATCTTGCACTTTTGTGAAATACTTTTAATCTTGTATTGAAAAATGTAGCTTTAGTGTGGGTGCAGGATTGCTATAAGAAAGTCATACCTATAGACTCTAATATGTTTAGAGAAAAAGCAATGTCATCATGTGACAACTTAAAGCAAAAGGAAGGTAAAGGATCTAAAGCTGGAGAATTTAATGCCAGCAAAGGATAGTTTGATAATTTTAGAGAGAGGTTTGGCTTGAAAAATATCAAGATAGTAGAAGCAATTTCTGCCAACCAAGAGACAGGAGACCAGTTCCCGTATGGTATTAAGAAAATCCCACTTGATCATGGTGGATAAGCTTTTTGATGTGCTGCTGGATTCGGTTTGCCAGTATTTTATTGAGGATTTTTGCATCAATGTTCATCAAGGATATTGGTCTAAAATTCTCTTTTTTGGTTGTGTCTCTGCCAGGCTTTGGTATCAGGATGATGCTGGCCTCATAAAATGAGTTAGGGAGGATTCCCTCTTTTTCTATTGATTGGAATAGTTTCAGAAGGAATGGTACCAGTTCCTCCTTGTACCTCTGGTAGAATTCGGCTGTGAATCCATCTGGTCCTGGACTCTTTTTGGTTGGTAAGCTATTGATTATTGCCACAATTTCATATCCTGTTATTGTTCTATTCAGAGATTCAACTTCTTCCTGGTTTAGTCTTGGGAGAGTGTATGTGTTGAGGAATGTATCCATTTCTTCTAGATTTTCTAGTTTATTTGCGTAGAGGTGTTTGTAGTATTCTCTGATGGTAGTTTGTATTTCTGTGGGATCGGTGGTGATATCCCCTTTATCATTTTTTATTGTGTCTATTTGATTCTTCTCTCTTTTTTTCTTTATTATTCTTGCTAGCGGTCTATCAATTTTGTTGATCCTTTCAAAAAACCAGATCCTAGATTCATTAATTTATGAAGGGTTTTTTGTGTCTCTATTTCCTTCAGTTCTGCTCTGATTTTAGTTATTTCTTGCCTTCTGCTAGCTTTTGAATGTGTTTGCTCTTGCTTCTCTAGTTCTTTTAATTGTGATGTTAGGGTGTCAATTTTGGATCTTTCCTGCTTTCTCCTGTGGGCATTTAGTGCTATAAATTTCCCTCTACACACTGCTTTGAATGTGTCCCAGAGATTCTGGTATGTTGTGTCTTTGTTCTCATTGGTTTCAAAGAACATCTTTATTTCTGCCTTCATTTCGTTATGTACCCAGTAGTCATTCAGGAGCAGGTTGTTCAGTTTCCATGTAGTTGAGCGGTTTTCAGTGAGTTTCTTAATCCTGAGTTCTAGTTCGATTGCACTGTGGTCTGAGAGACAGTTTGTTATAATTTCTGTTCAAATTTACAAGAAAAAAACAAACAACCCCATCAAAAAGTGGGCAAAGGATATGAACAGACACTTCTCAAAAGAAGACATTTATGCAGCCAAAAGACACATGAAAAAATGCTCATCATCACTGGCCATCAGAGAAATGCAAATCAAAACCACAATGAGATACCATCTCACACCAGTTAGAATGGCAATCATTAAAAAGTCAGGAAACAACAGGTGCTGGAGAGGATGTGGAGAAATAGGAACACTTTTACACTGTTGGTGGGACTGTAAACTAGTTCAACCATTGTGGAAGTCGGTGTGGCGATTCCTCAGGGATCTAGAACTAGAAATACCATTTGACCCAGCCATCCCATTGCTGGGTATATACCCAAAGGACTATAAATCATGCTGCTATAAAGACACATGCACACGTATGTTTATTGCGGCACTATTCACAATAGCAAAGACTTGGAACCAAGCCAAATGTCCAACAATGATAGACTGGATTAAGAAAATGTGGCACATATACACCATAGAATACTAGGCAGCCATAAAAAATGATGAGTTCATGTCCTTTGTAGGGACATGGATGAAATTGGAAATCATCATTCTCAGTAAACTATCGCAAGGACAAAAAACCAAACACCGCATGTTCTCACTCATAGATGGGAACTGAACAATGAGAACACATGGACACAGGAAGGGGAACATCACATTCTGGGGACTGTTGTGGGGTGGGGGGAGGGGGGAGGGATAGCATTAGGAGATATACCTAATGCTAAATGACAAGTTAATGGGTGCAGCACACCAGCATGGCACATGTATACATATGTAACTAACCTGCACATTGTGCACATGTACCCAAAAACTTAAAGTATAATAATAGTAAAAAAAAATAAAAATAAATAAATAAAATAAATAAAAATAAAACTTTAAAAAAAGTTATCTGAAAAGGAAAAAAAAAAAAAAGAAAATCATTGAAGAGAAAGGATATCTGCCCAAGTAGGCTTTTAATACAGACAAAAGTGCCCTATTCTGGGAAAAAAGAAAAAAAAGCCACAAAGGACATTTATTAGTAAGGAAGAGAAGTGAGCACCAGGATTTAAGGCCAGAAGGGTTAGGCTAACTCTACTGTTTTGTGCATATGTAGTCAAGTTTATGACCGGGCTGCTCTTATCCAGAAAGTTGCCAATCTCCAAGCCTTGAAGGGAAAAGATAAACACCAGCTGCCAGTCTTTCGGTTGTACAACAAGAAGGCCTGGACAACGAGAACTCTTTGTCTGGATTAGTTCCAACGATGCTTTGTTCCTGAAGTCAGGAAATACCTTGCCAGTAAGGGAGTGCCTTTCAAAGTTCCTTTGATAATGGACAATGCCCCTGGCCACTCAGAGCCTCATGCCTTCACCATTGAAGGTGTTGAGTGGTCTACTTGCCCCGAAGCACAATGTCTCTAATTCAGTCTCTAGATCAAGGAGTCATAGGACCTTTAAGCCTCATTACACATGGTACCCTTTGCAAAGGACTGTCAATACTGTGGAAGAGAGCCCAAGAGAACATCATGAAGGTCTGGAAGGATTACAACGTTGCAGATGCCATTGTTGTTATAGAAGAAGCCATGAAAGCCATCAAGCTTGAAACAATAAGTTTCTGCTGGAGAAAACTGTGTCCAGATGTTGTGCATGACTTCACAGGATTTATGATGGAACCAACCCAGGAAATCGTAAAAGAGACTGTGGATAAGGCAAAAAAGGTGGAAGATGAAGGGTTTCAAGATATGGATCTTGTTTCTCCAATTATCCAATTCTATAGCTAATAGACACCACACCAGAGAAATTAACAGAGGATAACTTGATGGAGATGAGTGGTTCTGAACCACTGCCAGGTGATGAGGAAGATGACACAGAAGCAGTACCAGAAGACAAATTGACAGTTGACAGTCAGGCAGAAGGGTGATTATTCAAGACTGCTTTTGACTTCTTTTACGCATGGACCCTTCCATGATATGGGCACTAAAACTAAAGCAAATGGTGAAAGAAAAATTGGTACCATAGAGAAACATCATTTTTCAAGAAATGGAAAAGCAAAAAAAGTCAGGCAGAAATTATGATGTCTTTCTGTAAAGTTACACCAAGTGTGCCTATCTCTCCTGTCGCTGTCACCCCTGTGGCAGCAAGACTAACCCCTCATCTTTCTCTTCAACCTACTTAAAATGAAGATGAAGATGATGAGGTTGGAGATCTTAATCCACTTAAGTGGACTACTTCCACTTAATCAATAGTAAACATGTTTTTTCTTCCTTATAATACATATGTACTGTATTTTATACTGTATTTTTATAAGAAAGCGCAAGCTAGAGAAAAGAAAATATTATTAAGCAAATCATAAAGAAGCAAAAATATTGTCTGTGTAAGGAAATGTAAATAGAAATGTGTTATGTGGACTTCCCAGGAGTTCTTTAAAGGAAGCTAATGGAGAAGAAGGGGCTGCTCTTTCCTAGTTGCCTTTCTTCCTTCTTCTGGCCTGAAACTCCAGCAGCCTTTTCGAAACATGAAGTGACCTTGAGTATGGGGGCCAAGTACTAGAGTGTTGAAGTTTAGAAGCCTAGGTCTCTGATGGTACTGTGGAGTAGCTTCACCAACCTTGAACTGCTTACTCATAATTTGTTGGGTTTTTTCTCTTAACATGAGAAGAAAATTTCTATCTTGTTTAAGCCACTGTTATTTTGGAGTTGTTTATTCCATGCAGCCAAACTATAGTCAAACAGATACAGGATATGTTAGGGATTCTCATCAGGTCCTATAGGAGTTGAGAGCAGAGGGGCCTCAGCAGGAGGCAGGAAAGTCTCTCCAGAGAAGGAAATCCTTGAATGAGTCCTGAAGAAGGAATGGCAGCTTGTCGCAAGGACAAGGTTGGGCAGAGCAGGAAGAGTGATGCATGTTGAAGTAGTGGTCAGAACGGGGATCTGCTGCAGCCTTGGGAGGGAAAGTACCATATTCACAGAGCAAGTTAATTACAGATCAAAAGAAAGAATTCCAGACTTGCTCGATGCTCCCTCTCTTTCTAGCCCTATATCCTCCATGTCAGTTGGCTTTAGTAATCAAAATATTGAAGAAAGTTTAAGATGGCCATGAGCACTCTACCCTGGCCTGAAAATCTAGGTGCTCTTTAAAGCAAGGAAGCAAGCAAGCAAGCAAACAAAGAAAGAAAGAAAGTAAGTAAATAAAATATTTGCAGAACGCCTGCTATGAATAAAACCTTGTACCAGATGCTGATGAAAAAGTGCCTAGGGGATATTAAAAATGAATTAAATAATTCTTGCTTTTATGGGGTTTCATTCTAAGAGTGAGGATGACATCTGCACACATAATAAAAAAGTAAACAAAGAAAAATTGCAATGGGGAATGGGAAAGTGTTGAGTGTGGATTGAAGGGAGGTGGCTTTTACCCACAAGGGTCCAACTGAGAGCTGATGTTTTAAAATTTCATCTCACCCGTAAGACTGAGAGGGATTTCCCAGGGTCTGGGAGCAGAAATCAGAGAAGCAGTAAAGTGGAGGATGTGATAGCTCTAGAGACCACCCTGTAGCACAGTGATGGATGATGGCTTGGCTTCCAGGGAATAAGGTAAGCATGAAAGCCTCTTTTGTGAAAATAGGCTTAGAGAGACTTGCTTATAGCTAGAGGATGCTTCTAGGTAGGAGATGATGCTATGTGCAACCTACATGCAGAAAGATGTTGAAAGAGAGGTCAAAGTTAGGACATGGAACAAAAGCCCTGGCAAAATTCAAGCAGACCTTGACTTTGGGAGAGCCTGGAGCAGACTAAGTAATTGTGAAGTCAGCTGGCCATGTCTCCCCAAAATACTCCTGGTATTTGCTTTTTGTGGTCTGGGATGTCCCAGACTCAACAGGGAACAAGATCAGAAGAAGAAAACAGTGACATTTGTAGCCAAGTATGAGATGAATTTCAGTAACTGGTATATAGTAGGAGAAGCCCAAGTATAGGGGGAAAAAAAAGCATTTATGCCGGGGCTGGGATACCAATTTCAGAAGGTGACTTATCTGAAAATTTATAGGAAGTGCAACAAAAATTTGGTTTTTTTTAAGTCATGGTGGAATGGTGGAGAAAAGATGAAAGGTAGACATCTGCTTTGCTTCATATGCCAAGACACAGCCCTTTCTGCTGCAGGAGAGGACTTTCCAGATCTACATAGTGGTTGGGGGGATAGGGTAGAAAATGAAGATAAATGTACCAACATATCATTTCCAGAACAATTTTATATCCCAAGAAAACTCTGACAGTCTAGGCACCCCCGACTCCTGCAGGAATAATAATGTTAAGAGATTTATTGCTTAGAGGAATGTCTCATATGAACGGATAGCTTTAGGAAAGACAGAGTTTCAGGGTACAGCTTCAGAAGGAGACAAAGCCATGCCTTAGGGCCCCAACAGGGCCTTTGTGGCTTATAAGGTTCCTATGTTTTGGGCCAGGGCCAGCACTCAACCCAGAGCTGTATTGACCCGGGCATGGGATCCTTTGCTTAGAACATGGTCCTGGACTCACCAGAAAATGCTTTTGTCTGAAAGAGCAGAGCCACCAGCATGGGATCTATTGTGGGTAGAGAGACAACCCTCATGTTCCAAAGAAGTTAATACAAACTATATATTGGTTTGCAAGTCAGAAGAAAACACTGCTAGCATCCGCTGTTGCTCTCCCCTTCCCATCTTTTGTCTATGAATATATCAAGGTATGGTGGTTTCATGCATGGATTCTGGAACCAATCTGGATTCTGCTGCCTGCTGACCGTGTGGCCTTGTGTAAGTTACACAGCTTTCCTTGGTCTCAGTCCCCTCCTTTTCAAAATGGCCTGTGTTAAAGGTGCGTGCGTGTGTGTGTGTGTGTGTGTGTGTGTGTGTGTAGGTTTTGAAGTATTTCTAGTTGACTCGTGAGAATTATTTGTCTATTAAGAATACTAATATATTGTCTTCCAGAGGCAGGGTTTTCTGCCACTTAGTTATTTGTTAATGACATTTTCGATATATAGACATTTTAATTCTTTATGTAATCAACTTTACTTTTAGATTTATAGAATTACTTTTTGCCTAGCAAGTTTTCTCCATCCCAGTAGAAACACTTGTATGCCAACTTTATAGGATCATTTTTACATTTAACTTTGTAATCCATTTAGAGATTATTTTTATATAGTGTATAAAGTTCTAAGTAGTTTTTTAAAATTTACTTAGAATAGTTGAATAATTCATTATTTCTCTATTAGTTGGTGGTTCTTTATCAAACATTAAATTCTAATATATAATATAATCTGTTTTTAGCCTTATGATTCTTGCCAATATCACATTGATTAATTAAAATAGTGCTATAATATATTTTAATACTTGGTCATGTAAGTCTTCTGGATTACTTTTCCTTTTCAAAATCTTCTTACCTGTTTCTGCTTGTTTATATATTCAAATGAACTTCAGATTATTTTATTTCTAAATAAATCTCTATTGAACAAAGAAATAATTTTAAAGTATTCAGTCTCCCATACAAAGACATGATCTTTCCTCTTTCTTACCATATGTTATTAAAGTTAAATTTTATTTTATAGGTCATGCACATTTCAAGATTAATCAGTCAACAAATATTTAACTAGTGTCTGCTGTGAGAGTCTGCAAGGCTATTTCACTTTTGTGCATGTGCATGTGCAAGTGTGTGTGTGTGGATCCACATCCACACACACACACACACACATGTGTGGATCCACATACACACACACACACACACACACACACACACAGACAGAGAGAAAGCTTGGCATCTGAAATAAACCTTCTGAGATTTGGCCTTTGTAGGCAGATAAATGACTCTCCTCAATTCAATGAGAGCATCCTTCCAGTATCTTTTTGTAGATGACATTTTAATCTCAATGCCTTTCACCACTGTATTGATTCCAAGATGGCAATGGCAACAGTGAATACCAAACTTTCCCAATAGCTGACTTCACTATGCCTTCTATGGTTCAACTAAGGGTTAAATGGTCAGGTGCCCATTTGAAGAGTCTCAGCCTTCTCACTCTGCTGAAACAATATAATGGACTGAGACAAAAACACTAGTAAATAATCATTACTGGGATCTTTGAGGGGGCCTAATAAATCCACCCTTATTCCCTGCCTGATTTATAAGCCAACTGATAAAATATAAGTAAGCAGAAGGACAACTTTATCAGGCTAAATTGAGGGTATAGCCCAGTATGAGAGCCATAATGAGCCCCTCAGCCTTAGCCTCAGCCTCAGCCTCAGCCCCCTATAGTTCAGCTACAGAAGGAAGGAGGGAGAAAGGAAATGTCTTTTTTTCCCTGGGAATTTTGATAGATTATCTCAACCTAGAAAAGTGGGAGAATGGCTATTACTTTACACCCAAGTTAATTTATTTCCCTTGGTGGGAGGAGTAAAGAAGGCATTCAGTGAAAAATATTTCCTTCCTTGTGAAAACCAGGAGGGAAAAGAGGCAATCCCTCTCAGTAGTCAAGGTTAGGGTCAGGAACTACAGCTCTGCATGTAATCTCACCCTGAGAATTAGGCTTGACTTTATTGGGCTGATGACTTATGTGTTCATCAAGTATTTATGTGCCTACCCTGCACCAGGGATAGTTCCAGGCACTGTCAGGGGAGGGGCAGTTAACTCTGAAGACTGAAGACAAGACTGAAAGTCCCTTGGAGCTTGCAGTCTAGAGGGGGAAATGCAGACCACAATGGAGAAAGCAAAGAGAAATGTTAAGCCAAGAAAAATACAATAGGATGATAGAAGGAGATGGGGCATAGGGGTGGGGCTTGAGTCTGGATAAGCCTCCGAGGAGGTGACATTAAACTGAGGCTTAAAGAATGAGGAGAAAAAATCAGCCATGTGAAGCTCTGGAAGGATAGGGCTCCTGGAATATGTAGCAGCTGAGTCCTCAAGGTAAGTACGATCTTGGACTGTCTTAGGAATGTGGATGACAGCTGGAGGTTGTGTGCCAGGGGGAGAAGCTGCAGGACCGACCACAGTGCTCTCCTGAACCTCCCTTTTGAACTGGCAGCAACGGTGCAGAGAGGAGATTTGCAGGGTCCTCTGACAGATTGCCAAGGCCCTCAGAGGCTGGGGCTCACTGTGATCAGGCATGGTATTTCCATTGCAACAAGAACCTTTGGCTTAAATCTCCACTCGTTAAAGGAATACGTCATTGAAGTGATCACTTTTGCTTTAGGTAAGCCTCTATGAGGGAAAGCAAGCCTGCTTGATCTGGAGGTATGGAAATGGATCAAAATTAAGGCCCCAATCTAATCTCTTAACACCCTTAACACCTAAAACTTATGTCAAACCAAGACCTCTCTAGCAGCCATGAGCAGATAATCCCACTACTGTTTATGCCGGGCGCTTGGGGATACAATGGTGGATTAAAAAAAAAAATCTGGTCCCTGCGCTATCTAGCCTAGAGTCTCATGGAGATGATAGATGCTAAGAATAATTAAATAAAACATTGTTTTTGCCTGGTTAGGTTTACTCCTAGGTATTTTATTGTTGTGTGGCTATAATAAATGGAATATGTCCCCCATTTTATATTCTAACTGGTTATTGCTAGTTGTATTAATTTGCTAAAGCTGCCATAATAAAATACTACAAACTGTAGGCTAAAACAGTAAAAATTTATTTTCTTACAGCTCTGGAGATTGGAAATCAAAGATCAAGGTGCCTGCAGGTTTAGTGTCTTCAGAGACCTCTCTCCTTGACTTTCAGTTGAGTTGATGATTGGTTTCACAAAGGGATTTAGCAAAGGGGAAGCCATTAGTGACTTTGACCAGAGTAGTTTTATTAGAGTGGTATGAGGGAAAGCCTGACTGTAACGTATTTAAGAGGGAATAGGATGAGGGGAATTAGAGAAAAATATTATGAGCAATTCTTTAAAAGAGTTTGGCAAAAGAAATAGAGCAGTAATTGAAAGGGGAAATGTAGTCCGAAGAGGGATTTTTTTTTTAAAGAAGTATATAAAAGTCAACCTTACTGAGGTATAATTTGTATGGGATAGAGTGTATCAATTTTTTTAAATGTTCATTTTTTAATTGACAAATTAATATTGCATATATTTATCATGTACAACATGATGTTTTGAAACATGTACACCTGGTGGAACAGATCAGTTGAGCTAATTAACATGAACATTACCTCACATACTTATTTTTTATATTGAGAACACTTAAAAATCTACTCTCAGAGATCTTCAGAAGTACAACGCATTGTAATTAACTATAGTTACCATGATGTACAATAGATCTCTTGAACTTCTTTCTCCTATCTAACTGAAATTTTGTATTCTTTGACCAACATCTACCCAACCATCTCCCTCACCCCTGGTGACCACCATTCTATTCTCTGCTTCCATGAGTTTGACTTTTTTAGATTCCACATATAAGCCAGATTATGTGGTATTTGTCTATCTGTGCCTGGCTTATTTCACTTAACATAATGTCTTACAGGTTAATAATCCATGCTGTCACAGATGACAGAATTTCCTTTTTTTAAAAAAATGGCCGAATAGTGCCTTCCATTGTGTATATAAACCATATTTTCTTTTCCATTTGTCTGTTGATAGACACTGAGGTTGCTTCCATATCTTGGCTGTTGTGAATAGTGCTGCAGCGAACATGGGAGTGCAGATATTTCTTCAATATACTGATTTTATTTCATCTGGGTGTATAACGAGAGGTGGAATTGCTGGATCATATGATGGTTTTATTTTTTATTTTTTTGAGGATTTTTTTTACCTCCATACTGTTTTGCATAGTGGCTATACTGATTCAAAATGAATTCATTTTGAGTGTCCATTTAGATGAGTTTTGACAAATGTATATGTCCGTGAAACCACCACCATAATTGGGACAGAGAATATTTACATCATCTCCAAAAATTTCCTTGTCCTTCCCAGCCAATTCCTCCACTGCAGACTCAGGCAACCACTAATCTGCTTTCTGTCACTATAGATTATATTTGCCTTTGAAAGAATTTTGTTTAAAAGGAATCACACAGTATGTACTCTTTTGTGTCAGGATTTTTTCATTCAGCATTTTTTTGTTGTTTTATCCATGCTTTGGTTTTATCCATGCTTTTAGTGTATCATAGTTTATTCCTTGAATTTACAGGTAGAATTATTTTGTCTGGATACACCACAATTTGTGTATCTATTCACCTGATGATGTACATTTATGTTGTTTCCAGTTGGGGCCATTATGAACTAAGGTGCTATGAACATTTCATGTGTGAGCCTTTGTGTGGACCTGTATTTGTATTTCTATTGAGTAAATACTTTCAGAACTGATTTTCTGGATGAAATAGTAAGTGCCCATATAACTTTGTAAGAAACCACCAAATTGTTTACTATAGCAATCATACACTTTTCATGTCAAAAGTATATGAGTGTTCCAGTTGCTCCAGATTCCTCTAACATTCGCTATTGTCAATCTTTTTAACTTTAGCTAGCCTAGTGGGTGTGTAGTTGGTATCTCATTGTGATTTTCTGTTTCTTCTTAAAGCAGTTTTGTAATATGAAATTTGCAAGGAATTTGTTCACTTCATCTAAGTTGTCCAGTTTATTGTTCTAAAGTTATTTATAATATTCCTTTACTCTCCTTTTTGTGCCTGTATGGTCTGTCATGGTGCCCTTGTTATCATTTCTGATATAGATTTGTGACTTCAATCTTTGTTATTGTTGATTATGATTAGTTTAGCTAGGGCTTTATCAAATTTAGTGTTTTCAAAGATATAACTTTAGACTTTGTTCATTTTCCTTATTTTTTTGTTGGTTTTTTATTTTGTTGGTTTTGTCCTCATATTTGTTATTTTATTCCTTCCATTTACTGTGCACTTAATTGGTCTTCTTTCTCTAGCTTACTAATGTGGAAGTTAAATAATTGATTTTTTAAGATTTTCTTTCCTAATGTAAGCATTTAAATTTATAGATTTCACTCTATATACTGTTTCAACTGCATTCCATGAGTTTTGACATATTGTTTTCATTTTCATTCAATTTAAAAAAGTCTAATTTCCATTGTGATTTTTTTCTTTGACTCCTATGTTATTTAAAAGTATGTGTGTTTGTTAATGTACACATTTTCCAGGTTTTTTTTCTGTCATTGATTTTCATCAATGCCATTATGTTCAGGGAACATATTCTGTTATTATCTCAGTCTTTTAAAATTTATTGAAACTTTATTATAGCCCAGCATATATCTTAATGAATGTGTCCTTAAAAAACAAACGTGTGTTCTGCTGTGGTTGGAAAAAGTCTTCTATAAATGTCAATTAGATCAAATTTTTAGTATTGTTGTTCAAGTCTTTTATATCCTTACTGATTTTCTCTCTACTTTTCCTATCTATTACTACGATAGCAATGATGAAATCTCCAGTTATATCTGTGGGCTTATAAATCTTTCCTTTTAGTTCTGCCAAATTTTGCTTCAGATAGCTTGAAGTTCTGTTATTGGGTGTATATTCATTTAGGATCGAGATGTTTTCATGGTGAATTGATCATTTTGCCATTTGTTATTATTGACTTTTGCATAAAGATTTCCTTTTATTTTTTATAATGTAGGGCTACTATTGATGAATTTTCTCAAGCTTCTCTGAAAAAGTTCTTATTTCACCTTCATTTTTAAGGCTATTTTACTGCATAGAGAACTATAGAAATCATTTTCCCCTTATTCTTTTAACAATATAATTCCATTGTCTTCTGGCTTGCATAGTTTCTGATGAGGATTTGTACGTTGATTTTCTTTGTTCCTCAGTGCATAATGTCTTTTTTTCCCTATGGCTGCATTTAAGATGTTTCTTTTTCACTTATTTTTAGCAATTTAATTATTATATGCTTTCGTGTGTGGTGTATGTGGTATATGTGTGCATTACATGTATTTATTCTGCTTGAGATTTGTTGAGCTTCTGAAATAATGGGTTTAGAGTTTTAGTCACATTTGGAAACATTTTAGCCCTTATTGCTCTCATCCCCTTTTGAGACTCCAGTTACATAGATATTAGACTGCTCGATATCACCTCAGAGGTCTCTGAGGCTCTGATTTTTTTTTTAGCCTCACAACTCTTTGTGTTTTATTTTAGACAAATTCTATTCTTAGGTCTTTTTTGTACAATATAGAATCTGACGTTCATCCCATTCAGTAAAATTTTTACTTCAAATATTATATTTTTTTATCCCTGGAATTCCACTGGGTTCATCTAAATTTCTTCCATTTCTCTCTTTATTATGTTCATGTTTTTCTATAAATATTTGTATGTAGTCATAATATTTGCTTTAATGTTTTTGTCTACTAACTCCATCATCTCTGTTACTTCTGCACTGATGTCAGTTCATAGATTCTCTCCTGATTATCTGCACATTTTCTGTCCTTTGGCATGTCTAGTAATTTTTAATTGAATGACAGGCATTGTGATGCTATCTTATTGAGTGTTTGGATTTTGTTGTCTTCCTCCAAAGACTGTTGAGCTTTGTTTTAGCAAGCAGTTAAGGTTCTTTCAAGTCACTTTGCTCCCACTGAAGCCTGTTTTTAAACTTCACTTAGGCTAGGGTGGAGTAGACTTCACTCCAGGGATGGCTCACCTCCATCACTAAGGCATACTTTCTCTGGTACTGCTACTAAATGTTTTTGGATTTTGTTTACATCAAAATATGAGTTGCTTATTGTTCAGTGGGCTCTTTCATGATATAGATGTGTTTTATTTTAGCTCTGTTAAATGGTTTTTTATTATAGTTAAATTAATTTTTATCTTCCACCCCTCCTCCTATTTTTTCTGTTCTCTCCTTCCTAAATGCTTATTGTATAAACATTGAAACTTTGGATCTTTCCTTTATACTCTAAACTTTTATTTCACATTTTTCATCACATTTCTGTTTACATTGTGTTCTGGGAGAACTCCTTAGTTTAGTCTTTGAGGTTGCTAATTTGCTCTTCATCAGTATTTATTCTGGTATTCAGCCAGTCTCTTGAGTTTGTTTCAAAGATCATATCTTTTTCATTTTTAAGACCTTGAACTAGTTCTTTTACATAATAGCTTCTTTTATTTCATAGATGTGATATGCTCTCTTATCCTTTGAGAATATTAATTATCCTTTGTGAATGTTTTTTGTTTATTTGTTCTTATAAACTGTGTATTCACAAGAGTTAGCTCTTTTATTTTTTGAGCTTGCTGCTTTTATCAGTGTGCTCATTGATTCTGGGCTTATATTTTTTTGCATTTGCTTTTTATTTTTATATGTATGCTGTTGTTTTTTTACTGTAGTTATTTCCAGTTATTGTAGAGGAGTGATAGGTTGTTCAGCTGGGCAGCCCATCTTTTGGATGAGTGGAATTGCTTCTTTCTTCAGGGTATAACTAGATTCTAATGGGACTTTCCTGTCTTTAGACTGAAACACTCAAATTTCTTACTCCAAACTCAGAAGCAAAAGTCTGCTGCTTCTGTCTTCTCTCAAGTTAGGAATGAGTGGATGGATAGAAAAAGTCACCCTTGTAGATGCTCTGAGTACAGTGATCAGGTAACTCATTTCCAGAACCTGTTTCTCATATACATTGCTTCTGCATTTAGAGTCTGCAAAACCTACTTCCAACTTATACAAATGTCTTCTCATGTATAATTACAGAGTGCTGTTTACTTCCATCAATTAATTCCTCTCTGCTTTCTATCTTTAAAAGATTTCTGAACAAATTTGTTCTACTGATTTTTGTTTTGTTTTGTTTTGTTTTCTGGAGTGGTTATTAAAATTTTCTTAATTTTTGTCTGTCATTTCATGATTAATATTTGAATCTCTTCTGTATTTTTATCTCTCCTTCATATTTATTTTTTGGTTACTTCTCTGTTTTCTTAGTAAACTTTGCAAGAATTTTATGTTCCACATTGTTGATTTCAAATAACCAACTTTTATAGTTGTTAATTTGTAAATTTTCCACTTTCTGATTATTTTATCTTCTAATATTTGTTTTCTTATTCTCTACTTCATTTTTAAAGTTCTGTTTTATTTACTGTCTTAGCTCATTTGTGCTGCTATAATAAAATATCACAGACTGGCTAATTTATAAAGAACAAAAATATATTTTCTCAAAGCTCCGGAGCTGGGAAGTCCGAGATCAAGGTGCTGGCAGGTTCATTGTCTGGTGAAGCTGCTCTCTGTTTCCAAGATGGCATCGTGATGGTGCATCCTCTGGAGGGGAGAAATGCTCTGTCCTCACATGGCAGAAGGCAAAAAGGCAAATATGACAAATTGTCTTCCTCAAGTTTTTTTTATAAGGACCTCTTACCCCATTTATAAAGGAGGAGCCCTTATAGCCTCATCACCTCTTAAGGGCCTCACCTCTTAATACTGTCACATTAGCAACACCTGAATAATGGAAGGGACATATTGAAATAGGAAATGCCACATTAATTTGTCTTGTATTCCAGTTTTGATATCTAAGACTATTTCTTCAATTGTTTTCTAAATTATTTTTAATGGTAGTTTAGCTATTAAGTCAAAGAGGAAATGAGAGGGCTCTGTAATCCCTAAAAAGCTTTTTGGCTTTTCTTCCTGGAAGTCTCAGAAAATATCTCATTGATTCTGATTGAGTTTGTGCTCATCTATGATATGTACTTATCTCTGTGCCAATTATTCTGGTCAGCGTGATGAGAGATAAGACAATCCAGCTCAGCATAAAACATATGATTGATAATGGTGGATGCATAGTTTCCCAAAGACTGTTTCAAGTGTGGTTTCAATGGAGAAAGAAAGGAATGGATTCTGGATCCTAACCAGAAATGTCCACTAGAGTAAACATCTATTTTCCTTTTTTATTTTATTAAGAATGTCATAATGAAGAGCTAAGGGCTGCTACATTATCTCAACAAAAACTACTAACGATACAGAAGTTAATGACAAAAATAATCTTATATTTGCCTATTAATTTAGTCTTCAAACTCATTTTCTTATTTGACCATACCATTCATGAAATAATTAGGACTTATATATTGTTTTCATCTTGCAGATATGGAAACTGAGGCTCATAGAAATGAAATAACTTCTCCAATGCTCCACATTTAGCATGCTTGGGAACTATCTCTAGGGCTGGCCAAGACAGAATATTTTTCACTGCAAAGTCAACTAAACACCATTTGTCTTCTTTACCTATACTCTTAACAAATTTTTCTCATTTTAAAATTGCCACATAATTTTTGGTGCCAATTACCCTATTTTGAATTGCCAACAAAGAAAACCTATTATTTTCAACATATGCTTGCTTTTTCTTAGGGTTAAATTATATATAGCCCTAACCTCATAATTCTGGTTAGGCTGATGTGGGTAAATACTGTGATATTCTTTTCAATACTATATTTGAAAATGCTGTTGCATTGTGTATAATTTTTCTTTTGTGTTATTCTCTATTTTGTAGTTTCAATGGTTTAAAATCTTACCATCTTATTAACCAATTCATGTAGGTTGCATTCAGATTAGCTAGTAGTGCTTTCTGTAATCTCACAATTTGGGAACAATATCAATCGCTTAACATTATGACTTCCTAGATTTCTCCCTTTTAGCAGAAGCAAAACATTTTTAGATTGAACCTTTTAAGCAAGATATATGCTTGTTTTTCGATACTTTGATGTTACAGTAGTAACACAATTTTCATTAAAGAATAGATTTGTCAACTCTTTTCTTTAGGCCTTTATTTTATTTCTTGCACTTGGATACATTGTCATATATGGTAGTTGGAATTTCTAGTAGCTTCAGAAATGGTGTTTTGGAGTTAGTGTAAAACTACAAATCATTCATAACAAATGAAGATTCAAGATTTGATGCTCAAGTTTCAGCTTAACACCATGACCAGAATTATTTTGTTTTCTCATTAGAGGATTCTAGCCAAACTCAAAATAGCAAGGACTAAATTAATACCTTGGAAATAGTTCCTGTTTTATCATACCAGCTCTGATGGTATGGTCCTCGTTTTCTCCTCTGAGAAATATTAGAATGTATTTCACTTAATCTGGCTCAAAAAATTTATATTTGAAGTGTCACAAATTTTAAAAATCCCTAATAATATGGAAGGAATCAGGAATATGGGATTCAGCTTTAAGCTTAAAAAAAGTGTTTCATACTCAGTTTTTTTTTTGTTGTGTTTTGTTTTATTAGAAGAGATGTCTATTTCTTAGGCTTCATGAATCTAAAAAGAGAAATATGATACACTAGAAAGATTGCTGGCTGTTGGTTTGGAAGGCCTGGCTGTAGCATGGGCTAACGGAGACATTGGGCTGGATTCTCGGTTTTTCTGAGCTTATTTTTTCAGCTTGTTTATAACCTCAAAAAGTAGTTGAGAGAATAAAAAATGAGACAATATATAATGAAGATGCTTTGGGAATCTCCAAATGCAATGCACTGTAATGGCTTGTGTGAGCTTTGTGTGTGCTTCAGGTCTAAGTGCAAATAAAGCTTTAGCTGCCCACCCAGGAAGGGATCATGGGAAGAATTCATGAAAGAAGGGTCCCTTTCTTAAAGAAAATTCTTTCCATCTGATGTCCATTTAGAATTAGTCAAGACATGCCCCAGTTCTATACTGTGGAAGATAGCATCGTCATAGCTATGTCATGTTCATTTCGTGTCTTCTCTCTTTGCTTCCATGGAGTGATATTTTGGAAATTCTCAAATTCTTGCTTATAATTCTGGCACTCCTTCAAATGCTGGTATATCATCTTGAAGTTACCATGTATCATGGTAATCAATTGGAAATGTGATTGTTATCAATACAATGGTAACGTGTTTCTACCAATATGATGGTAATGTGTTGTTACCATCAGTTGATAATGTGATTGTTACCAGTACAATGTAATTTCTTATGCTGATTTCTGAAGTATTTAAAATGCCTTTTCTCTTCTGATTTTATTTATATATTTGTGATTACTTTGAATATGCATATCAATTATTTCAGATACAGTGTCATTCAGAAGGTTTATTTCAATTAATAATCTTAGTAGCTTCATTATGGAAACATGTAGCACAGGTAACTACTGGGCACTGAGAATACTAAATCAAATAAGAAGGAGTCTTCAGGCAACTTATAATCAAACCAGGAAAGTGGAGACTCATACAACAAACTCTGATAGAATGTGACAGGAGTGGCCAGGCAGAGTGGCTCACACCTGTAATCCCAGCACTTTGGGAGGCCGAGACAGGAGGATCATGAGGTCAGGAGATTGAGACCATCCTGGTTAACATGGTGAAACCCCGTCTCTACTAAAAATACAAAGAAATTAGCCGGGCATGGTGGCTGGCGCCTGTAGTCCCAGCTACTTGGGAGGCTGAGGCAGGAGAATGGTGTGAACCTGGGGGTCAGAGCTTGCAGTGAGCCAAGATCATGCCACTGCACTCCAGCCTGGGTGACAGAGCGACAGAGCGAGAATCTGTCTCAAAAAAAAAAAAAATGTGACAGGAGTTACCGGTAGTAGTGCTCTACATAGAGTAGAGTGTTCTAGCTTCTGTTAGACACCGATGTGCATTAAAAAAAAAAAAAAAAGATGGCTAAAGATAGGGTGAAAAGATCTGACATTTAAACACATTAATTTTTTTCTATTTATTTAGAGCAGAGTTCACAAATTGGTGTCTGTAGACTAGATTTGGCTTGCAAATGTGTTTATTTTGGCTTACAAAATTTTTTAAAAATTTGAGCCAAGATGAAAACATTAAGAGATTTCACACGGAAGTCAAAATTCCCCAGTTTCTCTTGAAAAAATGTTAAAGATTTGGTAAACATTAGTCCTGCTTCTGTATAGGACAGCAGTCCTGGAGATGAGTAGAACCTACCTGCCTGCCTGAAACAGAGCAAGTGCTCTCAATTTCACGACCGGCCAAACTGCTTCCCACACTGGCCTACTTGCTCTGCCTGAAACCCCTGGCAGGCTCCACTTCAGCACCTTTGCACTTGCTGATCTCCAGCCTGGAACCTTCTTCCCCCAAGTATGGCTCAATCCCTCATTTCATTCTGGTCTCTGGTTAGAAGTCATCTCCTTGTAGAGGCTGCCCTGACTTCCCTATCTACAAGGACAGATTGATCTCATCACTGTCCCTTTACTTCCAGGCACTTACCACCGTGTGGCATATTATGTATTTTTAATGCATTACTTATGTATTAAATATGCCCCTCTGATGGAATACACACTTCATGAGAGCAGGATCCTTATCTGTTTTGTTTACCATGGTATTCCTCCCACCTACTACAGTGTGTCACGTAAAACAAGCACTCAATAAATATGTGTTGAGTGAATGTTGCTCTTGCAGTTTTATTCAATTCCTGAGCGTGGTGGAGATGGGGATCAGAGTAAATGGACCTCTGTTTTGCCCTGGCTCCTACAGCCAAGACTGAAGAGTAATATAGTTTGAATCATTAAAATTTTATCTGTAATGTTGTATACACAACACATATGTGTTATACAATCACCCCTAAACCATATACACAAATTAAAAAGTCTGCATTATATATGGTATGGTCATGATAACTATTCATATTACCTGAATAGTGAATAAAGAATCTGCTTGACCGTGTGCTATGAATTCACGTGATTTGGGATTTGCAAATCCATTTGGACCAAGCTGAACGTCTGAGCATCTTGTTGTTTCTTCATAACCCCTTCAATGTGTCACTCGCCTACCAACCTATTGTGCAGTTTTAGTTCAAGTCATATTAAAACCACAAAGTTATGGGGAGGGAGGTGGGGAAAAAGAGGTAGAAAATAACTCTTCTCATGGCTTTTGGTTTCTAAATTCTCATATTTCTTGTAGAGCTCCGCATTGGAAGTAAAAATTTGTCAGGAATGTCAGGCAAAAGAATCTATGAAACTTTTGACAGGATAGATGAGAAGGAAATGGGCGAGGGAATATTTTGAGTCCAGATAAGTTTTACCACAATGTAAAAATAAGCTCTCATAATCCCCCTGTCCTCACTGTGCCCTCAGCAAGTGATACAAACATGGAAAGATGAATGTCATTCAGCGAGTCTCACACTCTTAGGAAGAAATACTAGAGGGAGTGAGGGTTCCTCGGAAACTCTGTGCACTTATCTGTCACCAGCCTGGCCTCTGTGATATATGGGTGTACATACATGTGGGTGTAGCTGTGTGTGTGCACTTATGTGTGTACATGTGTGTGCACTTAAGTGTGTATGTGCATACACATGTATGTGTGTATCATGCACTTGTGTGTACACTTATGTGTGTACATGCATATTGTATGTGCACTTACGTGTGCATGTGCATGTGTGTATGCACGTATGCATATGCCTGTGTGTACATGTGTGCACTTATATGTGTATGTGTGTATGAATGTGCACTTACATGGGTATGTGTGTATGTATGTACATGTGTATGCATATACCTGTGTATATGTGCATGCACATGCATACATGTGTGTATGTGTGTACTTATGAGTATATGTGTATGCATGTGTATCTGAGTACATGTGCACACTCATATATGTATGTGAGTACATGTGTTCACTTATATGCGTATGCACGTGCACTTACATGTATATATGAATGTGTGTGTTGTGTACATGTGTGCACATATGTGTGTACATGTCTGCACGTGTGTGAACATGTATGTATATGCATATGTATGTGTGTGCGTGTACCTGTGTGTATGTGTGTGTGTGTGTGTACATGTATGTGTGTATTTCCCAAACAACTAAGATATATTTCATTTTGTTGCTTGGCAAATCTGCCTAATTCCTATTTATTCCCAGTTCTCTATTTGCATTTTCTTCTTTTCTTACAACCTGAAGGAAAAAACATGAATTCACCATCTATGTACAGGGTTTTGATTAACCCAAATCCATGCTTTCTTCCCCATCTATGACTTAATGTCTCCCAACTGTGCTTTTCTCTCTGTTTTATAATTTAAATTTTTAAGGCGTTCTCATTTATCCAGAAAATATTTATTGAGTGCCTACTAGTTGCAGGCAGCAGGGACACACAGCAGAACAACAGAGAAAGCTTTTGGAGCACTTTCTATGAGCTGAGTAAGCTCCAAGGAGAATTTTTACAGGTATGGTTGAAAACTCCAACAAAGTAATATGTTGAGAAAAAGTAAACACATGGTGTTCCTTTCCTGCAGAAGATAGGCATTTAATCCTGGTGTTTCTGTGGAAAATGTTACTGTAAGATGTATCTGGAGGTATGTATGCCAATGGTTGTCTATCAAAATAACTACCAATTCTAGCACCAGAGAAGAATGTCTTGGAAGAAGCCAGGACCAGATGTTTCTTCATGACATATGCATAAACACCACACAGGGACACGCTAATGTATTTTATTAGCCTTTCTTCCTCAGGCAGAGAAGCCTGACCCTGAGATGTAGGAAAGGTTATTCCAACATTGTGTAGAAAATTTTCAGCCTCTCTTGATGGCTAAAGTTGGAAACGTAAACAGTGCTTCAGAGGCCAGCTGAGTAGGTGGCCCCCTGGGGAAGAAGGGTATCTTTTTATAGAGGAGTTTTAATCAGCAAATTATTGAGATGACATAATGTATTGTTTTTAGCTGAGTTCTGTGGTAGAGAGTGGGTAGGAAGAAACCACAGTACTGTAGGAAAGTTATTGTTACTCAGTATTTCCCAAATTCTTTTAAATCAAGATTGGGGCGGTGGTTCCAGTAGCAGGAAGACTTGGTTTTTGGAAGAGATTTATTTGCTCCTCCATTGGCTGCATAACTGGGGCCTGTGGGGCCTCCAGTCAAGGCTGTGGATGTGGAAAGGGAGGTTCTGAGACACTTGAATTTCTGATTAACTCTGTTAATAGAAAACTCTTATTTGTTTCCATGTATGGAGTTAAAAATATTTCCAGGAAGTCTGTTTACCTACAGTATTTACCAGGAAATACTGTTTAGAAACTATGATGGAGCCTTTGTTGAAGGTCAAAGATCTTGCACCGCTGGATGTGCGCACAGCCTCCTGTATGTGAGCAATGGAGATCTTGACAATGTGGTCTAAATGGATAGCACAGGACAGTCTATAGATGTTGGATTTTGGATCAAATCCCTCATAAAGCCTTGCTCACTGCCTTTTAGGGGTGCTAATAATTCAGGTTTTGGGTAGCTGTGTGCTCGTTCTGCCATGAACTCCTTGGGAAGAAATTCTGAGAGAGGTTACTTGTAAAGTTACCTAATAAGTAAGTGACAGGGGAATGGTTCAAACCCAAAGCCTTAAAGATTAACAGCTCAAAACAGTCCCATCCTATACATGCATAAAGTGACCTAGAGAAGTGCGGTGAATTGTTCAAGTCAACAGAATAGCCTAGAAGCAGAAATAGGCCAGGACTCTCTCTCCCAGGCTGGTGTCTTGCCACTATACTATATATACAGTGGGCCATAGGCAACCCAGTAGGGTCTCAAGAGCAGACTTGGGACAAAGGGAACCCCTACCACATCAGCTGCAGCATGAACAGAGCCTGGTCCCTCCTTTGGAAAGGGCTTTTCTCTCTTAGCTGTCATTTATTTGACCCCTGCTACAACCAGACTCTGTTTTCAGGCTATTTACTTCTGTGATAGCTAACCCTCACAACAACCCCTTGAGGTTGTGTTATCATTACATTCGCTTCATAGATGGGTAAGCTGAGTTCCATTGCTGTTATGGTACTTTCTCAAGGTTGCACAGGTGGAAAGAGACTGAGCTAGGATCCAAACCTTGATCAGCGGGGCTCAAAAACTATCCTCTTTCCACAACAAACAGTGGCCTTCACTGTTGCTTCTGGCAGGGGTGCTTGTGCCCTGTGCAAACATCTCCTCCCGCCCCACCCCAGAGATCACTGCCATGCTTGGCCAGGTGCCTGGCACCTGTGAGCATGGAGCCAGCTGCAGCTAGACTCTGCAGGCATCAGAGGGCCGGGCTGGGTGGGCATGTCACTCCCGACTGTGTGAATGAATGTTTGATTTGTCTTAGCTCACCATTGGGTGGAGTCCACTTTGGGCAGAACACTTAGTGGCTGAATAAACAGCTGGAGCATCTTGGAAAGGCTGCACAGGCTGGTGGTTTGACACCGATTTTGGCTGTTTGGAGAGGCGCCACTGAAAGCCAGCCTTGACCACTGGTGCATTATTGAGAGACCTTGCCTTCTTTGCCTCACGCTGTCCTAGTTTCCCTGGAGGTCAACTGAGGACAAAAAAAAAAAAAACAAAAACAAAAACCGTGTAATTTCTGCTGAGTCTGTTCTCCAGGCTGAGGACAGAGGCAGGAGACACCTCTGAAATGCTGGACAAAATAAACTACATGCAGCCAAAATGGAAGAGGCTTCTTGAGAACGTCCCACCTGGGAGGGTGATAGAGATGGACAACCCTGGGCACAGATGAAGGAAATTCTTTCTGTATTCTTGGACACCCTTGTAGCTGGCCTGTTGGAAGAACTGTCACTTTTTATCACCTCAGGGGCTGGGAGAGAGGCTTTGGGAAGTGAAGGCTGATAGCTTACACTGAGGAGTCCCTTCCCTGGCTAGGATCTGACGTGGGATCTCAGAAGGGCATGACTGATATGACCACGAGCCCACAAAATGTAGAACAAAAGGAATCAAAAATGGAGTTTGAATCCTGCTATGTTGATGTTGGAGACACATGGACAGGCAGTGTTCCCAATGGGCAAAACCAGCTCATGATATGGAGGAAGTTAAGGCATCTCTGCTGCAAATTATTCAAACTTAGAGTGTGGCCATCAGAGACTAATTCATAGTATTTTTTTTTTTTTTTAAGATGGAGTCTCACTCTGTCACCCAGGCTGGAGTGAAGAAGTGGCATGATCTCAGCTCACTGCAACCTCTGCCCCACTGGGGTTCAAGTGATTCTCCTGCCTCAGCCTCCTGAGTAGCTGGGATTACAAGCACCTGCCACCATGCCTGGCTAATTTTTGTATTTTTAGTAGAGACAGAGTTTCGCTATGTTGGCCAGGTTGGTCTCGAACTCCTTACCTCAGGTGATCCACCTGCCTCAGCCTCCCAAAGTGCTAGGATTACAGGCATGAGCCACCGTGCCCGGCCTAATTCATAGTATTTTTTCATTAGTCATATGTGTATCAATTATAGAGATCTAACCTATCATATGTGCATAGATTATAAAAATCTAATCTAATTTTTATAATCTATGCACATATGAAAACTTGCAGGAGATCCCAAAATTGACCTTGAAAAATGTCTCTGATACAGTAAATGATTTTTGGCTGAATGTATCAAAATGATTTTCTTTGACTGAACAAGGCATTTGGAGATTCAAGATGGCTGGTGGAGTAATCAAGTGCCATTGGGTTTTCATAAAAGTAACAAGCAAGAGACAAAGAGGATAAGGCCATGTATAATAGGCATATGGGAATGTATTTCTCCTAAAAATGTTCCAAAGGAGAAGCAACTTTGGAACTTGAGACCTGCATCATTGATTTTTAACATAGTCTCTTTTTCTACTCCCTGTTGATCTCTACCCAAACACAATAATCACACTTGAGTAAATTATTTCTCAAACTGTCTTACAGAGAACACTGCAATTACTGTGGAGCTGAAACATTACTGACAGACGTAAGGGACGTGCTGTTGTAAGTCACCTGGAAAGGTGTCTAAACAGTTCAACAGCTTAGTGTGATTAATGAGCAATGTGGGAGCCAACAGTAAGGCAGAAGCTGTGAGTCCCATTACTTTTCCTTAATGCTGGTGAGCAAGAAATGGGGACAAGCTTAGATTTAGGAAGTAGGATTAGGGTCTGGATAATTTATAATTTATCATAATTAATCTTGATAATGGAGCCCCACTAAGAGTTGTATCCTCTTCTTCAACTATGTGCCAACTTAGAGGTATCTTAATTGAGTGAAAATTTGGAAGGGATAAGAGAAAATAGCACAAAAATAAGTGTTGAAGACTTCTGGGGAATAAAAATCCATTATTCAAGAGGACTACAGCTACTTCTTTCTTGTCCTTTCAGATTTCAGCTTAAATGACTATAAATAACCACTCCCCCCCAGCCAGCAGGCCTTTCTTGACCTCTGGAAAATGTTAGTCTCTCCTCTTCTAATTCCGTAGCCCTTGGGACTTTTCTTTGCAATACTCATCACAATTGTAATTCTGCAGTCACTCGTATAATTATTTGTTTGATCTCCCTCTCTCATGAAGACAAGGACCATGTCTGTTGTCTTCTCCTCTACATTTTTAGCTCCTAACACCATGTCTGGCACACAGCACGTATTAAATTTTGTTTTTTATGTCTTATGAGTGTTTGAGGTGTTCAGAGAGATATATTGTTCTGATCAATTTAATGTCTTTTAAAGGCTATAAATTTCTCTAGATGAATTGTTGAAACTAAGGATACGTATTTTTCTGAAGACAATTTTGGATTTCTAGATGATAGTGTCTATTTTATAGCATTGATCAACTCAATTATACCAGATTTATATTTTAGGAAGAGAATTATATCAAAATTAGATTCCTCTTTTCTCGAACCTGTCAACAAGCCTCCATATTTTCTCATAATGAAGATTTATAAAAATACCACTGGGGAAAACCAAAGAATGATGGTCATTGAGTCTGCTTTGTGGGTCATAACTAAAGAGTCTTCACTGTAGTTCAAGGTTCAGGCCATATCCATGTACTGTCTTCCTGTAAGCAACAATGCTGGTACCAGATTTTGCTAATTTAAGGATAAATCTCCAGAATAAACATCAAAGAACCATAAGTCAACAAAGAAGAAAAAGACATAAAACTGACAAACGGAAGAAAAATGTGACTTTCCTCCCTGCTCTCTCCCACAACATTGAAAACAAGGTTGTGAAGGCAAGTTGTTAAAATCAGGTGAGAGCGTGAAATTTGACCTTCCATATGTGGTCTGAGTTTAACTCGATGTTTTCTCAAAAAGCATTTATAAATCCACAGAGCCAATCTTTAGCCATCAGTATCTCTTGCTTTCTAAATGCTCACTTCTGTTATTTGCAACAATTTGCGTTCATTTGAAAAACCAAACTCAAATTTTGTGTAGCCCCGAGATTGTGTTTCTGAAGACTCAGAACATGGTAGATTTGCTTGGCAGATTTGCAATTTAATGAGAGGGAAAGAGCTGTTAACTCTACAGAGGTGGATATGTGCCCATCGCTCCTCCCCACAAGCACAGAAGGCTGCGTTACAGACAGGAGAGAGGGCCAACTTGCCCCCCGACCAGTACCATTCTTAGACCTGAGCAAGGCTGTGCCTGTCTCCCTCAAGGGCTTTCAAGACAATCACTCCTAAATTACAAGTGACCCTATCAATCCATGCCCTCTCTTGTAGGGTCCACCCGATGTAGTGACATCAGGCTCTCTCAGGTCAGTTTTAAGCTGCCGAGGGTGAGGGAAGGATGATCCGTGCGTGAGTGGGACCACTCTTATCACTCTGACCATAGGACCCTCCTAACCTCCCTGTTGGTGTCATGTGTGGAAAGCATCCATACAGCCGGCACTGAAAGAGATCACATTGCAGGAATGCAGGGATTACAGCCTAAAGAATGCAGAAGATATGGCTGGAAGATGTGTTGTTCTACATTTACCCTATAAGGTTCTGAACAGTAAATTTAACATGACCAGAAAACAAATTGTTGTCTACATTTGCATACATACTCTGGGTAAGATTTACATTTGTTGTCATCATCCATGAACCAAGCACAGTAGCAATCTTGGAAAGAGACATTGGAAGCCAGTATTCACATGGATGGTGCAGCCTCCTGGTTATGGTATCATCAGCATCAAATAAATGCAGGGGCCAGAAGATCTAGAATATTTCCATATAAATAGGCTCTGAAGATCCATGGCCTTGTAAGTAATAACAGTGTGGCTACATTTTTCCTCATGGTGAAAGACATGAAATTATTCAGGGCATTACTGAAATAAAGAACCTAAAGAGATAGTTCCTGGACTTGAACAGAAAGAGGGGGTGCCTGTATACCACCTCCACTGATTGGACAACAAAATAACACATAAGTAACGCTTCTGCACCCATTACAGAAATTACTATATTCACAGGGACCTATGATTTTGTAATACAATTTTTATTGAGGTTAAATTCATACAACATAAAATTAATGATTTCAAAGTATACAATTCAGTGGCATGTAGTATATTTACAATGTTGTGCATCATCACCTCTATCTAATTCCAAAATATTTCTATCATTCCCAAAGGAAACCCTGTACCCACCAAGCAGTCACTCCCCACTCTCTCTTTTCCCCAGCCCCTGGCAAACACCACTCTGCTTCCAGTCTCTATGGATTTACCTATTGTGGAAATTTTATATAAATGGAATCATGCAGTACATGGTCTTTCATGTCTGGCTTCCTTCACTTAGTGTATTGTTTTTGAGGGTCATCTATGTTGTGGCATGTATCAGGACTCCCTTTCCTGTTTATAGCTGAATGATATTTCATCGTATGGATATACTATGTTTTCTTTATGCATTCATCAGTTGACGGACATTTGGGTTGTTTCCACCTTTTGTCTATTGTGAATAGTGCTGCTGTGAACATTCCTACACAAGTTTTTGTTATTTTGAATACGTGTTTTCACTTCTTTTGGATATATACTTAGGAGTGGAATTGTGAAGTCATATGTTAATTCTATGTTGAATCATTTGAGGCCCTGCCAGACTGTTTCCCAAAGCAGCTGCACTATCTCACATTCCTACCAGCAGTGCACAAGGGTTTCAATCTCTTTACGTCCTCACCAACACTTGTTATTTTCCATTAGGTTTTATTATAGTCATCCTAGTGGGTGTGAAGTGGTATCTCATTGTGGTTTTTACTTACTGGAGTATATTTTTAATCAAATCATTTATTTAGACATGACCTGGTAAAAAAATATTTGCCCAACATGCCACATATCCTAGAAACAGTTTAAAAGAACTCCTCAGAGAATCAGTCAGGAGATAGGCTTCCCCTTCGTCATGTCTTGAAATTCTTAGCTTGAGAGGATTCATATATAGATAATATAGGTAGGAGTATTAAATATATAGTGTCACATTGGGAAAGCATATTTTGGGACACTGGTAGCTAGTTAGAAATGTAGAACCTCACCCTGGACCTCCAGAATCAGAATTTATATCCAAATAAGATCTCTAGGTAAATCCTAACCACATTTAAGGTTGAAAGGTATTGAGAGTTTCCTGTCTTACTGTGAAGGGAAAGAGGGTAGGTCCATGCCAGAAAACCCTTTACAGGTGCAACGGATAGTATTCAAGCTTAATAAGATACAGGTGCTGTATGTAGCACTAGTGCAGTGGTTTTCCAATGTGGCTGACACTGAGGATCTTGGAGAGCTGTAAAATTCCAGTGCCTGGGTTCCATTCCCTAGAGATTCTGGTTTAATTTGTCCTGGGTGGAGCCTAGTCTCAGGACTTTTAAAAACTCTCCAGGTGACTCCAATGCACAGGCAAATTTAAGAATTGTGTGAATAGCATTAACTGAGTGAATCTAGAAAGAATTCATAGAGATGGTGATTCTTAAAATAGAAAAGAGCAAATGGAAAATGGGAAGGAGCAAGATTTTGCCATGAGGGCAGAGAGAGGCAGAGGAGTGAGCAGTGTTGCTAGAATAGGACAGAGATTAGGAGCCAGGGCCTGTAGGAAGAAGAAATCACTGACTGAGAACCTTGAAAGCATTAACTACAGTTTTCATGTTTTATGAAGGACAGCTGGGAGCTTTTGTAGGCTCTTAGAAAGGGGACTCAATGATGTTTATTGCTGTTTGGAGGAGAGAAAGCCAAAAACACAGAAGTTGTTATAATACAGGATATGACCTAGGGGTTTGAAAAGAAAGAGGCAGAAGATGGGTATAAATAAGATTCCCACAAAGTTTAGGTATGTGGTTATAACTTATTAACACTTCTCTACCTAACTTAAAGTTTTTGCTAATTCAAGAAAGGATTGAATATTCTAAGTATCCATAAAGAATCATTCTGATGCCAAGCATGGTGGCTCATGCCTGTAATCCCAGCACTTTGGAAGGCCAAGGCAGGAGAATTGCTTGAGGCCAACAGTTTGAGATGAGCCTGGGCAACATAGTGAGACCCTGTCTCTTAAAAAAATAAATTAGCCAGGTGTGGTGGCAGGTGCCTGTAGTCCTAGCCACTTGGGAGACTGAGGCAGGATGATCCCTTGAGCCTAGGAGTTCGAGGCTGCAGTGAGTTATAATCACGCTACGGCACTCCAGCCTGGGTGACAGAGTGAGACCCCACTGCTAAAAAAATACATTTTCTTTTTCTTTTTCTTTTTTTTAAAGGCATCCTGAGTGTATGGTTGCCTCAAAAACTTTGTATACCTATTACAGTTATGGTTTACTGATAGTTAATTACTTTTCTGAGTCTGTACTATTCAACAATTCAAGTCTGAACTTTTCTTCATTCAACAAATGTTTATTGAGCGTGTGCTTAGGATGTTATAGAGGAGATTCGAGAACCAAAAGTGCTTTGGACCAACTCTGTGGTTCTCTATGGGGACAATACCCACTATGATGGGCATTGGAAATGTGGGGGGTGTTTTTGGTTGTTGCAGTGATTAGAGTGAACCATGGCTCATGCTGGGTGCGGGGGTGGGGGCTGGCCAGAGATGTTACATGACTTGCTATTCCCAGAACAGTCCTGCATAGTGAAGAATGGTCTCTTACCATACACATCGTCCAGGTGGAAACTCTTTTTTTAATGATCTGAGCTTAGGACCTCAGTCAAATATGTATAATTATCTAAATTTAGAATGTAAACTCAGATATAGGTATACACACATCTATTTCTTCACAATTTTAGTACATATAAGACTTTTCAAGAATGGTCCTACTGTGTATATTGAGGGAAGATAGTGCTTTGTTTTATTCAGCGCTTTACCAAGAATTGTTTACTCTTTTCGAAAATGACGTCACTGATAGCAATGCTGAACCTAGTGTTTAAGACAATAAATTTCTGTTGTTCTAAGCCACCTTGTCTGTGGTGCTTTGTTATAGCAGCCCTACCAAACTAATATAGTGCACAATAAATGTTTGTGGATTAGTGAATGAATACATGGATAAATGGTAGCAGCAGTAGGGCCTGGGTGCTCAGCATGATTATTCAGGAAGTCTCCCAGAAGTGCCCACCTCTTCTCTGGCTTCCTAAAAGTTTGTGGCTACCCATCCAGGAAGCAGAAAAATTTATATCAAAATTATTAAACAAATTCTTCCTAGAGAATAAACTATTATTTTTGTTTTGACCATTTGATTGCAAAAAAGCAACAAGAGTGTAGTCAGGAAGATATTGAGGTGAAATAAATGATATAATAGTAACTAACACTTATTGAAATCTGATTTCAGATATGATTCCAGTGCTTTAAAAATATTAACTCATTTAATCCTCACAAAAGCTCTCTGAAGTAGGTACTCTTCTTATTCCAAATGAGAAACCGAGGCACAGAAAGGTTAGGTGATTTGCCCAAGGCTGGACAGCAAGGAAGTGATGAAGCTGGGGTTTCAACTTAGGCAGTCTAGCTCTATTGCCTAAAACAGTATCTCGCTGTGTATACTAAGGTTAGAATATTTTAAAATTTCCTTGTTGAAACCAAGAGGGAGAAGATTGGAAATTTGAGAATGGGTGCAAATAGAGAAGATGAGAGCAAGTGAATAGAGAGAAACAAAGGAAAGAGGCAGAAACAGTCTGGGATGGATAATGATTATGTCAGCTGTGAGAATGGAAATTTAGGCATCTCGTGCCTAATTTTCATTGTTTTCTGTGCTGTTTTGCATTGCAGTTGCTTGTCTGACTTCATAAAGCCTGTCTTAGTTCATTCCTGCTGCTATAACAAAATACCTTAAACTGTGAAATTTATAAATGATGGAAACTTATTTTTCACAATTCTGGTGGCTGGGAAGTCCAAGATCCAGGCATCTTCAGATTCTGTCTGATGAAGGATCACTTTTCACTTTCGAGGTGGTGCCTTGTCGCTGCATCCTCTGGAGGGAACAAATGCTGTGTCCTTACACAGAACATGGTGGAAGGGCAAGAGGGCCTGGCTAGGGCCCTTTATAAGGCACTAATCCCATCCATGAGGACAGAGCCCTCATGGCCTAATCACCTGTCAAAGGCCTTACCTCCTAATACTATCACGCTGCGTCTTAGGTTCCAACATATGAATTTGTGGGGGATACATACGTTCACACCATAGCAATCCCCAACCTTCAGTAAAAGTCTGTAGCTTTGGGGTAGATGGGTAGGATATTCAGTGTAAGGTCATGTAGTACAGAGAAGAGATGGCACATTCCAGAGGTAAGAAATAGACAAGAGAAAGGGAATTCAGAAGCAGGAATAAGAGCCAGAAGTGACACTAGGGAATTCAGGAGCAGGAATAAGAGCCAGAAGTGACAGTAAGAACCCAAGCTCCCCAACCTCTGAAATGCCAGAGATACTGCATAATAAGCTGAGCTTCCCAGAAGCCAATTTACTTATCCATGAACAAGGTGCCCCTAACCCGTTGGAACATGTAGGAACCCCAGTGGATGGTAAGTGTATGTACCCACTTAGAAGGAATGGAACAAAGCTAGCTTTCTGACAATGGACACACGTTTAGTCTGATAAACTGGGCTTGGGAGACAGGCAGAGGACAGGGACTTGGGACAGAGTGGTAGACAAGGAATGTGAGTGAGTCAAGGTGGGAAGGCTAAGGGAGCCCTTTGTGTGCCTCGGAGAACAAAGCTGGTGTCAGCTTTCGGCCTTTTTATGCTAATATTTTATGATTAAAAGTCTAATTCGTTCTTTGGGTTTTATGATTTATACTGCGTACTGTGTAAATCCAGGAAATCAGGCTAGGTTCTCCACGAGCCACATTTGCACAGCTTGATGAGGTTTCGCTTCCACACGGTGTGGCTATTTCTTAGTGGATTCTCTTCTACTTTTAGCCACAGAGCACTTCATCCTGCAGATGTCTTGAGTATGCATCAGCTGTGTCAGCAAAGATCCCTAAGACAGAATTGCTCCCCTGGGATGCCGAGCAGGGATTTACTTCTTTAAACCCCCTTTTATTTAAGTGCTGGCAACAGGGTTATAACAAGGAACATATTTCAAAACCATTTTCTCTGTCCCTATCTATTTCTGCAATCTTTATTTCAGCAAATAAAACCTAGGGTCCAAGTCCCATTTTTTCCCAGGATAATTTCGCCTCTCACACAAGAGTGTGTTTCTGAAATACTAAATCAAGGGGCTGTTGGGGCACCCTCAGAGCTCAGAGCAGCTTGAGTGTGAAGTAAACATTTTCTTTAAGGGGTCTTTCCACAGATATACCAGATGAAAAGTCCAGAGCACTGCGTTTTCCTTCACACAGACCTCAGGCTTTGTGACATCTGGAAAAAGTGGTTTGCTATTTGGACCTTCCAGCAAAACTCTCGTTCAATTGGATTCACATAAGACTGTGCTGTTCGCTTATAGTTTGGACAATAGCAACACCTCTCCTTTTACTTGGCAATGCTAGAAGCTATTTGGATAAAAATGAAAGCCCTTGAAAAAGCATTAGGGAAATTGTCACACTCCTGCTGTAAGGGTGTGAAAGGCTGTCGCTCAGTCTCCTGACCAGAGCTGAAAAGGTGTCTTAGCTCACCTGGATCATCTCAGCCCTCTGTACTGGGGTTTCGACTCCTGATTTTAAGAGCTGGCATCTTAAAGGTTTAGTCCTTGGGTACCAAGCAGGGGAGACACAGGCCCCACTTGAGCACAGAGAAGCCAGGCCAGCAGAGGAAGATAACCCATGGGGCAAACCCCCCTTTTGTTGGCCTTGCAGGACCTGAGTGAAACAGACCAATTATCCACCCCACTCACAATCCCAGTCCATGGGGCAGCACCTCCCTTCCCTTAGCCTAGGAAGAAATTTCCATGGGAGAGGATTTTGTTGTTCTGAGGGGCATTTGGATGAGAATACAAAGAGAATGGGAGGAAACGGGAGAGAAAAATCATCAAGATGAAAAATGAACAAGATTTATGAGGGCAACCCATCCCTCTCCCGCTGCTCAGTCCCGCTCCCCGAAATGTATTTTCCAGCTCCTCATACAGACTGACTTTAAATGAAGCAAGCTAGCAAGCTGCCATCACTTTCTTTGAGAGACTATCAACAGATTAATAGATCTTCCCAATATAGTAATTCTCCTCAAATCAAGCCTATATTTTCCATCACATCACTGAATTTATGTTTCCCTTGGAGTAGCCTAAGCCTTTGTTTATGCCTTTTGAATGTTCATTTCATATCCACCACTATTGTGTTTCCTTTTAGCAATGCAGTCGCTGGGCCAGGTTATATAGCTCTAAGTCTTTGGAATAAGTTTCCTTCCAATCTGTAATTACCTTCATGCTGCTTTTCAGATTTCCTCTGGGTATTGTCATCTTCTGTGCTCTGGTTCTCTGCCCTGTGCGGGGATGAGGGTAACTGGGCTGTGCTTGGATCCTGCTGCGTGGAGCAGGGTTTGGCATTTGGGGGTCTGCAGACTTTCTGGCTTCCACGCTTGCTTTAGGACAAGTTATTAAACCTCTTGGAGTCTAAAACTTCTCATTGGTGACAAAAGTAATTTTTGTCTCTTCCTTCAATCCCCTCACACTCTGTTAACCTCCACACCCAAGCCTGGCTGCTTTATTGATCTCATTCTCATAGTCGTCTATCCTCCCCAGGTCTCAAAACCCTACTGGATATGGCTACAAGATCCAGGGCACAGAGAAGAGAGAGGACGGGTCTTTTGTGATTCTCCCAGCAGGGCAAGAGGTGTGAAGAAATACCAGTTGCCTTGTAGAATACGGACAGAATTGAATGTAGGCAGAGTGAGAATTTGAACTTCTGGGAACAAAGTTGTTAAATAAACAGAATGTTTGCATTATAGAGTCTCAAGAGGCTGCTCTGAGACCGCCTTCCTCTCTGCATCATGTTCGGCCAGTTCCTCTTTGTCTGAAAAACTCTAAAAGACTTCTCTCCTGCTACTTTGTTCTTGATTTCTTTTTGTCACCAAACCTCAGGCTTTTTGTGCTGTTTTTCTCCCATATGTGCTTAAATTTGTAAAATAAATTCATCTGTGTCTTTTGGTTTTATAGGAAGGTCTTGAGAAAACCTGAAAACCGTTAGGACTTCGAAAGGCTGCTTGATTAAGATGCCACTCCCATCCCCCTTCATTTAAAAAGAAAAGCTCTTCAAAGTCTTACAGCTATGAAGACCATATTTTTAGGTTCCTTGTGGTTACTTTAATGTCTGACCTTTCTTTGACATTGTGTTTGGGAAAGGCAGGGGATATCTCCAGAGATAAATTTTGATCCACCATTTTCAGTCCACGCCAACTCCCAAATAGTTGACCCTGATTCATCTTGAAGGCAAATGCTCGGCTTCTTTCACTCTCACCCCTTGGGTGGCGCATCACTCAGACCTTTTGGTTCCCCTTTCCCATCCTCTCCCTACCTCCTCCCAGTTCACGCAAACAAAAGTTGCCCCATCACCAAGAAACTCAGCAGTCCTGACCTTTTCCTCGCCTTTGCTGGTTGTTTGCCTTGGATCTGCTTTTTGGTGCTAACGGCCCAGGCATGAGTCCCAGCCTGGGCCCTGTTCTTTAGGGGATTCAGCTCGGCTTCCCTCGGCCTGCCTGCACTGCCCCCTAGACTGCCCCTCGGTGGCTACCCAAACAGCCAAGGCCCTCCCACACCCAGGTGCAATCTAGTGTATTCCATCAAGGGGTGGCCAAGGCAGTCTGTGTGGGCAGTGCGTGGGAGGAACTGTGTGGGCAGTTCATGGAAGTGAGAACTGATGTTGGACAGAGCCAGGGAGGAAAGGACAGGAGGATGGGTCATAGGCTGGGACCTAAGTGATAGCATCCAGTTTTCCAGAAGCTCTGACGTTCTGCTGCAGAACTGTGAGGAGTCTGAATTCTAAATGGGTCCTCAGCCTTCTGGATATATTTATCAATATAGAGGAGCAAGCATATTTAATGATTTGTGAGCTTCTGTGTAACTTTTACAAATCTAGACCTGTGCTAGGCAGACCTCCATTTATACTCTTCCCTAGGCCTGCTAGAAGGTGTTAGGGCAGGCCTGCCCGGGACTGCAGCTTAGAGCAGTCTGATTTTGTTGATGGGGGTGAAAACTGTCAGAGAGAGGTGCTTTCTGCTGGATGAAAGGAGAGGCTGGAGGCCAGCTCCCCAGACCCAGCCTTCTAGGTGTTCCTACGGCTTTTCTATCCAAATGTCTGCCCCCTAAAGGGAATGTGGCTCTCTGGGGGAAGGGCTGTGCTAGTTCTAGAACGAGTCAGCTTTGGGGAGCAAACATGGTACGTGCTCTCCTAGTGGAGCATCAGTGGCTTTGCAAGCTGGCTAGGCAGTGGGCCCCAATCTATTTTATTAGACCCATCACTCAAACTGAACCCAACACATTACTTTACACTGGCGCGGGGGTACTCAGTGGGTAGACCCCTGAGTCTGTCAGGGGTAGACTTTTCTTTCCTTGTTTGGCTCATTCATGCCCTGTGATTCCTAAAGCATTGCTCATCTCAAGTCTAAGTTGCTGTGCCCCTTGAGGAAAGTTAAATATCATTGTGTTCTTTACCTCAAATGAGTAAAAAAGAAACGTCTTCAACATGGTGAGTTTTCTTAAAACCTCCAATAATATGATTAAACATTTTCATGGTTGATGAAATAAACTTTTCAAAGTAATATGGAAAAAAATGATTCCATTTAAATACCTTTTAGCCAAAAAAACCTATGAAGCTTGTTATGCAGTGCAGGAACAGAGACTTTTGCAGGGCTTGCCTGAGCATCTTGAGGTCTGTGGTTCAGCTACCAGCCCCACCATTGACTCAGGACTCAGCTGGGGTGGAACCCTGCAGGCAGACAGGCCTGTGTGTCCTGGCAGGTTCCCAGAATACAGGCCAGGGTGCACAGGCAGGCAGGGAAGTGACTGAGTGTGTACATGTGAATTTCTGTGCAGACCTCTGCAGAAGCAGCTTGAAAGCCAACCTACTAATATCTCAAGGCTTCAGATTTCCAGAATGCTGACCAATTTATGACTAAGATATGCATTTCTGTGTTCAGGCTACCCACAGATCCAGGGCCATAAATAACTGCCAAAGAAGAGAAGCCTTCTCTCTTCTCTGCTGTTGCTTCATTTTATAGTCTCAGGAAATCTCATCATAGGTAAGTAGTACCTCGAAAACTTAGCCACATTCCTTTGCAAAGAATAACAGAAAGCAAAAAAATACAAACTGCTTCCACCAATCCTGGATAGGCCTGTGTGAGAAAAAGTTATGCATTCATTTAATAAATGTTTATTGGGAGCCTACTATGTGTCAGTCAGTTAGGGCAAGAGGTGTGAACCAGCAAGGATCAGAAGCTTGGCTGAGTTACACAGGGCAGGGTGGGCTGAACTGGGGCAAAAGGATTGCTGGCCTCCAGCCCTGATTTCATAGCATATTGAGTTACCAGATAACTGTCTTGTGTCTCAACCGGCACAGTCATACAGTTTAAGAGTGTTCATTGCTTTGTGTTACAGACTGGTTATAAATAATGACAATGAGACTCAACAAAGTTTAACATAATTTATTTTAACCAACACTTATAGAGCTCTTCGTAAGCACTGTTCTAAGCACTTTGCAAATATTCATTAATCTTCATAACAACCCTATGAGACAGGTACTATTTTTCTCCCTATCTTACACATGGAGAAATGGAGATATGGTCAAGTAACTTGTTCAAGGTTACATAGCTGATAAGTGGTGGAGCTAGAATCGAAACCTAGACAAGGCGATCAACAGTCCTGATTTGTCCAGGATTGTTGGGTTTTCTGGGCTGTGGGACTTTCAGTACTAAAATCAAGACAGTTCCAGGACAAATGGAGACAACTGGTCACCCTAGAACTCTAGCTTCAAAGTCTATGTGTATTGTTAGAACTCACTACTTCTTCCTTAATTCTTCTGGGGTCATTGGCTAAAGATCAGCTTAACTCAAAAACTCCCACCTGGCGTTCATTCCTGGTGGGTGAGAACGGGAGAATGACTGGGAGATGTGTGGGCTCTTGGGGTTCTGGGAAGGGATCGATCCCATAAGTTTTAGAGCAGACACTGACTCCATCAGTCTTTCCCAAATGAATGGGTTCAGACCTCTACTAGGTACTCAATTCTGAGAAGAGTGGCTGAACTGTCCCCCTTTGTTTCTCCCCATCATGGAACAAAGTGAATAAAGACTGAAAAGTCAAATGGAATTGATATTTGTGGATTCTGATGAATTTCAAACTATAGTTTCAAATATACAGTACTTGAGACCAGAAGGGGACTCTTTCTGCAGCTAGATTTCCCTCAATAGAGAAACCCATTTGTACCCTTCCCACCACTTCCTCTCCAGCCAGTGCTTATGAACAATCTGGAGAAGAGGACAGTGCATTCTCCAACCACACTGCTTGTCTACAGCAGGAGCCCACATTGGACTCCATGCCCCGGCTGGCGTCTACTCTTTGTCATGGAGGAGTTTGCCTCTCCAGCCCTCGCCCGGGGCACAGAGCTCTTGCTCTGTGGGCTTCCCTGGAGCCATAGCCTGAGCCATGCCAGCGAAGTCAGAGAAGAGCAGAAGCTCAAACATCCCAAGAATTGTGTTCCATAAAAGGCTCACTTTCTAGTCACACCTTGTACACATTCTCTAGAGAGAATCACCTATTTCTTATTTTTGAAATGTTCTTTAATGTCATAGAATTCAGGCTCAGGCAGACTTGGGTATGAATATCAGCTCTACCACTTATTACTGTGTGGTTCTATCTGAACCTTGGTTTTCCTATCTGTAAAATGGGCATATTAATGCTTACCTCACATGACCAGCTGTAATCTGGGCAATGCACCTAGCTCAGTGCCTGGCCCATAGTTGGTACTTAATAGGATGCCATGAAGGCTCTCAGAACATCCCTATGAGGATAATGCCTAATCATCCCACTGGAAATCCATATACATACTTTATTTAGCAACTGAAAGCGTAAATGTGATTCATTTACTCTGAATAGGTAATCTATTTATAGTGTGGATATGCAAGCATGTATAGTGAAAAGTCTCCCTCCCACCAATAGTCCATAGATGACTCCTAGTTCCTATTTCCTGAAATAATAAATACAGTTTTTTTTTGGAGCCATTTCCAGCCTATATGAGCAAACACATATAGTCATGCATCACTTAATAATAGGAATATGTCCTGAGAAATGCATTGTTAGGCTATTTCCTTGAGCAAAAAGTCTTTAAGAAATGAAAAAGTTTATAAATTTGAAAAATTACAGTAAGCTCATAAAGTGTGCTTACACAGACCTAGATGGTGTAGCCTACTACATATCCAGGCTATATGATGTAGCTTGTTGCTTCCAGGTTACAAACTGTACAGCATGTGACTGTACTGAATATGGTAGGCAACTGTAACATAGTGGTAAGTACTTGCATATCTCTATACATCAAACATAGAAAAGGCACAGTATAAATACAGTATAAAAGATAAAAACATAGTACACCTATACAGGACCCTTACCATGAATGGAACCTGCAGGACTAGCTGCAGAAAGAGCCCCCTCCTGCAGGACTAGGAGTTACTCTAGGTGAGTCAATGAGTGAGTGGTGAGTGATTTTGAGGGCTTAGGACATTGTACTACTGTAGTTTGTATACACACTATACACTTAGGCTACACTAAATTTATTTTAAAAAATTATCTTCAATAATAAATTAACCTTAACTTACTACAACTTTTAAAATTTTTAAACTTTTTCATTTCTTAAGGACATTTTTTTTCCTTTTCATTTCTGGTGGACATTTCTTCCACCTCCACATCTTGTCCCACTGGAAGGTCTTCAGGGGCAATAACACACACGGAGCTGTCATCTCCCATGATAACAAGGCCTTCTTCTGCATACCTCCTGCAGGACCTGTCTGAGTCTGTTTTATAGTAGCTTTATTTTTAAATAGAAAAATTACACTGTAGACTAATGATAAAAAGTGTAGTATAGTAAATACATAAGCCAGTAACATAGTTATTTATTATCATTATCAGATATTACATGCTGTACATAATCACATTTGTTATATTTTATAGAAGGCCAGCATAGTAGGTTGGTATACACCAGCATTACCACAAAAACCTGAGTAATGCATTGTACTACAATGTCATAATGGCTATGATGTCACTAGATAGGAATTTTTCAGCTCCATTATAATCTTGTGGGAGCATCATTATATATGTAGTTCATCATTG
This sequence comes from Homo sapiens, assembly GCF_000001405.40. Classification (NCBI taxonomy): domain Eukaryota; kingdom Metazoa; phylum Chordata; class Mammalia; order Primates; family Hominidae; genus Homo; species Homo sapiens. The sequence goes on from NC_000013.11 coordinate 50,592,653, forward strand.
ACCAAGACGTTATTATGTGATGCAATTTATACATAAATGCTTACATCTTTTTAAAAAAATGTAACTTAGCAGTATATCTTAAAGATTGTTCACTGCAGAAACTGTGGTTTCATTTATTTATAGCTGTATGGTATTCTGTAGTATGGATGTGCATGCCTACAATCTCCTGTCTGTAATTCCTAAAATTAAAAACAAAACAAAACAAACCTCTGTGAACCAAATAGCAAACTCATTTGGTGGCAAAACGTGACTTAGACTGATACAAGGACTGATATATAAGGTTCAATGCCCCATATGAGCTTTCTAAATTTCAAAACATTCTGACATGCAAACCACATCAAAACCCAGGGTTTCAAATAAAAAATTGTGGAGCTGAACTGTAATTCATTTAACTAGACCCTTGTTGACTGGCATTTGGATTTCTAAAAGTACTTTTTGCTATTACAGTGTGGTAGTAAATAATGTTGTATGTCACTTCACACCTGTAAAATAACATACATAGGATTAATTTCTAGAATTGGGATTTCTAGGTCAAAGAGTAAATGCATTTGCAATTTTGACATATTTGGCTAAATTATCCTCTGTAAAGGTTTTATATCTTCTCACCCCTCATAAGCTTATTCCCCCAACATTCTTCTTTTTCAGTCTTTCCATTTGAGAGGAGTAAGCATCTTTTCATACTTTAAATGGCTACATTCAGTTCATTTTCTGTGAGCTGTTCGTTTATTTATTTTGCTCATTTTTTACATTGGATTGTTGAAGTTTTTTTTAGTGATTTGTCAGAGTTCTTTATGTATAAAGGAAATGAATCCCTTGTGATACAATCTGCAATTTTTTTCTAGTTGACTTGCTTTCAACTTACTTGTGGTGGCTTTTGCTGTTGGGTTTATTTGTAGACTTATTTATTTATTTGTTTTCTCTCTCTGCAGACAACTTTCCTTCAGACTATGTGTTTTTTTAACTCCATATGTGGCATAATCTATTCTGATTTTTCTAAAGAAAGAGAAAGAAGTAAAGGATGCAGGGCAAAAAGCTATCCATATGATTTAGGTCTTAGGAGACTCAGGAAATTGATAGGCAACATTGAACATTTTAAATTCAGCACTTACTAAGGGTTTTGTGTTAAGTTTTTGTATCTATCTATAACAATAGCAACTTTCATTAGTGCATAGTACAATAATAGAATATATATATCTTAAAAACAATTTTGTTTTTTGTCTCAGTCAGAAAGCACAACCGTGTGCACAGTCACCTAACCATGTCTATTCCCTGTCTCTTGCTTTCCTTTTTCAAAGCATGTTTTGCTCTGTGGGTGTGCATGCCTGTGCGTGTGTTTTGTTTTTAAAGACATTGCTCATGTGCATAGTGCAAAGGTCATTAAAGAGAAAATTTGATTAGTTATTAAGTATGTTGTAAATATATTGGTATTGAAGACTATTTATTATATTTCCAAAGAAAAGATAAATGTTTCAAATACTTTAAGATAAAGAAGACTTCTGTTGAAATCCCCAATTAACTTTAAACTTTTCAAATCAGCAATCAGAATGAAAGGTGGTTAACCATCTGACATTTTGGCAATCTTGTGACATATACCGTAGTAAAGGCCAAAAAAACTGGAATTGAGTTTCATGAGAGGGAACAGATTCTAAGATTCGAGTGCAGAGGTGCCTGCATTATTCGAGTGCAGAGGTGCCTGCATTATTGTGGCTCTATTTGCTGTCTATTTCACTTGCCTATGCTTTGGGCCAGTGTAGGCCTCTTCTCTTTTCACTTTAAGCCTGTGGTTAATTTTCAAGTAAGAGGGCCCCATGGGGTGAGGCCCAGAGGAGGCGAAGGCTGGGGGTAGGTCAGGCGGGGGCGGGTGGGGGGGGGCCTGCAGACCACAGCCTCTGTTTATCCGCAGTGCAGGTGCAAGGCAGTGGCGGGAAGGCGGTGCCCCTGGGACTTCTCCCAATCAATCACCCCACCTAGGCCACCGGGTGGCCCCTTGGGGCTGCCTCACACAAAGTGCAGCCTTTCTCTGACATCCCAAACAGGCAGAGAGGCCAGAGTTCACAGAGAGCAGGGCTTTCACTACTTGGCTGTTTTTAAAATGTAGTCAAGTTAAACTGCAGGGAGAGTCCCAAATGGTAAAAATCTAAATAGTCTCACTTTCAGTCCATCTCCCTGCTCCCTGGAGCTGCTCTGACCTTACCTTCGATTTCCTGTCTTGAGCCTCCCCTCTCCATTTGAGGGGGTCACTGTTGTTTTTTCCCTCCTGTGAAACTCCTGCTTAGCTTCCAGCCTTTGGAGAAAGTGCTTAATATTTTCAGCAGTGGAGACTTCCTTTGCAGGCTTCAGAAAGACAATTTTCTTCGGGGAAGAAAGAAAGTGAGACCATAGCCAATGCAGCAGCTGACAGCCTCTAGCCAGACAGATGTTAGAGGAGGCAGAAGTGAGGAAAGATACAATATACTTTGGGGAATTTGTTAATCTGAAATTATTAATTATACTCTTGCTAAAGGCATTGTATTAAAAATCGGGCAACAAGAGAAAGAAGTAGAGATGCAGTTTCTACAATTCAGTTCACAATATACTTGAAAAGATCAAATAATGGCACATCAAAAGTAGAAACAGTAAATGGGTTAGCTCGGGGTTTAAATCCTAGTGCTGCTAGTTCATAGCTATATGACCCTGGCAAATTGCTTAACCTCTCTGAGCCTCTATTTTCTCATGAGTAAAGTGGAGATAGTGAGAGTATATACCTCCTAGGATTGCCCTGAGGATTAAATGAGATAAGTATGTAAAGTGCATGTCACTGGACTTGGCCTTCAGCAAGACTTAGTGAATGTGAGTGTTCATTGGTACAAACTCTGTATATGTTACAAGAGTACACAGTAGGACTCCTAGGAGTTCAGAAACGGGCAGGGCCCCCGTGGCTGGGATGATCAGAGAGAAGCTGCCACGAGGGGAGAAAGATTTGGCTTGAGTCAGAGAAAAGTAAAAGAACTTATATATGTGGAGGATTTTAGCTGAGGGGATGGCAAGTGGGTGGTACTGAGGCTCCCACGGCCTCCCCATTTTATGTGAACAAGATGAACTTCACTATTATCATGTTATATATTGGGGGGCCAGGGTCTTCCAAGTAAGACTTGGTGTGAAGAAGCTTTTTGTTCACACACACACACACAAATTGAAAACCAATGACTTGCTTAAAGGCAACTGGTGGATGAGACAAGAGCAGTATCTGAAAAGAAGATTTACATTCCCTAATGTGCATTTGTTCAGGGAGTCATTTGATAAACTTACCGAGGACCTCTTATGTTCTAGGTAAGAGGTGGAGGACACAAAGATCACTGAGATACTGTGGCTCCTGCTCCCGGCTTCTACTCGTGGGACAGTCAGCCACTTAAGTGAACATAAGATGAGCAAAGGGTGCCTGGGGCCATCACACTGAGCAAAGAGCCATCGGGGCCATCACATTTGCCAGGAGCACAAGGGTGGAAACTGAAAGGCTTCACTGATAGAAGTGACATGTGGGCTATGTGGCTGAGTGATGCATGCTGCCTCTTTATGTTTCAGGATATCAAGCAGTGTCTTGTCCCCTCCAAAGATGCACTTGAGGGGCTCCCCTCTGTCAAAGCGATGGGGCAGGCAGTGTGCAGGAGGAAGAAAGGCTAGACTCAGCCACAGGACCCCAAGTGTGAGCAGGGGAGCCACAGCAGTGCCCTCAGCAGAGCCTTGCTGGGAGCCTCCACCTGCAGAGGTAAAGTGCAGCTGGAGCTGAGCCCCTGGGAGGAAGGCAGACCAAGGCTTTTCTGGAAGACTCCTTGGGGCTGCTTTCAAGAGTTGCTCTGGATTAGCCTTTTCTGCCTTCTTTTTGCTTTAACAACTGTACAATCCCTGTGCTAGAAGAGCCCTCTGTGGCCATGGAAGCGCCTAAGTGCAGGATCAAAGGGTTTGCTGGTCAGGTGAAGGGACTCAACAATATGAACAAAATTAGGCGCATTTAGTTCCTTTTTGGGACTCCTAACTTTTCATTTTCATATGGCTGCGGAGGGCATGCCTAGCATATCTGTGGAACCAGGGTGCCTGTGGAGAATGGATGCATAATAAACGTTTGGACCATGGAGTGAAATAAGCCAAATAGGGCATAGCTTCATAATTAAATTCACAGATGAAACCTGATGGAGATAGGATCTGGGAACACCAGCGACAATTGAGAAACTGCCCCAGAGGGATAGAGGGGAAAGGGACTAGCTGTATAGGCAGGAAATAACAACTTGAGGTTTGACCTTGAACAATGGAAGGCTAATTCACCTGGGCTGACATAATTGAAAACACAGATATACAGCACAGAAAAGGCACATGGAAATGTAAACCGTTGATAAGAGCTTGGGGAGAGTAAGTAGCAAATTGGATTGCAGATTAAATCAGGGCAAGGTTGCAAATTACTCAACTCCAGTGAGGGGTCTGCTAGACTTACAGCCCTGCTTGGCTCCACTGTGAGCTGGTGCAGGCAAAGGAAAGGCTGGGACATCATAAGATAGGGACCCAGGGCTTCTTCCTTCACCAATGCACAGAGGAACACAGGCAAGAGCTAATAGCAGGGAGGTCACTGATTGGTGTGGGCCTGTGTCTCTCTTGGCTTAAATAAAGTGGGAAAGAACACTTTGCCTTACATGCAAGATCCTCTGGGATGAGGTGGGGTAGGGAGGCTTCAGAGAGGAGGCTGGGGAGCTGATGTAGGTGATGGGGACATAGGTCAGGAAAGGAATTTGCATTTAGAACGAAACGTGGCACATGGTGGCACTCAATTTGTGTTAACTGCCACCAACCTCAACTCGCCTCAGAGTAAATATTGGGGCCTCTCCAATGGGAGCGTGGGCCCACTAGTGATTCTAGGTTTCTCCAGGTGGTCCTGAGCTGCCATATTGTACGTGTTTTTAATGCTTTCCCAGTGCCTAGTCTTTTGCTTTTGACACGAGTTACTTTTAGAATTTTATGTATTTCATTGTCTCATAAATACAGCTTCATTCTTTTTTTTTTTTTTTTTTTTTGTAATAAGCAAGAGTATAGAGATTAAATAGGGTCTTGGGTCCACTTAAATTGCCCACAGGTCAAAACATTCTGAGAAACAACGCTGCCAGTGATTAAAAAGAGCCAATTTAGAGGCTAATTTAGTAATTTATTAATTAATTTACTAATTTCTTAAATGTATTTAGAGGCTACTTTAGTAGTTATCCTCCCTGTTAGACAGGCACAAAAAGATCCTTGGCCTCTGTCCCTTCTCTTTACCTCTCACGTTGGCTGTTGATCTGGTGGATTCTACTTCCTTCAATACCTTCACAGCTGTCCCCTTCTTACAAGTCCCACTGCCACTGGCTGTCTTCACCCCAGGAGATGCAGTGCCTTCATCCCTGCTCCCCCTCTCTCCGCCTTCCATCTGCCCACCACCATTCTCAATGTGGGCTTTGACTGGGTCATTCCCCTTCTCAGAAACTTTCAATTGCTTTTAAAAAATGTATTCTCAAATCCTGGTCCGCTGTTCCAGGCTCCCATCCCTTGCCCTTCTGCCCCTGCAGCTTCCGAATCATTCCACCTCCTGTACCTTGTGATCATTCCTCTCTACCCACACAGGCTTTCCCCATGGATATCTTTTTTCCATGCTTCCTTTTCCTCCCAGGTCTCTCCATCCCACCCCATCTCTCTCTCTCATCTCCTCACATCTAAAGCCTATTAATCTTTCAAGACTCAGCTCAAGAGCACAAAGCCTTTCTCAGTTCCTCTAGCTTGAGGCTCTCTCTCCTTGCTCTGAGCTGCCATGATATGGGCACCTGTTCCGACCATCTCACAGAGAAAAAATGGGTCAGAGTCACTGTGTTGTGTGTTAAGAGCCCATGCTTTAGAGTTCAGAGCCTGGCTCTGTCACACACTAACCATGTGACCTTGAGCAAGTAAGTTAATCTCTCTGACCTTAAGCCTCCCTGTCTGCAAAACGTGTGACACGCTTGATGAAACATGTGTGATGTGCTTGGCAAGGTGGCTGTTAATGATCAGCAATAATGCTCCTGAGCTGCATGGCACAGGGGGAGGGGCTGATATATGACAGCTATTATTATTACATACTTACTAACCAAAAATAACATATTTTAGGTTATTGTATTTGTGTTCATGCCTTGCCTTAAGCCTTATGTTGGGCATTCCTTCAAGGCATAGCTCTTGGACGACTCATCCTTGTGTCTTCTGAAACACCTACTATGTTGCCTACATCAAGTAGGTCCTCAGACAGTGTCTGTTAATGGCATCAGTGACCAAATTAACAGAAAAATTATCAATGGCACCATGTGGAATGCTCTCTTAAAGCAAGTGTCCTATCATTTGGCTCAGCCTGGCCTTTACATTTCCACTAAGGTGACTGCACATTTCAGGCATTTACATGCAGGTGGGTGGGAGCAGAAAGTATGTTGTCGACAGGTGGTAACTTCGTGGCTTTGCCCTGTTGGGGTGTACGGTGGACGAATTCACTTCTATGCTTTATTTCCTCCCTTTATTTGACTAACCTGAATCTACCCAGCAACCAACACATAGAACAGAGCCTTAGAAATGGAGGCAGGTTTCCTCTGGGTCCCCTGGGAGCTTCAAGACCACACCATTATTAACTGGCTGGAAACAATTTAGCATCTGGCTCCCAAGGGATAGAAATGTAGAGAATGGGGTGAGAGTACATCCCATCCTGTCGTTTAAACAATATTCTGGCTCAGAAAGCAAAGAATCTAAACACATTTTTCCAAGAAAAAGTGAATGTAGTAATTTTCCTTGAAAGAGCTCAATGTTTTCAGTCTTTTGATAATTAGAGATGGAGTCTAGCAGGGAAAGGTCATTTCAGAGAACAGGATCTGTCCAGCAGAATTTGGAGAGGCTTTCTTTCTGAAGTGGTCTCCCTTCCTCCTTCTCTCTTGCAGACTCATGCCCTTCTAGTACCACCCTTGGAACTTAGTTCTTGTTTTGCACCCTGGACATGCATACTCCTGGGATGCCCAGTCTGGGCTCATCCTCCTGAGGCTGGCTCCTGTACTCTGACTCCCTCCCACTTCTCCTCTGTCTTCATTTTTACCTTGGTTTGCTCTCAAACTATGCCAGGTGCTCACCTGTTACTTGTCTCCTGCAGCATGTGTGCTTTTTTTTTTTTTTTTAATTAACCACTATTTATTAAACTTCTATAATGTATCAGGTGCTGAGGCAGTCTTTTTAAATACATGTGTTCCTTTAATCTTAAAAACAATCTGTGCAATGATTATTGATATCTTCAATACATCAAAGTAAACTGGAGCTAAGAAAATGTACCATTAAATTACTACTGTTATAAAAGCAATTTTGATAGATGGTATTATTTCTCCCAAGTTTGTGTCTCTTTCCTAGTAGAAATACTATCTATCCTCGTCCTTTGCCATATGGTTATCTGTGCCTCCCAGGTGAAGGAATGTAGTTCACCAGATTGCTGACAAGCATGTGTGCTTTGTAATAAGGCCTTCTGGTGAGACGGTTTAATTCCAAAGAGCACTTTTAGTGGAGGAAAGATTTTGGCCCCATCTGATCTACCAAGGTCCAGTACCACCCCTGGAAACTAGATATGTTCTTATGTATCTACCATTTTCTTTCAAGTCATCTGTTCTCAACCTGCTAGGAAAGAGTGAACACAAAAGCGAAACTGAGTAATTATACTGAAAATTCATATTGGGGCGCTTTTATAAAAGTGACACCACGTTTAACTATACTACTGGAGAAATGGTGTGCTTTCAGGTAAAATTATTTCCAGGGGTTTGTAGGTACAACTTGAAGATTCTAAGCCTTGGAAGAAAGAGTTAAGTCCCAAATTCACTTCCTCCACTCCTTTTGAGGCATTTCTGAAATTAAACATTTTCCCAAGTTCTGCATAAAATCAGAAAAGGTCTATTGTTACTAAAGAGGAAAAGGAGATTGCTCAGAAGTTGTTTTCCAGCCTTACACAGAGCAAAGGGCCTGGTGAGAGATGATTGTTTTGTCAGGATTCTGAAGCCTTTTTGGAATAAGACAAAAAGACAAAACAAGGTTAGGGTAGGAGGTGGCCTAAATAAAGAGGATATAATGCTAAGTAAATAGAGCTGAAAGTCAGGAACCAAATGAAACAAGGACAGTCAAAACAATCAGGGGGACTTGCTGAAACCAGCCAAACAACAACAAACAGCTAACAATATGGAAATGAGCCTTTTAGAGGAAAACTCCAAGCTATGCTACACTATCCTGACTGTCCTTTCATGACAACATGAAACTAGTATCCCAGAAAGATGTAATATATGGCATCTGAAATGGCAGGAGTTGGAGTTTCCATGGTGAAAATAGTTCACTTGTCTCAGGCTTTACTCACCAAGAACAAAATTATGCCAGTCTTGGTTTCTTATGTCAGCTGGGTCTATATCTACGATGGACCAAAGAGCTTTGTTCTTGGACTCTTTAGGCAAGTCCTTGGTGCTTATGGTTAGGGTCCCTGTGGCAGAGTCCTGGTAGAAAGGATGTCCCTCCAAATTCATATCCTATTTTTAAAGAATTTTATTGGGGACCCTGTAGATCAACATTGTGTATTTTATATTTTATTGATGAAGAGCCTGAGAGCTAGAGAGGTTATGCTGTTTTCAAGGTATTATTTGAACATCTCTTTGCATATTGCAGCAATAGAATTGCTACAATAGGTCTAGATATTGACCTAGAGTGATCAAGAACATTGTGTTAATGAATATCCATACATCTATGTATGACAACATGTCAAATGAAAAAAATAAGTTGGATATAAAATTGATTCCAACTAAGTTAAACATATATTATATCCAGAGAATAAAGACTGAAAAGAAATAACACCAAAACATTAAAAGTGGTGCTCTGTGAGAGTGGGATTACAGGAAACTATTATTTTTCTTTGTTCTCTGTTTTCCAAATTTTCCAAAGTGAATATGTGTTACTTTTTTAAATTGGAAAAATAAACATTAGCAAGTTGTAAGTTTTATAAAAGAATAAAATTGTACATAAATATTATCAACCCAAAATGGTGGAAGACAGTCAAACGAGGCTATGGAAGCTGTGTAAGAATCAGTAAAAACCAATGCCTCCCAGAGGAATAGACACAGACTATTTTCATGTATTTGTCTGAAGGTGTCCAGGCCTGCTAGGAGAGGGTTTTATTTTTTGTTTTGTTTTGTTTTATTGAGACAAGGTCTTACTCTGTCGCCCAGGCTGGAGGGCAGTGGTGCAATCTCTGCTCACTGCAACCTCCACCTCCCGAGTTCAAGCGATTCTCCTGCCTCAGCCTCCAGAGTAGGTGGGATTACAGGAGCCCACCACCACGCCCGGCTAATTTTTGTATTTTAAGTAGAGACGGGGTTTCATCATGTTGGTCAGGACTGGGCTGGTCTCGAATTCCTGACCTCAAGTGATCCACCCACCTAGGCCTCCCAAAGCCCTGGGATTACAGGTATGAGCCACTGCACCTGGCCTGGGAGAGGGTTTTAACCAGGTGATCAAGCTACTCAAATATTCTGCAAAAACAGAGACTTTAAGGCTCAAAATATAAAAGGTGAGGGAGGACAAACTCCCTGAAGATGAGGGTGGCATTGTAAGATGCCTCTATGAAGGTGCTAAGAGCTGCAGGACTTCTCTCCACTGAGAGCCAATCACAATCCCAAAAGACACAATCTCCAACATTGTAATCTCAAATGTTGAAATCCCAAAAATATCGAAATCTTAAAAATATCGTTCTGGAAAAAAATATTAAAATATTCCTTAAAATATATTTATTCACACTTTAAAGGGGAACTAACTTGAGAAACACGTAGAAACACCACAGAAAACTTCATAGGCCACTTTGCACAATAAGATACGCAATAATAACATACATATTTTTGCCAGCATAAGCACAGGTACACTAACAATAGCAGCATGGATATAACAGTTACTAGTAGATGAGCCATATTCATAAAGAAATAGGTCAAAAAGCAAAATGTGTAAATGCATATCATTATGGTTGGTAATGGCGTGTACCCAGCTTCATAACTGAGTTCATCTGAAATCAAAAGCTGAGATGGTCACCACTGCATATGCAATCGCTCAAAGAGCCAAGATCTTGAGACGTTTTATCTTTCACAAACACAGATGTACTAAAAGGATGTCTCTTCATTTACTGAGGAGATAATTAATGTAAAAACATTGTGCATGTTTTTACATGCCACACAAGTCTTACATACAAAGTCAATATTGCGATAATGCACTTTTGTAAAGTTGAATTTGCAAAATATGCATGAAACAAATTAAAACTCTAAAGTCTCTAAACATCTTTACCTCTATTGTTGGAAATTATGCAGAGATGTAATACGCTACACAGTGAATTGTAAAACATAGTGCCGATAATTTTAAAAAGTCAAAAAAAAATTAAACAAAGGAAAAGCAAAAAGAAAAAACAAAAAAGCCCTAAAAAAATTTTTAAAAGTTTGACATATGAAAAAGTATATTACAGGGATAGATTATGGGCAATTTCAAGGAGATGGTACATAGCAGCTGGCCAGCTTTCGCGATCATTACCTTTTTTGTTTGTTAGTTTTTGAGACTAAGTCTTGCTCTGTCACCCCAGCTGGAGTGCAGTGGCATGATCAAGACTCACAGCAGCCTTGAACTCCTGGGCTCAAGTGATCCTCCCACCTCAGCCTCCTGAGTAGCTGGAACTATAGGCATGTGCCACCATGCTTGGTTAATTTTTGTTTTTTATTTTTTGTAGAGACAGGGTCTTACTATGTTGCCCAGGCTGGTTTCAAACTCCCGGCGTCAAGTGATCCTCCCACCTTAGCCTCCCAAAGTGCTGGGATTACAGACATGAGCCACCACACACAGTCTGATTAACTACATTTTGAAGGCTTGCATCATGATGAGTAGCTGCTTTCTTTCTTTAGGGATATGGCTGTTCTTTGGAGAATATGTTCACATTCATTTTCTCTGTGGCACTGCTCTTTTTGAAATTCTTCTATGATTTGTTATATACCGACTTGGGCATCCCATATTGCATTTTCCCATCTTCTGTTTAGGGATTTTGATCTTTGGGTATTTCGACATTCAGGATGATGGTGTTAGGGATTATGTCTTTTGGGATTATGATCCAAACTCCCCTCCACCTCCTCAGGCACAGGGCTGGCCCCATCCATGCATCAATGGGCACTCATATCTGGTTGAGTGTAAATTAAGATGTAACTGGAGAAATCCATGTTCTGTGCCAGTTGTGATCTGCACTAGCTCTCCCTTTTCCATCTCAAGGCAATTCTGCCTGGGTTTCCTGCCTAAAGTCACATAGTCGGGAGCTAATAGAGTTGGCCCCCAAACAAAGCTTCTCAACTCCTAGTTCTCTACTGCTTTCCACCAACACATGCTCCCCTCTTTTAAGTCATTCAGTTTCCGATATGTGGATTTTGTGCCTGAAAGCAAACTTTGAATTTTGGGGTGCCAAGTGTAGTCCTAAACATAGGTAGGATAGAATTATGTGGTGTAATAAAAGCCCCAAAATTCCATTGATCCAAAATATTTTTTTCATGTGTGAAACTAAATGCCTGAAAATTTGCCTTAGGAAACAACTCATTCCTTTGGGTGAAAATTCTTGGTTTCATAGAGTTCTTTATGTTAAGGATACATAGGAGAATCACTGGACAAGTAATAAGGGTCATGGAGTCTCCTCTGGCCCATTATGTGCAATCGAGCAAGTAGTTTAAACTCTTCGGGTCTGTTTTGTCATCTGTCAAAACTTGTAACTACTTCTTAGTTATCAGCCTGTAAGTGAGAATTAATTCATGAGATTTTTCTTTCAGTCTAGCTACTACAGAAGAAAGGGGCTTTGGATGTTTTAACAGGGGAAATTAAAAGGAGAGCTCTGAAGCATGAGCTACTCTTCACTGGATGCAGATTCAGGTGGGAGATTGGAGAGGGCAGCCCTCAAAGCTGGGGGTCCAGGAGAGATGGGAGGGCCCCACATGGAAATGCTGATTGGATCATGTTGTTTTGCACTTTTTACCATGAAGACAGGCAGACTGCCTTCTCATTTCCTCCTCTTACTACCTAACAAAGTTTGCACTTAACAAACGTCCAGGCTGGGTGCTGTGGGTCACGCCTGTAATCCTGGCACTTTGGGAGGCCAAGGTGGGCAGATCACGAGGTCAGGAGATCAAGACCATCCTGGCCAACATGGTGAAACCCATCTCTACTAAAAATACAAAAATTAGCTGCGTGTGGTGGTGCATGCCTGTAATCCCATCTACTTAGGAGGATGAGGCATGAGAATCACTTGAACCCAGGAGGCGGAGCTTTCAGTGAGCCGAGATTACGCCACTGCACTCCAGCCTGGCAACACAGCAAGACTCCATCTAAAAAAAAACAAAAAAAAAACTTAAATTTATTAGACTTCCCCATAGTAATTGCACCCAGAGCCTGACTATAGGATTGGAGAACATGGATCAAACCCATGCTTCATGCACTCATAAGTTAAGGGAACGTTGATGAGGTTTCTCTCTTCTCTCTGGCATAATTGTACCTCACTGTTTGGTGAATGTCCTCTCTCAGGACACTCCTGATCCTGTTTTTCCAAAGCATCCTTTGTTCTTTAGTCCAGGACTTTCTTACCTTGTCATTTTCCAATCTATTCCTTAGGAGAGTCTATACTTCCCAAGCACACAAAGACTGATTCAGGCCTATACAGGTCCCTTGTACCTGCTGTTTAGCATGGTCACTGGGGCTAGTTGGGCCCCATCCTATGGTAGAGTTAAGGTTGCCAGCAGCTTGAAGGGGAGGGAAAGGGGACAGTCAGACTTGAGATGATGGAGAAAGTACATAATTAGCCTCCAATTAATGAAGAATTGCCTGTCTTAGCTGCATTCTCATGTTCTCGAGTTAAACACATTTTTACCCAGAGAATCAGAGTCTCCTAAGAAACATAAGATTATCAATGAGTGGTTTGGGCCAATGCGGGCCCTTCCCAGACCAGATAGATTATCCATTTCCTTCTTGTTGGATATAGACTTTTTTTTTTTTTTTTTTGAGACGGAGTCTTGCTCTGTTGCCCAGGCTGGAGTGCAATGGCATGATCTTGGCTCACTGCAACCTCCAGCTCCCTGGTTCAAGTGATTCTCCTACCTCAGCCTCCTGAATAGCTGGGATTACAGACACATGTCACCATGCCCAGCTAAATTTTGTATTTTTAGTAGAGACAGGGTTTCACTATGTTGGCCAGGATGGTCTTGAACTCCTGACATCATGATCCGTCCACCTTGGCCTCCCAAAGTGCTGGGATTACAGGTGTGAGCCACCACGCCTGGCTGGATATAGACCTTTATATTTATAGAAAGTATTCTAAAAGTTTTGACTTCTTAAAAGAGTTTAATTCCCTGTATTCGAAGGAGGGGGGAAATAAGAAACAAACACCTATGCCATATTAAAAAGAGGGCCCAGATATTCATCCTTTGATATTACTAGAAAGGAGGCTAATGATGAGGAGGCTAAGGAGGCTAATAGTGTGGCAGGCTATGGTCATCTGTTGGTATTTCTCTTATGATGGTGATATTCTGATAATCTTTATTAAAGGAAAAGTCCAGCTTGCATTCTCAGTTTCCTAAAACTTGAAAGTTCAGTCTTGGTATACATTTAAAAATTCATCAAACAGTGAAGTAAAATTATGCTTTTAATATTTTACATTTTCTGGAGAACACTTATATACTATTGATGGGAATGTAAATTCATTCAACTACTGTCAAAAGCAGCTGAGAAATTTCTCAAAGAACTTAAAACCAGAACTACCATTCGACTCAGCAATCTCATTACTGGATATATATCCAAAAGAAAACACATCATTCTGCCAAAAAGACATGTACATTCATGTGTTCACTACAGCACTACTCACAATAGCAAAGACATGGAATCAACCTAGGTGCCCATCAATGGTAGATTGGATAAAGAAAATGTGGTACCTACACACCATGAAATACTATGCAGCCATAAAAAAAGAATGAAATCTTGTCCCTTGCAGCAACATGGATGCAGCAGGAGTCTGTTATCCTAAGCGAATTATTAATAACACAGAAACAGAAAACCAAATACCATATGTTCTCATTTGTAACTGGGAGCTAAACATTGGGTACTCATAGACTTAAAGATGGAAACAATAGACACTGGGGAATACTGCGTGGGGTCAAACGTTGAAAAACTAACTATTGGATGTGATACTCCTTACCTGGGTGACAGGATCAATCATACCTCAAACCTCAGCATCACATAATATACCCATATAAGCAACCTTCACGTGTGCCTCCTGAATCTAAAATAAAAGTTGAAATTATATATATATTTATATATAAATAAATATATATATTTATATGTAAATAAATTTATATATATTTATATATATAAATATATATATGTATTTATATATAAATAAATTTATATATATATTTTAAAAACCTTAACTGTTGAGATTGACCAAATCAGCCAAGAGGGATAATAAAATACCAGGAAAAGAAATTTTACATTTTCTTAGATGTTCATTGCAGAAATTTTGATAATTACAAAAATTATTATTTTTAATACAGCTATGTTCATATGTACCTCAAATTTGGATTATAATTATATGAATTTCTAAGTGTATTACAAAATGTTTTATAATGAATATTTCCCTCTTTCAGTAAATATTCTGCTAAGGTGTGAATTTTATGGCTGTGCAACATTTTATTGTGTAGCTAGAGCACAATGTGTGTAATAATTTATTTAACTCAATCCTCATTGGATTCTTGCTGTTTTGCTATTATAAAGAAAGCCATAATGACTCTCTCTCTGTGTATTTCTTTGTCTTTGGTTTAAAAGAATAACATTAGCATAGATGTCACCAGGCATACAGACATGATCAGATTTTTCCAGTGGCATTTGCCAGCTGCCATTTTTTCTTGAATTCTTATTTTTTATATATTCCTGAGATGTTCACTGCTGCCAGCATGCTCTACCATTATTCTTTCTGGACATCTCAGTGAATTAGGACTGGAGGCCAGCCATGGTGGTGCTGGGGCCACTGCAGCCAATGGAAGGCGAAGAAGAAGGAAGGTTCTGAGCCACTATTTGTATTTTAGATAGCAGCAGCAGTTGCTTCAACTTCTCCCAACAAAGAGACTTCTATCTCACTTTATCAAAAAGTTGAGCCACCCACAAATGAGAAAGCACATTGAAAAAGTCTGATGCCAATGAAATGCGAGGCATTTAAATTATTAGTATTGGTATATTAAGATGCCTATGTTATTTCTGTTACCTTCTTATTAATCTGTACTGTTTCACAACTTGTCCCAAATGGTATCCCCAACTCTCTGGCATTTTGCATTTCATGGGTGAAATGGAAATGCAGATGATATCAGCAGTGATGGAATGAAATGAACTTTTTATACAGCTGAAAAATCACCCTGAGCTACTGAAATATAAGAGCATACATACATCATAGTCAAGTTGTCAAAGGGGGATATTTCACAGCTATGACCTCACAGCCATAAAATATAAGCTGTATAACATGTAAGGAAACCCAAGACAACTTTTCCAGATTTTCTTTTTTTACTAGTAAGATTACCACATGGAAAATAACTTTAACAAGTTATAATAATCTAATTAAAGGAATACTTAGAATTGCATAGACCTTTTCATTTTCAAGGGTTTGAATATCTTCTGTATTCCTTACGGCGGCACAGCATCATAACATCTGTTATCTCCACATCACATGCCCAACCCTAGTGTCCAGGTAAGGGAGTCAAGTCTTTTCACACCTTTGATGTTTGAGGCTGCATCCAGCCCGCCTTATTCCTCATTGCTAAATGGGCCACAGCAGCAGGTGGGTCCTGGTGAGTTAACTCCCAGCCGACAGCGGAGCTTTGCCAGCAGCTGTCAAAGTCAGTCTGGGGATAGGCTTTAACAAAAACTATCCTTTTGACCTTTCCCCACACAGAACTCACATCCAACTTGAATAATTCATCACGGACTTCTAGGGCAGTTTTGAGAGTTTCTGAGGTTGCTTTAAAAATCTTGTCGTTCCCTTTTATTTAAGTGTCTTTGCTTTTCTTCAGAGTCAGTTTGATGATACTTGTTTTATTTTTTGCATCTTGGTTTTATTATTTATAATTAAGAAGATTTATGGCAAAATCAACAGTGCTGGAATCATTTGACAATTTAGTTAAATAATCTCCCTGATTATTATTAGTTTTCTACTACTTCTGGATGGACACCCTTCCAAATGGTTTTCTTCCCCATTTGGAAGAGCACAAGCTGACTTAGGTGTCCACTAGTGAAGAGGGACAAAGATGAACATTATCTAGAAATTGGTGGACAAGAAATGTCAAAGCCTTAGTAGAGCTTTCAGTGGGCATGTTTTTTCCACCTAAGGTGTCCAAATTAAATGTTTGTAGGTGACATGCTGTTCTTAAGAGTAGATAATCCCCATTCCAAACCCTGTGAACTCTGACAGCTGCATCATGATTTCTACAAATGTCAGAAGCTCCTATATCCTCGTGGTCACATTTGGCTCCGTCTTCCAGTCTTCATTGCATCTGCTTCTCTGCTCTGTCTCAGGGCAGTTGCTTAGTCTTTTGCCTTTGCCACTGGTTCATGGAATATAGCCCTTTTCCATGATTTTCTCAAATACTAACAACAACAACAAAACCCACAAAAGAACGTATTTATGCCAGACTTTACTGAGGGTTTGGGGAACTGGAGGGGGTTTATATTGCAACAGTGCCTGGAATTCCTGGTGTTAAAAGAGCTCTGGTTCTTTTGCTCTCTCTTTATTTCTCAGGAACATCCCCCCTACTCCTGCTCACCAACTTCTGCCATTTTCTTATGCAGAGCAATCAGCTGCCTCCAATTCTTCCCCTGAACAGCACTGGGCCAGGTGCATTTCTCTGCCCATTCAAGGATTTTACTAAAACTTTGATATTTCTTGTACAACAGTTTCTAGATAATGTTCATCTTGTCCCCATGTTCTCTGGAGAAAGGAGTGAGTATTGATTACAAGGATGGAAGCTCTAATCTCAATCAGGAATGTGACTCTCACATTTCATGAGAATCACATTGAAGACCTACTAGGCATTCTCCCCACAAATTTTGTGTTGCTTTTCAGAATTCCTGTCTCCATCCCTCCTCCTCTGCCACCTTGCTCTTCCATTAGTTTAGTCCCTCATAGATAATAATTTCTTTAAAAATTGCGCCAAAATGTCTTTCCAGATTTCTAGGTGCAAGTTATCTTCAGCAGATACATTGGAGACTGAGTTGGAAACACTAATGTGGAGTAAATCACCCCTCAGTTCCTCAGTCGGGGATCTCATCAGTTGGGTTTCAAAATGATTGATGAAGTTGGAGAGGAAACATGCATTTCTGCTATCTAGCAAAATAATACATAAAAATACATCACTTTTTAATAGATGTAGGGGAGGTGAATTATTCAATCTGGTTAACACATGAAACAGCAAATCTTACATGTAGTCATGAAGTTATTGCTTTTGGAAATGATCTATTGGCCTGCTATTATCACCAAAATGGAAAGGAATAAAGACAAGCTCTGTAAACAGTTGCTGGAGTTTGGGAGGAGAGGAAAGAGGAGGAAATTAAAATGAGGGGAGAAATCTCACCTGTACAAAAAGCCCAGCAGTCCTGTTTAGCATATCTCTAATCATTGCTGACAACAACATCTAGGACTTACTATGTGCTTCACACATATTATCTCATTTAATCTCAAATCAGCCCACAAGGGAGGCTGTGTATTTATCTACCGCTAAGGCACAGAGAGGTTAGATAGCTTGCCCAGGGTCATTCAGTCAGTAAGGGCAGAGTCTGACTCTGGGGATTGTGCCCTTCACCTTCGCATTACATTGCCCTCCAGGAAAGTCCAGGAGGGGATTTTCTTTCCCCATATAAATGCATGTAAGGATTCCAATGGCTGTAACCATTAGGATATCTTTTTCAGAATGCAAAGCGTCATCTTGCTTACAGAAGATATATGCAGACATACTGTGAAAAGGGTGAAGCATTAGATAACTATTATTGCTGTTAGTGTTGTTACCCCATGCATGTCCTTCTACTGTTAGGAAAACTACTTTCTTTGTCTTGAAACATTTCACTCCTATTAGATATTATTCAGTCTATTTTACAAATGATGAAAGTGAACCTTCCAGAGGCTTTTGGTTAATCAAAATTGCTTTGGAGTAATTCAGACCTCTATTCCCATACTGGCTCCACCATTTCTTAGCTGTGGTACCTTGGGGAAGTCTTGTACTCTTGCTGGGGCTTATTGTTCCATATGTAAAGGAATAATATTAATACCTTCCTACAAGACTTTTGTGAGCATTAGATATCATGAATATGAAGCCACTGTCTCAGTGTCAGGCACATAGTGGGCTTGTTCTTTGTGCCCCAAAGCTGCAGTGTTATCTTCTTCCTGTGTTGGAAGGAAAGCAGGATCCCTATTTCCTCTTCCAATCCATTGAACATAACCCTGGTTCTTGGGCATATGGCTATGTGGGACAGCATACTAGAGAGAAATTGTGGCGTCTCTGAGACAACCACTGAAAATAAGTTCCTAAGAAAACCCACATCAAATGGAAGCCCCAAAGCCATCACATGTCCTGTGGCAGCCCCGGATCCTAAGATACCAGCAACAACAGCATCTTGCCTTCAAAGAGCACATTTTCTTTCGCAAAGCATTTTCCAACACAGCATCTCATTTTATGGTCAAAGCAAACCTGTGCACGTCAGGCAGGTGACAGTATGCCCACCCGATGAAGACAAAAAAGGGGTAAGAATAAGTGGAATTCTATCCACAGTGCTGAAGGCCTTGGTAAATACTGCTAAGTCATCCTGTAGGTTGAAAATTGGCACAGCTATCATAAAATAGCTCAGAGTTGAAAATGAGATTGAGGAACTAGATGTTCCATTCAGCAGATAAGCCACCAAATGGATGATTTAAATGCAAACATGAATATACCAAGTGTACATGCTGGCTATTTTTATGAATTCAATATTCAACAAATGTTTTTTGAAATTGTGAAGTCAATTCAAAAATATTTATTGGACATCTCCTTTGTGAAAGACACTTTCAGTGCCTGGGACACAATACCTTCCATGGGCTCCCTGTCACATGGGGGCTGCCCACAGGATGGTCAAGGCTGTGCGATCATTATCATCCAGGAGGGAGTGGCCAGAGCTGCCTGAGGGGTTCAGGGAAAGCCTTCCTCAGAAACTGACCCATGAAATAGACCTTGAGGGAAAGGAGAGGGGTCAGAAACTGGCCCTGGCTCTTCCAGGGTCACCTATGCCTGTCCTGTGTGCTGCCACCTTCTAACATCCATCAACTTAATGAGCAGTGGGGCTCTCCATCACTTGTCCCCCTATGTCCCAAACAAGAGAAAGAACCATTAGATCCCTGTCATTGTGTGCCAATGCCTAGGGCACCCCTCATTCCTCTGGACCTGGGTTCCTGCTCTTCCTTCTGCCAAGAATGTTCTTTCCTACCCATATCCATTCTTTCAAGTGGCCTCTGACTTCCCATTCTTTACAAGCCAAGCCGAAAGGTGAGCCATGAGGTGGCTCATTTGGTGACTTTTTCGTGCACTGATCATCCAGTGCAGGCTTCGCTGCTGCCTCCTATTTCCACGTGGTGATGTGGAGTCTGGACCTTAGTTACAGCACTTCTCACATGGCCCCCTCCACAAGAACACAGACTCCCTGGGGTCAGGGTTATATTCATGCCTATTTCCACAGTGCCCAGGACAGTGCTGGCACAGAGCAAGTACTCAACAGAAGCCCATGAAAAGCAGAAATTATTACTAATACTGGTATTGAGATTTCCTGCCTGCTCTGAACACAGGCAGCCTCAGCATATTGATTGGGAGATGATTTTCACTGGCCTAGGGGCCTGTTGCCACGCTTGGACCCCTGTGCAAATTTAAAAACTAGGATAATTTGTTTAACAGGTCTTTCTATGAGCCTTTTTATCCCCCTTCTTTGGCTTTCTAGAAGAAGCTAAGGTTCAACAATATGGTTTCACCTGCCACTTGTGCTCACTTGTGCAAAGTGAGCTTGTGTCACTTTGCACAAGCTCAGCCAGGTACTTGAGGTACTCACTAACTCCCAGGGAGTTGTAGCCGACCAGGGGTTGCCACCTGACCCTGCCTGCCTCAGAGGTCTTCCTTCTAAAGGCTTGCTGCCCCCTGTTGTGAAGTGTAGGTGCACATTTTCTGACTGCACTGTCTAGCACTTGAAATGTGTGTAGTCCAAATGAACTGCAAGTGTAAAATACACACCAGATTTTGAAAACTTAGTATATAAAACGAGTGTAAAATAGCTCTTTGGTATTTTTATATTTTTATACATTAAATGACAATGTTCTGGATGTATTCGATTAAATAAAATACATTATTAAAGTTTGCTTCACCTTTTTTGCTTTTTTGATGTGAATCCTAGAAAATTTAATATGGCAAATGTGACTCACATCCTATTTTATTGGAACAATGCTGCTTTACAGTATTCAACGTAAGCAGGCTTATTCTTACTTTTAGAAGCAACAAACTTATTCTCCAAAATATGATCGTATCTAATTTTAGAGGACAAAAAGGCTATAAGTTAGAAAATAATCATAATGATGATATTAATAATAACAACGGCCAACACTTACTGAGAGCTTCTTGGCACCTCTCATTGCATCAAACACTGTGTGTATGAACATGTTTAACATTTATGGCAGCCTATGGAATGAGTACTGCAGTTATCTCCGTTATACAGACAAAGAAACTGACATACAGGCAGAAATGATAAGTTACCGCACAGGGTGTGGAAGAACTAAGATTCACACCAACGTCGTCATTTGGCTCCATAGTCCAGATCCTTCACCCCCCTGGTGGTTTTCTTTCTGGGACTCACCCTGTGGCTCACATGGCTCTGAAAACATAGCTGGTGACAGAGACTCTCACTCTGAAGTAGGATTTGTCTTGTGTGACATCATTCTGGCTGGCCCACAAAGCTTTTCTGGCTCACAGATGAGAAAAGTCAATGTTCACTGTTAATATCATTGACGTCAGGGCCAACTATAACAGCTTCCAACAGGTCAGAGAAGGAGCCAGGCATTTACCCAGGTCCAGTTCCCACCCATCACTCAGGAAAGAGGGGAGGAGAGAAAAATGGAGAGGAGAAAGGGGATATTTCTCCAACCAGGTTGTTGGAAAAACTTAGATAATGCATGTGAAGGAAGGCCCTGAGTATGGTGCCTGAAATAAATTAAGGGTTTAATGAATATCTGTTCTTTTCCTCCCTGTTTTCCTCACTAAAATCTAAAGTTTAGGATCAGCTATTAACTTTGTTAAACATTGCATGACTCAAATGCATCCATTCTCAAATGCAAACAGACCATTTAGGCATGTGCTAAAAATGTAGCCAAATGTCTACAGAATCAGGTAAGGAGCCATGCACTCTGACTCTCTTAGAATTTCCGTGCCTTTTCTCAAATACATTATTGCTGTGAGAAATGCCATCATCTTCACAGTTTGTCATATTAAAAATTATTTTTATGTTTTTCTCCCCTAATTTCTACCTCCTATTTTTTTCTGGAGTAATTTAAAGAACATCTCAGACATATATAATTTCACTTATAAATAGTTCGCTGTGTATTGCTAACAGATAAGAAGTTAAAAAAATAACCACAGTACCATTATCCCACCTAGAAAATTAATAACAATTCCTTACTATAATCAATTATAATACTCATTTTCCAGTTTTCTCAATTGTCTTAAAAAATATCTTCTTTGGCTGGGTATGGTGGCTCCTGTCTATAATCCCAGTGCTTTGGGAAGCCTGAGGCATGAAGCTTGTTTGAGGCCCGGAGTTAGAGGCCAGCCTGGGCAACATAGTGAGATCCTATCTCTAAAAAAAAAAAGGAAAATCAGCCAGGTGTGGTGGCACATGCCTGTAGTGCCATCAGGGAGCTACTCAGGGGACTGAGGGAGGAGATTCCTTGAGCCCAGGAGTTTGAGGCTGCAGTGAGCTAATGGCACCACTGCATTCCAGCCTGGGCAACAGCGCAAGACCCTGTCTCTGAAACAAACAAATAAATAAATACACGTCTTCTTAGAGTTGGTTTGCTTGAATCATGTTTCTTGTTTTAAAGTTTCATTTCTCTTCTCCTTTCTCTCTCTCCCTTCTGTCTTCTACAAATATTTACCGTATCTTTCAAAGATACATATGGGAGCTGGGTGCAGTGGCTCATGCCTATAATCCCAGCACTTTGGGAGGCTGAGGCAGGAAGATCGCTTGAGCTCAGGAGTTTGAGACCAGCCTGAGCGACGTAGTGAAACCTCATCTCTACTGAAAACCTAATAAATTAGCTAGATGTGATGGTGCCTGCTTGTAGTCCTAGCTACTTGGGAGATGGAGGCAGGAGGATTGCTTGAGCCTAAGAGCTCAAGACTGCCGTGAGCTATGATCACACCACTGCACTCCAGCCCGGGTGACAGAGGGAGACCCTGTCTTTAAAAAAATACATATGGCATGGTAAAACGAGTTAATTCCAAAGTAAATGAGAAAATATGGCAAAAGGTGAGTACAAGAAGAAAACACAGATGGAGCCAAGATTGTGGTGAGGACACAAAGGCCAGCTATAAAATTGCATGTCCCTTTTCCCTAGAAGTCATGCATTTCCTTCTGAGCTTCCTAGCAGGAACTACAAAGAGGGCCCATGTGCACCTGTGGGACTCAGAGTTGATAACACACCATAAAACTGCTCAGGAGCAGCACAACCTGAGAGATATTTTCCCGTGGATCCTGACAAAGGAAACACTGAGTAATTGACCATACCATGTTCTCCATGGTAGCCTTGAACTCTAAGAAAATAAGTTTCATAAGGACATTTTAAAAAATCATTCTGAGTATTTTAATGTTACTTCTGTTAATCAAGTATGATTAACATGAATATTTCTTAGCATGAATATTTCTTAGAGTTCAGTCATGAATCCATGCCATTTCCTGTAGCAGCTGTTGGCTGATCTTACCTAGAGAAGCTCTCCAGCTCACCCAGTCCAGTCGGACTCTCCTGAATCACCCTGCCATGCTGATCCTCCTAAGGGACCACTTTAAGCCCATTGCTCCCTTGCTCAAGGATCTTCAATAGCTCCCTATTGACTACTCTAGGGTCAAGTGCAAGTTTCTCTGCTGCAGTGATGCCTTTCACCTCATAAAGAAAGTTTTGTTCAAGAGTAACAAAAGCTTCAGAGAGACAGAAGAAAATAAGATCTTAGAAATGCCTGTGTATTTAGTGACTAGAAGATTATGGAGTAATCTTCAAGAGAGGAGTTTCTAAAAATGAGTGGGGGAAAACTAGACTTAAATTTAGTGCCATTCTATTTAGTACTTGAATGCTCTTTGCTTGTTTTATGTGGGCTTTAGTTTTGTGATTCCACTGCCTGGGTTCCAGTCTTCGGCATGCTATTATTACAACTTTGGACAAATTACCTAAGCTTACTGTGACTCAGTTTCTTCATCTGTAAAATGGGGATAATGTAATAGAACCTCTCTAGGAGGCACTGTTGAGGAGACTGAGTGAGGCACACATAGGAAGTGCTCTGTAAGAGTTAGCTGTGCATCCTCCCGGCATGAGGTCATTGCCTCTTTGCAACAAGCACAGCAATTCTTCATGTTGACTAAAGCCTGAGTCTCTTTTATTTTCAAAATATATTCTCCCACCACTTCTCAATATTATCTCTGAAAAGAATATTTTAAAAGAGTAATGCACAAGAAACAGTTGTTCACTTTAGTTCTTTCATCTTAAAAACTATAGGAACAATAGGCCAAGAGAGAATTACAACTCAATTTAACAAAAATCTTATAATAACACATACACAATTATAAACTTTAAAAGGTTTGGGGGCTCATTGACTCTTCTGAGGCATCCTTTGTTCAGTGATACTGAACAGTGAGGAACTTTTTCTGAAGTGGCCGCCTGGCTTGTTTTGAGGTGAAGTAAGAAGGTGTGATGAAGATCCCAGCTCACACCAGCAGATGACTGCTGCTGTTTCAGGGCTCTCTGATACTGTCTCAGCTATGGAGATGGCACTTTTTGGACCACACCAAAGATTCTCAAACTTTATTGTCTAAAACTCCATTTGCATTCAGCCAAGACCCATGTTTCCATGAGATCATCTCTCATTAGATCACATTATTTATGAAATCCACTTTTAGAAGAAATGGATCCAGAAGCATTTCTTGGCCACATCAGGGTCTTCAGTCGAGTGGCAGAGTCAAGACATCTGGCCTCACTCTTCCCTGTGAAACTGGCTGAAAACAACTAAAATACCTTTTGAAAATTAGAAATGAAAATATACATCAAACTTGAAAATAGCCCAGCTCCTGGTAAGTGCAGTCGGGTCAAACTTGGTTAAGGGAGGCGGCTGGAAGCAGATCCGTGCCTCTGCAGAGCTCAGGTAACATGGAGCCTGCCGGAAGTAGGCCTGTCATTCAAAGGAGGGAAGCTATTATCCTTGTGGAACAGCCAGGTTTGAGTGGGAAGGTGAGCTTTGGGGACATCCCTGAGCCTTGTGAGAGGATACAGAGCTGAATGAAGAAAGATAAAGACATGCCATCTTTGCTAAAAGGCAGCAGGGATGGGCAGGCAACTGGCCTTGCAGTTGAAGAAAAGTAAAATGCTGAATCCTTCTTTGTTTATCATCATGGCTGGCCAACTCTACTTCCTGCTGAGATGGGGAAAAAAACCACAGGATAGAGAGAAAGCCAAACTGATGGTTGACCCAGCTCACTTCCCTGCCCTCTCTGCCATAAAATATATCTCACCCATAAAGAACAGTCCACATAAAACAATGAGTAATCTCATAAAAAAGATGAGTAATAATACAAAAGAAGTTTGCATGGGACACACTGAAAATATATTGCAAGAAAAATAAATGAGAAACATGACAAAAGGCAGACTAACATTCCAGAGAATTATGCCATAATATAGATAAAAATTGTAGAGAAACATTTTTTCCATTAAGAAGGTATAAAAATGGCTTTTCTGAAGCAATAATTCAAAGAAGGGCTATATTGGCTCAAGTAAAAGGTAATTACAGAAGTGAAAGTTAACATTAGAAGAAGAAAAAGAGATACTGCTTAAAATAGGGCAGGGATAAAGAGAATATATTTGAAAATAAGAAGGAAAATAAATAGAAAATAACCAGATATTTAAAATGAACGAGAAAAGGATAGATATTGAAGACAAGAAAAGGAATTGCAGCTCCCTTATGAATGGCATTCCTAGTAGAGGAAACATCACAAATATTCAGAAATAACACATACAATATTTCCTCAAATAAATAAGACCATAGTTTGAAATGAACCCAGCTGTTTCAGAAAAAAAAAAATCAACACTGAAACATGGCCTAGTAAAGTTACTGGACTTAGAGTAAAAATCTGAGCTTAAAAACAATATCAAACAGTTATAAGAGGAAAAATTTGTTTGGTCTCAGACTTTTTTACAGCAATATTAACTGCTAGAAGATGGAGAAAAATGTTGTCATGTCCTCAGAAAATGTGTGGCCCAAGAATTTTCTACCTAGCCAAATTATTGTTTGATATTTCCAAGCATGTAATAACTCCAGGGAAAAATAACTTATGCGTTCTTTCTTTAAAAACAAACAAAACTTGAAGCTGCCAATCAAGCGATCAAGGGAGGAGCCATGGAGTAATGAGAATAAGTACTGGATTTGCAAATAGGTGAAGTAAATGGAGGAATTATGATTACAGAATAGAATATAACATAGAAATAATCATAGAAAAAGGAGCCAAAAATGAGAGGTAGAGAAAAGGAAAGAAGGCAATGTAAGCATGAGTTCCTCGTCTTTTGTAGTAATGTCTTAGATTTTCAAATCTACTGTTTAAATGAAAAACCAAGGAATAGAAGTGTTAGTGTATTATTCAAAAGTATAAAGGTAAAAGCTAGAAGCATTAATGATAATATAGTAAGCCAAAATTGGTCAGTGTAGGATAAGCAAGATGGAATAAGTGCAAGTGTAGTAATTTTCTCATCTTTCATTATGACAAGTCATCACTTACTATATAAGAAATTTTAAAATACGGTAAAATAGTACATAAAATTACAAAGATAACCACCAAAAGATCCTAGAATAGACTATAAACCTTTGGAACTATCAGAATAAAAACACACAATAAAGAAAACAAATACCATATGGGAAAATAATTGTGTGTATTTGTGTCTTTAATTTGTTTGTGAGTGTCTTTAATTTATGTGTGTATAACATTATAAAGGAAAAATATAACTAAACATAATCCGTATGATTAAATATTTCTCCTATATCCAGAAATGTAAATTTATTGAAAGAAAAAGATTCTAAGCTTGTATTGCCAAACACAATCCAAATATATGCTATACACTGGCACACATGGCTAAAAGCATGCCAGGAAAATGCAGCAAAAAGAAGTAGTTCTCCTGATATTCATATTAGTTGCTATGCTTGAATGCTTGTGTCTCCACAGAATGCATGTTTAAACCGAACCTCCAAGGTGAGGGTATTAAGAGGTGGAGCCTTTAGGAGGTGATTAGGTCATGAGGGATCCACCCGCATGAATGGAACTAATGTGCTTATGTAAGTGACTTGTAGGAGCTTTTTGTCCTCTGCCACCTGAGGATACATAGAAGTTGCCATCTATGAGGAACAGGCCCTCAGTAGACACCAAATCCACTGACGCTTTGATCTTGGCCTTCTCAGGCTCCAGGACTGGGCAGAATACATTTCTGTTGTTTATAAATTACCCAGTCTAAGGTATTTTGTTATAGTAGCTGGAACAGATTGGGACATTAGTTCAAGGTGAATTAAAGACAAAGTATTAAAGAGAAAGAAGGATATTTTTATAATAAAAAGGATATAATACATAATGAAACTAATTTTCATGAATCTTTATGTGTCAAATATCAAAGCTAAAGTTATTGGAAATATAAAGAAGACTAAGGAGGAACTTGCTGGTTGAAATGTCTTTAATTCACTTCTCTCATCCCATGATATTAAGAAAAAAAAAGTAAGAATAAACTAACCCTAAATAACATCATTAATAAGATAGATCTACCTGAAACACACAACACACACACACACACACACACACACACACACACACACACACAATCTATTTTTTCTAATTATGTCACTAAAATGAAGAAAACATCTTCTTTTTAAACTATGCAACATTTAAAAACGGCAACAAAAGAATCCTCAATAGCTCTCACAAGTTGAAAAGATGCCAAACATATTCTCTGAGACTGATGAAAAAAAGAAAACCTGTAAGTTAATGACAAAAATAGACCGAAAAAAAAAAGCTCTACACTCAGAAATTAGAAAGCCAAACACAAACAGCGTAATGTCCTGTGGAAAAAGCATGGAAGGAAGGTGTTATTCATCTCATGCCAGTGAGTTTTCACATCTCTTGCCGGGCTCTCTACTTTATTTTCTAAGATTCCCTCAGCCCGAAATTCATTTCTTCAGCATGCTATATCTAAACTGGGAATTTCCTAATACACATGTACAACTCCTCTACTGTGTTCATCTCAATTCTTTATATATATAGATGTGTAAAATTTATTTGGGATTGAATTCCATTTGCCATGTAGTATAAGAGAATAAGCTATTTTAAAATTCTTTATTTGAATTTATGTATTGGTTTATTTGAAACCACATATTCATGTACTACAGGGAGCCGATAGGAGCAGGCTGACTGAGAGGTAGACAAGGTAAGGCTATCATCATCAAGGTGGTCCTGCCATTGTACTGTCTTTGGAACCTGAGGATAAAGCTCCTGGGCTAGCCTGCCACCATTCTTGTTTGTACTTGGCTTGCCTTGGTGGTGTGCTGATGAAATTTCTGCTCTCCTTTCCATGCCCTATAACTGCAAGGACATTCTTTTCACCTCTAAGGTGCATTCTGCTTTGCCCATTCCTGCGATGTGGAGGCCTTGGGTGCTTTGAAAATACGTAACAGCCCACTCCCACATTTGGGCTGGATACATAGCAGCTGGCCCACACCACAGCCCCCTGAGAGGAGCCAGGTGTGATGAGTCTGTGTTTTTCTGATTTACTCGAGGCCTTGCCCACTCACTCCCTGGAAGGGGCTCTTGTAAATTGTGGGCAGAGCTAAAGTCTATGACCCAGAAACATTGCTGAGATAATTTTCTCCAGGGACTGTCATCTAACATTTAATAATTATCCTCTCTCCTCCTGCAGCCTGGTTTGTGCATGTACTACTCAGTTTTTATATTATATTAGTATCTTTCACCTTCATTTATATGTAAATAGTTGTTTAAAACATAACATTTAATTGAGAAAAAAGCACATGGCCATTGAAAACCACCTTGTTTCTGTATAATGTGGTTGATCCTGATTTCTTTGTCAAAAAAACACATCCTCTGACACAATTTACTGTGTTCACTACAATATTCAAAACAGGTATCAATATTTTGGGGAAGTTCTTTGCTACAGAAGCATCCTGGTAGAATATCATGTGTGATAATGGTAAGAGGGTCTACTTTCTTATAAAGCCATTGATCTTGAACTTAGTGTATCAGGGGCAGTATCAGTGCAAATTGATTCACATATGTCAAGCATTAACTTACACTTCCAAAAAAAAAAGCAGTCAGTACAGGACTGAACTCATCAGTTCCTTTGTAGTTGTTTGCGATGGTTCACAGAATAAGAATTCTTTGATCTATTTCTCCTTTAAGTACATCATAAACATGGGATGATCACCATAGCCATCAACCTCAGATGATTCCGCTGAATGCCCACGTTGAGAGGGCTGGTGTGGATCACGTCATTTTCTCAATAATTTACTGAAGGTTCTTTTCTGAATCTCCCAATGTTATTTTTTGAGAATCCCTTTCAATGCATGAGTTTTCACTAATTTTTCAACTATTAGAAGAGACTTCTTTCCCTTGCCACGCAAGACAAAGAAACTTACAACAAACACGGACATCTCAGGTGTCAAACCCAAACATTTCAAGGCATTTCTAGAAACAGTCTTATGTCCAGCTGCATAGCCTTTGTAGTTGAAGGTTGGACAGCTTTGATGGTTTGAATTTTGAAGTTTGAAAATAATGAATGGCACAGAACACATTGCAGTCTGTAGCCATTGTACAGCAACTCCTAAAGAATACATTCCTGCTCCCATTTGTGTTTCTTTAACATGGCTTACCCCCAAATATATGAATATTTCCCTGAGATGATGGAGTTTTGCTGTGTGAATGAGCCCTGGCACTGGCCATATTGCCTGTGGGAATTTTGTAATAGCAGCTAAACTTTAATTAGCAGTTTCTTTGTTCCAGGCACTGTGCTAAGAGCTTTGCAAGTGTTTTTGCATATAAACCCTCACAACAAGCCAGTGTGTATGGATTATTACTACCATCATTTTACAGAAGCAGAAATTGATGCCTAGAAGAGGTTAGAAGATTGGGTTCTTCAAATCTTACTTCCCACTAAAAGGAACCATCTATTCTTGGAGAAATGTCTAATTTCAAGTCTGGAGCAGAAAATGTACATGATGAGCATATAATACCTTATCTTACAAGATGGCAGTGGAGCTAGTAAAGACTAATAAGCTTAGGATGACCAACTTGTCCCAATTTGTCCAGTACTTTCCCTCTTTTAAAATGGGAAGTCCCATGTCACAGGAACCCCCTCATTCCCAGGCAAACTGAGACAGTGGTCATGTCAAATAATAATAAGCTCATTTCAAAAGGACACAGGAGCCAACTCTTCAATAGGCTCCCATGGGATGAAAATAAATTGAAATACATCAAATATGTAGACATCCATGAGTTCGTGATGATACTAAAAAACAAAACAAATCATGACTAATTGGTCACCGCCGGAGAGAACGAACTCTATTTTGAAAATTGATCATTCTTCTAGCCTTTCCTAAATAAACAGTACTATTGGGTATCCAGAGTGTAGGTGAGGGGAAGTTTTTTGTTTGTTTGTTTGTTTGTTTGAGATGGAGTCTCGCTCTGTCGCCCAGGCTGGAGTGCGGTGGCGCGATCTCAGCTCACTGCAAGCTCTGCCTCCTGGGTTCACGCCATTCTCCTGCCTCAGCCTCCCGAGTAGCTGGGACTACAGGCGCCCGCCACCACGCCCCGCTAATTTTTTGTATTTTTAGTAGAGACAGAGGAAGTTTGTTTTTATATATTCCAGCTAAAACATGAAGAAGGAATACAAAATTAGAATATCACCATTTTGTAGCCCCTAATGAATGTGAACATTGAACATAAACAGCTGCTAATTTCACCAAGAGAGACAAATGAATGTGCATTACCTGTTGGAAGAACTAATGTCATGTAATTTATGAAGAATTCTGGTCCAAGAAAGCCCCCCCGAAAAAGCAAAAAACCACCCTGAATCTGCATCTGGTTAACTTTTGATCCAAATACAAGAAACCCAAAAGACAGAGGGACATATTAAACACCCAGGAATGCAATCAGCAAAATAGAGTCTGCAGAAAGCTCTATAGGATGAATTATTTCTTCAGCCAATAATTGCATAGAAAAAAGATGAAAGTAGAATGTACGGATTAAAAGAGACAAGATATATCAACCAATTGCAGTTTGTGAACATTATTTGCAAAATGATTCAAACAAACGATAAAAAATCGGAAATTTATGATAATTGTAAGTTTAAACACTGATTGTATATTTTATGATGTTAAACAATTATTTTAATTTTTTAAGTGTGATAATGGTACTGTAGTTTCATTCGTTTGAAGAGAATCCTTGTGTTTTAAAGATATATACTGAAATTTTATGAATAAAATGATATATTGCACTTCAAAATAAATATGGGATGTGCTTCAAAATAGTATATGGTGGAGGTTGGGGAGTGGGTTAAGATAAGTAAAACAAGATTGGCTGAGTTAATAATTGTTGAAGTTGGGTGATAGGTACATGGAAACCCTGTACTATTGTGACTATTCATGTTCATTAAAAAAATTCTTCATAGTAAAAGAGAGAGAGAATTAGACTAAGTTTTAAATGTCACATTGCTAGAAAATGGCTGAGCCAGGATTTAAACAAAGACAATTTTAGTCTATAATTGATATTCTAGATTTTCTATACTACCTCAAAAAAAATATTGAAATGTGGATATTAAACACTGACAGAAGAGCTGAACAAAAGCAACTTCCCACTTCTCACCTCTCCAGTGCTGGTTATTTCAGAGTCCAAGATGGCAGATACAGTGAATTGACTTTTAGAAAACTGAGTTTGCTCTGCAGGCTCTGGTTGAACTGCAATAATGCCTCTTTATTTTCTTTTCTCCCACCCTCTCCTTTCTGAGTTTCCAGAGTCCATTATAAGCATACCTATACGTATAGCTCCCACTTGTAAGTGAGAACATATGGTAATTGGTTGTCCATTCCTGAGCTACTTCACTTAGAATAATAGCCTCCAGCTCCATCCAAGTTGCTGCAAAAGACATTATTTTGTTCTTTTTTATGGATGAGTAGTATTCCATGGTGTATACATACCACATTTTGTTTATCTACTCATGGGTCAATGGGGATTTAGGTAGGTCATTACCTTTGCAATGTTGAATTGTGCAGCAATAAACATGCATGTGCAGGTATCTTGTTGATACAGTGACTTATTTTCCTTTGGGCAGATACCCAGTAGTGGGATTGCTGGATTGAATGGTAGATCTACTTTTAATTCTCTAAGAAATCTTTATACTGTTTTCTGTAGAGGTTGTATTATTTTACATTCCCATCAGCAGTGTATAAGCGTTCCTTTTTCACAACATCCACACCAACATCTGTTGTTTTTTGACTTTTTAATAATGGCCATTCCTGCAGTGGTAAAGTGGTATCTCACTATGGTTTTAATTTGCATTTCCCTGATAATTAGTGATGTTGAGCATTTCTTCATGTTTCTTGGCCATTTGTATATCTTATTTTGATAAATGTCTATTCATGTCATCTGCCCACTTTTTGGTAGAATTATTTGTTTTTTTCTTGCTGATTTGTTTGAGTTCTTTGTAGATTCCAGAATTAGCCCTTTGTCAAATGCATAGTTTACAAATATTTTCTCCCATTCTGTGGGTTGTGTATTTACCCTGATGATTATTTCTTTTGCTGTGCAGAAGCTTTTTAGTTTAATTAGGTCTCATTTATTTATTTTTGTTTTTATTGCATTTGCTTTTGGGGTCTTAGTTATAATTTTTTTTGCTTAGGCCAACATCCAGAATAGTTTTTCCTGGTTTTCTTCTAGAATTTTTAGGGTTTCAGGTCTTATTTATAAGGTCTTTGATTCATCTTAAGTTGATTTTTGTATAAGTTTTATTCTTCTACATGTGGCTATCCAGGTTTCCTAGTACCATTAATTAAATAGGGTACCCTCTCTCCAGTTTATGTTTTTGTATGCTTTGTCAAAGATCAGTTGGTTTTAAGTATTTGGTTTTATTTCTGGGTTCCCTATTCTGTTCCACTGGTCTGTGTATCTACCATGCTGTCTTGGTGACCACAGCTGTGTAGTATAACTTGAAGTCAGGCAATGTGATGCCTCCAGATGTATTCTTTTTGCTTAAGATTGCTTTGGCTGTTTGGGTCCTTTTTTGGTTCCATATGAATTTTAGGTTGTCAATATCCTCAATAAAATACTAGCAAACTGGATCCAATAGCACATCAAAAAGATAATACAAGTGTGTTTCATCCCAGGGATGCAGAGATGATTTAACATATGTGAGTCAATAAATGTGATACATGACATAAAGAGAATTAAAAATAAAAACCATATGATCATCTCCATAGATGCAGAAAAAGCATCTGATAAAATCCAACATCGCTTTATGATAAAAACTCTCAACAAACTAGGCATAGAAAGAACATACCTCAAAATAATAAAAGCCATATATGACAAACCCACGGCCAACATCATACTGAATAGGGAAAAGTTGAAAGCATTCCCCCTGAGAACTAGAACAAGACAGGGATGTCCACTTCTATTCAACATAGTACTGGAAGTTCTAGCAAGAGCAATCAGGCAAGAGAAATAAATAAAGGGCATCCAAATTGGAAAAGAGGAAGTCAAACTATCATTGTTCACTGATTATATGATCATATATCCAGAAAATCCTAAAAATAAAATATCTAGGAATATACTTAACCAAGGAGGTGAAGGATTGCTACAAGGAGAACTACAAAACACTGCTGAAAGAAATCATAGATGACACACACAAATGGAAACACATCCCAAGCTCAAGGATTGGATGAATCAATATCCTGAAAATGACCACATTGCCCAAAGCAATCTACAGATTCAATGCAATTCCTGTAAAAATACCAACATCATTTTTCTTAAAATTACAAAAAACAAACCCATTTTAGCTCATAATTTTTGAGGTTCAGGAATCCAGAAGCCGTTTAGCTGGGTAGGTCTGACTCATGGTCTATAAGGAGGTTACAATCAAGATTTTGGTCAGAACTTCAGGCATGGAAGCTGGCTTCCCGCAGACTGAGTGACGCAAGAATGAATGAGAGGCAGTGATCTGAGACAGTGCTGAGGTTGTTTATAATCTAATCTTGAACATGTCATCCCATCACTTCTCTCTTTCTTTTTTTTTTTTTTTTTTTTTTGTTGTTGTTGTTGTTAGAAGGGAGTCATGAGATCCAGTCCTACTCAAGGGGCATTACATAAGGGAATGAATACCAGGAAGTGGGGATCACTCAGTACCATCTTGGTACCTACTACACATGGATATGCCCAACACTGCCTGGGCCAAAAAAAAAAAAAGGCTGGGCCTGAAACCCTTGCTCCATGACAGGGCTGCCTGGGGAGTTTTCTGATGACATGGAGAGTTCCAGTAAAGAGAGTACATTTCAAAAAGAGAACCATAAGAAGCAGATCTAACACCAAATTGCTATAATCAGTCTGACACAGATAATGAGCAGAAAAAGTTAGAAAGGGGGCTATACTTAATGCCCATGAGCAGCGTAGCTCTGGCTTGTTTAAACTCAGTGATCACTCAGCAAATGATGCTAAATTTTCAGATGCTTTTGTTTAGAAAACAGCCCCACCCCAAAAGACAATGAGGTGGGGTGTCCTTAGAGACTATCCATGTTTCCATGTTTTATGGATTTCTCACAGAGAGACAGCTATCACAGAAAATATTCAAAGGACCTGCATCATACTGTGGTCAGCTGCCTCTGCATTCACTGGGAATTTGTTAGTAAATACGTGAAAACGATTTTGTTTTTAAAACTTTATAGCCTTCTCAAACTATCTCTACAGTAGTACTTATATTTATTGTAAGACCAGTAACAGAAGATATTTTGAAAAGAACACTTCTGCCTTCTGAAGTCTTTAAATTCATGACCAAAACCAACAATGCACAAAAAAGGAAATACATGTGGCTGGTACTATGCAGGGTCAGTGGGCAGCAGGTCTGCCTTACCTGCAAGGGCCTTGGGAAGGAATGGTAAATAAAGTTTCCCATTGGGAAAGAACAGGCACTCTCACGCATTGCTGGTAGGAGGGTACATTTACAACCTCCATGGAGGTCAATTTGGCAATATACATAAAAATTACAACATGCTTTCACCCTTTGACCCAAACATTCCACTTGTAGGAATTTATCTTAAGAATTCATTTTCACACATGTGAAAGGTTGTATGCATAAAGTTATTCAATGCAACACTACTTGTAGTGGCAAAAGACTTGGAATAATCTAAATATCAGTGGAGGAATGGTACAAAAATTATGGTGTATCTTCATAATATAAAATTATACAGCTATAAAAATGTATGAAGCTGTCCACACAAAAACCTGCACACAAATATTTATAACAGCTTTATTCATAATTGCCACAACTTGGAAGAACCAAAATGTTTAACAGTAGGTGAACAGGTCAATAAACTGTGGTACATCAGATGATATTATTCAGCACCAAAAAGAAATGAGCTATCAAAACACAGAGGAAACCTAAATGCATATTGCTAAGTGAAAGAAGCCAATTTGGAAAGGCCATATACTGTATGACTCCAACTATATGACATTCTGGAAAAGGTAAAACTATGGACACAGCAAAAAGATCGGTGGTTGCCAGGAATTAAAGGAGAGGAAGGGACGAATAGGCAGACCACAGAAAAGTTTTAGGGCAGTGAAGCTGTCTTGCATGATACCATAATGGTGGACAAATGCCATTATACATTAGTCCCAACCCACACGTGTACACCAAGAGACAACGCTAATGCAAACTATGGACTGTGGATGATAAGGAAGAGTCCATGTAGGTTCATAAG
This sequence comes from Homo sapiens, assembly GCF_000001405.40. Lineage (NCBI taxonomy): Eukaryota > Metazoa > Chordata > Mammalia > Primates > Hominidae > Homo > Homo sapiens. The sequence goes on from NC_000013.11 coordinate 50,628,028, forward strand.
TTGTTACAAATGTACCACCCTCGTGGGGGATGTTGATGGTGGGAGGGGTTGTTCCCGTGAGGGAGCAGGGGCATCTGGGCTTTCTGCTCAATTTTGTTGTGAACCTAAAACTGTTCTAAAATATACAGTCTATTTTTTTAAAAAAGTATGAGAAATCTTTTTGTGTAGTAACATGGAACATCTCCAAAAACAGGTTGTTAAGTAACAGAAACAAGGTCTCTCCTGTGAGATTATTCAGTGGAAAGAGAATTTTGCAAAGCAGTGTATCAACCTTTTTCAGGTAGCTCAGTAGTATGAGGAAGTATTGGACTAATTTCCCTTTCCTACTATTCTTTTTATATATATATATATATATTTATTTATTTATTATACTTTAAGTTCTAGGGTACATGTGCACAACGTGCAGGTTTTTAACATATGTATACATGTGCCATGATGGTGTGCTGCACCCATTAACTTGTCATTTAAGTAAGGTATATCTCCTAATGCTATCCCTCCCCCCTCCCCCACCCCATGACAGGCCCTGGTGTGTGATGTTCCCCATCCTGTGTCTAAGTGTTCTCATTGTTCAGTTCCCACCTATGAGTGAGAACATGCCGTGTTTGGTTTTCTGTCCTTGCAATAGTTTGCTCAGAATGATGGTTTTCAGCTTCATGCATGTCCCTACAAAGGACCTGAACTCATCCTTTTTTACGGCTGCGTAGTATTCCATGGTGTATATGTGCTGCATTTTCTTAATCCAGTCTATCATTGATGGACATTTGGGTTGGTTCCAAATCTTTGTTATTGTGAATAGTGCCACAATAAACATACATGTCCATGTGTCTTTATAGCAGCATGATTTATAATCCTTTGGGTATATACCCAATAATGGGATGGCTGGGTTTAATGGTATTTCTAGTTCTAGATCCTTGAGGAATTGCCACACTGTCTTCCACAATGGTTGAACTAGTTTACAGTCCCACCAACAGTATAAAAGTGTTCCTATTTCTCCACATCCTCTCCAGCACCTGTTGTTTCCTGACTTTTTAATGATCGCCTTTCCTAGTATTCTAAAGGATTTGAGGGGAAAGACTGGCACTCACAGTATAACTGTGTATTTTAATTTTTATTGTTTATTTATTATTGAGACAGAGGACTCCCACATACCAGCAGGCTGGAATGCAGTGGCATGATCATGGCTCACTGCAGCCTCAAATTCCCAGGCTTAAGTGATCCTCCCACCTCAGCCTCCCAAGGAGCTGGGACTATAGGCACCACCATGCCCAGCTAATTAATCTTTTATTGTTTTTAGAGATGGGGTCTTGCTATGTTGTCCAGGATGGTCTGAAACTCCTGGGCTCAAGTGATCCTCCAGTATCAGCCTCCCAAAGTGCTGGATTACAGGCATGAAACTCTGTGCCTGGCCTTATTTTTAAAATATTGCTTGGCTCCCAGGAATATCAGTGGCAGCATCTGGTGAGGAGTGCAGATGTCACAATTTTAGAGGGCTTCCATGGGTTGCCCAGAATCAGGTTGCAGTCCCAAAGTACATCCAAATTGGCCAGTTTATCTTGACTCCAAAGCAAACAGTTCATTAATCATAGTGTAACCCCTTCTCACCCTATCTCTCTATTGCCTGCCTGTAAGGAAAGTTACGTATTTATTTACTGAACAAAACAAAACTCTTGCTTCCAGCTGGTGGGAAAAAAGGTCAAATTGCCAAGCCGTGATGTAATTAAAGGGCTAATGGTAAATAACTTGGAGGTCATGTCTACGGTATAGCACTATTTGGAAGAACAGTGGAGTGTTAAGCAGTTAGAATGCCTTTGATGACATTGAGATGGAAAGAATGTAAGCATATTGGCAAAGTTCACTGTACAGGGGCTGCTTTTGGCCATCACCTCAGAGGGTCCAAACAGGCCTGAAATCGATAGGAACTCAGATCTGGTGCCATTTAAGAAAAGAAAAAAGAGGGGGAGGTAGAAGAATGGATCTGTTGTTTTTGGAAGACATGGGCAGAAACCGCCAAATTCTGATGCTTGGTTTTAGGAGCGAAATTATAAAAAGCTGAAGTGACCTAACCCAGGAGGCGAAGAACATATTGCCACTGGCTCTGATGGCCTGCAAAATTCTTTCTAGATGCCTGACTTCATGGAAGGGGGAAGAGGAAAGCAGGAAGGAAACATAGGGAGTGACAGCAACAGAAATTCATGGGGGAAAGCACTTTATACTTCCTCAGAAGATATCATGTTATTGCAGTTCTCACCAAAATTTTATTGGAGACTATTTATTTTTCCAAAACAATATATATACAACTTTTAATGATGTGTGATTGCACATCAGAGTAGCGAAAGCAATTCATTCACTTTTTACTGAGTTCCCTACGTCGGGTGCTGAGGTGCAAGGATACAAATGACAAACCCACACAGAGGACCAGCAGCAAGGCCCCTATAAAATATGGTTTCTCTGAGCATATGCAAGCTGGCCAGGGATGGGTCTGCCAGGACCTCATCTGTTCAAGGCCAGGACCAGTCACTTGGGATATAGAGACTGGATGTACCAGGGCCAACCAGGGGCCAGAGTAGCCAGGTGTCTGGCCTTGGACCAGACAGTCTGGTATTTGAGCTAATTTTCCCTGGAAGAAAAATGGGAAAATACTAGCCATGTTAATGTTGAGTATTTTTACATTGGTCAGCTTTATTTTTATCATGTTATGAAATGCTTGTCCCCAAGAATTCTCCATCATTCTTTAGGTGCGTGGTATGCGCTGCTGCTGCACCAATTTGATGCCCTCATGCCAAGAAGCCTGCATTTTGATTTTCGTGGGCCTTAGGCAGTTTTACCTTTGCGGACCCCTTTAAAAAATTAAAAATTAAATTTCAAAATATTTCAAAAATTTACTTTTTAGAATTGTATTTTATGACAGTATTGGTGTATAGATGAATATATTCATATTAAATATAAAAACCTTTTCTTTGACCTAATAGTTCATTTTTTCCTTCTGATTTTAAAAGAAGTTAGGACATTTTTGTAGGCCCCTAAAGGACGGTGGCCCTAGTACTATGCTTGTGGTGCCTCATGGATGAATTGGTCCCAGATGCCACTTAAGCCTCACTGTCAAAGTGACACCTCCACTAGAGAAGGCAGTAGACGGGCAGAGCTCTGAATTCGCTGTGGCATCATATGCTGACCAGCTGGCATTAGAGATGCCAAATTTTTTTTTTGTAGACATGTATTCATGGCAGTTTTTTTTCTTATTTCTTGTAGCAGCTTAGGACTTGTCAACCCACTGCTTGTTCTGTGTTCCACACTGGTATTCAAAGATGTGAAAGCAAGAAGAAGGCTAGGATGAGCAACACAACAGAATAACTCAAGCAACAGAGCAATTCTGAAACACAAGGAAAAAGGACTTACTCATACTTCCCTCATGGATTATCTGAGAATTGAATGAAAACAATCAGTAATGTATTCAATTCATAACAAATGTCACCAGTGAAAAGAACAGAGAACTGACAAAAGCTAAAACTACACAAAGTGAGATTTGCTCATGCATTAATGTAAACAGGAAAAAATAAAATCCTGGAGAATTTTAGATCTGCAAAATTTGATACAAGAAAGTTGGATTTTGTAAGAGTAAAATAAAAAGATACAGAACAAAATTCACACTGACAAAACTACAAAATATGACAAATCAGTAATCTAAATCTTGAAAAGGTGAAAAGATAAAATGACAAATCATACTAATTCAAATAACTTTTCAAACACAAATACAAGACAGAAAAACATAACCAGGCCAGATGTGGTGGCTCAGGCCTGTAATCCCAGCACTTTGGAAGGCCAAGGCAGGCAGATCACCTGAGGTCAGGAGTTCAAGACCAGCCTGGCCAACATGGTGAAACCCTATCTTTACTAAAAATGCAAAAATTAGCCAGGCGTGGTGGTAATTGCCTGTAATCCCAGCTGCTTGGGAGGCTGAGGCAAGAGAATAACCTGAACCCAGGAGGCAGAGGTTGCAGTGAGCCAAGATTGTGCCACTGCACTGCAGCCTGAGCGACAGAGTGAGACTCCATCTAGATAAAAAAACAAAAAACAAAAAACATAACCACATCGTATAGAAAATGGGCCATATAATTAAAGTATGGGTAGTAAAATTCACTTGGAAAAATTAATCAATGTGCATAAAATCCTAGTGAAAATGGTGGTCATAACATGTACCTAATATATCCTTATAATTAAAATGATAGAATTAATAAAAATTCTGAGTTAAAATTGTATAAAGAGATATTGCATGTCCTGAAAGTCAGTGCAGTTACAAGTTATTAAAGTAATTTAGTTTTAAAGCCTAGTTTTCTGAAATACAGGTTTAAAATTTTAATTTAGGTATCCGTGTACATTTACCATCACTACTGCATAGGAATAGTCTTGAAGGATAGCCCCTAACAGATACCAGAGGTTGCCTCTGGGGAGGGATGTAGATCCACGTGAGATAAAGGTTATGAAGGAAGAATTTTCGTTTTATATTTTGTATAAGGTATTATTCATCCCACCAGACAGCTAGTACCAAAAAGAGGCATATTCTATCTTTTTAATCAATCTCTTGTTGCCCTGCACATGGCTGTTCCTGCTTTTCCACCCAGCAGTATCTTGTGTCTTCATCACTTCCCTTCAATGCTTTACAAACTTACTCTCCTTCATTTTCTGAAGTTGCAGTCAGCTTCCCATTGGTGCTGTCTTTCCCCTTCCTCATATGAGAGCATCCATTTTGATTTACAGCTGGAACAATATATACATCTCTGTGTAATAAATAGGACAAGAATTATCCCAACTTACAGATGGGCGAGTGCTTCAAGTAGGCAACTTCCTAAGTGGGCAAGTTTAGAATACGTCTTTCAAGGTTATCCAAGGTTGTCCAAGTAAGTTCACAACCACATTCCCAGCTCAGAGGTCCCTTTATGGAGATTACACTTCTGAGCCTTTAACCTTGTAGGCATTAGCACAATGTTCTACTTAAAAGAAGACAGATCCTAGGTCTACCCCCAGATCAAACACCTGCAATAGGTTTCCATTGCCTCATTAAAACAGTCCAACTACAGATATGTAGGGAAAATGGGGACTTAGAATCAGAAGAATTTGGAGAAAATTATTCATGTTGCAAAACTCATTGTTTTCTAAAGAATTCCTTTACATCTTCAACTTCCTGTTGAAGCTATGTGATTATTTTGTGGTTCACTAATTATAAAAGTATAATGTAGTCAGAGATGACAGAGAGAGTAAAGAGAACACAATCCTTTCCCATTTTTAATATTTGAAGTTTATTTTTAGTGTGTGTGTGTGTGTGTGTGTGTGTGTGTGTGTGTAAAATAGAGATGGGGTCTTGCTATGTGCTCAGGGTGGTCTCAAACTCCTGGCCTCAAGTGATCCTCCTGCCTCAACCTCCTGAGCATCTGGGATTACAGGTATAAGCCACAGTGCCCAGCTTCCTTTCCTGTTTCTGAAGATGATGTGGAAGAAGTCGGCCTCTAAATGAAATGAAACGCCAATGCTCTAAGACTTAAGACTGCCAGGAAGTCTCATAGCTCTGCAGTCTAGAGACCAGCTGGTCCAGCACCCACTCTGCCTTCCACTCTGCTTTTTCTCCACACCCTGGTCACTTCCATGGAACCTCCTTAAGTGTGCTGGTCAGGCCCTGGAGTGGGTGACAGAATGCTGGATGATGAGTCTGTGCCTAAATCCATGTTTAGCTGGTGGAGTTGCCAGCTCCTTTCAGTCTAGGAAAAGTCAAAAGCCACTTTGGGTTAGATACCTTCTGTTCTTCATGAGTCCCTTGGCTGAACCTTCTCAGTTGAGCAAGTGCAAGGTGAGCACACGCTGTTTGCCCTTTTCTGTCACCTGTCTTAGTTCCTTGCCCTTTTCCATCACCTTAGTTTTCTGTTAGTACACAAAGCTCAGAGACGAAGTGAAGAAGTTTGCAGAAAGAGTTCTGAAGTCTTGTGAGGGAAAAGATTCTAGACCCCCAGCCATTCCTTCTCTGCATTTGGAGTTTGGGAAACCTGTCCTGGTAGAGCAGAGTTGCCCCATCTGATAATTCTATATGTTCAAGTGAGAGAGTATCTAGAGCAGCAGTCTCCAGCCTTTTTGGCACCAGGGGCCAGTTTCGTGGAAGGCAATTTTTCCATGGACCCGGGGTGGGGAGATGGTTTCAGGATGATTCAAGTGCATTCTGGTTTATTGTACACTTTATTTCCATTATTATTACATTGTGATATATAATGAAACAATTATACAATCTGACATAATGTAGAATCAGTGGGAGCCCTGAGCTTGTTTTCCTGCAACTAGGTGGTCCCATGTCGGGGTGATGGGAGACAGTGACAGATCATCAGGCATTAGACTCTCATGAGGAGCATGCAACCGAGATCCCTCGCATACACAGTTCACAATAGGGTTTGCACTCCTATGAGAATCTAATGCTGCCTGCTGATCTGACAGGAGTCAGGGCTCAGGTGGTAATGCAAGCTATGAGGAGCAGCTGTAAATACAGATGAAGCTTCTCTCACTCACCTGTCACTCACCTCCTGCTGTGTGGCCCAGTTCCTAACAGGCCACAGACCAGTACCAGTCTGTGGCCCTGGGGTTGGGGGCTCCTGGTCTGGAGAGTATAGAGTAAACTCTAACAGGAGTGCAGAGGCTGACCATGGCACTTTGGGATGCTGTGGGGTGGAGAGCCTTGCTTTTACCTCAAAATATAAAATTGTATGCCCCAGTTAATCTGAGTAGGAATAATATCATTGGCTCCCTTTAGCATAGCTGTGATAGGCTGAGAGCACTCTCAGAATTTAATTAATTCTCAAGGAAAATCAATGGGGGAGAAACACAGATATATAAGATAGGATTCAATTTCCAAAGATTACCTTCTGATCTGGTCACATCAGGTGCTTCCAGGCCTTAAAGGCCTTATCATCTTTTCAAAGTCACATTGTCTTGACATGCCTGTATCCTATCCCGCATCGCTATAATTTTGTGGAACCTCATCTGTGACTCTACTTCCTAAGTCTGAGCATGTTTATGACTAGAGAGTACCAGGTTAACAGCAATTTTTCAAGAGCTATCTCAGAAACAACTGGAAGCTTCTGAAATCAGGGCAAAGAAATTCCAGTTCCCCATTGTCCTCCACCTAGGGCTCTCCTTCTGAGTTCAGTTTTCATATGACTCTTTCCCAGGTGTCTTTTTAATTACCGTAACGTTCATATAACAAGACTTCTGCCCTGAAAAGATCCTTAGAGTCTGTCAATTCCAATCTGTTCCCTTTACAGAAGAAGAAATGTTACAGAGAGATAGAGATAAGAGAAAATGCAGTGAAGAATCCATACCCTTTTGTATCTTTAGGGCAAAGCATTACAGCAAACATAGGGAAATGAATAGAAAATTATAGACACTTTGGAGATGTCATAGTCTAGAATGAAAATTCCATGAGCCATCTGGCCTCTTCATTGCTGTGTCTCTTGTTCCTCTCTCATGCTAGAAACTCAAGACATTTTGTATTATTGAAACTGTGACCCAAACAGTTAAAGAAACCAGTGACTAGATAAGAAAAGAAAAAACTTGCTGAAATGCGGAAACTCCCTCTGCTTGCAACATAACAAACCTAGCTGAAATCAGTTGGAACCAATATGGCCAAATGGAGTCAGTGCAGAACGAGCTTGCTGATGTCACAACCCAAATTTCCACTGCATGTTTCACACTAACTTCCCCCAAATTTGCAACATGTGACCCATGAGGAAGCGTGCAGAGATAACTGTGTGTGCCAAGGATTTTCTGGATCTCCCCTTTCCTTCCACCAATCACCAGTTAATCTCAGAATCCACCCCTAACCCTTTTCTAATAAAAATACTGCCTTAAAGTCAGCACAAGGAGACAGATTTGAGCTGAACTTCTGTCCCCTTGTTGGTCGACCTACAATAAAAAGCTTTTATTTTCTCAAAACCCCAGTGTCATAGTATTGGTTTCTAGCACTTCAGGCAGCAAGGCCTTTTGCTTGGTAACAATATGAATAAATGTCAAACTTTGTTTAAGTAAATTACCCACATAGATACCTAATTGTGGAGACAAGCAGAATGAGTATGTAAATTACCCTGGCCTGAGAGCTTTCTCTGGGTTGCCTGGCAACCAAGGTAGCCTGAAAGCCCCACCTCTCCTAGGAGAGGCTACAAGTTCTCATAGGACCAGGGACATTCCTTTCTCCAGTGGGAGTGGCTGTCTCAAACTAACTTCCCACAGGTTTAGGACCCCTAAAGCCTCCAGGTGCTGAGCCTCTGGCATTTCCTAGCAATCCCCTAAACAGCTAGAACCTAAGCTCAGGCAGCTTAGTAGCTGAGCCCAAAATATTGATTTTCTCAGACTGCTCTCACACCAAGAGGCTGTAATTCAGAGACAGACCCCACTCCTATAACGATGGAAAACAACAGGAAGTGGGATGTCTCCCTTGCCGCAAGGCCCCTCAGTGTGTTTGTCGCTGCTCTGGCCATAGTCCGCCTCTCTGGGGATGCCAACACAAGAAAGGACACATCACCTGCGGACCTATTTGTGAGTTTCAGTCTGCTCGCTGCTGGTTACCCACCCCTTGCACCAATTCACAACACCACGAGTTAGAATAGAATCATTGTCATGTTTAGAACCTGAAGCTATTCTCATTGTACCAATGTGGTAACTGAGGACCAAATAAATTGAGTGCCGGTCGTAAGTCATGTGGTAACTAATGACAATCAGGAGTATATCCCAAGCCTCCTGGGTGCTTCCTCAGATCAGTTATTTGGTCACTTAGGGTGAAAAAGGGTGATTAATGCATGTATTAGGGCTTATGGGGTGGAAGGACCTAGACATAAGCTTTTGGAACTGCAATAGCCCTCCCATAGATCATGGGAAGTCTATTACCCTCCCAAGGATTTCTGCAAACTCCTTATGGGCTGTATTTTCAGAATAATCTTCAGTATCCATTTCTGCTGATTAGATCTGTTTCTGCTGATTAGAGAACTCGGTATTCAAATTTCCAGTGGTCTCATAAATACAATTTTTAAAGTTCAGTTTCTTTGAAACGGGATTCAAATAAACCAAACTTTAAAAATTATATTTGTGAGATCACTGGAAATCTTGTGACTAGTGGATATGTTCCTAAGTCTTTATTAATTAATAAGTTCTATTTCCACCTCTTGTTATGTAGTCCTTTCAATTTATCTGTTGAATAAGCCAAGGTTTCCCACAGTTTGGATTTTGTCAATTGTATCCTTGTGGCATTAATTAATATGGTTCTCTGTTAATTCATTAGGGATTTTTTAAATGGTGTTAGTCTATGTTACTTCTTCATTTATTAGCCAGAATAATAACTTCTATAAAGAGAAACTTTCCCTGATTGACCGTTATGTTATTCAGAGCTGTTTCTAATGGGGAAGACAGGATAGGTGCTTGATTCTCTCCCTTAATTTGTCTGTTTTCAATAATGAAAAATATTTGAAGATAACTACTGAGTTTTTTTAAAAAAATTATGAAGTCATGAATTTAAATATATTTTGCATCTTTTAGCTAATTGCAGTCTTTGTGCTATTTTTTTTTTTTTTTTGAGATGGAGTCTTGCTCTGTTGCCCAGGCTGGAGTGCAGTGGCATGATCTCGGCTCACTGCAAGCTCCGCCTGCCAGGTTCACGCCATTCTCCTGCCTCAGCCTCCCGAATAGCTGGGACCACAGGCACCCGCCACCACGCCAGGCTAATTTTTTTGTATTTTTAGTAGAGACGGGGTTTCACTGTGTTAGCCAGGATGATCTCGATCTCCTGACCTCGTGATCCACCCACCTCGGCCTCCCAAAGTGCTGGGATTACAGGCGTGAGCCACTGCGCCCGGCCGTCTTTGTTCTTTTGAATGCATAAATGTCACATCTTTGGCCAGTGGGAGCCTATTTGAGTTGGCTTTTGAATCATTTGATTCATCTTGTGTATTTCAGATCTAGAATCATATTTCTCTTGAGAATCTTGGTTTCTTTTACTGAAAAATGGTATGTGGGCCACAGTCTAGAAACTGGGAGCATTCATTGTTACTAGGTTGTTCATTGTTTCTTGGGATTTTTTTTAGCATGAAATATATTGAGAGTTCATATTGAGACTTCCAGTGCAAATTTAGTTCTGTAGAGTCTTATTTTTTTTATCTTCCATCTATATCTCCTTTCTCTGTGCTAAGTATCTAAGTTTTCTATGACAGTGGGATTGATGGAATTAGAATATCATATAATTACCCACCCATTTTTTCTATCTTACCATGTCTCTGAAACAGTTTTAGAATAACAATACCAAAACTACTACCAACACTATGATTTCTGAAAACAGTTTAAGATTTTCTTTTCTTTTTTTTTTTTTGTAGTTGTTTTGACTGTAGGATATATCCCAATTACCGATTTTTTTTTTTTTTTTCAGAGACAGAGGCTCACTGTCATCCAAGCTGGAGTGCAGTGGCAAGAACATACCAGTTACTGAATTTTAAAATCACTTGAAATAGTTCTTTTATTTTGAGTCAAGTTGGCAACCAAGGTAGGCTTGACCACAAAGAAAAGAATTATTCCAAGTGACAACATTTAGATTTAAGCTCAGAGGCTCCATTTTATTTTCTATGCTTTGGGATTGCTTTTTATAAATTTTTTATTTTGCTTTATAGAATTATGAGAAATTAATGGATAAAAATCTTTACATGTAGAAATGCTAAGTTACTCCTGTGATATCTAAAAGTCTGATAATGCCCAAAAGGATGATTACATGCTGGAAAATTCTTCCTATTTTGAGAACACATGTTGAACATGTGATAGATGCAAAGATCCAATTGATTATTTCTCTTTGTGTATATGATGTTGCCCTGATTGCCCTCAAACTGTTTTACATTAGAGAGGTTTGCTTTCTATAACAGACATACCAGATCCCTTGAAGGGGTAGGGTATCATTGATGTTGTGCCATCAAAAGACATATGCCTAATGGGGAAGAGAGTGAATGAGGGCACACAGTGGTGAGAACCTGTCATGTGTGCTAGATATCATTAAAGTCTCACAATTGAATATTTTAAAAAAAGTAAATACTGCATTCTGCTCCATAATAATATGCATATTATATAAAGATAAAAAATTGCTTTTTAAATAACTTGCCATCACAAAAATGGGCACAACAGGAAGCTGCATCATGTTTGAGGTGCAGCTTTCAGTCCTTTATGACATAGCACTTAATATCCCTCAGTTAGGAGACATACGCAGTGGGCTATCAGGACTGCTTCATCACATAGTGCTCTAACATATTTCTGGAATAACTTGAAAGCATTTCTGAATAATTTAAATTATCTTTCATTTTCAAATTGATTCAGAAGATCTCCTTTTTCCTGTCATTTGGAAACATCTTGAATTTGGAATCTTGCGTCGAGTTTGATAGGGGCTGGGTGGGAGAAGGGCAGACAAGAAGAAGAAAGTGTATCTTTCCTGCCCTCAACTTTCCTGGAAGCTTTTCTTGGTCTGTTTATTGCTGTCTTGGAGTTCAGGCAGCCCTGACCTTATGAACATAGTTAGAACCTGTAGCGTCAGTCATCCATGGTGTCATTTGTGGCAGAAAAAAATATAGGATGACTTGCCTTTACAATTTATTAATAATGGCTGCTAGCTTTGTGCTTACTTTTTAAAATGTTCTCTACCTCCCTTGTCCTCAAATCACACCTTCTTTTCCTGATCCTATATTCTTTTATCTAAAATTATTTTTTCTCTTGAAATTAGAACTTATTTTTTTAATACCTTCCTTCTTAACCTATGTGATTTCTTTTCTTTCCAAACCACCTATTAGCTGGGTGGAGGAGCTTCTTGAGGTCAGATTCTATTTCACAGGTAAACACATATCTAAGCTCTGTTAGCTCAGTTCGAGTGGAATCTCAACCTTTGAAGCTGAAAGAAACATGGATATCTTCTAGGCCAGTGGTCTCCTGGCTGCATTTCAAACAACAGGTCTCCTCAGAGAAAGCAGAGGCCACCACAGAATGAAAAAAGGCAGTTGAATAGGCTTCTTTTTACCTCTTACAGGGCAGTTCTGGTTTTATCTGCCTTAAATTTGGAGATTCCTTTCCTCCAATACTTAATCTTTTTTTTCTTAAAATAAAATTTCACAATAATAGACAGTTTGAGGGTTACTGATTCTAGACCAGTTATCTAATTTTCAGACAAGAAACGTGAAGCTCAATTTACCAAATTGTCCAGGTCACACAGTCAATTATAGAACGCAGACTTGACCAAGATCTTTTGACTTCCCCACTTACTATGCCTTCTATGACCTCCTATTTCTATAAGACAACAGAAATCAACATCAACAATGAAAAGCTTTTTATTTATTTTAAAAATCTATTGTTCTTTTATCTTGTTGCTTGAAGGGCACAATGAATGTCAGGCAGAATTGAGACAAACAAGAGAAAATTGCCTCAAGATTTTCTGAAATACAACTTGACAAATATTTTTATGTTGTACTAAATTAAAATATTTTCCAATGAAGAGAAAAAATTCTAGGCAAACTTGTCTGGTTGTGGTAAAAAAAAAAAAAGAATACGGATGACTAAATCATCATAATTTGTATTCCAAATGCAGAGAATGGTGAATAGGAAGAATATCAAATAGATAATTCATGTTTTTAAAATTAATGTCCCTATTGAAAGCCAGCCATACAGATTTATGACAGATGACAAATACCTTCCAAAAAAAAGAATGGTCCTAGTGATGTTTTTTTCCATAATAAATAGACTCAAAGTAGAAAAATGGGGAATAACTAATTCTGAAGAAGGTATTTTAATGTCTTTATTTTCTTTTTCAACTTTTACTTTAGATTTAGCAGGTACATGGGTAGCTTTGTTTCCTGGGTATATTGCATGATGCTGAGGTTTGGAGTATGAATCATCTCATCACCCAGGTACTGAGCATAGTACCCAATAGTTGGTTTTTCAGCCCTTGCCTATCTCCCTCCCTTCTCCCTCTAGAAGTCCCCAGTGTCTATTGTTGCTGTCTTGTGGGTACCCAATGTTTAGCTCCCAGCTATAAGTAAGAACACGTGGTATTTGTTTTCTGTTCCTGCATTAATTTTCATAGGATAATGGCCTCCAGCTGCACTCATGTTGTGGCAAAGGGCATGATTTCATTCTTTTTTATTGCTGTGTAACATTCCATGGTGTATATGTACCACATTTTCTGTATCGAATTCACCACTGATGGGCAACTCAGGTGTTGACTCCATGACTTTGCTATTGTGAGTAGTGCTGCAATGACCATTCAAGTGCATGTGTCTTTTTGGTAAAACAATTTGTTTTCTTCTGGATATATATCCTAATGGGATTGCTGCGTCGAATATTAGTTTTGTTTAAGTTATTTGAGAAGTCTCCAAACTGCTTTCTATAGTAGCTGAACTAATCTACAGTCCCACCAACAGTGTGTAACTGTTCCATTTCCTCTGCAGACTTGCAACAACTGTTGTTTTTGAGAAAAGTTTGTTTTTCAAATGATTATTAAGAATCCTTTGTGGAAAAAAATCTGCAAAGTCCAAAGGCCACGTGTGTGTGTGTGTGTGTGTGTGTGTGTGTGTGTGTGTGTGTGTGTGTGTGGTGAGGTGAGGGTGGCAGAGGGTGGTGGTGCTGGGTATGGGTGAATATGGGTATTTGCAGGGGAAAGCTTGGGTGGGCTGGGGTAATAACAGCATTATCTTGCATTCTATAAAATACTCATCTGAAATTCAAATGCCTCCTTTCTCTAAGGAGCTCAGCTTCCTTTATAAGCTAAGCTTTCCCAGGTAGGAAGGAGGAGGCTCTGAGCTGACTAATTACGGATGAACTTGTCCACATCACTGAATTCCATTATGAAAAAAAGTGTTAGGCCAACTTTCCAACAGAACTCCTGGGTAGAAAGTCCCAGATATCAGGCCTGCCAAAATTATAGAAATGTAGATCCCAGGAAATGCAACTCCAGGCAACTGGCTCTGCCCCGGAAACCAAGAAGAGAGTGAGGAGGAACAGAGGAAGTCAACACTGGCTGTTGGTGCAGGAATTTTGAGCCTCCATGCAGATTCCAGAGGATGGTGGTAGAGATGTCAATGGAGATGATTGCCTATAAACCCAAGAACAGCTACCTGCATTTGCTCATCATGGAACTCACCAGGGTTTAATACATTGAGTTATTGAATTATCTGCCTCCAACCTATTGATTTATCTACTATGAGGGCAGAGAGAACACATCTGTCTTATTCCCTGTAGTATCCACAATGCTCAATATACATTTAAGTGTACATGTCCCAACTCACCTGTGTCGGTATTCTGCCCTTCTTCCTGCTACCAGTGGATGAACTGATCCTGCCCCTATCTCTAGATAGCTCAGTTGGCACACTGGATCTCATCGTCCCTGTCCTGTACAAGAACTTTGATCCTGCAATTCTTCCCTTTTTCTTTGCATCATAATTTCTCCCTCTATACTGAATTATTCTTATCAGTATCCAATCCCAGTGTAATATTTCCCATTTTTAAATAAAAAAACCAAAACTCTCTTAGATATTACGTACCCCACACCAACAACCATTCCATTGTTATGGTCTTCTTAGTAACCAAAATCTTCAAAAGTCATCTCTACTCACTGCTTTCATCTCACATTCTGCCCTCACCCACTGGTTCTCTGCAACTGTGTGTTGCGGGTCGAGTTGTGTCCGCCGAAAAGACATGTTGGACCTTATTTGGGAATGGAGTTATCACAGTTGTAAATAGTGAAGATGAGGTCACACTGGAGCAGGGTGGGCCTTTAATTCATTATGACTTGTGTCCTCATTGGGAGAGGAGAGAAATACATGAGGGGAGAGTGCCATGTGACAATGGAGGCAGAGATTGGAGTGACATGTCTACAAGCCAAAGAGCCCCTAGCATTGGCAGCCCACACCAGAAACTAAGAAGAAGCAAGGCAGGGTTCTTCCCTAGATCCTTCAGAGAGAGCATGGCCCTGCTGACACCTTGATTTTGGAATTCTGGCCTCCACAGCTGTGAGAGAACGAATTTCTGTTGTTTTAAGTCACCCAATTTGTGGTACTTTGTTACAACAGCCCTAGGAAACAAATGCACTGTGCATACATATGCAAGACACCAAGGATCTTCATGTAACCAAATCAAATGATCACTTCTAATATCTTATCTTACGGACCTCTTAGCAGAAGTTGAAACAGCTGACCACTTCCTCCTTGACGCTGTTCTCTTGTATCCTGGAACTCTCCATTGGCCTGGTATCCCTCCTACCTCACTGTCCTCGTCTTCTCAGGCTGCATTGCCAGCTTTTTCTCCATTGCTCAGCTTCTAAAAGTTTGAGTGGCCCCAAAATTAGTCCTCATACTTGTCTTTCCTATTTGCACTTTATTTTGCAGTTTTGCGGCTTTACATGCTGTCTGAGGTCAAGAACTGCACAATTTATGTCTCTAGTCAGAGCCTCTCCACTGAACTCCAGTGCATGTATTTCTATTGATGTGATATTTCCTCTTGAATGTCTGAGAGAAACATGAACATTTAACCTGCTGTCTTAGTCCATTTTCTGTAGCTTGCAACAGAATACCTGAAACTGGATAAGTTATAAGGAAAAGAAATCTGTTTCTTATAGTTATGGAGACTGAGTAGTCTAAGGCTGAGGCACCACATCTGGTGAGGGCCTTCCTGCTGGTGGGGACTCTCTACAGAGTTCTGGGGCAACACAGGGCATCACATGGCGAGGGGGCTGAGGGTCCGAACTCAGATCTCACTTCCTCTTATAAAGCCAGAGTCCCACTCCTGTGATAACACACTAATTCATTAATCCATTAATTCATTAATCCATTAACCCTCTGACCCAAAGACCTCTTAAAAGCTCCTCCTCTCAATACTGCCACATTGGGGATTAAGTTTCAACACAAGTTCCAGAGGAAACAAACATTCAAACCAAGGCATCTGTTCAAACCCAAACTCTTGATTCCCACTCCCAAAACCTGCTCCTGTCTCAATTAGTAAATTGCATCCAATTGCTCCAGCCAAAATCCTAGAATTCATCCTTGTTCCTTTTTTTCTTACATCTCACATCCAATGCACTAGACTGTTGTGTTGGTTTTATTTTCAAAATATATCCTGTGAGCCAAAATAATGCTCCATAGCTTGGCAATCAATTTATTCAGCAAATATTTATTGAATACCTATGTGCCAGACACTGCTCTGGGCACCAGAGTAAATAGCAATGAGTTAACAAGCCAAGTGGAACATACATCCTAGTGGAGAGTGTGAGATTGTGAACTAAATAAATATGTAAACATATTTAAGGAAGTGATGATGTAGAGGGAAGAAATAAACCAAGATAACCGGATGGGAGTAGGGGAGACCGGGACAGAGAAAAACACATACCCCGAATCTGACAATTTCTCACCATCTTCATCATCACCACCCCAATCTAAGTCAACATTGCTTTAGATTAATGAGGCAATAACTTGTCTTGCCCCAAGCAATGTGAGAGCCTTCATACCAGTCTGTCTGCTTCCATGTTTGTTCCTCTGCAATTTAACCTTGACCCTGCAACCAGCATAATCTTTTAAAAATGTTAGTCACATCAAGTCACTATGCTGCCAAAGGCCTCCAGAATAAAATCTGACTTCCTTCTAGTGGCCTGCAGGCTGGTAACAATCTCCTGTAAACTGCAGCTTGCTCAGGCTACCTCAGCCACACCTGCCTTCCGGCTGTGCTTTCTGCACACCAGTCTGGTCCTGCCCAGGCCTTGCTGCTTGCTGTTTCCTCTGCCTTCTCCAGTGTTCCCACATCTTCACGTAACTTGTTTCCTCATCCCATTCATGCCTCTGCTCTATGTCAGCGCTTCAGGGGATTGCTCCTGGCCACTTTATTTAAAATAACACCTGTCCACCACTATTCCTTTAGCTTGGCTCGTACCTCTATAACATCTATTCCTTCCCGTCGTTAGATTGTTTGCTTATTATTGTATTACAAACTAGAATGGACACACCTGGAAGGCAGGAATTTTTCTTTGGTCACCACTCTGCTCTCAGGACAGTGCCTGACCAAAAGTCAGAATTTAATAATATTTGTAAAAGAATGAATGAGCCTTGACTTCAACATTTCTTTTGAGACATCACAGTGACCTGCATTTAACCTTTAAGGAAATAAGACTATTCCTCCTCGGCTGCATACTTGTCATAATTGTCAGATTTTGTTCTCTGAGGATCTTATGAGTCACTGTTGTCTGCGGAAAATTGTGGGGATCCTAGACTAATACCTTCACACAAGATCATCCAGTCTAGTCCTTGACTTAAGACAGATGCCCTATCGAGTTGCCATCCTTAACTTACAGTTGGAGTTCTCATTTTATTCTACCTGAACTAATTTTCTTTCTGATAGAATATTGTTGATGACTTCATGGTCTCCACGCTGTCCTTTTTTCCCCCATTGGTCTCTCTCAATGAGGGGCTGAACCCGCCAGCAGGTAGAGAGTTAGAGACATTCACCTGTGACAATTAACACCCTGTTGACTTTGCATAAGTATCTTTAACCACCAAATCAGATTACTATTCCTCTGAAGAGGCAGTTAGGATGCTTTGATTTTTTTTTTCTAATAGTTGATTTTCACCCAACTTTCTGGAATTCAAAAGAGAAAATCTTGCATGAGGGGAAAATAATGCAGTTCTTGCCTTAAGAGAAAGTGAATGACCCCTTTTGGGCTTCCTTCCATTTCCATACTCCTATGAAAACAAACTGGCATTTGTCCCTTAGGATTTTCTCCATACCCATACAAGAATACTTAAATATAGGATTGTTGTTTGATTAATTTTTAGAAAACTTCATATCATCCTACATATATGACTCTACCTTGCTTTTCTCAATTTATGTTACCTTATGGATAACCCTGTAGTGAAAACAGGTAAGAGCTCTGTTACTGTTTTTAAAAGTAGCATGAGATTCAATCATACACATGTTGCTACAGTTTATTCACCCATTCTTCTATGGAAAGACAGAATTTCGCTCTCTGTTCACTGTTGGTTGACAAGCCCCATTCCATGACTGTAGTCCTATTGAGCATTTCAGATAACTTGATTTGCTGTTGAGTGTTTTTGCAGAAATTCTGACTCATCATCAGAACATGGAGATTTGCTTGAAAAGGTTTTCTGTGCTTTTCCCTAATGCCCTGAGCTTCCCTCTCCCTTGCCTTTGGTCTCATGAAATAATGTGGTTAGGCAGTGTGAGGTGGTGTGCCGTGCATTCCATGGGACACAGACATCCCATGTGTCGTGAGCAGAAAATAGGCACACAGCAAAAGCCTGGCGTCCAATGGCTGCAGGCAAATTCCAGCTGTGTTTCCAATTAACTGTATGATCTTGGTTAAGTAATTTTCCCTTTTAGGGCCTAAGTTGCTTCAGATTTGATTAGGGAGTTGGGTAAGATAAAACTTTCCAGTTTAGGGAAACTATGCTCCTGGGTACACAGCAGCTAAGGATTCTTGGGCTACAAGAAACAGGGAGCATATTTCTATGACATGTAATTTCATAAACTTTTAAACATTTAAACATTCATGGACATATTATGACATACAATGAAAAATCTATATAAATAAAACTAAGATATGAGAACCCAAAGAAAATCTCCAGTCATGGAGAGAGGGATTGTGATGCTTGTTTTTTTTTTTTTTCTCTCATCATTATTTACAAAGCACTGAGCAGAAACATCCTACTAGGTCCTTCTAGCTCCAAAAATGATGAGGCCAGGACAGTATTCATTCCAAATGCATCTGACTCTCAAGTGAGACAGTAGCTATGTTTCTCAAAAGGAGTCAGAAGTTCAAATTATGCAAGTCAATGAGTATATTTTTTAGTAGGTCAGACCCCAAAAACAATGATGTTCTTTCCCCCACCATAATGTATTATTTAGAATAATTCATTCATTTTCTTAAGGTTTTCTTTGTTTTTACTTTAAGCTCCGGGATACATGTGCAGGATGTGCAGGTTTGTTACATAGGTATACATGTGTTATGGTGGTTTGCTGCACCTATCAACCCATCATCTAGGTTTTAAGCCCTGCATGTGTTAGGTATTCGTCCTAATGCTCTCCCTCCCCTTGCCCCCCACCCCCTGACAGGCCCTGATGTGTGTTGTTGCCCTCCCTGTGTCCATGTGTTCTCATTGTTCAACTCAAGATAATTCATTTATTTAATAGATATTTACAAGCATCAGCTCAAAGAGGAAGGATGTAAGAGAAAAGGCGTGTGAGAGACCAGAGTGAAGCCTGAAGGGGTTGGGAGGGAGACCATGGCACCTGTGGTGAGAGGGGAGGGCAGTAGGAGACGTTGCTGCACAGGGAGAAGAGCTTGCCTGGGCCCCAGCCTGGCTGACCCAAACCTAAATGGTGGGGCTGGGCCCAGGCGTATGTGTTATTTAAAGCTTCTAGATGACCTTGATGCCCAGTGGGAACTGTGAAGCACTGATGTGGAGCCTGATTGGGTCTTACTCTGAGTGAGGTAGAAAGCCATCAGTAATTTTTTTCTCCATTTTTTATTGTGATAAAATACCCATCACATACAATTTACCATCATAACTAGTTTTAAGTGCATAGATGAATGGTAATAAATACATTCACATGCTTGTGTAACCATCACCACCATTCATCTCCAGAACTATTTCATCTTCCCAAACTGAAACTCTGTCCTATTAAACCACAGCTTCCCATTTCCCCCTCCCCTGGCTCCTGGTTAGCAGCATTCAACTCTGTGACTCTAGGAATTTGACTCCTTTAGCTACCTCGTATAAGTGAACTTGTACAAATTGGTCCCTTTGTGACTGGCCTATTTCACTTAGCACAATGTCTCAAGATCCATTCATGACATTGCATGTGTCAGAACATTCACTTTTTAAGGCTGAATAATGTTCCACTGTATTGATAGACCACGATTTGTTTATCCATTTTTCAGTCAGTTGAACACTTGGGCTACTTCTACCTTTTGGCTGTTGTGAATAATGTTGCTATGAACTTGGGTGTACATATACCGCTTTCAGTCCTTGCTTTCAAATCTTTTGGACATGTACCTAGGAGTAGAATTGCTGGGTCATATCTGACTTGGTAACTGTTTGTAAACTGAGTTAGTGTGGGGAAACACACAGAATGTGTTCACTGGGACCTCACTAGTACATTTGTATTGCAAATAATATGTCACAGTTTTAGGGTGAGTTGAGATTAAAAACAAGATTATATCTGGGTTAGTTTCAAATCTCCTTTACCATGTATTAAATACATTGTGAATTCTAATCATGGATTAAAATTATATAATACTGATATGGTTTGGTTCTGTGTCCCTACCCAATCTCATGTTGAATTGTACTCTCATAATTCCCATGTGTTGGGAGAGGGACCTGGTGGGAGATAATTGAATCATGGGGGCGGTTTCTCCCATGCTGTTCTCATAGTAGTGAATAAACCTTACGAGACCTGATGGTTTTATAAGGAGCAACACCTTTCATTTGGTTCTCATTTTCTCTCTTGCCACCGGTATGTAAGAAGTGCCTTTCACCTTCTGCCATGATTGTGAGGCTTCGCTAGCTACGTGGAACTGTAAGTCCATTAAACCTTTTTCTTTTGTAAATTGCCTAGTCTTGGGTATGTCTTTATTAGCAGTGTGAAAACAAACTAATACACATATATACATAATATTTTACATATTTATGGGATAAATGTGATATTTTGTTACATATATAGAGTGTGTAATGATCAAGGCAGGGTATTTGGGGTATTCATCACCCTGATTATCATTTCTATGTGTTAGGAAAATTTCAAGTTCTGTCTTCTAATTACTTTGAAATATACAATATGTTGTTGCTAATTATAGCCACCCCACTCTGCTGTTGAACATTAGAACTCAGCATCAGTGAATTTTTGAACAGATCTTCACCAAGGTTATGGATCACTGTGGATGCAACCTTGAGAACTGACCTCAGGGAGGCAAGGATGGGTGCAGGATAGGAGGCTCTCCTGATAGGAGGCTGCTCCAATAATCCAAGTAAGACTTGATGTGCTTCATTGCCATAGGGTTGTGTTACTGGAAAGGGGTCCCAATCCATACCCCAAGAGAGAGTTCTTGAATCTCATGCAAGAAAGAATTTGGGGCAAGCCCACAGATTAAAGTGAAAGCAAGTTTATTAGGAAAGTAAAGGAATAAAGTAAAGCAAGTTTATTAGGAAAGTAAAGGAATAAAGAATGGCTACTCCATAGGCAGAGCAGTGGCTTAGGCTGCTCAACTGAGTATACTTATAGTTATTTCTTGATTATACGCTAAACAAGGGGTGGATTATTCACGAGGTTTCTGGGGAAGGGTTGGGTAATTCCGGAACTGAGGGTTTCTTCCCTTTTTAGACCATATAGGGTAAATTCCTGATGTTGGTATGGCATTTATAAGCTGTCATCGTGCTGATGGAAGTGTCTTTTAACATGCTAATTCATTGTAACTAGCATATAATGAGCAGTGAGGATGACCAGAGGTCACTTTCATCACCATCTTGTTTTTATTGGGTTTTGGCCCGTTTCTTTACTGCCTCCTGTTTCATCAGTAGGGTCTTTGTGACCTGTAAGTTGTACCAATTTCCTATCTTATCCTGTGACTAAGAATGCCTGACCTCCTGGGAATGCAGCCCAGTAGGTCTCAGCCTTATTTTACCCAGCCCTTATTCAAGATGGAATCGCTATGGCTCAAACACCTCAGTTTTTATCCGTTGTAGTGGCGATAAATATTGCAATCTGGACATATCTGTGAAGGTGAAGCCACCAGGATTTACTGCTGACTGAGAAAACAAAAAGCAAAAAGTTTATGAAAAAAGTGAACATAGAAAATGTTTATTTTTGAAATGAACAAAAAATACTCTCTGAAATATCCCAAGAAGCCACAAAGAGCATTAGCTTTTGACCATTGGCTCTGATGTTCCCTGTCTTCTTTATGATGAGAATTCTCACCACCATTTTTGGCCATGGCCACTGGTGTTGCAGACTCAGCCCTTCCTCTCCTCTGGGCTGCATTGGCATGATTTTGTCTTACCAGCAGGTAAAGCCTGAAACCACCTTTTTCAGTGGGCCTAGAAACTTCCACTTTGTCTCTGAAGATGAAAGCCATGTGCTGCTTCTCAACTGAGAGCCTCTCTGTGATGTTAGAGATGTTTTGCAGCAATGGCATTCTCTGGACATGCACAATACCACTAAGAAGACCAAGTTCTGCCCCTTGTCCTTTGGTGGCTCTCCTGAACTACTCTGCTAGCATCAGAGCCTCCAAAATTTTAGTAAGTGTTTCAGTGTTTTAAATTGTGTTATTCTGCAATGAGTATGTCTTTCCAAAAAGGATTTGACCTACACCTTCAAGCCTGTGATGGTGAAAGCATTGATGCATCTGCTTTTCCCATCTGCGGTCTTGGTACCTGGGCTTTATTTAGGGGTTATCCTTGAGAATCAAGAAATAGCCTTGAAGTCCTTCAAATAAATGAAAAACAGATTGGGGTTGGGGGTGTCCCTTGCATGTGACAGGCATTTTAGGGCATGTAGCTATAATTAATCTTGCTTTCAGACTCCTGAAAGTGAAGCTTAGTAAACAGCGTGAATCACAGAATACTCTCGTTGGTCAGCCCCCTTTCAAGGGTGTTAAATGTCTGGCTTGGCACTTTGTTTTATTTAACTAACTTTTCAGCCCGTTTTAACACGTGGAACCTCCTGAAACCTGAGCCAGAGAGCCTACAGATCTAGCTCCATTTCGTTCTGGTCTGTCACTTTAGTGTTAGCATTTTCCTCACTCTTGTTTCCAGTTTGAGTTATGAAACCATTTCAGTTCAGTTTTAATAACCTCCCTGGCATGGCAAGTGCTGCAAGAACTGCCAAACTTAATGCGTTGACTCCCTGTGAGGAGGGCAGCAGGGACAGGGAGGTAGACTTTCTATAAACGCATCCGTTTTCCATTACAGCCCTTTCTGACTTGATAGCAGGCTGCCAGGTGCAGCTGGTTTCCTCTTCTACATGCAATCACTTTTGACTTTGGTTTCTGAATTTCCCTGTCTCCTGACTCATGATCCCTTAACTAAATAAACTACCTCGTGATGGACCTTCCTGCCTGAGGAGTGCATCCCAGGGCTCAGAAGCCTTGAGAGGACTGAACTGCACCCTGAAGGACAAAATTCAAGCTGGTGACTTCCACATGTGTTTTGTGAAGCCTTCATGACCACCATAGGGAAACAGCTGCACTGGTGCAGAGATAAAGCTGTCTTTGTAGAATAAAAGCAGGATTCTATCCTAAAATTGATTTACATCTGAGCTGCAGGCACGCTACTGAAGAAAGCTCTCTGAATCTACCCCCGTGAGAACTTCCCCCAGCCACTCCTATGCCACAGAACAAAGGCCAGGGTAGGAGTTCAGATCTCTATTGTTCAGCCTCATCCTTTTCTCAGAATCTGTGTTTATATAAGACACTGACACACTCATCTCATTGAATAAAAGACACAAATATTTTATTTCTTATGAAATGTTCAATAGACCATAGATTTCATGGGCTGGATTACAACATAGAGACACCCTACTTTAAGCTGATAAAATACATGAAATACCAAATTCATAGTTAAGGCAATGTACAACACAATTACTTGCTTTATAAAAAAAGTGGCCGTAAGACACTTTAAATATGTATACTCTAGTAGAGAAATAAAATACTACAATTTCTTTATTCAAATAAGTTGAACTATTCCCATTATGAAAATAGTAGAAAAATAGATCAGGAACAGAGCCAAGGAGCTGCCCAAAGCGGTATATACATTCTCATTTGGGAATGTGGACACCTCTAATTTCCTTTGGAACCTCAGCTTAATCTTATTAAATTTCCACTAAAATTCTCTAGGGGAATTCAATGATGGGGTTAAAGGGTCAAGTTTTCTCCGGGTTTTGCTACTTCTTAGTGAACACTTTGTGGCCTCTGGAAGTGGAGGGAGCAAAACCTCAGAGAGTGCAGAGTCCCTGTGTGCAGAGAGGGCAGCAGCTGGGTGTCTCATCACCTTGCAGTTCTCAACCTTATGTGGTGGGGGGTGCCCCCGGGTGACTTAGTCCTGCGGGCCAAGACTGCAGGCTGCTGCATGAATAAAATAGACCATGAGTGAAGTCTGATTCTGCAGGTGCTAGCTGAAAGCCCACCACTTTCTCCCCTGCTCAGGAAAGTGAATTAGAATGCTAGTGAACAAAAGAGCTGTTATCATAGGGATGTCCTCTTATTGGAATCTACACTCAGAGTTTTTATATATGTTACCTAAAAACTTTGGTATACTCTAACTGTTTGTAGTGATAACTTACTCGTTCCAAACTCCCTCCACTTCCTGAGATCTGCTGGTGCAACCTGTTATTGTAAGAGTATGGGATGGGGACCATGGAGGCATTTCCCTGTCCCCTCTCATCCAGAGTGAGCTAGGCAGGGGTAGCCTTCCCTCTGGACGGTTTCAGGTCCCAGCAGGCTTCCAGGGAGGATGGGAGCTGCGGGAGGGAATATGCAGGGAAGATTGTTGCAGAATCTGGAAAACTGCTCTCAGCTTTCATATTTTTTGAGCTAGATCCTCTTGCCTCAGGCTGCCCTTGTGTAGGTAGACACCCACCACTCCCACCCTACCAGGTTTTGTTTTTGTCTGTTTTTTTTTAATTTATTCTGCTGCCAATGGTCTTCAAAGCATAAGAGTTTTCATATTTCTGAAACATCACAGAACCTTCTAATTAGCAATATTTGACCACAAGGAGTTGCAGCTTCTTCTATATATCTCCAAAATAGCTAGACTTTTGCAAGTTTTTAAAACCCAAATTTTAATTTGTGGGCATATTCTTTATTTGTACTAAGTTACAATAAGCACAAATTCTTTTGTAATATTGAGAATTATTTTTAAATTGACCAAAATTATTCACTAAAGAATTATTTTCCTTAAGAAGAAAAGAAAATATTGTAGCAACAAAAAAGGGGGTCTTGAAAGATTAAAAATCTGCTGATATTCCAGCTTTACTCCTCTCCCCTCCCCTGGCTTCTGGGGCCACCTACAGAATTCAGGCTCCTTGAATGGAAACTATTCTGGAACATGGAGTGTGGGGTGGGGGGCAGGGGGCTGCTTTGGTACAGCAAAGCTATGTGTCTATTTGAACAAAGGGAAAAGAAAAATGATTTCATTGTCCATGAAGTGTCTTCAAGAAAAATAAGTCATGGGGAGGTCTGGGACAAGGGCTTCCAAACCTGGTTTTGCAGAGTCCCCTTTGGGGACAAGAAGTGGAGATGGGGAAGAGAGGAGAAGGGGGGCAAGAAAAGGTTGACTGGGGCAACTTCAGCATCCCTCTCCCGACCAGAGAAACTCCACTTTCAGGAAAACACGAATTATTTCATTTTATTCAAACAACTGTGTGTATAGGTGTATAGGTGTATAGATATTTTCCAGGCTCATTATTTGATATCAGTGCTCTAAATATTGTCATCTAACACCAAATGCAATGTAAAGTTTTTGAGAAAAATCAATTGCATTTCTAAGAAATTGGCAAAATGACCATTCTCCTATCTCCTAATATTACTGTTACTACAGAGAATGGAGCAAAGTCTAGATTATTTAAAAATTGAAAGTAATAAAACTTTTTTTCTAGGTATGGGTAACTGCACTGGCTATTGAGAGATCAAATGATATGCACCTTCAGGAACTCTTCCAGCAAGAGCTACTCAGTGAGGAGACATTCATCATTAGCACATTCAGAAATTATAGCTCTGATATGTTTTCTGGGTGGCCGGATGCAAAGGATCATCCATAGTTATGAAAACTCAAGAACAGGGAAGTCAATTAGTATATTTATAAATCTGTATTCCTCTCCTGTCAAGGAATCTCCCTGTATATGAATGATAGCTGTGTCCTTGATTTGAGTAACTCTTTTTCCTAATCAAAAGAAACTCAAATGAACAGGCCCATATGTCTTATCAGAACAAACTATCCTGTAATAAAATGGAAAGAGGTTTTGAAAACTTGATTGTTAGTGTCCATTAATATCTTTCAAGCAGGTACATGGTATAGCATGTAATTATAAATACAGATTATAATGGCAGGCAGTATTATCCTTTAGAAAAGAGGGGATGAAACTAAGTAATTCCCTTCTCTATACTAGACACTTGTTGAAGCAAAGTCTACCACGATCTGAACTCCTCAAAGTGCATATAGTCTACTAAGGGTATCTGGCTTTTACAATAAAAAAGGTACCTTATGTTATAAAACCCGTGCTCAATAGCCTTATTTCTGGTGATTAGGAGAGGCACCAGTGGTAAAAGGCTCAGAGGAATGGCAGAAGGAACATGGATTTTGGAATTTGACTAGTCTAGATTCAAATCCCAACTCGTAACAGAGTCATCTTGGTAAGGTATGAAGCCAATATTTCATAAGTCTTATTTCCTCATTTGTTAAGTGAGAACAAAACTCCTCATCTCATAACGTCAAATGAAATAGGGAAATCATCAAGTTGAGACTTGATGCCTTGCGTACAGCAGACACTCAAATATATGAGGTTAACTTCTTTCCTCCTCTTCTTACAGGCAGATTAAGAAAGGATGTGTTAACTTATCCAGTGGTTAAGGTTAGGAATCTTGAAGATTCAGCAAGTCTCCCTTTTCGTATTTTTCTGCATGGTCCAGAATGCAAGGCTAATATCTGGAGAGTGCTTGGGCATTCCCAGATGGAATACTGATGATAGGGGCTGCATCAGGCCGTTGATCCCAGTATTACCTGTTCACTAACAACAATTTGAACTTCCCATCTTCTGGTTCTGCTGAAGTGTGTGAGGTCCCTGGGTGTTAACCTGCCTGGGTGATGACACTGCCCATCAGCAGTGATGGAGCCCGTAGCAGTGGAAGCATCTTTTAGAAGATCTTTGAGTTCCATTTCTTTTGGAGATGAAGTAGGGAAAAATCGGTTTGCTTGGAAACTCTTGCCATTTGGCAGGTATTTTGAAAATTGAAGGAAGCATTGAAATTGGCTTGGAATTATCAAGCAGCTCCAGTGTGTTTTAAATATTAGGCTTCCTCATGCAATTTCATTGAAAAAAAGATTTCTGTGACGCCAAAGAATTTGCAAATTAGCAGCATACTACAAGAGAGCTGTATGGAGTCTGAGAGTAAAGGGTGTACTGCCCTGGGTCTACCCTGCGTTCTGCCACTAATTTGCTGTGGGACACTACTGCTCTGTGTTAGTTTCTTCAGCATCAGAAAAAGAAAAAGAAAATACACCTTAGGGCATGAAAGAATATTTTAAAGGCCTAAAGCAATATATACATCATAGACATCATTAGAGACCAAGTTCATTTTGTCCCCAACAGACTTTTTATTGTAGTTTTGATTTAAATTATCTCAATATCATAATTACTTTGATGGCCCAATCTCAAAACATAGCTAAAATTAATTAGGTCAGAGTAGAAGAAGCAGAATATCTTTTTATTGCTTTTTTGTTTTTAATAAGCACTTAGAACATCCCTACTTCTTTCAGTTAAAGAAAGGACATATATTTGTATATAAATTTGCTTTCTTGTCAATTCCCAAAAATATCTTCATGAACCAAATCCCAAAAATAATTAGAAAAAAATTGTTTTCAGTTCCAACTAATGAATGTTTCCTGTGAGTTCATTGATTCAATTCAATTGAAGGTGTAAGCTGCCTCTGTTCATGAGGCTACTTGAGATACTGCCTTTACTTAGACCTGTTTTTCTATCAAACACAATGTGCAAACATTAGACAAGACAGGCATTGCAAACTTATACTATGAGACAAGTATCTAAATATTAATGTTTTCACAAAAACTATTTGCCATAGCACTGCTTTATAATTAATTGGGATGCTTGTAAACATTCATAAGAACATTGTGCAATAAACATAAATATTTTATTGCTTTAAAAATGTAAATGTAATGCATAATGTAGGTAACATACACTGATTTAAAAGCTAACATTAATTGCCAACAGAAACTTAATCATGAGCTATTAATTACTGTAGCACCTAGGAGTCCTGATTAAAATTCCAGTTATTCAAACAATGATAACCTGTTACACTTAATTTGACCATCCTAATTCTGGGCTTTTGTCTTGCTCATAATGCACAGCTCTTCCCAAATACAGTCATAGCATAAGAGTACCTTTCCTATTCTCAAAAAATGGTAGGTAGAATACAGTTTATTGCAGATAACTCTATAGAAGCTAGATTTGGAGCTGAAGGGGCTGTGGTAAATTCTAGCTTTATGTTTGTTATAAGGGTACAATTTGTGACATTTACATTTTTATTGAAATGAAGATTTTGTTCAGGAAAAAATTGAACCACTTGGGCTGAAGAATCCAGTCATGGGGGACTCTAAAATGGGTTGGAGTCTTTGTCAGAAAGAGAAGACAAGGAAAAACATCCTTGACCTCTGTCCTTCATGTCCAACTTTTATTCCCCAGCCCATAAAGGAACTCTCTCCCCCAGGTGGGGACTCCCTTCATCCCCTCTAATACAGAGTCGCTAATCTGATTGGTCAGAGAAATTTATGGAACCACAATTGCAGGGAGCAGGGCAAACTACCTGTTGTTCTACCTGTGCCCAGGAGCCCTACAGATGCAGACATAGTTTCTCTCCTTTCCATAGTACACCTCCCCATAAAGAATTCAAAATTTAGATTCAAGATATGAAGTCTCACATTTGCCTAGGTTCTAAGTCATCTCCTACCAGGTTTACCTGAAGTCTTGCCTTTTCTAGTTTTCAGCTACTTACCTAGATTAGTACATTATCTCATTTCTCATCTATCTAGTCATCATGATTTGCTCCGCCAGAACCTGATGGGGGAAGAGGACCAAGTAATTGCCAGGACGTATTTTGAGGGAGAAGGGCTATAGAAAGACTTACTTAATTCTCGAAGGAAAGGAAACGTAAGGAAAGCAAGGCCAGAGCATGCCAAGGCGGCTGGGCCTGGAGAGATCTTTTCTCCTCTCTCCTCCCATCTCTCCGTCTCTGCCATCTGTGAGAATACTCTTTCTGGAGGTGGCAATTGACAGAATCACAGCTGCCTCTAGTGCCTGACCCAATTAAATTTTGCTCAGAGATAAAAAACAAGTGACCAAAGAATGAATATCTGGGAAAAGTAAACTGAATGCAATCTTTTGTTTTTCAAAATAACATTTTTTTTCCCGATTTTATAAGTAAATATACACTCATATGTGCAAATGTGGAAAGGAGAGAACAGCATAAAAAGGCTAACAAATGTCATTTGTATCCTACCAACCAGGAAGAGCGATTTCTCTTTCTGTTTCTGAGCTCCCTCCAGCCACCTCCAAGCTTTTGGCACACCCCCACCTGGTTCTGCTTAGACTCAGCTGCTGGTTGGAGTACAGGTGTTAAAGACCTCATTAGCACAGTTTTGCTACTCACTTGGAAAACTAAATAACCCTCCAGTGACTCTTAAGTTCTCCCAGCACAATCCCTTTCTCCAGCTGGTGAGTTCAGAGTTTTAGAAGTTTGTGTGTTGCTGCTACCTTCTTCTTAAGTTGTTCCAATTTGCCTTTCAAAAGGGACGTCTATAACTGCCCTATGTTAGGCCCGGGTGTTCCCAAGTTCCTTGCCCCGGCTTACTTCCACACAGAGTGTTACATGGTTCATTTATTTGTGGGGCAGGGAGGCACTATCATTCTTCTTTCTTTCCCACTGTCAAATGTAAAAACAAAACATATGAAGCAATGAGTTTAACCCATTTCTTCGTAACTTCATCCTAAATTGTCCCAAGAAATTAGGCTCTCACACAATAGAGTTGTTCAACTTCTGATGTCATATTGCTGACTGATGTGGAGAACATCGCTTTTCTAACTGTTGACTATTAGAATGCAGAAAAGCCAGACTCCTCGGCATGGTGTTGGCCTAGTGTGCTCCATTGTACATGCACTCACAGATGTGGCCACCATGTTTTCTCTTAAAAAATCAGAATGAAGTGCTGATTTATTCTGTGAAGTGCTGTGTTATTCATAACACAGTTCAAACAACAGAGAGTAATTACTTAATGGGCTCAATGTATGTTATTTGAGTGATGGATACCCTTAAAGCCCTGAGTTGACCACTACGCAACGTATGCATGTAAGAAAATTGCACTTGTACTCTATATGTTTATATAAATTAAAAAAAAACTGTAAAACAAAACACAAATAACAGAAAGTATTTTCTACAAATGTATTTTCTCCAAACATTAGAGTTTTCTTCCCAGCCTTCTCTTCCCCCTCCTACCTGAAGTATCCGTATTTCCAGGGTTCTATCCTTGCTTCATCTTTCTTTTTTAAAAATTCCCTCTCAGGAATGTTCCATCTCTCCTTGTCTTCAGTTATTGCTCTGTTGAGGATTCCCAGATCCTCCCTGAACTTTCCTGAAAGGCAATCTAGCAAAGCTATGAAGATTGTGCATTTTCAAGCCCAGAGCTACATCTCATTGCCATGTGCCTTTCGGAGAGATTTTCAGCCTCTGGGTCTCAGTTTCCTCATCCATAGAATAGTGAGCAGTGCATGAGACAGTACCTGAAGCCATTTCAATACTAGCAAAAATGTGCTGGCCCTAAGTGATATTAGGAGCATTTGTTTGTTAGAAAAATGTTTTTATTTTGTTTTGATTAAAATGAATTTAGTTTTCCATTATCTTTTGAATAGGTAATAGATGTACATGTAAAATTTCAAAATGTACAACAGGGTATGTGTGAAAAGTAAGTCTCTATTAATCTTTATTGTTCAATCAACCTTCCAGAAGCAACCAATTTTTTGGACCTCACTCTTTCTGATTGCTAAGTAAGATGGTAAGTCCTCACTTAACATCATCCGTAAGTTCTTGGAAACTGCAGCTTTAAGCAAAATGATGTATAATGAAACCAATTTTTTTCTTATCAATGTTATAACGAAACAAGGAAACAATATTATTTCAGGACCTGCTGTATGTTGTTTTGCTTAAAAATCACAGTTTCCAAGAACTTATCAGCAATGTTAAGTCAGGACTTACTGTGTTCTATTGTACGGATGTACAATAATTTATTCATTTTCCTATTTGAAAATATCAGGTTATTTCCTACTTTATTATTAAAATCAACAGTGAACATGTTTGGATATAACTGAGGATAGATTTCCAGAATTAATATTGGCAGGTCAAAGGATAACAGCATATTTTGCAGTTAGGTTTTTTCAGCTATAATTTACATACAGTAAAATTCACCCTTTCAGTGTATAGATCTACAGGTTTTGACTAGTGCATACAGTTACATAACACCAACACAATCAAGATATGAAACACTTCCATCATCTCAAAAACTTCCCCCATGTCTAGAGATGTATTATAGCCAGTATGTACTAGCTTGAGAGAGCTGATTGTTAAAGTTTCAGGAATTTTCGAAGCCTGTTAGTAAAAACTTAATTTAAAATTAAATTATATAAACTTCAAATTAATATATTGTCCTAAAACAAATATGGTACTATATCAATATATTATACCAAAAACAAAAGTGTTACATACTAAAAACTCATTACTTCTAATTATTTTATACTTTGCTATTATCTATAGTCATGAATCTGTTTATATCTATTGTATCTGTATTGTGAAAATACCGTACAATACTGTGCTACTGTGCATCTCTTCCCAACTCTACATTCAGTGTCATCACTTTAGTAGCTTTAAATTGGCTACGTTGAGGATATTTACACTATGGTAATTGGCAGTGCTACAAACCAGTGAGTTTTGATTTAGAGAACTTGTTAGACATGTACCAGGATACCAATGTTCATACCTTTTTTTTTTTTTTTTTTTTTTTTTTGAGACGGAGTCTCGCTCTGTCGCCCAGGCTGGAGTGCAGTGGCGGGATCTCGGCTCACTGCAAGCTCCGCCTCCCGGGTTCACGCCATTCTCCTGCCTCAGCCTCCCAAGTAGCTGGGACTACAGGCGCCCGCCACTACGCCCGGCTAATTTTTGTATTTTTAGTAGAGACGGGGTTTCACCGTCTTTAGCCGGGATGGTCTCGATCTCCTGACCTCGTGATCCGCCCGCCTCGGCCTCCCAAAGTGCTGGGATTACAGGCGTGAGCCACCGCGCCCGGCCGTTCATACCTTTTTATAGTCAACCCTTTCGCCCAACCCCAGGCCCTAGCAACGACTCATCTGTCTTCTGCCTTTGTAGTATTACCTTTTCCTGAATAAATGAAATCATACACAATGTAGCCTTTTGAATCTGCTTCTTTCACTTAACATAATTGATTTGAGGCCATCCATGCTGTTGTGAGTATCAGTTGTTCCTTCTTATTGCTAAGTAATGTTCCATTGTATGGATGTACACCGTGTGTCCATTCACCTGTTGATTGACACTTGGGTGGTTTCCAGCTCTTGGTGACTATGAATTAAACTATTATAAATATTAACATAGATGTTTTTATGTGACTATTAGTTTTAATTTGCTTGAGTAAATACCTAGGAGTGTTAGGTTGTGTGATAAGTGTATATTTAACCTTATAAGAAACTGTCCGTTTTCCAAAGTGACTGCATGGTTTTGCATTTTGACAAGTAATGTATAAGAGTTCTAGTTGAGTTGCTTTACATCCTTGCTAACACTTAATTTGGTCAGTTTTTAATTGTTAGACATTCTTACAGGTATATAGTGGAATCTCACTGTTGCAGCAAGAGCACTGGTCTGCTGTAATCTATTACAAATTCTTGGAAGTGAAATCCTTTCCCTTTATTCCTGGAGAACATGCGCACAAAATACATAATTTATTGTTTGGCTATTATTTCCTTTAAGCACTTTGAAGACATTACTATTACTTTAGCTTTTAGCTTTCAACTTTTTCTCTCAAGAAGGCAACTGCCATTCTTGTTGTTTCATTGAGGGTAATATGTCTAATTTTTTGTATCTCTCTAAATTTTTTGTGGATTTTTTTTTTGTCTTAAGTTTTCAGATGCTTTACTGTTATATGCTTAAGTGTGATACTCTGTGTATTTATCCTATTTGGAGCTTGTGAAATTTCTTGTATCAATGGCTTAGTGTCTTTCATCATTTAAAAAAGAATTCATAGCCATTATCTCTTCAAATAATACTCTTCCCAGATTCTTTTTTTTTTCCTACTTCTGGGACTCCAATTATATAAATGTCAGACCTGTTCATCTTTTCTATTGGGTTCTTTCCTCTCTATTTTTATCTACTTCTGTGTCTCTATATCTCTATCTAGATTTAAAAAAATTTTTCAGTTCACTGTGTTTTAGCTGTGCTGTTAAACATACTCATTGATTTGTTAATCACATTTATTCTATGTTTCATTCCATTATTCCCATTTGCTTATTTGTTATGATTTTCATTATTTCTGAAATACTCCCTCTTGTCATTTAACTCCTCAAACATATTAACATGGTTAGTAAAAGTCTATGTCTGGAATTATCCAGACATGTAATGCCAGACATAGACTTTATAGTAACTATTATATGAGTTTATATTGTTTATAAAATAAAATTTTATAAACAATATAAATTGTTTATAAAATAAAATTTTATAAACAATATAAATTGTTTATAAAATAAAATTTTATAAACAATATAAATTGTTTATATTGTCTGATTTTTTTCCTGATTTTCAGTCAAGATTTATATTTTTGTGTATGTCTTATTCATTTTGATTCAGTGCTGGTCATTGTTTATGAAACATTATGGAAAAAATTTAAAGCCCTTAAAATAATGGCTTGTGTCAAGTTTCTTTATTAGCATGCGTGATTTGTTCTTAACTAGACATATTTTACAGTTGAAGTAACATTTTACTGGAATTACATAAAGCAATTATTACTTTTCCCCAGAGAGAATTTACTTTTTTTTTTCTTGAGATGGAGTCTCGCTCTGTCATCCAGGCTGGAGTACAGTGACACAATCTCAACTCACTGCAATCTCCGCCTCCTGGGTTCAAGTGATTCTCATGCCTCAGTCTCTGAATAGCTGGGGACTACAGGTGTGTGCCGCCACACCTGGCTAATTGTTGTATTTTTAGTAGAGATAGGGTTTAACCATGTTAGCCAGGCTGGTTTTGAACTGCTGACCTCAAGTGATCCGCCCACTTTGGCCTCCCAAAGTGCTGGAATTACAGATATGAGCCACTGCACTCAGCGAAGAATTTACTTTTGCTTCTGAAAGGCAGCTAAACTAGAATAAGATTATCTTAATCCAATCAGAGAATGAGATGATCAAATCTAAGCTTCAGTTCTTCTGAGGTCTGGTTTATTTCCAGGCCATCCTTACTCCTAGTATGTCAATCTTTGGAGTCCCAAATGAAATCCAGTCGGTATTTACCAGGTCCACTCCACCTTGGTGGGATTTCCACTCCAATTTTCACCACCTCCTTAGCCCCAGTTTTATAAGACTATGGAAAACCCTTCCATTCTCAATCTCTCAGGCACTGGTTTTGAAACTGGCAGTGAATCCTCAAGTGAAAAATTTTTCCGAAATGTCAGCTCATTACTCCTGGCTTTCTCCCTCTTTGAGGATCTTGGCTCTCCAAATTTTCACCCTCTTTGTGGCTCTCAGATGTTTCAAACAGATTTTTAAAATATATTTTGACTAATTTTCAATTTTCTCACTGGGATAGTGGGCCTAAAACAGTCTAGATGGTTGTTTTTGGCTTCAGTACTCCACCAGATTTCTAAAAAATTTCTAGGTGATTCTAATGGGCAGCTAAAGTAATAAACCATGGACATCCAGCATGAAGGGCAAGCAAGATTCTTCATGAGTTGACTCTTTCAAACCTATGTAGCCTGATGTTTGACCAAAGCACCTTCTCCACTCACTGCCACCAAAGCCCATATGCCTTCCAGCCTTATGGAACTACTTCTCATTTCTGACATGGTAGGCCGCAAGGCTATCTCTTGTCTTTAACCTTTTGCTTCTCTGCCTGGCCCACTCTTACTCATCCCTTACATTTCTTTTTATGTGTCACTTCTTCCTGTACTGTACTGAACTGTTATGTGTCCTTTCCATTCGTTTGTGAGACAGGATTCCCAGCTTACCAGGAGCTGTTTGCTGCCTATCTTATAGGGCAACATGAGGTCTTCTGGATGTTCTTTCAATCTGAAGTAATATTTATTTTCCTTTAAGATGCTTCCTGTTTCTTCCTATTCTGTCCCCTTACCAGCACTCTAAACTCAGTTATTAAGGCCATAATCTACTGGATGGAAGGACTGACAAAGGTGCTTAGATAATAATTATTGACTTGAATTAAATGGAACATATTTTTCAAAGTTAATAAAATTTCATGAAAGCAAGACTATCCCAGAAATCTGCAGCCTATGTTTAACCGAAGCCTTGGTTACATTCCGTCCATATCTACCTGAATTAGTACAGAGAAAAATACTACCTTTCTTACTATGTATGAAAATTATGCTCAATTCTTAGTATACTGATCAATTATTCACTCTTTACTAACTTTCCTGGAGATAATATTAGTTAACCTTACTTGGCTCTCAATACGTGCCAGGCATTATGCTAAGCACTTCCCATATATTTTCCCATTTAACCCTCACAACATTTTTAGATGTTGCTATTACTCGGGCTGAGATATTAAGTTTCTTTATCAAGACCATGTATCTGGTGGTGCCTAATGCGGGACCAGTTATGGTAAATATGACCCTAAAACCCATGCTTATTTGACTCTATATTAAACACTGGTAAGAAAAGCATGGTTCTGTAGGATCAGCTATACTTGAGTTAATATCTCAGTCCCATCACTAATTAATAGTATGTCATAGGGCAAGCTGCTTAACCTTTGAGATCTTTAGTTTCCTCATCTATAATAACTGAATTCAATTCTTTTCTGAAAAACTCTGAGAAAAGGGTCTGGTAAGATGTCAGTAGTGTTATAGGTGTCTGATAAATATGATCACACACACACACACACATATGCGCATACTTTGTCCATATTTTTATTTCTCTTATTGTTGCCTATTTCATACCGTCTGTTATTTAACTCTATCTACTTTATTCATTTATACATTATTTTTCTACACTCTAGTCAGGGCTTGTGAATTAACTGCTTACCAGTGGTTACATATTTATTATCAATTGCACAATTGCTTTATGTAGTTCTAGTAAAATGTTACTTCAAGTGTAAAATATGTCTAGTTAAGAGCAAATCACACATGCTAATAAACAAAATTGACACAAGCCATTATTTACTGAGCTTAAAGCTGGTGTTTGCTGAAAATCCTCAAGTCATTTCATTTTTGCTGAAGACTCATATTTAAGTAATTGTGGAACAGACATTCATTACTGTCAAGCCACACTTCTCTCTGCCTTTATGACAAAGAAAATAGCCTAGCATTAAGTTCATGTTCTACAGAATTATTTCTCATTAGGGAAGAAAAGTCAGAGAGAGTTCTAAGAATCCTGGACTAAATGTAAAAGCAATGCATCAGTACTGTCTGATATGTTATTTATAAACTGGCCTGAAAGGTAATCATATTTTAGCATACTTGCTTTTAGCCTGTTCATCTAGCTTTATCCTATCCCCTTGATAGAAATACATTGCTGATATAAGTTTCCTTGGTTTGTTTAAATATTGAGGTCTGTTTAACAACCACTTTTGTTCACCCAGGCAGGGAGCCCATCTGTGCCACTGGTGTGGGTGAAGATACCTGCTACCTGCAGGTCATTTGCAGGACTTGTCACCTTACAATACTGGCCAGAGAAAGGGCTACAGAGAAGGGCTTAGTTTCCTAACTTTTCTGATAAGAATCATCTTGAGCACTTGTTAAGCATATGGCTTCCCGGGTCTTTCCCACTAGACATCCTGATTCAGTGGGCTTGGGCATTTAGGGCTTAACAAGAAGCCCAGGTAACTTTTCAAACTTATCTTCAGGTAAGTTTGGAAAGCACTGTTATCAAGGTTATACATTTATAAAAATAAAAGTACCTTTTTATTTGAGAAAATGGATGCCATTTATCCTCTTGTGCTCTGTTTGGCAAGCAGTTCCTAGCATGCCACTGGGCCCTGACCGTGGGGTATCAAGCGACCATCTGGTCAGAGCTGCCCATCTGTCAGATCCACCAAGTCTTATGGTTGGGTGGCCAGCAGCAATCTATTGTAAGATGGACATGGTGTGTCTGGGATTGGGCACAAATAAGCTGCACAAACAGGTGATCCTTACCCCAATCCCCATGTCACCCTCCACTCTTACACTGGTGTCTCTCTCAGCACAAACATGTGGCCACTTGGTGAATCCCTTATTACCAACTGATAGAGGAAGCAAAAGGCTAAGCTTCATTCAAAGATGGAATGCTATTCTCTAGGACACAATACTGTACACTGGAAACCAACAACATTATATATGGTGCTGTGACTCCAATAGGTAGACTAAATGTGCCTAGGAACTAAGGGGTAGAAGTAGGAGTAGCCCAATTTACCATCATTCCCAGTGACCCACTTGGGGAATGATAGATACAATTTGGCTGTGTCCCCACCCAAATCTGACCTTGAATTGTAATAATCCCCATGTCAAGGATGGGGCCGGGTGGAGATAATCGAATCACAGGGGTGGTTTCCCCCGTGCTGTTCTCGTGGTATTGAATAAGTCTCATGAGATCTGATGGTTTTACAGACAAAAGTTTCCCTGCAGAAGCTCTCTTGCCTGCTGCCATGTAAGACTTAGCTCCTCAATCACCTTCCACGATGACTGTGAGGCCTCTTCAACCATATGGAACTGTGAGTCAACTAAACCTCTTTCCTTTATAAATTACCCAGTCTCGGGTATGTCTTTATTAGCAGCATGAGCACAAGTCTGTTCTCATGGGAATTTGTGCTTCCTTTCCCTGCAACTTTAGGCTGTATGGGTTATCATGCCAAAAGACCAGCATTAAAGGAAAAGAGTCACTATACAGGTAGGAATAACTGACCCTGATCACCAGTAGGAGGTAGGGACATGTTACACAAAAGATGCAACAATCTGAAAGTCTGGCATACTGGTTGATAAAATTTGACTGTGTCCCCACCGAAATCTCATCTGGAATCATAGTTTCCATAATCCCGACGTGTCGTGGGAGGGACTCAGTAGGAGATAATTGAATCATGGGGGTGTCTACCCCCATGCTGTTCTTGTGATAGTGGATAAGTTATTATAAGATCTGATGGTTTTATAAGGGGCTTTTCCCCCTTTGCTTGACACTTTTCCTTCCTGCCACCATGTGAAGAAGGACATGTTTGCTTCCCCTTTCTCCATAATTGTAAGTTTCCTGAGGCCTCCCCAGCTCTGCAGAACTGTGAGTCAATTAAACCTCTTTCTTTTATAAATCAGTAAGTATCAGGCAGTTCTTTATAGCAGTGTAAGAACAGACTAATACACTGGGGAACCACTGGACTAGTGTGTTTTAGTATGACTGTATGCAATTTTGGCAATAAGTAAGCAAGTACAGTAGCCACATCCTGAGAAGAACTTGCTGACAAAGGATTCAGACCTTCAGGAATGATGGTTTGGTCATTCCATCTGTGAACCACCTAGAACAGCAGACGTAATGGGTAAGAGTGAAGGGAATCTAGAATGGGCAGTAGAGAAGGGAGACCATGAGTATCAGTTGCAGCCTAAGACCATCTATATCAGTAGGGGCTGAAGTTCATATGCCAAACCTTTCTTTTATATATTTTCTCAAGAGATGAGACCAACCAGAATCCTGGAGAAACTGCAGATGGGGTAAATAGTGTAAGTAAATGGGTCTGAGAAACTGGGTGCTCATTACTGGGCTTTAGGGATCTGCAGCGTGCCACCCACATTCGCCCTTCAGGGCCCAGGGACTGATTCGCCCAACTGCCAGGAGAGTTGACCTCTGATGGCTGTGTCCATATCTGAAAATTGCCCTTGACTGATAAGAGCCACCTTGCCCGATAAGAGCCACGTTGCCCAAAGTATGTCCTGGTCTGGGGATATACAATGACTAAGAGATGTGGGGAATATCACATTGGTGTCATTTGCCTCAGTTGTAGACAACTCTGAATGGCCTTCCCGGCTGCTGTGGGGATTGGTTGAGATCTCTCTTGCAACTACACTGAAGTCCAACTTTTCCCTCTGTCCAATCCTGCTTCCCCTGTTTCTTCTGGGTGTTGTTCCTGAGAGCAGCCTATGATAAACCTTCGGTATACCAAACTTTGCCTCAGAATCTGTTTCCAAGGAACCCAACCTAAGACACAATGTAACTTGATTTCTAATCTAGCTTTCATGTAGGGCCTCTGAGTGCAGTCTACATGGCATATGAAATGTTAGCTGGAAGAGGTCTAAGAAATGTAGTAATTTGCCTTGAAAACTCTGAATTAATGGAAAGCATGCCAGAATAGGGAC
Source organism: Homo sapiens (assembly GCF_000001405.40). NCBI lineage: Eukaryota > Metazoa > Chordata > Mammalia > Primates > Hominidae > Homo > Homo sapiens. The sequence continues at coordinate 50,667,429 of NC_000013.11, forward strand.
AGACTACATGCAAAGGAAGTGAATCAGATTATCAACTAAGCCAGCCCATAAAGATACAGCTAAGAAGTCCAGGGTGCTGATTGACTTCTTAAATTAGGAAATGCTGGCTATTAATTGCCATCTCTCGGAGTGGGGAGAATGCTTGCCTCCACTTCAATGTCTTTGTTCCCCTAGTTGTCAGCACAAAGTGGTTTCTCCTTTGGAGTTGACTAAGCATGGCCAACAGGCCAAGTAGCATATTCTTCAAATTGTGTGCTTTGAATAACTCTCATTCATGCACACTTTGGGGCTTTGTGATGGACACTGACATTTACTGATGGTTTACTCAATGCCAGGCATAGTGTGATTTCCTGAAAAATTATCACAGTGACTTTATATTTTTGGTATAAACATCTAGAAAAATGGGAACAGAGATTCAGGAGTTCATCTTTTAAAAAAAATCATCGTGGCATTTGAACTTGCCTCTAACTCCTGAGCCAAGTCTCTTTCCACCATACTGCAATGGACCTTGAAAAGCAGAGCAAGTCTTCCTTTCCCACCAGAGTCCAGTTGAGCTGATTGCTCTGTGGGTCTGATGAAACAAAGGGTCTTGGTTTTACATTTCCCCCAAAGATGCTTCTGATGTGTGTGGTCTCACTGCCATGGAGCACATCCCGGGCAGCAGTCCGTCCCATGTGCCACCAGAAACAATGAGAATCAGTTCAGATAGACTTGGAAGGCTGGACACAGCTCCAACACCATTCCAGTAAGAACAGCTTGGAGGTCAGGACCTGCTGAAAGCAAGGCAGGAAGAGAGCCTCTGTATCTTGAAAGCGGTGCACTGTCCTTCCCATGTTCTGCCGAGATGGCAAGCTCACAGCTAACACGTGCAGCTGCAACATCTTAAGCAAGTTCCTCATGCCAAAGGACACGAGGTGGAAACCTCTGTTGGCAAATTAGAAGGCAACTTAAACCTTTTCAATTATTTACCTGAACATATGGAAATGATTTTTTTAATCTCTGTTTAATCTGTTTAATTAAATGAGAATTGCATTTATGGGACAGGACATTTACTGAGTGCTTACTGCACACTAGATTCCAAGCAAGGCAGCTCTACAAATGAATTCTCTCCATCACCCTGTGAGTTGGGCATTGTTAGCTGGCACTTATGGATAAGGAGATCAAGAACTTGGGGAAATTTAGTAAATCACCCAAGGTTCCCACACTAAGGAATACCAGGCAGAATTTCTAATGCAGTCTGCCTGATCTGAAACCCACACTTTGTCTAATACACAATTTAAGAAGACAAGCCAAACAAGGTGAATATGGCTGAGCCAGTGTCATCTGTGGAGCTCACATTCCCTCAGAACTCCTTTGCTGAAATGCACTTGCCTTGTCTATCTCAGGAATCGAAGGTGACTTTGCAGAGTCTTTATGGAGGAGATGCACTCACAGATGGTGCATAGATTTCTCTGCCAAGGGCTCTTAAATATGCTGTGAATATATTCTCCTGAGGAATTCACCAAGTACATTGGGTCTTCAAGCAGTAGACTACACAGACACCTGCACACAGAAGACTCACACTCTGCCCTGCATGGTCTCACGCACAGATGTACATTTTCTTCCATTCTCTCTTGAGCTTTCTCTCTCACAACACACCTGTTGCTGCCTCTCAACAAAGGCAGGCTTGTGCTGTGAAAGTACCAATTCAGAAGGAAAACATAAACCAGATGGAGAGAACGGCAGAAGGGAAGTTCTTAAGCAAGTAAATAATATAACATGTCTCATGAATTTTTCCATTTTCCCTTGGGGTAAAGATGAAGTAAAGGGATGCAGTGCCAACCTGTCCCAGTGTTCTTGCCAATTGCAGTTCATTTCCAATTTTAACAGAGGAAAGTGGACCCCTAGGATTGTCCAGTCAGTGGCAGAGGAAGGCAGTGCCTGGAAATGTCAGTTGCTAGAGGAACTGAATATGATGCAGCATATTTCAAAATATTGAGGGAAATTGTGATGTTCCTTTGCTGACAATCAAGAGAAGATGTAAATTTGGTACCAGTTCATATAATATTACAATTATAATCCTAGCAAAACTATATGTATCTGTAATGTACAACTTGGCAGTAAATATATATATATACACATATATATATATACACGTGTATATATATATATACACGTGTATATTTTAAACTATCTCACTGAATGGAAAACACCATAGCTAGTTTGGGTTTGGTTTGTTTACCTCTTTCAAACCTCATGTTGAAATTTGATCCCCATTGTTAGAGGTGGGGCCTAATGGAAGGTGTTTGGCTCCTAAGGACAAATCATTTATGAATGGCTTGGGGTCCTTGAGGTGGTGAGCGAGTTCTTGCTCTGTTAGTTCCCATGAGATGGCTGTTAAAAAGAGCCTGGTACCTCTCCTCCCCACACCACTCCAGCCCACCTGGCTTCCTGCAGCCTTCTCTGTCTCCATGTGATTTCTGCACATGCCAACTCTCCTTTGCCTTCAGCCTTGAGCAGAAGCAGACTGAGACCCTCACCAGAAGCCAAGCACATGCTGGTACCATTCTTCTTGCATAACCTGCAGAACTGTGAGCCAAGTAAACCTCTTTTATTTATAAACTACCCAGCTTCAAGTATTCCTTTATAGCAGCAGTCCCTAACCTTTTTGGCACCAGAGACTGGTTTCATGGAAAACAATTTTTCTACAGATGGGGTAGGTGAGGGCCTAGGAATGGTTTCAGGATGATTCAAGTACATTATATTTATTGTGCACTTTATTTCTATTATTACTACATTATAAAATATAATGAAATAATTTTACAACTCACCATAATGTAGAACAAGTGGAGAGCTTGTTTTTCTGCAACTAGACTGTCCCATCCGGGGGTGATAAAAGACAGTGACAGATCATTAGGCTTTAGATCCTCATAAAGAGCACGCAACCTAGATCCCTCGCATGTGCAGTTCACAATAGGGTTCACGCTCCTAGGAGAATCTAATGCCACTCCTGATCTCACAGGAGGCGGAGCTCAGGCAGTAATGCGAGCAATGGGGAGCAGCTGTAAATACACCTGAAGCTTTGCTCGCTGGCCCACCAGTCACCTCCTGCTGTGTGACCCTGTTCCTAACAGACCATGGACTGACTGGTCAGTTGTGGCCTTTTTGGAACTGGGCCATACAGCAGGAGGTGAGTGGCAGGAATTGGGGACCTCTGCTTTATCGCAACCCAAACAAAGACAACCATGATGACATCTTGAGTTTTCCAGTTATTCTTAATAGAAATGTTCTGAAAATCCAAGTGCTTACTGTGAGATGCTCAATTCAAAACTGAATCATTACAGGGTTTTACTTTTGTTTTCTTTTGTCTTTCCTTTTCATAGAGGAGAGGAAAAATCTGAGCAAGGTAAATAAATGTAGATACAATGGCCAATGAAGAGTGAGAGCCATAGAGTTGCGGGAGATGAATTTTTAATGATCATTTCCCATATTTTACAAATAAAGACACGAGAGGCCCAGAAACACTGCCCACAAAGGCTCCAGGTCCACAGCTGGCAGGAAGGAGCCCCCTATGTTTTCTGACCCCATGTCCAGCATACACACCACTACATTACCCTGCCCAGAGGGAAAATATTAGAGAGAGTTAAAAGGAAGCCTGGACCTTTTCCTACAGGAGTGATCCACCTTAAGATAACATTCAAAACAATGGTTACACTGACATCACCTTCAACATTGTTCCTGTTGCCTGGGATTCATGGAGTTGTGACTATTTTGGAGCAAATTTGGAGAAATGTTAATTCACTCTCTCTAGTGTCCTGAAATGGATTGGATGGTGCAGTATGTTGTATTGCATGGCTCCTAACCCAATTCCAGGGAGTTTCTTGGGCAGCAAGAGGGCTGAAAGCCAACATTTAATATTTCTGTATCAAATTACATTTGCAGGGTTCATGAACATCTCATTTTCTAATTCCATTTCTCACAAAACAAGCCAACATCTGCCTTTTGTTATTTCTATCCCTCATTGTTTTTGAAATATTTGTAGTACATTTTGAGTAAAACTCCCTTGACAAAAACGCCTGGCAGGCTCGGGCACCGTCATACCCTTGGTGAAAAGCTCATATCTCCCAGCTTCTCGTCATTTCCAATACACCCATGGGTTTATAAGCACCCATAGGGCAGGATGCTTCCTGAGGCTACATACGGACTTTGACCAAAAGGTGGGACCAAAGATCTCTGGGAATTAAGAAAAAGAAAGAGTAAACCAGGCAATCTGTGGAAGGAGGTGATCTTACAGGATTAGGTGGGGACAAAGGTGAGAATCTTATTCCCTTTCCTTTTCACACTTTGCCAACTTCTTCCTCTCTGTCTTCTATTTTTTATAAAGAGACTGTGAGAAGAGACAAAAGAAGTGCTATTAAGGTGTTTGGGGTTAGGGCCAAAATTAACAAGTAAAATGAAAGTCCTTCAAAGATGATCTAGAATAAATTCCCCTGTATCCCACTGCTTTAAGGAGGGCAGAAGGAGAGAAGGGAGAATTTGTTCTGTGTCAGTCAAATGGAAATGGAAGGAAACCCAGCAGATGAAGAAGAGGGCTTCAAGCCACAATTCTTCACCAAGAGTTTGGTGAATCTTCCTATTATTTAGCACAGTGGCCCCTTTATGAAGGAGATACTTTAGGTCAAATTTTTAATCTATCTTTTCAAAATCTCAAATCAATCCACATTCCTTTGAAACAAGTGAGTCACAATTGCTGGCTGGGTCATAGGGTAACTGTGGCCTTGAGGCACAGTTGACACAAGCAAAGGCACCCCCCCACACACACACAAAGAGTTGCATAATGTTCCCTCTTAAGGTCTCATTGCTGCTTCATAAATCCAAGCTAATTCATGTTGCATGGGGTAGAGCATATAATAGAAAATAAGGAAGCACATTTGGAGTCCAAATATTAGAATTAAAATTCTGCCCCTGTTGATTTCTAATCAGATAGACTGTAAGTGGCCTGAACATTTCAAGCCTCAGTTTCCTTATTCACAAATGAGAGGAACTTTATGAGATTTAGTTGAAAATCAAATAGTGACAAATGAAAGCACAACAGGATGCTTAATAGCTGTGAAGGGCAGTGCACATGAAAGGGTCATCATCAACGCCCAGCTTGTGGCTGACCACTCCTCAGGGGCCAGCTCTTTCCCATGAAAAACCAAGGAGTCCTTGTACTGATTTTTTAAAATTTATGAAACATGAGCTCATTGGGAAATCTTGAACAAACAGAAGCTTTCCCACTCTTTTAATTCAAAACATTTCTAAAATATTCATTTGGCCCATTTTCTGGCCTTATTAAGTTAAACATAAGGGACAGAACAGAGTATTGATTTCAGCACTTTCAGGAGTTCCAGGCTTGCTGATCAACACCAGAGACAGGAACAGGGAAGAGGAGGTTGCACTGGGAAGGAGGCAGAGAAGACACTCGGGTCCAGGGAGACCAAGACACATCCTGTAGACTCATCATGTGTCTGTGCACACCCAGTTAGGACGGCGCTGAGTGCCCAATCCCTTCAAGCCTGCTCCTCTCCTAGTTCTCTCTGATTCAGTCAATGGCAGTTCCCTCTTCCGATAGCTCCAGTGAAGGCCTCGGGAGCCCTCCTGGGCTCTTCTGTCACACCCTTCACGTTTGCTTCATCAGCACAGTCTTGGGCTTTACGTTGATGTCAAACTGAGAATCCCACTACTCCTCTCCACTTCACTGCCCCACTCCATCCAAGCTGCCATCCTTTCTCCATGGATTGGTTCAATAGCCTCAAAATGGATCTCCTTACTCTGCCCCCAACCTTCCCATTCCTCTTGAGTTTATTCTCAACAGGGTACCGAGAGCGATCCTGCTGAAGTGTGTATCAGATCAAGTCAGTCCTCTGTTCAAACTCTCCAAGAGCTTCCCCACTTTAGAAGCAAAAATCCTTACGATGATCTGCAAGATTCTCCACACTGCGGCCCCTTGTTTTTTCTGTGCCTCGCCTTAATCCCCTCCCCTACCCCTGGCCTCTCTTAACTCTTTTCTGGCCTCTTCACTGTTCCTTAAACGTACAAGGTAACCTGTTGCCTCGGGGCCTTTGCAGTTGCTGTTCTCTTTCTTGGAATGTTCTTCCCCCAGACACCTGCAAGGCTGGCTCCCTCATCATCTCCTTTCGGTCTGGATTCAAATGTTACTTTCTCAGTGAAGCCTTTCTTGACCACATGGCCTAAAATAGTAACCTGCTCTCCACTCTCGCTCTTCCACATATTCTTTCTATAACTGTTTTCTGCTTCATTTGTTATTAGCATTTAGGATTATCTGATATGCTATATATTTGACTTATTGTTTTATTTTTCTTCCCTATAAAAATATAAGCTCTATGAGAGTAGGAAGCTTACATTTTGTCCAGGACAGTGCCTAACACAAAGTAAGTACTTAATAAACAATTTTTAACAGATGAATGATTGAAATGACTAAACAAAAATAAAAACCCTGACCACAGTTTTTCTTTTTTCTTTTTTTGGAGACAGTATCTCACTCTGTTACCTAAGCTAGAGTGCAATCATAGCTCATTGCAGCCTTGATTCCTGAGGCTCCTGTGATTCCTGCCCCCACCTCAGCCTCCAAAGTTGCTGGGGCTACAGGCATGCACCACCACACCTGGCTAACTTTTATGTAGAGATGTAGTCTCACTGTGTTACCCATACTGATTTCAAATCCTGGCCTCAAGCAATCCTCCAGCCTCGACCTCCCAAACTGCTGGGATTACAGGCATGAGCCACCACGGGCCCTTGACTACAGTAGTTTAAACAGAGAATAGAAATTTAACACAACTAGAAGTTTCAGATTAGGCAGTCTAGGGCTCTACAACGATGCCATCAGAGGCCCAGTTTTTTTTTTTTTGTTTCAGTTTTTTCATTTCATCATACTTAAGTAAGTTTTTGCCTCATGACTGCAAAATGGCTGCTGCCCCACCAGACAACACATGATCTTTCCAAAGCAGAGGGAAGAAATGGAATGCAAAATAGGAAATGGCAGCATTTGTATTAGGAAAGCAAAAGCTTTCCCAGAAACTCTCAACTTATATCTCATTAATCAGAACCTTTTGGCATGGCTACCCCTTGCTATAACACTAAACAAAAACTGAATTTTGTTAGTGAGGAATGGACACAGGGCAGGTGGTTCCCAGTATGTGTCATAGAGCATAAGTCTCTGTCACCCTTCAACTTCAGCTCATGCTTCTCTGCTTGGGATAAGGAGGAGCTTATGAGACCCCAAGTCAAGGGAATGAGTTTGGGGAAGCCTTAGATGTAACCGTTGCTGGAGAGAAAACCTGAGTCCTGCTCTGGCAGAAGAGCTGTGGAATCGGACACCTACAACACTTTGGCAGCCATGTTCCCAGTGTAGGAATGAAGGTGACCCAGAGGATCATGAAAATGTCCAGAAAAGGCTCACGTTGTCCTAAGAGACAGTCCCAGCAGCCTTCACTTCTTTGCTTCCAGGTGTTTTGGAGGTCCCACTGCAAATTATTCTAGCTGTGGTGACAATGATGCTTTTATTGCATGCCTTGACATACAGGAGAGACACCTGAGTTTAGACTTGGCTCACTGTACCCTCTGAACCAGTGGTTCTCAACAAGGCAAGATCAGCTTGGAGATTTGACAGCTTCCACCTGCCCCCAACTACAATAACACATAGAGAGCATAGAGCGTCTCCGTGCAAACCCACTCCCTTTTGCCTCAAGGGAAGAATATTTTCAACATCTCCCCAAGCAATTCTGATACTCAGAGAGGAGTATCTCCTCTGGAGAGGAGGCCCCTCTGTTCTCAACCCAGAAGTTTCAGTGTCAAGGAGCAAGGTGACAGGGGGTGGCCCTGTTACATTTTTTTCTTTTTTATTGATACATAATATTTTTACATATTTTGGGGCTACATGTGATATTTTGTTATATGCATAGAGTATGTAATTATCAAGTCAGGACATTTAGGATATCCATCACCTCGAGCATTTATCATTTCAATGTGTTGAGAACATTTTAAGTCCTCACTTCTAGTTATTTTGAAATATATATTACTGTTATCTATAGTCACCCTTCTATACTATCAAACATGAGAACTTACTGTTTCTATTTAACTGTACATAGTACCCACTAACCAATATCTCATCACCTGCCTGCCACCCTCCCACCGCCCTACTCCATCCTTCCAAGCCTCTAGTAACTATCAGTGTCAGGAACAAGGACTTGGCCCACTTATGGTGTGACTGTAGACCTGCACCTCCCAGCCACCATCCTGTCCCAAGACAAAGGCGAACACGTTTGCAAGCTGCAGAGGCCACCCAGGAATGGGCTGTGTGCAGACTCAGAGCTTTGCTAGCCCAAAACATTAATGCTTGCCACAGAGCCCTGGGTGGGAAAGCAGTCACTGGACTTCTTTATTCAGTTCCTTTTTCTTTGCTGAAAGGCCGGAATCCAAGACTTAGAGACAAAGTCTGTTCCCTTTGGGACTCTTGTATGAGGGGCCTACAGCCCTTCTTCAGAGAGGAGGAGATCTGTGCCCTGTGTTTGCTATAATTATAATGACAGGAAGCCAAGAACTTCGGCCTCCTCCCCCAGTGTTCCCACTATGCTGAGGATGGAGGAAGGGACCCCAGTTTATTCACCTCTTCAGAGACCACTTCTCAGGCTGCCCTGGGAGACATCCTTGTCTTTGCAACTCCAAGCCAGTTATGGGCAACAGAAGCCCAGCTTGTGTGTTGGTTTGTGGGGAAAAGGAAAGGTGGGGACCTACATGCTGTGATTGTAACATCTAGAAGCCTTGAGAAAGGTCTCAAAACCTGTCATAAAAGGGTTGGTGGAAAGGCCTGAGAGTTTGACATGAGAGAAGATTGAGGGCATCTAATAAGGGACTCCAAATATTTGAAAGAAAAATTAGGCATATTCTTCAAAGTATCAGCAGGAAAAGCAAAGAAGTTGTTACAAGAAGTTGCACAGGTGTTTTCTTTCTTTTCTTTTAATCAGCAAGAGCTGTAAGACAATGGGACAGATTTCCCCTGAAGGTAGTGAGTTTCCTGACTCTGGATGTGTCCGAGCAGAGCCTTATCTAGCAGGCATGTTGCTGAGTGGACTCTCATTTGGTGGAGGCAAAGGCTGGATGTCCTCTTCCAGCCTTGAGATTCCTTAAAGGTGTGATATCCCCTTTGCCCACCTGCATGTGACCCAGGGCTCAGTGTCTATCACTGCAGATGGCAGATCTCTTCCTCTTTCACACATTGCCCTTTGAGGGAACAAACATTAACAATTCTCACCACAGTGTGAATGCTTCAAAATTTTTTCTTCTGTGACAGTGGCAGTGACTCAGGGGAACTTGGCTGAGCTTCAGCTCACTCCTATCTCAGTCAACTCTTACAGATTAGTTGATAGTCTCAGTAAAGCCAGTATAGTTACTTGCTCAGCAGGCTGGTTTCAGGACAAGTTCTCTAGCTCTTACAAAACAGATTTCTGATATCTCCGATGGAATGTTGATTCAGCAGGTCTGGGGTAGAGTTGTAAAAGTGCTCCCAAGTGATTCTCATAGTCATGTTTGAGAACACTTTCCTAAGCTTTTCCTCAACCAAATCCCTAAAGATCCACTGGGAAGAATTATTTTGGCCTTATTTTATCAAGCTCGAATCAACAGGCACTATGCCCCATAAGGATGGCTAAATTTTTTCAATTCTTTCTACACAATGTTCACCTGGGATTTGAAACTAATGTACATGTTTCACTGGATGGTCATTGTTTGTTTGTACATCCTCCTTCCCTCCTGTCCCAGCCCCTACAATGCTCTAGCTCTGCCAGGGCCAGAGCTATGTCTTTCTTCTCGGCATTTCCTGCATCCAGCACAAAACTAGGCATAAACCAAGTGTTCAATATTTGAGGAAAGCAGAAGCGAAGATGGGAAGGCAGGATATGCTTGTCCAAAGGATCATGTCAGTTTCAACAAAGATTGCTTGAGTCCTGTGCAAAAAATGCAAGGGACAGAGCGGGTTGGGAGTGGTTCTGTACTTGTGCATGTGAAATGGGGACTGAGTGTTACTAATTTGTTTCTATGTCTCTCCAAAATCGTAAGGCCTCCCAGTGCTAAGAGTGCAATTCACCACTCTTGACTGTCCTCAACCTCTTCAGCATGTATTTGAGTGTTTATACCGCTCCTCATAAAGATAGCTGCTGCTATCCTGACTGCAGATTTTTCTAAAGTCATTCACTTGCACTTTTATTTTAGTAAAAACCATGAGTACCTTGAGATGAATACATTATGGAGACAACTGTCATCACGACCACATGTGGTATTATTTACTCATGTCAGTTTGAATGATTAATGTGGAAAAATGGCTGGGCAGCTAATATGATTGAGGGCTGGATAGGACAATGTCTGTGTGATTTCAAACAATGCCCATACTGTGCGTGGCGAGTCGCAGAAACATGAATAGCTGGCACTACTCCCTCCTCTCTCTGCCGACTCCCTTTCTTGGCTGGATTCTCCCTCAAACTCCCCACCCCCAGAGACTCCAATTTTCCATCTACAGCCAAGGAGGAGAAAGCAGGGACCCTTTAAACTTTAGCAGCCTGGGGGTTATGTGTGGTGTCAGCCATCTGGCTGATGTCATTGGTGACTCCTCAGCCAGCCAGAGGGCAGAGGAGACTCACGAGGCCTTGAAAGAGAATCCAGGATTGTTGGCTGGTCTTTGCTTCCTTTAATGAGTGGCTACATAGACAATGTCATAAACCAAATGACGGTTTATTCTTCAGAGAAGCATCGTTGCAGTGGAAGAGTTTGGATGAGAACAAGGCGCTACAAATCAATCAGGGATTTGTTCTGTAGGCCTGTCAGGTCTATAAATAGCTAGACTCCTGCTTACCAAGTAGTGGATGGATGTACATCTCCAGGTAATAAGAATTTTCTGTGTTCTTTTTCTTGTGGCAAGCCTGAGAGACCACAGGATGAAAGCTTTTCTCAGCCTCCATTGTCACTGCTACCCCTGCGATTGTTAGTTGCCTCCCTTTGACTGAGATGTTGGGGTGGAGAGCTTGCTAGATCCATGCTAAATGCCTTGAATGTGTTGCCTCATTTAAACATCAAAGTTGATGAAAAAACTGAGGTTCAGGGGGTTGAAATAACCAGTTTGAGGTCACACTGTGGTGAGTGACCCAGTGGAACTGGAATCCAGGGCTGTCTGGCCCTAGAACCTGAGCTGGTCACACATCCGCCTTGTGTGTCATCAGCTTTAATCCCTTTCTTTTGGCTTTGTGGTGTGTGTGGGAGGAAGGGCTCACTGTTAAGAGAGGAAAGTAGAGGGAGTGACAGAGGACACCCCCCTTCAGGCTGCCTACTACAGAGTGACCCCCAGGCCCGGGGGTGGGAGGGATGGTGGGCAGGCAGGCTAACAAACGAAAGAGACAGTGAAAGAGACTGTGGCTTTTTCCTTCTGGGTTACAAATCATGGTGCCAATCTCAGCAATTTTGGTTGGGGAGGGTTCTTTTCCGTGACGTCACTTCAGCTTCGAGGCACAAGTTGGCTAGTGCATAAGATACAATGAGAGATTCAGCCAACATGGAAAACTGTGAATGTCTCCTAGAAGTGTTACTGCTTTGATCCTTGTGAAGAAGTTCCCTCACCTTTTAAGAGGGTCCTCATGCCAATGTGGGGCACTTGGGGCTCACATTTGGCCATGGCTATGCTGCCCTTGGGGTCCTTAGTCCTTGGTTCAGATGGCTGTCAGGCTTTTCCCGACTCCTATGGAATAACCCTGTGCACAACACTTGAGGACATGATGACAAGTTTTCTGCAGAGTGCTGACACCACCAGCCCCTTGTGTGTGGTCTGCGATATGGTGTCAGACAAGACCTGAAATCAGATTGAGCAGCTTGTTTTCTTACAACATGGAAAAGCTGTCTTTCACACCAGTAGACACCAAGAAACAAAAAGCAAGACTATGATCCTGTCTGAGAAATTTGTAAAAATGTTCAAGCAGGGGTGTTAAAGAAAACCAGAATGGAGTGACAATGTGGGATCTAAACATTTGACCTGTGACACTAACTTTTATTTTTTTCATTCCTATTATTTTGGAGTTGCTCATTTTTGAAATTCCTGTCTCCTTCCTGTTCTGATTTTTGATCCAGCATTAGTCATTTTGACCCATAATAATCTCACACCACATTGCATCAGTATTTTCCTATCTTTATTCTACTTTGGGGATGGGGCAGGAATCCATGTATACCTTATAAAAGAAAAATGATTTTGTAATTATTTCTTTTCACTAAAATGTTCTGGCTAGAACTACCTGATTTGACCTCCATTCTTTTTGATGTCACCTGACTTGAAGACAGCCCCAGGGACAGGCACCAGATAGTAAGGGATGGAGGCATAAATGGCCACTGGAACTCCACAGTACCAGTCAGAGCATCAATTGAGCCAGCATCCCAGGCTCTTTACTCTCGATAAAATTTTAGACGAAATGTTAACTAGTAATGTGACCACATCTATGAATGCCAGTGATCTATTTGGATTGGATAGTAGGACTTGTTTCAAACTGTGCTACAGCATCTTCTACCCATGATTTGAATGTGGTGTTTTTCAAAAAATGTCATTGCAGGAGACATTTAGAGTGCTAATAAAAATGCAGATTCCTGGTCCCTACTCTAAACCTACTCAATATGACCCTCTGCAGATGGGCCCAGGGATATGTATTTTTTTAAAAGCCCTGAAAGTGATTCTTGGGCATACTGAAGTAAAAAACTACTGGTTTAGACTTAAGGTGACTTAAGCAACACTTTTGTAGTTCTGCATAGTCAACATTAGTGATTAGGAAAGGTTCAGATGTCCTGAGAACTGGCATTCATCTACTCATTCATTTTGCAAATCTTTATTGAATACTTTCTGATATTCAGTCTTGAAAGGAGAAGACAAGTGTGTGTCTAGGATAGTGGTTCTCAAACTTGTGTATACGTCAGCATCGTGGGGAGCTTTATAAGAATAAATAGTCTCTCTCTAAAACAAACAAATACAACTCCCTCTCTCTCTCTCTCTCTCTCTCTCTCTCTCTCTCTCACACACACACACACACACACACACACACACACACACACACAGTGCCTTTGCAGGTCTGGGATGAGACCACTACATATTTGAGATGGTGATTCTGATATGCAGTCAGCATTAAGGAAACATTTTATTAGAGAAACTCTCTGTGCACCAAAATACCAAGTGAACAGACTTTTTTAGAGAAAGACTTTCCTATAATTGTGGGAAAAGCATGTGGCACATGACTTCATCTTGAGCAAAATCAATTATAGCTTCCTTGCAGATAATATTGGTCTTACACAAAACTAAGTAGCGAGGGTGTTAGAGAGAAGGTGGGTGAATCATTTCAAGAGGGGCCACCATGAGCCCCAAAGGGCCTATTGAGGCATGTTTGAAAGACAATGGGAATATCTATTTAGTTAGATGGAAGAGATACAAATTGTCATGTTTTGGTTGGTGTAAAAATACTACCATCCTCGTGATTTAATAATATTCATTGTACTTCTGCCACTATATGTAGTACTATCTGTGTTCACAAAATGGAAATAATTGCAACAGATATAATGGTAGCAAATTTTAATCAAACTTCCAAATAGAATTATTGGTTCAGTGAAATATAAGTTTCAAGCTTTTTTTCTAGAAACTTTGGAACACACGGGGAAAAATCACCCAGTCTTACCATTCAGAAATGATTATAATTAGCATTTTCATAGATAACCATTTTTTCTCAATTGATGTTATACTGTGATCATTTTCATTTTATTAAACATGATGCCTGAAAATTACTTTCAAATGATTCAGCAGAGAAAGATAGAAAGAATGAGATAAAGCAGATTTGTAAGATTTTAACAATTAATAAGACTAGGTGAAAAGGGTACATTATATTATTTCAGCTTCTTGGTAGGTTTGAAATTTTCAAAATAAAAAGTTTTTTTAAAAATTTGAAATTTTCAAAAAAATAGGAGAAATCTATTCAGTGCAAGAAGTAGACAAGCAACAGGGTGGATTACTCTAAACATCATGTGGTTAAAGTCTGGAACTAAAGATAGTTTTTAAATACTTAGAAAACTAGCAAATCAAAAAATTATAATCTATTATGATTTAGTGGGGAAATTTAGCTGTAGGGATTATGATTCTACATTTTTTATCAGTATTCATGCAATAGCCCCAGTGGGCCTTCTTATTTTTATCTGTCATCTTACTGACATTGTCAATGAACTGAGAGTCATGGTTTCAAATGTACACCATTAAATAATGGTGCCTGGCTGTGATCAAAACAACAAAGGCCAAAAGACTTTTAAATAAAAGAGTCATCTGGTTGCAAACTAAATAAAGCCAGTGGGGAGCATGCAGACACACACTCTCTCTCTCTCTCCAGAAACATGATTTTTCCCCCAATGGGCACACTTTAATTCTTCTGTGGAATAATATAAAATGTAAATAGATAGCCCATATTATAATTTATTATCCCACTATTAGTCAAGTTGATTGAGTCCAATTTTTAGTTTTATAAATAATACCATGATTTTTTTTCTAATTTCAACATTCCTTAGGACAGACATCTAGAAATGAATACTACATGTGGTATTGAAAGTTGGCTTAGCTCTGCTTTTCCCACTGTCAATGACAAAGAGAAAGGGTGAGTCTATGTCACTAGAAAAGCATGAATGCATCTTTTGGCCAGACTCTGACCCCACACCATGGGGGTAGTTAGTTTGGGTTGAAGTAAGCTGCTATAACAAAGAGACCCTAGGGTATAGTGGCTTAAATAAGTTGGAAACTTTTTTCTTTCTCACTTTACCACTCAGGTGTGAATGGTTCAGAGCTGATGGGGAGGCACTACTGACATCCTCAACAAATGGCTTCCATTTCTGTATCCAAAGTGACAATGCTTGTTCTTGCTGTTTTACAGACACTGGGAAGGGATAAATGATCTGGAGAATGTATGCCCAATTGTTTGAAGGGCAAGACCCACAAGTGGAGTACATCATTGCAGGTCACATCTCATTGGTCAGAATCTAGTCATTGGTTTTATCTAGCTACAGAGCTGATAGAAAATGAAGTAGTTACCTGGACAGCCATGGGCTCAACTAAAACCGGGAGAAGAGATCTGGGAGCACAATGAATGGATCTGCCTCAGCTTCTAGCTGAGTTCTTGGAACCCAGAGGGTGAGCAACTGAGACACTGTGTAATTGCTCTTTTTTCCTATGATTTCTGTCTCCCTCAACGTTGAGCCTCTGAGATGTAAGCATTGGAAACATTACAGTCAGATAGTGAAAAGTTTGCTAATCTGACAAGGAACCAATGTTCATTAAACTCTTCAATGTGCATTTTTATAGGGTGTGGCCAAACCCGAGTTAGATAAGTGCAGATGTCACTAGCTACAGGTTCATTTGAACTCCACAGTTCAATTCCCGCCCCCCACCTCACTTCCCCTCTCCCTCTCTCTTTCTCATCCTCTACATTTCCTTTGTGCTTTTGGAATTCTCCTTTTTGTTACAAATAGGTACACAAGTAAAAAATTCAGGGGTTCAGTGGAAACAAACAAGTTTTAAAGTAGAATTTACAATGAGATGCCTGATGAACAATGGTCTATTCGCATAGCTGAAAGCTCTACTCACAAATCTCTTTCCCTTTTAGATTTGTGAGGAACAAGGGATTGTATTCTCTGCACGGGATTTTGCTTCTGGGCTAGGGTTGACTGCAAGTTTATTGGAGTGAGCACTATGTTTTGTTTTGTTTTTACCATAAGGGACTTCTGCAAAGAGCCCCAGTGCTCATCATGTGCTGTGAGAAAAATGGAGAGGGTTTGCAGAACAGTTCTTTCTCTTTGTTCAAAATTAGGTTCAAGCTGAGAACCACTGTGGATATTTCAAGTTCTGTTTTGGATAAAATAAGCAGACGTGTTTGAATTAATTAACTTTGTAAGGCAACTCAGCACCGAGACTGAATTAGTGCTGATGGAAGGAGCACTGTTTCAGGAGTCCCAATACTTCTGTCCCAGCCTTGGCCTTGCCACAAAATCTTCATAGGACTATGGGAAAATACCCATCATTTCTGTGCTGTGGTTCCCCAATTACATAAATTCAGAGATACTTACAGTTCTAGAAGAATGATGCTATAGATACTGCAGTCTGCCTTTGTTATGGTAACAGGAAGACTGAGGTGAGCCTATGCCAATCCTTTCCTCCGCAAACCAGTTACCATCAATCATGCATTTCTTGGAGACCCCTGGGACCTACCCTCAAGCACCCTACATAGTAGATCCTACAATATTTTGTGGCTTAGATTTTATGTATGGGTCTGCTTCCCCATGGGCTTCTTAAAAACAGATCCTATTTCTTATTCATCTGTGTTGTTCCTGAAGTGCCAGTACTATGCTTGGCTAGGTACTGGATGCTTGATAAATACATGAAATAAAAGTGTACCTGATATCAGAAGGCTGGCTAGTAGCAGGGCGGGGTCAAGAATTCAGGTTTCTTTACTTCCACATCAGTCTTTCTCATGCTTGACCTCTCCCTTCCCTTAAAAATAAAGATAAAGATAAAGATAAAGTGTAATACCATGTGCCAGAAGTTCTTGGGCACTAGAGATGCTGGTGCAGAAAGAGATGACTGGTGTCCTCATCCTTTGCTCAAGATTGTTCTGCTTTTTCAGTCTCTTTGTCCTTAATGATGATTTATTCTCATAACATGTTTGTCTTCTTTCTCTCTCAAGAACCTCTGCTTAGAGTGGTCCAAGGAAGACTATATTGCAATGGGTCCCAGAGCACTTTGTAGGAGCTTTGATGCCAATATCAAAAGCCCAAGATGTCCACTATCTTAGATGAAGGCTAACATCTGCTCTCCAAGATGGAACCCTCACATGCTGCCATAAATAAGGCAGAGCACCTCATGCCTCTGAATTAGACACAAGGCACCAAGAGGCAAGTGCCTGGGGCTGTCGCCCAGGTCATCTATGCTTGACACTGCTCAGCCTGCTTACAAATAGGGTTCTTGCTATAGCAATCAAAATAACCACACAAGGCAAGTAAAAGGCACAGACCAGAGTCTGGGGAGGTTCTGAGTGGGGCTGATTTTAGCACACAGAAGGGAATGAGACAACCACAGCCACCGCAATGGGCCGGGAGGAAGGAAGGCTACTGTGGGTCACCAAGAGAAACACTTCCTTCCATTGTCTGGCTATACAGGCTCAGATGAAAATAAAAATAGGTGGACATTGAAGATATGCATGTGTACATCTTGAGCCAGACTCACACAGAGAATCCACTGGGGCTGGAGGCCATAAAGAAATAATTCAGGGCATTTTGGCCCAGTGAAAATGGGACTTAAGAAGCCATGTACAAGTCAAAGACCCAAGGAGGTGGGCGGATTAAACCCTAAGCATGCTCTAAGACATCTGGAGAAGAGTTTCACAGTCCATGGGTCTCAGGTTCTCAGCCTGAGAACCATATAATAAAAATAGTGTGGTAGAAGACACGGGGCAAAGCATGGGGGCACTATCAAATACTCTTTCATAAATGCTGGCAAAAAATGGAAAGCCATGTTTCTAAAAGATTCTCAAACTCTTACCCTATTTCCCTAAGATTTGTTGATAGTCCAGAGAGGGCTATTAAGGGATCTTGCATTCTTCTCAGGCACTTTTTTTCTTCCAGTTAAAAAAAAATTGTATCTTGGAAAATATCAACTATGAATACAAAAATATGCGTAGTAGTTGAATGTATCCCTGTGTACCCACCAATCACCTTCAACAATGATCAACTCACAGCCAATCTTACTTCATCTGGACCCACTGTCTCACTCCCATATTATTTGGAAACAAATTACAGATAATATGTAATTTTATCTAAAATGTTTCATATTGTATTTTTAAAAAATAAGGACTCTTTATAGAAACATAACTATCCATTCTGAAGCTTAGAAAGTTAGAATTCTGTCTTGCCATCAAATAGCCAGTAAATGTTCAAATTTCCAGCCTTTTACATCTAATCATGTCTTCCTCATGGTTCCCTTCAGACCTGCTTTACGCCCATCCAGAGAAAAAAACCAAAGCAGACTTATACAAGCAAAGAAGCTCTGATACCCTGGCCCTTTGGTTTCCACTCTATAGTAATGTAACAAACACATGATATGCCAGGAACAGAGAGCTGACCCCCAAATTGCAGGCAAGCACACTGGCAACATAAAGAGAAAGTAACTGACAAATCTCTAATTCTGGAAGACGCCCAGAGCAGCTGGGCCTGAAGCCAGGAGCTTAACAAGTTTCCATTGTTATTGGCAGCTGACAAATTTAGAAGCAGACAGGGGAACTTCTTATCATGGGGAATTTTGTTAGCTGAGGCTATATGCGTTTAAAAAGCACAATCAACCTGTAGTGAGTTGAGGGATTAAACATGATTTTTCTCAACTTAAATGACCCCTCTCCCTAAATTAAGCTGCCTATTTAGCGCCCTTAATAAATACATAGATAATTTAAACCATGTGGCAGCAAATTGAACACACGGGCTTTTTGAACTATGTATTTTCTTTCTCATGTTGGAACACTTCCCTCGAGAAAAATCTCAGGTCTCATGATTATGGAAAAGAAAGATCTGTGTATCTTTCTGATTAAGCGTCTCAGGATACACACATACATGTTGATCAAGTGTTTTCTTCTTTCTTGGCTAAAGTGAAGCATATGCTTCTGAGAAAAGTGTTCCATCGACACTTCTTTGGCGGCTGCCTGGTCTATTTGTCAACAAAACAAAATGTGAAAGGGTTTTATTTCTATAAAAGTAATTACATTTCAAAGCAGCTTGTCATTATATACCATGTGGCATTACATTGAACCAAGATACAATTTTCTGCCTGATTGTTAGAAGTAACAATCTGTATTCACAAGTCAGTAAAATACTCAAATGTGTATCTTCTCTGTTGCTTGATTGGGAAAAATAATACTCCCAGCTTGAACACCTTGAGGTTGGGACCACATGATTGGACATGCTGGTTTTAGGATCTCTGTATTAATCTACTGATTCAAAATACAGCTCCCACCAAAAACAAATCACTATTTACTTTAATATTAGGAATCTTGATTTTGAGCCAAAAAAGGTTCAAAAAGTGACAAAGGTTTTTAAAAATGATTTCTGTATGATTTTCCCCTCTCTTTTAAATAAATGAGTGCCTCAACTTTTAGCTACATTACAACTTGCTTTTGCCTCTTTCATGTGTGTCCCAAAAATGTTCATAAGCACTTCAGTGTTCATGGGCCCGTGAGACTCATCTGGTCTCCTCATCTTCTCTGTGGTTAGAGTACTTTCTGAGACAGTTCTCACCACAGATTCTCAGAGATAAAGTCTGCAGCTTCTTTTTGGTTCCCTGCTTTTAACCTCTCCGTTATTAAGCAAAGAGTCTTAAACAAAATTCCGTAATAGAACACATCTTTTTCATTTTCACCCCCAAATCTTTTTTTCCAACTTTTACTTTAGATACAGTGGATACATGTGCAGTTTTCTTAGACGGGTATATTGCGCTCAGGTAGTCAGCATAGTACCCAGTAGGTACTTTTTCTACCCATACCACCCTCAATTCCTCCTCCCTCTAGTAGTCCATAGTGTCTATTGTTCCCATGTTTATGTCTGTGGGTGCTCAATGTTGCGCTCTCTCCTATAAGTGAGAACTGGGGTATTGGTTTTCTGTTCCTGCATTAATTCACTTAGGATTATGGCCTCCAACTCCATCCATGTTGCTGCAAAGAACATGATTTCATTCTTTTTTTATGGTTGCATAGTATTCCATGGAATATGTGTACCGCAATTGCTTTAGTCAATCCACCACTGATGGGCAACTAGGTTGATTCCATGTCTTTGCTATTGTGAATAGCATGGCAATGAATATACGAGTGCATATGTCTTTTTGGTAGAATGATCTATTTTAATAGATCTTGAACTTCCAATTTCAAACTACACTGACTTTCTCTTGCTACAAATGCAAACAGAGCATCCTATGGGTAGGCCTTTCTTGGCTTGTGCAAAAGGACATCCAAGACATTTTTTAAAAAGGTGATTCAGTCGCCCCAGAAGGGGGGAAATAGTCACATTGGCAGATTTTGTCTGGTTAAAACTTTGTTTTGTCTTGGAAGATAGACATTGAAAAACAAGTCTTGAAGGCCAGATTTCGCCAGGATGAGAAGGCCTAATTGTCTGAGAGAACATTGGCCTTTTGAGCCCATTAAGGAGAAACATGCCATGGAGCAAGTGCCCCGCTTTGAATTAGTTTTCAGAATGTCCACTGCCTGACTTCTCTATGACAGACTGTCTGATGTCAGGAATCAATGGTATCGTTTGAAGGAGCCGGTCTTTTAGACAGAGGCATGTGAACTTCTTAGGGAGCCTTTATACTGTATTAGTTTGTAAATCTAAATATTGCATGCAGCTCTTGGTTCAACAATGCTCCTCTTTTTCTAATAATTTGCTGAAACTAATTGAATACAGGACACAGCTCACTGGTGGGCAAGTGAAGATGTTTTAGTTAGCTTCTAAGGCAACATATAGCTAAAGAAAGCAAAACTGCCTGGCCTAGGATTTAATGAGGTGATTAACTTAGTGTATGTCTCTACAAAGGATTATTTCACTGCCAAAAGGGTGAAAGATTGGCCTTGACTAATTACTTAGAGGTTATATTTGGAATAGATAACCAGTATTCATTTTATAGATCATCCGAATAGCTAAAAAATAAAAAGATGCAAGAGGGTTAAATATAGCTACTACACATTTCCATATTTTTACTTCTTTACCAGGATTACAGAAATCATAGATTTAGTAGGAGCAAAATAACTATTTGTGATGGCTTGACTCTTAATGTTGGATTTACCGTTACTCATTTAATCACAAATGCAGATGATTTTTCTCTTTGCTTTGTTATATTGAACTCCTGGTATTTGTAAAACATACATACTGCAATGTTGTAACAAGTGGTATATTTTGGTAGTTTTGTCATGCCCAAATCCTAACAGAGGGTTAGTACAACAAGGCCAGTTAATGGTATAACTAGATTAGCTCTCTAGAGCTGTGCTATCCAATATGGTGGTCACTAGCCACAAGTGACTACTTTGATTTAAGTTAACTTTAATTTAAATTAAAGTTGAAAATTCAGTTCTTCAGTTGCACTAGTGCTTCAAAGCTACCGTATTAGACATTTTCACCATTGCAGAAAGTTCTATTAGAAGGCGCTGCTCTGAAAAATCCTAAATTCACTGAGTAATTACTCTAGCTTGATCTCTGCATTTTCTCATCTGGGAAATAAGTAGATGAGATCACCAAGTCTCTAGGATCCTCCCACTTCTGAGATTCTCATCCCAAGCACTTTCCTGATACCTGGGGGCCATGTACAACTCTCAGAAAGCCCCTGTGGTGAGAAAAGGCACTGGTGACCTGGTGAAAACTTCTTGGAACTTAGAGGATTTGAATGTAGTCCCAGCCCTTCAATGCAAGCTATATAATTCTGGAAAAGTCACTCAATTACTTTGAGTTTTTTGCCCATTTATCTAATGAACGGACTCTGCTGAACAATTTCCAAGGCCTGATTTACAATAAAATTCTAGAATGTCATTTTTAAAATACTCCTTGCTGATGATATTGGGTCAAGCAGATTTTGGTACTGTGTAGTCTGTGATGTTTTCTTTGAAAACACTCTAAATTCTCACAACACCTGTTCAAGGAAGGGGAAACTTATTACCATTTTCCTTTTGCTGCAATGGAGCCTTCCCTGTACCCAACAGTTGGAAGGCGCGTGAAAAATTGCCAGCCAAGCAGCTGTTTTCAATATAAAGATTATTGGCATGTGTGCAGGGTATCAGAGTGATCAAAGTTTTCACTTTTTTTCCCAAAAGTTTGGGTGTCTTGTAGACTTACCATGTGAAAAATACTTAGTTTAGTATTTGTGTCTGATTGTTAGCTAAAAAACTATTACCTTGACTCATCAATATTACGAGCAATATAGAAAAAAATTAGTTATTTGATTTGAAAGTTTTGGCATAAATGTTTCCACCAGGATGGGCTTTGTTCAGTTGATGTTAAATGATTAATTATAGAATACTTTAATTTGAGGAGTTTTTCTATAACAGTAGAAGACTAGGGCTAAAATGAAGGAGAAAGATCTATATATTCATTTGAATACTTTTTAATGGCAGGCTTCTATATGGAAGGCACTGTTCTAATGGTGAGCACTCAGCAATAAACAAGAGACAGAAAGTTCTGTTCCAAAGGTGCTTCTATTCTAGAGAGTCTCCTGTAGAGTTTCCAAAGCATGTTCCAAAATGAGAATTTTTCAAGACATTAGAAGAGACTACACGGGCAAACACAGACTGTGCTCACATAAGTTTAGGAAATTGAGTGTTACACAAAATTAAAGTTTTGTTTGTTTATTTGTTTATTGTTGCAGGATTTCCAGAGTTTTAAAAATGCTAAGTGCACTATGAATTTCCAAGACTAGAATATCACAGGCAATGGGAAATAAACCATTTTTTATTCCCATAAATACTTTTTTATTCCCATAGAATATTTCATGAAAATGACTAAAGCTCTGTTGAAAGAAAATAGCTTGGTAGAAAGCCTTTATTGCTGGATAATGGGCTAAGTCATTAGGACTCAAACCTATTACATTCCTTAGCTAGAGTCCATCTGATACTTTTAATTCACTACTAGTCTCCCCAGTGTGGGGTGTAGCCTGGATTCTTTTCCAGGCATATTAAATGCTTGGACAGCCCATCAAATGCACAGCTGGTGCTCAGTCATCCTCAGCAACCAAAGGATGCCTGAGAAGGATCCCAGAGGGTGATGGGGATTTTGCTTTGTTAAATCAGAGCTGTAGCTAACACCATGCCAACAGTGTGGGGTACCCAAAGCTCTTGGATTTTAGACTCAGAAGGCCTGGGTTAAAACCTGAACTCTACCCCTTATTTGCTGAGCATCCTCAGATGAATTGCTGACTTCTCTGAGCCTATTGCCCTGTCTATAAGAAAGAGGAGATTATAGCCGCTCCATGGGTTCGTTATGAGGCTCAGAAGGGATCTTGCGTGTGAGGGTGCTTTGCAGTTTTGGCTCTGACTACCGAGCAGGCCACACTGGCATGGGCCACGTGGTTAATACCCCTCATCTAAAGGGGTATTTTGGCAATGGAGGAAGCTGGGATCCACATTGTCTTCTTACATCTAAATGACAGAACATGGCTCTTCTGCTACTTACAAAGGATTCCTACTCCAGCCAAAACACTCAGCATTGAGGATTCAATAATAGGTACAAATAATGTTCAGATTTATGTAATTTGGGTACAAAAAGTATGCTTATATTCCCAGTACACTTTCAAATATGACATTGCTTATATGTCATTCTTCTTCTTTTTTTTTTTTGTTTAGAGACAGGGTCTCACTCTGTTGCCCAGGCTTGAATGCAGTGGTGTCATCATAGCTTGAACTCCTGGGTTCAAGTGATCCTCCCGCCTCATTCTCCCAAGTAGCTGGGACTGCAGGTGGGCACCACCACACTAGGCTAATTTCTTTATTTTTTGTTGTTTTGTAGAGACAGGCCTTGCTCAGGCTGGTCTTGAACTCTAGGACTCAAGCAGTCTTCCTGCCTTGGCCTCCCAAAGTGTCATTCTTTTTTGAAAAGGGAGCTTGATTATTTCCATATGAATTATGCTATCACCTGATTTTCCTCACAGAGACCAGTGCAATGCAGAAAAGATCACATAAATATTCTTATCATTCAATTATTAGAAAAACTGGAATTTCCTTGGATTATTCTGTGGAATTTACCATCTCCCAACCGCTATTGCAATTATTTGGTCAGCTGGTGGCCTGTCTCAACAGAGAGGGCAGGAAAACAAACAAAAAAAACAAAACTCTTGAGTAAAATTATCTTATCAGTCTCAAGTGGTTAAAGCTGCCATGCAGGGCCCTCTGTGTAAAGAAATAGTTCTCCCCCTTCAACAACTCTGAAAAGTAAAAGAACAAAACTGTGCTCTCTCCAAAAAGCATTAGTGACAGTTAGAAGGCGGAAGGGGAGAGATCTGCTGACTTGACAAACCATGATTACTTTTTACAGCTCATGAAACTGTCTTTTTAAGAGCTGTGCTCTATGACCTTAAGTTTATTGCACTTACGATTCTAGAAATGTCATCTTTTGGAAAGATGAGAAGCCTCAATGAGAAAAGACAAGATTAATAGCATAGCTTTTGCCCAGTGCTAAGCATCTTAGCATTTGTTGCCAAACAGGGAAGAAAATGGAGAGCAAGTGTGCTGCGGGGCTGTGCCATCTGTCAGCACAGACAACCCCTAACCCCACTTCGTTCCTTAATAGCAAGGTCTGTTAGTCTGCTCTGCTTTATAAACTGATATATCATGGCCTAGATTGAATCACGGCTTCCCTCCCTCATAGATGGTGACCTGGAATACATCACATTACTTTCTGTGAGTCCCCATTCCTTCTAGTATAAAAAGAGGGTAGTAACGGCCTTCTCTCTGAGAGTTGGGATAATTGGCAGCTAAAAAGATCTTGATAAAATATGAGTCACGTAATGTCACTCCTTTACTCAGAACCCTTGAATGGCTGCCTGTGTCACTCTGAGTAAAAGCTAAAATCCAGACAGTGGTCCACCAGCAAGACCCAGCAGGATATGGAGCCCCATCCTCTCTGACCTTTTCTCTGACCTCTTTACCTCCAGCCGTGTTGGCTGCCTTATTACTCAGGCAGGTCCCTGCTCATGGTTCTGCCTCAGGGCCTTGACACATACTATTCCTTCTGCCTCGAGCTCTTCTCCCCTAAGTGTTTGCATGGCTTAGATCCTGAGCTCTGAGGACCTCTACCCATATATCACCTTCTCAGGGATCCTATCAACACTATTCACAATTGCAAACTCTTTCCCCAACCCCTTTCCTCCTTTTCTGCTTCATTTTTCTCCAGAGCACTTGTCACCAGATAACATGTTTATTTTACTCATTTATTATGTTTATTATCTGCCTTTCTCTTCTTGAATGAAAGCCAGTGAGGGTAGGGATTTCTTTCTGTTCACTGCTATATCCCAAGCACCTGGAATACTGTCTGGCACATGGCATTCAGTAAGTATGTGTTAGATGAATGGATATTAAATAATAACAAAATTAAAGCACATAGCACTGTGCCTTTGGTTAAAAAAATGGTGGGAGGAGGTAATAGAAGAGGCACTTGAATATGTAGCATGTTCCACATTTTATTCCCATGACTTGTTGCAAGTGTTAAAGAATCAGCCCAGTTATTTGCTAGTCACAAAAGGAACACATGTGAAAGATGTTTTTTTGTTTTGTTTTAAAGAAAATGCTTCTTTACAGAAGAACACCATCTGATAAATACAGAAGGAATGATAGAATCTTAATTCTATCATTAAGAATCACCATTTTATAATCCCTAGTGAAGTCATTGATTCTGGTACAGGTCAACAATAGATGCTAAAACCATAAGATGAAAGATGGATGAAAAAGTGGAAAGCTGAGTGAGGCTAAAATATCAATCCACTGATTTCTCACTAGCCACATAGGTTAAAATATTGAAGAAAAAAACCAAGTATCCTATTGCCTTCCTTTGCAGCATCGGGAGCCCCAGGAGATAAGAGGGAGGCAAGGAGGAGGGGCTCCTGGAAACCCACTTCCACCCATCCTAGAGCCACAAGCAGAGACCCTGAAATTTTTTCAGGACAGGGCTCCTGACACATGACATATGGCCCAGAGCGTTCCCCCACTGGTGTGTGTTTAGAGCAACTTGCAATCTTTAAACTTAGCAATGGAGCTTATGAATGAATTATATTAGCTAATGAAAGCAGTGAAATACTGAGCTATATTTCCCCATTTATTCTATTTTTGCTTCACGTTTCCTTTCATTATTAGACAATTTGATTCAAATTCTATTTAAGTTTTTAAAAAAAGCAACCAGTTACCAATTTCAGTGGTCTCATCTAGCCCCCTTATACCTCGTCATGCTTATCCTACAGCGGACCAATAGTCCAGAAGCCACTGCTGAGGAGGGAGCTTTGCAAGCCTGATTTGTCCACCCTCCCTCTCTGTAAACTGTCAGGAAGAGCCTGGAATAGGTATTAATATTGCTGGTAATTGCACAGCCATTGAGTGCTTTGATTTTTGCAAAGAGAGAGGCGACAAAATTCAGTTGTAAAGTGACTCCTGCGGAAACCAGGAATTCAGCGCCCATAAAGAATGGAGTCATCCGGCCCTAGGCATCCTGACGATTAAATACTCTATGAGGAGGTCCCACTAAGCTTAGTTCCTTTTTCTTTTCTCCATGTTCTGTTTATTCCTTTTGAAAGGAAAAGCAAAACTAGCTTTCCATACCCAGTGGAGAGTTTATCACGGGGAATAAAATGTCAACAAGTCTTGAGAGTAGCTGGGCCCTAGACTGCATGGGGACTGGCTTGTAAGTGATAGCATTTTAAAAACCCATGTGACATTTCACAGGAAAGCAATACAACATCCCAGCGCACAGTGCAGTGAGGCTGGCCAGGCCCCAGAACAGAGTGGCCTCACTAACCACATTCCTTCTTCCTGAGGCCAGCCTTGGGAATTCCTCCTCCTGGGTTTGGCAGGCTGGCTTTCCACTAGAAAATTTGCATAAAATTTAAAAATTTAAGTTTGCTGGTGTTAGAAAAAATGGACAGTGAGAGACCAGAATGCACTACCCCGAAATATGAAGGATTGCTGAGCTGATGGCATTTAAGAAAGAGCAATTACAAGAAAGCTCTCTTCCCTCAGGAAAATACTTTTACAGAGACAAAAAGGTATTCTTTTCCCTCTCTTCCCCACTCTTCTCCCATGGAAAACAAAGGCTAACCACTGAAGACAAGCTTTACTAACTAACCCTTCCTCCAAATTGCCACCAGCCCATACAAACTCAGAGTCCTTTCCCTCTGTTTTATCATTTCTCTAAAGATGTACTGTTCTTTGTTGAAGATGCTATATAAGCTGTACTTCAAAGCCGTCTCTTTGGGATGGACTCATTCCCTGTGTGTCTCTTATGTATATATAAAATATACATGCTAATAAACTTGTTTTTCTCTTATTAATCTGTGTTTTGTAACAAGCTGGCTGGGTGGCCAGCTGAAAAATTAATAGAGTTATTATTTTTCACCTACAAGACCAAAGATGTACTTGGTGTTTCTGATTATATCATAGCCAGAGGGCAATTGTGTGGAGGCCCGCATACCATAGATCCCCTAGTCTCTGGCTCATTTTCTTTCCCTCTTTGAGCGTAGGACTCCCAACTTTTATCTCCACGGACTCCATACTTAAAAACTTGATTTTTAAGCTTGCGCTGTGTCTTAATGTCTTAAGTGATAGCCCAGATGGCCTTCTGGTTTTCATCTAACTTTATAAAATAGGCCTACCTGATATTCTCCTTGGATGAATGCACTGGGAAGTCTAGTGGATGAGGTCCTGGAGGGCTAGTCTGAGCATAGTCAGAGGTGGGGTGGAATGATCTGCCAGACGTCGTTTCCCATGAGTTTTCATGATCAGAATCAAGGCCTAGAATCAGGAGGCAGCCCAAGAGAATCAGCTCAGGATCGGGAGCCACATGGTCAGAGTATGAGGCAAATGGTCAGAACAGAAGGTCAGGTTGAGACCTGGGGAAGCTCCCTAGATCACAGTGTGTCGTTGCAGAGGCTTTTAATGTGGCACCCAGTGCCTTGAGCCTGAATGGGTGGACTGATGAAAAGAGCTAAGAAAAGCAAACATCTCCAGGTACCCAATACCAATTTTGAGGACCTGTCCCAGCCCAGGAAAATACACAAATGGACAATGGTCAACCCGTACATGCCTGTAGGGCTCTGACCCATCAATGAAAAGAGTCAAACTCTGTAAGATATTTGAAAAGATTTATTCTGAGCCATATATGAGTGACCATGACCGTGACACAGCCCTCAGGAGGTCCTAAGAACATATGCCCAAGGTGGTCGGGGTGCAGCTTGGTTTTATACATTTTAGGGAGTCATAAGACATCAATCAAATACATTGAAGATATACACTGGTTTGGTCCAGAAAGGTGGGGCAACTTGAAGGAGGTCGTGGGGGCTTCCAGGTTATAGGTAGATTTTAAAATTTTCTGATTGGCAATTGGTTGAAGGCGTTATTATTAGTAGAAAGAAATATCTGGGTTACCATAAGAGTTTGTGGAGATGAAGGTTTTATTATGCAGACGAAGCCTACAGGTAGCAGGCTTCAGAGATAATAGATTGTAAGGTTTCTTATCAGACTTAAGGTCTGTGTTGATGTTGATGCTGGAGGATATAGTGAGGCAAGTCTGACTCTCCTTCCCCTCATGGCCTGAACCAGTCTTTCAGGTTAAATTTTAGAGTGCACTGACTCAGGAGGAGGTCCACTCAGATGACTGGGGGGCCTTAGAATTTTATTTTTGGTTTATACCCACAACCTCTGCAGCAATTGACCCAGAACAATAAGGACTTGATCAATGGTGGTCAGCTTCACTATTTTTTGCCTCCCCTTGTAACTCTGAACTACTCAGAGAAGGTCAAATATGGTCCCCCAAAACAATCATATAAGATGCGCCACTTCTATTTAGCCTGACTCTGAATGGCCTATGCCAGTGACCTCCAATCAGGGCATACCTGAAGCTTCTCTTTTTACCATGGAGGATGCCCACTCCTCCACCTGTCTATGAGTCTGCTAAATATTAATACAAGCGATGCAGCTGACTCCCTTACTGTAGACCTGTGTGTTCTCATTTGGATAGTCTTCATTTCCAGAAGATCTAGATCTATAATAGACATATGAAGATTCATTATTTAAACAAATATCCCAAGAACCCACACATCTAAATAGTGCCATCCTTTTCAAGTAGTCTCTTGGAAGAATTAAAATATACTCCAAGGATACCATTGTTGGGGCTTTTTAACTCCTGTAGTTTGGCAAGCAGGAGGGAGTGGCACCCAGCAGCTTCTTCTCTCCTGTTGTTCATTGAGCAGGAGAGAGGGTTACAGCTCTTTTATTCCTGCTGCCTGCAGCTTGGCAAACGGAAGCATTACAGCTCTTTCACTCCCACAGGTTGGTGAGTTCCAGGTTCTTGTCCTGCAACCAAAAGGAATAAGGTACACAGACAACAGAGAGTGAGTAAGGCAGAGTAGAATTTTATCGAGTGACAGAAAGAAAGCTCTCAGATGTGAGAGGAGACCTGGAAGTGGGTAGCCCTCTGTGAGACTGAGTCCAGGGTTTTTATGGGCTTACAATGGGGGAGTGCATGCTGATTGGCCCATGGGTGGTCTCGGAAAGCACCATTCGATTGGTTAAAAGGCATCATTCAGAAGGAATCAATAGAGAGAGAGAGGGTAAGATGGGGATGGAAGTTCTCACTCTGGTCATGGACTCTATCTGGAACTGGCAGCTTGGTTTTCAGATTTTAAACTGTTCTTGGCTTGAAGATCAGGTTTCACCAGGGACTCATCCCTGTCTGCCTAGGAATTTGTCTGTCTCCTGTTGCTATCACCATCATTTCTCAAAATATTTTTGGCAGTTTTCTTTTTAGCATTGAATTTAGAGCCAATATGGAATTGTGTAGTGAGTTTACTCTTCATCTGATGCTTTCACATTTTCAATCATTCTCCCCCCTCTCTCTCTCTAACATAGTAACAATCCCTGCTCCCCTGTACATTTCATTTCTGGCCTAGAATATGCCCTCTGCCAGTGGCATTATTAATCTTATTCACCAGCCTTGTCTCCAAAATAACTTCTAATCATTTCCCTGATTAACCCAATTCCCTGCAAGAGTTTGTTCTTTACCAAAATGCTATTCCAAAGAGTGACTCAAGGTTTTTCTATCTGTTTGAGAGGAGACTTGTCACAGACTCTACCTCTCTTTGCATTTTGCAATACTGGAGAATATAAGCAAACATTTAATAAATTTTACTTTGTCCCAAATACTCCCTAAGTTCATTCTCCACCATGTCCTTCCTCAGATGGGGGACACTTCCAGTGTGCATGCCAGAGTGGGGAGAGCAGACCCTCTATCACTGGCAAAGTAGATGGTGTGTTCTCATTTCTTTGACACACATGTGGGACAGACTTTTTTGTGCTTTTTCTGTTCTTGCCCTGCAAATGGTGCAGCAGCGTCTCTGGCAGAGACTTGTTTGGGGGAATTATAAACTACGTGAATACATGTGAGTTGCAAGCAATCACTTTTCTCAGTGTGAATTCCTACAATTAAATGGTAGTTGTCCCTATATATCACTGCTTTCATTAGTAAGGTTCAAACATCAGAAGTCTGCCAAGTGACTCTCTCAGTTCAGGTGAGTTTATAATGATTCTGGCTCTTGTAAAGAAACTGAACAAAGCAGCTCTGGGTCAGCAACGTTCATCTCGTTAAAGCCTGGGGTTGCACAGACAAATGTTCAGGGCATGCTGGAGTGTTCACTATGTACACGGCTGTAGAGCTAAGAGCCCAGTGAAGCACAATTGCTGGAAATGGTCTATAAACAATTCATAATAAGGATATTCAAAAGGGGCACTTTGCTTTGAAGTGATAAAATCATTGAATTGTTCAGAATGCCCACATTGATCCTTTGAAATTCTTCAGTCATTCCCCTAGTATGGTATGCTATGAGGTTGGAGATGCCTGGCAGGATGTTTGAGCAGTTTCATTTTAATTCTTTACTCTATATTAGCTCTTGGGGGGGGGGAGTGGAGAGGAAGTCTCCCCAATCCTTCTCCTCTCATTCTTGTACCTGAAGAAATTTCCTGCCCTGTCATTCCTTTGAAAACATTAATTAGTGCTCAGAGATGTATATTGGCACACCCTTCCTGTCTGCACAAATGACCTTGGGGCTGACAGGAAAAATGAAGCCGACTCAGAGTCTGGTGATTGCCAGTCTGCACATTATCTCCTTGCTGAGACACTACAAGGTAATGAGGAAAGGACATTTCCCCACAGATGTCACCTGTGGGGGAGATGGCAGCCATTTTTCAAGAGCCCAGGCAGCTCTGTGGAAGAGGTTACCCCCAGTCTGCTGTCCCTAACCTGTGACTGAATACCTCTCATCTATTCTGTAGCACTCTGTGCTGATCTCCCTCATAAGGCATCACTCTAATTGCTTGTTTACACATCAGTCTCCCAAGAGGCTGTAAACTCCTTAGGGCGGGGGTTGTATTTTAGCATCACTTTATGACCAGCTGAATCAAATCAGCAACAGTGAGAAGTGACCAAAATCAAAATTTGATGCCAAGCATTTTAGGGAATCAGGAAATAAAATATGTAAAAAAAAAAAAAATATATATATATATATATATAAAAATATGTGTGTGTGTATCTATCATATATATGTACATCTATCATGTATATACATATATGTGTGTATGTATACACATGTACATACATACATTGGATGTGTTGGAATGGCATAGTTTTAGTCCTCTGGGAATTATTTGTAGAAGACATATATCCGTGTAAGATAAATCAAAGTCAAAATTTACCATAAAACTAATGATCATTTTCCAACTGGCTTCTTATGAGACTCAAAAAACTTCACAGACATAAAAATCACTTTGAAAACATAATGCTTTTTAGCGATAGATAATACGTTACTGATAATTAATAGACAGATACAGCTGTATCTATATAATCAATATTGTGACATGTCACTCATAAGTACTTCAGCTTGCATTTTCTAAGAATAAGGACATTCTACTACATAACATTTTCATTATTATAGCCAAGAAAAAATAACATATAACATATCTAATATACAGGCCAGATTTGAATTCCCCAATTTTCCCAAAATTGACTTTCATATATTTTTTTCTCTGATCCAGGATCCCGTCAAGATTCACACATTATATTTGGTTGCTATTATCTCTTTGATCTCTTTAACTATAGTATAGTTCTCAGTTCTCCTGTCTTTGCACTTTTTAAAAGTTTTTTGTAGAGACAAGGGTCTCACTTTGCTACCCAGGCTGGTCTCAAACTCTTGGCTTCAAGTAATCCTCCCGCCTTGTCCTCCCAAAGTTGGGATCCTTTGTACTTTTTTTTTTTAATGACATTTTTATGAATTCAAGGGAATTGTCTTCCTGAATGTCCCATTGTCTGGTTTTATATGATA
This sequence comes from Homo sapiens, assembly GCF_000001405.40. Lineage (NCBI taxonomy): Eukaryota > Metazoa > Chordata > Mammalia > Primates > Hominidae > Homo > Homo sapiens. The sequence goes on from NC_000013.11 coordinate 50,699,599, forward strand.
GTTTTCTCATGATTAGATTCAGGTTAGCCTATTTGGTAAGATATTGCACATAATTTACATTTTTAAAACATTATTTTAATCATAAATATAGTATAGTACTGTAGCAGAAAACTTGGAAAGTAGAAAAGAAAGAGAAGCCACCAATAATCCCACTGACCTGACTCACACGATAGCATTCCAATGCATTTCCAGCCTTTTCCTTATTATTCTTTTTAGCATAGTTTTAATTATATTGCCAATCCAACTTTGTATTCTGGTGGATTTTTATGTAATATCACATCCTAAGCAGTTTCACTGTAAGTAATGGCATCAATACTAACAATATTAACTGCCATTTATTGAGTACTTAATGAGTCAGAAGCAGTATCAGGCAAACTATATTTATTTATTTATTTTAAAGTTCATTACAGCCGTATGAAATAAGTTCTATTAATATCCCTGTTTTAGAATTGAGAAAACTGAGACTCTGATACCACAGCTGGTAATGGGTAAGGAAGAAATTTGAAACCAGATGAATGTGATTCTATCCCACTATCTGTCTCCTATAATTTCTATTGAATGTGCTTTGACCTGTTCATTTCATGTAAACACACTAGTAGCTCTTATCAGCTTAGGCCTGCCCTGCTGCTTTAGCATATTTGACAAACCCTAACTTTTTCTTTGGACTGCCCCTTCAGCTTATGAGCAAAGCCCTGCACTGGCTTCAGAGACTAGTGCTATTTTTTGCCTAAGAACTTAAATCTTAACCAAATTTGGTTTACCCAGTCTATTTTTATTTCTCAAGGAGGCAATGCAACAAAGTCATCAAAAAGACTGGGTCAGGGGTGGGTGAATAAAATCAATCAAGTGAGACTACTGCCAGGGCCAAAGTCTTAAGCATTCCAGGCTTAAATTCCACCACCATGGGTGGTGGTGGCAGGTTTCTGTCCCTGGGCCCCAGAGGCCCCTCTTCGAGGAGGTATTGCCCCTGACAGCGGCATGGCTGTGGATTGGGGATCTCTCTTCTCTTCGGCTCTAATAGGAGACCCTGAAATTTAAGCTGTGCAAAATGATCCTGATGTAAAGGGCCTCTGACCCAAGCACACCCCAGTGATTAGAAATGTGTCAGATGTCAAAGCCTGAAGAAGCACAACTTCTAATACTTCTCAATGCCCTTTAATGTGGGTTATATGCCTACATTTGTCTTACAGCTCATGGTGCCATCCAGGGAGGAGGCAGCAGCAGTAGGAGAAAGCTTTGCCAGCACAACCTTTGGGAGGGGTGTGAGCACAGCACAAAGGAGCCTAATGCATTTCAACCGCAGCCAAGTTAGTGGTTTAGACTTCATAAACATGTTTTAAATGTTATGACTCTTTATGCCATGGCATTCCTACTCCAAAGGATAGCTACCTAAAAATTTAAATATATAAAAAATTAAAAACCCCAATTCAGCAAATAGTTCAAGACTTTGATGAGAAGAAAAGCTGATTAATCATTTTCTTGTTGCTTGCCTTTCTTTTGACATTTTTCTGACCTTTTCCAAAACCATTACACATCTGGGATGCTCAATCATTTACTAAAAGGGTTAAGGCAATATAACCTCCTTGTGATTAAGAATAAAAATGAAGTGGAATGGAGTCCTTCACAGTTTTACAGTTTTACTTGACTCAGGGGTTGGAGGTGGTGATGAGGACCTAGAAAAGTTTCTATTATAATAATTTTCTTTAGTATTTGGTATTGAGAATGATGGGAAAAAATCAAGAGATGTGATTAACCCATGAAACTAGCTATATTTGGTTACAGACTGCCCTAGCCCTATAAGTTATTTTGCGATGCTATCTGTAATGCATTTAAAGAGCCTGTTGTTACCGACATGTGTCAGTTATCTATTGCTATCATGATGCTTCATAAAAAATAAACACAAACGTTCAGTAGCATATGATAATAGATATTTATAACTCCTGCATTTGGAGTGCTTAGCTAGGCAGTATGCTGATCTTGGCTGTGCACGTTCACATATCTGGGGGTAAATTGGCTGTCAGCTGATCAAGGCTTCCCTTGACTGGGATGATTGGGGCAATTTGGCTCAGTTCCAATTATCTTTCATTCTCCAGCAGACATATTCTTGAGGCAATGACAGAGGCACAAGAAAGCAAGCCTCAATGCACAAGACCATTTCAAGTCTTTTGTTGTGTCATATCTCCTAAATTCCATGGGACAAAGCTAATTTTGAGCCCAATTTCAAGTGGTGGAGCAGGTTACCTTATCCACAGTAGGAGGACATTACAAAGTTACCTGCAAAGACCTCGTTAAAGGGATGGTAAAAACCTGGGTCCGTATACCAGGTGATACTATGTCGTGTAGGGTTAAAGTCAGTATGAATTGTTTACCAACAGCTAACATCCAGTGCAGATCCAATCATGAGGACAAGCTGTGCAATAACAACAGGCACGTTGGTGGCTGGTTTCATAAGCCAAGGTAGAAGAAATAAGTTAGGATCAAAAAGTGACCAGGGCTGGGTGGTGGCTTACTCCTGTAATCCCAGCACTTTGGGAGGCCAAGGCAGGTGGGTTGCTTGAGCCCAGGAGTTCAAGACCAGCCTGGGCAACATGGAGAAACTCTGTCACTACCAAAAAAAAAATTAGGCATGATGGCATGTGCCTGTAGTCCCAGCAGCTTGGGAAGCTGAGGTGGGTGGTGTGCTTGAACCCAGGAGATCAAGGCTGCAGTGAGCAGTAGTTGTGCTGCTGCACTCCAGCCTGGGCAACAGAGCAAGACCAAGACCCTGTCAGAAAAAAAAAAAAAAAAAAAAAAAAGGTGGCCAGAAATGTAAATCCTTCCTAAAGTGATCTGTAGATTCAATGCAGCCTCAATACAAATCCTAGCAAGATCTGTTGTAGAAATCAACAAGCAGATTCTAAAATTTTTATGGAAAAGCAAAGTAAACAGATTAGTGAAAAGAATTTGGAGAAAAAACAAAGTTAATCTAAAGAATTAACTCTAAAGCTACAGTGTCAAAAGTATGCATGTTGGTGAAAGAGTCACCACAAGTCAATGAAATTAAACTGAATCCAAAATAAATCCACAAATATAAGGATAATTGATTTTCAACTAAGGAACAAAGGAAATTCAATGGAGGATAGTTTTTTTCAACAGATGTCAGCGAAACAGATACCTATATGCAAAAACATGATTCTCAACCCATCCCTTGCCTCAAATACAAAATCAACTCAAATTGGAACATAGGCCTACATGTAAAACCTAACAATAAGAAATTTCTAGAGGAAAAGATAGGGAAGAGATTTTTGCAACCATCGATAAGTGCTGCTTTCTTAGCTAGGCCACACACAAAAATTAAGTAGGACTTCATTGAAATAAAAAGTGCTGTTCTTTGAAATATACTGTTAAGAAAAAAAATAAATAGACAAGCCACAGACTGGGACAAAATATTTACAAAATACGTATGTTATGAAAGACTTGTTTTCAGAATATATAAAGAACTCTGACAAATAATAATAAAAGTAAACTAACAACCTAATAAAAAATGGCCAAAAGACTTGGACATTTCAGCAAAGAAGGTATGTGGAAGGCAAATGAACAAATGAAAAGACACTCAACAGTATTCGTCATTAAGGATATGCAAATTAAAAACAGTGAAATACTGCCATACCTCTTTTTAACAATAGAAACTTTAAAACGGCAAGGTCAAGAGCTGATAAGGATGCAGAGTAATTGGAACTCTCAGGTATTGCTGGTGGTAATGCTAAGTGCCACTTAAGAAGTCAGTCTGACAATTTCTTATAAAGTTGAATGTCACTTATACAACTGAGCATTTGGATATTTACCCAAGAGAAATGAAAACATAAAGCATTGGAGTATCTACCCGAGAGATATAAAACATCTTCATGTTGCGAGGCATTATTCACAACCTCCAAAAAATTACGAACAACCCAAATAACCACCGCCCAGTAAATAAATGAACAGACTCTGTTACATTGATACAATGGAATATGACAGCAATTAAAGAGAATAACTTGTGCTATATGTAACAACACGGATGAACTCAAATGCATAATGCTAAGTGAAAAAAAGCCAGACTTAAAAGACCACCTGCTCTGTCCTTTCATATGAATCACATGCCACAAAAGGCAAACTATAGGGACAGTAATTGCCAGGGGCTGAGAATGGAGAGAGAGGACTGATCACAAAGGTGCAGAGAGAATGCTCTAGGTCTTGATTGTGGTGGTGCTTACACAACTGTATGTGTTTTTCAAGATCCATCAAACTGCACACTTAAAAAGGGTAAATTTTACTGTATATAAATTATACCTTGAAAAACCTGACTTTAAAAAAAGGGAAGCCAGGGAAGCAAAAGACAGAGCCAGATACATCATACATCACTAACTAGGTGTGTAGCTGAAGCTTCTGTTCCAGCCGCTAAGCATGTGCTGAGCCACGTGCCACCTTTTCTTAGTCTTTTCAGTCAACAGCTATTGTTAGAAAAGACATCTTGAACCAAAAGCTTAGACATTTTAGTACTCTTTTACCCAGATTCCTTTTCTAGAAATGTGTCCTACAGAATGAACCTTAAATTACTTAAGCGCTGATGATGCCTCTTGTGCAGCTCTCTACAGCAATAGATGTAAGAAGTGCTCACTTTCTGAGCTTTGAGGTCATGTGTCTAACTTCTTCTGTTTCCCTTTAGAAAGAATGTGTGCTTGAGTCAGGTTGGTCTGCCACACCTGAGCATTCCATACTCTCTTTAGTCAAATCTCTGGGTTGATAAAATTGATTACTGAGGAGATGATAATAAGATGCTTAACTCCAGATTCTACAGACTGCCTTGGTCTATATCATAGACTATATCTCAGGCCATACCTGCAGGAGGCCCATGGCAGCTTAGAGGGCTGCCTTGTAGAAACTTTGGTCAAATCAAGTCACATCCTAAAGAGAAGAAAGTGGCTAACTTTTAGAAATTGCTGAAACAGATCCTTCTATTGAATAGAAGCCACCCTGAATGGTTGCTCACTCACCATACAGCCTGGAAGAAACCAGGGTCTCTCCTAGGTTCCTATGGAGAGAGGTCAGAGTGTCTAGTCTAACTCTCAAACTCACTTAAACCACCAAAGAATTCACCCTCAGTTAAGATTTGGCTTTATGGCAGCTGATTGGTGATAGTACTAGGGGCAGGGGAGGTAATTGCCTCACTTCCCAAACTTTCAGTCCTATTGGAAGGTGACACAGCTGTAGTTTTACCCATCTTGAAAATGAGAAGGTGATTGGTCCAACCCCCTCTTACATAGATGAGGAAATGAGCACTTGAGATCTAACTATAAAGCCAGTTAGTAGCAAGTGGTGCCACTGATTAAGCCTCCTGATATTCGGTTATGTGTCTGATCAGCTAGCTTCAGACTAAACTGAGTCTTTTGCTTAATAATTTGCCTAAGAAACGCAGATACAACACACACACACACACAAACACACACACACGACAGAGAAAAATACAACTACCATGCATCATGTACACATCCAATACTAAGGAATCCAAATCAATTCTTCTTCTTTTTTTATTATTTATTTATTTATTTTATTGTTATTATTTTTTGAGACGGAGTTTCACTCTTGTTGCCCAGGCTGGAGTGCAATGGCACAATCTCGGCTCACTGCAATCACAGCCTCCCGGGCTCAGCGATTCTCCTGTCTCAGCCTCCCGAGTATCTGGGATTATAGGTGCCCGCCACTACGCCTGGCTAATTTTTGGTATTTTTAGTAGAGATGGGGCTTCACCATGTTGGCCAGGCTGGTCTTGAACTCCTGACTTCAGGTAATCCGCCCGCCTTGGCCTCCCAAAGTGCTGGGATTACAGGCATGAGCCACCATGCCCGGCCCAATCCTTCTTCTATTGGGGTTGTTATTAAAAGAGAATAGCAGAACAGAAAGAAGTCTTAAGAGTCCAGGCTCTGGAGTGGGCTATTGGGATGCAAAATAATCTAAAGTATTCTGTGCCTCAGTTTCCTTATTTGTACAAAATGGATGATGATAATACCTCTACCATAAGGTTGTTATAAATATTTAACTGGTTGCTATATGTAAAATGCTTAGAATAAAGCCTGACACATCAGTGGAAATTCACTATTACTCTCTCCATTGGACTGAAGCTGGCAGCTTTACAATTACAGCTGTTCACATACCATAGTCCCCATTCCTGGTACAGCTACCTTCTTTGTGGCTCTTCTCTTTAGATCAAAGTAGCACCAGATAGTGCAGCAAAAGATCATGTTCATGTTAGAGAAAACTGGTTCTTTACCTCGAATAGCTTCCCATATGTTCTGTGCAAGGTTGGTGCTATAATTTTTTTAAGTACCTGCAAATTTCATTCAGAATAACCATATTTAACTTTTCTCATATAAATGTGGTGGTTGTTCTGGTATGAGATTCAGCTCCCTGTCTGTTTGGGTCCTTGGGCTTGGTTCACAGCTTCTCAACAGCTGTCTTCAAACACGCAAGAATCTACCCTGCCTAGGCCGACTCTCCCAGACGTGGCCCTAGGGTGTTTGGAGCCATGCTACCTCAGGGTATTTTCTTTTTCTTTCTTTCTTTCTTTCTTTCTTTTCTTTCTTTCTTTCTCTCTTTCTTTCTTTCTCTTTCTTTCTTCCTTCCTTTCTTCCTTCCTTCCTTTTTTTTTTTTTGACATAGGGTCTCACTCTGTTATCCACGCTGGGGTGCAATGGCATGATCATGGCTCACTGCAGCTTCGATGTCCTGGGCTCAAGCAATCCTCCCACCTGAGCGTCCTGAGTAGCTGAGACTACAGACATGCATCACCATGCCCGGTTAATTTTTTTTTTTTTTTAATTTTTGCAGAGATAAGGTCTCGCTGTGTTGCCTAGGCTGGTCTCAAACTCCTAGGCTTAAGCGATCCTCCCACCTCGGCTTCCCAAAGTGCTGGGATTACAGGCCTGAGCCACCTCACCCGGTTGTATTTTCCTTCAATCAATGACATTCAGCTTCCTGCTGTCCCCTCCAAGAGTGTGAAGGGCTGGCATCAGGTTGTTGCTGGAAATATCAAGGCAATCAGAAGGCTGGATCATTCCTGTAGCAGTATTGGCTGAGTGTCCAATGGGCTGGAGCCATTGGAGAAGCCAGTTCTGACCATTACCCAGGGTTTACATCTGACTCCATGGGCTTCACTAAAGTTGTTGGCCTGGTTTGGATAGTAAGCACTTGAGTTTATGACTTCTAGATAATTTTTCACTATAGCAGCCAGAGCTCAGGGTGAGCAAAAGGGAAAACTGTGATATATTTATGGTTTCTCTCTGGCAGTGCCTTAGGGTGGTGCATTCTGGAAGGTGCTGGAAGTTGGGCCAGTAGGAGCTGAGGGGATGTGAATAAGGCACTGATAGCATCTGCCACAGTCCCTGATGGGTCCGTTCTCATCCACTTACATCCCACTTAAGTTTAGTCTGTCTTGTCATTGATTCTTAATGGGGGTGACTGTCAATACTTTTTTAAAGGAAAATAGGCTGGGTGCAGTGGCTCATGCTTGTAATCCCAGCACTTTGGGAGGCCAAGGCGGGCGGATTGCCTGAGGTCAGGAGTTCACGATCAGCCTGGCTAACATGGTGAAACCCCATCTCTATTAAAAATACAAAAATTAGCCGGGCACGGTGGTGCACGCCTGTAGTCCCAGCTACTTCGGAGACTAAGGCAGGAGAATCACTTGAACCCAGGAGGCAGAAGTTGCAGTGAGCCAAGATCGTGCCAGAGCAAGACTCCATCTCAAAAAAAAAAAAAAAAAGGAAAATAATTACTGCAGAAAGGTTAGTGGGCCAGGGTACAGTCCCTACACAGAAGCTGGTTCCTAGGTCATAATTAATATTTATGATCCCAGACCTTAAAGTCTGAAGGATCTGAGACCTCTGAGTTCCTTCATCTCTGTCAGTCCATAGTTTCTGTAACTGCCCATTTGGTTACTACCAGGAAAGAAAACACCTAGAGAGATTCCAACAAATCCCCTTAAGAACCAGCCTCTATAATATAATAGCTACTCTATCTCTTCCTGATAAACAGGTAACTTCTTTTTTTGCCTGTTGCTCTACAGGCATGAGGAACCCAAAATAACCAGATGGCAGCTGTTGCTTTAGGGCTAATGTAGTGCTTCCTGTGTCTGCTGGCAGAAGAGCTCTCCATCTGCCAGTTAGAAACCATAATCTCTGGTCCAGCAGACCAGACTAGGGGACAAATTCCCCAAGTAGACCATGGGAAGTGATAGTGTCAGGAGCCACTCCTCCTCTTACCCCTTGTTTCCTAAACCCGTGAGTTCTTCCTGCTGGGGGCATTGTACCCTCAACAACATTGATCTAGACAATATGCCACATTTTGAATGACACCACCAAAACACTGCAAGTGGCATTCTCAGGCTGGAACCCCAGCTGTGCCTTTAAAACAGCATTCAAATTTTCTACCAGACTAGCTCTAGGGTGATATAGTATAGAGTAGGACCAGTGAATACCATCGCTGTGTGTCAATTATAGTACTTCCTTCCCTGGAAAGCAAGTCTGTTGGTCCAGGAAATGTTAGGTGGGATCCTGAAAAAGCTAAATCAGACCCTCTGTGAGTGCTCAAATATCTTTCAAATGCTAGTGGTATTACAGAAGCCAATCCATCAATATCCCATCCAAATCCATCGTGAATATTACAGTACACAGCATAATTACCTGCCACTTATATCCCATCCAAATCTATCATCAATGCCACAGTAAGTTGGGGTTTGCCACCATACCACTTACCACCAGCAATGGGATTTGCTTATTGCTACTTGTCAAGCAAGTGATGTAGCTCCAGACTGTATCCTAAAGATCTGCTTCCTAGGATTACTTCTCGTACCAACTGTCTTAGCTTGTGTTCCACCAGAAGCAGATGCTGAGCTAAGTTTTTGCGTGTAAGTAGTTTATTGTGTAATTGACCCCAGGAAATATCAATAACAGTGTGAAGAAAGGAGACAGGGACAGCAAGGCTGTCTATAAAGGGCACATTGCCAAATAAGCTTTGGCAACTATGGGCGACTGGAGCTAAATGCACTAAGGGGAACTCTAGAAGACCAAGTAGTGCACATTCCTGACTTATCTCTTCTGAGGGGTGAGGAAGCTGGCGCATTCATTTATCAGCTCCCATTTATCATTGGTAGAGGCAACTCCTGGGGGAAGAGAGGAGGGCTATTAACTCCCCTACATTTCCAGCCTGCCACAGTGTATAGGGACTGAAAAAACTGGGTGTAGGAGAAAACTTTCAGCAAGACTCACAAGTGCTGGCACTCAGAAGTTGATCCTGTATGCCCAGATGTGGGAAAGGCTGAGGCACTGTGGGAGTGGTCTGCTATAATGTACAGGAATTATATATGAATACCAGTGAGCGATTAATATGAACCAAGGGCGGCTCTATGCGCTATATGTGTGTCTCATGTATTTCTCACATCATGAGAATAGTAATAGGGCTTACCTATTTACTATCCTCATTTTCCAGATGGAGAATCTGAGGCTCAGAGGTGTTAAACAATTTCCCCAAGGTCATTCAGCTATTCAGTGGAGGTGCTTGGATTCAAAATCAGGGACTCTTCACTTTTCCAGAATATGGAGGACTATGATGCAACTGGTAGTAAGTCACCAACAGACACTGGCTGAGTGAGATTTTCTTTAATACCGAAGGCATTAAACATCATAGAGGCAACTAAACAAAGCAGAAAACCTCATAGCGTGCTCTTGGTTGTAGGTACTGATTTGAGTGCTTATGAGGATTTACAGCTGCAAATAATAACAACTATCTGGAATTAGGCCTTTAGCAGGCATGAGAAGCTATTTTGTTCCATGTGCACAGGTTTTTTACAACCTCCACATCCTACCCTTATGCTATCTAAAATGATTCTAAGGTCTATAGCTATATATTTACCCCAGCACATTTCTGAGGATTGATTGTGAGATTGGATGAATCAGTTGTCAGTTTTCTAGGTGCACTGTCATTCAGCAGGTCTAGGCTTCAGGCATGCATGAGGTTTTTCTTGCAGAGGGGAAGAGTGAGAAAGTGAGGATAAATCTCCTGAAGCAAAGAAGCCTTAGAGAGGACACAGTAAGAACTAGAAGGGCAAATGTCTCAGAGGCCAGTTAAGTATCAGAAAATGAGGAAAGCAGGCTCAGTGCACAGTAATAGGGAGTAGTGAGGACTGTGGCAAAAAGGCCAGCACATTCCCTGTCTGAAAGTGGCAGCAGCTACTCAGCTCAGCCAAGTACAGTAGTATCCCTTTATCTACCGAGATATATTCCAAGACACTCCCCTCCCAGTGGATGCCTGAAACCATGGGTAATACAGAACTCTATATATACTATGGCTTTTTTTTCCATCTAATAACTGAGACAGCTACTAAGTGACCAATGGGCAGGTAGCATCTATGCTGAACAAAGGGGTGATTCACATCCCAGGCAACACAGAGTGGGACTCAGAGATTTCATTACCCAGAACAGTGTGCAATTTAAACCATATACATTGTTTATTTCTGGCACTTTCCACTTAATATTTTCAGACTATGGTTGATCACAGGTAGCTCAAACTGCAGAAAGTGAAACTGTGGATAAGGGGGTACTAGTTTTACCATTTGGGAATGTGGCCCATTGCTTTCAGAGAATCAGCAATTTCGTTAGTTGAAAATACAAATTTCTGTGGGTAGTTTTCTAATTTTCAAATGTTAGTAGCTAATTTACAATTATCTAAAATACTATGTGGGCTAATTTGTGAGCTTTGCCTTAATGTTTGTAAGACTAATTGTCACTGGAAATGGAATTCTGCCTGCCTGTGACCCCTGAGTGATAGAAATAGAAGCCATAAGTGGCAGTTACAGAGAAATAGGCCTTGGTCCAAAATAAGAACACATTTTCTAATAATATTATTCAAAGGCAGAGTGTTCTTCTCTAGGGCATGAGTTGCTCATTTCTATAGATGTTCAAGTATCAATTGGTTGGCATCTTTGCCAGAACTGTGTAAAGGAAGACCAGGCATCAGATAGATGGGATGTTAGACTTCACATCTCCCTTTCAAACCTGAGCTCCTTTGAATCAAAAGCACTACTTTTTCACAAAGGTTTCAATTCAAGCTGGACTGGGCATTCAGAATGAGCCTTTTGGTTTTACTTTCTGTGTCATACGTAGAACACATGTGTGTCTCTTCTGGTCTGTAAATATAGGATGGGACTGAGATGCCTTTTTCAAGGGAAAATGTTTCAAAGGCTGATTATTACTATTTTAGACTTTCTATCTCTTGGGTTTGCCTTGCCCTGAGTTGGCCTGTGTTTCTTCAAATCCACTCAGCAAGGTTCAACTTGGTTTGGCTGTGTCTCTGCTGGTATTATTTTCTATGGAAATAAATGCACACAGACTCTGATAATTTATATACATTCAGATGTAACCATAAGGAGAAACCAACACTTTACTATATATTTTTAAATTTCCATAAATCTGGGATCTGGAAATGAACAATTTTTCTTCTGAACACACAAAATTGGCAAAAATACCAAATTTGCCAATATTGGTATTTTCTGTACCCTCAAAAATATTGAGTATATCAATATAACAATGAAAATGTGAACATTTAAGCAAAAACAATTTGGCCAATTAAACCAGATATACCAATTAATTCAATGACAAAAATAAGTCAAAGAACTCAGCTTTGGCACATGGAGGCATTCAAGACACCAGCATCTGTTTTATTTTTGACAGCAGCGTCTGGTCCTTATATATTCATCTAACACTTTCAGTAGATCTTGACTTCGGTATGAAACTTGCTCACATTTTCAGATCTACAAAGGACAGATTTTAACCATTATTCTGAAAATGCTTTCCTTTCCATAAGAAAATGAAGAAAAAAGCCTGCTTTATATTAAAATGCTTATTTTAGCCATGAAGATAAGCCCTAGCCATTCTCAGATGCTGAAATACTTTGGTTTGGAAGATCTTTACTGCATGGTTCTTGGCCTGGAGCCTTATCACGCTAGAGAATCCAATCCACGTGAATGTTCTGTTTTTCAATCATTTGTTTGCAAAGTCTAATCTGGAAGGGGAATTAATATTATTAAGGACATTTTATGTGCAAGGGCTGTGCCAGGCATTTAACAAGTATTATCTTGTTTAACCCTCACAATGACCCAGTGGCGGGGGCGGGGGGCATTACTACCTATACCTACATGAGAAAGCAGGCTCTGGAGCATCAGAATCAAATCAGAGCCTGGGACTCAGGGCAGCCAGCTCCAAGGTCACACAGGATTTTTTTTTTTTTTTTCTGCGTAAGAAAAATATTGGGGAAAGGAGAAGAGAAATCCATTGTAAACTTAGGTAATCCAAAATTAAATTTCAGGGACCATTTATGAAACTATCTCTTTGAATCGTAATTCCAGTTACACATTAAATTTAACTGTAGGGAGACCTGAGTACAAACATTCATTGATTAGCCTTACAGTAAATTTGTGAGATCAAAACTTCCTAAATCCTATTGCAGATGGTACTAGCCACTGACTTTGACTTTCAGCTGTTAGACTGATCATTAGCAAACAACTTCTGGGCCAAGTGCCCACATCAGTTTTGAGGGAACTTTGGGATTTTTCTTTGCTTTGATTTGTAACAATCTATGTACGCCTTCTTTGGTAACCCTGATGAGAGCTCAAAGTAGGACTTTAAGCAGATATCCTAAGGCCAATATCCCAATTCTGCGTTTGTTTTTTTCCTTGAGGTTTAAACAGTATGTTGAATCAACATTCTATCAAGAGCTTTTTTAGTGCTTTTACCAAGAAGTTGTTAGTGAGAGCTGCATTCAGTTCAACTTTCTTTCTCGGTTCCTTTCCCTACCCTGGTTTAGTGTGTTGAAAAATCCTTTTGCATCAGCATTTATGCAGCATATAATTTTTTTACTCTCATCCAACAGGCACATTTGGATTTACTATTTCACTTGAACAGTTGGTGTTTACTGGCAGCAACAAGAACAAAATTTATAGCAGCAAATGGAAGCTGAACTCGCATGCTGGCTTTGCACTGAAGAACTTTGTGTTTGCCATTTCCTAATTGTGAAAACAATATGTCCAAGATTTTGCAGTCATCAGCATTCTGATGTAACGACTTCCATCTGGTCAAAGGAAGAAATTCAGAACCTCTATCTCCTTTTGAATTCTACTTCAGTGCAAAGGTAACTGGCTTAGGAGAATGTTGGAAGACAAGAAATTCAGACAATACATTCTGAAAAGCGACTATAACATCCACTTTTCCAGGGGATAATTTTCCTGAAGAGCAAACAGGGGTAGGGAATTTGTCACGATCTTCTTAATGGAAGCGGCTCTAATTGGAGCAAGATGACAGGATTACTTGGAGGTGAGAGAGGATAAAGAAAGCAGGATGATTTGTGGCGCGTTCCAATCGGAGGTAATAAGAAGTCAGAGATCCACAGAGACCATGCAATTGGAGACCAATACGAAGGCAATGGAGGCCAACAACGTGGTAATAAGAAGTGGTTTAACATCCCATCTCATCCCATCTGGCATTCAGAATTTGGCACTGGTTATTGAAATATGAAGCTCCTGATGGTCCTCACACTCCTACAGTGACCTTCTTCACTCATTAGCCAGGAGTTGAAGCTGAAAGAAATGTAGCATAATATCTCAAATGCTTGCTTTGCATTTTTTATATTCATTGATTCAACAATTATTTACTGAGCACTATATTGCATTTTAGGAATGGCATTAGGTACTGGAGATATGGGCTAACACACATTTCTTGGCTACCCATTATAGATAATTACATGAGAAACACAAAATATGCATAGAAGGACCCTAATTTCGAGTCAAACAACCCAGGAAGAAGACTTCTCTATAGCTATCTTTATACTTTATATTAATCTTTTTCTTTGTATTTTATGTTCATCTTCTTCTTCCTGAAATGAGAAGGGAAGGAAAATAGAATTCTAGAAATAACCTTACAGCTGCCCTTCACTCTATGGAAAAAGTGAGCTCTTGACAGGAAAGGGGTTCTATCCATGATCTTACAATTCCTAAACAGCAACAGCATCATGGACGTATTTGTTCCTGGCGTCATAAGCCTGCATACGGTAGGCATTCAGTTAATAGGTACTGATTGGTCTAACAGAGGAAGCTGGGCTTGATTATAAAATAAACTAGGCTATGAAATCATGCCTCCTAAAAGCTCATTAAAGGCAGCAACACGGGATGGGGACTGTAAGGAAGTTGTCTCCCACCTGCCTCCCTCCTCAGACACACATCATTCCGCAGATGTGAAAACGACCCAGACTCTGCCCGCATGTGGCCTCCCGGACCGGGCAGTAGGGCCTTGCCCCTACCCTCATGAAGACTGTCGGCTGTGTTACAGAACTGCTGCTCTGTCTCTGACTCCCCTCACTCCCATGCTCTGTTGGAAACTCAAGTTGTGAAACCACAAAACACAGAAAGGAAGTGGTCAACTATTGCACATACTCAAGCTATGTAGTCTCAGTTTATTCCATTCTTGCAGGATCATTGTAGGAAGGCATAAGAGTCCTGCTTACTGGTGAGCCACTGAACACAAACTCCCTTCTCACCTCTGCCTTGGATCCCGCCATGCCTGAGGTCTAGGGCTAGAAGCGTTGTTTCATCCACATTAATTCCGGTCTTGGGCAACGTGGCTATTTTCTGACCTGTCTGTCTTCCCACCCTAGTGGTGAATTCTCTTTCTGGGATCTCAACTCCTTCTCCTGTCACCCAGCTTTTTCCGAGCAACCCCAGTCCATCTGGCATATCATTAGAATGTTAAACCTAAAACGGTAAGCCATTCTGTGAATACCTTTAAGTAACAGGATATTAAAATGAGACTTTTCCTGTTTTCTCAGTGCTAGCTGACATCTTTGAGCTGAGAAAAAAAAATATTGTTAAAAATGCTCATCTATTCTCAGGAGATGTCATCTGCTAAGGAGTGACCAAAAAAATGGTCCAATAACCCTGAAACCATCGCTCAAATCTTAGCTACGCAAGGGGAGACTTGTAAATTAATGAGGACGGCAAGGATTTCATGAGACAGAGCTTTCAGGCTGCTAAAATGCTTCCTCCTCCCTTCTCATGTGTTTTCCCCTCATCTTACGCAAATAAGAGGGGGCCTTCAGAGAATTACTTGGAGAGCTGACCTAGGACCCCTAGGCTTTGGGGAACATAGAATGTATTAGTGTCTATTGCTGCTGAAACAAATTAGCACACATTTAACAGCTTAAAAATAGCAAAATTACTACCTCACAGTTCTGTAGGTTAGAAGTCCAGTGGGCGCGGCTGGTGTGTGGGCTTCAAGCCTCACAGGGCTGAAATCAAGGTGTTGGCCAGGCTGTACTCCCTCCTAGAGGCTCTAATGAAGCATCTGTTTCCAGGCCTCTGCGCCTTGTTGGCGGAATTCAGTTCAATTTGCCTGATGGACTGAGGTCCCTGCTTCCCTGCGGGCTGTCGGCGGGAACTGCCACTGGCTCCTTGCAGCCTCTCTCTGATTCTTGCACAAGGGCACCTACATCTCAGAGCCAGCGAGAGTGTGAGTGTGTGGAATCCTTCTCACGAGGCCTCATCTCTCTGACTTTCGTCGGGAAATGTTCTCTGCTTTTAAAGGATCATGTAATTATTTTGAGCCTACCCGATAATCCAGGATAATCCCCTCATCTAAAAATCTGTTACCTTAACCACATCTGCAAAGTCCCTGTTGCCGTGTAATGTAAGCTATTCACAGGTTCTGGGGATTAGGAAAAGGACATCTTTGGTGGGGGCCTTATTCAGCCTACCACATAGAGATTAGTACCTGAAAAGCCAGCAGGTGAGAAGCTAGACAGAGCAGCCGGTGGCAGCTAAAGGAGAAAGGGGGCGAGAGCTGGAGAAGTCGCACTTCCGCCGATGGCGCAGCAAAGGGGATGTTGCCCTGGAGGACTCAGGGAACGGAACTGGGCTATCAGCCGAGAATGGGGCTCCACTCAAAAGGAGGAACCAACAGGAGACACAAGGAACCCCAGCAGGAAGAAGTCGGAGATGGAGGAGGGGAAGTCATAGCTGGAGGAGACGTGTGTTAGGAAGCTACAATGGCAGCTCCCTAGTGGAGGTGTTTCGGAAAAACTCCGAAGATTCCACTTGAGAAAATCATCGGCCTTCAGACAACGTCTATGCCAGATAATGCTACCAAATCACAACCTTGCCTTTCCTCCCTACTGCTGTTCTGATGTGGGAGGACCCAAAGGCAGCAGAAGAGCCAAAGAAGAGTAGCAGAAAGGTAAGTTTGGCTGTCATGCCCTGGCACACCTTGCTGCTACCCTGCAGCTCCCTGCCACCTGGCCATGCACTGCTTCCCCTCCACACCCTGCTGAGGCAGGTCTGGGCTGGGGACACAGGAAGCTTTGATGTTAGACTGAACTGGACCTTCAAGATCTCAAAACACAAAGTATTTGTTAGTAACTGAAAGGTGGCATAAATGTTAGATCAACCTAGGATTTTATCACCAAATAAGGAAACAAGTTCACTGGGCAGTTCTAAGAAAGAATAGAATTGCTTCCTGCTTGGTCTTTTTTGTTTAATAGACCAGATTCACAAATGCCCCAACCCTTCTCTAGCAATGTGTAGGTTCTGATCACCAAGGGCTATCTCAAGAGAAGGGCCAAACATCTCCATTAACAGGAACTCAAGCCCTTGTTTCATTGAAATGTTTGGTTACAGCTTAATGACCACAGTTGCAAAGCCAGAATATTGAGTTTTTATATGCTATATTATTTACATGGAATAATGCCCTCTTGGTACCATATTGAACATAGTAAATTCTCTGTTAATTGACACTATACAGAAAGAGTACTTTGACTGATCGAGGAAGGCTAATGTTTTTTGATCTCTAATCCTTGGGCTACCTTTTCCGTGATGTCACGGAAAGAGCATTAGACTAGTTATTGTTCTAGAACTGGGACTCTCACTAACTATATACACGTGGGCAGATCATTTTACATTTTTGAGCATTGGTTTCTTCATGTGTAAGGTGGTAACAACAATGTCTCCCCTGCCTTGTTCATAGGATTGTAGGGAGAATCAAATGACATAATGGTCATGAAAATATATTTCTAAGTTGTAATCTGTATATGTAATAAGGTGTTACTAGTAATTGAACATTTATATATATTCTGTAACAGGTTGTAAACTTTTAAAAGAGATCTAGTACACCAGGCTTAATGGACTATTTTTTGAAAGACACATCAAAAACTGTTGACAATAATTGCCTCTAGGTAGAGACATGAGAGTGATGGGAAGGAGGCAGACTTATTTTTCACTCAATTTCCTTTTGTATCTCTTGAATTAATACTATATATACACATGACGCATTTAATTTAAACCAATACAATTCAATAACTATTTGAGAAGTTAAAGAAAAAAGATATATTTATTCTGAATAATAAATTGAAAATAATCTAATCTTTCTGTAAAATGGCTTTTTAGGATCTTTAATACTTTAGCTTTAAGTGAGATGATTTAGTTGATGCAACCAGCACAGAACTTGGCACACAGTGGGTATTCAAAAAGTGGTAGAGCCCTTTGCCTTGAGGCCATCATATGACTATCCACTCCCAGTGAATTTGCTATATACAAGGATATAGTTAATGGGATGCTGGATATTAGAAAGTTTATTGGATTTTACCAGGATGCTGGACACAGATGGTAAGTGGAAAATGCCAGAAAGTTGATGAATCATCTGGTAAACTAGTGGAAAAGGTAAATGGAGCCAGAAAGAGGCCAGAGAGGGCAAGGAAACAGAACAGGTCTGGAGAAAGGCAACTACACTCATTGTATCATGTAACCCACTTTTCAGTTGCTGATGTTTCCAAAATGGTAAGTACATTTTGCAAACTGGAGTTATTCTGATCTTCATGCTATTAAATGCTTATTAATTAACAAATAGCGTGAAGTCTCATTAGCTAGGCTGTGGGTTTTTTTTTTTTTCAAATTTAGGATTTCTCTTCATTTTATGGTAAGGAGCAGGGAGTCCATAAATCAGAACACTTTATGAGAAGTTCTAACACCTAGCCCTAATGCCAAGACTGAGAATCTGATAGCATAGCTATTAAAAATTAAGACCCCTGAAAGACTTCCATTTCTGCTAACAGCAATGCCCAAGGCAGCCAGACACTATGTCTCCCTTTCTGTTTTAATGTAGTTGCATCAATTCTGCTATTCTGTTATAAAGCAAGCACCTAGAATGACATTTACAAAGCAGGCAAAATGAAAATGGAACAAAAACTCAAACTATCACATGCAGAAATCACCACCAATGCCAAGACATTATAGATAATATTGACATAGCTATGGGAAAATTTAAAATCTTGCTGCTCAAAGTGCTTCTTAAACAGCCTCATCAGCATCACATGGGAGCTTGTTTCCAATGCAGAATCTCAGGCCCTCCCCCAAGACCTACAGAATCAGAATATTTTGTTTTACAAGATCTGCAAGTGATTTCTATGAATATTGAAATTTAAGAAGCACTAATTTAAATGTATCAATGTGCTCCAGGTTAAAAAAAATGTTGCTGATGAAAAGACAACAATCGTTTTATCTCAGAAATGAGAAATGGTCAACTTTGGATTTTTCCTTGAGAATAAATAATTAATACATAAATTCAGCCCAAAACATAACATGGAAACATATTTCCAAAGAAAAGGCTTTGAGACAGTGGAACCATTTGGGTGCCATTTAAATTTAAAGAAGGAAATAGAAGAAAAAGAAGATCAAAGATGGAGACTCCAAGTCTTGGCAATTGATTGAACGTGAAGTCCTGTGAAGACCAAAGGCTCCCCACTCTGGTGATTAGAATGAGGGGCTATTGGCTGGAGAAGGAATCTACTAACTAGTGAGGTACCAACAGAATGGAGACCCAAACTAGGACATTTAAAACCTGGGATTTTTCTTCACGGGATTGCATGTTTTCTGAATCAGTCATTCTGTTTGACACCAAAAGTAGCTTTTATTGCTTTCCCCACCATGGGCCCTTGATTTAAAAGGCTTCATCTACCAAACACTCTCTTTTGCTAAATAAGAATATTTCCCCATTTTTATTCATTAAAGTCCTTTTGATCAGTGTCAGATAATGTGTGACCATTAAATTTGCTGTAATTCTACATAGAAGCAAAGAAACTTGATAATTTGGTTGGTATACAGTTTTCCATATATGGTTTTGGTTAGAAAATAACTCAAGGACTTTCCCTAATTGTGCACAAGAACAAGAATCCTTTGCTAACCTGAGTGAAATTTCTTAGGACTAAGGTCAACAATGGGGGTTATAAAATAGGAAGGGTTTTCCTACTGTTTCTGTAATGAGGTCTTCCCATTAACAAATTCAGTTAAAGTCACTAGGAATTAACTTACACACCTGGAAATGCTCAGACCTGTCCCACTTGGAAACAAACTGGAGAAACAGTAGACATCAGCAATCAGCGGGTGACTCTTTATTTTGAATTTGGGAATAATAAAATAAAGAAAAATCATTTGTAACCGTCACTTGCAATGTGGAAGGCCCTCATCATTCTAATTGCAGGGGCTGGGTTATAATCCATTACCATGAATAATTTCTTCTAGAAAGTGCCTATATAGTAAACCAGACTATCAGGACTCTAGCCAGCTTTATGTTACGTTTTTGGTGATTTAAGGAATTCTGTTACAACAGGTGACATTTTTGAGAGTGGAAATATACTTATATGGAACAAAAGTCTTAACTCCATGAGTAATTTTTAGTTGGCAGAGGTGCAAATTCTTCTTCAGTATTTCAGCATGGAGATTTTTAGTAAGGTTTTCAATTAATTAAAAAATTTAAAAACTCTTCCTCATAAAAACTCCGTACCTCAAAGGTAACTTTAATAGGTGCCTAAACTAGCTAAAAGATTGAGCTCTGTGTTGACATTTTTGGAGAATAATGCGGCAGCTGTTATGTTTGAATGTGTATTTGGGTCCCACCTTGAACAGACGGGAAACAACTGTTTTAAAATCTCTTTTCTCTGTGTAGGTTTAGGTGCAGTCATCTTGGATTTGAGTCGTGCTTGTGAATTTTCATGTGTTACAACAACCAGGTGAATATGCTGCTGTGATTCAATGTCAGTAGGAATTAATACGTGGTTTAGTTAGCAAGTTAGAACTGTCTCACATTAGACATGACTTTAGACAGTTTTATAAGAAAAATGGAATGAATTGAATATAGTCACTTGAGTTAAAGTATCTTTTACAGTCTCTCTATTCCTTTGGAGCTGATGGCAAGCCTAGAGAAGCATGCTAAAACAAGCTGACCCGAAAGTCACATTCTTCTAGTTCTCACTTTGTGGAGTAGGCACAATTCAAATATTGTAGAAGAATATCTGTTGACTTGGGGATTTGCTAACAAAGTTGAAAAACAAGCAAATTATAAAATGGTATCATGTAATAGACAACAATTTTATGGCTATCTCAGTGGTTTCATTGGTTCCTCCTCCTGGGATGGCAGCTGATCCTGGGCATGCTCTCACAGTACTACAGAAACACAGGAGCCCAGGCCAACCTCTAGGCTTGGAACCAGGGCATCGTCCCTTTTGCCTTCTACTTTGGGCCAAAGCACATCATGTGGCAAGCTGAGAGTCAAGGGGCATAGATACAACCTCAAATATGTTTCCGTGTGTTTTCATTTTTCCTTTCTTCCCTTCCTTCTTCATATGTCAGCCAAACTTGGTAAGATCTTTAAAAATGGGGCTCTTGCAAGCCTAATGACCAGATCAGGGCAAGATCAGGCTGAAACATCCTTTAGGTGAGCCAGATCTAGTGCTTTGCCTCCTGCATTTGGGGAATGTGATGATGTATGTGAGAGCACCACTAAACTGCAACATGCAACCTGTGTGAAAGACACACAGACACCATCCCAGACTATTAGACAGTTTTGTGGTTGTTATTGTTTTATTCTCATGTTATTGTTTTATTACTTAGCAGATTAACAAATTCTCAAACTAAATTCTATCCTAATATTCCTCCTAAACTTATCCTGTAGACATGTGGGACCACTTTCTCACTTATTTCTTAACAGAGAGGAATAAGAAATGGTCACAATCCTCTTTATACTTAATTTGACATGATAAACTTTTTAAGATGAAGAAAAGTAACTCCCTAAAATTATAGAAAAGGTGAGCAAATAATTGTATAAATCAGGGCAGGGAAGCCCTTTCTAAGTAACTTAATATCAAAGACAGGAGCCCTAAAGGAAAAAAAATGTAGATTTGGCTATATATGAATTTAGAATATTTATATATTAAAGCCCAGTGTGATGGTTAATATTGAATGTCAACTTGATTGGATTGAAGGATGCAAAGTATTGTTCCTGGGTGTGTCTAAGGGTGTTGCCAAAGGAGATTAACATCTGAGTCAGTGGACTGGGAGAGGCTGACCCAGCTGCAATGTGAGTGGGCACAATCTAATCAGCTGCCAGTACGGCCAGACTAAAGCAGGCAGAAGAAGGTGGGAGAAGCCGACTTGCTGAGTCTTACGGCTTTCATCTTTTCTCCCCTCCTGGATGCTTCCTGCCCTCGAACATCAGACTCCAAGTTCTTCAGCTTTTGGACTCTCGCACTTAGACCAGTGGTTTGCCAGGGGCTCTCGGGCCTTCGGCCACAGACTGAAGGATACACTGTCAGCTTCCCTACTTTTGGGGTTTTGGGACTGGGACTGGTTTCCTTCCTCCTCAGCTTGCAGACAGCCTATCATGGGATTTCACCTTGTGATCGTGTGAGTCAATTCTCCTTAATAAACTCCCCTTCACATATACATCTATCTTATTCTGTCCCTCTAGAGAACCCTGACTAATACATCTAGCATTAAAAAAAAATGCAAGTGATAAACTGGGAAATAATATTCATAATATATATGACAGATTAAATGTTTGTTATTTTTTGTTATATTATTTATGTTACTACCAAAATGGCAAAAAAATGAATAAAAATAATACAAAATTATAAACAGAAGAAGAGACAATGGACAAAGGAAATAAAATTTTTGAAAGATGGAGAACAGGTAAAAAGATCAACAGAACTGAAAACTCAAGCATCAAGTAACTGTGAAGGAAATGCCAGTGAGAAGCAAGCCAACCCTTGCAAGGCAGCACTAGAAAGTCTAGGCATGGGAAGTACTAGCTAGTGTGGAAGGCAGTGCATTTCACAACAGGAACAACGTAACATCCAATAAGTATGACCAATACCTTCAAAATCACTAGAAAAGAAATGCAAATTTTAAAGAGATTTATATCAGGCTGCAAAGGCTGAAAATATAATATTCAGCATTTTTTTTTCATTCATTCTTCAAATATATGCCAGAAGCCAGACAACCCTTTTGAAGAGCTTTTCTGCAAAGGCCCATTTACATTTCCTTCACAGAGAAAGGTGAGAGCAAGTAGAGAAGAGCATGGGGTTGTGTGGATTGTGAGAATGGCCCCGTTTCTTCACTCATCTATATAAAGAAGCCCTTTGCCACGTAACTTTGCAGTGTCCTCCCAACATGGCTGGAGTGACCTGCCCCATCCTTGACTCTCAGCTTGCCATGTGACATGCTTTGGTGTAAAGAATAAGGTGGAAGGGATGATGTCCTGGTTTTAAGCCCAGAGGTAGGCCTGGGCTCCTGTGTTTCTGTATCATTATGAGAGCATGGCTGGGTTCACCTGCTTTTCCAGGAGGAGGAACCAGTGGGAACACTAAGATAGCCATAAACTTCTTCTCTATTACACTATACCCTTTTCTAATCTGTATTTTGACTTTGTTAACAAATCCTCAAGTCAATAAATATTCTTCCATAATATATTTTTTGGAGATTCTTGCCACTACACTTCTGGGAAACAAATGAACAAATTACATTTTCTATGTATTATTTTTCTGCTTATTTACATTAAATTAAAAAAATTCACAAAACAAGGAATACGCTATTGCAGAGTGGGTTAGGCAGTGGAATTCCTTTTCTAAAATACAATGTTATCTATTTAAAGCACACTCAGCAAAATGCTTGGCTACCTTCACAGAATTCTCTACCATAACATTAATCTATTACTTTAGCGTTTCAGAACAAGAATTCATCCTCAAGTACTATTGTCCTTCATAAACCATTCCCACAATTTTTTTCATTATTTGAAAAATTAAACTTATTTTGAGATGATTATAGATTTGCATGTAGTTGTAGGAAATACTACAGAGATTCTGTGTACCCTTTATCTAATTTCTCCCAATAGTAGCAGTTTGCAAAACTATAGTACAACCTGGCAACCAGGATATTGACATCACAGCATTCCATTGATCTTATTCAGATCTCTCCAGTTTTACTTGTACTCATTTGCAAAACAACTTTAGAGGCTATGGAATATTCTATTGTATTGATAAATGTATCAGATTTTCTTAAGCAATCCCTTAATGTTGAACATTAGTATGTTTCTAATTTTCAGTGCAATAAAGGTTTCATAAACATTTTAATATAAATTTTATTGCATATATCTGTTTTACAGATTAAATTTCTTCAAGTGGAAATATTAAGTCAAAGAAATTACCTATTTCTAATAATTCTTACTGAAGAAGTGAAACCTAGCAGGAAGAATTGTATTTGGTAACTAGACTTTCAATTGTATTTTATAATTAGCCATCAATTTTATTTGATAATTAATGTATATTCTTCCCAATATACAATAACATCCCCTAGTTTAAAGAAACAACAAACATTATGGACCTCTATATCTATTAGCTACCATCGCATAATATTCTTCGGTAGTTTTAAACAATAATTGTACACACACACACACACACACACACACACACGTATTGGTCATCTCAGGCTTCCATAACTAAATACCATAGGCGGGGTGGCTTAAACAACAGAAATTTGTTTTTCAGGGTTCTGGAGGTTGGAAGTCTGAGACCAGGGTGTGACTGTGGTTGGGTTCTGGTGAGAGCGTCTTTGGTTTGTTGACAGTCACCTTCTTGCTGTGTCCTCATGTGAGGGGAAGTAGAGGGAGAAAAAGCTCTCTGGTGTCTTTTTTTATAAGGGCACTAATCACATCATGAAAGCCCCACCCTCAAAACCTCGTCTAAGCCTATTTATCTCCCAAAGGCCCCATCTCCAAATTCCATCACATTGGAGCTTAGGGCTTCCACCTATGAATCTTTCTGGGGTGCAGTATGGTTCAGTCTATAGCAGAAAAAAATAATAAAAAAAATATATATATGTACACACACACATATATATATATAATTTATATTCATGTATACTTGTATAGTTGAAAGTCTCCAAGATAATGAACAAAATGCTGAATGGTTATTTCTGGGTCATAGAAGGAGAGCAAATTCTAGAACTTTTTTCTTTTTGTTTCTCTGTGTTTTCCAAGTTTTATTCACTGAGCATGTACTACCATTGTGTTTATAAAATATTAAATTTTTAAAAGAAAAAGATGTTTTAAATTATGAGGTACAGATGGTCAATACATTTAATAATAAAAGTTGGAATGGCACATAGCCCATCACTAATTGAAGAAAAAGCTTTAGAATATGCAGTCCTTTAAGCAAACTAACCTAAAACTAATGAAATCCCCTTGTTCGTGATGATAGTTGCTATCACTCTCCTCTTAACTGTCTTTCAAAATAATGATCACAGGCTGAATCTCTTTTCTACCAGTGTTCTATTTATTAACTTATATTATAAAATTACTTTTTTCTTTTGTGAATGCACACCATACTTCTTCATCTTTTATCCCTGGGGCTCCCAGGCAACATCAGAGTGAGATATTTTTGTGAGTCTCAGATATTATTAAAAAGATGCTGTGGGAGGGTTGATGGAAGCACACAATATCACAGCTCCTCTTCCTCTTTTCCTACGGATGAAATCTGGCAGGCAAAAAAAAAGCAACAAAAACAAAAATTAAAGGACTCCCCAAACAAGGTGAAAGTGAATTAGAGGGAAAGTTGGGATAGTGAAAGGGAAGAGAGGCACAGAGAAAGAGTCAATTGCCTTGGAGATGATAGAGGAGATTCTGTCAACCAGGATATGTTGGGTGTTGCTGCAGTAACAAATGCCCTCCAAATCCTATAGCGCATGCCTCACTCACTCAGGCTATCGGCCCATCGCATCAGGGTGAGCTCTGCTCATCAGCATCACTCAGGAGCCCAAACTGCAGGAGCAGCCACCATTTCAAATGTCACTGGTTGCCACACTAAAAGGAAAAAGAGAGTGACTCTGAGGGTCCCATGCCAGCGATTAAATGTTTCGGTCTAAAAGTGACAGACATCATTTCTGCTTGTAACCTACATTGCCTCAAACTATTTATATGTTCCCACAACAAAGGGCAGAAGGCCTTCCTACCGCAGGTGTTCCAGAAGACCTGGAAATACTTTCCAAACAACGCTAATATCAATAGCCCATGGTCCGGGCTGACTGTATGTATGTAAGCCAAAGTTAGTTGACACAATGCCCAGCTCCCCCGTTCACAATGTCCTTGAGTCTCTCCCTGGTGCCAGCAGTGACCTACCTTGCCTCCACTGGCCACAAGTATGAAGTGTCTGCAAAAGAAAGCCCACTGACCCAAAGAGAAGGGAATCCAGGTCCCAATCTTCTCCAGCCAGCCACGTGGTCATGGGCTGTGATTTTGTCAATGGGCTCATTGACAAAATTAGGAAATCCCTGAAATCTCTTTCTGCTCTAACCTGCTTTGATCCTTAGTGATGTGCACTTGTGCACCACTTTGCCAGATTGTAGGAGGATGAGAGGCTGTGCACTGCTTAAGATCTGAGGTTTGGTTTTTCCCTCCTTTAGTCAAGACAGGCTCTGTGTGCATGGAGCTCCTGCCCAGGTCTGCCTCAGGTCTGAGCCCAGACAGCAGCTGCTCCACCCCTAGGGCTTGTGGAATTAGCTATCTATGAGATTACAAAGGAATTAGCTATCTATGAGATTCAGAATGAAAAGTGAGCCCGTGTAGCATAATTTCATGTTTTCATCAAGAGCTAGTAGATTTTAAAAATCAAAGAGAAGGCAGGAAAATCAAGCAGTGGTCAGGAGCGGGGGCATGGGAGGGGAAGGAGACGCCGTGTCCACCTACAGCCATGGTTCAGCTGCTGGGTTAATCTGACTGTTAAACTGAACAGAGTTTGATGAAGTTTTTCTATTTTATTTTATTTTTCTGTACTACATCAACCAGTGGATTTTTTTTTTATTTCACTAAGTCAAACAATTATTTTACCAGTTTAAGAGGTATTCTATGACTATTAACAAATAACTCTAATCATGAAGGTCTTGGTCTAGACTTAATTAGCTTTTGGTGGTTTGGATTGGAAATACCTTATTTTTCTCATTTACTTATCATCTATTTTTGCAGCATCATTTGTATGCAGCTAAGCATTATGTCAGGCCTCAAGGATACAAAGATCAATGCAGTGTGATTCCTGCCTTCAAGGGACCTATCACTGTCTTGGAGAAGTAACGGTGAAAATTATAGTCAACAAACTACATGACTGCTTTCCCTACTTCTGCCCTGTGGCCTTAGGACACTTAGGTAACATGGCCTTGCCAACCTCTGGGTGCTATTAGACTCATGAGATCCCCAGCCAGGCCTCTCCACCTCAGCACTTTGTTGATTTGCCTCCTTTGACCATCCCCAGGGCAACATGCCCATTCCTTTTTCTGTTTTTCTAGCTCCCCCACCCACCCCTCCTCAGCTGACAGTTTACTTCTCCAACTTCAACAGCTTCTACCCAAATCCCCCTGGGAACCAGCCTGCAACAGCCACCTGACTTTCCCGCCTCCTCCTTTCACGGAACACAGGCTTCCATTTAACCAGAAATACATGTTTTTTAACTTAAATTTCCCTCGAAAATACACAAGGGTTTAAATTAAGGGTAAACGTTGCATTTTCAAATCACAAAAGTTTTTGCCAAAATTCACAATGTTTGAAAAAAATAGGTTGAGACACTTTCTGAAAGGTTTTCCCATCTGCAGTGAAATTTGTGGATCGCATGGGAGGTCTTTTCATGTGTGTCATCGTTCTAAGAGCCCACTGGCTATGCCTTTTATTTCTCCAGGCATGGGTGCACCTCGGGGGTGGGCTGAGCACCTATGAGTCTAGGTGGCAGTTTCTAATTAGGGCTGTGACCTTGACCATGCCCCCTACCTTCCTGGGCCTCAGGAAATGAAGATGGAACCAGCTCCACTCATAACTGAGCCTGGAGACTTCATGTTTCTAGACTTACTGAGATTCTTGGATGACACATGCCAATTAATCCAGTTAATCTTTTTCTTATCAGCAAGAGGCAAGAGGAAAGTGGGGGCACGGGGAAGGTGAAATTATTTATATCCTCAATTTTATATGTTTTTCTGGGCAATGTTTTAAGCACTGCACATACCATATATCTGCTAGAGGTGCCCAGCAATGTGAGACAAAACTCATAGCAGGCAATGGAATGAAGAGCCACCTCCTCTGAGCTACAAAATCATTGCTATGCTAAAAACTATAATTCTACGAGGTCTATGACTTTTTTGTCCTTAATATGTGCTAAGTGTTACCCAAAAAAAGAATAAGAAGTTCTGTACGCTCTTGCATACGTGTGTGTGTGTGTGTGTGAGTGTGTGTGAGCAAGGAGGTTTCCGAATGTATGAAGAGGCAGAGATTGAAAAATCGTCTTGTGCTATTCACAAGTATGAGGTCTAGGTATTTTTTTTTCTCTGTTTTTAGTAAGCATGTGTGCATGCATTTAGTGGGTGAGGACTGAAGAATTAACAAAAGCTCCAACCAAATACTAATTTGTTCAGTGAATGTGAAGGTAATCCAGGATGAGGCCTGATTTCATATTTGCATGCAATCACAGTATTTTCTTTGCCACCGAGTTGTTCATCTGGGAGGTGGGGGTCATTGACACCAGCTGGTTTGAGGTGCCACACCTGTGAAGGGCTGCTCCCATCATTCTCACCTGACTCTCATGAGAAGCTACATCCCCCTAAGGCCTGGGCTCCCTGTGATTCCCAAGGAATCACGTTGGGAATACCTCCAGGGTTGCTGTGTCTGTTGGTCTCAGTTCCCTGGGCCAGTCCTCTTCCACTTCCCTGAAGAGATTCCAAGTTATCCTCCTGGCTTTTCTCGGACCCTACACTGATCCCCATTACACCCTCAAGATGTGCAGAGCTGCACACTGCTGTGACTTTGGGTTATTCTGCATGAACACTCGGTGTCAACGCCAGGCAAGCTGGCTCCCCAGCCTCTTCCAGAATGAGACACCTTCTCTCTGCTTCTCCCCTGTGGGTGCTGGATCACTGCAGGTAAGTCACCTTGGGAATCTGGTGAAAATAAAGTTTCTTTCTTAGTAGATCTGGGGTGGTGCCTGAGAGTTTGCATTTCTAACAGCTTGCAGGTGAGAAAGGTGCAGTCCTGACTTTTTGAGAGCAAGACTTTGAAGTGCACCTCAGGCTGCAGATGTTCATACCTGGCAGGGTCACCTTCTTGGCCTCTGGCTCCAGCCCTGGCCACAGGAACACCTCTCAGGAGACAGGAAGAAGCTAGTCCTTAGGTTGTAAAGTAATCACATGAGGTTGGGCTTTGGTCGGGGGTGGGAATGGGTGTCTGCAGCTTTTTCCAATTACAGATAAGAAACTAGTTGTTTTAAAGACAAATAAGAAATATAATAGACTAACATTGCAGTTCCCTAGATATATATAGTCTAAGAAATAGTGGTCCTATGTGATGTTAATAGGAGTTATGTGCAAAAGGAATCTCTATGCTCAAATGAGTTCTAGAATTTAAAATCTAAACACAAGGTTAAACAAAGTTTAATAGGTTTTTACTGCAGAACTTTTCAAAAGCTTTAATAAGTGAACGTACATTATAGATCTCCAAGAAGGACATAAAGTATGCTACACTCCCCAAAAGTGTTTTCCCAGGAAAGCCCTATTTTTTTTTCAGCGAGGTTAATAGGACTAAATCTCCATGGGGAAGGGTCAAGCTCTTTGGGAAAGTGCATCATAGGAACCCACCAAGAGTTGACTTCATCAGCCTTTCTCAGCTCTTCTTTTGCCTGCCCCAAAGATTACAGAACAGGAGTGTTTGTTTTCTCAGATTCATTTGTGATAACTTAGTCATTTTAAGGATGTTCATGTGTCCATTGACTTTTTTTTTCTTTACAAATAGCACACATTTCTCTCAAATGCTAAGCCTGGAATATAAAAATTATGTCATCATGTCACCTGTTCATATGCACATCATACTCACTACTGAAGGGTATTCCTTTACCACTGTCTCCCCTCCTTAATATACAGTTGACCCTTTACAGGGGTGAGGTTTGGGGCAATGACACCCACACCTGCACAGTTGAAAATCTTTGTATAACTTTTTTTTCAGAATTCTATCAGATATATTTATTTATTTATTTGTCTGTTGTTTTTGTTTCAGAGAGACATGTGCAGGTTTGTCACGTAGGTACATTGGTTTCACGGGTTTGGTGTACAAATTATTTAATCACCCATGTATTAAAATAAGCATAGTACTCCATAGGTAGTTTTCAGATCCTCACCCTCCTCCCACCCTCCACCCTCAATTAGGCTAAAGTGTTTGTTATTCCCTCCTTTATGTCTATGTGTACTCAAGTGCTTAGCTCCCACTTATAAGAAAGAACATGCAGTATTTGGTTTTCTGTTCCTTTGTCAGTTCACTTAGGATAGTGACCTCCAGCTCCATGCATGTT
The DNA here is from genome assembly GCF_000001405.40 of Homo sapiens. Taxonomy (NCBI): domain Eukaryota; kingdom Metazoa; phylum Chordata; class Mammalia; order Primates; family Hominidae; genus Homo; species Homo sapiens. The sequence continues at coordinate 50,729,344 of NC_000013.11, forward strand.
GCTGCAAATGACAATATCTTATTCTTTTTCATGGCTGCATAGTATTCCATGATATATATGTACCACATTTTTTTTATTCAGTCTACTATTGATGGGCACCTAGGGTGACCCCATGTCTTTGCTATTGTGAACAGTGCCACAATGATCATTTGTGTGCATGTGTCTTTATGGTAGAAATATTTCTATTCCTTTAGGTATTTACCTAATAATGGGATTGCTGGATCAAATGGTACTTCTGTTTTAAGTTTTTTGAGAAATTACCAAACTGCTTTCCACAGTGGCTGAACTAATTTATAATACAGTGTGTAAGCAGAGTATAAGTGTTCTCTTTTCTCTGCAGCCTTGCCAGCATCTATTATTTTTTGACTTTTTAATAATAACCATTCTGACTGTTGTGAGGTGGTATCTCATTGTGGTTTTGATTTGCATTTCTTTGATGATTAGTGATGTTGAGCATTTTTTCATATGCTTGTTGGCCACGCATACATCTTCTTTTGAAAAGTGTCTGTTCATGTCCTGTGCCCACTTTTTAATGGGGTTGTGTGTGTTCTATAACTTTGGACTCCCTGAAACTTAACTTATCGTCTATTTTTGAGCAGAAGGCTTCCAGATAACATAAACAGTTCAATTAACACATATTTAGTATGTTATATGTGTTATATACCATATTCTTACAATAGAGTAAGCTAGAAAAAAAAAGAATGTTATTAAGAAAATCATAAGCGAAAATATATTTACTATTCATTAAGTGGAAGTGGATCATCATAAAGGTCTTTATGCTTGTTGTCTTCATGTTGAATAGGCTGCGGAGGAGGAGGCAGAGGAGGGGTTGGTCTTGCTGTCTCGGGGTGGCAGAGCTGGAAGAGGTGGAAGGGGAGGCAGCACACTCAGTGTAACTTTTACTGAAAAAAATCTGCAAGTAAGCAGATCTGAGCAACTCAAACCCATGTTGTTCAAGGGTCAACCATGTAAGCAGAATGGTTGTGGTAGAGCAGAGGAAAGGTAAGAGAAAGAGTATTTAAAACAATGAGAGCAATATATTTCCCTCATTGCTTATCACTTGCAATTAGAAAAGCCCAGCAGATTGATTTGGTTAAATATTTTGAGTAAGTTTAAGAATTTTTCTTTCAAATTCAAGAGTTTGTCTGGGCAGATAGTAGAAAAAATATAAGATAAGTGAACTCAGAGAGCAGTGCTTCCTCTAGATTCTGCTGAGGGGTCTCCATCCTGGTGAATATTTCCTTGAACATAGAAGTAAAAATACTTTCCAGGGAATCTCCTGGTTTTTAAATCAGAGTGTGGCATGCAACTGGAATTTCTGTGGTTGTGTTTCAGGCAGGCAGAAAAGGCATTTTACAACTTCAAATCTGTGGGCAATTCACTCAATGGCTGCATCCCAAAATTCTGCATCCCAAGATTACCAAAATTCTGTTGGTTATCTTTGAGAGAATTAGATAAAAAAAGATGGAGCAAATGAAGGTGTGTGTGTTTGTGTGTGGGTGTGAGGTAGGAGAATAAATAGAGTCTGGAGACAGGGAATCCATGGCTGATTCACTGACTTCCTAGAACTTAATCAAAAGGAAAACCCCACCTCTCCACACCCACATAACAAAAGGATCAGAGGCTACTCCTTTTACACTGCATAGCCGATGAAAAATGGAAAGTACCCCTGATTGGTCCCCTCCTGCAACCAATCAGACAGGTCGTGGCCCAAGTCTTCATGTCTAACTTTGTAACTTCACTTCAGCCTCTGATTGGTCACCTCCTGTGACCAGAGTGGTCGTCGGCCAAGTCTTCATTTATGGAGAGTGTAACCAAGTAACCAATGGGAAACCTGTAGTGGGTATTTAAACCCCAGAAAATTCTGTAACCAGTGCTCTTGAGTGGAGTGTACTTTCATTTCAATAAATCTGTGCTTTCATTGCTTCATTCTTTCATTGCTTTGCTTGTGCATTTTGTCCAATTCTTGGTTCAAAATGCCAAAAACCTGGACAACTTGTAGTCAAGGCCCTCCACTGGCAACATGTATATGTGTTTTTGAGGTGGTAGGTAGCTGAGATTGAAGATGAGTGGATTTATGAATTGAATAACAATAAATATCCTACTTAAAAATGTTAAAAGTTGGAAATCATCTCTTATTGTGATAACATATTTCTCCTCCCTGGGAATCTGTTGGACAGATTGGAGCTGGCAGGGTAGGGCCTGTATTGTTGAAGTTGCCATGGCTACTGCAGGAAGTGAGCTTTCTTCTAAAAACCTCACTGGCCCAAGAACAAGCCCAGGCAAGTCTACAATTCAATGACTTAGAAGTATTTTCTTATTCTAAAATGTTGCACTGATAATTGCTAAGAAGTATAAACAAAGGAAAGGGAGGCTGTTTGTCTTTGTCTTTCTTCCTAATTAGTCCCTTTCCTTACATTTTCCTTAATTATCTACACACCTGAATACAAGTCCCTCCCAATTACAAAGCCAATGCCTATTTTTTGAAACAGAAAATTTTAAAAACATTTTTTGCCAATTTGAACATATAAATATTTAAGCCTCTAAGTGAAATCGTTAAAAATCTACTTATAATATTCCATTTATTAATCTACACATATGTATATTAATTGCATAAAACTGAAAAGAAAATTATATACACTCATACTTTGCAATATTGCTTTATTCTACTCTGATATTTCATGAAACAATCTGTTCACATGTGTCGTGTGCATCTTGGCTGTCAGCAACTTTGCCATCACTGGAAACCCTTTCTGATTTTTTAAAACAGTTTTCCAAAACTATCTTCTCTGCCACCCACGTTTCTATAACACAGCAATTTTTAAATACAGATGTAATACTATCACAGAAAATTTTATCCCAGACCACAAGTATCCATTTCTACAAGCTAGGACAGGTTTTCTTTTTATAATTCATCATCCATGTTTTAGTGATCTCCATCACGTCTCACTTACTGTATTGCTTTTTAAAAAAAGCTCATGTTCGAGCTGGGCATGGTGGCTCACGCCTGTAATCCCAGCACTTTGGGAGGCTGAGGTGGGCTAATCATGAGGTCAGGAGCTCGAGACCAGCCTGGCCAACATGGTGAAACCCCATGTCTAATAAAAATACAAAAAATTAGGTAGGCATGGTGGCAGGCACCTGTAATGCCAGCTACTCAGGTCGAGGCAGGAGAATCACTTGAATCCAGGAGGTGGAGGTTGCAGTGAGCCGAGATCGAGCCACTGCACTCCAGCCCAGGCAACAGTATGAGACTCCATCTCAAAAAAAAAAAAAAAAAAAAGCTTATGTGCTTATGTTCAATGGTATGCAAGACTTGAAAGAATGAGTTAAACTCCCAAAGGAAAAATGATCACACTATGTTAAATTTCTTTGAGTCCTTTTTTTAAAATTCAAAATGAATTCTATTAGATGACCTAACAAAATAGCAGTAGTAACAACAACTAACACTTCCCAAGCCTTTGTCATCTGCCAAACACTGTTGAAACACAGTATGCATAGTAACTTATGTAAGGGCCTCTTTCTCAAGAGTGCTTCCAGAGTGTGGCAGAGGAGGCTCCCTGAGCAGATATGGCTGTGGACCAGAAAAAACATCACTCACTGTGATGTCCTGAGGGCATCAGATGGTTTCTACTTGTGTGTGCCTTACTGCTGCTTAATCTGCTGGTTATCAAACGCACACGCATGTATGCGCACTCACACACACACAGTTGACTACCTTTTCTTTTTGTCAGAGGGAAATAGAAGATCTCAACAGCATGCCATTGTTTTAGATAAGTGGTTCTCAGCACTTGTCTGCATATTAGAACCATCTGAGAAAGCGTTTTAAAAACAGTGATGATGCTCAAGCCTCAACCCAGAGCAAATACATCAGAATTTATGTCTGGTGGAGCCAGAGCATCAATGGATTTGAAAGCTCCTCAGGTGATTCTCATTTTTAACCAGCCTGAGAACCAATGTTTTAGATTATTGCACACAAACCAAATGTCCTCATATTTCTCCCTAGATGAATTGAATGTCCTGCACCTACTAGGAAGTTTAGAATTACTATCCATACTCTTTCAGTATTCAGCAGCTTTTCAAAAATTCTGCTTAGAGGAATGCCTGGTGGATTCACGGATCTTACCTGTATGTTTAGAATACATCCAAGTTCTTCTGGACTCATAACACCACCCAGAGACTGATGCAAGGGATCTATCTCCCCACCAGCTTCTCCCCACTCGTTAAGGGGGGCACCCAACTCCTCAACTCTGTCCCCTACCTGCCCACACCCACACACACACATTTCCTGTCTCATATCTCTCAATCTTTAGTTGATCACACTAGAGACATTCTCTTTCTGATCTAACAATTCTCCTTCCACAGTTTTTCCTTCTAATAAAGCCCACTTAACAAAATAATAATAGTAACTTCCGCTTTGACTGTTAAGTATCACACATTTACTAGGTAGGCATTTTATATAACTATCATTAAAGCCTCACAACAAACCTAGGATAGACTCATTTTGCAGATAAGGACACTAAAGGCCGTAGAGAAAATACAACCTCCTTAACATCACCTAAGTAGCAAGTAGCAAGTCTGGGATTCCGACTCTGATATATTGATTCCAATGCTGAAAGCTCCAAGCTGTATTACCGCACTCTCTGGCTTCATTGATGTGCAGTTTGTACAGTCACACAGGGTCCTGTGCTCAGAGGACATCAAACTTGATGTAATGCTGTCTGTCACTGTCTGGAAGTTCTGAATAATTTTTGAACAAGGAGTTCCACATTTTTCTTTTGCACTAGGCTCCGCAAATTAGGAGTCCTGCTCTTCTACTCCTGCCAGAAACAAATCAAGGCAAGTCACTCTATATCTTTTGAGAACCAAAAGTGTATTCAAATCTTGACCACTTAGAATAAAAGCAGTGAACTAAAGAAAAAACGTATGTTTTAATGTGAAATTAGACCTGATAGAGAACTGGTACTACTAACCTTTGAAGTTCCAGAAAATGTTCAAAATCTTCAATAAGGCTGCTTTCCACCTTATCGTCCTCTGAGTAACCTAATTTTACTCATATTGGCCCTCAAAATAAGATTTTTAAAACTTAATGATCTAGTTTTTTGTTATTTCCATTCTGTAGCTAATCCCATCTCCAACTAATACACCCATCTCCCCAAAAATAAAGATCAGTTATTTCATTTCCTTTGGGAGCCAAAGCACACTCAAATTGTGATCATTTAGAGAAAAAAGGGAATATTAACATTTAGAAAAACCTATGACCTTAAAGATAGATTAAAAATACCCAATCTGAAGAACAGAGAGAAAAAAGATAAAAATAGGAAGAAGATGAGGACGAAGTAAAGGAAGAACAACAATGAAGTCCCAGGGACTGGTGGTTAATATCTAAAAGTCTGCCATGCATACTACTGGAATCCTAGAAGAAAATAATAGGGTAGAAAAGTATTTGAAGAAATAATATGCAACAATGTCTAAAATTTGGAGAAATATATAGTTTTACAACTTAAGGAAGAGTAATAAACTTCAAACAAAATAAAGATAAGGCATACCTACCCCTATCTATAAGAGATAAACTTTAAAGAGACAGGTAGATTAACAGTAAATGAATAGAAGGATACATACCATGCAAACAGTAAATCTTAAGAGAGCTGTCATGACTATATTAACATCAGGCGAAGTAGACCTCAGGACAAAGAATAATGCCAAAGTAAAAAGGGACATTTCATAATGATAAAATACCCAATTCTCCAGGAAGATTTTTAGTTATAAATGTGTATGTATAATAACAGAGTTTCAAAATACCTGGAGCAAATATTGAAAGAATTAAAGGAAGAAATAGACAATACCACAATCATACTCAAAGAATTTAACATCCTTCTCTCAAACAATGGTAGAGCAGTTAGACAAGAATTCAGTAAAGACATAAAACATATGAGTAACACTATCAACCATCTTACCCTAGTTGATATTTATAGAGTACTTCATCAAGCAACAGCACAATAAACATTCCTTTCAAGAGTACATGTTCACCAAGGGAGACTATATACTTGGCCATAAAGCAAGTCTCAATAAATTAAACAATATAAAATTGTACCAAATTCACTCTTTGTATACTATGGAATTAAATTAGAAATCAACAAGATAGAAAACCCCCAAATATTTGGAAATTAAATAGCAAATTTCTAAATATTATAATTATGTCTCAGAAAAGAAATTACAAGAAAAAATAGAAAATATATGAAAAAATGAAAATATTATAAACTATGCATCTAACAAAATCTAATATCCAGTATCTATAAGGAACTTAAACACATTTACAAGAAAAAAACAACCTCATTAAAAAGTGGGCAAAGGACATGAACAAACACTTTTCAAAATAAGACATCCATGCTGTCAACAAGCATATGAAAAAAGCTCAATATCACCAATCGTTAGAGAAACGAAAATCAAAACTACAATGAATACCGCCTCACATCAGTCGGCATGATTATTACTAAAACGTCAAAAAATAACAGATGCTGGCAAGGTTGCAGAGAAAAAGGAATGCTTCTACACTGTTGGTGGGAGTGTAAATTAGTTTAACCATTGTGGAAAGCAGTGTGGCTATTCCTCGAATAGCTAAAAACAGGACTGCCATTCAACCCAGGAATCTCATCACTGTATGTATACCCAAAGGAATATAAATAGTTCTATCATGAAAATACATGCGTGTGTACGTTAATTGCAATACTATTAACAATAGCAAAGACGAAGAATCAATCTAAATACCCATCCATGGTAGACTGGATAAAGAAAATGTGGTACATTTACATCATAATATTGAATACTATGCAGCCATAGTAAAAGAAAGAAAGAATGTCCTTTTCAGGAACATGGAGGTCATCAACCTTAGCAAAGTAACACAGGAACAGAAAACCAAATACCATGTGTTCTCACTTATAAGTGGCAGCTAAATAATGAGAACACATGGACACGTAAAGGGGAACAGCAGACACTGGGGCCTACTTGAGGGTGGAGGGTGGGAGGAGGGAGAGGAGCAGAATAAATAACTATCGGGTACCAGGCTTAGTACCTGAGTGACAAGATAATTTGTAAAACAAACCCCCATGACATGAGTTTACCTATATAACAAATCTGCACATATACGCAGAACCTAAAATAAAAGTTAAAGAAAAGAAAGATGTATTTAAATTCGTGAAATGTAGCAAAAGCAATCCCTAGAGAAAATGTTATAGCTTTTAATGTTTAGATTACCAAAGAGGAATGATCTCAACTTGGTAGCCAAGATTCTGTTTCAAGAAGGAAGAAAAGAAAAACACAATAATTTCAAAGTAAATAAAAGAAAGGAAATAATTTTAAAAGGAAAGAAATTTAGCAGAGCCGATATTTGGAAAATACTCAGAAAAATTGATAAGCACTCAGTTGGAGAGAAAGGAGAAATGGAGAGGGAGAGAGAACACAAAGTATTAATACCACCAAGAATGAAGGAAAAATTGTTACTACAGATCCTACAAATATTAAATGGATGAGAAGAAGTAGATACCAAAAATTTAGCAACTTGAGGTTAACAAATTCCTTGAAAAATACAACTTACATAATGTGAAATCTGACACAAGGTAAAACTGAAATCTGAATAGCGCAATATCATGTTTCAGGATAATTTTCCACGTAGTTTCACAGGAAAAAAATTATCCAACATTTAATGAGTTTGTGGGGTGGGGGAACTCCAATCTCATACAAAATCTCTCAGAAAATAAAGAGAGCTCACTTCCCTATTTATTTTGTGAGGTCAATAAAACCTTAATACAAAAACCTGTCAAAGACATTTAAAAAGAAAAAACTGCTAGACTGATATCTCTCATGCACATAAAAGCAAAAATATTTAACAAAATATTAGCAAATTGAAATAGTCAAAATATAAAAAGATAATACATTATGACCAAATGGAGTTTATCCTAGGAATTCAAGATCAGTTTAACATTTGAAATTTAACCTATTACAGGTATACCTCATTTTATTATGCTTCACTTCATCGTGTTTCACAGATATTAAGGGTTTTTCTTTTTACAAATTTAAGGTTTGTGTCAACCTTGCATCAGCAAGTCTATTGGAGCCATTTTCTCAACAGCGTGTGCTTGTTTTGTGTCTCTGTGATCACATTTTGGTAATTCTTCCAATAATTCAAACTTTTTAATTATTATTATATCTATTATGGTGATCTGTGATCAGTAATCCTTGATGTTACTATTGTAATTGTTTTAGGGCACCATAAGCCATGCCCATAGAAGATGACAGACTTGATGGATCAATGTTGTGCGTGTTCCGACTGCCACACCAACTAGCCATTCCCCATCTCTCTCCCTTTCCTTGGGCCTCTAATTCCCTGAGACACAACAATATTGCAGTAAAGCCAATTAGTAACCCTACAGTGGCCTCTAAGTGTACAGGTGAAAGGAAAATGTCTCTCTTCCTTTAAATTGATGTCTCTTGCTTTAAAGTAAAAGCTAGCCATGATTAAACTTAGTGAGCAAGGCCTGTAAAAACCCAAGATGGGCCAAAAGCTACAGTTGCACCAAACTGTAAACCAAGATGTGAATGCAAAGAAAAAAATTCCTGAAGCAATTTAAAAGTGTTACTCCAGTAAACACACGAATGATAAGAAAGTGATTGCTTATTGCTGATATGGAGGAAGTTTGAATGGTCTGGATAGTAAATCAAACCATCCACAACATTCCCTTAAGCCAAAGCCTAACTCAGAGCAAGACCCTGACTCTTTTCAATTCTGTAAAGGCTAAGAAAGCTGCAGAAGAAATGCTTGGAACTAGCAGAGGTTGGTTTATGAAGTTTAATAGATGAAGCAGTATAACATGTTAATGGTAGAATTTAGATGGTGAGTTCTTAACATAAAATTATTTCAACTTTTCTATATGTCTGAAATTTTTCATAATAAAACATTGGGAAAAAAACCTCAGCAGTAACCACTGCCATTGTTTCAAACCTAGACTCACAAGATATTTTTTGGGAGAGGAGTATTTTATCACTGACATTGTTTAGAATTGCCAGTACATGGTGATAATAAAAAGCAGACCAACGTTCAGTCAGACTTATTCTTGTTTTTAAATTCTCAATGGCAATGCACATCTTATTGCCTGCACCCAGGGTAGGCCCTCCTACTGCTTTTGGTACATGATTAGTGTCATGGAATTGGAAAAAGTGTAATGACAAGAACCTGCCTGATTCCAAAGTTCTTCCCATGCCAACAAACTCTTTCCACATTACCCTGCTACCTACACAGCAAATCATACAAAGATGAAAAAGATACAAATCTTGCCTACAATGAGATCATAGTATAGTGGAGACAGATCCATACTTATATATTTGTGATACAAGATGAATATCATGTATTTTCAAATAACATGCTGGAAGAAAATGGGGGAAAGTTTCTTGAAAGAGATAGTATCTGAGGTGTACTGTGTTGGCTACTTAAACTCATGCGATGTTCATAAGCTTAAGCTGAAAATTCTTAACATGATCTACAAGTTCTTAGGTGATCTGGTCCCTTTCTACCTCTCTATCCTCATTCTGGACATCTCCCAGTGAGCAGCCTCTAAAAAATAATACACACACACACACACACACACACACACACACACACACACACGCACACACACACAAACACTGGCCACACTGGCCTGATTTCTGTTCTTCTTATCATGTTCTTTCCTGCCTTGCGGCTTTACCAGGGACCTACCCTACCAGGAATGCTCTTCCTTTATTTCCTCCTCTCCTCCCACCTAGCTCAATCCTACTCATTCTTCAGCAGTTAGATACAAGACTGCTTTCTCAGTAAATTCTTCTCGGACCTCTCAGGCTGGGTTGCTTCCCTTTTTTTCTTCTTTGGGACACAGAACACAACTGTTACTATACCACTTCTGTGTAAATTTCATTGTGGTCCAGATTAGAAGATCTGCATCATCTGGAACCAAATTTGACTTGTTTCCAACAGTAACCCAGTAGGCATTCAATAAATGTTTGTTGACTGAATAGACCTTCATGGCCTAGTAGGTGAATCCATGAATGAACAAAGGGCAGGCCTTTAACACTCAGTTATGAATGGAGATGAAGGCAAATGCCATCTGGAGACAGGCAAACCTTGAGCCAAAACCCAGACGGGGAAGGAATGAGAAGAGAAACAGAGACATGGGTGTTAGGTACTTTCTGAGACTGATTTTTTAACTCTCAAGAGGCTTTTGTGCTTATCCTGGAGGGGACCAGATATGAACTACCTTTTGTAAAAAATAGGTGGATTAGAGGAACGAGAGAGAATCTGCAAAAATTCTCTCACCAGCCATATCTCTAATTAAAGTTTCTAGGGAATGTTCTTTTTCTGCTACATCTCACAACACCAAAGAGACCAAAACTGGGATGTGGCCAGATCCCTGAGAATTCTCACTTTCTTATCAGCACAGTCCAACCCTACCTAGTCCCTTTTGGCCAAATGCTTAGATACATAATGACACTAGACTCCCTGTTGGGGGCATGTAAAGCTTCCCAAAGAAATGATTCTAGATGCCTAGATTTTTTTTTTATTAAATCAGAAATGGGTTAATGAATGGTAGGGCATATAGAGAGAGAATGTGTAGAGAGTTGATCCCTGCCTTGTTGTCGAGACCACACACTAGTTCATTGATTTCTGCTCCATTTCCTTAGTCCTGACAGGAATTTAAATGTTTCAAGTTCTTTTAAGCCTGAAAATGTTTGAAAAGCTTTATTCCAAAAAGGTGCTTACACATTTTTTTCCTGCAGTATTTAGGCTTCTATTTATTGATCCCTTGGTACATTCCATCCTGATGATGGGCAAATGGGAAAAGGATGAAAACTGAAACGGTATGCACAACAACCTCAAACCATAATAGTGTAACAGTAAACCATTCTTTCAACATCTGGAATCCTGTGGGCAACTTTCCTAATAAGAAAATCAAGTCAATTTAAATCCATGTCCACACAAAGACTTACAAACCATAGGCTTATTTCTTTTAATCTTTTCTGAAGTTTCTCTGTGACTAAACCTGAATTTCAATTTCCTGGTGTGCATAAAATTAGGATATTAGACTAATGGAGTTCTGCCTACTCCCATGACAGATAGAACAGGCATTGCTAATCACTTACAGAAAACTTCACAAAACAGTATACCAGGCAGTCACTACCATTCCACTCAAGACTACACATGAGCTGAAATCTATTTGCTGTCCTGGAACAAAGAGGTCCCCAAGCCTTTTTATCGCTAATCTCTGAAGTCTATGGTTCTAAAGGAAGCCTATATGAGGCGATAGTCTCAAATATAGAAACATATAAATTTACAAGCTCTCAACTTAAGAACTTTCACAGATGCAAACAAATGAACCAAAGCAAAAATGCATCCATTCTATTAAAAACCCTTATTTTAATAGTATTACTTTGATCTTATGAGTAAATGAAACCCCCAACCTTTTTGGACTGTTCCTGCTTATAAGTGAAAAGCCTTCTGTACGCCACACTTTTCTTTTCCATTATCCTCCTTACATCCTCAATTCTTCCTGAACTCATAGAAACACTTGGAACAGCCTTGTTCATCCTGGGCCCCTCTCCTCTCTACACTGTGGGCAACTGTGTCCCTACCACCACCTGCTTCCCCATCAAAATCTGTCTCAGAGAAGATCTAATAAAGTCAGCCAAGCTGAGGTATAGCTGAAAGCTAACATCTAAACAATCTTCTCTTCTCAACGTATTTCTACTGTATTAGGAACAATGCTCCAAACAGAAGGGATGCATTTCTACTTGTAGAATTATTTTGTTTTCCAATTAGAAGAGTTAGAAAGTTATTTGGAAGAAGCAGCAGGGGAGAAGGGCCTTCTCAGTTCCCCTAAATTATTCCCTGAAGATGTATGCCTAATCCTCCTCCTCAAATGCCAGCTTTATATACATCTATTAAAATACCTGGAACATCTATTCTGAAGATATGGCTCATGAACCACCTAAATCAGAAAGCCATGGGTATTTGGGAAGTATGCAGATGATTGAGCTCTTTCCTCAAACTAAAAATCTAAATCTCTTGGGCTGGGCCCCAGGAATGTGCAATTCATCAAGCTTTCCTACTCTGACCAGGGGAGTTCTTATACAAAAATAAATTTCAGGACAACTGTTTCAAAGTAAAGGCTCAGTACCTCTATCTACATCAACATTTACACTTTTCCTGTTTTATTGCTGTTTCCCAGCCAGATTATAAACTGCCTGAAAGCCAAGACCGTATCTCATATTTTAAGAATTCCCCATAGCTGTTCCTACCTTAGCTTTTTAATAATTTTACATTTGAGGAGAGCTTTCTCAATTAATATCATAAAAGAAATAGCATTTCTCACTAGAAACCATGATAATTCAATGAAGTGGGCATTAATCAGATATTTAAATTAAATATGAATTAAGTAAGAATCCAAAAACACAGTAACTCATTGGCCTTTGTCCATTTTACAGACTTTTCTTTCAGTTTTTGCATGGGAGGGCCAAATGCACAGTACGTGCAAATTGTCAAACTTAGTATGCTCTTCAGTACATTAGTATGATTTTATTATGTATTGCAGCCAAATTTACTTTCTTCAGAATTGGAAATGATCTCACATATAGATGTTCACTTTCAACAATTCCATGAGTACCTCTACCCAGTTAAATAAATTTAAGCCATATTTATTTTGCCCTAAGATATTCAAAAAATTTTTCTAATATTACTTAAAATTGCTTGTCCCAGAATGGGACAAGTCTGTAAGATTGACAGGGAAGTTTAGGTACAAGAGATTTTTAAGGTTTTGGAACAAGAGTAATAGTATACAGATATATTTGTGTTTTCCAATTTTCTGAAAAAAAGGAATGCAATCAACGAATCAATAAAAGAGCAAAATTAAAAATTACTTGCTTTTTTATGTAAGAGCATTTGGTGGAAAGTTTATTGTCCTCTTATGTGTACTCTTCAAAATTGAAGACTATGGCATTTGCTTCTTTCTTCTTTTTTATGTTTAAAGAAACCCTAAAATGGCGTAATTGACCCAAGTTCTTTAGAAATCAGGCAACACCTTCCACTTGCCCAAGGAGTGTAGATTTCTTGGAGTAGGGAACACCACTTTAAGGCTAACACAGGAAGCCACACTCAGGGTTCAAGGTTTATGATTTGTATTTAATGTGGTTTGCAGCCCTGTTTTCTTTATGAAGGTGATGACTGAAGAGAAACTCTCAACCCCAAGGCACCAAGATGAAGTAGTTGCAAATACTGATGAGGTGGATGGGCGATCATCTGGGTCATTGTTCTGGTAGCAGGGGCCAGAAAACTAACTGTAAAGGGCCAGATAGGAAATATATTTGGCTTTTGGGGTTAAACAGTCTTGGTTGTAACTACTCAACTCTGATGTTTTGTGAAAGCAGCCAGAGACAGTACATCCAAGAATGAGACTGTTTCCCAATAAAACATAACTTACAAAAACAGGTGACCCATGGGCTGAAGTTTGCTGACGTCCTATATAGAGTATAAAAAACCCTCTTCGTGGGATGAGAAAGAGTCTAGCACTGATAAAACTCATGTCTGGAATTCAGGGCAATACAGGATGCACCCCTCCAGAGGAGAGTCACTCTTCCTAAAAGGTGGCAAAAAGTTCTTACTGAAAGGGTTATGTATTGAGTGATCAGTGCTGTTGCTTTTCATAGTGAATAATTCTTTCTTCCCTTTAAATAGCCCTGTGGCTGAATCATTAATGGAATCTGTAAGAAAAAGAGAGAGAGAGAGAGAGAGAATGAAAGAGAAAGAAAAAGGCAGGCAGGCAGGCAGGCAGGCAGGCTGGCTGGCTGGCTGGCTAGGTTATCCAAGGAAATGAATATATTCTGGTGGACAGGTTGTATGTGCACAGGCCTGTGGGACCAAGCAGGTTTGCTGACAGGGCATCTAAACAGAAGAGAAGGCTAGAGTGTCCCTGTGAATGTCTTTATAAACAGTGGTCAATACTGTGGGAAGGACTGTGAGCATGTGAGGTTAGTAGTTAAGAGTATAGGCTCTGGAGACAAACAGACCTAAGATTTAAATCCTGGCTCTATTCTTTACAGCTGTTAGGTCTTGAGCATGTCGCTCAACCTTCAAGCCTTAGTTTTCTCATCTGTAAAATGTGAGTAAGGATACCCTACCTTGCAGGATGTTTAAAAGGAATAAAAAGTATGTTGAACCTTTAACATAACATAGAGGCCCAGTAAATGGAAACCACTGTAATTAATTAGACTTCGAGCAGGAAATTTGTATTGAGAGCAACTAAGAATTAAAATATGATTAAGGATCTAAGAGAGTGAAGAACAAAGCAATAAGCTCATGCATTATACTTCCTTTCTAGAATTTTGTTTTCAAGGTTTGTTCATTGTTTCATTCAGCAAATGTTTCCGAAGCACCTATTATATTCCTGGCACTCTGCTGGGGTTACAAAAATCAATAAAGTTTCCTCACTTCTAAGGATAGAAAGTTAAAAGTGCTTTGGTGGCTGTGCTTGTTATGAAGCTATTGTCTTTTTGAGCTGCAAACTCATCCTTCCATACACTGCTTGGTGATGCTGGGAATGATACTCAGAAAACCGCTTTTCTCATTTGCCAGCTGTACCCTATCAGGCTCTGCCAATGGGTATATAAGGGAGACTGGAAGGCTAGAGGAAGGAGAAGGGATATATGCTTCTGTTCCCATTTGCTTTGTGTCATGTCAGCATGACCACCAGAAGGCTTCTTCACCCTGGCAGCAGCAATTTACTTGCAGTGTTTCCACACTCTTAGACCCACTCAGCACTGATCTCTGATATATGAGCAAAGGTCTGAGTCAACCCCACAAGCCCTCTCTCCCACATTCTAAATTTTATAAATCCCAACCTCTTAACTTGATTCCTCCAGCCCTAAGGATGGTAGCGACTTTCTACAGTTACTATCTCTATGTTATCTAAGTTTTCTTTCATTTGTCTTTTCGGTTCTCTAGCACCTGCTTAATGGTTCCTTATATTAAATTCACTCTGTTAAGGTTATTGGTGTGGTTTCTAACTCCTGACTGGCTTTTGACCGTGTAAGTGTTAAACGTTAACTCACAAAGGTCTATTAGCAATTTCGCAAATTCTGTATCACAAGGAATAGGCTCAGTAAGCATACTTTTGTGGGTGAACGCTTTAGACAAGAGAGGAAATCTTTTAAAGGTCCAACACTGTGAAAATAAAAAGCCAGTTTATAGAAAGGCAGAGTGAAGAGGCAATTCATGGAAATGGAGAAAATATTTACAAATTATATATCTAATAATGAATTAATATGCAAAATATATAAAGAACTCCTACGATTCAGCAACAGCAACAACAAACAATCCAATTAAAAAATGAACAAAGTACTTGAATAGACATTTCTCCAAAGAAGATATGCCAAGGTCCAAAAAGCACATAAAAAGATACTCAGCATCACTAATCATTACGGAAATGCAGATCAAAACAACGTTGGACCACTTCACACCTATTAGGATGCCTATTATCCATAAATAGAGACCAAAAAGTGTTGGAGAGTATGTGGAGAAGTTGGGACCCTTGTCCACTGATGATGGAAATGTAAAATGGTGCAGCCATTATGGAAAACAATGTGGTGGTTCCTCAAAAAAGGCAAAAATAGAATTGCCATATGACCCAGTAATTTCACTCCTAGGTGTATACCCAACAGAATTGAAAGCAGCAACTCTACAGATGCTTGTACACCTATGTTCACAGCAGCATTATTCACAAGCGGCAAAAGAAGAAAGCTACCCAAATGTCCACAGATGAATGAATAAACAAAATGTGGCATATACATAAAAAGTGATATTATTCAGCCTTAAGAAAGAAGAAAATTCTGACACTGCACCATGGATGAACATTGAGGACATTATGTTAAGTGAAATAAACTGGTCACAGAAAAACAAATACTGTTTCATTCTACTTATATGAGGAAGTTAACATAGTCAGATTTGCTGACAGAAAGTAGAATGATGGTTATCAGGGGCTGGGAGGTTTGGGAAATGGGGAGTTAGTGTTTAACGGGTACAGAGTTTCAGTTTTGGGAGGTGGAAAAAGTTCTGGAGATAGATAGTGGTGATAATGTGAATACACTTAATGCCATCAAGCCATACACTTAGAGGTAGTAAATTTTATGTATATTTTACAATATAAAAAAGAATAAATATATACACATTTGTGGTTGTTCTTCCTATAATATCCTTGTTAGAGGGATTATCTTGTCAAATATCCAGGCCTCAAATTTAAAATGCTGAAAGAAGTCATGACAAGCTGAAATGAAACCGAGTGACAGCACTGAAAGGAAATTTATCTTCCTGGTCTCTTTTTTCGATCCTCTTTGGGATGGGTATTTATGCCTCTGGTGGGTACTCTCTGAATGGCAGTGAATTTCCTGATTCTTTCAGTCTATTTAATAGGAAAGACAGGATATATATTCAAAGGGAATTCAAATTAGAACAAGGGAAAGGAAACCAAAAGTTTAACTGTAGTCATAGCAAGGCAAATTTTTCAGATGGAAACTGAAACAATTTAATAAATATTTTGAAAACCATGATGAAGCCAACTCTACTGTATATTTAGGGAACCGTAATGCCTAATAACTGTGTTCTAGACCAAGGCCATAGACAGCTGTGCTCCATCAACTTATTACTGATCTGTCTGCTTCGGTTTCCTTATTCACACAATGGAGATAATAGCAATCAATACTTCCTAAGGTCTTTAGCAGAATCAAGCTCTTAGAGTAGTACCTGGCACACAGTAAGTTCTGTGCAAGCATTTGTTAAAACAAACAAATACATATTTATTTAATAGCAATTAATGTTGGCTAGGTATTTTTTACAACCTAATTTCATGTCCATTAACTCTTTTGATTCTTAAACAGTCCTACAATGAAAGGAAAATAGCTCAAGAAATGCTAAAAAATAACTGTTGCCTAGTTCAGCTAAGGCAACGTGATTTAATCCTTGCTGAGCCTTATTTTCTTTTACTTCCGAATCAGCTATCCTGTGGCCTTATTCTTCCATCACAGGTGTCAATGGATAAATTTAATTTCCTGATAGAATAGGTAAGCTATCAAAATTCAGTCATTTTTATTTAAATTGAATCAATAAAATAAAGACATTTTGAACATTTGGGCATTTTTGACTAATACCTTCCCCTCTGAGTATGAATCACTTTTCAGTATTATACATGTACACATATACACTGCTTTCATTGGTGCAATTGTACTTTTTCTGGGCAAGTTCTATTTCAGCCCCATGAATTTTTTCCTAGATTTATCCCCTTATAATACACTTTTCTACTTCCACACTGTTTTTCAGAGCCTTCTAGGTGAAGATGACAGAAAGATGAAGAGAGGCAGCCTAGTAGATAGGACAGAAATGAATTTTGACACCAAAAAAGGATCAGCATTCAAACCCAAGCCTTGTCACTGAGCTGCAAGGCCTTGGGTGAGTTATCTGGCTTCTTCTAACCACAGTTTTCTCCGCATACATACATACATATTGTTATGTAATTATTATAAGCATCTGCTTGTGGAACGTACACACACACACACACATGTATAGAGTGAATATAAGCATCTTTGTGAAAAATAAACCCTAAAATTACCCACAGACATAAATTTTCGTGCAATATAACCAAAAGGTAATGATAATAAGAACCAGAATTCACGAAAGATAGAATTTTGATAATTTCTGAATGGGTTAGAATTGTTATTGTTAAGTAAAAGCAATCATAGACGATTAAATCAATGCTTTCTGAGGTTAATTCTCAAGTTACTGTGGCTGTAATCTGTCTGCAGGTTGGGAAACTATATTGGGGAAAGGAGTGGACTTTGTGTGTAAAACTCATGTAAAAATATGAGGCATTCCATTTATGCTCTCCAAACAATACATATTTTAAAAAGAAAAGAAAAACTCTGTGTGTGTGTGTGTGTGTGTGTGTGTGTGTGTGTGTGTGACAGAGAGGGAGAAAGTGGGTGTGTGCGCGCATTTGTGTGTGTGTGTTTGGGGGGCACATAAGATGGATGAATAAGCACAAAGAATGTGTTTTAGGATCACGAAATTTGGAAGATGAGAGGGACTGTGCAGATGCTCTCTCTCCCTCACCTCCTTTCATAGATGGAGAAGCCCAAAATTTCACAGCCAGGTCAAACATCTAGTTGGAGCCAGTCACAGAACACAGGTTGTCACCACTTCCCATTCCGCCACTCATCTGATGCCCCTCTAGTGTCCTCGTCAGCCTGTGAGCCTGGGTTGTTTCTGTAAGTGATGATTTTGCATCCACACTCCCCCAGCCTATCCCAACGAGAAAGATGGGAGTTATAAACTTTGACTTATGCAGTTGAATGAGACATTGTTTGATGGAAGTATGTGGGCGGGGAGGCTAACAAACAACCAATTGCCAACTCTTGAAGCAAACATGCTCTTTTTATCCCCCAATGTAGTTTTTGACACAATGAGCATGGCTTCCAATTTTTTTGCAAATGGGCATACTGGTGACCATGGCAACTGGCATGCTCAAAAGATGCCCTGTCAGGGGCTCTGAAAGGCCTAAAGACATTTGTATTAGGTGGGCATAGCCATCCTGGCTAGTGCTTAACAAACACCCAACTAGACCATGCTCCTCAAAATCAAGCGCACAAACATTTGTGTTTCATTAAACAGAAATTAATAAGACTCCAAGAGAAAGAAGCAAAGTTTTTTTGTGTGTACACAGCTGTGTTATGAAGTAATACAGAGAACGCTCATATGAATAATGATTACACATGTGTGTTCAATTTATTTCTTTTACTTCTTACACAGACTCCTTAAACTTTTTTTTTTTTTTTTTTTTTTTGTATAGGTTGTTCAGAAATCAATCACAGGTTTCACAGCTGGCCAGGACAGGGATCTTGACTGCTGCTTTCACAGGACAGGGCCCCAATAGCACTTCTATATTTAGAAGCCACCCTGGGTCATTGGTAAATTATACTTTTAAAAATATAAATACTCTATTCCTTGATTATAAAGGACATGAGTCTAATGGTTTGACTCTACTAGAGAGGAACATAAATTTTTAAAAGTCCATGTCTAGAAATAGAGTCTCTAATTTTTTTAAAAGGATAAATATGGCTTTTGGAACAAATAAAGATGGAAAGAGTCACAAGCCATGCGGGTGTCCTCAGGTGACGGTCCTACCTCGGGTCCCTAGTCCCACCTTTTTTAAAGGATTGTTTGCTTCCTTATTATAGAGCCCAAGGAGGCTGGTCTAAGAGTCTGAATGTTTTTGAAGAAGAAAATGAGGAAGAGAGAATGAGAGACAGGGAGACAGAGAGAAAGCAAGAGAGAAGAAGTGGAAGGAGAAGGAGAAGAAAAAGAAGAGAGAATTGGAGAAAAGAGAGGCGAAATATCTAGATATTCTTCAGTATGCTGATTGTCTATGCTTCATGAGGCTGAAGCAGTCTCCTCTTTCATGTCTTCAGTCAAGTCAATCTACATGCTTTTTTTTCCCCATAGGTTATTGGGGTACGGGTGGTATTTGGTTACATGAGTAAGTTCTTTAGTGGTGATTTGTGAGATTTTGGTGCACCCATCACCCGAGCAGTATACATTGTACCCTATTTGTAGTCTTTTATCCCTCACCCCCTCCCACCCTTCCCCCCAAGTCCCCAAAATCCATTGTACCATTCTTATACCTTTGTGTCCTCATAGCTTAGCTCCCACATATCAGCGAGAGCATATGATGTTTGATTTTCCATTCCTGAATTACTTTACTTAGAATAATAGTCTCCAATCTCACCTAGGTATCTGCAAATGCCATTAATTCATTCCTTTTTATGGCCAAGTAGTAGTCCATCATATATACATATATTTATATATCTATTTTTATATATCTATATAGATGTAGATATATATCTCACAGTTTCTTTATCCACTCTTTGATTGATGGGCATTTGGGTTCTTTCCACAATTTTGCAACTGCAAATTGTGTTGCTATAAACATGCATGTGCAAGTATCTTTTTTGTATAATGACTTCTTTTCCTCTGTGTAGATACCCAGTAGGGGGATTGCTGGATCAAATGGAAGTTCTACTTTTACTTCTTTAAGGCATCTCCACACTGTTTTCCATAGTGGCTGTACTAGTTTGCATTCCTACCAGCATGTAGACATGTTCCCTGATCACTGCATCCATGCCAACATCTACTGTTTTTTGATTTTTTTTTATTATGGCCATTCTTGCAGGAGTAAGGTGGTATCACATTGTGGTTTTGATTTGCATTTTCCTGATCATTAGTAATGTTGAGCATTTTTTCATACATTTGTTTGGCCATTTGTATATCTTCTTTTGAGAATTGGCTATTCATGTCTTTAGCTCACTTTTGGATGGGATTGTTTGTTTTATTTCTTACTGATTTGAGTTCGTTGTAGATTCTGGATATTAGTCCTCTGTCAGATGTATAGATTGTGAAGATTTTCTCCAACTCTGTGGGTTGTCTGTTTACTCTGACTGTTCCTTTTGCCATGCAAAAGCTCTTTAGTTTAATTAAGTCCCAACTATTTATCTTTGTTTTTATTGCATTTGCTTTTGGGTTCTTGGTCATGAAATGCTTGCCTAAGCCAATGTCTAAAAGGGTTTTTTCAGTGTTATCTTCTAGAATTTTTATAGTTTCAGGTCTTAGATTTAAGTCCTTAATCCATCTTGAGTTGATTTTTGTATAATGTGAGAGATGAGGAACCAGTTTCATTCTCCTATATGTGGCTAGCCAATTATCCCAGCCCCATTTGTTGAAAAGAGTATCTTTTCCCCATTTTATGTTTTTGTTTGCTTTGTTGAAGATCAATTGGCTATAAGTACTTGGATTTATTTCTAGGTTCTCTATTCTATTCCATTGGTCTATGTGCCTATTTTTATGCCAGTACCATGCTGTTTTGGTGACTATAGCCTTATAGTATAGTTTGAAATCAGGTAGTGTGATGCCTCCAGATATGTTCCTTTTGCTTAGTCTTGCTTTGGCTATGCGGGCTCTTTTTTGGTTCCATATGAATTTTAGAATTTTTTTTTCTAATTCGGTGAAGAATGATGGTGATATTTTGGTGGAGATTGTGTTGAATTTGTAGATTGCTTTTGGCAGTATGGTCATTTTCACAATATTGATTCAACCCATTCATGAGCATGGGATGTGTTCTCATTTGTGTTATCTATGATTTCTTTCAAAAGCATTTTGTAGTTTTCCTTGTAGCGGTCTTTCACCTCCTTGGTTAGGTATATTCCTATGTTTTTTGTTTGTTTGTTTGTTTGTTTGCAGCTATCGTAAAAGGGGTTGAGTTCTTGATTTGATTCTCTTCTTGGTAACTGTGGTGTATAGAAGAGCTACAGATTTGTGTATATTAACCTTGTATCCAGAAACTTTGCTGAATTATCAGTTCTAGGAGCTTTCTGGAGGAGTCTTTAGGGTTTTCGAGGTAAACAATCGTATCATCAGCAAACAGGACAGTCTGACTTCCTCTTTACTGATTTAGATGCCCTTTACTTCTTTCTCTTGTCTGATTGCTCTGGCTAGGACTTTCAGTACCATATTGAAGAGAAGTGGTGAGAGTGGGCATCCTACTCTTGCTCAGCTCTCAGAGGGAATGCTTTCAACTTTTCCCCATTCAGTATTACGTTGGCTGTGGGTTTGTCATAGACAGTATTACATTGAGGTATGTCCCTTCTATGCCAATTTTGCTGAGAGCTTTAATCACAAAGGGATGCTGGATTTTGCCAAAAGCTTTT
This sequence comes from Homo sapiens, assembly GCF_000001405.40. Classification (NCBI taxonomy): domain Eukaryota; kingdom Metazoa; phylum Chordata; class Mammalia; order Primates; family Hominidae; genus Homo; species Homo sapiens. Next base: position 50,751,169 of record NC_000013.11, read on the forward strand.
TCCACGTCTATTGAGATATCACGTGATTTTTGTTTTTAATTCTGTTTATGTGGTGTATCATATTTATTGACTTTCATATGTTAAACCATCCCTGCATCCCTGGTATGAAACCCACTTGATCGTGGTGGATTATCTTTTTGATATGTTGTTGGATTCAGTTAGCTAGTATTTTGCTAAGGATTTTAGCATCTATGTTCATCAGGCGTATCAGTCTGTAGTTTTCTTTTTTGGTTATGTCCTTTCCTGGTTTTGGTATTAGGGTGATGCTGGCCTCATAGAATGAATTAGAGAGGGTTCCCTCTTTCTCTATCTTGTGGAATAGTGTCATCAAAAGGATTGGTACCAATTCTTCTTTGAATGTCTGGTAGAATTCTGCTATGAATCCGCCTGGTCCTGGACTTTCTTTGTTGGTAATTTTTAAATTACTGTTTGAATCTCACTGCTTGTTATTGGTCTGTTCACAGTAACTAATTCCTCCTGAATTAAGCTAGGAGGGCTCTATTTTTCCAGAAGTTTATCCATCACTTCTAGGTTTGCTAGTTTATATGCATAAAGGTGTTCATAGTAGCCTTGAATGATTTTTTGTATTTCAGCGATGTCAGTTATAATATCTCCCATTTCGTTTCTTACTGAGGTTATGTGGATTTTCTCTCTTCTTTTCTTGGTTAACCTTGGTAATGGTCTATCAATTTTATTTATCTTTTCAAAGAACCAGCTTTTTGTTTCATTTATCTTTTGTATTTTTTTTTGTTGTTGTTTCAATTTCATTTAGTTCTGCTCTGATCTTGGTTACTTCCTTTCTTCTGCTGCATTTTGGTTTGGTTTGTTCTTGTTTCTCTAGTTCCTTGAGGTGTGACTTTGTGTCAGTTTGTGCTCTTTCAGTCTTTTTTTTTTTTTTTTTGAGATGGAGTCTTGCTCTTTTGCCCAGGCTGGAGTGCAGTGGCACAATCTCGGCTCATTGCAAGCTCTGCCTCCCAGGTTCAGGCCATTCTCCTGCCTCAGCCTCCCTAGTAGCTGGGACTACAGGCGCCCACCACTACTCCTGGCTAATTTTTTGTATTTTTAGTAGAGACGGGGTTTCACCATGTTAGCCAGGATGGTCTCAATCTCCTGACCTCGTGATCCACCCATCTCGGCCTCCCAAAGTGCTGGGATTTCAGGTGTGAGCCACCGTGCCAGGCCTTTTTTAGTCTTTTTGATGTAGGCGTTTAGGGCTATGAACTTTCCACTTAGCACCACCTTTGCTGTATCCCAGAGGTTTTGATAGGTTGTGTTGTGTCCGGAATTGGTGGGTTCTTGGTCTCACTGACTTCAAGAATGAAGCCGTGGACCCTCGCGGTGAGTGTTACAGTTCTTAAAGGCGGCGTGTCCAGAGTTTGTTCCTTCTGATGTTCGGATGTGTTCAGAGTTTCTTCCTTCTGGTGGGGTTCGTGGTCTCGCTGGCTCAGGAGTGAAGCTGCCGACCTTCACGGTGAGTGTTACAGCTCTTAAGGCGGCGCGTCTGGAGTTGTTCATTCCTGCCAGTGGGTTCGTGGTCTCGCTGGCTTCAGGAGTGAAGCTGCAGACCTTCGTGGTGAGTGTTATAGCTCATAAAGGCAGTGTGGACCCAAAGAGTGAGCAGCAACAAGATTTATTGCAAAGAGTGAAAGAACAAAGCTTCCACAGTGTGGAAGGGGACCCAAGCGGGTTGCCACTGCTGGCTCAGGCAGCCTGCTTTTATTCTCTTATCTGGCCCCACCCACATCCTGCTGATTGGTAGAGCCAAGGGGTCTGTTTTGACAGGGCACTGATTGGTGCCTTTACAATCCCTGAGCTAGACACAAAGGTTCTCCTCGTCCCCACCAGATTAGCTACATAAAGAGTGTTGACACAAAGTTTCTCCAAGTCCCCACCACAGTACCTAGATACAGAGTGTCGATTGGTGCATTCACAAACCCTGAGCTAGACAGAGTGCTGATTGGTGTGTTTACAAACCTTGAGCTAGATACAGAGTGCCGATTGGTGTATTTACAATCCCTTAGCTAGACATAAAGGTTCTCCACATCCCCACCAGACTCAGGAGCCCAGCTGGATTCACCCAGTGGATCCCGCACCAGGGCTGCAGGTGGAGCTGCCTGCCAGTCCCACGCCATGCACCTGCACTCCTCAGCCCTTGCGTGGTCAATGGGACTGGGCGCCCTGGAGCAGGGGGCGGCGCTCGTTGGGGAGGCTCGGGCTGCACAGGAGCACACGGAGGGGGTGGGAGGCTCAGGCATGGCGGGCTGCAGGCCCCGAGCCCTGCCCCGTGGGAAGGCAGCTAAGGCCTGGCAAGAAATTGAGCACAGCACTGGTGGGCCGGCTCTGCTGGGGGACCCAGTACATCCTCCACAGCCGCTGGCCCGGTTGCTAAGCCCCTCATTGCCCGGGGCCAGCAGGGCAGGCCAGCTGCTCTGAGTGGAGTCCCCCGAGCCCACGCCCACCCGGAACTCGCACTGGCCCGCAAGCACCGTGCGCAGCCCCAGTTCCCACTCAGGCTTCTCCCTCCACACCTCCCTGCAAGCTGAGGGAGCCAGCTCAGGCCTTGACCATCCCAGAAAGGGGCTCCCACAGTGCAGCGGTAGGCTGAAAGGCTCCTCAAGTGCCGCCAAAGTGGGAGCCCAGGCAGAGGTGCCAAGAGCGAGCGAGGGCTGCAAGGGCTGCCAGCACACTGTCACCTCTCAGTGTCATTATTGTCGTTCAGTTTGAAGAATTTTTTAATTTCCATCTTGATTTCGTTTTTTGACCAAGTGCTCATTCAGGAGCAGGTTATTTAATTTCCATGTATTTGCATGGTTTTGAAGGTTCCTTTTGGAGTTGATTTCCAGTTTTTTCCCACTGTGGTCTGAGAGAGTGCTTGATATAATTTCAATTTTCTTAAATTTATTCCAGCTTATTTTATGGCCTATCATATGGTCTATCTTAAAGAAGGTTCCATATGCTGTTAAATAGAATGTGTATTTGCGATTATTGGATGAAATGTTCTGTATATATCTGTTAAGTCCATTTGTTCCAAGGTAGTTTAAATCCATTGTTTCCTTGTTGAGTTTCTGTCTTGACGACCTGTCTAGTGCTATCAGTGGAGTATTGAAGTCCCCCACTATTATTGTGTTGCTGTCTATCTCATTTCTTAGGTCTATTAGTAATTGTTTTATAAATTTGGGAGCTCCAGTGTTAGATGCATATATGTTTAGGATTGTGATATTTTCCTGTTGGACAAGGCCTTTTACCATTATATAATATCCCTCTTTGTCTCTTTTAACTGCTGCTGCTTCAAAGTTTGTTTTGTCTGAAATAAGAATAGCTATCTCTGCTCCCTTTTGGTGTCCATTTGCATAAAATGCCTTTTTCCACCCCTTTACTTTAAGTTTATGTGAGTCCTTATGTGTTAGGTGAGTCTCCTGAAAGCAGCAGATAGTTGGTCAGTGAGTTCTTATCTATTCTGCAGTTCTGTATCTTTTAAGTGGAGCATTTAAGCCATTAACATCCAGTGTTAGTATTGAGATATGAAGTACCATTGCATTCATTGTGCTATTTGTTGGCTGTGTACCTTGGTTTTTTTGTTTTTGCTTTTTAAATTGTATTTTTGTATTATAGGTCCTGTGTGATTTATACCTTAAAGAGGTTCTGTTTTGATGTGTTTCCAGGATTTGCTTCAAGATTTAGAGCTCCTTTTAGCAGTTCTTGTTGTAGTGGTTTGGTAGTGGCGAATTCTCTCAGCATTTGTTTGTCTGAAAAAGACTGTATCTTTCCTTCATATGTGATTCTTATCTTCACTGGATACAAAATTCTTGGCTGAAAATTGTTTTGCTTGAGGAGGCTGAAGATAGGGCCCCAATCTCTTCTAGCTTGCAAGGTTTCTGTTGAGAAATCTGCTGTTAGTCTGATAGGTTTTCCTTTATAGGTTAACTGGTGCCTTTGTCTCATAGCTCTTAAGATTCCTTCCTTCGTCTTAACTTTAGATACCCTGATGACAATGTGTGTAGGTGATGATCTTTTTGTGATGAATTTCCCAGGTGTTCTTTGTGCTTCTTGTATTTGAATGTCTATGTCTCTAGCAAGGCTGGGAAAGTTTTACTCTATTATTCCCCCAAATATGTTTTCCAAACTCTTAGATTTCTCTTCTCCCTCAAGAACACCGATTATTCTTAGGTTTGGTTGTTTAACATAATCCCAGACTTCTTGGAGGCTTTGTTCATATTTTCTTATTCTTTTTTCTTTGTCTTTGTTATATTGGGTTAATTTGAAGACCTTGTCTTTAAGCTCTGAATTTCGTTCTTCTACTTGTTCAATTCTATTGCTGAGACTTTCCAGAACATTTTGTATTTCTATAAATGTGTCCAATGTTTCCTGAAGTTTTTATTGCTTTTTTTTATGCTATCTATTTCCTTTAATATTTCTCCCTTCACTTCTTGTATCACTTTTCAGATGTCCTTGCATTGGGCTTCGCCTTTCTCTGGTGCCTCCCCAATTAGCTTAATAACTAACCTCCTGAATTCTTTTCCAGGTAAATCAGGGATTTCTTCTTGGTTTGTATCCATTGCTGGTGAGCTAATGTGATTTTTTTTTGAGGGGGGGGGCACGGTATTAAAGAACTTTGTACTTTGTTTTGCCATATTACCAGTGTTGTTTTTCTGCTTCCTTTTCATTTAGGTAGGCTCCGTCAGAGGCAAGGTCTAGGGCTGAAGGCTGTTGTTCAGATTCTTTTGTCCCATGGGGTGTTCCCTTGATGCAGTACTCTCCCCCTTTTCCTATGGATGTGGCTTTTTGTGAGCCAAGCTGCAATGATTGTTATCTCTCTTCTGGGTCTAGCCACCCAGCAAGTCTCCCCACCTCCAGGCTGGTACTGGGGGTTGTCTGCACAGAGTCCTGTGATGTGAACTGTCTATGGGTCTCTCAGCCACGGATACCAGCACCTGTTCTGGTGGAGGTTGCAGGGGGGTGAAATGGACTCTGTGAGGGTTCTTAGCTTTTTGGTGGTTTAATGTTCTATTTTTGTGCTGGTTGGCCTCCTGCCAGGAGGTGGCACTTTCCAGAGAGCATCAGCTGTGGTAGTATGGAGAGAAACAGGTGGTGGGCGGGGCCCTAGAACTCCCAAGAGTATACGCCCTTTGTCTTCAGCTGCCAGAGTGAATAGGGAAGGCCCATCAGGTAGGGGCAGGACTAGGCATGTCTGAGCTCAGACTCTCCTTCGATGGGTCTTGCTGTGGCTGCTGTGGGAGATGAGGGTGAGGTTCCCAGGTCAATGGAGTTGTGTACCTAGAAAGATTATGGCTGCCTCTGCTGAGTCATGCAGGTTGTCAGGGAAGTGGGGGAAAGCCGACAGTCACAGGCCTCATTCAGCTCCCACACAATTCAGAGGGCCGGTCTCCCTCTCACTGTGACCCGCTAACAACCCTGAGGCTGTTTCCAGGCAGTGGGCCGAGCAGGGCTTGAGAACTTGCCCCAGGCTACCTGCCTCCCAGCTGTGAAAGAACACAGCTTTTGTTCTTCCCCTGCCTGTGGAGTCTACACACCAGATTTGCACCCTCCCCTGATTTCCGGCCAGGAAGCTTCTTTCTGGGTTCAAATTTTTTCAAATTTCAGCTGGAGACTTCCTTCTTCCTGTGGTGTTTTCCCCCATACCTCTGGCTGCCCTCCCGAAGGATCCCTGTCATGCCAGGCAGGAATAGCCTGCTTGGGGACCCAGCGAGCTCCTGGGGCCTTTCCCGCTGCTTCCTCTACCCCTGTATTTTGCTGGGCTCTCTAAATTGGCTGAGCTCCAGGTAAGGTTGGAAACTTCTCCCGCAAATTAAGCCTTCTTTTATTTACTCCAGTGAGGGTGTGTGTTCAGGAGCGGAGGGTTTCCCTTTCCCACTTCTGCAGTTTGGGCACTCACAGTATTTACAGTGTCTTCCAGGTCCTGCAGGAGCAGTCCGCTTCTTTCAGAGGGTCTGTGGATCCTCTCAGGATTTCTGGTTTATTCTTGTCATTCTGGAGCTAAAATTCATGATGCAAGCCTCTGCACACTGCTCTGTCCATCTGAGTCAGAGCTGCAATCTAGTCCTGCCTCCCATCTGCAATGATGATCTTTTGTTGTTGTTGTTTTTTTAAAGAAATTAGCAACACAAAAGTGAGGCAGACGAACTAGTTGGGCTTCTAACTCAGCACCCAGATATAAACAAATTTAGTCATAGGAACCTTGACTTCAATTAATCTTCTCTGGTCATAATTCTTCTTGACTTATTCTCTGCTAATCTGCCATGCTAGGTTTATTGATAGACATCCAAAATGATCAGAGATTCTGAGATGTTACTTTTTCATTTCTGCTGCATGGCATTCTAGAGTTTCCCCACCAGCCAAACCAATGCAAAACTTGACTTTGTAAACTCGAGCGCTCACACCTTCAGTCTAGGTTTGTTTCTCCTGGCACACTATTCGTCATGCTTGTTACTGCAATCGATTTCTATTTTCCTCTAAACCTCCATCTTTCAGGCTGAACTTGATCACAGGCTGAGTGGATGGGTAGGGGATAGAATATGGAAATGTTTCTCTTTCTAAATGTGATTATAAAATAGGAATTTGTTATATCTTTTTCAGGCATATCCACAGCTCTTCAAATAAGCAATGTGATGTTAGCAAAAGTGCAGGGGCTCCTTGAGAACTTTCCAGGGCTAACCAGCTGCTGAGGAGTGGCCTCCAGGAAAGAGAGAAGCACTCTGATTCAGGCAGTGATTTACACCTAAAATACCAACTCCATCATATCTTCAGAACAATTCTTCTAGACCTTGCATCTAAATATGGTAAGTGTGAAATATATTTTATACCTAACTTGGTCCCCAGTATTATTTTCATTACCAAGATTTTTTTTTTTTTTTTTTTTTTTTTGAGATGAGGTTTAGCTATGTTGCCCAGGTTGGTCTCAAATTGCTGGCCTTAAGCAATCCTCCCACCTCAGCCTCCCAAAGTGGTAGAATTACAGGTGTGAGTCACTACACCTGGCCCCAAGATGTATTTTTAACCATAATTGGAGCAAGCAACATGTTTAATGGGGAAAATAGATAATTTTTGAATTTTGTGATTTGGAAGCTTATTGTTAACAGTGCTAAAGAAACGTTAAAAACACTCCAAAATGTGTCTTTAAGACTGTGGTACACATTGATCAAAGTGAGAAGATAACCAGTTAATTAAGGTTTCTTTTGTCCTTATTTCACTCTTGTATTAGTTATCCACTGCTGCATAACAAATGGCCCCCAAAGTGAGCAGTGTAAAAAAAATTTATTATGTCAGTTTCACAGTATTCACAGTTTCCGTGAGTCAGGAATCCCAGTATTTCTCAGCTGGGTGCCTCTGGCTCAGTAGCTTTCATGAAGCTGCAGTTAAGCAGTCACTTAGGGCTGGGGCTGTGGGGCTGTGGTCTCCACTGAAGACTCCACCGGGGGAAGTCAGCTCTAAGCCCACTTACCTGCTGGTTGCCAGGCCTCATGGGCAGTTGGACAGAGGGCTCTATTTCCCACTGTTGGCTGAAGGCCTCCCTCAGTTCCTTGTCACATGAACCTCTCCACAGGGCTGACTATAAACACAACTGGCTTTCTCCAGAGTGAGGGATGAGAGAGAAGGAGAAAGAGGATACTCAAGAAAGAAGCCATAGTCTTTTTATGACTAAATCTCAGGAGTGGCACTCCTTTACTTAGCTATTGTTTTCTATTCACTGGAAGTGAGTCACTATGTCCAGCCCACATTCAAGGGGAGAAGATTGCAGAAGGAAGCAAGGATAATTGGAGCCCATCTTAGGCTTACCACAGCCCCCATTTCCAAATATTTTAATGTGTAATCCTCAATGGAGAATGTCTTGAACTAGTGTCACTGAGATTCTTCAATCATTAGCTACCACAAGAAAATCGGAATTCCTTTGAAAATTCATTTCAAACTAGTTCATCCAATTTGCAAACACATTCCCTTAGACAGGGGTTGATTTATTCCTCATCTTTGTAACCTCCTTTTCCACTCCCCCCATATACATATTTTCCATTTTAAGCCTAGTCTATCAGCTTCATTTAGAGATATCTGGAAGGAACAAAGAAACAAACACAAAAATATCTGACTGACATAACATACTAGCTGTATGGCTTCAGTAAAATCACTTAACTATTATGGGTCTTGGTTCCTTCATCTACTGGAAGAATGGCTTGATCCCAATGATCTCTTAGGCCTCCCACAGATTTAGAAGTTTATGAGATTTTGATTCCATGTGTGTAAACTAGGGATGGAACTAAATGTGTGGCAGAAATAAAGACTTCAGAGGTCTATAGTGAAAGTTAAATGAATAAGTTTTGGGAGTTTTATGAAGCACTTTGTACACTCTAAAGTCCTATGCACATGTAAGGGCTTATTCTTATTTAGCCCTTATCATGAATAGATCAGGGCAGAAGGGCACAGTAGTGATAGTAGTCTTCTTATTCAGCTAGTCAGGTGGCCCCCAGTGTCACTCTCTTAGATCCATTCTTTCCCAGTGGAAAAACACCAGGAAGGGAGTCAGCAGAGGAAGTGACCCAGTGGAAGAAGTGACCCGTGAGGGAAATATTGGACCTATTTTAGATTCTCAGTGTGCTAAGAACTCAGGGGGCTTCTGTGACTTCTCTGAGTTACCCTGGATCTCCACGTACACTCTTTGGCCACCCCTCCACAGCAAGAACTTCTCTCCTGGAGCCCAGTCCTGCAAATTCTCTCTTCCCTCTGCCAGCCACCTTCCATCCTTTGGACCCTCCCTTCTGAGATCCTACTATTCCTTGGATAGTGACCCCCCATGTAGCTCATCAGTCAGTGTCAGCTCTACCTGGTTCCATAGCAAATTGCTAAATATGAGGTCTTTTACGTATTCTTGAGTATACACTTTATGCATACAAAAGATCATTCAGGGGTTTGGTCTGGTTTTTAGACAGCAATGTTAGATTTATTCAAGCTCTATATTTAAAAATGCAATTCATATTTAGGCTTTTGTGTTCATCTTATAAATCCTATTTTACTTGTAAAATAAAAACTTCTGCCAAATTTTAGCAATCACAGTTAAGGATCCCTTGAATAATATTTGGTCTCATTTTATAAAGCAAGCTAATTAAACATCTTTGAATACTTTCAATTACACTTACAAATATAAGTACTTTTAAGCACTTCAGTATTCTTTTTTTTGGTGGGAGCTGGGGGCAATGGGAGGGCAGGGACAGGGTCTCACTCTGTTGCCCAGGCTGGAGTTCACTGGCATGATCATAGTTCACAGCAGCCTCAAACTCGTGGGCTCAAGCAATCCTCCTGCCTCAGCCTCACAAGTCGCTAGGATTACAGGCATGTGCCACCAGGTCTGGCTAACTTTTGTATTTTTTGTAGAGATGAGGGTCTTGCTATGTTGACCAGGCTGGTCTCAAACTCCTGGCCTCAAGTGATCCTTCTGCCGTGGCTTCCCAAGTGTTGGGATTACAGGCGTGAGCCACTGTGCCTGGCCCAATTTTCTAATAGTAAAACTTCCCATGCATGTAAGTATTTACTGAAAATTTAATCAAGCAAATTTCTAAATGTGATGAATCTTAAATTTAAGAAAATGTTCATATATTGTTTATAAATTTAGTAAATACATTAGCCAGTATAGGTTAGGCTATGGTATGATAGCAAATAAGCCTGAAATCTTGATGGCTTAAATGTGTCAAAGAGAATTCAGCCTCATCAGATACCCCTGGCAGTCAGAGTGGGGCCTATGATTCATTTGGGGCAATGAAAATTTGTGGTATTTCCAAGTAGAAGCAGTCAAGAACAGCATGTCTCCTCCATCTCTCCTTTTCTTGTGAAAGTGACTTGGATGGTGCAGCCACTGGATGGGGGAGGCCATGTGGTCCACACTGTATTTGCCTGAAGGAGAAACACACCTGGATTGTGTTGTGAGAGACCATGAAAGACTGAATTGTCCACTGGGGATCCCGTCCTTGCTCAGAAAAAATCAACCAGAGCACCATTCATATCAGCTTTTATTCAAAAATACCAGGCATGAGAAGGATCCAAAGGGGCGTTGTAACTTGGGGAAGGAGGGCAGAATGTTTTATAGAGCTTTAGCAGGAAGGTGTCAGCTGAAGTTCAGCCATCGGCAGCAGTGGTTTGTCAAAAGAGTTTGAGAAGGGGGACGAATTGTTTTAGTGAATTAGCAGTGATGATTTGAGTGATCTGAATTTTATCAAAAGGGGTGGAGTGGAACAGTTAGGGGCTAATGTCATGTGCAAAAAAAAGAGGGAAGAGGAAACCCAGCTGTTGGGGCAAGGACATGTGGGATCCCTAGTGGACAATTCAGTCTTTCATGCTGTCTCACAACATGATCCAGGTGTGTTTCTCCTTCAGGCAAATACAGTGTGGATCACATGGCCTCTCCCATCCAATGCCTGCACCAACCAGGTCGCTTTCACAAGGAAAGGAGAGATGGAGGAGACATGCCTGCTCTTGATGCTTCTACTTGGAAGTACCACAAGTTTTCATTGCCCCAAATGAATCATGGGCCCCAATCTGACTGCCAGAGGCATCTGGTGAGGCTGAATTCTCTTTGACACATTAAAGTTTTATCTAAAACCACAAGTCTAAATCAAAAAGTATTCAATTATGCCTCTTAAATGGGCATTTTAAAGCTGACCTGTTATTCTAATAGGCAATTTCTTTAAAACATTAATGAAATATACCAAATAAGTAGAGATTCTTAACTTGAAAATATTGGGCCGGGCACGGTGGCTCACGCCTGTAATCCCAGCACTTTGGGAGGCCGAGGTGGGTGGATCACAGGGTCAGGAGTTCAAGACCTGCCTGGCCAAGATGGTGAAACCCCATCTCTACTAAAAATACAAAAAAAATTAGCCAGGCGTGGTGGTGGGCACCTGTAATCCCAGCTACTCGGGAGGCTGAGGCAGAGAATTGCTTGAGCCCGGGAGGCGGAGGTTGCAGTGAGCCAAGATCGCACCACTGCACTCCAGCCTGGGTGACAGAGCGAGACTCGTCTCAAAAAAAAAAAAAAAAAAAAAAGAAAAGAAAATATCAGTGATACAGTTTTGATTCTCTAAAAGACTTATATGTTTAGTTCTGTGTCTTCCCAGGGTTTCTGACTATGCAATGTTTGGGGATTACGACTATCACAAGCAGGGATTTTAGCCAGGATGCTGACTGCATGAATTAATGCCTACTCCTGGAGCATTATAATTAAAATACAGACTTATCATTCTCAGAATCTAGACAGCTCATATCCCTGCTGTGCTCACGGAACAGGGTAAAGCCCAGGTCGGAACCTATCCTGGCTGCTGCCTCACTATTATGGGTGGCATTTCTTTGCCTCTCAAGGCCTACAAATGTCTTTTTCATCTAAATCCAATAGCTTTGAACTTGATGGAAGCTTGCATTCTTTTCACAACTTTTATGGGTGTCAACACATTAAATGGAGGAGAAAGAAAGAAGCTGTATACATCTTGAAGGCGGGGATTAAAGGAGAAGATGCCACCAAGGTGGTTTAAGAATGGAACTCTTCCTACCCCAGGCCACCCCACAAAACAAAACAAAAAAACAACAAAAACACACTCTCACACTGAAGAGGTTAATCTCCTGCCCTTTATTGTGCTAGAAAAAAAAAAAAAAAAAGCAACAGCCGCCTCCCCAAGATTACAAAAAGTCCCCCTGCATCCAGGAAAGATCTGCATCCAGGAAGGGATGTTGCAGGGAGAGAAAGAATCACAGGTGAAAAGATAAAGTTCTTCCCACCAGTGTGCCTCCAACTGGTGGAGAGAAAGTGCCCTGCAGACCCACAAGTGCATATGTAATGGTAGCCCTAGGTCTGCTTGGGTCTTTAGGAAAGGAGACAACACCAGAGAGGTGGGAAGGCAGCTGCCTGGCAGTTAATTAAAGGAGAGCAGGAGAGATCACCAACTGCACGCAGAGGGACAATGATGTGTGAGATGCAGAGGGGTGTGAGATCAAGCAGCAGCTCGGTACTGCTGTGGCACTGATGTCCTGGGGACGCTGGGGAGGGCTCGAGTTATGAAGGATCCCATTCATTGTAATAAGGAGGCTGGATCTAGTCCTAAAAGAGATTGGGAACCACTAACAAATGTTAAGCAGAGAACTATGATCACATTTGCATTTTAGGAAAATCAGTCTAGTGTGAACAGCAGGGCAGGAGAGCTGGCTGAAGACAGGAAGCCCTATCAGAAGACTGCTCTGCAGTTATTCAAGTAAGACATGATGAGGGCCTGCATCAGAAATCAAGCCTGTGCAGATGGAAGAAGAAAATGAACCATGCTTTAAGAAGATGAACATAGAAAGAAAAGTGCAAGACCCTGGGTGAAGCAAGAATGTTCAGAGTCAGGAGTTAGGGAGATCATGTGAGTGCCCTAAACAGCAAAGTGGGAAACAGAACTGTCAGAAAATTCTGCAATTCACAGAAAATAGAATTCACCTCTGAATGAAATACTCAGCCAGCCACACTGCCCTTCCTGCCCTGACCCTTTTGACATGTCTTTTACCAATCCTAGCTCCCGGATCTGCCCTGCAGGCTTCCCAGTGACCTGGCCCAGCCCCATCTTCCTTTCAGAATCAGCCCCGTCACTGACTTGCTGTCTGACCAGAAGCCAACCCCATCATCACTCCAGATCCCAGTTTCCACATCTGTAAACTGCAAACAACACTAGTATTTCCCAGGATTGCTGTGGGGACTAAGTGAGACAGTGTCTGTGAAAACACCTGATAAATGTCTGTAAAGCACCATAAAATGGGAGGTGCTGTTACTGATGAAACAAAGTAAGAGACAATATTAAAGAAGAGACAGGCGGAAAGGCTGTGTTTATAGTCCCGCACTGCATTTAAGGCACTGCAGGTAGAGTGTACTAGAACGCACATGGGCTTTGGACTTGGCCAGACCTGGGTTTGAATCCTGGTTTCAGCACTGTCGCGCTCTGTGATCTTGAACAAGTCCACTCACCCCTCTGAGTCTCCATTCCTTCATCTATAATATAAGAATTCCTCCCTTACAGTGTTTTGTGAGAATTAAAGAGTTAACACATTACAAGTTGCATCATAACATATAATCATTCATAGTTGCTTCTGTGAACTCCATAAAAGGAGTTCAACAGTCTTGGTTTCCTTCTTCCACTCCTATATTATTTCTTCCTGAAAAATAATATAGTTCCACCAGAAGCTCATCTTTTCTGAACTGGTCTGAAGTTTTGTGTTCTTCCTCCCATTTCCAGGAGTCATTAACTAACAACGAACAAAACCTCTGGATGGCCGAAGGACCTAGGCTATACAGAAAGCTGTGAATTACCAATGAGAACGCAGTGAGTCAAAAGAATAATGGAATTAAATAAGTTCAGAGGCTTTAAGTGTTTCTTAAAACACTTATCTATGAACCCCTAATCTTAGTCATTTCTGGCACAGTTGTTATTCATAAGCATTTGATCATCATTCATAGAAGACTGAACAAATTAACACAATGGATTGTCTTGGAGATGAAGGGGCAGTGTACTATTCCATTTAGCTTGTTCAGGGAACTTGAGTCAAATCCCTTGAGTGTTCACTCCATCAGATAGTCCATGAAATGCTGATGAAGATATAACAATTATCCATAAAGTTAGAGTGTTCACTAATTAAGAATACTGAAGAATGAAGTATATTAAATGGGTCATGTTGCACCTTTTTTGGGTTTGTTTTGTTTTGTTTTGTTTTGTTTGAGACAGAGTCTCACTCTGTTGCCCAGGCTGGAGTGCAGTGGGGCAATCTCGGCTCACTGCAACTTCTGCATCCTGTGTTCAAGCAATTCTTCTGCCACAGCCTCCAAAGTAGCTGGGATTACAGGCACGCACCATCATGCCTGGTAAATTTTTGTATCTTTAGTAGAAACAGGGTTTCACCTTGTTGGCCAGGCTGGTCTCTAACTCCTGACCTCAGGTGATCCACCTATCTCAGCCTCCCAAAGTGCTGAGATTACAGGCATGAGCCACTGCCATGTTGCACCTTAGAATGAATTTGTGTTTGTGATGTAGAGGAGAATTTATTCAAAATTAAGAATCACTAAAGACAGGGTATTATTAGGAAATGAAAAATGGCTTTTACTCCAATGACTCAAATAGCACTGCATCCTTCACATTAATAAGATGTTTCTACATGGAGGACTTTAGAAAGCGAAGCCTGAAGGGTGCAGACAGGGGAAGGAAAAAGGAAGATAAATGGAAGAAGACAAGGGAAGAGAAAATGAGGAGGAAGGAGAAAGAAGAGGAGGAAGGAGAAAGAAGAGGAGGGAAGGAAGTTTGGAAGAGGCTGGAAGAATTTGTTTTCTCCACATTCTGGTTCCCAACTTGGTCCTCTTCTGGCAATAATCAGGCCCTGGGGGAGAGAAGAGTAAAAGACAGAAAGGGCAAAGAAGAGAATAAAATAAACAGATAGAAAGGAAGAAGACCAGGAGAAATGTGAAGGAGGAAAGAAGAAATGTAGAAGACACCGAGAACACAGATATGTTAAAATGACACTAGAATGAAAGTTAAGCTTAGTTCAGCAAAAGTTTTGAACCCCTCACATGTGCCAGGCACTGTACTGGGAGCCAGCAATATGAAGATGAAGGAGACATGGCCATTGTTGTGGAGGCACTCAACAGGGAAGAACCAAGGTTGAGAAGACAGCAAGTGAAGGCCAAGAAAACTTGCATTGCGTGGATTATTTGGAGGCTCAAAAGGGGTCAAATGCTTTTTCTCTAAGCACTTTTAGTGATGAATTCCCATTTCATCTAATGTGGTTTCTACTTGACATTAGCTTTTGGACTTTTTCAGAAGATTTCTTAAATGTACTCTTTAGTAGGAGGGTTGGGGGTGGGGTGGAGAGAAAAGGATGCGTGTAGCTTTGCCTCAGCAAGTTTCATTCCCCTTCCAAACAGATGTTGTCTGGCTAGAGCAACACAGCATAAAACATGACTACTGGATTTGGCACAAAATGTACCAATTAACCTATGTTGATTAAGTCATGTAAAAGCAACAGGGCTCACTGAGCATTGGATGCTGTTTAAAGAAGGATACTGTCAGCCCAAATTGCTCACTCCCATCACGTTCGGCATCATGTTCAGCACAGCTGCAGCGGCTGCACTCCACCCGTCTCCTTGTCTCCTCACCCAGCCTGGAGCCCTGCAGGCTCGTGCTGGGCTCTTAGCAGACTGCAAACATGGAAGATGAACCCAAGATTCAGCTACTCCTAGTATGTCTGCTTTGAAATAATGAGAATAAGAGAATAAATGGTCTCTTTCCTTGTCTTCCTTCTCTTCCTACTCCTCCTCTTAATCTCCCCTTCCTCTTCTTTCTCCTTCCACACCACTTACCAAACTTCGGGAATCTCTCTCTTTCCCTCATCATCACTCCTTTCTCCTCCTCTTCTCTTACTTTTCCCTCTGTTCAGCACCTTCTCTTTATGCTGGTGACAGGCTCAGGAGTCCCTACATTCCCTAGGCCTAGGGAATTGGCTTTCCAACTGTTCATGAGAAATCCCTGCACAGCCAGTTTAAACTCAGGCAGGCAGGCCCCACTGCTTATGCCTATAATTAAAGAAGTTTGGAGCATGGCCTAAGACTCGACACACTTGACATCCCACCCCCCACGCCCCACCCCTGCCAGTGATTCTGATACAGGTGCTGTACATACAGAACCCTGGGAAATGCTGGCCAAACACACAGAGCAACACTGGTGTGCACAGCCAGAAGACAGCTGGAGTGGAGACTTGTCTCCCCTGGGTCTGTGTCCTGGTTTTTCTCCTGCCTGTCTGAACCCTCATCATTGGCTCCTTTTCCTTTGCCCACTACTTAGACGTTGCTAGTTTCCAGGGTTCTATTCACAGTCCATTTCTGTTATCCTACACACTATCCCTGATGGCTTTCATCCACTTCTGTAAATGAGAACAACATCTATACATTGAAGGCTGAAATGTTTATTTCTAGCCCAGAGCTTGTTTCAAAACTCCAGACGTGGCCGGGCGCGGTGGCTCACGCCTGTAATCCCAGCACTTTGGGAGGCCGAGGCGGGCAGATCATGAGGTCAGGAGATCGAGACCATCCTGGCTAACACAGTGAAACCCCGACTCTACTAAAAAATACAAAAAATTAGCCGGGCGTGGTGGCGGGCGCCTGTAGTCCCAGCTACGCGGGAGGCTGAGGCAGGAGAATGGCGTGAACCCGGGAGGCGGAGCTTGCAGTGAGCCGAGATCGCGCCACTGCACTCCAGCCTGGGCGACAGAGCGAGACTCCGTCTCAAAAAAAAAAAAAAAAAAAAAAACTCCAGACATGCATTTCCACCTGGATGTTCATGGTAAGCTCAGGCTTACCATGCTCAAGACTTAGTTCATGGGACCATGGTTCAAGAGGGAGAAGCATACTGAACCCTGTCTGTCTTCCCCAGTGGAGCTCTAGCACCTGGGACAGCTATTGTAGGACTCTGGAAGTTGGAAAATAGGACCAGAATTCAAGGCATCACCAAATAGGTGGTGAGCTTCCCACTTTTCCTCCAGTGTCCCCTAGCATAGACTCAAGGCAGCCGGAAACCTGGAAGTAAGACCAGGACCAGCATACACACAGAAAGCTCCAGGAGACACCCCTTAGCCCTGGCTTGAATAGCGGGAAAGGGAGCTCCTGAAGGTCAAGCCTCCGTGATGCTTTCTTCTGGCTGTTCTCTAGCACTAGTCCCAGCCAATCCCTCCAGGGTGGCAGCAGTGAGAACCATGTCAGCAGTCCCACGGGACAAACACTTCTGCCATTCTGTGACTTGCTTTTGTTTTCCTAGTGGTGTGTTTTGAAGAATAGATGCTAATTTTAACCAAGTCCAATATGTTTTTATATGTACCCAAATATTTACCACTTTTAATGTTTATCCTTTCTTCCTGTAGCTCTGAATTTTTATTTGGTATTATTTTTCTTCAGCCAAAGAACATCTGTGAGGCTTTCCGGTAATATGGGTCTGCTGGCAACAAATACTCTCAGGTTTTGTTTATCTAAATTATGTATGTGTGTGTGTACGTACACATATATACATATATATATTTGCTCTATATAGAATTTCAAGTTGGTATTTTTTTCATTCATGATTTTATTTTTTTTTTATTATACTTTAAGTTCTAGGGTACACGTGCACAATGTGCAGGTTTGTTACATAGGTATACATGTGCCATGTTGGTGTGCTGCACCCATTAACTCGTCATTTATATTAGGTATTTCTTCTAATGCTATCCCTCCCCCCTCCCCTCACCCCACGACAGGCCCTGGTGTTGATGTTCCCCTTCCTGTGTCCAAGTGTTCTCATTGTTCAATTCCCACCTATGAGTGAGAATATGCGGTGTTTGGTTTTCTGTCCTTGCAAGAGTTTGCTCAGAATGATGGTTTCCAGCTTCAGCCATGTCCTTACAAAGGACATAAATTCATCCCTGTTTATGGCTGCATAGTAGTCCATAGTATATATGTGCTACATTTTCTTAATCCAGTCTATCATTTATGGACATTTGGGTTGGTTCCAAGTCTTTGCTATTGTGAATAGTGCCGCAATAAACATACGTGTGCATGTGTCTTTATAGCAGCATGATTTATAATCCTTTGGGTATATACCCAGTAATGGGATGGCTCGGTCAAATGGTATTTCTAGTTCTAGATCCTTGAGGAATTGCCACACCATCTTCCACAATGGCTGAACTAGTTTACATTCCCACCAACAGTGTAGAAGCGTTCCTATTTCTCCACATCCTCTCCAGCACCTGTTGTTTCCTGACTTTTAAATGATCGCCATTCTAACTGGTGTGAGATGGTATCTCACTGTGGTTTTGATTTGCATTTCTCTGATGACCAGTGATGGTGAGCATTTTTTCATGTGTTTTTTGGCTGCATAAATGTCTTCTTTTGAGAAGTGTCTGTTCATATTCTTTGCCCATTTTCTTGATGAGATTGTTTGATTATTTTGTTGTAAATTTGTTTAAGTTCTTTGTAGATTCTGAATATTAGCCCTTTGACAGATGGGTAGATTGCAAAAATTTTCTCCCATTCTGTAGGTTGCCTGTTCACTCTGATGGTAGTTTCTTTTGCTGTGCAGAAGCTCTTTAGTTTCATTAGATCCTATTTGTCTATTTTAGCTTTTGTTGCCATTGCTTTTGGTGTTTTAGTCAAGAAGTTCTTGCCCATGGCTCTGTCCTGAATAGTATTGCCTAGGTTTTCTTCTAGGGTTTTTGTGGTTTTAGGTCTAACACTTAAGTCTTTAATCCATCTTGTGTTAATTATTGTATAAGGTATAAGGAAGGGATCCAATTTCAGCTTTCTACATATGGCTAGCCAGTTTTCCCAGCACCATTTATTAAATAGGGAGTCCTTTCCCCATTTCTTATTTTTGTCAGGTTTGTCAAAGATCAGATGGTTGTATATGCCGGTGTTATTTCTGAGGCCTCTGCTCTGTTCCATTGGTCTATATTTCTGTTTTGGTACCAGTACCATGCTGTTTTGGTTACTGTACACTTGTAGTATAGTTTGAAGTCAGGTAGTGTGATGCCTCCAGCTTTGTTCTTTAGGCTTAGGATTGACTTAGCAATGCGGGCTCTTTTTTGGTTCCATATAACTTTAAAGTAGTTTTTTCCAATTCCGTGAAGAAAGTCATTGGTAGCTTGATGGAGATGGCATTGAATCTATAAATTACCTTGGGCAGTATGGCCATTTTCACGACATTGATTCTTCCTATCCATGAGCATGGAATGTTCTTCCATTTGTTTGTGTCCTCTTTTATTTCGTTGAGCAGTGGTTTGTAGTCCTTCACATCCCTTGTAAGTTGGATTCCTAGGTATTTTATTCTCTTTGAAGCAATTGTGAATGGGAGTTCACTCATGATTTGGCTCTCTGCTTGTCTGTTATTGGTGTATAGGAATGCTTGTGATTTTTGCCCATTGATTTTGTATCCTGAGACTTTGCTGAAGTTGCTTATCAGCTTAAGGAGATTTGGAGCCAAGACGATGGGGTTTTCTAAATATACAATCATGTCATCTGCAAACAGGGACAATTTGACTTCTTCTTTTCTTAATTGAATACCCTTAATTTCTTTCTCTTGCCTGATTGCCCTGGCCAGAACTTCCAACACTATGTTGAATAGGAGTGGTGAGAGAGGGCATCCCTGTCTTGTGCCAGTTTTCAAAGGGAATGCTTCCAGGTTTTGCCCATTCAGTATGATATTGGCTGTGGGTTTTTCATAAATAGCTCTTATTACTTTGAGATATGTTCCATCAATACCTAGTTTATTGAGAATTTTTATCATGAAGCGCTGTTGAATTTTGTCAAAGGCCTTTTCTGCATCTATTGAGATAATCATGTGGTTTTTGTCTTTGGTTCTATTTATGTCATAGATTATGTTTATTGATTTGCATATGTTAAACCAGCCTTGCATCCCAGGGATGAAGCCAACTTGATCGTGGTGGATAAGCTTTTTGATGTGCTGCTGGATTCAGTTTGTCAGTATTTTATTGAGGATTTTCGCATCGATGTTCATCAGGGATATTGGTCTAAAATTCTCTTTTTTTGTTGTGTCTCTGCCTGGCTTTGGTATCAGGATGATGCTGGCCTCATAAAATGAAGGAGGATCCCCTCTTTTTCTGTTGATTGGAATAGTTTCAGAAGGAATGGTACCAGCTCCTCTTTATACCTCTGGTAAAATTTGGCTGTGAATCCGTCTGGTCCTGGACTTTTTTTGTTGGTAGGATATTAATTATTGCCTCAATTTCCGAGCCTGTTATTGGTCTATTCAGGGATTCAACTTCTTCCTGGTTTAGTCTTGGGAGGTTGTATGTGTCCAGGAATTTATCCATTTCTTCTAGATTTTCTAGTTTATTTGTGCAGAGGTGTTTACAGTATTCTCTGATGGTAGTTTGTATTTCTGTGGAATCGGTGGTGATAACCCCCTTTATCATTTTTTATTGTGTCTATTTGATTCTTCTCTTTTCTTCATTAGTCTTGCTAGTGGTCTATCAATTTTGTTGATCTTTTCAAAAAACCAGCTCCTGGATTCATTGATTTTTTGAAGGATTTTTTTGTGTCTCTATCTCCTTCAGTTCTGCTCTGATCTTAGTTATTTATTGTCTTCTGCTAGATTTTGAATTTGTTTGCTCTTGCTTCTCTAGTACTTTAATTGTGATGTTAGGGTGTCAATTTTAGATCTTCCCTGCTTTCTCTTGTGGGCATTTAGTGCTATAAATTTCCCTCTACACAGTGCTTTAAATCTGTCCCAGAGATTATGGTATGTTGTGTTGTTGTTCTCATTGGTTTCAAAGAACATCTTTATTTCTGCCTGCATTTCGTTATGTACCCAGTAGTCATTCAGGAGCAGGTTGTTCAGTTTCCATGTAGTTGTGCAGTTTTGAGTGAGTTTCTTAATCCTGAGTTCTAGTTTGATTGCACTGTGGTCTGAGAGACAGTTTGTTGTGATTTCTATTCTTTTACATTTGCTGAGGAGAACTTTACTTCCAACTCTGTGGTCAATTTTGGAATAAGTCTGATGTGGTGCTGAGAAGAATGTATATTCTGTTGATTTGGGGTGGAGAGTTCTGTAGATGTCTATTAGGTCTGCTTGGTGCAGAGCTGAGTTCAAGTCCTGGGTATCCTTGTTAACTTGCTGTCTCATTGATCTGTCTAATATTGACAGTGGGGTATTAAAGTCTCTCATTATTATTGTGTGGGAGTCTAAGTCTCTTTGTAGGTCTCTAAGGACTTGCTTTATGAATCTGGGTGCTCCTGTATTGGGTGCATATATATTTAGGATAGTTAGCGCTTCTTGTTGAATTGATCCCTTTACCATTATGTAATGGCCTTCTTTGTCTCTTTTGATCTTTGTTGGTTTAAAGTCTGTTTTATCAGAGACTAGGATTGCAACCCCTGCTTTTTTGTTGTTTTCCATTTGCTTGGTAGATCTTCCTCCATCCCTTTATTTTGAGCCTATGTGTGTCTCTGCACATGAGATGGGTCTCCTAAATACAGCACACTGATGGGTCTTGACTCTTTATCCAATTTGCCAGTCTGTGTCTTTTAATTGGAGCATTTAGCCCATTTAAATTTAAGGTTAATATTGTTATGTGTGAATTCAATCCTGTCTTTATGATGTTAGCTGGTTATTTTGCCCATTAGTTGATGCAGTTTCTTCCTAGCCTCGATGGTCTTCACAATTTGGCATGTTTTTGCAGTGGCTGATACCAGTTGTTCCTTTCCATGTTTAGTGCTTCCTTCAAGAGCTCTTGTAAGGCAGGCCTGGTAGTGACAAAATCTCTCAGCATTTGCTTGTCTGTAAAGGATTTTATTTCTCCTTCACTTATGAAGCTTAGTTTGGCTGGATATGAAATTCTGGGTTGAATATTTTTTTCTTTAATAATGTTGAATATTGGCCCCCACTCTCTTCTGGCTTGTAGAGTTTCTGCTGAGAGATTCACTGTTAGTCTGATGGGCTTCCCTTTGTGGGTAACCCGACCTTTCTCTCTGGCTGCCCTTAACATTTTTTCCTTCATTTCAACCTTGGTGAATCTGACAATTATGTGTCTTGGGGTTGCTCTTCTCGAGGAGTATCTTTGTGGCGTTCTCTGTATTTCCTGAATTTGAATGTTGGCCTGCCTTGCCAGGTTGGGGAAGTTCTCCTGGATAATATCCTGCAGAGTATTTTCCAACTTGGTTCCATTCTCCCCATCACTTTCAGGTACACCAATCAAATGTAGATTTGGTCTTTTCACATAGTCCTATATTTCTTGGAGGCTTTGTTCTTTTCTTTTTACTCTTTTTTCTCTAAACTTCTCTTCTCGCTTCATTTCATTAATTTGTTCTACAGTCACTGATACCCTTTCTTCCACTTGATCGAATCAGATACTGAAACTTGTGCATGCGTCACGTAGTTCTCGTGCCGTGGTTTTCAGCTCCATCAGGTCATTTAAGGTCTTCTCTATGCTGTTTATTCTAGTTAGCCATTCGTCTAATCTTTTTTCAAGGTTTTTAGCTTCCTTGCGATGGGTTCAGACATCCTCCTTTAGCTTGGAGAAGTTTGTTATTACCGACCTTCTGAAGCCTACTTTTGTTAACCCATCAAAGTCATTCTCTATCCAGCTTTGTTCCATTGCTGGCAAAGAGCTGTGATCCTTTGGAGGAGAAGAGGCTCTCTGGATTTTAGAATTTTCAGCTTTTCTGCTCTGGTTTCTCCCCATCTTTGTGGTTTTATCTACCTTTGGTCTTTGATGATAGTGACCTACAGATGGAGTTTTAGTGTGGTTGTCCTTTTTGTTGATGTTGACGCTATTCCTTTCTGTATGTTAGTTTTCCTTCTAAGAGTCACGTCCCTCAACTGCAGGTCTGTTGGAGTTTGCTGGAGGTCCACTCCAGACCCTGTTTGCCTGGATATCACCAGCAGAGGCTGCAGAACAGCAAATATTGCTGCCTGATCCTTCCTCTGGAAGCTTCATCTCAGTGGGGCATCCAGCTATATGAAGTGTCAGTGGGCACCTACTGGGAGGTTTCTCCCAGTTAGGCTACATGGGGGTCAGGGACCCACTTGAGGAGGCAGTCTGCCTGTTCTCAGAGCTCAAACTCCGTGCTGGGAGAACGACTGCTCTCTTCAGAGCTGTCAGACAGGGACATTTAAGTCTGCAGAAGTTTCTGCTGCCTTTTGTTCAGCTATGCCCTGCCCCCAGAGATGGAGTCTACAGAGGCAGGCAGGAGCTGTGGTGGGCTGCACCAGTTTGAGCTTCCAGGCCACTTTGTTTACCTACTCAAGCCTCAGCAATGGCGGACGCCCCTCCCCCAGTCAGGCTGCTGCCCCGCAGTTCGATCTGGGACTGCTGATCTAGCAGTGAGCAAGGCTCTGTGGGCATGGAACCCACCGAGCCAGGCGCGGGGTGTAATTTCCTGGTGTGCCGTTTGCTAAGACTGTTGGAAAAGCACAGTATTGGGGCTGGAGTGACCTGATTTTCCAGGTACAGTCTGTCACAGCTTCCCTTGGCTAGGAAAGGGAAATCCCCCAACCCCTTGAGCTTCCTGGGTGAAGTGATACCCCACTCTGCTTCGTCTCACCCTCCTTAGGCTGTACCCACTGTCCAACCAGTCCCAGTGAGATGAACCAGCTACTACAGTTGGAAATGCAGAAATCACCCATCTTCTTCATCGATCACGCTGGGAGCTACAGACCGGAGCTGTTCTTACTTGGCCATCTTGGAATGGATCCTCCATTCATGATTTTAAAGATATTTTTCCATGTCTTCTAGCTTCATTTTGTCCTATAGAAACTAGACGTCATGTTTATACACTTCTACATAATATGTCTTCTTTCGATGCTTTTAAGATTTATTCTTTGGTTTTCAGCAGTTTGACCATGATACAGTTAGTTATATTTTTAGTTGCACTTACCCTATTTGGGATTTGCGGAGTTTCATGAATGTGTGGGTTGCTGTTTTCAATCAAATTTAGAAATTTTTCATATAATATAGTTGCAATTTTTTTTCTTGCTCCATATTCTCTCTCCTCTCCTTCTTAAATGTGTGTCAGACCTTTTGAGACAATTGCACAGCTCACTGGGGGTCTGCTAAGTTAAAAAAAAAATCTCTTGCTCTCTGTCCTTCAGTTTAGATGCTTGCTATTGGCTTTCTTCATGGACACTACTCCTTTCTTTTGTTGTGTTAAATGTCCTGTTAATCCCAGGAAATGAATTTTTTAAAGATTTTCTTTTTCAGTTCTAGGACTTGACTCCCATTTGTTTCTTTTTACGATTTACATATCATTTCTGAAAATTTCCTTTTTTTCACCCATTATACCCATGCTTTCCTATAAATTCATTAACATATTTATCGTAACTATATTAATTTTTGTCAATGTTAACGTCTGGTTAATTTCAACATCTCGTTATTCTGTAGGTCTCTTTCTACTTCTGTTATTCTCTGGGGTATGTGTTACACTTTTCTGTATCTTTGTAAGTCTAATAAATTTTAATTTCATACTAGATATTGTGGGTGATGTTTTATGGAGACTGGATTCTGTTATCTTCCTCTGAAGAACGTTGACTTTTGTTTTAGAAGGTAGCTAAATTACAGGCAGATGAACTTGATTTATGAAGCTTGGTTTTAGGCTGTTAGAATGGTTTTATTTTAGTTTTGCAACTAGCCTAGGATGAATCCCTAGTCCTGAGCCTTAAGGTATAAGTTCTGGGTTTTAATTTTAATAGTTTGAGGCATTTTTCAAGTCTGTCTAACTTATCAGGACTTGAATTCCAAACTGTCTGCCTGCATTGGGCAGCTACTGAAATCTCCGCAACAGCTTTCTAGCTTTTGTTTTCTCTTGAGTTTCTTGGAGTCTCATCCTGTGCATGTGTAGACTAGGAATCGGCCAATTATTTGAGGGAAATTTCTATATAGTCCCAAACTCCATATTCTGATTCCTCAGTCTCATAAGACTACCACTTTCTGCTTCAGCTCTGTGGGCTACACGTAGATGGACTGGGAAGTAACTTTAGTGGAAAAAAACATATAAATGTGAATTTCACTCAGTAAGGGTCAAATCCCCACCAGTTTCTGCTAGCTTTTGTTTATCTCCGAATTGTTTGTTCCCAGAGTTTACAATAGCTATTGGCAGGAAAGTATTCAAATTTTCACTTTGCCATTAGTCTCTTTTTTATAATTCTCATCTGTTTTCCCTTTGTTATCTTTGGGATAATTTCATCACATTTATCTTTCCATGCATTAAATCTTCCTCTAGCTTTGTTTTGGTGACTATTTAATCTATCAATTGAGTTTTATTTTCAATAATTGTGTTTTTTATTTCTAGGAAATCTGTTTTTTCAAATCAGCCTTTTATTCCCATGAAGATGTTGTTTGTTTCTTACATTTTAAATTCCTTTTTGAGCTCCTAGTCATTTTTACAATACCTGTTTTTATAATCTCTCTCTGGGACTTGTATTACCTGTATATCCTCAAGGGTCAAATCAAGTTACTTATTCAGTCAGTTGACTTCTACTCTTGGTAGATGGTATCATTGTATGTTTGAGTTTTTGACTCAGTTTTGGATTTTGAATTTATCTGCAGCTGAGTTTTATCTGTGGAAATGATCTATGGTCCTTGGTGAAGGGTACTGCCTTCCAAAGAGGTTTTGTGTTGAATTGCCGGATAGCCCAGTGCTGTCACTGGCCTGGGCACACTTTTCACTAATTTCTTAGCTTCAGGATTCCTGCACCTTTGTGAGCTCTTTTCCAACCACAGTCAGGGCTAAAATAGCTAATTCCCTGACATATCCTTATATTGATGGGTGGCTTTATTTATAGTTCTTCCTTTTAACAAGGGATTAACCATTTAAGAGTCATGGCTCCATAGGAGGTTTGTGAGCCTCTTGTGGGTCCCAGATCTCAATTCCTATTCCTAAATAGTCATTATAACCCAAGTCTCTTGGTCACTAAGACAGGAAACTACCTCACCCCCAAATCCAGGAAAGGCATACCATCAGCTCATAGGGTCACCACTTCAGGGCTTTATCTCACTCTTTAAAGAGTTTGGCTAAAC
Organism: Homo sapiens; assembly: GCF_000001405.40. NCBI lineage: Eukaryota > Metazoa > Chordata > Mammalia > Primates > Hominidae > Homo > Homo sapiens. Next base: position 50,776,729 of record NC_000013.11, read on the forward strand.
ATTTAAAATGTTGATTTTCATATCTCATCTATAGTTACTAGATCTGTTATTAAGGGAGGGTTTCTATTATCTTTTTTGCCATGTTCTGGAATAGAAATCCTGTTTCTACATTTGTTTGTAAGCAGCCTAATCAAATAATGGTTTTAAACAGAGACTACTTATTGGTGGCTTATAGGTTTTGCTTGTTTGTTTGTTTGTTTTTTAAGCTGAACATTTCACATGAAAATCCAGATTTCCATCTTCTCTTGAAAATGTTGAATCTTGGGTGATATTAGGCCACATTCTCCCATGGCACCAGTAAGCTGGAACTTAGTAGTGGCTTCCCCCTTTGAAAAGGGATAAATGCTCCAGAGCTTCCCATGGCCACTACAGCACCCTACAGACTTACAACTAACCTGCTTTACTTTCCTGGCTACGGAAAGTATTTAAGTTTCTAATCACTGAACTAATAGACTTGTCACAGTTAATACTGAGTGTCAACTTGATCGGATTGAAGGATGCAAAATATTGATCCTGGGTGTGTCTGTGAGGGTGCTGCCAAAGGAGATTAACATTTGAGTCAGTGGGCTGGGAAAGGCAGACCCACCCTTAATCTGGGTGGGCACCATCTAATCAGCTGCCAGCATGGCCCGGATAAAGCAGGCAGAAAAACGTGAAAAGGCTAGACTGGCTTAGCCTCCCAACCTACATCTTTTTCCTATGCTGTATGCTTCCTGCCCTTGAACATCAGACCTCGAGTTCTTCAGCTTTGGGACTCGGACTGGCTTCCTTGCTCCTCAGCTTGTAGACAGCCTGTTGTGGAACCTTGTGATCATGTGAGTTTAATACTCCTTAATAAACCCATGTATATATCCTATTAGTTCTGTCCCTTTAGAGAACACTAATATAAGACTCTATCACATTTTTATGCATGGCATTACATGAAGAATTTCTTCTTTTGGGAAGCCTTTTTTGTTCATTCCCACAATCCATTGTTTAAAGTAATATCTTTCTCTCATCATTTAACAGGATTAGATCAAAGATGTCCCTAAGAAGCGTTGAGATGTCACAAAGTTCTAGGTAAGGAGAGAGCTTTAGTTTATGTAAATTTCATCTTTCCATAAACCTGCCCTCACCTTTCTAACCTTTTTCCTCCCCTGTATTAAGAAATATCTAACTTTATATTTCATTAGGAGGGGCATGATAAAGTAAGCAGAACACCGCAGTGGGCATCAGAATGCATTCCATTTCCAGACCTATCTCTTACCATCTGGATATCTCACTCTCAGGAAGATCAAGTGACAAACCTGGATTAGTCCATTTTCACACTGCTACAAGGAACTACCTGAGACTGGGTAGTTTATGAAGAAAAGAGGTTTAATTGATTCATAGTTCTGCAGCCTTAACAGGAAGCATGACTTGGGGGTCTCAGGAAACTTATACAATCATAGCAGAAAGTGAAGGGGAAGCAAGGTATGTCTTCTCGTGGTAGCAGGGGAGAGAGAGAGCAAAGGGGGAACTGGCACACAGTTTTAACCATCATATCTGGTGAGAACTCATTCACTATCACAAAAACAGCACAGGGCAAACCACCCTCATGATCTAGTTACCTCCTACCAGGTCCCTTCCCTGACATGTGGGGATTACGATTTGACGTGAGATTTTGGTAGGGACACAGCCAAACCAGATTAAAACCCAGACTCTCAATCTCCATCTCTGACTTCCTCCATCTGCTGCTTCCTCCTTCTTCTTTCCATCCCATAGCTATGAGAAATCAGGTGGGTGCTCTTCTATTCATCTCATGAACTACTGGACATGTTTACATTTGGGGAACTTAAAAATAAAAATGAACCAGATAGCTGTTGGCTGTTGTCTTTTTGTGAAGAATAATTTTAGGGATCAAAAGACAAAAAGAAAAACATTCTTTGTATCAGAGAATAGCATTATGATCTCCACACATAGTGCCAGCTCTTTTAACTTTGAAGGTCAAATTTCCTAGTTTTCCAAATGTCCACTGATTCCCTTTAAACAAAACCCTGTCTGGGCAAAATAAAACATGTCCATGAACTCAATTTAGATAAAGCTGATTTGGCCTATGAGCCGTGAATTTAAATAAAGAAATCTTAAATAATGGAAAAAATTGCTTTTGATTTATGTGTTTAATAAGTTAGCTATGTTAAGCTTCAAAATGTAGCACTTAATTTTCTATCTTTTTGCATTGTGGAATGATTCCATGTATAAATCTCTAGCCTCTTGTTAGTCCCAATAGGCGATCAAACTATTGACACATTTGTATTTTCTCACAAAGGCCTACTAGGGTGTGAGATAAAGGACAGGTGCTTAGTCCAGCTAACGTGTTCCTGGGATTGTAGATTTAGAAAGTACCTCAAAGGCTTCTAGTCCAAAGACAGCAAAAAACACAGCACGTTGTACAGCCAGCGTGACAGATATCGCCAAGCACAGGAGCAGAAATTCCCACCCTTAGAGCTTTCATTACCTTGAATTAAGATTCGGAATCTCCCCAAGTCCTATTTTTGAAGAAAAGCATTTCCAAACTTACGTTCCATGAACCAGTAATTTTGTGGGATATTCTTAAGTACTAGATAGCTGCCATAGTGTACCAAAGTTTGAATTGCAATCCGAATTCACTCTATCTAGCTTAATTAGCAAGGGAATTCGTTATTATTATTATTCCTTGGGAGGCCAGACTTGTGTGCTACACAGCCAGGGATAAAACAGTTGGGGCCAAAAACAGGCAGAAAATGAGGCCCAATTGCATTGTGGTACATCTGTAGCAGAGACATCACTACTACTGCTATCACATACGACTGAGCAACCATAGCCTTTGAGAGTGGATGCCAGGCACTCCATCACAGCCACCTCGGGAAAACCAGATACCTGCAGCCCCATGCTTATCAAGAGGTGCAATCCCTTCTGGATGTGCTGACTTCCTCTCCCAGGTCTCACGGATTGGTCCTGTCTAGGTCATATGCCTGCATCCAGCCCCCAGGGGAGTCCTGGGAAATGTAACTTTTTAGAAAACGGAAGCAGGCATATAGACTCTGCCACCTCATCAAATTAGTGTAATTTAAATGGGCGTCTTTATTGAAGGACTTCAGAGCCTTTAAAATGCTAATATGTTCTGATTCGTCAAAGAGAGTTTTTAAAAATTATTTTATCATGACACACTTTTTTTCTAACCTCCCAGAACTGAGAGCTCTACCTAACACATTTGAAGAATGCCCTATTAAGCCGTTAACACATCTTAACAGATGTGTTAACAGCTTAACAGAGATTAATGTGTTATCATCTTAAAAGAGATTGTGAGTTTCTGTGTTAGTAATAGCAAGTTCTTCCCTGCAAAAGCTTAAGGCTGTGGTCAATTGGGAAGAACAGCTGGCAGAGGGGATCAGGGATCAAGGTCTTCAGGTGGTAGGCTTACGAGTACAGCCATGGTGGAGCCCCTGAGCAGTGCTGCAGCCCCCCTCATTCCAGGATAGTATGGTCTAGAAGTTCACCCTAGGAGTAAAAACACCTCTGTCTGAATCATTCCTAGATAGCAGTTTCTGCATGCCACAGATTACTGCTCTGTGCGTTGTAGCAAATTGAGTCCACCAAATGTATTTCACCAAGGACTTTTTGATTTAAAACCTGGATTTATTGGCATTCACGAATGTGAAGGGTCATTTTGTTTTTTACTAACGACTCATTTGTTGAGAGCAAATATCAGTTTGCAGACTTCTGAAAACAGCATTTACTAGTAATTTGCAACACATTATCATGTGGGAATCAGATTACAGCTAAGGAGCCCTCATAAAACCAGCTTTAACAATTACTACGTTTCTGGAGAAATATATGTGCTCTTTGCCTCTGTGAGAATGCAGTCATTTGCCTTATGTGGAATTGGGGTGGAGGGAGAATACCATCCTCAGGCTACATAGTTGCTGAAGTGAAATAAACTCAGTCCAAAAAGTAAAGTCATCATTGGTCCTTTCCCAAAAGGGTTCCCACAGAAACGAGGTACGGCACAGGGCAGAGGGAGGTGGAGAAGGCCTGTGGTCAATCTCACAGAGATGGAATCTGTGAGTGTGCAAATGCAGAAGGGGCAATCAGAGTCTGTGGCCAGGCAGAGAACAGGCTGGGAGTCAGTAAGTGTGATATCTCGCCTTCCTGTCTCCGCTCGTTTCCCCTGTTCTGCCAGATAGGTTTCCATTCCTCCCTCCCAGAGCCAGCACTCAAACACTGGCTTTCTTCAGATGAGTTCCCAATCCATCCATCTGTCCATCTATCCTTGGGTTTGCTCAAGCAATCAATCAAACATGTTCTGATTTTCTGCCTGCATTTTCTTACCCAAATAACTGGAGAATTTCTGCCTGCCTTCCTTAAATGGCTATTTTTCTAAATCAAGTTGGTAAATATCTATAAAGCAGTGGTTCTCAGACTTGTTGGTACTAAAACCTCTATACACTCAGTAATTGTTGAGAATCTCAAAGTGCTTTTGTTCATGAGGGTTGTACCAATCAATATTTACCATATTGGACATAGGCCACTTTAGAAATTAACTAGAAAGTAGAAAGGAATGTTTAAAACACACAAAAATAGCGAAGCACATTTGACCAGCCATCAGAGAAATGCTGTCATCACATGTCACTTCGCCTCTGGAAAACTCCACTGTATACCAGTAAGAGAATGAAAGTGAAAAAGCAAATACCATCTTAGTAACTGTGAAAATAGTTTTGAACTCCTGGACCTCCAGGAAGATCTTGAGCACCGCCAACATCCCTAGACACTTTGAAAACGGCTGCTCTAGAGCATCTGCAAATGGTCTTCCTGCCTCAGTCCCTTGTTCCCCACATCACTGCCTCGTGGATCTTCCTAAAACACACATTTGATGGTGACACTCCCCTACCTGGAGCCCTTTTTATGGCTCCTTATCATCTGTGGCATAAATTATCAATAGCAACCATGATCTAGACCACGCCTGTCTTTGCCGGGAAGACTCCTATCTGTCCTTCGCATCTCAGCTCAGAACACTAGGAAGTTGTGATAATTTTGACAAGATTTTGCCTTAGATGAAATAGAACAAATAAAAAAAAATTCTACTGAATTGTTTTATTTGCAAATATTTGTGAGATTAAAAAATAGATGGCTTTGATTTTAAGATTTTATGTTAGAAGTCAGAAAATCTTGAAATTTGATGCCAAGAGCCCACTACACTTTTAGGCTCTGTAAGCCATGAATATCTTTGAACATTTAGTATGTCCTTCTCCATATGTATTCAAACTGTGGTTTTATTTATATGCATAGTGGCTGCCCTCTAGAATAAAAGCATTTCATCTATCTCTTTCCCCCATACCCCCAAAAAACTTGGCTCAAATGTCATATATTTCAAGAAGCCTTTCTTAACACTCTCTTCCCTCCGTTAGTGGTCTGATCATGACTCCTCACATATCTAGAAAACCACCTCCCTCACAAAGGGTCTGTAAGTCCCTTGAGAATAAAAATCATTTTTCATTAGTCTTTGTAACTAGACTTTAGTACAGTGACTGGCATGGTTCCTGAAACAAAAGCCATTTCCAATAAATGGCTAACGGAAATCAGACATGTGCATATGTTGTGTCTTTGCCATGGTAATCATTTTCCCAGCCTCTGTGCCATCCTCCAATATAGCTCTTTTCTCAGCATCTAAGATTCTGTTGTTGGCAGTGTGATATTCTCAAATAGCCATAACCAAAACTTTAGTCATCTATGAATTCTCCCTCACTCTCAACCTCCTTGTCCAAGAAGCTATTGCGACCTCTTCATTTGATCTCTGCAATTTTATCTCCAACCATTTTATCCTTTCTGCCTTCCCTTGCCATGGCTTTAATTTGCTTCCTCATTATTTCACACTTGACCATTAGCACAGCCTCCTCATCTTCTACAAAATAGCCCTAGTTTCCATATAGTGAGCTTCTTGAAGTCAGAAGATTTATTCCTTACCATATTCCTAGCATATTGCACAGGACTCAAAATTGTCTTTTGAATAAAAATGTGAATTCCCACCCATCATATACACTGTCTACAGAAAAAAAAAAAAAAAACTCTTCAGGATAACTTCTAATCATGTCCTTTACCTATTCAAACATTTTCTGTGTCTTCCATTAATTACTGAATGTAGCAGATGCTGTTGGTGCCTGGGTCCACCTCCCCTCAGCCTGCGTTCACCTACAACATGAGCTCCCAAGACAGTTTCCCACTTCAAAGGCGTGTGTCTCTTTTCTATTCTTCCTAAAAGTTTTCTCCAGCATCAAGGGAGCTTGTTTTACAAAAGGTATAACCCAGAAGTTGGGAAAAGTCAACACTGCTGAGGGCAACCTCAACCAATAGGGGTTGGGAATCACTTGCTGAATTCCTCAGTCTCCTTATCTCCGGTAGATGGATTCTAAAGTGTGTTTCTCCATTTCTCAGGGGGCCCAGCAGGGCTGAGCTCCCATTGCTCACAGCAGCAAATCACTCATTTAACAAATGTTTCATTGGTTTCTCCCTTCCCTATCTCACTTCCCCTACTTCTTCCCTTTTGTGCCCCCAGAGATGGCCTTCCAAATAAACTATCTGAACCAAACAATGACATGAACAAAATCTAAACTTCCTGGCCTATCATTCAAAGTACCCCAATAGCTTGATTCTAATCTATATTTTCAGGTTACGTCATCTTACACATAATCTTACACAGAGTCCACCCTCTGGCCAACTGGAAGCCTTGTTGATCCCCAAACCATCTCACTCCAAGTTATAATTATTCTGTAGTTTCATTCACTTAGAATGACACCACTATGATTAGCTTAGACCAGTGGAGCTTCCCTCCCTAGTATGGGGAGGGACCCAGCCGATACAACCTCTCAGAGGAGGGTGACTGCAGTGAAGTCCTGTGAGCAAAAGAAAGTACAGGCTATAGCTGATGGATTGATGGCCAATAGCGTCTCTGCCACAAACAGGTAGCAGGAATGTAAAACATAAAGAAAATAGGTGCTCACAAATTCAACACAAAGTGCTGGAGACGTACTGGTGAGCTGAGGTGAGTCCTCTGAAATTTACTCCAGCAACAGACACTTTTTTACACACCCATCCCCAGCCATCAGTCCCTGATCCCTGCCATAGGCTCTCCCCATGCTGGCCCATACCACGCCCAAAGGAACACATATAGAGATATGGCCAGGCCCTCTAGGCCTGTGCTGTGACTGCTCTGCCAGAACAAAGATCACAGACTTACCACTCCCTGTTTTTAAGAGGTTGCCAACCCTTGCTCTTGCAAAGCCGTAAGCTCTAGCTTCAGTTCAGCGACCCGCCCCCTGTGTTTTGCCAGGCACATGGATTTCTGTGCAACCTGGATGCAGAGAGTTTCCAAATGTCTAGAGCTGTGAGATGTTAATCAAACGTCCACTTGAAGTGCTTTGGAAGCACTTCTGCTTTTTGGGTTATTGATGTGCTCATGTTGTATTAAGATATATTTCTGGTGCAATCATGAATTCACTTCAAGACATATTAAAGAAGGATTTTTTCCTAGCTGCTTACTTCAGAACATTGGTCCCTACAGACCAGGTATTTTTCACAGCTCCTTAGAGGCCCATAAAAAGTGATGGAAAAATGCAGCTGGGCATCTCATGTGGAAATCAAACCTACTGGAATTCCATCTGCATATCTGCCTTAACTTAGCTTGGTTATTGGTTCTTCTGAATTGTTCACTGCATACCTCTCCCCAACTTGTTTCCATCTCAAGGGAGGAGAAGCAATGGGAATTTTCGATCACATTATTCTCCAAGAAAGATGTTTGTGCCCCCAGATAATGGACATTTCCCTCCACAGAGCATGTCACACTCAGGAGAAGTGTTCAAGTGCATTTTCTATGGGCACAAATGGCAACCTGTCCTGGAGACACTCACAGAGAGATTGCATGGCCGCTGCATTTGAAAGCATGGACTCCCATCCCTGACCTGCCACTTCTCCCTAGCGGTGACCTTAGACAAGCTGCTCGGACCATCTGGGTTCTTTCTCTGATCTGTAGTGGAGTGATCAATCTCCTTCCCTGCATCTGTGTGAACAGTTAAGTGCTTTATAAAAGTAAGCGATTCATATTGGAACCTGTCCTGCAGCTCTGAGTGAACTGTTCTTCCCTAGAGCTGTCAGTTATCAACCTGAAACTAGCTGTCTTCAGATGTGCAAATTAGTTTTTTCTTACTGAAGAGAGTCTGGGGACTTCTTGTTCTTCTCTAGATTTAACATAATTGGGCTTTTACTTGGGCTGCTTATATAAGGAGAAGAGACAACCCCTCAGCTTACGTCATGCCCTATGGAAGTGCCATGACTGTTGGTCCTGTGAAGCCTGAGTTTGCCAATGGATAATCTACTAGATGGCCTGGGTTAATGTTCCTTCCTGCTGACTTAAGCTGAGGAGTAACTTACGCAGGTGTGACATCAAATCATTTGGAGAAAACCCATATTCAATGGGCACCTGGGGTTGGGACAAGTGAGACACAGAGATGGATGCACCCGGAATCAGGAATGAGGCCAGGCATTCACTAGCTTTCAATTATTTCACATCTTAGAGCAATTTTAGATTAAATCAGAAGATGTGACAGTAATCATAGTAATCAGTGTAACACTACAATTTTCTTAAATTTTGTTTTTGAGAGGAGTACCTGGGGAGTACAGAACAGTTTTCACCTAGAATTTTGCTCTATTAGAAGCCAAATATGGTAGTTGATCCTGGAGTTAATATGACCCATTGGAAATTGAAAATTGGAATCTGAAAATTTGAGTGCTGAATAGTCCTTACAGCCTTATCCTCAGCTATAAAAAAAGATCACTTAAGGCAACTTGGCCAACTACTGGGTGATTAAGAGGCTGCAAAGCTAAATGGTAAATTAAGCTTTGTCTTCCTCAATGTTGAACCACCTAACTGGGAAACACTCCTGTGGCATCACTTCCTTCTTCTCTGGGCTGTAGCTGAATTTCCTGACTTGGGAGTTGAAGTTGCCATTCATGACTTGGAGATAAACACTTCAAAACGTCATGGGAAGTACCAGTTTTCTCCAAGAATAGAGCATTTATCACCAACACTTGCCAAATGTTCTCAGGGAACAGAGAGATAGAAATACAGGTGTGGCCATGGATATTCCAGGCCCTTTATTCTATACTCTCATTATCTAAAGGCAGCAACGCCTTTAAAATGACAGAACATACTGGCCGCCAGAATAGAAGGAAACCACTACTCATAATTGCTTGAACAGACTCTAGCATAAAGGACCAGCATTAAGATGAAAATTAGGTGGAGAAACTCCAGGCAGCCATCGTTTTGAAGCAGATCATGGTGGCAGAGATTTGGCAGAAGGAGACTTTCGTGTGACATCATTTTGCTTGTGTGGTTTTACTAATAAGACTTTGATGGGTTCAAGGTTCTAGAAAATACCTAACTCTTGGACTTTACATGGGCCTGAACCCCATCATCAAAGAGCCTGATTTTTACCCATTCTGGTTTCTCTCTCTACCTGTGTGGCAAATACACTTGGTTCACCATATGCCATATTCATAGATAATCACAAGACTCTAAAGAAATGACACAGCAAATTATGTAATTGCCCAGAAGTTTCCTTGCCTGGTTTTTGGTTGTTTTGTTTTGTTTTTTAGTTCCTGAACACATAGATAAGAGCTAATTTGTATACGTGTACTATACAACATTAATACAATTTACCATGTAGGTTAATCCAGAACCTGCCACATAGTAGCAGCTCAGTGCATATTTGTTAAATGAAATAAATACTCGTAGGATTCAGCAGGAAGAGAAATCCAGAACAGTTAAGAATGGAGAAAATTGCTCACTAATACATGGTGGGTAAATACAGGACTTCCCTGGAACCAGACTTCCTGAGTGAGAATCCCAGCTTTACCAACTGAATCTCTCTGTCCTTGGGCAAACCCCATAATTTCTCTGTGCAAATGATAATTTTCAAAATGGAATTTTTAGAAAACATAAAATCCTTTATTTTTTAACTCTTTGTGTGAGTTAAAAATGAATGTTATGACCCTCAAAGGGCATCTGAGGAGTAAGGATATTTACAGAAAATTTAACAGAGAAATATTAGGATAAGATTGCCAGGTTAGATATAATCTGGGTAATGTCCAACATGCCATAAATCACTGAGGTTCTCGGTTTCCCTGATGATAAATTATTTGTAAATCTGCTGGACCAAAGTCTTCAAATTAACAAGTGACTTCCTTAAGCCTTGGAACTTTAATCAAAGTTGAGTGATGAGGTAAATCAAGGACATTATTCAAGAAAATCCTTGAGTGGCCTTTTCTCTCCTATGATATTGAAAGAACATGTCTCTCACCTTTTAGCCTTCGTTTCAAGTTTTGGATAATTTTTCTGGCATCACCTTCCTTATTATGAGGATAAAATGGGTTAACATAACAAAAAGTCCTTAAAACAGTGCCTGGCGTTTACTTAGTAAATGCTGTACTGACTATGAGTTTTCCTGGTGAGGTCAGGCCTGCTTAATAATGCCCAGGAGGGGATTTAAAACACAAAGCTCAGAAATGTTACTGTTAGCATTACTTCTCCAATCAACAGGGACCTCCCACTGTTAAATCAGAAGAGAAATGAATAACATTGTCTGCATTCTCTGTTGTAATTACTAACATTTAAAGTAGCATTTGGGGTTTCATATCCCATGACTCTCAAAGGGAAATGGAACACCAGCATGTGTTGGGGGCAGGGAGATAGCAAAGATGGAGCAAATCAAAGGGCGGCACCCCTCACTGGCCATATCAAATCCCTGCAGAAGTCACCTGAACCACCTCCCACTTGCCATCCTTGCATCTTTGCTGACACCTCTTGCCCCAGGTGTGGAAACAGCTTCCTCACTGAGCTCCCTGCCCCCTGCTGTTCCTACTTTCCATTCATTCTCCACTGGTCACCAGACCTACTGCCTAAAACATGGATCCAATCATGTCATTCCCCTGCCCTCCCCCCCACCTTTAACAATGACCTACTACCTACATAGCAGCACCCAAGACTCCCTGCCATCTATCCCCACAGACCAGTTCCACCCCCATCTCCCCGATGGACTCTGTGGCCTCACTCTCCACTCATGTTGGACCACCCAGCTCAGCGCCTTCCCTCTGCTCATACCCATTGTCCACGTCTCCTCTTCACAAACCCATATTCACTCCTCTCTGACTCACTCTGATGGATCCTCTGCTGTGAAACCTCCCCTAAGCCCAAGCCAGTAGCCTACATTTCCCTCCTTTCCACTCTCACAGCTCTGTTCGTGGCACAGCAGGCGTTTCCCCAGCACCATAGGATTCTCCCACAGTTAGATAATCTGATAGCATCTCTATCTCTCAACTGTGACTCCTGAGGGCAGGGGCTGAGTTCCACCGGACCTCGCATTTCTCAGTCTCTAGCTGTGTGCAGGCTCTGTCCCCAGCCTTGTAAGTATTCTCTTAACCAACTCTCTTGCCTTATTCCAACACTTATCCTGGTTGGAGCCTGGCTAGACACCCAGCAAACCAATCTCCTCACCTCTCAGGGCTCATGGCTGGACCACATTCCTCAGCCTCCTCTTAGAGAGGGGGTGGAAATGTGGGCACCAGTTCTGGGCTGGCCTGTGACATCTCCCAACACATTCCCCCAGACCCTCCTGTGCGTGTGTGTGAAAACACTGACGAATAATACCAAGGCTGTGAAAGAAAAGGTTGAAGTCAAAAGAACAATTCCTGGCACTTAGCAGAAAGAACCTCATTGTCGAGGACACTCTAAATACTGAGCCTCCATCAATGGCTGCCTACATCTCCAACTCCAGGGCTTCAGAAAGAACACAGAGCAACCACTCTGTCCTCTGTGTCCTAGAGTGACAAGCAGAGTGAGACTCTATCACTCTTCAAGGAGCCAAGAAATGAAAATATTACAAGGGAATAAATATTTCCTGAGAGGAAAATAGCATCAAGGGCCCTCGCCTGGGATGTTCAAATGTGGAAGTGATTCATAGGAAAATCCCTCCCACAGAAATGATGAGAGATGCTAGGTTAAGACTTCATCATAACAGTGAGTGATGTTTGGGAGCGGGGAGCAAAAGCTGGCATCCTCACGGACACCCTTTCACCCTCACACCCCTGGGACTGTGAAAGTAGCCACCACACCAACTGCATTTTATTTTCAGCTGTAAACCCAGAGCGGGAGCCTGGGTTATATCGAGGAAAGAGCAGCTTCTAGGAAGTCCGCAGCCGAGTGAAGTTTATTTTCCCTCTGTATGGCTGTAAATAATGGCTTCAATTTTGGAAAACATACATCTGGAGCATCGTCGTATTGCCAAACAGAGCCTCGTCACAACACAACAACAGCATCCAGAAGGTTGTCTGTTTTCTGCATGAAACATTGCTAGAGGGTGCTCAGTGTTTCGGAGCTCGGTGTGTGCGGAGTGTGGACAGCATACGTGCAGGTTAGCATGTTAATTCTCCAGTTGCAACCAGGAAAGGACGCGTGGGACACTGGGGTCAGAGTGTTGGCCTAAGTTCCCGAGTTCTTATGTTGGTTCTGCTGCTGCCCGTGCTCCTGAACAACCCATGTAACCTCTCAGTGCCTCAATGCCATTCTCCAGATGATGAGACCTACACAATGCAAACATTCAGTGTGAATGTTTCTTTTTCTTTAAGAAAATGGAACTTGACATACTAGATAACTAAGCCCCATAAAATCTTCATCACAAGATTCTTGAGAGCAGGAAACTCATGGTGTGTATGAAATAGAAGTTGATTTATTTAAATATGTATATATGTATACACACACATATATTTAGTGCACATTTTCAGGAACACAATTGTTTTCTACAGAATAGTACTTTTCTAAGTTATATGGCCTGTTAGTGCTTAATCAATGCCTACTTGATTGCAAGTCACCTTTAAAATATAGAATAACATGTTACCTAAACAGAATACATCATCATTATGAAATTATAGAATGTTAGCCCTATAACGGACCCTGGAAATCGTTTTGTTCTAACTTTTCATAGCATCTGAGGAAGCTAAAACCCAGTGAGGTGAATTACTGCCCACTTCAAAACATGTCTGCATGTCTGCATAGAATTTTTCTTAATGTTAAGGTCTGATCAGGTAAACTGAAACTAAACAGCAAGTCTTTCCACAAGTCTTTGTTTCCCAGAGCCACCTTTTTTCTCTTTCTTTCTTTCTTTCTTTCTTTCTTTTTTTTTTTTTTGGGACAGAGTCTCGCTCTGTTGCCCAGGCTGGAGTGCAGTGGCGCTCACTGCAACCTCCGCCTCCCAGGTTCAAGTGATTCTCCTGCCTCAGCCTCCCAAGTAGCTGGGATTACAGGCACGTGGCACCATGGCCAGCTAATTTTTGTATTTTTAGTAGAGATGGGATTTCACTATGTTGGTCAGGCTGGTATCGAACTCCTGGCCTCAAGTGATCCACCCTCCTCGGCCTCCCAAAATGTTGAGATTACAGGCGTGAGCCACCACACCCGGCCTCCCAGAGCCATCTTGTCACATGATTATTTGTATGTCCATTACTATCAATATCTCTTTCTTTTGTTAAAAATAAAAATAAAAATAAAAAGATCTGAAGGGGGAGGGAGTTGTGTGTGAGAGAAGTTTGTTTTCCTTCTCCCAAATCCTTTTATATTTTTTTCATGACACGATGTGGACTTTGAGGTGCCCTCTCAGGCCCGCAAGGATATCCTGTGAACCAAAGTAACACTCTCCGTTTAAGGAGACCCCCGCTGCTTTTTCATGTTATCTTTGAGGCATTCTCCATGGAGTCTGACCATCATTCTTGTTCAGAGACAGCTCTGAGGAATCCTCGGTCTCTCACACACACTGGTGGAAAGGAGGCATGTCTGGGGAAAGTTTGGAACAGCCAAGCTGGGATGGTTAGTCTGTGGGATGCGAGGGGTGTGGGGTGGGCGGACAACGTGCTGGCTGGGGTAGGAAGAGGACTCTGTTCAACCCAATGCTGTATAAACTGTCAATAACTCCATTTTCCAGGTGAGACAATAGAAGCCAGTCAGGCTTCCTGTAGAGATTAGCCACGGATGCTCTCTCGAGGTCCTGGTGCATTCCCGAAGAACAACCAGGGCTGAGGCTTTGTGCTCTTTAGAAAAAAGTGTTCCTTCCTCAAAAAAAGTTTAGCATGTTATTGCCCAAGCTGAATAAGCTCACTTCGGCTATACCCAAAGAAGGCAGAAAAGGTGGCAGGGAAGGGGACACGGCTACCTTCTCTCAGAGCAGAATGAGGTGATTCTGGACGGTGGCTTGTAAGAAGACCGAGTGGGCGAGGGAGGGAGGGAGGACACAAAGGAAGAGTCCAGGGGCTTTGGCCCTGGGGTTCCAGTGCCAAAATTCACCATCATGCATCCAACCTGTGGGCCTGTTAATCACACTCATTAAAGAAACCTATGAATACCATCAGGTTCCAGGAGAAACCATTGCTTCATAGATGTGTCCCCTGGGCTTGGCTGGGCTCTTCTCTGAGCAATGTGCAGGGTCAGGCAGGGTTGTACACATGCAGGGGCACCTATGCTTTCTCCTGCTCACACACCCAACACCTGCCCAGTGCTCTCCCACCCGCTTCATGCCCCTGACAGGAGGTGACCATGTGAGGTTCAGGGATGTGGGTGGTGAGACTTGGGCCTTCAGCAGCTGCAGGTGGGTGAGAAAAGCCACCTTGGTGGCCTTCTGGGTCTGGGGAGCAGTCGGAACAGGGTAGACTGGACACATGTGTATGTGTTGGTGACAGTGTGTACGTGTTCTGGGCCACTCTAGGAACATCCAGAATCTCCCCTTACCTAGGACATCACTCTGGAAACATCCCCATCTCCCCTCACCTCTCCACCAGGCCAGCTTGCAGGGTCAGAGCCAAGTTTTGTGGAACCTAAAAATTACCCAAGTGAAGGACTCAATCTTTAAGGAAAAATCCTCCCAAAATTATGAATACAAATTGGCCTGAATGTAAACATCTATTTAAAATGAGAAAAGAAACCACAGCAAATGACAATTTTAAAGATCTGACAAAAACCAAAAAAAATCACAAAATCCAGAAATGTATTTTTATTAGTTAAGAGCCTGACGCCTTTACATGTTTTCCACATTTTCTTGGCTGCTCTTTGATCACCTTTTCCTATGACAGTGATACGGTAACAGCATTTTTTTACACAAAGAAATAGAATTGAGCTTCAGTCTTTCCTTCCAAGCTGAAAACTTACCACTTCACAACTTCTTGTTGGCAATCTCTTACATTTTTTTAGGACTGTTGTCAAATCTGGGGAAAACTCTATCAAGTTTCTTTCATACATGAGCTCTAGGATTTAAGGACTTTTCAAGTTTTCTTATATATTAACTTCTAAATATTCTTTAAATTGATAACACTCAGAACCAGTGTATTATATATCCTATTGTAATGGTGAACATGAGTTTTCTGTTTTCTTCATCGATGCCAGTATTTTGTGTCAAATCAGTAGGAATATCTTTGCAATGGCTCATGTGATTTAGTCTTCTCTTTAATTGAATTATCAAATAATTCAAGAATCTACCCATTACTTTTGTCCAACATTCCATCCTGGAAGATATTTTTACATAGGAAATATATTAGCTCAATAACTACAGAGAAGTGCCTGTGAGTCTCATAAACATACCTCATAAACCCAAACAAAATGAATCCCCAATGCAACTTCCCTTTAGCTATTCCCTAAAATGTCCAGCACCCCAGCACGACTCCACACAGATAGGAGTATGCTGGGGGAAGACAGATTGGAAAGAGACAGCAGTCCTAACTGAGTGTCTTATTTTTCTTGGCCTAGTTTTTCCTTCTACTATCTCTTCTTCTCTATTCACTTCTCTATTCACTTCCGGGAACTGAACTTAATCAATCAAATTTAACTCACACTTGTTAATGGTGTGCGCACTGTTTTTTACGTCATTCCACTGTTGATAAGGTGTGCAAGAACTGAATATGTTCTTTGGGTCCGCACTCAAATATCACCTCCTCAGAAAGGCCTCCCTTACCCAATCAATTTAAGCCAGCCCTTTCCTCCCTACTTACTCTCTTCACATAGATTAGTTTGTCTTCTGGTTTTTGGGTTTTCTTGCATTCTTTGCTCCTCTTTTTTTTTTTTTCCAACTTTAATTTTAGAATTAGGGTGTACATGCACAGTTTCGTTACAAATTATATTGTGTGATGCCGAGGTTTGGAATATGAATGAATTCATCATCCAAGTACTGAATATAATACCCCACAGGTAGTTTTTTTCAACCCTTCCCTGAATCCCTTCTTCCCATTTCTAGTAGTTCCCAGTATCTATTGTTCCTGTTTTTTGTGTCCATATGTACCCAATGTTTAGCTTCCGCTTACAAGTGAGAACATGCCATATTTGGTTTTTTGCTTCCACATTAATTCATTTAGGATAATGATTTCCAGATGCACCCGTGTTGCTGCAAAGGACATGATGTCATTCTTTTTTTTAATGACTGTGTAGTATTCCATGGCGTATATGTACCACATTTTAAAAATTCAGTTCACTATTGATGAGCAACTGGGTTGATTCCATACCATTGCTATTGTGAATAGTGCTGCAGTGAACATACATATTTTCCTTTGGGTAGATACCCAGTAGTGAGATTGCTGGGTCAAATGATAGTTCAACTCTCAGTTCTTTGAGAAATCTCCAAACTGCTCTCCACAGTGGCCGAACTAATTTACATTCTGACCAACAGTGTATTAGGGTTCCCTTTTCTCTGCAGCCTCACTAACATCTGCTATTTTTTGACTTTTTAACAAAAGTGATTCTGACTGGTATGAAATATCTCATTACAGTTTTAATTTGCACTTCTCTGATGATTAGTGATGATGACCATTTTTTCTTACGTTTGCTGGCTGCTTGTAGGTCTTCTTTTGAGAAGTGTCTGTTCATGTGCTTTGCCCACTTTTTAATGGGATTGTTTGTTTTTTGCTCATTGACTTATTTAAGTTCCTTATAGATTCTGGATAATAGGCCTTTGCCAGATGCTTAGTTAGTGAGTATTTTCTCCCATTCTGTAGGGTGTCTGTTTACTTCTTTGATAGTTTCTCTTGCTGTGCAGAAGCTCTTTAGTTTAATTTGGACCCATTTGTCAATTTCTAGTTTTATTGCAATTGCCTTTGAGGACTTAGTTATAAATTCTTTGCCAAGGCTGATATGGAGAAGCATATTTCCTAGGTTTCTTCTAGGATTTTTAGAGGTTGAGGTCTTACGTTTAAGTTTTTAATCCATCTTGAGTTAATTTTTGTATATGGTGGTAGGTAGATGTGCAGTTTTATTCTTCTGCATATGGATAGACATGGTTTAGTTTTTAAACAACTTGTAAGTATTTGAAATCATCTAGTTGATTTATTTACTTGCTTATTGTTTACACTTTGACTTTCCCTTTGTATTCACCACTGTATCCTAGCTCAACGATGCCCAGCCAAGCACAGGTCAATAGATATTTGTTGAGGGAATGTGTTACACACCCCAGGCCCTTGTCGTAAGAGTTTACATTTTTAAAAAAGTTGAGTAAAAAGACTTTTTTTTTTTTTAACATGGAGTGTTTGGTCACAATAATGATGGCATTACAATCATTGTGACATTCAAGTCCAGGTCATCAGAGCAGGATTATGTCCTCCCATTTTACAAAAGGGGAAGCTGAAAAATTAACTTGCCCAAAGCCACACAGTTGAATTGGAGCCAAATTGGACATAAAATTCAGGGCTTCTGACTCCTATTCCTGTGTTCCACTTACTACTTCAGGTTGCCAGGCTGCCAATAGCATCTGGTGAAAATGTTTAAGTTTTTTAATATGAGAATCATGGCTGACTTGCTACTTGTACTTGTGCTGTGAGTTGGAAGACATTGGTAGTTGTAGTAGATTTGTTCTCAAAAGAGAAGAGCAGGTGTCCTTTACATGTTCTCATCCAACTTCACAATAACCCTTGATGTAGGCATTATTGAGCAGTTCCTTTTAACTGAGGCTCAAATGATTAATTTGCTGAAGTTCACAATCAATGTTAAATACAGGATTTATACCCAGATTTACTTCAAATGACTTTTATACATGAGATTAAAGGTCCACATCTGGAAGCTGGCTGGCTAGGTTGGAAATTAAGTATGTAGTTATCATACATGATAAAATAATAAAATTATGTGATTATATATTATGTATTATATAAATACATATAATTATATATTATTACAACAAAATTACTTGGTGACGGCTAGGCTGACATGTGATCTCCATCTAATTAAGAATTAAATATTCTATTACTGATGGGGTTGGCTTCAAAAACACACAAAATGGCCCCAAGGTGTGAAATCCTTGGCTTGTTTTGGGAATTACCATGATTAACCAAAAGCTAGAGGTATACTAGCTCATATTATCTATAGGAGATCTATAAGTGCTTTCATAGAGAAGGGGCCAACCCTGGAAAAGTAGCCTCTGGTCAGGGGTCATATATTTTTTTCAGCCAAACAGATCCTCTTGGGCTCCAGTGGCCTCCTCCCCAACTTTACCTGTGAGATCAGGGATTATAGCAAAAGGACAGAAGCAGATTCACCTTGAACTCATGTCCATGCACGTCTCCAGAGTGGTCCAGTATCTCACCTACTCTCTCAGGCAACAAATGCAGTTGATGATAAAGGGGAAGACAGTAGAAATGTAGCCCCTGACCTTGGTTCTCTTCATTCCAGCAAGTTCTGTTCCCTGAGAGAGCAGTGGAGATGATGTGAAAAAGGTAGGCTGAGGTTAGATTGGGAAGGACATTGTATGCCACAATATGGAGTATGACATTTATCCTGTTTTTCTTCAATATTTCTAAATTTAAACTGTACTTCAGATTGTTAAAATATTAAAATTCTCTACCTTGAACCATTCAATAATATATGTATGTTACACATATTTGTGTTTCTATTAAATTTATCAATTAACAGTAAACGTTATTTAATATTATTTTTATCAGCAAGCTAAAATGTTAACTCACACTGCGATTATTTTTATAGCAAACTGCAGAATTGAGATTAGGTACATAAACTGGAAATTAAAGATAATTAGTATGATTAATATTAATGATCTCTACCCACTCATTTTTCTATCCTTGTGGTTTAAAAAATGGGACTGCAAATATGTTAGGGCAATTGAGTCAGAGTATGATTTTTCTTATGCATCAGTAGACACTTTTGGCCTAAAAGTTTTAGGAACTACGTACTTTTCATAGCAAAAGTTATACAATTGTGACTCAGTTTACCATTGCTCACCAGTACCTGTTTTCCCTTTTTTCTCAGCATACCACCAGGATATATATAATATTCCCCCCTTATCTGAGGGAGCTATGTTCCAAGACCACCAGTGGATGCCTGAAACCCTTAGAGTACTGAACTCTATATATTTTATATTTTTTCCTATACTTACATACCTATGATAAAGTTTAACTTATAAATCAGGCACAGTAACAGATTAATAATAACTAATAATAAAATGGAACTATTATAACAATATGCCAGCATCACTAGTCTTATGCTTTGGGGCCATTATTAAGTAAAATAAGGGTTATTTGAACACAAGCACTGTGATCCCACAACAGTCAATATGATTACCAAGAAGGCCTCCAAGTGACTCACAGGTGAGGAGCATCTATAGTGCAAATCTGCTAGGCCAAGGGAGGATGAACGTCTTGGGGTGGGCCTGGGCAGGATGGTGTTAGATTTCATCATGCTACCAGAATGGCATGCAATTTAAAATTTATGAATTGTTCATTTCTGCAATTTTCCATTTAATCTTTTTGAATTGCAGTTGGCCACAGTTAACAAAAAACTCAGAAACTGAAACCAGGTATAAGTGGGAACTGCTATAGTCCAATTAGAAGTGGTCATGTGACTCCACTCCCACTCAGTCATGTGACTGAGCTCTGGCCAATGGAATGTGAAAGGAAGTGAGGTGTGCTACTTCCAGGCCTGCTTATGAAAACCTCTTATGTCCAGTCCTTGCTCTTCCACCACCCTCTGACTGAACAGTGAGGTTTATGAAGACCCTAATAAGAGCAGAGGCATCAGATAGAAGGAAAACGCATCCCTGAGAGAGACCACTTGGAGTGGATCCCAACACCCCATCTGACCTGCACTGAACTGTGTTGTGAGCAAGAAGTAGAATGTTTTGTGTTAAGCCACTACAAATGTGGGGTTGTTTGTTAATGCAGTTAACACACTCTAACTAATACATTGAATAAAATGTGCTATAGACAAGCAGAAGGAAAATTCTGCAATTGAAAATGAAGATGTATCACAGGTTTTGAAACAGACTTGATGCATGATCAGATTTGAGAGGATGTAAGATCCGAACGTGGAGTACATTGGATGGAGTTGGTTGTTCTGGGACAAATAGGGTAGGAACGTGAGTGCAGAGAGTAGGTCTAGAACCTGGATTCAACCCAAGGGAAGTAGTTGGCATGAAAAAGCGTGCTGGGATTCATCCTCCAGGAAACTGGGGCCCAGTGGTAAGAATCACAGCCTGGAGTCCAAGGCAGGAAGCTCAGACACTGAGGGAGTACGACATAAGGGAGGAAACTCAGCCAAAGTCAATCTTGAGAGAAATCTAATCTTTTTCTGGGACGTGCTAATATAATAAGGGTTCCAGACACGGGAGCCTTCTATTGCACTTTAAAGCTTCAATCACCAAGCAGCACGTACAAGAAGTGTTTTTTCTTTACAAGCCCTTACATTTTAAAGAAGAATCAAAAACATTTTTTAAGTAGGACTAGGAAATGGAAAAAGAGTAGATGTTAGTTTCTTCATTGTAATGTTTGAAAGCATTCTTGTGTTTTGGTAGGTCTTGAACTCAATGGCAATTGTTTATTCTCATGGCAGGAAAGTATATGAAAAGATTAAGGGTGTTTTCCTGCTTAGATCTTTAGGCATATAACTAAGGAAAATGGACAGAGATGCAGATTCACTTATGTTTGCAAAATGCGGAGTACACTGAATATCCCTTTGGTGTCACATATTTTATCTTGCCTAAAAATTATTATTTGTTCATTCACTTAAGTATAGAGCTCAGATTCTGTGCTCCCAAATCTGCCAGAATTTAATGGGGGCCACAGAGAAATTGTAAGAACGTACTATTGTCCCCTATTGTTAGGAACATTCTTCATTTAGCAAAAGTTGATTTAGCCCCTCTTCTGGGTCACACTGTTTTGGCTTAGGGAAACATATTAACTAAGAAGTTCACAGTCTAACAGATGGGTAGATGAAGAATTAAGCAATTGTACAGAAGAGCAGATTTCAGAATGCCATTGTAATAGGTGGCACCACCAAATAGGCCTGGTTCACATGTCATTCTGCAGGTGGTATGCCATTTTGGACACCTTGATGGCAGTTGTCTATTCACTCTACCTGGCTCTGCAACCACTCATTAATATTCATAATATGATAACTAAGGAAGTCATTGAAAGTGACCTAACCCACATGAAATGAAATGTATATTTACAACTCATTCAAAATAAATAGCACATATATGTGTACAACACAATATGGGTGGCGCAGTCACAAACCTGACTGCAAACTCAGTTGTGCAAAAAATTAAACTTTTAATATTTTTGGTTATTTACTTTAATTTTTACGTTAAGTTCCCTTTGTCCAGTGGGACATACACTGACACCTAGGCAATTTGTGATGCCATAGACGTTCAAGGTGGCATGGGGACAGGGCTAGGAGTCCAATGCCTTCAGTCCTTTCTCACCTGATGATGCCAGCTCCCATTGTTCCATCTCTCTGGGTCTCCACCCACAATCCTTAAATCATGTGTGCAGGGCCTTGTCCAGCCTGGGGACTCTTTGTACTATATTTGGGCTGTTCTTGAGCTCATGCAAGCTATTTGGCTGCTCCCAACATGCAGTGAGGCAAGAGAAACTCTCTGAGGCTGTCCGGGTCTCATGTCAACCTCCAGGCCACTCTAGAAATGATAAGCAGGACAATTCCGCTGGTCACTCCCTGTATCAGAGTGCTGGAACCTCGAGGAGACTGTCAAAGCACTAGTGCACACAGCCATTGCTCCTGGAGCCTTCTGTATTCTGGAACCCTGGTTCCCCCTAGCTCTTGGGACCCACTCACCTGTGTGGGCCTCCTTCCCTCCTCACTCCACCTGCAGAAAAGGCATGCCACTGTCCAGGGCTTCTTGCTTCTCCTCCAACTCTCCTCTTTCACCCAAGCTGGAGAAGCTTTATCTTTCTCCTGGAAGTGAGGATCTTTGCTCCGAATTTTCCCTGCCTTTCCCTGGGTTATGTTTTTGAAACCTCAAAAGCCAGAACAGGGTCCCTATTCTCTGCTTTTGATTAATACATCCTCTCCCTGAGTCAGCTAACCACAAACAATGAGCTTTGCCTTGGTTGGGGTAGGGCAGTGGACTGGTGAAGAAGTAACAGTTTTATCCTCCTACACACATGCACACATATATGCATATTACAACCTTCAAATAACACAGAGATAATCACAATCTGGACTCACTGCAAGCCCTTCTTCATTAATGCATTGATACAATCCTCAGCAGAAATGGCCGTGTAAAACACCCTTGCCTTGTTCCTATGTGGATTTCTTGTATTCTATTGCATTTCACGGGTTTGTGCTATTTGCTGATCCTGTTCTCTATTCCACTTTGGTCCATGTCTCACCTTCACTCCAGCCGGTTGGTCAGATTAGTAACTAACTGCCTTGTAGCAAAGTGATTTTTATACAGACAATTGTGCGTCTCTGCAATTGTAAAAAGCTTTGACATTGTAGTTTAGATTCTAAACTCTAGATCCTTTAATAACAGCATTTCTGTAGCACCAGCAGTTTCCATTCCTAGTTGCTACTGTAGTAGCAGGTCTCGGGCACATGCAGAAACTTAGTGGGGCTGCCTTAAAATGGACTCTACAAGACGACTGCTACAAAATATCTTTTCCTCTCTTCACTATTATGGAAGGGAGTGGTATTATATTAGGACCCTCTTGTTTGTGGGCAGCAATTACAACTTTCTATTTAGATACTTCTCTTTCCTCTGCTTATGTTGGAGTCTTACTCTGTGATTGCTAACTGTATTGCATTGTCTTCATTCTCTCAATAGCAACAGTAGAAGTTTTAGATTATCTGTCCTGCGTTGCTGAAGATTTGCTGCATAACTACTGGATGTCCACATATATGTGTGTAGACACTATCAAACTGTACACAGAACTCTGGGGGTATGGAGAAGGGAATGATTAATTTTGCCTGTGAAGAAAGATTGGCAAGGGGCATTGAAGGCTTCATGCAGGAGATGACATTTGAACTAAGTTTGCAGAATAAATAGAATTTCAGCATTTGGGTACGATGCCTCTGCTGAGGGTGGCAGATTAAGAAAGCACAAAGAAAGGAGTGTGACAAATAGAAAGTAGTGTAAGAAAGGGCAAAAGAGAATAAAAGCTCATGGTATGAAAAGGACAGAGGTGGCATCTGGAAGTTAAAGCACATAGTACTTGTATCAGAAGAGTCCTATCTATGGCTAATGCTCAGCCCGGTTGACTGAGTGTAAAAAATAGATTTAAAATATTCAAAAATACCGACAAAATGTAAAACAGAATACCAAATTCAGAAAGTGGGAAAGCACCCCTTCCCCTTCAGTTTCAAAAAATACACTTTGTATATCTGAGCTTTGAACAGGAACCACACCCTGAGGAATGAAGGGGCCTCCTCACTGAGGATAATTTTAAGTTGCTAATTGCTACCTATACCCCCTGGCATTAAACAAACAGAGCTGCCTTCACTCCTCCTAGGCTGCCCTTTGAGGAAGAACATAAGCATCTAAAAATAGAACCTCAGGGGTTTTCCCGCACATTAAAACTTCTGCCCATCCTCCCCTCCAGCCAAATCACGTTAATCATGATGAAGACCAAAATAATCGTGCTGAATGAATGTCCAGGAGCTTAAATATTTGCTTTGGACAAATACTCTGCTTGGTGCTTTATACCCTAAATCCTCGAATTATGGAGAGGAAGCTTGCAGCCCTTAGGGAGAAGAGAGAGGCGAGGTGAAGAAAGTACAGAGATTTCAATGGCCTCTTGGACTTTTCTGTCTCCTTATGTTTTCCTGGTGTTTTAGTGGTTAGTTTTGCAGCATACAGTGCTAGGCTCTTCCCTCACACTTTATGTTTCCCCATGTGGACAGTATCTAGAGATTAATAAGGAAGGCCCACTCTGAGAGTGACCACTAGCAAGCCAGCAGTGGGGCTGACTCTCAATTTGGAATGAATGTTTGAAGAGGCTTTTCACATTTCATAGAAATGAGGATTGTGACTCTACAGAAAAAGTTGTTGTCTACAAGAAGGTCCCTTTACTCTTGGGAAGCAACTTTAGCTGTCCTCTCCTTGCTTTTTCAAAACTCGCTTAGCTAATAAAGAGACCAACATGCTCATCTTGGATCCCAGTACCTCTCAGTGGAGAGGAATTTGGGAGGGGAGTCGGTTTGAAAGGCAAAGTGAGCTCTCGGTAGCTGAAGCTGCATAACTACACCGTCACCCCTCCATCCACCTGCTCCCAGTGCAGCAACCCTTCCTGAGGTCGCTTCAGATGTTTTCAGCTATTCCAGGTGACCATTCTTTAGCAGCACGGAGCTGTTGTTCATACTTCGAAGTGTCATCAGCCCCACATTTTCATTTTTGAGTATCCCTTTTCTGAGCAGAGACCGGTCTACTGTGGCAACATAATGCATCCAGTTAAGGCAAGAGATTGACGACTCAACACTGACCTCCACTGGTTGGCATGGAAATACCTAATCCCTTTCGTTCAATGCCTTGGCCATTTTCACGGGGTGCACAGGGAGCCCTCAGCACCTTGCACTGCACTGTTGGTTGAGATTTTACATGATTTTAAATTACCTTCCAAGGAGCATATATGTAGATTCTGGAAAACTCTGATCCAACATTGAGACCTCAGCGCGCCCTTGTACCACCACAAACCACAACATCATTTTGTTTACACCAAGTTAGGGAGTTCAAAGTTGAATTCATGAGAATCTGAGAAATCTATGTCAATCTGTTTCCATGGTAGTGTTATTAATGACTATTCAATTGCCAATAGATTTATTATTACCTTTTAAATGCCTCAAACTCCAATTGGCCATTGTAACCCCATTTTCAATTGGTATAATAATCTTGCCTGCAGAGAATCTGTGCCAGATGCTGTGTTGCCAATGCCTTAGTTGTCTGGAGGTGGGCAAGGAAGGCCCGCTTGGATCAGTGCCACTAAAGGTGGGCTGTGATTCTCCTCATGGGGGTAGTCAGGACTTGGAACCAGCCAGGATTTCAGGAGAGAGACAAGGCAAAATGAACAAGGGAGCCTCTATACACTAAAAAAAAAAAAAAAAAAAAAAAAAAAGGCACAAGCCCATTAGTTTAGTTTTCTGGGAACAGGCCTGATGCAGTTTAATCCAGAGTGGCTGGCCTCTGAGGAACTGGGCACTTGTTGATTTCAATAGAAACCCAACTGATGCTTCTCCACCCAGGAAGGTACAATCAAGTTAAGAGAGCAATTGGTGAAAGAGATTATGATTTGGAAATACCTCCCATTTGGTTCCACTAAACAGAGTAGGTCAGAAAGAAAGAACTAAGCAAAACCATTTAATTAGTGCTCCTGACTCTCAAGAAAGCTGGAGCCAAAAATGAAATTCTTAGATAGCAAGCCCATGTTCTTCATATTGGTGTCTTCATTTAGAAAGCGACAGTACCTATGTCAACAGCTATGTTGAGAAATATTAAGCAGAAATGAAGAAAATGCAATATATATCAAAAATTGAATAAAATTTTCTCCATGGTTGTTCTTGTTTCAATGCCCTCAAAAACTAATTTAAATATTTTATTTAATTTTGAATAGGTCATACATATTTGGGGTACTAAACTTGGATGGCACAAAAGGATATACACTAAAGAGTAACTCTCCCTCTTATCTCTGTCACTGAGACAACCAGTTCTCCTCACAGGAGGCGACCTGAATTACTAATTATATATGGATATTTCCAGATATGTTTTATATGTCTGTACATGTGTATATCATACATGTACATGTACTTTTTTACACAGTTGGGACCACGCTATTTATACTTATCTGTGCCTTGTCTTTTTATCCACATAACAATAGAGCTTAAATAGGCTTCTACATTATTACATAATATATTTTCTTATTAGTTTTTATCACACGGCACTTCATTGTGTAATGTTTCATAATTTATTTAACCTGTTCCCTATTGATAACGTTTAGGCAGTTTCAGATTTTTACATGTATAACCAATAGCCTAACAGGTCATTGGTACATAAATCATTTCACACATTTGCAAATACATCTGTAGGAAACATTCCTCAAATTGGAATTGCTAGGTCAAAGGTATGTGCATTTGTCATTTTGATAGATATTGACAAATTTCCCTCAACTAAGATTGTACGAATTTATACTTTAACCATCAGTGTGTGAAACGACTCACTCTCCCCTTCCTCATGGACTCAGCATGTTATAGAATGTGTTGATCATTGTCAATCTGATGTGAAGTAATATTTTCTGATAATTTAACTTGAAATTCTCTCAACTTTAGTGAATTAATAATGCTTTGCCCTTTTTTATTAGGTTGTTAGACATTTCCTTATTGATATAATTCTCTCTATATTAGAATATTCTACATTAATAAAATTAACCCATTAAAGTGTGTCAAATATGGTAGCCACCAGCCCCATGTGGCTCTTGAACACTTGAAATGTGGCTAGTTCCAATTGTGATGCACAGTAATTATAAAATACACACCAGATTTCTTGGAACAAAAAGGAATAGAAATATCTTATTTATAATATTTTGTATTGATTACTTATTGAAATAAAATTATTTTTGATATGACAAATTAAATAAAACATATTACTAAAATTAATTTCTTTAATTAAAGAAAAAAGGTGATGCATTTCTTTAAAAAACAGACTTCTTTTTACTTTTTACACTAACTACTAGAAAATTTAGAATTACACGTGTAGCTTACATTGTATTTCCATTGACAGTGCTAGTCTACTATGTGAGCTGCAAATTTTTTGCCCAGTTTATTTTTATATTGTCAGATTCATCAGTTTTTTGTTATGACTTCTGAGATTTGTAATGGACTTAAAGAGATCTTCCTTACTACAATACTTTTAAAACTTTTCCATGGTGGGTCCTAGTATTTTTATATTTTTATTAACGTGGAAATCTTTGATTCATCAGGAAATCATTTTGATGTAAGGTCTGAGGTTAGAATCCAATATTAATTTTTTAGAGGGCTAGAATGAACAACATTTATTAATTTCACCCTTTTCCCACTAATTGAAATGTCATCACGTCCTAAATATTTTAATGTCAGGTAGGGCTAGTACCATGTATTTTCTATTTTTTCCCCTGAATTTTCCTGGTTATTCCTGCTTGTTTTTTTCCTTTATATGAACTTTAGAATCATATATAGACTCCCAAATTTTATTGATATTCTTATAGGACCTGTATTAAATGTTTATATTTTTTTAGAGAGAATTGAAAACTGTCTGATACTGAGTTTCCCTCACCAAGAATATAATATACTTTTATATCTGTTCAAGTGTTCTTTTGTGTCCACAAGAGACAGTGTAATGTTGTTCGTTTTATGGGGTTTTTTTTTTTTCTGTTGTTGTTGTTTTTGTTTTTGAGACAGAGTCTCACTCTGTCACCCAGGCTGGAGTGTGGAGTGCAGTGGCATGATCTCAGCTCACTGCAATCTCTGCCTCCTGGGTTCAAGTGATTCTCCTGCCTCAGCCTCCTGAGTAGCTGCAACCACAGGCATGCACCACCACACCCAGCTATTTTTTAAAAATTTTTATTAGAGATGGGATTTCACCATGTTGGTCAGGCTGGTCTCGAACTCCTGACCTCAGGTGATCCGCCAGCCTAGGCCTCTCAAAGTGCTGGGATTGCAGGTAGGAGCCACCACGTCCAGCCAGTTAAAGATTTTACATAGGTTTTCACATCTGACAAATTTATTCTAAATATTTTCTAGTGATATTGCTATCAAAAATGAAGTATTTTCTTCTATTATGCCTTTTTTATTTTAATATAGGAAGGATGATGATTGTATATATTTACTTTATAACCAAAGACCTAACTGAATTCCACTATTGTTCTAATATTTTTTTTCAGTTGGCTCACTTTTTATATAATAAAATTTTTACTTTTATAATCTACAAGCAATTATTATTTGTCTTTTTCTTTTCTAATTTGTATACATTTTCTTTCTCTCTTGTAAAACTGCATTGCTTAGGATGTCTAGATCAACGTCTATGAATAGTTGTGGTAGTAGACATTCTTGTCTTGTTCCTGACATTAATATAAATATTTCTGAGTTTCCTTATAGATTATAGCACTAGCTTTTAGATTGAGATTAGTATATTGCACTAGGTTAAGGAAGTATCTATTGCCATTTATTGACAGTTTTGTTTTGTTGTTTATTTGCTTGTTTAGTAAGAATGGATGTTGGAGTTTATCAAATGTCTCTCAGCATCTAGAAACATGATTTTTAATCTATTAGTGTGGTAGAAATATATTAATAGATTTCCTAATATTGAACCATCCTTGCATTCTAGAATAAATATAATTGCTCATGGTGTGTTAGTTTTTTAATGTGTAATTGGATTTTGTTTAATAATGCTTTATATTCATAATTTTTGTGTAATAATCCTAACAGTTATTGTTTTATTATTTTGATTTTCTTCTTCAAGAACACCAATTATGCATATGTTTGATTTTTTTATATATTTTGCATCTATCATATAACCCTTTTAAATATCTTTTTTATTTATTCTTTTTACTCATTTTTTTCTAATTCCGTCTTCCACATGTCTAGCTATGCTTTCAGCAATGCCCTGTCTTCTTTGTGCAGTTTCCTACCACTTCTCATTCAGCTTTATCGCCTTTCCTTTTTCTAGAAACCTCACCACTTTGAGGCCCAGGGAAGCACTCAGTCAAGCTGACACACCCTTATTGCTAGAGAACAAATATCAGCAAACTATAGCCCATTGGCTAGCTTTCTTTTTTGGGAAGTAAAGTTTTATTGGAATATAGATATGCCCATTTGTTTATTGTACATGGTTGCTTCAGCACTACAGTGGCAGAATTTGATAGTTATGGCAGAGACCATATGGCCCAGAAATTCTAAAATATTTACTATTTGGTTGTATAAGAAGTGGTTTGCTGCCCTCTATTGTAAAAACCTCCATTTACATTTCAGTATGTATCACTTAGAATTGTGCTTTTATGACTTTCTTGAAGCTCAGAATCCACAGGCATCTTCACTCTGGTACTTCCTATGTCCTATGCCACTAAGTCTTCTCTCTCTCTCATTTAAAAATCTCTGTTGTTTCCTAGTTTTACAAAGGATAAGCTTTGCATTACTGTTTTTCTTGATTCCCTTGATGTTTTGGTTGGTTTTTCTGAGATATGAATAAGAAAATACTCACTTAGCTCTGCATGTTAAAATTGGAAGTCCTCAGATAATATTCCAAGAAATTATTTTTTATTTTCATCTTTGGTTGGTTGTTTTTTGACCATTGGATAGAGATCTTAGCATACTAAATGTCTTTATCCTGAATATATAGAGATTTTCTCTCCTTAATTTAATGATTTTATGACTTCTGCAATTCTTTTAGTGATTATTTAGTTCTCAATGAAGAACATAAACACAACTTTTTAAAAAACATGTATTAGTAAGGAAAAATTTGTTTTATATTTTCTATTGCCCTAAATTCTGACTCATATTAGACAGCTCGGAGTAATATTTAATACTTGAAACTTCACAAGTAATTACAAATAAATAAATGCTATAAATATTAAAAAATAGGAGCAATCTCAACTTTATCCTCACATTTTTCTGCTAAGACTTATTTAGTTACATATTGGGCTTATTTTAAAATTTAACCAAAATTATTTGATCTTTAATTATGTTTTTACCTAGAAATGTATATTTAAAAATAAAGTGTAATTCCAGTTGTATTTATACTATTCAGAATTTCAGAAGTCTGTAATCCCAGCTACTCGGGAGGCTGAGGCAGGAGAATTGCTTGAGCCTGGGAAGTGGAGGTTGCAATGAGCAGAGATCGCACCATTGCACTCCAGCCTGGGTGACAGAGCTAGACTCACTGCACTCTAGCCTGGGTGACAGAGCTAGACTCCCTCTCAAAAAAAAAAAAAAAAAAAAAAGTCGGTCTGCTCCTCTGCCTTTTTTTTTCCTACTTTTAAGAGTAGTCTGCCTCCGCAAACTTTAGTAAAGAAGTACTAAAATTAAGTGTGTTAAATGGTGTTAAGATATATATAAAAATTAATTTTTAAAGAGAGTTTAGATTGTTATCTTTAAATTTTTTTATACATTTCATAAAACATAAGTATTTCCTAATCATTAATAGGTTTTAATGAGCTTTAGTAGATGAGCAGAAATATCAGAGATATAAAATGATACTATACCGGCTTCCTTAAGAAGCTTTCTATTATTTCTTAGAATCCTGCTTTATTCTCTTTCTTGAATTCATACATGGCATTTAAAAATCTCTTAAAGATGGTCATCAAAAACAAACAAATTTTTTAAAAGATGGTATTTGACATCTCCCCTCCCTCCTCCTGCTTCTCTCAAGCACCAGTTTCCAGGTACCACTGCCTATAAAGCCTTTTCCAAACACAAATTTAATCTTTGAGTGTTGAGGTTTTTTTGGTGTTTTTTTTTTTAAGGTAATGTATTATCCTATGCAATGATATTGAGCTTTTGACTGAGAAATTGTGAAATCAAAAGTAAAGTATAGGAATTCCTTAATGGACATTTCAAGAACTTTGAAAGGCTATTGTAAGGGGAAGAAAGAGGGAAAATCTGTTTCAGTAGGAGACCTTCTCACCTCTTTACTCATAAGCCAGCCCGGGCATCATATGACTTCATCAGACTGCAACTTACTGTTCTCCCCTTTGTGGGGAGTGTCAAATGCTATAATAGAGTTCTCCAGTCTGAGGTCAGCGAAAGCTTCTCAAAGGAGATGATGCCTGGCTAAAGGGACTTTCTTTCTGAGAAAGGGATCAGCATGTGCAAAGATGAAGAGGCATAAGGACTGACCAGTGGGTCACGGCAATGAGACATTTACTGCTGACCTCCAAGAGAAGACTTCCATTGAATGAGAGGAAGATCTACACTACTAATGATCAAACTGTGAGTGTTTTAGCTTTGTAGACTTATCAGGAACTTGGGAGATCAAGAAGACAGGATCAAACAGCAAATGGAGCTTTATCAGAAATGAAGAAAAGCATTTCTCCACAGTCCTAAGCTAAACCCTTTCTGCTAGTCCCAGTTCTTATATGTGCATCAAGGCAAAAAAACATTAATCAGAACAGGAATGTTTGATTGCTCATTCAAATTTGAAATAAGCAGCTTCCATTCTTCTAACCTTCCCTGGTGGGGCCATAACATTATCAATCAATATCAAGTCTGGCATATCATTGGCTATCACTATCCAGTGAGTATCTGAGGCAGCTGAAAGAAATTGGGGCATCCATGTAAGAATATTCATTTTCTATCATTATTTACTTAAATATGTAATATATCAAGATCTGTTAGACATATTTAAGTATATATACTTATATGAGGTTGGGGGTCCCTGCAAGAAGTACCAAGTGTTTCTAGAAGAAATGTACTTGAATATAATCGCTGTATAATCACTGTGAGAACAGAGTTCCATATCTGTCCTGTACATGCTTGTCTCTAGTACCTGGAGCAGTATCTGACACAGATATGTGTTGAGTGAATGGATGAATAAATAGATAGAAGGAAGATCCTCCAACTATGAAGTTTCTTCTTTTCTTCTGCTGCTGTTGAGTAGATGAGGGTGCCAAGAAATAAGACAGCAACACCAGGAAGAAGAACAAATTTGGGGTGAGTAGGGGTGGAAAGGATGACTGATTTATAAATTGGGTTTAGGAGCCAAGAGTTATGCTCTAGCAATTGGGTATAGTAGAAGATATTTAAATAAGAAATTGCTGATATTCTTGCAAACTGAGCTTTTCTGTAAAATCATGAGTTTAGAATTCTTTATTTCAGAAGGAAAAAAAAAAACTTAGAAAGGTCAGTTGGAACAAAAAGGGAAATTAAAAAGCCACAGAGAGAAACAACTATGGTGTCCTGGGGTACATTTAAAATAAGAAGGTACTTAAGCAAAATCATTGCGTTGAGGACATTTTCTTAAATAGGATCAATTACCAGTGTCCCAGTCAATTCCACATGTCAAGAAGCTTGTCTACCTACTTGACTGACCCAGGCCTAAAAATGATAATAGCAACTTGGTGGAGTTATCTAAAGTTTGACAACCTTTCCTCACCAACCGGCAGCCCCATAGGACATATTAATCACTGCAGTTTTTACCTTGTACCAGATATTTAGAAAGTAAAACCGAAGAAATTTATTTCCATGTGTTTTGGTTGAAAAAAAGAGACGTTTCACTCAATCTATTCCAGAAAATATAGCCACTTTGGGACTGAACATTTCTTTCCATCTTAGCCCAAAGGCAATCACATTAGGGACGTTGTATGCAATTGGGGTGATAAAAATTGAGCTGTGGTCTAACCTATTGCATAATTTTCATTCTAAAATTACTTGACGCCGGACATAATGGCCCCATCAGTCAACCTATCATCTGGCTAGTTAAATGAAGTAAAATAACCTCAGCTGGTCTCAGAGGAGTGAGAATTCAACTGCCTGAGGGGTTGAGATTTCCTGAGAGTTTGTTCTGGATCTCTGTTGGGTCAGCCAGCATGCAATCTTACCTTCTGTCTCCACGGAAAAGCCCATTCAGGCCAAGGGAGAAGCTGCTTTAGATGAAGGCTGTAACCCAAGATGGAAACACTTAACCAGGCCAAAAACACTTTTTTCTTTTTGGTGGATCCAGTGCACAATGATTGTTCCTAATTAGGAGGTCTGACTTGAAAAGTTCTCCCCAAATGCCAGGAGAAAGTTCTCCTTAAGTGTCTTTGCAAAAAAGATACAGTGGGACAGAAAGTCAGTATTGATTTAAGGAACACAGCTGCATAAACAATGTTCATTCACCACAAGAAGAAAATTTATAGTATTTGTCAGGGAAAAGTAAACACGTTAGGGACTCTGTTTGTGACACAGTGTCACACATGATCCTTTGAGCCAGCAGGGACAAGAACAGATCAACAACAGAAGCAGCTTTCTCATGATGCTTGGGGTAGCACTTTTTTTTTTTTAACCTAACCCATTTTCTGCTTCATATTTTAAGAGGACATTACATTCAGACCATTGATACGTCTGTGGATGTTGGGGAAAGAGAGGAAACTATAGTGATGAGTCCTCTACCATCCTCATTCTCTATACTTTCCGGAAAAGAAATTCTGGAAAAAAAAAAAAAAAAAGCTAAAAAGCTAAATTCTCTTAAGAATTTCAGTGGTTGTAGGCATTCACTCCTGAAGCTATTTTTCCCCCAGGTTTGGGATTTGGCCCAGCCTTACAGAAATGTTTTCCAGACTTTAAATTTCATGGAGAGTTAAAATTGGTTTTAAACCCAATACAGAGTTTCCATCTTTTAATTTTACAAAGAAAGGTCATCTAAACAAAACAATATGTTTCTACCATCTATTATTACCTTTGCTTTCTATAAGATATGAATGTTTTAATACCAAAAGGGAAAGGCAAGAAAAGCAAGGATAAAAGCCTCAAAATAAAGGATAAAGCCCAATCCTTCTCATTTAGCTATTGAAAGTTGAAGACTATATCAGTAAGTGGCCCTGGTCCACAGACGGGCATTTGGAAATCACCGCATTAGGGGAAAGGCCACCGGGAATGTCTTGTGCCAAGGGCTGTAGAACACAGAGGTGTTTTGTTGTGTGTGGTTCATGCAGAGCTGTCATACCCATAGCTGTTCATCATACCCGTATCTCAGCAATCTATAAGTGTTGTTAAAGGGGCCTTGGGAGGAATTCAACTGTTGTGAATTTTTTAGTTTATTTTAAAGTTTGGCAAAATTTATATTATACATCCCTGGATTCTTAAATCTTTAAAGCCCAGTGGAATTTCAAAGAGCTTAATGATGTTTTCCTTTTAATGATCTTGACCCCAGAAATTCATTTTTAAAAGTAGTGTTACAGAGATAGAAAGTGTTCTGAACATTTTCAGGATAACCTGTGGTACCAGTGAACATACACAGACTTCCTAGGGGTTCCATGCAGGAAAGTGTGTATGTGTGTGCTTGTATGGGTATGCATGTGTGTGCCTGCATCTGTTTGCATGTGTGTGCATGCGTGGCAGCTGGAAGCACCTACCAGGGAGAGCCCTACTTTTGCTTGTCAGGGCCCCAGAAAACTGCAACTTATTGCTCTGACTTAAATTGGCAAACTATAAAGGTCACTTTTGGTCCTTTTTAGAAAACATCTAACCAGAAAAGGGAAGTGCAAATTAGAACAGTTTAGGCAGAAACTGAAAGTTAAGAACCGAGGGAAGGCCTTTAGAAAGAGAAGTAACCAGAGAGGTGAGAGGAAGAACACCAAGAAGAAGGAGTGCTCATATATGCCAGACTTCTTACAAGGAGTCCTCAGGCCTCCAGCAATCCATGGCTTTACTGAGAGCTTTCTCCTCTATATAGCACTCCTATCTATTAAATAGACATGCGTAAAATTGGCTAAAACCTCCTGTCCCAGAAAGGATTGTGATGATGGGCATTTCTGAGAGGGAAGTCTGCTCACCTGTGAAACGTTCCTGGCAGAACTTCTGTGGCTCAGTCCAGGAAGAAAATGGACCCATCAAATGGGTTTAGCATTGAGGCTCCCTTCCTAGCCATTGCCAGCCTTCCAGCACTAGCCACATGGCCTGCGGATGCTAAGTAGGAAAGCCTAGCTGCCCCAACAACCTGATGTGTTTTAGCTTTAGGGCCTTACAGAGGGAAGCCTGGATCAGGAGTTAGAAGAACTGGACTTGTCTTCATATTTAAATGCCTGTAAGATGTCTGGGCATGGTGGCTCATGCCTGTAATCACATCACTTCGGGAGGCCAAGGCAGGCGGATCACTTGAGGTCAGGAGTTAGAGACCAGCCTGGCCAACATGGCGAAACCCCATCTCTACTAAAAATACAAAAAATCAGCTGGGCATGGTGGCAGACTCCTATAATCCCAGCTACTCCAGAGGCTGAGGTAGGAGAATCACTTGAACCCAGGAGGCAGCAGCTGCAGTGAGCCAAGATCATACCATTGCACTCCAGCCTGGGTGACAGAGCGAGATTCCATCTCAAAAAAAAAAAAAAAAAAAATCTGTAAGATGAAGAAAGTTGGTGAATATCAGTGGGGTGTTTTGTTTTATTTTATTCACTGATTTACGGTATTTTTTTCAGTAGCAGAACCTATTTTCAATAGAAATGCGATTTGAAAATCAATATAAATGCATAAATATAGAAGCAGCTTGATGGTGTGTAGAAGGGGCTGCAGGAGTGGACACTGGATCTCAGACCTGAGGGGCCCCCGTGGACACTGCTGATCCCAACTGCTCTGAGAAACTCCTCTTGAGACCTCCGGCGAAGATGCATTTCGGGTTTGACTGACATTCTTCCAGCCCTCACATCTGCTGACTCAGGGCTAGTGCTACAGAAATCCCACTTGGGTGTGCACATGTGGTTAACATTTTCAAAGGGGAGTTTTAGTCTGTATGTAGGGTAAAGGCAAGAAAGGCCATGACAAGATCAACAGTTTACTCAAAACTAAGCCCAAGAAAAGCAGTTATAAAGGTCCTGTCTCCATGCATCTGAGGTGTAGCACAGCCCCTACCACAGTTATGTCTGCAGAGGGGCATAAACTTCAGTCTATAAAAACAAACAGCTTTACATCAATCACAATTAGGATTCAGGGTGTTACTTGTTGATATATGTGAATAGTTACATATAGCTATATATGTATAAATAGTTACATATAGCTATATACGTATAAATCCAGTTATACATATGTATGTATATGTATAAGTCTTCTCAGTAAAGCCATAGGTAAATAAATATTTAAAGTAATGGAGGAAATTCTTAACATGAAAGTAGCAAAGACTGTAGAATGACAGAAAAAAACCTCTAAAAATTAAAACTTCTGCTTAAGGTTTGATTTGAGCTGTTGCCTTTGAAAACCCAAATGGTCCGAAAAGATAAAACACCAAATAAATTTCTTTTAAGCCCACAGCACCCGTTATTCCCACGTGATCCCTTATTCAGATACTAACCAGGCCCGCCCCAGCTTAGCTTTCAAGATCAGATGGAACCAGACACGTTCAAGGTGGTATGGCGGTAGACTAAGATTTTTCTGACTAATGCATGGATACCAGAACTCTTTGGTGTCTAGTTTGAGAGCTGTGTCATATGAAATATATACTTACATTGATCTATGTGAGTTTCACTAAAATGCTGTAAGCTTCAGGAAGGATGACTGAGAGTTTAAATTTCCTTCCTTACATCACTAAAAAACTCTGTAATTTGTTTGAGACTTTTTATATCCAATATATATACACTTAGATAACTGATAGAGGTCTTTGCTTTAAACATCGAAGTGATAACCCTGGAATTATATGGTAAAATAAACAAGTGCTATGTGTTATGGCTCAGCTTAGGAAATACCATGCATTATTTTTCAATAGTTCTGTTTTCCACAGTGTATTTATTTCTTATAAATTATACAAATTTCCCTCTGATTAGATTGAAATAGAGA
This sequence comes from Homo sapiens, assembly GCF_000001405.40. Taxonomy (NCBI): domain Eukaryota; kingdom Metazoa; phylum Chordata; class Mammalia; order Primates; family Hominidae; genus Homo; species Homo sapiens. The sequence goes on from NC_000013.11 coordinate 50,813,519, forward strand.
TTCTAGGAGATTTTTTCCATAAAAGCATTATTATCTACTTTAAAAATAAAGAGCAAATGTCATTTTTTGATCTTTGAAATAATTAACTCATTTATATTAAGGAGACTGAGCTTCCGTATTTCATGGCTAGAATAACAAAAAAGAAATCACAAAAATGGCATTTTAAGCAATATATATATTTTAAATTGGATCAAATTCAACATGGTAATTTTTAAATTAGTGAGGGATTACCAATCTCACCTGATAGATCAAATAAGCAGTATATTTTAGTCTGAACTCCAGAAAAATGCATTAGAAACGTGAAAGGCTGGTTCTGTGTCTATTTGAGTGAAGTCATTGTCACCACTACAATATTTTAAGGGATCTCTTGTGAAGTGAAAATGTGGGAAATAACTTAAAAGTCAGACCCACACTTGGAAATATTCAGCTCATGCCATTTGTGATATGGGTTTGGGAAAGAGAAGTCCACATATAGACGTTCATTCTGTCAGACCAAGGTGAGAGAATGCTTGCTTTCACTTCAACCACTTAGATGAAGATTTTGATAATAGTCATTTTTTAATATAGAGCTTACCAACTTCATGGCATTATTCAGGTATGAACATTGCCAACAGATTTCACAAAAACAGTTTTATTTAGGAAATGAACTTTGGAAAGAAGAAAGTGAAAAAAATAGAAGTTGACTCCATGATTCCTTAGCTCTCCTCTACAAGGTAATCCAGTCTCAGTCCGGAAGCCAGAATCAATGCTGATAAAATGCTGAGCAACCCAGACGAATCATCTATCCACCCATCCATCCATCCATCCATCCATCTATCCATTCACCCAGGCAGCCAGCCAGCCAGCCGTCCACTCACTCACTCATATTTTTAGAGGAACTAAAGAGTCTAGTTCCTGTGACTAAGTTGAGTTTTAGTTTATTTATATAAATTATGTTGTTTCAACAACAAACTAATAATAATGAACAATAATACCTAGCATATTGATAGTTTGGATAGTTACAATCCAATTGTAAGTAATGATTACATGTCTAACATTAGACAAAGAAACAAAAAGAACATAAAGAACCCAATTGGGCCAACCAACATGGCTGTGGGGAATCAAGGTTCTGTATCTTGATTGTGGTGGTAGTTATACAAATCTATACACTACATAGAACTACACACACACACACACACACACACACACTCGCATGAAAACTGATGAAAACAGTTTTCATCAGTTTTTACATGTATTCATGTGAGTGTGTGTGTGTGTGTGTGTGTGTGTAGTTCTATGCAATTTAATCCTGTGTATGTACTGTACCAATCCAGTTAACAGTACTGTACCAATGTAAGTTTCCTGGTTTTGCTATTGTACTACAGTCATACAAGTTATCGTCATTTGGGTTGGGTGAAGAATTCATCAGACTCCATGTACTAGATTTTGCCACTATGAATCTATAATCTGTGAATAATTTATGAACAGAATCTATAAATCTATAATTCTATTTAAATAAAAGGTAAAAAATGGAGATATAGTTATCTAGACAAATATTAAAGTGTCTGAGTTATTTATTTGGCAAACTGTTTTTCACTTGTGACACAGGTTTGCTAAGAGTCTCCCTCTTTTTCCCCCGCCAAGAACTCATTTTATTTGTTATCAACAGTGTTTAAAACCTGTAGCTAAAAGACATCTTGGAAATTGTAATGTAATGATAATTAATGCATAGAAGTCCATTTGGGAGCATGTTAGATACGTAATCATTACTTACAATTGCACGTCATTCTGAAATTTCTCACTTCTTTGAATAACCATTGTCGACAGAAAAATCTCTACACTCAAAGATCTTTTAAACCTATATATCAGTCTACTGAAATGAGGGGAAGGAAATGAGAGGGAACAGCTGTAAATCATGTGTTTATTGATACAAAAAATTACACACACATATACGCACACATACAGAGCCTTACTGAGTTTATTGGATTTCTTATCAATTCTTTTTCAATTGTTTCTATACTGACTAGATCAACTATTGAGCAGGTTCATTCATTAAAACACCTGGAAACAATGGACTAGCTGTATTCTGCAAGCAGACTAGAGGGTGGCTTGCATTTGAGCTAGGCCCAAGAAATGTAGGAATGTTTGCTTCTAAATGCTCTAGATGAACTTGAAGTAGACTGTCCCACAGGCCCACTTATGGTGCATGTGAATTTGTGAATGTTTTGTGATTTAATGGTACAACATTTTCCCTAAAGAAGCAAGTCCCAGAAAACAGGAGCAAAACAACTTTTAGTGCAACCTCATGACTATGCAGTAATTCCAGCCCCATTAACTTTAGAGCTTCTGATACTACTAACCAACAAAACTACCCCACTTTTTTATGAAAAATTCAAAAATTTGCTTCAAGAACAGGAAATATTCTTGAGGGGGGGCTGCAGAAAAGTACAATTTTATAATATAAAGTGGGTATCATGGTAAACATTTAAATTTAATTAAGCAAAAGTGTGAGGTCAATTACATCAAATGTGTTCTGAGTTTGTCTTCAATACCCTCTTGTCTCTCATTCATTAATCTCATCTCAGCCCCTCTCTGTCTTGGGCCACATTCCACGTAATTGTGGCAAAGGCAGTTAGAAGGCTATTAATTCCATTATGGTTTATATGACTGTTCTTTTATACATAAATAAAGTTAACAGAATGAGATAACTTTTATCTCATTCTCTCCCTTTCATCCTTCAATTAAACTTGCTGCAAGGCAAGAAAATGGATAGAATAGCTTATTTCTATTCCCTCTGAGTATGCCAATTAATGCAATGTGAGTGTAAACAGTAATCCTGCTATACACTCATATACTTCCATTCTGAGTTACAGAGGAAATAGGTGTCTAACAAGTATCATGTAAACTGAGACTGGAAGAGAGGCAAGGGAATATATAAAAAATGGAAGGAAAAGAAAGACCAACGTCTGTTAACTTTATTTATGTATAAAAGAATAGTTAGCCATAAAAACATAATGCCATTAATAGCCTTCTAAATGCCTTTGCCACAATTCTGTGGAATGTGGCCCAAGACAGAGAGGGGCTGAGATAAGATTAAAGAATGAGAGACAAGAGGGTATCAAAGACAAACTCAGAGGACTGAATGAGGCTGTGTATAAAAGAGCATCAGCACTTCCCAGACGTTATGAAAAGTGTCATTTGTGAGGAGAACTATATTTTTTCATATGGGCAAATCAACAAACCAAGTGCATTTGAGGAATTCTTTAAGGTGGGTCTGTGGATATCCCAAGGACATTAATTTTCCAGATTATCCCACTGCTTTCTTCATGTTTGGGATTACAGCATCAGGCTTAGTGTACCTCTTCCCCTCTCCTCCCTCCATCTGCACTACCCCCGCCACACACACACACGGCGCCAAGCTTTGCTGTTCTCCTGTACTCTTGAGCTCCATTCAGAGCTGGAATACAGGTGCAGGGAGGCAGGGGTCTTTGCAGAACCTCCTCTCTCCCTTTTGTACCAATCTAAGCCAACATTGTCTTCTCCAACTTGTTTCTAGGATCCCTGTGAATTGGTTTTTCTGCCAGATACCCTTATGCTCCATAGGCATTTTGTAATGGTTTTTTTTAAGGAAAAAGAAAATAAAGCCGTGATTATTATCAAAGTCTCCACCAAGTCAAGGGGAACAAATTATTGGTACTTCTGTGCCAGGAAAGATTTCTGCCAACCTTGGAAGTGTCTCCTGAATTATGACTGCATGCATGGAGCAGATATGAACTTGTCTGCAAAAAGAGAAATTTATAAACTATGGATCAGCTTCAAATACCATTTCTATTGAGCAAAGCAGTAAACATGTCACATCCAACAAAGGTAAAGCTCTCTGGTAACACATACTAGGGCTGTGACAGCCTAGACCTTTGGTTCTGGTATGTAGCTAAGTGAAACCAGGACTGTGGTAATTTCTTGGCTGTAGAATGGAACACTGGGATCCCTGATGAGGACACCCAGATGATATGGAACACTGCTAGTTGAAGTTCTGCTGAATTAAATGTGTCTTGAAACTCACGGATCTACAAGATTTGTACTCCTCTCAGATAGATTTACTGCATGAGGATCTGGCACCAGAGCATGAAGGAAAAATGGAAAATGGAGCCAACTGTTGGAGGGAGTTTTAAGATGTGGAAGATTTGGTTCTTGCAGTCCTATGTTCTGTCAGAAGCAAGTGTCCAGATGGCTTCCTACCCTCCAAAGGCCTTCATTTAAATCAAGAAATGGAAAACAGCCAAAGAAACCTGAAGATAGTTCCTCAATCAGTGTAAGGCAGGCAGTCAAAAGGATGTAAGATAAGCTGATCTGGGAGCTCTTAGAGCTCCCAGGAAATTACAGAATACAGTGAGGAGAGCATCTCAAGACAAGAGAAGGGGACAAGTGCCATCTTGTCACTCCTGTATCCAGCTCTAACTAAAAGATCACCAGTATGTCCCCAACTTTTATTCTATAAGAAAATGTGTTTCCACCATCCAGAAATTCATTACTATAGATCATCTAAAAATAAGAATTAAAGGAAATAGGAGGGTGAAACAGTTAAGGAAATTCAATGGAGAAAACATCAGATGATGTGACTTTTTTCAGAGTTATAAAAGGACATCCACAACCTGTCTTTATGCACGTGTCACACATTACCCAAGGTACTACATGGTCTTAAATTTAAAAAACACAGTCTGACTTTGAAGTGAGAGAGAAAAGGAAAAGCACTACATGGGAAAATTGAGGAGAAAAGGCCACTCAGAATGGCCCAGGCTGGCCCAGTCATTGTTAGGATGACCATCACAATTATTAATCATTTATTGAGTGATTGCTACATGATTGTTTTTAACTCAACATCTGCCTAAAATGCACTGATCAATTTAATCCTTAAAATGATTCTTTTCACTTTTTTTGGGTTTAGATATTTACCAAAAAACGTAAGTGACTAACCACATGACTTAATTCATCAAATATTTATTGAGCTGTTAACCTGTTCTAGGCACTGCTGCTGTACTGAGAATACAGCTGTGAACAACATCCCTGTCGCTTTCGTTCTAGAGAGGAAAAACAGGTATGTTCATTTCTTATGGCTGCTGCAACAGATTACGGCAAACTGGGTGGCTTCTAACAATGGAAATGTATTCTCTTATGGTTCTGAAGACCAGAAGCCCCAAATCAAGATGGCCCCAGTGCAGCACTCCCTCTGAAGGCGCTAGAGAATTTGCTTCTGGCCTCTTTCAGCTTCTGGTAGCTGTCAGCATTCCCTGACTGTGGGCCCGTCACTGTACTCTGTTCCCATGGGCACATTGCTTCCTCCTCTTATGCCTGTGTTCTCTCCCTTTGCCTTCTTCTTATAAGCACATTTGTGATGGCATTTGGGGTCCACCCAGATAATCCCAAACAATTTCACCACAATATCCCTAATGTAATCACATCTGTTACCATCTAAGGTAATATTCACTTTATTGCAATATATGATAATATTCACAGGTCCCTTTGATTAAGATAAACATAACTTTTGGGGCCACCATTTAGCCACTACAACAGGCAATAAAAACATAAACAAATTCAGGCCATTGTGAGAGCAACAAAGAAAACAAAGCAGGGAATAGGGATAAGAGAGTAAAAGGGGATGCTATTTTTGCTGAGGGAGCTAGAGAGGGCCTCCCTAATGTGGAGGCTTTGGAGCAGAGACCTCCTTGAAATAGATGAGAAACGTTGTTCTGGCAGAGGGAAGAGCAAGTGCAAAGGCCATAGGATTAATCGTTGTCATATTTGAAGAGGTGAGTGGTAAAGAGACTCGTGTCTTAGGTGTGTAGTAGGAGATGGTTCCAAAAGGCAGAATTTGGATTTTATTCTGAGTAAAAAGGGAAGCTATTGGTAGAGCAGAGACATAATTGATCTAACGTTTTTTACTGTGGCTGATGTGTGGAGAATAGACTATAGAGAGCAGAGAAATACTATGACCCCTCAGAGAGGTACTGCAATATTCCAGACAGGAGACAATAGTGCCTAGGACCAGAATAGTGGCTATGGAAGTAGTGAGAAGTGATCTGATTTGAGACATGTTTTGAAGGTTGACCCAACAGGATTTGCTGATTGAGTGAATTTAGGTGACACTAATAGGGAAGTCAAGGATGTCGCTAATGTTTTTTGCCTGTGTGACTGGAAGTATAAGAGCCATAGCCAACTGAAATTTGAAAGATGGCAGAGAAGCAGTCTTGGGAATCCATAATTCCATTTTGGAATTTGAAATGACTTTCGGCATCCAAGTAGAGATATTCTGTAGTCAGTTGAACACAGAAGTCTGGAGCTCAGGGTGAAAGACATACATTGGGCATCATTAGTGAATAGCCAGTATTGTAAATCACCAACTAGTAGGTGTAGTTAGAGAAAAGGACCAAAACTGAGCCCCAAAGCACTACACAATTAAGAAATCAAGAGATGTGGAAGAACCAGGACAAAGGTCTGGAAAGTAAGCCAGTGAAGAAGTAAAACCATGAAAGTCTGCTGACCTGGAAAACAAATAAGAAAGTGACTCAAGGAGGGAATAGTCAGCCGCATCAAAAGCTGATGATAGATCAAGTAATATGAGGATTGTGAATCTACCATGGAATTTATCAGTGAGACAGTCATCAGGAGTCTTGACAAGAGAAGTTTTGATGGCGTTGTGGGCACAAATCCATTTGGAGTGGATTCAAAAGGGAATTGGACAAAAAGAATTGTAAGTAACTAATTTGGACAATTATTCCAATGAGTTTTGCTGTTAAGAGGAGCAAAAAAAAACAAAACAGTAGCCAGAGGAATTTTTTTTTGAATTGGAGATACTATAACATAATATCATGCTGACTCAATGATATTATGAGAGGCAAAAATTGATAATGCAAGCAAGAGAATGAATGTGAGTGAGAAGGGACAGAGTCCAGAGCCTTAGTGGCCAACCAGCCTTGCACAGGAGCAGGGCAGCCCTGCTTATAACAGAAACAAACTCAGAGTACCTGTGTACAGATTCAGGGTAGGTAGATCTGCTAGGGAGACGAGGAACATGCTCTTCTGATGGCTTCCATTGTCCCTGTGCAATCAGAAGCAAGCTCATCAGCTGAGAATGAGAAGAGTAAACAAGGGTAAAGTTTGAAAAGGTGTGGAAGAGCCTTCAGAGAGTGAATTGTTAAGGCCAGCAGTGAATTATCTAGTGGATTTTCCAGAACAGCGCTATCTCATAGAAATATAATGCAAACCATCCATGGAATATTAAGTTTTCTAGTACCCATATTGAAAACATGAAAAGAAATAGGTACAATTAATTTTAGTGGTATATTTTACTTAACCCAACATATTCAAAATATTATCATTTCAACACGTAATCAGTATAAACAGTATCAAGATATTTTAGATTCTTTTTTTTTAGTAATAAGTTTTCAAAAGCCAGTGTGCATTTTACATTTTCAGCACATCTCAATTCAGATGAGCCACATTTTAAGTGCTCAGTAGCCACGTGCGGCCAGTGCTACCATACTGAACATTGCAGGTCTAGGAAATGAAGTAGGGCTAATGGAGAATGCCAAGGGTCCCTGGAGACTGGGAGCCACGAGCTGAAGTGAGATTGGTATGGCTGGGTGTTTTTCTCCAGCCATATTCAGAGCTCCTCTACAGACGTTGAGTAGGCAGAGAGTTGGACTTGACCAGGGATTGAGTTTTGCAAGCAGCATTCAACCAAAGGGAAAAAAGGGAAGGGAACTGGTGGCATGTGGCACCAATTGATTATGCAGACTGACCATAGAACATAAGACACCAAAGTTAGCATGGGGTGGGGGAGGGGTGTAAAAAGGTGGTAGGGGCAACCAAAGTTCTAGTAGCATCATAGAACTTTAAGAACTGTAGATGCTATGCAACATACAAAGATGTCTAGATAATCCCTATCTTCAGCAAGCTAATCTTGACAGCAGATTTACCAACAGCTATGCTATTAAGATATCATGTGATAAACACCAGAAAAGTAGCACAAAATGTGTTCTATGGGAGTTTAGAAGAGGAAGAGTTCACCTCTGGCTAGGATGGCCCATGAGGGTTCATGGAGGGGGTGGTGGGTAAGTCAGATCTTGAAGGATGAATAGGATTTTTGTCAGCATATAGGAAACATGGTACAAAGTGAGGAAAAAGCACAAGCACAGACAGAAAATAAAAAATGTTCACTATTTCGTTGGGTAAGGTAAAAAAAAACAAAAAACCTTAATATTCGTTGAGGGAATCATTAATTACAATAGGGTAGGCAGCATATAAATAATGATGGGTCTTGAAAGAAAAGTACAGAGCTAATTTCCCTGGGGGAAGAAAGACCTCATCATAAAAGAAAGGCATCGCCCCAGAATACAACGTTTCTTAGGTGTGGGAAAACTGAGTGGCAAAGATTATTCTCAAGAAATAAATGCCCACCGCTTCTCAGCCTTTTGGCTAAGATCAAGTGAAGAAATAAATGCCCTTTATTTCTGGCCCACCTCACCCCTACACACACTCATGCACATGTACACACATGAGCGCACACACACACACACACGCATGCACACAGACACACAGAGCATCTGCCTTTCCCTTAGAATTCAGTATCATATACTTAGTTCCCTTCTCTGGAAATGGTCAGTTACGTCCAAAGAGAAGCAATATGTTTACCTTTCATTCTCAGATTCTGGAAGAAAACATTTAGAACCAACTAGGATTAGAGTGGGTGAGATTAAAAAGGCTTTGATTACTATTAACACCTTAGAAATAGTACTGTACTCCCACCACGCAGACCCAGTTGATGATTCTTTTAGAAAACAAGCTGCACATAATCACTATAATCTTTTTTTTCTAAATCTGTTGCTGTTTCTATTAAAATTTTAAGGGAAAAAATAGCATTTTACTTTGGCTCTCAACACAGTCATCATTGAACAACAAGAAATTTAGTTTTTCCGAAGTATGTGTGGACTGTTGTTGAAAAAAAAAAAATCACCTTCTCTCTTCCCGGCTCTAAACGGTTTGGGAAACCTGCCAGTAGATCCACTCCTTTCCTTTTTTTAAAGAATTTCCTACTTCAATCAGAATATTTAGAAACAGTAAAAGCTAGACTTTTCCACATGAGACTTTAATAATACTGTGCTTTGTATTTACATATCATACATGATTGGTACTTCATAGCTCACTATCACTTTAAGTTTTTAAATTAGTATATAAAAGCACAAGGTTTAGAAGCAACTCTTCTCTGCTCAACAGTAAGTTATTAATGTCAGGATTGAAGCTCATAATTACTGACACATATAGTCCTACAAAGATCGTTCTTATAAAAGGAAGTGTCCAGTAAGTATTAATAGAACAAAGCAATTATCAAATATCTCATTCATTCAAGGTAATTTTAAGAACCATGGAACTTTAATTATATAAATAACCACATTAAACCCTTTAGACCTACATTAATATGAATACAAATTAAGGTATCATTCAATAAAAACTAATAATATGAATAAATATATACATACATAATCAAATCAGCTTCACAAAGTAGAATGTATTTCAATCAGAAAGTCAGCAAATAGGTCAATATACTTAAAAATATGAACTACTGCTTTAAAAAAATTTCATTAACATGCTATAATCCCGAAGGCTACAGATGCCACTGGTCAGACTGCTCCACGTACCATCAAGTCTTTCCCCTTTGGATATAAAAATATCCATTGTCTGCTGACTCAATTAGGAAGGTAAGGTATCTGGTTCTCTTAACAGTGCTGGCTGTGGTTTTACTCCCGATGCCTTTAACACTCATATGTCTGGGAGATTCTGTAAGATCTGTCTCAAGGAAGCACAGGCTACCATGTGGGCATCTGAAGGAAAATTAGCAAGTGACTGAATCAGCTTCTTGACTATTGTCTTCAAACACTGGTGGGCAGCATTCAAGTCTCTGTCAAACTGCTGTCCTTCAATCTGTAGAGCCAAATGACTGCAGATGTTTCTAAACTCAACACTATCCTGAAATGAACAACAAACACAAACAAGAAATTAGATAGGTTATGGGGGCCAATTGTTGTACTTTGCTTACCCAGCTTCCATTCTTTTCTCTTCTGGTGACAGCACTCTGGTTTTTTTTTTTCTTGGAAAACTACACCCCATTCTTAGCCTATGCAGTTGGACCAAAGCTGATCACAACTCCAGGGCCCAGGCCAATCACAGTGTGGACTGATCAGAATGGACAGATGATCTAAGCCAAGGCCAATAGGCCACAGGCCCAGAATATCTGCTAGACAAGACCTAAAGAGGATCTGCTATCCTCTTTAACTGAGGCTATTGGAAAATATCTTGCCACCATAAGGATAGCATCCAAATGAGAATGCAGCCAACACAGAAGAAAGGAGAACCAAGAGATTAAAAGAGCCAGATTCTAATCTAATACTTTCTGAGTATGTGGCTCTAGCTATACTTGAACAATAAACCCCAAGATTTTTTGGCCATCTGGGTCAATAAATATCACTTTTTTACTTAACCCAGTTGGACTTGAGTTTCTATTACTTGTTCCTAAAAGAACTGTGACAAATACACAAATAGCCTGTGTTTCTATTATCCCATACTCACTGTGTTCGGTAGTTCAGTATTCCAATACAGAATTTGTTATTTAATTGACATGGTCTCAAGAAATCCCCAAATGCCAATTTAGAAAGAACAGTTCCCAGGTAGTTTAAAAGAAGGAGGTAATTCTATATTTTTAATCCCTAAATGGTTTATTTTCTAAAATCCATTGCAAATAAATGGTACATTTGGATGATTCCACATCAAAGATAATGCTGAATATAAGATCTCTTTTCAGTATAGGGAAATGACATCCCCTGGACTTCTGGGTCTGGCAACAAAACTATAACTTAGTTTTCCTAAGGAATTCTCTTTGCTACTGAATTCCTAAAACTCTAAATAAAAATAGGGCAAACATCCTTTCTGAGCTTGCAAGAAAATAAGAGAAATCTCTCAGAAGCCAAAAATTTTTTAAAGATTATTTTAGCTGCCTACCAATACTATGAAGAAATGAAAGTTAGTCTCTCTTGGGCTGGGTTTGGGATGGAGAGTAAAGTTGTCCCTGAGAATGTGTAATAGAGGACCTGTATCACACAGTCATTTGACTTTGGAATTACCCTCTGTACTAGATGAACATCCTGGGAACACTCATGCTAAGAAATTAACTTAAAATTTTGAACTGGGCTGAAATAGCCATGAACACATAGCAAAAACAAACAAAAACCTATTCCAGGGAAACGTGTCTGCAACCATTGCCCTACAATAGTATTTGCATAATGCCTATGTTGAAGATGGAGTCAAAATATGAAATTTAAAATACAATCTACCGTGATATAGCAGATGCAATGTGGGACAAGATTAAACTCTAAGAATTTAAAATAGAGACTATAAAATATATTTTAAATCAGCAGTCTCCAACATTTTGGCATCAGGGACCAGTTTTGCAGAAGACAATTTTTTTCCATGGCTGGTGGTGGCAAATGGTGTCGAGATGAAACTGTGAAACTGTTCACCTCTGATCATCAGGCATTAGATTCTCTCTTTTTTTTTAAGAGATGAGATGATAATTTTTTTTAGTTTAGTCAAATAATTAGTCATCCTTAAGTATTTCTGCATGCTTTATCAAATAAAAATTATTTTATGATTGGCAAAATTTTCTTGTTACCAATTATAAAATAAACCCAGTATGCACCTTAAAAAATCACAATCTTTTTCCTGAAAGGCAGATCACAACATGCTGACTATTTCATAATAAATTGAAGGTGAACAAAGGAGAAAATGCAGTACGTTTGTACTTTGAAAAGAAACTAATTTCTAATACTTATGTGTCACCTTAATACTCATGTGTCACCTTATTCTGGCTGGCATATAGTAGATGGCCCACAAGTGTTCAGTGATTGAATGAATGATTGGATGAATACATATTATTCTTGAAAAAAATCATCTCAATAATTACTTCCTGATCATACTGGATACTGTCAGGTATAGTTTCAGAAAATATTCTGTAATTTAATTAATAAAACCAAGAATTAGAAGAAAGAAAATTTGCTGCTAAAGTACTGCCAAATATCCAGTTGTGTGGTGTGAATTTGGTAGCTTCGATAAGGCCTTCTTATTTACTCTAAAAATTTCTAATATTTTACTTGTTGTATTAGCCACCTATTATCTGATGATGAGTGGCTGGAATTTCTCTGTTAAATCTTCATTCTCTTAGCCCTAGTTTTACAATGATATTTAAGTGCAATCATTCTTGCAGATATTAACAGGAACACCTAGTGCTTTTCTTAACAACAAATTGAACTAAGATTATTATTTTTTATTATACTTTAAGTTCTAGGGTACATGTGCACAACGTGCAGGTTTGTTACATACGTATACATGTGCCATGTTGGTGTGCTGCACCCATTAACTCGTCATTTACATTAGGTATATCTCCTAATGCTATCCCTCCCCCCTCCCCCGACCCCACGACAGGCCCCGATGTGTGATGTTCCCCACCCGGTGTCCAGGTGTTCTCATTGTTCAATTCCCACCTGTGAGAAGGAGCACACAACCTAGATCCTTCTCATGCTCAATTCACAATAGGGTTTGTGCTCCTATGAGAATCTAATGCTGCTGCTGATACAACAGGAGGAGGAGCTCAGGTGATAATGCTTGCTAACCTACTGCTTATCTCCTACTGTGCGGTGTGGTTCCTAACAGGCCACAGACCAGTTCCTGTTCATGGCCCAGGGGTTAGGGACCTGTGCCTTAAGTGATTAAAGATATAGAAGAAGAAATCAGAAAAGCGTTTTAAGAAAAAACAGGCTTGCAAAAGAAGCCCATCCACTTCTAAAAAATGATAATTATAGTAGAAATTTAAAACCTAATTGACAGCTTAAACACCTGATTAAATATATATAAAGTGAGGATGAGGAAACCAGATAATAAATATGAAAAAAATACCTTAGAATGCAAGATTACAAGTTGAAGATGTGGGAAATATGAATGAGAAGTTGAACAACATGGATGACAGAATGAGAAAGTCCAACGAACACTTCTAGGAGAACAACAGACAGAATGAGAAAGAGGCAATATTCAAAGAGAACAATGGATTAGAATTATACAGAGTAGATCCAAAACAGAAATCTTTATATTAAGGAAGTAAAATATGTCATAGGGAGAACAAGTTAAGTGAAATCCAAATCTAAACTCATCGAGGCAAAATTACTCTTAAAGGCAATCAGAAAGAAAAATACAGATGGACTTCAACGAATGACAAGACAGCAGCTGATTTCTCACCACAACAATAGAGAAGACAATGGAATAATAGCTTCAAATAACTGTCAACCTAGAATTTTTTTTTTATTCCTACCAAACTATCATTTAAAACTCAGGGAAAAATAAATATGCTCTCATTTAAAAGGGCAGAATTACCACTAATAGACTCTCACAGTTAGATATTTCTGAAGACATAATTCTGAGAGGAAATTCAACTGAAAATGGCTGAGATTCAGGATGCAACAGTGAACAAAGAAACTCAAACACATGGTATAAATCTAAAGAATTCATTGTTCAAAACAAAAATTATAAAAACGAACGTGGAGTTTAGGACATCTAAATGTGGTAAATGAATGACGGTTCATTTTGGAGCAAGATGTTTCTCAAATGCTGAACAGCAGTGACATGTCGAATGGAGTGGCACTCTAAGCACTGTATTATTCAAGAGAAAGGTGGCAAGCTCATAAATATCAGACTTGTTAGGTACATGTGTGAAAAATGTAAGAGTTATTATTAAAAGTAGAGAAATAATACATAAAACTTCAAAATCAGCAGAGGGAAAAGATGAATTAAAATTTTATTGGCTGGGCACAGTGGCTCATGCCTGTAATCCCAACACTTTGGGAGGCTAAGGCAAGCAGATTGCTTGACTCCAGGAGTTCGAGACCAGCCTGGGCTACATGGCAAAACCCTGTCTCTAAAAAAAAAAAAAAATGCAAAAATTATCTGGGCAAGAGGGCATGCACCTGTGGTCCCAGCTACTCAGGAGGCTGAGGTGGGAGGATCACATTGAGCCCAGGAGGTCAAGGCTGCAGTGAGCAATGATCATGCCATTGCTCTCCAGCCTGGGCAACAGAGCGAGACCCTGTCTCAAAGAAAAAGAAAAAACAGATTATTGACCTTATGTATATAGAAAGTAAACTTGAGAAATAAAGATACAAACATAAGGCAAGGTAAACAGAAAGCACTAAAAAAGATAGTAGTAAGCCTACACATATCAGAAAGCACAACAAGTGCAAAGCAATAAACTCACCTTTTGGAAGATAATGATTACTATATTGGTTTTATATGCTGTTTACAAGAAACACATTTAAATCTAAAACCACATAAAGATTGAAAGTGAATGGATATTTAAATATATGCCAAGCAAAGAGAAGCCAAAATAAAACCAAAAAAAATCATTATTTGGGATGAAATAAAACTATGACTAATAAAATGAATGATTCCCCAAGCAGATGTCACAATTTTGTACCTGTATGTCCCTAATATGATAATCATAACATACATTCAGTCTACACACATACAAGCTGATTTTAACCTAGCTTCCTCTGAAACTAGATAGATCAAACAACAAAACAGAGAAAGACTGAAAAACACTAATCACAAGCTTGAGCCAATGGAAATAAGAAAATATACATTATTGTCAAACATATGTGGACTATTTATAAAGCTGTCTATATTATAATGTCACAAAGCAAATCTCAACAAATATCAGAAAGACTCTATCATGCAAATCACAATGCAAATAAATGAGAAATCAATAACATAGATACCCTTCCCAAAACATGTGTGACTTAGAAAACCCACTTCTAAATAATTCATGGATCAGTGAAAAAATAATTGAAAGTTTCAAATACTTTATACTGAACTATATCACAAATTTGTGGGATGTAGCCACAGTGAGAAACACTTTGACTTAAATGATTATGTAAATAAAGAATAATCCCTGAAAATCCATGAGCTAAAAATTCAACTCAATAATGTAGGAAAAGAGAAACAGATACTGTCACTCAAAAAAAATGGAAGGAAGAACTAAAAGTTGAACCAAAGTTTGATGAGGGACCAGAGTTTCCTTCCTAATTCTGTCTATAAGGGGAAACTATTCTTCTCCCTATGAAAAACCCTGTTTTTTGACCGAGAAGGACCTGGGTTTCTGACAAAGTGCTTATTAGAAAACATCCCTCAGAAACAAAACCAATGTTCATTTCAACTTAGCAAACAGTGGCAGCAGGACCACCTGCGAGCTAGGTGCCAGGACAGAACCATACCATGCTCAAGGATTCGCAAGCTACCATACTTTTTGTTCTTTTCTCTTTAAAGCATTCTTGCTTCCCTACCTTTGTGTGTTGCTCATTTCTGCCCAGAAGGTGTCAAAGAGCTGTTAAGATCAAGCCTGTCCAACCTGTGGCTCAAGATGGCATTGAATGCAGCCCAACACAAATTTGTAAATTTTCTTAAAACACTGTAAGATTTTTTTTGTGATTTTTAAAAAAAATTTAGCTCATCAGCTATCAGTAGTGTTAGTGTATTTTATGTGTGGCCCAAGACAATTCTTCTAATGTGGCCCAGGGAAGCCAAAAAATTGGACATCCCTGCTGTAGATGACCTGTCCCATAGCTTATGGGGTGGCCTGTGTGCTGAAGCATACTGCTAGGGAATGGGAAAGTAGGAGAGAAAAATCACTCTGGACTATTTCCTCAAGATCCACATCAAGGAAAATTGTCCGATTGCTTTATAGAAGTAATCCAATACTAACTACAAAGTATAAGGATCAAAGAAAACATGCAAGGGGAAATTCAAAATAGAAGGAACCACTAAAACGTGTGCTGACATGTGCCTATTAGCCAGTATGCAAAGGAATTCATCACCCAAAGAAGACTAAAATGCCTTTAAAAATATAGTTGTGGGCAGAAAACCTGAAGTCAATTTCATGTTTTACTGTAAAGAATCAAAGAAGGTGTTGCTTGGGGAAATTACATGTACAATAAAATTCGACTGCTGGGCTGTACTGGTCCCTGAGGCCCTGGGCAAACTTCAGATCTCTGGCAAGCTTTGCAAACTCACTTTATTTTACTATTCTAGTACAGTATTTCCTTTTTATCCTTTCTCAAATATATTAGCAAAGAAAACAAATTAATAGGAATAGGCTTTCCGTGGGACTCTTAAGCCAGGGTAGGGAAAAATAAAACAGGTGTGTGCTTCTCTACCATTCCAGAAGGTCTGAAGGCCAACTCTGGATCCAATAATCATTGCCTTCGACCAAACTTCTGCTGAGTCTGCAATGGAAGGTAGGGGTCACAAGTCACAGCATTAAGGCAATAGTATATTAAATGGCTCATGGGCTTTCAGTAGAAACTCACATGATCAATATTGGTGATGATTTCACTTAGGATGCTTTCCATTCAACAACAAAGCCTATCCTCCCAGCCGCTTTTATTTAGCAAATCCCAGATGCTCCCAGAAATGATGTAATATCCTACACGATGCTTTGAGTACTTTGCCAGAATTAGAACTACATGGTTGAGCAATCTAAAAGCAGGTTTTGAAACTTCTAAAGCCTTGTGTAATTTCAGACTCTGGATATGAAATGTATTGATTACTACAGCAGTCCAAATTGATGGCCAGCATTTACATTTTTAAGCCAGTTGAGATACTCTCATGTAACTCAACTGATCTATTGGGGTAATGGCCTTGGCCTGTTTAACTCAGCTAAATGAATTAGTTAAATTTATTTCAAATGTGTATCAAGCCTCCACCACATGACTGGATAAAAGGCAATAAGATATGGTACTTGATCTATAAAGAGCTTATAACCTACTAGAGGGAAATGAGACACATAGATCATATAGCAAATGTCCGTTGCAGTATGATGAGGGCTATGGTAAAAACACAAAACCCCAATTCTATGGAAGAATAGACATGTATACAATCATAATTTAAGCACAGCACAGGGTTCATGCAAAGCTCATTCTGTCATGTGACTCCTTCCTACAGAGTGCTGGGTTTTTATTGTTCAAAATTCATTTGGACACACTAGAGAAATTCGTGTGCTTAGGAGGCAATCCAATCAAAGAAATAGCTCTAGTTTTTACAATATGGCTTATTAATTTTTAGCACATATCTGCCCTGAGGTAGGCAGAATAATAGCCTTTCAGTACCTGTATGTTACCCCACATGGCACAGGGACTTTGCAGATGTTACTTAGAATGGGAAGCTCTCCAAGTCATTACAAAGACCCAGGGGATGGAGACACAGTTCATTCCTTCAAGAGCACTGGACTTGCCATCTGAATGCTGGTTCTACCCCTTTGGCCAAGCTATTATGGCTATTATGCCTATGGAACACTCAGTTTTCTCATCTGCAAAATGGAAACAATAATAGCTACCACATTGAGGGGTTTCAAAAGTCAAATTAGCTCATGGATATGGAAGCTCTTTGTATTTTTTAAGTGGTCCTTTACATTAATAACTAAACTTATAGTGGACTCTGTTAGATGTTGGGAGATCAGTAAGGAGGAGGAGAGGGGAGGGGAGGGGAGGGGAGAGGGAAAAAGAAAGGGGAAGGGAAAAGAAAAGAAAAGAGAAAAGAAAAAAATCTGCCTTGTAGAAACTTAGAATCTAATTGGTGAGATGAAATCTATTTGCAATTGTTCAGTAGGAATGTCACAAAAATAAGATTAAGGTTCAACAACAAAAGTGGAGGCCATCAGTAAGCTTTTTGCAGAAGAGGGGAATGGAGGCTTGCATGAAGTATCAGAGAAGTGGTAGGTGGGAAGGACTACATTAGATACTACAAGATAGATAGGTGGTATGGAGGAACGCATTATTTGGCTTATAGGCCCCTGTAACCAAAATAAATAACAGAAGCCAAAGTGTGGAGTCAGAAGGGGCTGGGTCAGGGAGAAGGAGAACATTAGTCTGAAAAGAATAGAATTTTGTGTTGAATATGAGGACATGATTGTGTGGAAGGCCTTGAATGTCAGAGTAAAGTCCCTGAACACTTCCAATCATTGGATAACATGCAAACCAGCTTTTGAAGAACACTGGTCTGGCCCACACGCCTGAGCACCTACTCAGCACCAGACTGCAAGCTTGACTCATTCTATACTTTGTCTCACTCAGTGCTCACCACAATCCATGATAGATGAAAAGAAATGTGGCTTGGGGAGAGTACGTGATGTAGCTAAGTAACACAGCAAGTTAGTGACAGAGTTAAAATTAACTTCTGCCAGGGTTGAAGCAGAATTGATCGTGGTGGGTAAACTTTTTGATGTGCTACTGGATTCAGTTTGCCAGTATTTTACTGAGGATTTTCGCATTGATGTTCATCAGGGATATTGGCCTGAAATTTTCTTTTTTTCTTTTGTCTCTGCCAGGTTTTGGTATCAGGATGATGCTGGCCTCATAAAATGAGTTAGGAGGAGTCTCTCTTTTTCTACGATTTGGAATAGTTACAGAAGGAATGGTATCAGCTCCTCTTTGTACCTCTGGTGGAATTCAACTGTGAATCCATCTGGTCCTGGGCTTTTTTTAGTTGGTAGGTTATTAATTACTGCCTCAATTTCAGAACTTAATATTGATCTATTCAGGGATTCGACTTCTTCATGGTTTGGTCTTGGGAGGGTATATGTGTCTAGGAATTTATCAATTTTCTTCTAGAATTTCTAGCTTATTTGCACAGAGGTGTTTATAGTATTCTCTGATGGTAGTTTGTATTTCTTTGGGATCAGTGGTGATAGCCCCTTTATCATTTTTATTGTGTCTATTTGATTCTTCTCTCTTTTCTCCTTTATTAATCTGGCTAGCAGTCTATTTTGTTAATCTTTTCAAAAAACCAGCTCCTGGATTCATTGATTTTTTGAAAGGTTTTTCATGTCTCTATCTCCTTCAGTTCTGCTCTAATTGTAGTTATTTACTATCTTCTGCTAGCTTTTGAAGTTGTTTGCTCTTGCTTCTCTAGTTCTTTTAATTGTGATATTAGGGTGTCGATATTAGATCTTTCCCACCTTCTCCTATGGGCATTTAGTGCTATAAATTTCCCTCTAAACACTACTTTAGCTGCGTCCCAGAGATTCTGGTACATTGTATCTTTGTTCTCATTGGTTTCAAAGAACTTATTTATTTCTGCCTTAATTTCGTTATTTACCCAGCAGTCATTCAGGAGCCAGTTGTTCAGTTTCCATGTAGTTGTGCGGTTCTGAGTGAGTTTCTTAATCCTGAGTTGTAATTTGATTGCACTGTGGTCTGAGAGACTGTTTGTATGATTTCCGTTCTTTTGCCTTTGCTAAGGAGTGTTCAACATATGCAAATCAATAAATGTAATCCATACACAAACAGAACCAATGGCAAAAACCACATGATTATCTCAACAGATGCACAAAAGTCCTTCGATAAAATTCAACAGCCCTTCATGCTAAAAACTCTTAAGAAACTAGGTATTGATAAAACATATCTCAAAATTATAAGAGCTATTTATGACAAACCCACAGCCAATATCATGCTGAATGGGCAAAAGCTGGAAGCATTCCCTTTGAAAACCAGCACAAGACAAGGACACCCTCTCTCACCACTCCTATTCAACATAGTATTGGAAGTTCTGGCCAGGGCAATCACGCAAGAGAAAGAAATAAAGCGTATTCAAACAGGAAGAGAGGAAGTCAAATTGCCTCTGTTTGCAGATGACATGATTGTATATTTAGAAAACCCCATCATCTCAGCCCAAAATCTCCTTAAGCTGATAAGCAACTTCAGCAAAGTCTCAGGATACAAAATCAATGTGCAAAAATCACAAGCATTCTTATACACCAATAACAGAGAGCCAAATCATGAGTGAACTCCCATTCACAATTGCAACAAAGAGAATAAAATACCAAGGAATACAAATTACAAGGGATGTGAAGGACCTCTTCAATGAGAACTACAAACCACTGCTCAAGGAAATAAGAGAGGACATAAAGAAATGGAAAAACATTCCATGCTCATGGATAGGAAGAATGAATATTGTGAAAATGGTCATACTGCCCAAGGTAATTTATAGATTCAATGCTATTCCCATCAAGCTACCATTGACTTTCTTCACAGAATTAGAAAAATCTACTTTAAATTTCATATGGAACCGAAAAGAGCCTGCATAGCCAAGACAATCCTAAGCCAAAAGAACAAAGCTGGAGGCATCACACTACCTGACTTCAAACTATACTACAAGGCTACAGTAATCAAAACAGCATGGTACTGGTACCAAAACAGATATATAGACAAATGGAACAGAACAGAGGCCTCAGAAATAATGCCACACATCTACAACCATCTGATCTTTGACAAACCTGACAAAAACAAACAATGGGGAAAGGATTCCCTATTTAAAAAATAGTGTTGGGAAAACTGACTAGCCATATGCCAAAAACTGAAACTGGACCCCTTCCTTACAGCTTATACAAAAATTACCTCAAGATGGATTAAAGACTTAAATGTAAGACCTAAAACCATAAAAACCCTAGAAGAAAACCTAGACAATACCATTCAGGACATAGGCATGGGCAAAGACTTCATGACTAAAACACACAAAAAAAATGGCAACAAAAGCCAAAATTGATAAATAGGATCTAATTAAACTAAAGAGCTTCTGCACAGCAAAAGAAACTATCATCAGAGTGAACAGGCAACCTACAAATGGGAGAAAATTTTTGCAATCTATCCATCCAACAAAGGGCTAATATCCACAATCTACAAGGAACTTAAACAAATTTACAAGAAAAAAACAACCCCATCAAAAAGTGGGAAAAGGATATGAACAGACACTTCTCAAAAGAAGACATTTGTGTGGCAAACAAACATATGCAAAAAAAAAAAACTCATCATCACTGGTCATTAGAGAAACGCAAATCAAAACCATAATGAAATACCATCTCATGCCAGGTAGAACGGAGATCATTAAAAAGTCAGGAAACAACATATGCGGGAGAGTATGTGGAGAAATAGGAATGCTTTTACACTGTTGGTGGGAGTGTAAATTAGTTCAACCATTGTGGAAGACAGTGTGGTGATTCCTCAAGGATCTAGAACCAGAAATACCATTAGACCCAGCAATCCCATTACTGGTTATACACCCAAAGGATTATAGGTCATTCTACTATAAACACACATGCACATGTATGTTTATTGCAGCACTATTCACAATAGCAAAGACTTGGAACCAACCCAAATGCCCATCAATGATAGACTGGATAAAGAAAATGTGGCACATATGCACCATGGAATACTATGCAGCCATAAAAAAGGATGAGTTCATGTCCTTTGCAGGGACATGGATGAAGCCATGAAGCCATCATTGTTAGCAAACTAACACAGGAACAGAAAACCAAACACTGCATGTTCTCACTCATAAGTGGGAGTTGAACAATGAGACCACATGTACACAGGGAGGGGCATATCACATACCGGGGCCTGTAGGGGGGTGGGGGGCTAGGGGAGGGATAGCATTAGGAGAAATACCTAATGTAGATGATGGGTTGATGGATGCAGCAAACCACCATGGCACGTGTATACCTATGTAACAAACCTGCACATTCTGCACAGAACTTAAAGTATAATAAAAAAAATTAACTCCTCTATTTCAGAACTCACTCATCAGACTCGGCCCAGATCCCAAATGATGCCAGGTGCAGTAATGGCTCACAGAGCCAAGCTCAGCCATGTAGTGTGGGAGACAAGACTGGCAGGAATTATAGAGCTGTAGCTGCTCCGGTGGGGTGACAGGGGCTTCTTGGAAGCAAGTGGGAGAAGCACTAAACCAGTTTTGGGGATGGAACAAAATGCCTACAAGTGAATCGTTTCATGTTTCTTTTTTGGCCATCTTCACACTATTTTTCTTAAGGTTGACTGAGTGTTATGAGTGGTACGAAGCTCAAAAATTGGCAAGGATCACATCCAAATGGAAGACTGGCCTGTTGGCCCATCCCTCCTCCCTGCAGCGTAATTGAGAGAGCTTGGCTATTTGAAAGATATTCAAGGCATCGAACCTTCTACACCCCATGTAAAACCAACCCTGAGCTAATCAGAAACCGCCCAGCTGGAGGTTTCCTTTCCTCAGCTCTGTTCTCTCCTACCCACTGTGAGGGATGTCTCTCGGAAAAACCGCCACACTGTGTACTTTTCTGCATTCTGCATTGTGCATTTATTAGGAATGCACACATCTGGAATTCTTGAACAACTGAAAATGCACCTGCAAAATCTTAAAACGGAAGACAAGTTAAGCCTGTTTTTAAAGCTTGGTACTGAAAATAAACACTCTCATCATAACTGGAGTCTTGAAGACAAGAAGAATCTAGCAGTGTGAGTCCATTTGAAAGCCTGTTTTCTGAAACCAACACCAGTGGATAATAAAGTCAAAAACCCAATATGACTTAATAGACTCTAAAATGCAGATAACATTTAAACAATCCACAAGGATTGTGCTTTTTTCTCCTACCATGTCACCTTCAAAATCACTCCTAAATCTACGTAAATTGTAAATCAGCTCATACTCACTTAACCACCAGCTCTACAACAAGTTGGCTCTTTTGAAAACAGTCACCTCTTGAGATACCTTGAGCTTTATTCTCTTACACTGGCCTCCACAAGCTTGTTTCTTCTCACATTTCCCCCTCTAGCTCTCCCTGAAGCCTTCATGTCCTCTACAGAGAGCACGAAGGAAAGAGATGGAGATATGGGGGTGGGAGGGCAGTGAGAAAGAGAACAGAAGAGAAGAAAGAGAAGGAGAGGAGGAGAAGAAGAAAGAGAGAAAAAGGAAAGAAAAAAAGAGGCCGGGCATGGTGGCTCATCCCTGTAATCCCAGCACTTTGGGAGGCTGAGGCAGGTGGATCACGAGGTCAGGAGATCGAGACCATCCTGGCTAATATGGTGAAACCCTGTCTCTACTATAAATACAAAAAGTTAGCCAGGCGTGGTGGCAGGCGCCTGTAGTCCCAGCTACTCGGGAGGCTGAGGCAGGAGAGTGGTGTGAACCCAGGAGGCAGAGCTTGCAGTGAGCCGAGATCATGCCACTGCACTCCAGCCTGGGCGACAGAGCAAGACTCCATCTCAAAAGAAAAAAAAAAGGAAAGAAAAAAAGAAAGAGAGAAAGGAAGGAGGCAAGGAAGGAAGAAGTCTGTGTTGAGGGCTGTCCTTAATAAACTTCTGCCTGGCCAGCAAGTTGCTCTCCATTAAAGCAGTCCAGTGCTGGGCCCAACAAAAGAACACAAATCCCTTCTCCAGACCCATTAGCACCCTCTACACTGGATGTCTACATAAAAGGGGAGTGATGTTTTCTGTTTTAATAGGATGTTGTGGAAAACATACTATCATGAATTACGATTTGCCCCAACTTCATTTGGTTCATCAACATCTGGCTTTGAACCACAAATCACAGGGCCCAGAGCAGTCATCCATCACCTGAACCCAAGGTCAGTCTCAATAGATGTGTAACTGTGTATTAATAAAACACCCAATGAAGAACCAAAGTATTAGCCAGTCACCATTCAAAAGTCTATCATCCACAGGAAATTAAACATTTTTACTTGTGGTGTACCTACTGGAAATGCGCACAAATAACTAAGGCTCCTGATGCATTTGCTTTGGGTACCACACCATTTCCAGCTGAAAATCCAGTGAAAAGCACTTTTGTGATGGGTATAAGCACTTGATTCAGGGATGCTCACCAGGCAAACCCAAAAATTGTAAAATAAAACACGGTAACATTTTCACCAAGATGTCAAACATAAGTAGTTTTGTTTTAGGCCTTTCCTGAAGTATCTTTCCCTAAATGTTCATTTCAGAAAGCTTTTATGTCCTGATTTTCATATCATTCATATTATAAGAAATTGCAAAGCTATACATAAGCTACTTCTAGAGCAGTCACCGTATCCGTGGCTTACGGGGAGAGAATAACCGAAATTCTGTGACTCATCACTGCACCTTTTTTCTAATATAAAAGCATGATTTTGTCACAGATAATGAGCACCACCTTGGCTATGGCTACTGATTATATAACCGTGAGCATTTATGTCTTCAATAGTATGTTAGTAATCTTTGAAGACACAAATCTCAAATTTGCAGAAGCTGGCTTCACTTGTTCAGAGGAAGACATTGATGATGAGTGCTTTTTTCGCCAATAGGAAAAAGATTTGATTATTATTATTACCGTTAAAAGGCTGATGCCTCATGAATTCGTACTGACTGTTATTTTTGTGAATTCCGTTCTTGATATTAACAAATATAGATACTTCTGGAAAATGGCAGGGACACATTCAAATGTTTTCAAAGTTTGCTAATGACAAGGAAGGGAAGGATGCGAACTCATGGGGCTGGGTACTGAGAGAAAGCTTTGAGCATGTTTATGGACCAAAAGGGTCAGCGGAAAGGGGGCAGTAGAAAATATAAGGAGAGAGAAAATTGATAGAAACAGGTCCAGGGGCAAGTGAAAGATTTGCTTATTATTTTTTTTTACCAATGGGGAAAAAAGCACTCATCATCAATGTCTTCCTCTGAACAAGTCAATATTCATACTTGCAGTTTGCAATGACTGCGAAGCCAAAGCCAGCAGTTTTATGACTGCTGCTCTTGCACCACAGAATGAGAAAACCAGCAAGGACTATCAAACATGAGGGAATAATTGGTACCAGAATGCGCTCATTGAAACGGGTGAGCTCACAGGCAGGTTTCATCTGCAAGGGCAAAAACGTTCTTCTGCCTCTGAAAGTTAGCTTCCGCCACAATTTCCATGAAACTTGCTTTAGAACAGAACTCTTGGAAACTATAAATGTTTTTAATTCTCAAATGAAGATAGACAAAACTCAATCAGAGTAACTTCGTAATTGGCTTGGCTAACGGTCCATATGTGAATTAGTCATTTTCAGCAGTTTAAAAAATCCTAGACTAGCTTCCTCCTGGTGTCCTGCACACTTCTATGCTCCCTTTGGGTGGCAAATGTTGAATGCATTCCTGCTAGTATTACTAGTTTGATAGTGATGTCCTGAGTTTACCTAGTGCTTTCTGTCACTATATCAGGTGGCCATGATGGAAGGAGGTACAGAGATCATCCAGTGTTATGGACTAAATTGTGTGGTCCCCTCATTCATATGTTCAACCCCCAATGTGACTGTATTTGGAGATATGGTCTTAGCGAGGTAATTAAGATAAATTGAAGTTACAAGGTGGCTTGAATCTGATAGGACTGGTGTTGTTATAAGAAGAGACACCAAAGACATGCAAAGCTTTCTCTCTCTGCTTGCACGCACTGCGGACGGGCCATGTGAGGACGCAGCGAGAAGGCAGCTGTCTGCAAGCCAGGAAGGAAGCTCTTACTAGAAATGGAATTTGTTGGCACCATGATTTTGGACTTCCAACCTCCAGAACAGGGAGAATATAAATGTCTGTTATTTAAGTCACCCCGTCTTTGGTATTTTGCTATGGCAAGCAGAGCTGCCAGGCTACGATGTGACTGTTGTAGTCCAAGCAGTGTACACAGTGCACAGCATGTACAACTACGGCCCCTAAGATCTCTCACATACACAATTTCAGCATGATGTTCATAACGCCCCTAAGGGCAAGCACTGTAATGTAGGAGAATAAGTTAGATAAAACCCATCACTTCTTAGCTGCAGGGTCTTGAGCAAAGTCCTCAATTCCTCCAAGCCTCAGTTTCCTCCTATTATAAATGTTTGTTAAGCTGGTTAAACCTAGTCTCTGCAGCAAATTTAATAAGATTTAGTACTGTTAAGCATTTTTCATCCACCATGAAGAAACTCACTGCAATAGGTGTTTGCATGTGTATGATCATTTCTAAGTGTTCAAAAGGAGTATTGTGTTGGTTTCTTTAATTAAAGAGTAAAATCCTATTTTTAAATGTCTGTTATCATTGTGGTGAGAATTTTTCTGCCTCCATGCCTGCAGATTTCACTGCCTTAACCTTCTGGTGGATTGATCAGTGAGTCACTCACTGGTGACACCTCTAAGCCTGTCACTAGGCATGAGGCTAAAGCTGACCTCTAGATAGTGTAGGCTTCCTGGAAATCTCTTTGGGTCATCCTAAGTCTGTTTTTGTCAATAGTTCCAGAAAAGCAGACACAGAGTTCATGGATCATATTCATTAATATCAAGAATAGAATTCACAAAAATAACAGTCAATAAGAATTCATGAGGCATCAACCTGTTAACAGTAATAATAATGATAATCATAATAGCTCAAATAGATGGAGATTAACTTTGGGAAGCCACTGACTAAATGCATTATCTCAGTAACCCTTTAGGTTAGATACCATTGTCCTCACTATACAGGGAGGAAACTGAGGGACAGAAAGGCTAAATAACTTACCCAAGGGCCAATGACAGGAAGTGGAAGAGTAGGTTTGAAATGCTCCATGGGACTTGACTGCTGTGCTATGCTCTCTCCACTGCAGGATCTCTAATGCCTGTCATCTGCGCCATGGGCTTTAGTTCAAGTGAGTCTTCCTCCTACCTTCCGTGGTAAGTAACACCACCAAAGAGATCTGATGTTGGGGAGGTTCCCACGTACTTCTAGGTGATACAAAATAGTTATTTCCATTCCCGGAAATCCTCCTGCAAGGATTTCTGAAACCATTCTATTGTATAAAATCTGTATGTTCCCAATTTAAAAATATACAAAACACCCTTCCAAGTCATTTGAATTAACACTAGTATTAAGGAAGCTAAGTCTGCATAACCAGCCCCCTGGAAAGACAGAATGCCATCTCCTCAAGTCTAAGTGCTGTGTAATCATTACTCTACAAACCAAGTGGAGATATTACCTATTCTGCAAACAGCAAACCAAGCAAAATTCCTAGGTGCTCCCAAGGGAACAAATCATGCAGAGAAACTGCTCTCTGCTTCTCTCGAAAGCCCTCGCTGTTCCCAGGGGCCCTAAAACTCATTATCCCCCTGCGGGTGAACAGCAGACTCCAGTAGTTGTATACTTCTAGAAAGTGGAAGCAGTACATCTAAATGTTTTCAAAGTTTGCTCATGACAAGGAAGGGAAGGATGGGGACTCAAGGGCTGGGTAAGTAAAGAGTGTTATGGACCAAGAGGGTCAGCAAAGAGGGGGCGGTAGAAAATGTAAGGAGAGAGAAAATTGATAGAAACAGGTCCAGGAGCAAGTGAAAGATTTGCTCCAGTGGAATTAACATGAATATACATGGGGATGGGGGGGCAGCACTTGAATTTTAGAAACAAAAATGAAGATGAGTAGAAATGCAATTTTTTAGGTAGAAAGATATTTCTGTCCACTGGCCTCTATTTTCTCAGAAAAGGTGTGAGCGGGTTGAGGTTTGGATGAAGAAGGCTTGAGGAGGATGGAAAATGTTTAGAATCAAAAGTCAATTAGAAAGGGCTAAAAGGATTTCCAAGTAGAAGTGACTGTGGCATTAAGCTAAAATGGCATAGTTTATAGTGGACTGCTTCCAGAGCAGAGGACACGGGGTTTAGTCCATTGCCACTGAGTTGGGTCAAGCCCTTAGACAGCTGTCTTCTGACCTGACTTTCAAACTGAAACCTACCCTTCTGTGATTTATCCAGGCTTCTGTGATTTACCTACCCTCTGCTTGCAAGACAATCCAAGGTCCTCAGCATGACACACAGGCCTTTCCCTAACTGGCCCCCATTTGTGTCTCCAGCATCAGTTTTTGCCTTCTGCCATATTGAACTTAACTGTAGTTCCTCTAGAGCCTCAGTCCCTTTCAGTGCTGCTGGGCCTTAACCAAAGTATTCTCCTGAAATATTTTTCCCTTTAATGTCTGGAAAATAACATGTATTTTTTTTTTAAAGGCTGCCTCCTCTGAGAAGCCTTCCAGGGTCACCTTAGGTAAAACTGATTGTCAGTCTCTCTTTTTGCCAGCCTTACCTATGCCCTGTATGTGCTACTGACATCACAAGTCACTTCATATTTCATCTATTTTAAAATGCACTTTTATTCACATTTTTTAAAAATCCCTGAAATCAGCCAGATGTGGTGGTACAGGTTTGTAGTTGCAGCTACTGAGGAGGCTGAGGCAGGAGGATCACTTGAGCCCAGGGCTCGAGGCTGTAGTGTTATGATCGCACCTGTGAATGGCTACCACACTGCAGCCTTGGCAACACAGGCAGACCTTGTCTCAAAAAAAAAAAAAAAAAAATCCCTTAAATTAGCATGTAACTTATAATCAATGGTGTATCATAGTTCAATGACAGGATTAAAAAAAATTTTGGTGATACCAAAAAAAAGTACATCTTACATTGGAGAGCATTTGGTGAAATGCAGCTTCATTTTCTAACTTTCTAAAGTGAGTGTAGGAGTGCTTCTCATCTTGCCTCCCACCCCACCGCCCCCGCCACCTTTGGCAGTGTCTGGAGACATTTTTGGCTGTATCAACTTGCGGCGAGGAATATGCTGCTGGCATCTAACAGGTAGAGGCGAGAGATGCTGCTAAACATCCTCTAATACACAGGACAACCCCCGACAACAAAGAATTAGCCAGGTCAAAATGTGAATAGTACAGAGATTGAGAAACCCCTACGTAGAGAAACAATACCTATTTGGGTATATAATAGGCTTTATTATGTTTGATTTTAAATAAATCTTTTACAGTGTATAGTGCAACTTAATGTATAGCAACTTTTTCCAAACCTTGGCTTGTACAGAATAGCAACTCTTGAGACATATTCTAAGCTCTCCTCATCACCCCTCCCCAACTCCTTCTGCTAGATGCCCCAGGGAAATAAAATACAGCAATGCTCCTGGTCAAAATCTGAAAGCCAGAATGTCTCAGAGAGATTCGTGACCTTAAACCAATTAGGTTAGTTAATGGCAAGTCCAGGACTGAAACCCAGACCCCCAGATTTCCGCAATCTCACTCAGCCTGGGAGACAGCTGCTCCCTTCCCGGGCTAAATTGGCTAACACAGTTTGGTACCTTAAGAGGAAATGTGCCCTACCTATATGAGCTGGGTGACTTAGCAAGAGTTTAGCATTTAGTATTCACGCTTTAACACCCGGGACCCACCCAGCTCTCACCCCACTTTATGAGAATGTAGGTTGACTCTGTAAGACCCCTTAGCTCTGTGGGGAATTGGATTTATGCAAAAAATAATAGTGATTCATGAATGTGAAGGAACTTTAAATAAATGTAGATGATTTCATCATACAAAAGGCAGAAGGGACTTAGTAAGTGTATTTAAGGCTCTGGAGGAAGCGTTATTAATTTGGAAAGTGGGTGGGGGGAGCTGTCCTCTATCCCTACAAGCTGCACGTGTGGAAAGGGCCTTTCTAGCGCAGGAAGCTGATTTATGTGAGAGAGGAAGGAGTTCCAGGGGGAGGTTTTGGCAAGGCAGTCCCCACATCTCGGTTGTGCCAGCCAGGCGGGCCTCAGGTGGGTCTGGGGCTCCCTGCCCCTCCTGCTGAGTCCCCAGAGTGTCCCCCGCCCCCTTCCTTCTCCCACTGGGGCTGAATCACAGTGGGCAGCAGTGTTTGGGATCCTGCGATCCACCCATCGCCATCCCAGCAGCCCCACCCTTGGAGGATGGGAGGTTACCCTGCACGCCAGAGGGGATGGCGGGGGCCAGACTCACCTTCAGGTGAATGGGAAAGGACCGCTCCTGCTGGAGGGGCCCCAGCAGCGTCTGCTCCACGCTGACCAGCTCCGAAGTCGAGTCCACCACGCGGGCCAGCGCGCTGCGCATCGCCATCTGGGCCAGGGTGCAGGGCCCGCGGTCCCGGGGGAAGGGCAGCAACTCGGCGCCCCCCTCAGCGCCTCGCACTACCTCCTCCTCTGGGGAGTTCGCCCGCGCCGCGGTCCGCCGACTCCTGGTCCCCACGCCCCCGCCCCGCTCCTCGCGCCCGGGCCCCGGCCGGGCCCGCGGCGGGCCTGAGCGACGGGCTGGAGCGGTGGACACGTGGTCTGGGTCCCGCGGGTTCCCGGGGGCGACTGGACCGTCCCCCCAGCCCCACTCCTGCTGCAGCAGCTGCAAGGTCTGCAGAGCCACCATTTGGTGGCTGATGGAGGCCACTAAGGGCGCAGGGCTGGCCATCGCCTCCGCTGGCGGCCCGGCGCGCTCCGCGTGCAGGTGGAGCAGCAGCGAGGGAGGCGGGGGCGTTGGGGTCGCCAAGGTCACATTTTCTAACCCGCGGCTCCTCGGCCTCTGGGTCTCACAGCGTGTGTGGTCGGCCCCGCCCCCGGCTCTGAATCGGTGACCCGTGCTGGCCTCTGCCTTCGCCTGAAGTCCGAATCAGGCGTGTTCTGACCCAAAGCTGCCTGAAGCGCTGCTCGGTGTGCACTTGAAAATCAGCGAAATGCTGAGCGTTGCTTCTTCCCTCTCTCCAGGGCTTTGATGAGAAAACGTGCTGCTTTGTGCGGGCGCATCCATCGGCGGGGATACCCCGCCCCCACCTCCTTCGAAGGATGCCTGCCAATGACCACTGAGGTCTGGGAGGTGGGGGTGCAAAAGACCCACTCTAGGGCAAAAGTACGAAGGGCTCTAGAAAAACTTGCAAAAGGAAGACTGTGCCTTTCCCAACCCGAGGGGAATTTTCAGAAACTTGTTGAAGCAGCCTTCAAGGCCTTGCATCCCCCAAACAAAAGAAGGAGGAGTTGTGTATCTGGAAGTTCTGCTCTTCTCTGCTTTGCTGGGTGCCACTTGAGCACCGAGAGCCTGGTGGCTGAACTAGCATCAGCAAGCCTCAAGGCCCAGGCCTGGCACTGCCCAGAAAAGCCTAAATGTTTTTTTGTGACACTCCCAAAAGACTTAGGCAGCAAGGTTGAAGTTAATCCTTTTATGAGCCATGAACTTAGGGACAGCTGTACAAATAGTTGCTGTTTTTAATTAAACCCAACATGGCTACTTCCTTAACTTAGAAAAAAGCGACTAGCAATGTTATGCTTTGATAGATTGGAAACCATGGGTGTGTGATCACACTTAAGAAAATAGAAGATATTTGAGAGGAGTGGTATGGAAAACCAGTCCGGAGCAGCATTGTTCCTGCTTGCTTTCTGCAAGGAAAACCACTAGACAACCCAACAGCCCAGTAAAGCCAGGGCAATGGTGCATGCCCACGACAGACAGGTGGGCCCTGGCAGACCTGAGGATGGAATTGCATTACTCCTTTGGGAGCCAGACTGCACCCTTGGTGCTGTGCAGATCTGGAGAGGCTTTTGAGTGAAAAGGCCACACTGGTTAGTCTGTGAGCACAAAAGGATCATCAGAAGAGATATGGAGAGGGATGTTGGGTCCTTTAAGGTTTCCTTAACCCTGGGATAGTATGACCCCATATAATCCTCCCAACTTGCCAGCAAAGGTTCCTTCTCCTTCCCAGTGCTTTCTTCGCCTATGAAAACGAATCTGAATGCCAAGGTAAAGAAAACCTTTCTTAAACAAAAACGAGTATGTTCACACTAATTATAACTAAGTAAAAATGCACGTCTGTGCATTGACAGAGAGGAAATTACTTTGGAGGGAAGTAAATAGTTTAATGTTGATTAGATTTTTTTGCCATGAAGTTACTTAAGTTCATAATAAAAAATAGAAAGAAAAAAATTTTCTTTTTAAAAAAAGTCTTCAAATGTTGAAATATATTAGGTTCAGCAGAGACTAACCAGCAATAGCAAAAATGAACCCCTAATTTTCACAGAGCATGTCAGATCTCTAGGGCTGCCTCTCTTTCCAGATACACAGGAAATTCAGTTTCATGGGCTAACCCTTCCACTATCAAATGGCTGACTGCAAAACTTTCTTGACAGTTGGAATTGCAGCCAAGAGCAGAATTGAAATCACTAGACACAGGCTGACCTGAGGCCCCACTCTTCTACATACCACACTGAGTCAGAGCCATGAGACCAACTGAACCTCAGGGGGCATGACAGAAGGGTGCCAGAAAACCTTGGGGCCTGAGGGATGGCACATGCTGCTTAAATTGCTGCCTGCTTTTTCTAGTATTCTTAGGAAGCCCTGGATCATCTGGCAACTGAGTGTTTTGTCTGTTTTGGCTGTGGGTCGCACTGTGTTTTGCTATGATCTCAAAATGGCTTGTGTTCCAAAGCTAGAGATATGAGAGCCTAACTCAGGAAAAATTTTCATAGTCTATTTAGATGAGTCAATAGCATAGCAGATCTACCTTTGGTCTAAAACACCTCCGTAGTTACGTTTGCTGGGCTACCAGACGAAGTAACAGATAGCCTACTTCTTACCCACTGTACTCACGATTTGAGGCCATTCTGTAATAAAGGGCACATTCAAAAGGACAAAGTATTAGATATCTGATATGTTTGTTTCACAACATATATTTCACTATTTTATAGAAATCATACCCTCATTTCTCAGTAGATATGCCTTTTCCTCCACACTCTGCCCGTGAAGTCAGATGGGATGAGCCCATCTCACTGCAGAAGAGTACTGGATCATCTAGCCTAAGTCCCATCACACATCACATCCCCACAGTGCATGCATGGTCAGGAATGGGCACATGACCCAGCTAGAGCCAATGAGACAGTATCTTTTAGGATGCTTTCAGCTGAATGCACTGTAAAAGAGAAAACAACAGATGCAAAGAGTACAGGCCAAAAAAGAAGTGTAGGCCAAGAGATGAAACAGCAAAAGATCAAATTCCCTTTAAACCAGAAAACTCAACATAACATAGTTTAATCAATAAGAATAATTTATTGTCTCACATCACAAGAAGTCCAAAGGCAGAGTGGCTCCAGAGTTGGTTAATATAGCAGCTCCTCAGTGTCATCAAAGCCCTTTGTTCCTTCCTTCTTTCTGCCATGCCATTCCCAGCACATCAGCTTTGTCCTTAATTTTTGGGCTAGTTCTCCTATGGCTACTAGCAGCTGCTGGCATCATGTCTAGACAACAATAACTAGAAGAAAAGGCCATCTTTTCCTGTGTATTCCTTCTCAAGAGCAAGGAAACACTTCTCAAAAGCCTTCAGCTGGCTTCCTCTCACATCTCCTTGACCAGAATTGTGTCACATGTTCTTGCCTAATTAATCACAGTCAAGAGGAAAGAGGCTACCATGAGAGTCTAAGGTGAACTAGAATTCAGTGTAGGAGTTGGGGCTGAGCCTAGCCTCTCTCAAAGCAATTGGTGGAGGGAGGATGAAAACTACTTGATATGAAGCAAGGTTTTGTTACCAAGCATCAGCAATGGCAACAGAGAACAATGAGGATTTTGCAGGGGTTTCCAGGTAAAGAATATATCAGATTTCCAGGGCTGCTTCTCTTTATCAATACACAGCAAGTCCAGTTTCATGAGGCTGATCTTTCTACTGTCAAATATCTGACTTCAGTGACCCCTGTGCAAGTAAAGCTGAGAAGATACAAGTTCTGGAGCCTCTGCAGCCATCTTGTGAGTTTGATGGGGACAGCCCGCCTATGAATGAGCCAGCACTCATGGAGAGAAGACGTTCATGAAACAAAAGCCAACAGATGTATAGAGAGAAACCGTGGCTGTATAGCAGCATTTGAGGTCCACATTTAGCAGCACAGGAAGTCAGCCCCACCTCTGAGCTTTTCAGTTATACGAGCCGATGAAGTCTCTTTTTGCTTAAGCCTCTTTGGATTGGATTTACTGCCTACTGCAACAGAAGGAGTCACAGCTGAAGCAAATAGCCTGACATATGTTATAGGAAAGATGGCATGTTCATGGAGTGACCCTGTGACCCAGTGCCCCTTAGGCAAGGCACTGCCAGAAGGTCCCTCCAACCAACTACTTCTAGCAGTGCTTATGCCATTCACCTAACCTTTCTACAGTCTCAACAATTGTGGGAAAAGCTCTTTGGGTAACTCTGATGGGAGCATTTTTAAATGAGCACTGGAAACATTCAGCACCCTGTGGGATGGAAAAGAGAAGAGGGTAGAAAGCTCAGTGAAGTGAGAAGCAATTTTCTACCTGTTAATGGGCAAGGTAGAGTGTTGTTAGATAAATGAATATTCTGGCACTTCTGTTAATCCAAAGTTTCCTTTCCTGCATGAGCAAAAGATGCAGGTTCCTATGTGGAATCGTGGAGAAGCCGGGCACAATGAGAACCGAAGGGAGCTGGCAGAAGGTACAGTTCTGTGGAGCTGTCCTCAAAGGACTTGGCAGAGCCCAGATACATTTGAGCCCTGTTTATATTCTTTGGCATTTTTCCTCAAAAAGGATCCAAGAGAATTCCAGAAATAGAGCTGTTAACCTTCAGCGCACCCTGGTGAAGTTCATAGGTGAGGTCAGAACAAAACATGTCCAAAGAGACCAAAGAGTTATTATTCGTGAATGAAAATTATGATTGAGGAGAAACAGATGCTGAAGAGATACACCAAGATATGAAAATGTACTGTCAAAGAGAAAACAATGGAACTAGGACAAGGTGTAGGCCCAAGAAAGAAAGAAAGAGCAAAAAAGACCAAATTCTTTTTTTTAAACGTACCATTGTAATGTTTGAATATGCCAAGTTATAAAAGTAAATGCACGTGCCCTTCTAACTTTGGCCTAAACATTTGATTTTGGTGGATAAAACAAAGACGCAATACCGCCCTGAAGTCTCTGAATTGCCAAAAACAATTGTTTACATAGGATGGTGTGCTTTCAGAACATCATATGCACTACCTTCCCAGACCTTGTGAAGCTGGTGAAGTTTAATGAAGCTAGAGAAGAAAAATAGACAAGAGTGGGTAAAGGGAAAGAAAATAAGTTAAAAATGTTAACTCTCACCTGCCAGTCCAGATGTCATCTGATGTACATTTGCGCCTTTGCAATTTGTCAACACAAAATGCATTTCTTTCTGGACATATAAATCATTGTGCTTGGTTCTGTCTTAATAATCAGTTATTTGGTTTCGGCTTAGTAATCAGTTAGTTTATTTCCAAGGAGAATTATTGATATTGGCAGAAAAAAATCAAAAGTGGATTTTTTAAAAGTCAATATAATTTTTTCTAATTATTGTAGCTTTGGTGGATGATTTCAAGTTTAAGAGTGACGGAATGCCATGAATTTTCATGCTGCCTACATTTCAGTAAGACAACCTTGCTGGATTTCCCCCTCCATTTTGGATTATAAAATCTAACCCCTGCGGAACATCCTTTCACTTGGAGAGAAAAATTTACTTGGAAAAATTTCACTTGGAGAGAAAACCAAGAAAGCTTCTTGGTTTCCTGAACTATTTTGATTATCTGTGTAGATATGGCTTATAGTATTGAAATGAGGTGGCAGAAAGAGTAGTAGTGATAAAAATGGAGAAGAGAAAGGTCAAGTGAGTTTCAGTGATTTTGCCAACTAAATTCTAGGATCCTTAATGAAAAAAATGTGACCACCTTTATCACTTTCCAGGATCATCCTGTATTTTCAAGTTTCAGTAGGTACCCTTTTACTGTGATGGAAAGAAATGCTTGACTTGGGTCTATATATTTAAATTTATTTTTATTTTTTATTTTTATTTATTTATTTATTTTTGAGACAGAGTCTTGCTCTGTCGGGCAGGCTGGAGTGCAGTGGCACAATCTCAGCTCATCGCAACCTCTGCCTCCCGGGTTCAAGCAATTCTCCTGCCTCAGCCTCCTGGATAGCTGGGATTATGGATATGTACCACCACACCCAGCTAATTTTTGTATTTTTAATAGAGGTGGGTTTTCATCATGTTGGCCAGGCTGGTCTCAGACTCCTGACCTCAAGTGACCTGCCCATGCCCACCTTAGCCTCCCAAAGTGTTGAGATTACAGGTGTGAGCCACCACACCCGGTGTTATATTTAAATTTTTTAAAAAATCTTCTCTGTACCTTTCCTTACATTCATCCTCATTCCCTTACACACTTCTTTTCCTCTAAGGAATTTTCTCCTCTTGTTCTCCAAGTTCTTTTCTGGCAGGCTTTATGGCCGAGCAGACATTGGAGTTTTATCTACTCTTTCATCTGCTCCTCTCTTCCGTCTGTTTTTCCAAAGCTTCCTTTCCTATGGTAATTACCATGAAAAAAGGGGGCAAGGAGAGGGGGTTGAGGGGCCACATGGTTCTTTTGCTTAGCTTTTGTTACAAGATCACTATGGGTATATTCATGAAGTCAAAACTTCATCTGGGGAGGTTCAATGTAATCTCCAACTCTTAAACCCTGAGTGCAGCAAGGGAGAACTAAACTAGTTTTGAAAACTGGACTAGAGCCTTCCCACATTGTCTGTCTGTGCTAGGAAAACAAGAGAAGCCAACAGATGTGTTTATTTTATTTGTTTGATCATTTTGATCACTTTTGTTTCAAAATATTGTTAAGAATGGTCAGAAGAGTTGACATAGGTAAAATATGTTTTTAAAATAAATACTTGAACATGATTGAATTGACTCTTTTTCTTGGAGGAAAAAATATAAAATATTTTAAAGTATGTTTACATAAAAATATATATATTTTAGCATAAAGTATATCTCTTTTTAAATTATCATCATCTGTTTCTCTAATATTCACTCTTAATTAGCAAGTGGATCTTAAAGATGCTGATTTGACCGTAAAATGCAAATGGTCCACAGAAATAATCAAATTTCAAGCTTTTGTTCAAAAAATCATATGTACATTTTATTTTATCTGTACTTTCCATTTGAAAATTGAAACCACATTCATAAGGATCTTAAATGCCTCTGTTCAAAAATCTAAACTTTCTCAAAAGTTTAAATCATAGACTTGATGGATCATTTCTAGTTAATGATAGGTAATTTGTTAAAGAAGCATTGAAGGTGATTCTTAATGTCCTACTCACTTTTGCTAAGAACAAAAATCGAATACTTTCTCTATGTTCATTTTAATGTACAATCTATTTAACAGTGGCTTATTTTTAAAGAATTTTGAGTAATTATTATTCCATGACAGGGTAAAATATATAATACATATGATGAATCCATCATGTATATTATAGTCTACCTTGATCATGAGAGACTTCAAGCAGGAGCAAAAACAAACAGACAAACAAACAAACAAAAAAACAGAACAAAAAGACTAATAATAATGGATGCTAGTGAGGATATGAAGAAAGAGGAACCCTCATACACTGTGAGTGGGAGTGTAAATTAGTACAGCCACTAGGAATAACAGTATGGAAGTTCCTCAAAACAACTAAAAATAGAACTACCATAAGATCCAGCAATCTCGCGGCTGGGTATATATCCAAAAGAAAGAAAATCAGTATATCATAGAGATGTCTGCACTCCTATGTTTATTGCAGCACTATTCACAATAGCCAAGATACAGATTCAACCTAAGTGTCCATTAGTGGATGAATGGATAAAGAAAATGTGGTGGGAGGCTGAGGCAGGAGAATTGCTTGAACCTGGGAGGTGGAGGTTGCGGTGAGCCGAGATCACATCACTGCACTCCAGCCTGGGACACGGAGTGAGACTCAGTCTCAAAAAGAAAAAAAAAAAGTGGTACATATACACAACAGGATATTATTCAGCCATAAAAAAGAATAAAATCCTGTTATTTGTAACAACATAGGTGGAGCTGGAGGACATTTCTTAAGCAAAATAAGCTAGAAAGACAAATAAGAATTAAGGCAAGAAAGACAATTATTGTGTGTTCTCACTCACGTGGAAGCTAAAAATGTTGCTCTAATGTAGGTGCAGAGTAGAATGATAGAGACCAGAGACTGGGAAGAGTGTGTTGGGGGAAGGGGATAAAAACA
Organism: Homo sapiens; assembly: GCF_000001405.40. Taxonomy (NCBI): domain Eukaryota; kingdom Metazoa; phylum Chordata; class Mammalia; order Primates; family Hominidae; genus Homo; species Homo sapiens. The sequence goes on from NC_000013.11 coordinate 50,851,246, forward strand.
GGTTGGTTAATGGGTACAAAACTACAGTTATTACAGAAGGGATAAGATCTAGTAATTAGTAGCACAATAGAGCAAATATAGTTAACAATAATGTATTGTGTACTAGAGAAGTAGATTTGGTATGTTTCCAATACAAAGAAATGTTAAATATTTGAGGTGATGAATATCCCAGCTATACTGATTTGACCATTATACATTGCATGCTTGTATCAAAATGTCACATATACCCCATTAATGTGTACAATTATTGTGTATTCATAAAAGTTAAAAATAAACTTTTTTTCAAAGAATATACTATTAGATATATTGACAAGCATTAAATGGGGAAGACATTTTGAAATAAGACACAATAGCCAGATGTCAAGATGTCATAAAGAAAAAACTGGGTAAATTTTATTACATAAAATATTAAAACCTTAATTTGATAAAAGACACTATAAATAACATTTTAAAACCAGTGGAAGGCTGAGAAAACATATTTGCAATGTAAAAAACAAAGAATTAATAAATTAATATACAAAGAGCAACCACAAATTTTTTAATGGCATAGACTTTGATTGAATATAGGTGAAGGGTAATAGAGAAAATTCAAGGTCTGACAAACATATGAAAAGATCATCAACCTCATGAGTAATCAGGAAAATGCAAATGAGATCACCATTGTTGATATGATCCCCCCACCCCCAACCCCTCACTGGCAGAAGTAAAAGTTTGTTAATACACAGTTCACCAACAATGCAGGGTAATGGCTAGCGTCATATGCTAGCCATGTGGGGGACAATACAGATGTAGCCTCTTTGAAGGGTGTTTGTCCTACAGAAATATTCACATGTGTACACAGTTGTATGTACAGTATGTGTAATTTAAGAAAAGGGAAAATGTAAATAACTGAAATCTCTGACCATAAGGGATGGAACAGAGTGCATGCTGGGGACTTGATGGAATAGAAGAGCGCTGGGACCTCAGAGGGCCTTCTATAAGGACATAGACTTTTTTCTTAACTCTTTATTTTGAGAAAACATTGTAAGAATACAGCAAAGGACTCCCATATACTCTTTAGAAGCTGATCAGTTGTTAGCATTTTGCCACGTTTGCTTCATTTCTCCATCAATCTCTTTCAGCAAACATTTTTTAAAACATATTTGAGAGTTAGTTGCATACATCATGACCCTTAATCTCCAAATACTTTTTATCAATCTCCTAAATACAAGGGCATACTCTTATATAATAATGGTATGATTATCAAACTCAGGAAATTGAACGTTGACAAGCTACTACCGTCTAATACATTCAAATTTCACTAAATGCCCCAACAATGCCCTTCATAGGACCCCTCTCTCCTTTCGTTCTGATCCAGGATTGCATTTAATTGTCATGTGTCTTTTGTTTCCCTGTTTCCTTTAAGCTAGAACCATTCCTCAGCCTTTGTCTTTCATAACATTAATATTTTTTAATAGTACAGGTAAGTTTTTTTGTAGGCTTTCCCTCAATTCCTGCTTGTATAAAAATTCCCTCACAATTAAATTCATTTGCATTTTTGGCAATAATGTTACATAAATACTGTGACCTCAGTGCATACTTTAGGAGACCCCAGATGTCATTCTATTAATATCTCGTTGGTGGTGGTGTAAACTTTTGATCACTCATTTAAAATGGTTTCCCCTGCATAGGTACATTTGCTGCTTTGCAACTAATAAATCATTTATGAGGGATATTTTGAGACTGTGTGAATATTCAGTTTCCCCAGTAAACTTTGATTCTGTGGTTCCAAGGACTTTGGATTTTAAATGAGTGGAAGCCACTGGAGGGTAATAGTGTGATTCTGATGTTTTAAAGAAATTACACATGAGTCTGGCAGGATCTAAACCAAATGACTAACAGTGGATTTCTACATTGTTTAGATATTTTATCAAAAAAAAGTACATCCTTGAATTGTCTGTGTAATTTTTAAAAGGCATTTTAAACACACACACACACACACACACACACACACACACACACACAAGGTCTGGAATCAGATAGACACAGATGCAGCCCCACAACCCTTATTACTATGTAAATGGAGTGATTTTCTTAAACTCTCTGAAATTCAAGTTCCTTATCTGTAAACTGGGGATAATATTAATATTTATGAATTAAATAAGAAAATATTTTTTAATGTAGCCCATAAAGCATCACTAAATCCTTTTTTATTTTAAGTTTATTCATCTCATAAGTTTCCAAATGCACTCTTTACACTGGCTTCTTTTCATTAAATACGCTGGTTATTTTTTGCTGCTTAAAAATCCCATCTTCTGTCAATCCAGCTTACTTCCATCCTCCATTCAGAAGCAAACTCCTTGGAAGGCCTCCCTGTTTGCCCTGTTTTTACTTCCTCACTTCTAATTCCATTCCAGCCCTCCTCCACTCCCAGAGCAGAGCCTTTCCTAAGAGCCAGTCAACATTTTTATAACTTCAGTGACCCTTTGTCAGTCTCTTAACCATTTCTTGAAAAAGCATTTCTTTTCTCGTGGCTTCTGCTATCTTTGTCTATTTTTTTTTCTCCCAGTTCTCTGGCTGGTCCTTCCTTGTCAGATCCTTTTTCTCTTTGGCCCTTAAATGTCAGTTTTCCTCTGCCTTTGAGTGTGGGGTTAAGCAAAGATTGTATCTAGAACATTTCCATGGTGTTTCAGAAAGACTGCCTGATATGATTTGGATCTGTGTCCCCACCCAAATCTCATGTTCGATTGTAAACCCCAATGTTAGAGGTGGGGCCTGGTGGGAGGTGACTGGAACATGGGGATGGTTTCCCATACTTTAACACCATCCCCCTTGGTGCTGTCATTGTGATAGTGAGTTCTCATGAGATCTGGTTGTTTGAAAGTGTATGGCACCTCCCCTGTCTCTTCCTCCTGCTCCGGCCTTGTGAAGTGCTGTGTACCCCTTTGCCTTCTGCCATGAGTAAAAGCTCCTTGAGGCTCCCAAGAAGCAGATGCTGATGCTGTGCTTCCTGTACAGCCTGCAGAACTGTGAGCCAATTAAACCTCTTTTCTTTATAGATTACCCAGTAATCTATCTCAGGTATTTCTGTATAGGGGTGCAAGAACAGACTAATACACTGCTATTAACATTATCCATGTTGTACCTCAACATTCATTATACAGAGGTTCATCCACACTGCAAATTTCTGATGGAGCTTAGAGCTTTAAAACTTTGCCTCTCCTGACCAACTACTATGAAGTCATGTTGTCCATCACTTTCCCTCTCTGCTTTTGCTGTCAAACATTCAAAATAATGTTTTCTGCTAAAATCAGAGGGCTTTCTCATGCTAGGATTTCTAGGATAGTCATCTTCTCAATCTCTCCAACCACTTTACATTCTTACATGTTTTATATATTTTCTCTTTGTTTTCAATCTTGTTGAAATGTCTTTCTCAGTAAAAGATCCACTTATTCTATTATTAGCATCTATGGAAAGGTTTTGAAAGTAGAGGGAGTAGTTGTATACCATGTTTAGACTTAAGAGGTGTTTTTTTCCCCTTATAATAAATAAATTTCCATATAGGTTTTGATAAATATGCAAAATTTTATTGAAAGAGATGTAACAGATATAATATCCAAATACTGTATATAGCATTTCTTCAGTTCCTTTTTCTAATAATCTGACTACAAAAGAATAAATTTTTCAGATAACTTGGGAAAACTAAGTATGGACTGGATATTAGATGATAACAAGGACACATGGATATTTTGTTAGGTGCAATAATATTGTTGTGATTATATTTTTAAATATCCTCATAGTAGAGGGGCATGCTGAATTCTGTATAAGGAAACTGACTTACTATCTGTCCTTTGATTTTAAAATCTTTAGTAGAGAGAGAGAGAGAGACAGACAGAAGGGCAGAAGAGGAAGGAAAGGAAGAAGAAAGAGGAGGGTAATGAGGAGGAAGAGAGGAAAAGAAAAGAATCGATAAAGCAAGAGTGACAAAGTTGTAAAAATTTCAGAATCTGGGAAATGGAATATTTAGGGATTCCTTATACTATTCTCCCTTATTTTGTATACATTTTAAAATAGTACAAAAAATTAAAAGTTAAGAATAAAATGTTAAACTTTAAAAACATCTGGCATTTCTAGGGAAAAATATGAAGTATTATCTCTAGACTCAAAGCTTAAAGTATATGCTTGTTTGGTTCAATCAAATTTGATTATGAGTAGCTTCTGATATGTGTGCCTTAGTTGGGTCCTGCTCTCATAAAATGGCCAGTGAAAAATGGACTGTTGGAAATTTACAAGAATCAGAAACTAGCTCACTCACAGCATTATTGTAAGAATTGAATTAGTTAAGATAGTTAGGAGTCTGAGAACAGTGAGAACAGCAATTCTCCATAAGCGTTGGTTATTATTATGTCTTTTAAAATATCACCGGATCCACCAGTTCAATTTTTAGCCTCTCAATGTTTACCTTAAATCCAAGATCTGTTTCTCTAGCCCCAACATCTGCGTATCTGGCTTCTACAGCTCCTCACATATTTTCTGTATGAATTCCCATAAGCATTACACAAGATAGGTTAGAAAGGCAAGGTACTTGGTTGATAAGACTGCTGTGGCTTTGCCTGATTTCTTTTAAACCTATGCTGGGGAGGGGGCCAAGATGGCTGATTAGAAGCAGCTGCGGTCTGCAGCACTCTCAGAGAGGAATGAAAGGGGTGAGTGAATTTGGCACCTTCAACTGAAATATCCAGATTCTTGCATTGGGACAGACTAGGCAAATAGCCCAACACACAGAGAACAAAGAAAAGCAGGGTGGGGCTATGGCCCACCCAGGAGCAGCACAGAGCCAAAGGAACTCCTACCCCCAGCCAAGGGAAGCAGGTAGTGATTATGTGATCCCACCTGGGAAACCATGCTTCTCCCATGGGTCTTTGCAATCAGCATATCCAGAGATCCCCTCATAAGCTGTGTGGAGTCCCAGCAGAGCAGCCAGTCGGCCACACACAGAGACCCAGGAGTTTTGCATACTCCAGCCGCAGGTTTCCTTGCAAGGTGGGAGATCCATCCCTAGGTACACCTAAAGGGGGCTGAATCCAGGGAGCCAAGCAGTCTTGTTCTGTGGGCCCCACTTCCACAGCACCTCACAAGTTAAGACCTGCTGGCTTGGAATTCCAGCCAGCCAGTGGTGACAGGTTGAAGTCTGCCTAAGATGGATTGAGTTCCCAGATGGAGTGGTGGCCACTATCTTTGCAGTTTGATCAACTCAGCTATTCCAGTCCGCTTGCTTTGGAGAGTCCAGACTGGATGAGGAAGGGTCCTCCACCATGCAGCATAGCTGTGCTACCAAAAAGCAGCCAGACTACTTCTTTAAGTGGGCCCCTGATCTCATTCCTCCTGACTGGGTGAGACCTCCCAACAGGGGTCTCCAGCCACCTCCTACAGGTACAGCTCAGGCTGGCAACAGGTCAGTACCACCCTGGGACAGAACTTCCAGAGGAAGGAGCAGGCTGCCATCTTTGCCATTTTGCAGGCTTCACTAGTGATACCAAGGCAACTAGGGCCTGGAGCAGACTCCCAGCAAACCACAGCAGCCCTACAGAAGAGTGGCCTGACTGCTTAAAGAAGAACAAACAGAAAACAACAAAAACATCAACAAAAAAGACCTCACAAAAACTCCATTCAAAGGCCAACAACCTCAAAGATCAAAGGTAGATGAGCCCACAGAGATGAGAAAGAATCAACACAAAAATGCTGAAAACTCAAAAAGCCAGAGTGCCTTATCTCCTCAAAATGACCACAACACCTCTCCAGCAGGGCACAGAACTGGGCTGAGGCTGAGATACCTGAATTGACAGAAGTAGGCTTCAGAAGATGGATAATAAAGAACTTCGCTGAGCTAAAGGAACATGTTGTAACCCAATGCAAAGAAGCTAAGCATCATGATAAGACAATACAGGAGCTGACAGCCAGAATAGCCAGTTTAGAGAGGAACATAATTGACCTGATGGAGCAGAAAAACACAACATGAGAACTTCACAATGCAATCACAAGTATCAATAGCAGAATAGACCAAGCAGAGGAAAGAATCTCAGAGCTTAAGACTAGCTTTCTGAAATAAGACAGGCAAATGAGAATAAATAAAAAAAGAACAAAAAGAAAAAGAAATGAACAAAACCTCCAAGAAATATGGGATTGTGTAAAGACACTGAACCTACAACTGATTAGGGTACCTGAAAGAGACAGGGAAAATGGAATGAAGTTAGAAAACATACTTCAGGTTATCATCTAGGAGAACTTCCCCAACCCAGCAAGACAGGCCAACATTCAAATTCAGGAACTGCAGAGAACCCTAGTAAGATACTCCACAAGAAGATCAATTCCAAAACACATAATCATTGGATTCTCCAAGGTTGAAATGAAAGAAAAAATGTTAAGAGCAGCCAGAGAGAAAGGTGAGGTCCTCTTCAAAGGGAAGCCAATCAGACTAACGGCAAACCTCTCAGCAGAAACCCTACAAGGCAGAAAAGACTGGGGGCCAATATTCAACATTCTTAAAGAAAAGAATTTCCAACCCAGAATTTCATATCCAGCCAAACTAAGCTTCATAAGCAAAGAAGAAATAATATCCTTTTCAGACAAACAAATTCTAAGGGAATTTGTAACCACCAGGCCTTCCTTGGAAGAGCTCGTGAAGTAAGCACTAAACATGGAAAGGAAAAACCATTACCAGTCGTGACAAAAACAAACTGATGTACACAGACCAGTGACACTATCAAGCAACCACATAAACAAGTCTGCAAAATAACCAGCTAGCATCATGATGACAGGATCAAATTCATATATCACAATAGTAACCTTAAAGGTAAATGGGCTAAATGCCCCAATTAAAAGGCACAGAATGGCAAGCTGGATAATGAGCCAAGACCCATCAGTATGCTGTCTTCAAGAGACTCATCTCACATGCAAAGACACATATAGGCTCAAAATAAAGGGATGGAGGAAAATTTACCATGCAAATGGAAAACAGAAAAAAGCAGAGGTTACAATCCTAGTTTCTAACAAAATGGACTTTAAACAAACAAAGGTTAAAAAAAAAAAAAGACAAGGGCATTACATAATGGTAAATGGTTAAATTCAACAAGGAGAGCTAACTATCCTAAATATATATCCACCCAATACAGGAGCACCCAGATTCATACAGCAAGTCCTTAGAGACCTACAAAGAGACTTAGACTCCCACATAACAATAGTGGGAGACTTTAACACCCCACTGACAATATTAGATCATCAAAACAGAAAATTTGCAAAGATATTCAGGACCTGAACTCAATTGTGGATCAAGAGAACCTGATAGATGTCTACAGAACTCCCCACCAAAAAACAACAGAATATACCTTCTTATCATTGCCACACAGTACTTACTCTAAAATTGTTCACATTAGCAAAAGTAAAACAGTTCTCCACAAATATAAAAGAACTGAAATCATAGCAGTCTCTCAGGCCACAGTGCAATCAAATTAGAACTCAAGATTAAGAAATTCACTCAAAACCACACAACTACATGGAAATTGAACAACCTGCTCCTGAATGACTCTTGAGTAAATAAGGCAGAAACTAATGCCTTAAAACTCATAAGTTTTTTGAAACTAATGAGAACAAAGAGACGACATACCAGAGTTTCTGGGATGCAGGTAAAGCAGTGTTAAGAGGGAAATTTATATCACTTAATGCCTACATCAAAAAGCTATAAAGATCTCAAGTTAACAACCTAAATCACAGCTAAAAGAACTACAGAACCAAGAGCAAACAAACACCAAAGTTAGCAGAAGACAAGAAGTAACCAAGATCAGAGTGGAACTGAAGAAAATAGAGACACAAAAAACCCTTCAAAAAATCAATGAATTCAGGAACTGGTTTTTTGAAAAAATTAATAAAATAGATAAACCACTAGCTAGACTAATAAAGAAAAAAAGAGAAAAGAATCAAATAAACACAATCAGAAATGATAAGGGGGATATCAGCACTGACTCCACAGAAATACAAACAACCATCAAAGAATACTATAAACACCTCTATGCACATAATCTAGAAAATCTAGAAGAAATGGATAAATTCCTGGACACACACACCCTTCCAAGACTGAACCAGGAAGAAATTGAATCCCTGAACAGACCAATAATGAGTTCTGAAACTCAGGCAGTAATAAATAGCCTACCAACCAAAAAAAAGCCCAGGACCAGATGGATTCAAAGCTGAATTCTACCAGAGGTACAAAGAAGAGCTACCCCCATTTCTACTGAAACTATTCCAAAAATTTGAAAAGAAAGGACTCCTCCCTAACTTTTTCTATGAGGCTAGCATCATCCTGATACCAAAACCTGACAGAAATACAACAAAAAAAGAAAACTTCAGGCCAGTATCCTTGATGGACATTGATGCAAAAATTTTCAACAAAATACTGGCAAACCAAATGCAGCAGCACATCAAAAATCTGCTTGATCCATCACAATCAAGTTAGCTTCATCCCTAGGATGCAAGGTTGAATATACACGAATCAATAAATGTGATTTGTCACAGAAACGGAACTAAAGACAAAAACCACAGGATTATCTCAATAAATGCAGAAAAAGCCTTTGATAAAATTCAACATCCCTTCATGTTAAAAACTCTCAATAAACCAAGTATTGAAGGGACATACCTCAAAATAATAAGCCATATATGACAAACCTACACCAGTATCGTACTGAGTGGGCCAAAGCCGAAAGCATTCCCCTTGAAAATAGTCACAAGACAGGATGCCCTCTCTCGCCACTCCTATTCAACATAGTATTGGAAATTCTGGCCAGGGCAATCAGACAAGAGAAAGAAATAAAGCGTATTCAAATATGGAGAAAGGAAGTCAAATTGTCTTTATTCTTATATCTAGAAAATCCTATCGTCTCAGCCCAAAAGTTTCTTAAGCTGATAAGCATCTTCAGCAAAGTCTCAGGATACAAACTAAATGTGCAAAAATTGGTAGCATTCCTATACACCAACAACAGGCAAGCAGACAGCCAAATCATGAAAGAACTCTCATTCACAATTACTACAAAGAGAATAAAATACCTAGGAATACAGCTAACAAGGGATGTGAAGGACCTCTTCAAGGAGAACTACAAACTACTGCTCAAGAAAAGAAGAGACGACACAAACAAATGAAAAAACATTCCATGCTCATAAATAGGAAGAACCAATATCATGAAAATGGCCATACTGCCCAAAGTAATTTATAGATTCAATGCTATTCCTATTAAACTACCATTGACTTCTTCACAGAATTAGAAAAAAAACTATTTTAAAATTCATATGAAATCAAAAAATAGCCTGAATAGGCAAGACAATCCTAAGCAAAAAGAACAAAGCTAGAGGCACCATGCTACCCGACCTCAAACTATACTACAAGGTCACAGTAACCAAAACAACATGGTAATGGTACAAGAACAGACACATAGACCAATGGAACAGAATAGAAAACTCAGAAACAAGACCACACACCTACAACCATCTGATCTTCAACAACCTGACAAAAACAAGCAATGAGGAAATGATTCCCTATTTAATAAATGGTGCTGGGAGAACTGGCTAACTATATGCAGAAATTGACACTGGACCCCTTCCTTACACCATACATGAAAATTAACTCAAGATGGATTAAAGACTTAAATGTAAAACCCAAAACTATAAAAACTCTAGAAGAAAATCCAGGGAATACCATTCAGGACATAGGCACGGGCAAAGATTTCATGACAAAAATGCCAAAAGCAATTGCAACAAAAGCAAAATTGACAAATGGGATCATTTAAATGGGATCTAATTAAACTAAAGAGCTTCTGCACAGCAAAGAAAACTATCATCAGAGTGAACAGACAACCTACAGAATGGAAGAAAATTTTTCCAATCTATCTATCTAACAAAGGTCTAATATCCAGAGTCTACCAGGAACTTAAGCAAATTTACAAGAAGAAAACAACCCCATTAAAAAGTGGGCAAAGGACATGAACAGACACTTCTCAAAAGAGGACATACATGCAGCCATCAAACAAAAAAAGCTCAACATCAGTGATCATTAGAGAAATGCAAATCAAAACCACAGTGAGATCCTGTCTCACACCTGTTAGAATGGCAATTACTAAAAAGTCAAAAAACAACAAATGCTGGTGAGGTTGCAGAGAAAAAGGAATCCTTTTACACTGTTGGTGGGAATGTAAATTAGTTCAACCATTGTGGAAGACAGTATGGTGATTCCTCAAAGACCTAGAGGCAGAAATACCATTTGACCCAGCAATCCCATTACTGGGTATATACCCAAAGGAATATAAATCATCCTGTTATAAAGATACATGCATGTGCATGTTCACTGCAGCACTATACACAATAGCAAAGACATGGAATCAACATAAATGCCCATCAATGATAGACTGGATAAAGAAAATGTGGTACATATATACCATGGAATACTATGCAGCCATAAAAAGGAATGAGATCATGTCCTTTGGGACACAGATGGAGTTGGAAGCCATTATCCTCAGCAAACTAATGCAGGAACAGAAAGCTAAACACCACATGTTCTCATTTATAAGTGGGAGCTGAATGATGAGAACCCATGGACACATGGCAGGGAACAACACACATTAGGGCCTGTCAGTGGGTAAGGGGTGGGAGAGCATCAGGAAGAACAGCTAACACATGCTGGGCTTAATACCTAGGTGATGGGATGATCCAGCAAACCACCATGGCACACATTTACCTATGTAACTAACCTGCACATCCTGCACATGTACCCCTGAACTTAAAATAAAAGTTGAAAAAAAAGATTTAATTTGAACTCAGGTGATCTGTTTACATATAATTATACAATGTAAAAAGATGGAGGGAAGTTTGTCATTAAAAAATGATGGCATTTGACAATAACATAATTGCACACTTTAAATTTTAATGTTATACATTGCAACATTATCTTATAAAATAAAAACTACAATAATCTATAAAAAACCTTGAGCTGATGGTTCTGTGTTTATGTGACACATATGTCTTTAATACTGTGAAGAAACAGTGGTTTCTGTATATTAACAATGAACAATCTGAAAAGAAAATTAAGGAAACAATTTTGCTTATACTAGCATCAAAATAAATAACACATTTAGGAATAAACCTAAACAAAAATGTGAAAGACGCATACACTAAAAATTATAAAACATTGCTGAAAGAAATTAAGAAGATGTGAATAAATTGAAAAATACCTCATGTTCATGGACTGGAAGACTTAATATTGTTAATATGTCCATACCACCCAAAGTGATTACAGATTTAATGCAATTTCTATCAAAATTCCAATGGCATTTTTTTTAGAAACAGAAAAATTTATCCTAAAATCCATATGGAATCTCAAGGTACCCTGAATAGCCAAAACGATTTGGAAAAAGAACAAAGTTGGAGGATACATACTTTCTGATTTCAAAATATATTACAAAACTACAGTAATCAAAACAGTGTCATACTGGGATAAAGAAAGATATGCAGACCAATGGAACAGAGGTGAGAACTCAGAAATAAACCCTCACATATATGGTCAAGTGATCTTCAACAAGGATACCAACACCACTTAATGAGAGAAGAGCAGCCTCTTCAACAAATAGTGTTGGGAAAATTGAATAGCCACATGCAAAAGAATAAAGTTGGACCCTTCTCTTATACCATACACAAAAGCTAGCTCAAAATGGATTAAAGACCAAATGAAAAACCCAAAACTATAAAACCCCTAGAAGAAAACCTAGGGGAAAATCTCCATGACATTGGACTTGGCAATGATTTCTTGAATACAACACCAATAGCACAGGCAAAAAAAGATAAAATAGACGAATGGGATTATATCAAATTTAAACAATTCTTGTTCATCAAAGGAAGCAATCAACAAAGTGACAAGGCAACCTACAGAATGGAAGAAAATATTTGCAAATCATATATGTGATAAGGGGTTAATATCCAGAATACATAAAAACTTCTACAACTCAACCACAAAAAATCAAATGAACCAATTAAAAAATAGGCAAATGAATTAAATAAGCCTTTCTCCAAAGAGATACAAATGGTCAACAAGCGTATGAAAAGCTGCTCAATGTTACTATTTATCAGAGAAATGCAAATCAAAACTACAATGAGATATTATCTCACACTCTTAGGATGGTTACTCTAAAAAAAAAAAAAACAATAAACATAAAATACCGAGTGTTGATGAGGAGGTGGAGAAATTGGAACCCTTATGCACAATTGGTGGGACTGTAAAATTGTGCAACTGCTATGGAAAACAGTATAGAGGTTCCTCAAAATATTAAAAATAGAACTACCATATGATCCAGCAATTCCACTTCTGGATATATATCCAAATAATTTGAAGTCAGTATATTGAAAAGATATTTGTACATTCATGTTCAGAGCAGCATGATTCTCTATAGTCAAGAGCTACAAGCAACACAAATGTCCATTGACATGAATGGATAAACAAAATGTAGTAAATTCATAAAATGGAATATTATTCAGCCTTAAAAAGTAAGAAAGTTCTGTCACATACTGCAACATAGATGAACCATGAGGACATTATGCTAAGTAAAATAAGCCAGTTAACAAAAAGACAAATACTGTGATTCTGCTTACATGAGGTATCTAAAGTAGTCAAATTCATAGAGACAGAAAGCAGAATGGTGATTACCTGGGGCTGGAAGCAAAAGAAAATGAGGATTTTTTAAATGGGCATAGAGTTTCAGTTTTGCGAGATAAAAAAGTTCTGGAGATCTGTTTCACGACAATGTGAATGTACTTAATGCCACTTAAAAATGGTTAAGATGGGCCGGGTGTGGTGGCTTATGCCTTTAATCCCAGCACTTTGGGAGGCTGAGGTGGGCAGATCATTTGAGATCAGGAGTTCAAGACCAGCCTGGCCAACATGGCAAAACTCCATCTCTACTAAAAATACAAAAATTAGCTGGGCGTGGTGGCGCACGCCTGTAATCCCAGCTACTTGGGAGGCTGAGGCAGGAGAATCACTTGAACCCAGGAGTCGGAGGTGGAAGTGAGCAGAGATGGCGCCACTGCACTCCAGCCTAGGCAACACAGTGAGACTCCGTCTCAAAAAAACAAAAAAAAAGGTTAAGATGTTAAATTTTATGTTATGTGTTTTTTCACAATAATAATAATAATAATAAAACCTCCCCTCAAAAAAACAAAAAGAAAAAGTAGAATGGGGAGAAGCAATTTTTTAAATCAAATTATATATCACTCATGACATTCAAAAGAAGATAAGCTGAATACAAGTAAATTTTCTTTGGTGCATTAAGAGCTACTGTTGAAGAATTAACTTTGACACAATTTCCTTTGTGGGAAAGTTTGTGTTTGGCATCATTTTGAGGCAGTAGATGATGATTGACAAATACTGTCAGAGCACCTCCTATGCACTTCAGGTGCTAATGAAAACAACAGCTGCAGGGCCTTTTAACCGCCCCAGGAACTTTGAAAGCACCATGGGAGTATGGCACAAATTTCAGCTTCAGGGATGTTGATATTATGGCATGTTGGATCTGTAGGGATATGAGGTGCATTTAGTTACAAAATTTTAGTGACAGCTTAAAATTTTAGTAGGTCTTTGCGGTTTTAAAGATGTGTGGCTAAGTATTTTGCTTAAGATAGAATGTTCGGCATTATATAGCTTAAAGAGGTATCAGAGAAAAGTAATAGTCATTGCTAAAAGAAGAAAAAGACATAGGTGTATGTGGCAAAGAAATGATGTAGAATAGAGAAACTTACTGCACTCTAAGCTGCCCTATCTGTGAGTGTAATAAGGCAAATAGCTAACATGTGTAGAGACCAGCTGTGAGCCATCTCCCTTACTCCTCATGGCACAGGAGCAGCCCTAGGAAACAGAAAGACAACAGGATCCGTTGAGAAGCAATTGATTTGGGTACAAAAAGCCCATCCTTTTGACAACGAAGCTATATTTCATATACAAACACAGGCATGGGTATATCTAGGCATGCTGTGTGTATTTGTTGTCAGTACAGTTGTCCCTCTGTATCATTAGGGGATTGGTTCCAGAACGTCCACATATGCCAAAATCCAAGCATACTCAAGTCCTGCAGGGGCCCTGCAGAATCCAAGTACAGGAAAAGCCGGCCCTCTTTATATACTTGGGAATACTGTATTTTTGATCCAGGTTTGGTTGAAAAATCCACACATGGCCGGGTGCAGTGGCTCACGCTTGTAATCCCAACACTTTGGGAGGCTGAGGCGGGCCGATCATTTGAGGTCAGGAGTTCGAGACCAGCCTGGCCAACATGGTGAAACCCCGTTTCTACTAAAAATACAAAAATTAGCTGGACGTGGTGGCAGGCGCCTATAATCCCAGCTACTCAGGAGGCTGAGGCAGGAGAATCGCTTGAATATGGGAGGCAGAGGTTGACGTGAGCCAAGATCGCACCACTGCACTCCCGCCTGAGCGACAGAGTGAGACTTCAAAAAAAAAAAAAAAAATACATAAATAAGAAAAAGAAAAAGAAAAGACAGAAAACTCCGCACATAAGTGAACCCATGCAGTTCAAACTCATGTTGCTCAAGAGTCAGCTTTATATTATGTAAATGCCAAACTATTAATTGGTTTAAACCTTGGTCATTTGATAATTTATTTTGTTAAGCTCATTTCTTTAGCCTCATCTACATAATTAGAGGGATGAATAAATAATTTAGAGTATATCATACTAAGAAATACACTGAAACCATTAAAAAGAACAATGTAAGTACAGCAGGTCCTCAAATAATGCCATTTTGTTCAACATTGTTTTGTTATCATGTTGATGAGGAAAAAAAGAAATCACTTCCTGGCTGGGACCACTGACCACGTGGAGTTTGCACATTCTGCCCATGTCTGCACGGGTTTTCCCTGGGTACTCCAGTTTCCTCTCACCTCCCAGAGAGCCGCGCATTAGGTGAGTTGGCGTGTCTGAAGTGTCCCGGTCTGGGTGAGTATGGGTGTATGACAGTGCATCCTGCAATGGGATGGTGTCCTGTCCAGGGCTGGTTCCTGCCTTGACTCTGCGCTGCCTGGAGAGGCTCCAGCCAGTCTGGACCGTAAAATGGAATAAGCAGGTAAATAATATAATTAGCTTGCTTTTATTAATCTTTCTTAAATGTGTATATCGTTTACCTTTATTTCAAATTTTAATATGGAAAGTGTTTTGGTCTTTATTTAGAAGTTTGTTGGTTTTTCTGACCAGAAATATGCCATAGAAACTTAACTCTTATTTATATCAATCAGCCTCTGGTAAAATTAGTTTCATTACACATTGGTTTCCTTAAAGTCACAGGCAGTTTCTAAGAATCTATCCACGATGTTAAGTGAGGACTTACCATACTGACATGGAAAAATTGTCTAGGTATAATGTATTTTTTAAAAGTCACAGAACTTGTATACAATGATTCCAATTATATTTTTTAAATGGTACAAGAAGATAGTTACCAATCGCTACTGCTAGTAATAGCAGAGGAGTAAACAGGGTGGGTCACATGAACCCACCCTTCAAATAACATTTATAAAAACTGGGTAAAATAAAATAAAAAAATTTTAAGACAGTGAGTCTGTCTTAAAACTGGATCTGACTGAAGCTGCAGGAGAGTTTAAGTACAAAAACCTGCAATTAGAAGGGGTAAAATGAGTTTGTGGCTTTCTGGCCCAAGGGCATGGCCCAATCCCTGTGTCTACGGCTACAGAAAATTGTGGAAGAAAACCACATCTTTATTAGTTAAAGGTGCCAGAGATAAGAGTTGAGGGGTGGAAAAGCAGCTGGAAATTTAAAGGGACAATCCTGGCAGGGAAAGAGTAAGGGAAAAAGTGAAACACAAGTTCTAAACATAAACTCTGCCCAAATCCCTGACTAACAGCCAAACTCCAAAGGCATGGAGGAGACCCTAGTGGCCCACAAAATAAGCATGCAGAAAAAAGTCTAGTCCTGAAAGACAAAATTACATGAGGCCAGATCTATGGCTTCGCTGTCTCTTCTTTTCTTTTTTCTTTTCTTTTCTTTTCCTTTTCCTTTCTTTGCTTTTCCTTTCCTTTCCCTTCTTTTCTTTTCCTTTCCTTTCCTTTCTTTTCTTTTCTCCTCTTCTCTTTTCTTTTCCTTTCTTCCTTCCTGCTTCTTTCTTTCTTCCTTCCTTCCTTTCTTTCTTTCCTTTCTCCCTCCTTCCTTTCTTCCTTCCTTCCTTCCCTCCATCCCTTCTCCCTTCCCTTTCCTTTTCTTTTCTTTCTCTAAGCACATTCCCAACCATGCAACAACTTGGGCTGCAGGAAGGTGAATCATTATGGCCCTGAAAAATAGAGAACAGAATAAAGAATAAAGAACAGCAGAGCAGCTGGAAACGAGGGGGATACCTAGAAACAAAGAAACCACTGAGAGGCTGAGCCCTGTCTATGCCCAAAGACATGACTGACTGACAAATAATGCAGTGGCAAGTCCAGAGAGCAGCAAAGGAGCACCCTGAGAACTGAGCACAGTCTCAGCAGCGCATGTGAAAGAGGAAAGTTAGCAGCTGGAATTCACACACATCAACTGTCTCATAGAATAAAAACCTGTCATCCTCAGAAGAACATCGCAAAATCCAGTTACCACACTGTATTAAATACAATGTCCAGTCTCTAAACAAAAAATACTGAACATGCATAGAAACAGAAAAGTGTGACCATACTAAGAAAATAAAGGCAATCTATATAGAATTTGACTCCAAGCTGGTTCAGATGTTGGAATTTGCAAACAAAGGCTACAAACAGCAATTATAAAGAGATTTAAAGTTCTAAAGGAAAATATGGTATCAGTGAATAATAGAATAGGGTATATCTACATAGAAATGAACACTCTAAAAAATAGAATTTCTAGAAGTAAAAACTACAAAAACTGAAACTTAAATTTAACCGATAGGGCTTAATGACAGATTGGAAATTGTAAGGGGGAAGTAGATAAATAGAACCTACCCAAGCCAAAACAAGCAGAAAAAATGCTGAAGAAAAATGAACAGTATTTCAATGAAATACACTATATTAGTGGCCTAAAACAAACTATCATCATATCACTAAATACAGAAAAGGTATTTGACAAAATTTTACATATATTTCTGATAAAAACAAAAACAAAAAAACTTGCTGGAAATTAGAAAGAAACTTTCTCAGGTGGACAAAGTGCCTTTATGAAAAACTTATAGCTACACCATGCTAATGTTAAAGATTTTTTTTTCCCCTAAGGTTGGAAACAAGGCAAGGATGTCCACTATCATCCTTCTATTAAACTTCTATTCACGTTATTCTAGGAGATTCTAATCAGTGTAATAAGTCAAGAAAAATAAATAAAAGGTATATGGATCGGAAAGGAAGATGTGAAACTATCTTTATTTGCATACAACATGACCATCTATGTAGAAAATCGAATGAGAATCTACAAAAAAAAATCACTAGGACTAATAAATAAGTACAGCATATTCACAGGATAGAAGTCAATACCCAAAATCAATTTTTTTTTACTATATTGGCAACAAACAATTAGAAATTGAAATTGTAGAAAAAGTGCCATTTACAATACATCAAAAAGCAAGAAATAATTAGGGATAAATTTGACAAAAGATGTGCAAGACCTGTACACTGAAAATGACAAAACATTGCTGAAAGAAATTAAAGAAGTCCCAAATCGATGGAGAGATATGCTGTGTTCATTGATCAAAGGCATCAAATATTGTCAAGATGTCAATTTTTTCCTAAATGAATAAATTGAATCGACACAACCTTATTCAAAATGTCAGCAGGCTTTTCTTGCATAATTGACAAGCTGGCAATAAAACTCATATGGAAATGCACAGGACCTATAACTTCCAAAACAGCTTTGAAGAAGGGCGAAGTTAATATCGAAACTTTTTATATGCCGTAATCAGGCAGTTTCAACCCCTATGTCATTCTGTAGCAAAAAAATTAATATGAGATGTATCATAGCCTTAAAAGTAAATAATCTATAACCTATATACAGCTTCTAGGAAGATAGGTAAGTATTCTTAGAACTACAAAAACACTAATCATACTAACAAAAATATTGATAAATTGGACTTTATGAAAATTATAATTATTATTATTTTGTTATTCAAGAGCCATCATTGAGAAAATAAATAGGCAAGTCACAAACTGGAGAACATATCTACAGTACATATCTGATGAAGTACTTATGATATATACAAATAATAATTTTAAAATTTCATTTTTTAAATGGGCAAAAAACTTGACAAAAGAAGACATATGAATGGCCAACAAGCACAAGAATGGTAGGTGAATTTCATTTGTCATCTGGAAAATGCAAATTAAAACCACAATGTGATATAATTTTACAGCCACTAGAATGATTTTTAAAAATGAAAAAACTGACAACAACAAATGTAGAGAGAATATGAGCAGTTGAAAGTCTTATACATTGCTGGTGGGTGTGTAAAAAAATGGTGAAAGCAATTTGGAGAAATGTTTGGGAGTTTCTTATAAAATTCAACATATATATCCCTTATGACTCAACAGTTACATTTCTAGGTAGTCCCCAAGAGAAATGCAAACATATGTTAACAAAGAACTTGCAAAAGAATATTCCTAGCATTCTTATTTACAAAAGCCAAAAATTGGAAAAACACCTATCAATCCACGAAGAGAATGATTAAACAAACTATCATATATTCACATAATAGAATACTTCTCAAAACTTTTTTTTTACTACTGATAACTGCAAAAATATGCTTGAATCTTGCAATCAGATATTAATCTGATTGCAGCAAATGAACAACAAAAAAAGAGTATTTACTGTAGGTTTCAAAATTTGGGCTCCTATGACCTTCATGATGCTGTTATATTCATGAATATGTTACATTATGTGGCCAAAGGGACTTTGTGGATGTAATTATGGTTACTCATCAGTTGACCTTAAGATAGGGAGATTATTCAGGATTTTCCTAGTAGAACCAATTAATCACAGGAAATCTTAAAAGCAGAGACCGAAGGGGAAGGCAGAGGAATTCAGAGCTTGAGAAGAACTCAGACTAGCTTGAGGAAAGAGGGGTCCGAGTGGAAAGGATGAGAAGAAAAGGAATTCTGTTGACAATCGGTGCTTGAAAGAAAACCAGATGAGATTCTTAGCTCAGCCAGCACCTTCGTTTTGGCCTCGTGAAACCCTGAACAGAGAATACAGCCATGCTCTGCTGGATTTCTGACCTATGGAAATGTAAGATAATAAATGGCTGTTGTTGGCCGGGCGCGGAAGCTCACGCCTGTAATCCCAGCACTTTGGGAGGCCAAGGCGGGTGGATCATGAGGTCAGGAGATCGAGACTATCCTGGCTACGACGGTGAAACCCCGTCTCTACTAAAAATACAAAAAATTAGCCCTGTGTGGTGGCGAGTGCCTGTAGTCCCAGCTACTCAGGAGGCTGAGGCAAGAGAATGGCGTAAACCCAGGAGGCGGAGCTTGCAGTGAGCCGAGATCGTGCCACTGCACTCCAGCCTGGGTGACAGAGCGAGACTCTGTCTCAAAAATAAATAAATAAATAAATAAATAAGAAAATAAAATAAATGGCTGTTGTTTTAAGCCTAAGGTTGTGGCAATTGGTTATGCAGAAATAGGTAACTAACACACTGTATTTTTCCATTTATTTAAATTACTAAAAGAGATAAAACTCTATGATGATAGAAGTTAGAAAGTAGTTGCCTCCCAAAGAAGAAAACCAAGTAAAAGAAGGAAATTTCTGAGATAATCGAAATGCTCTGTATATTGTTTTACATGGTGATTACCTGGTTTTATACAATTGTCAAAAACTCATTAAACTTTATATCTTCATTAAAACACACACACATATGATGAGACACCACAATACACCCACAAGAATGGATAAAATAAAAAAGACTGACAATAAATGTTGACATGGATGAAGAGAAACTCAAACTTTCATGCAGTGCTAGTGAGAGTTTAGAATGATAAAACCAGTGTGGAGAAGTGCTTGGCAATTTTTTATAAAGGTAAATATACATTCCCGCCATAACTCAGCAATTCCACTCATAGGAATTTATCTAAGAAAAGCAAAAACTTAGGTCCATAAAAAAGCATGCAGCAATGATCATGGCAGCCTTGTCCATAATGGCCTCAAACGGAAAATAACCTGATATCCATCATTAGGAGACTGGATAAGCAAATTGTAGGATATCCATACAGTTAAATACAACTCAGTGGTAAAAAGGAATGATACCCAGAGCAACAGAGATGAAACTTTAAAATATCATATTCAGCAAAATAATCCCCCCCACACACAAAAATACATACTGCTGATTCAGTTTATTTAAGTCAATAAACAATAAAACCTAACTACATGGTGACAGAAATCAGAAACCCAGTTGCCTCTGGGTTTAGGAGGTAGGTAATTAATTGAAAAGGGACACAAAGGAACTTTCTGAGATGATGAAAGCATATTTTGGTTTTGGTGGTAAAAAGTGTTCAATGACATCTGGGAAAGCATGGTGAGGAAGATTTTATTCAGAGCCACGGAGACAATATCAGTATTTATAGCAGTAAATAATTGTCGAAACTTATTAGACTGAATATGTAACTCCTGTGAATTATGTAGTCTGTAAATCGCCTCATTAAAAAATGAAAACAAAAATCCTAAGAATGTAGGAATAGTATATAGTTAGACATCCTTTACTCTAGTTGATGCACTTAATTGTTGAGTGCCTACTGTGCCCCTGGCCCTTGCTGAGCCCTGAAACTGAAAGACCATTTGGGTTTGACATTCTCTGTCCTATCTTAACAGATGTGCTTCAGACCAGACATAGTCCTTTTAATGATCAACTTCATCATTTCAAACACGTCTTCTGGCCAGGCGCGGTGGCTCACGCCTGTAATCCCAGCACTTTGGGAGGCCAAGGCGGGCAGATCACCTGAGGTCAGGAGTTCGAGACCATCCTGGCCAACATGGTGAAACCCCAACTCCACTAAAAATACAAAAATTAACTGGGTGTGGCAGTGTGTGCCTGTAATCCCAGCTACTCGGGGAGGCTGAGACAGGAGAATCGCCTGAACCTGGGAGGCAAGGTCACCATGAGCCAAGATCGTGCCTCTGCACTCCAGCCTGGGCAACAGAGCTAGACTCCATCTCAAAAAAAAAAAAAAAAAGTAAAAAAAATTAAAAATAAATAAATATAAATAAACCGGTCTTTATGACATTGATTGTAGAAAGTTACATATTATAAATATACATTGAACCTGAAACATTTGTATTTCCAACAACTACAGTTTGAAACAAACTATAGCTTTTTTTTACAGGAAATGGAAAATTGTGTATCTAAGGTATGGTTTTATTGAGAATACTGAGCCCACTCAAACTTTATGGGGTTGAAAACTTTTAATTAAGCTAAGGGAAGATAGGTTTAGATTTCTGTTTCACTTTTTCTCTTCCAGCAGCATTTGTCTACTATGGATCATTTATTCACTGCTTCTATACTTCCTGATATTATCCTAGATAAGTCTTAAATATTTTATGTTAGTGATTCTAAAGATTTAAAAGTTTTACAGAAAGAGTAGAGGAATTGTTATAGAGATAGAAAGCTTGAAAATTCCATTTTGCCTTTGCAGAGCATTTTGCTTCAAGATTTAAAGCAGGGTACAGTTCACAAAGGGAGAAATACAAATGACCAATAAATATGACAAAAGTTAAACCATTCTAATAATAAAGAAAAATAAACTAAGAATTAAATGCCATGTTTTTACCTCTCAAGTTATCAAAGACTTTTAAAAGTGACATTATCCAGATTTGGCTGGGGTATAGTGTAGATTGCCGGTGGAAATGTAAACCGGCACTATTTTTGGAAGAGCAATATGGTCATAGGCATCAATAGCCTTTACATGCAGGCAGCTCTTTCTTTGCATGATGCCATGTTTTTCAGAAACTCAATGATATCAGAACTGTGCAAAATGAGGAGTGTCTGTATTGCTTTAGATCCAAAAATTCTACCTCTAGAAATCTATTTTGAGAAAACAAATAGGGATGCATAAAAAGATTACCATATATATATATTTATTGGGGCATTGTTTATAATTTTCAAAATAATCTACATATCCAACCATAAGGAATAAGTTAAGTAAATTATGGTGTTTTCATATAGTGGAAACTATATTCCATATGCTCCATAAAAATCATGTTTTCAAACAATAAAGACATTTGGAAATGCTCATTCTATAATCTTCAATAAAAAATCATGATACAAAAATTACATACAGAATGATCTCAATTTTATGTGCATCTATACAGTCATGTTCCCAAGCACATACACACATGTAAGTAATTTAAGTTAAGTAAACATGTTAAGAAGGCTCTTCCTGAGTGATGAGATTATGAGTAATCTGTAATTTTTCTTAAAGGTTCTCGTACTTTGTTAAGGAAAAAATTATCTGATGATACTTGTTAAAGCACAGTAAGGCAGACTTTATTCAGGAGCATTGTGAAGGTATAGGAACCATGGCAACAGAGTCTTGCAGTGAGACAGAGAGATGTGTGCTCGATTCCAAATATGGCATGGGCAAGTGGGAATTTATAGCCAAGCAGCAGGGTGGGGGTCAGTGGATGGAAAATTACCAGGAGGAATTATCAGGGGTAAGGGGAATTCTGGCTAACCCAATGTAATGTGATTTTTGCTGAAGACAGGCCAGGGTGATCAGACATCACCCAGGGTGGTTAGGGGAATGGTATAGGATGAGGAACCCGATCAGATATCAAGGGTGATCAGATATTGAGGATGGGACCACTTGCTAAACCAACTGAGCAGGGCTCTTTTCTAAAACTGGATTTTACAAGGAAGTGCCCAGATGGGGCTAGGGGAAGTTTCAGGAGACTGACTAAAGTTTGGCCAATCAGAGAATCTTTGTCAACTTCCCCAGTCTTTGTCATAAAACTGGATTTTTTTTATATTTAAGTTCTTTCAAGAAATACATTGATATACTTTGTAGCACATTTTTAAAATCTGGAACTATATAAAGGAAAATGTAAAGTTCTTGTACAGAAGTGATCGTCCAAACCATTTGTTCCATATTTGCATATGTATAACAGTATATTTCCATTTTGTAAAAATGACTTCATTGAAATATAACCTACAATACAGTACAATAATCTACATCAATTTTAAGTGTATAATTTCATGAGTTTGGCAGATGTACATTCCAGTAAACCTCATCATAATCCAAGCAGAACCCTCCCATTACCCCCAAAAGTGTGTTCATGTCCCTTTGCAGTCCAATGCTCCCTCCTCTAATCAATTTTTTGTTACTATAGATTAATTTTTTTCTAGAAATTTATATAAATGGAATTATACAGTATATACATATATATAGTCTTTTCTATCTAGCTTCTTTTACCCATCATTATAGTTTTGAGATTCATCCATGTGGAGATATACATATATGTAAATTGTTCCCTTCTTTTTATTGCTGAATTGTATTTAATTGTATGGATGCACTGGATAACCCACATTCTGCTTATCCATTTACCTGCTGAAACATTTGGGTTATTTCTAGTTCTTTACTATTATGAATAAATCTGCTATGATCATTTGTCTATAAGTATTTGTGTAGACAGATGTTTTCATTTTTGGGGACATATACACCTAGGAGTGTGTAATAGTCTAGGCTTTCCAGAGGAACAGAAGCAATAGGAGATGCAGATTGAGTATATCTAATCTGAAAATCCAAAATCTGAAATGCTCCAAAATCCAAAACTTTATGAGCCCTAATGTAATGCTCAAAGGTCCATGCTCAAAGGAAATGCTTATTGGACCTTGTTGGGGGGGGTGGGGGTGTGTGTGTGCACGCGCGCGCATGCATGAGCGCATGTTCAGGCTAATTTCTTATAGTAAACACATATGTACATAAATATAAAATATATAGATATGTGTGTATGTACATATATATTAATATTTACTATAAGGAATTGGCTCGTGTGATTACTGGGGCTGAGAAGTTCAAGATCTGCAGTTGCCAAGCTGGGAACTCAGGAGAGCCAAGGGTGTAAGTTCTAATCTGAGAAGACCCATGTCCACGTCTGAAGACAGGCAGAGAAAGAATTCTTTATTACTCAGCTTTTAATTCTATTCAGACCTCAAACAAATTGAATGGGGCTCACCCACACTGGGGACAGCAATCTGCTTTACTCGGTCTACAGATTCAAATATTATTCTCATCCAGAAACACCCTCACAGACACACTCAAAATAATACCTTGCCAAATACCTGGGCAACCCAAGATGTGGTCAGCTTAACACGTAAAATTAACCATCACAGAGTGGAATGGATGGGTCAGGTGGTAGGTGTATGTTTGCCTTTTTAAGAAACTATAAAAATGTTTCCAAAGCACGTGGACAATTTTACATTCCCACCAGTAGCATATGAGAGGTGTATTTCCTACACATTTTACCAACACCTGCTATAGTCAGTCTTTTTAATTTTAGTCATTCTAATAAGTGTGGAGTGTTATCTCATTGTGGTTTTAATTTGCATTTTCCTGATGAATAATGATGTTGAGCACATCTTCCTGTATTTGTTTGCTATCTGTGTATGTCCTTTGGTAAAGTGTCTGTTCAGATTTTTTGCCTGATTTTTAATTGTGTTGTTTCTTTTCTTATTATTGAGTTTTAAAAGTTCTTTACATATTTTGGCTATAAATCCTTTATCATATATAGGCTTTAGAAATATTTTCTGCCAGTTTGCAGCTTCTCGTTTCATTCTCTTAATTGTGTCTCTCCAAGAATAGAAGTTTTAGATTTTGATGTAGTTCAATTTGTCTTTTTTTTTTTTTTATGGACTATGCTTTTGTTGTTGGATCTCAGAAATTTTTGCCTAACCCAATGTAACAAAAATGTTCTCCTATGTTTTGTCTAGAAGTTTTATAGATTTACTTTTTTTTTTTTTTTTTTTTTGAGATGGAGTCTTGCTCTGTTGCCCAGGCTGGAGTGCAGTGGCGCGATCTCGGCTCACTGCAAGCTCCGCCTCCCAGGTTCACGCCATTCTCCCGCCTCAGCCTCCCGAGTAGCTGGCCTCCCGAGTAACAGGCGCCCGCCACCACGCCCGGCTAATTTTTTTTTTTTTTTTTGTATTTTTAGTAGAGATGGGGTTTCACCGTCTTAGCCAGGATGGTCTTGATCTCCTGACCTCGTGATCCACCCACCTCGGCCTCCCAAAGTGCTGAGATTACAGGCGTGAGCCACCGCGCCCGGCCTAGATTTACATTTTACATTTATATATGAGATTCATTTTTAGTTAATTGTTGCATATGAAGGAAGGTATAGATCAAAGTTGGGGTTTTTTTGTATACAGATATGTAAATGTTCCAGCACCATTGTTGCAAAACTATCCTTTCTCTACTGAATTGCCTTGGCACTGTCAAAAATTTGTTGTCCATATATGTGAAAGTCTATTACTGGACTGTCTTCTGGACCTAATGTCTGTGTCATTATCTCTTTGTGTATCTTCGTGCCAATATCAAACTGTCTTGATTATTGAAGCCTTGCACTTTGAAATCAGGTCGTCTTAGCCCTCCAACTTTGTTCTTCTTTTTCAAAATGAATTTGCCTATTTTAGGTGCTTTTCATTCCTGTGAACTTTAGAGTTAGCTTGTCATTTCCTACAAAAACAAACAAACAAAAAAAGCCTGTTGGGATTTTGATTTGGACTGCGATGAATCTATCAATTTGGAGACAACCGATGTCTTAATAATATTAAATCTTTCACCCATGAACATGGTATTAGTAACTATTTATCTATCATCTATCTATAAACATTGTTAAAACAATCAAACACTGCTGATACATATACACGTTTTGTTGTATGCTGACCATTTCATGTAGAAACAACGATAGTGACTGAAGCAAATAATACTGATGCCTATAAAATGGCAAAGCCCTGGTTCTGTCAGTCCCCTGTGATTGGAGACAGGGCCCATCTGATCTCTGTGTAGTTGGGCTGGGTCTGAGCTTTGTCACAGCTTATTGTGATTCAGTTCATGGCTGGTTTTAATATCTGAAAAGTAGAATCAGTACTTTTCTCTCAGTGTATCTTGGAATCCTAGAGACAGTAAGACTCTGGAAAGTTCTCCAAGCTTCACACAGCCCAGCCCCCAACTTTCCAAACTGTGGGAGTTCTCTTTATGCCTTACAGCCCAGCCACCAACTTCTTGGGTTGCTGGGGCCTTTTCTTTGCCTAAACTCTGCCTCCACATCTCAGAGCCTTAAGATAGCTCTTCCTCCAGCATTCAATAGGTGGCTACAATGTACTCAGTAGAGACCTTGTGTAGGGAGGGTGGAGGTAGGGGTGAGGTGGGTGGGTAGGGTTGAGGGGATTGGAGAGTTGAAAGGGTTTTCGGGAGCATCTATTTCTCTCAGTTCTCCTGCTTTGCCTCTGGCTACTGCAGGCTGCTGCCTTGCATTTGGTGAAAGCCTCGTGCTTTCTAGGAGGGGATTTCTTTCAGCTTTCCTGCCTTACCCCCAGTGTGTAATGGGGACTGCCTTGCAATGGATGAACCTCACATGCCTTGGAGAATCCCTCTTGCTTCTCCTGCCTTGCTTCCTGTGCTCAGTGGGCTACTTTCTTGTACTTTGGGAAGACCTGGTGTACCTGGGGAGGGTATTTCTCAGTTCTCCTACCCTGGCACCAGCTTTCAGTGTACGACTCCCATCCACTCAATGGAGGCTGGGTGGGTACAGACTAGTTCTATTCCTGGGGTACCTTGTGATTCTACTCTGTTATGCCAACCCATATACAATCATCCAAAATTTGTTTAAAGATAGGCTGGTTTCTCCCTTCCTCTTCTGTGCTCCTTCCAACATGTCCCTAGGAACAAAAGCAGCTGTGGGACTCTTCTCTCTAGGAAGAGCTTGATCCTTTTGGAAATGTAGTTAATTTGAGGGATTTTTTTCTTTTTTTTTTTTTTTTTTTTGGCTCCTGGGTTCTCTGATGAGTGTGAAACATGCAAATGAAAGCAACAACAAATAAAACTGTCATTTGTAGTGCTTCTGGTCTGTTCTCATGGTTAGAGTAAGAGTGATAGACTCCTGCAAATTTCTGCATCTTATAAAAGAGTGGAGGCTTGTCCCCTCATTGGGTTTTGTACATTGTCTTTGGGCTGTAGGTTGTACCTGTCACTAAGGTACCTTAAATAAACATACACACACATTTCGTTTTTTAAAAATGGCTAAGTCAAGCCTCTAAGTTCAACATCCAAACTCCATGTGAAGGAGTTTCAACTTTCTTTGGTTTTCAAAAATCCCCTCTAAGATCTTCCATATTTGTGATGGAATTTACATAAAACATTTATTCAAAAAAAAGTTATTGAATACCTAGTATGCACTAAGGGCTGTTTCAGGACCTGGAGATGCAAGATAACAGTGCCATGGAGCTAACGTTCTAGTGGACTTCTGGAAAAACTAAGGGATCGTGACTTAGCTGTGACTGCAAGTCACATATGCAAGTTCACCACAGTTGACCTTTTGAAACAGTCATTTCAGGAGTTAAATTATAAGGAAAATTCATTCCAGACCTCTGCTGAAATAAACAATGCTTCTAAATTCTATAGAGATGTGTAGCCAGTGGGGAGCTGTCTGACTACATCAGTTTACAGACTTCTTTCAGCAAAATCAGAGATCCACATGGAAAACCAAGTATTCAGGAGCCTCTATGTATATTACAGCATGCCCTGGGGCCTCAAGCAGTCTCCTTTATGTGTAATTTTTTCATCTGTGACAGATTTAATGTGGATAATAATGCTTACTTAATAAGCAATCCAGTATAATTTAACAGAAGTTACTAATGTAAGTTCAAATGAGTTTTCATTTACAATTTTAAGAACACCATGTGTATGACAGGAAAACAGTGGGTGAAGAGCTGATCTAAAAAGCAAAAATGGTAACATCCTGAATTATGCCATAGAATCCATTTATTTTGATTAACCAGCTGAGACTATGAAAGGTGGAAAATGCATTTCATGGTAGATATACTTTAGGTATAATACTAAGAACTTAAACCAAAGGATTGTACCATTCACCTGACATATCATAAGACATGAAATCATGTTTACTTACATACTTTTAGTTTATCCATTAAAAAAAGAGTCAGCAAACTTTCTCTAAAGGTCCAGGTTGTAAATAGTTTAGGCTTTGCAGACTATAGTTTCTGTTGCAACTACTCTATTGTAGCATGAAAGCAGTCAGAGACAATAAGTAAATAAATGGGCAAGGCTGTGTTCCAATAAAACTTTATTTACAAAATCAGGCAGTAAACCAGATTTGGCCTGTGCACTGTAGTTTATCAACCCCTAGACCATCCTGGCTAACATGGTGAAACCCCATCTCTACTAAAAATACAAAAATTAGCCAGGTGTGGTGGTGGGCACCCATAGTCCCAGCTACTCGGGAGGCTGAGGCAGAAGAATCACTTGAACCCGGGAGGCAGAGGTTGCAGTGAGCCGAGATCACACCACTGCACTCCAGCCTGGCGACAGAGTGAGACTCTGTCTCAAAAAGTAACTAACTAACTAACTAAATAATAATAATAAAAATAAAATGTCATATTGGCATTGTAATTACACTCTCCAGAAGAAATTACAGGTTATGTACAAAATGTATTGCTCCATGACTGGCTACAGGCAGAATGGGTGGCTGTCTGTGTGTTATGACTCTATTAAAATATTACTGTATTATGGAAGTATTTCTAGACCTGTATGATGGAATTTTTTAGTGTGTATGATATCAATACATAATAACCCTGTGCCTGAGGGTGATTAGGGAGATAGATTCTCAATAGACTCTGATGTAGTAGGTTTCTTCTGAATGGGGAAGAATTGATTAGATTAAGATCACTTTAAAGCTGTAGTCAAGCTTGTCCAACCCATGGCCTGCAGGCTGCATGCAGCCCAGGATGGCTTTGGATGTGGCCCAACACAAATTCATAAACTTTCTTAAAACATGAGATTTTTTTGCGATTTTTTTTTTTTAGCTCATCAGCTATCAGTAGTGTTAGTGTATTTTATATGTGGTGCAAGAAAATTATTCTTCTTCCAGTGTAGCCCAGGGAAGCTGAAAGATTGGACACCCCTGATGTAGATGCTTTCAACACCATTCATTCATTCAACCAGCACAGATGTTGTTCACATCATGTTGGGAACTGGGGGTATAAAGAGAAATAGAAAATAGTGTATTTCCCCAGTGGCTCACAGTCTAGTGACAGAAAATGATGAAAACAAATAATTAGAGAAATGTAATAAATTCCGTAGTAAAAGCATGAACAAGGCACGCTGGTGTATTGCAAGGGAAGCTCTTAACTTTGCCTGCAGATATTAAAGAAGACTCTGTGGAGAAGATGACATTGGATTGGATTTTAAAGACTAAATGTTTGCCAGGCAAACAAATGGGGAAGATAATGCCAGGAGAACAGGCAATTTTATATTAGTTTCTTCACTTTCTTCTCACTCCTTGTTATCTGGCTTCTCCGTCTCCACAACTTTACTAACTCTTTTCTCCTGAAAGACTCCAATCCATAAGTGTTTCTAGGCTACGTTTTCTCCTTGACTATTCTGCTTCATTTCACGTCACTAACCACTATCTCTTCCTCTTTCCTTCTTTTGATTTCTTTTTAACAGATTCATGCTTTTGAATGATCATTCAGCTTGCAGAGTGGAGGATAGATGGTAAAAGGGAGACTGGCCAGGATTTTAATGTGTTGATCAAAGTAAGAAATGATGAGGGCCTGACCCAAAACTTGGAGTGCTAATTGAGAGGCAGCACAGATTCTGGAGTTATTAGACAAACTGGCTCCAGTGAATAGGGCCCATGAAATGAGAAGCTGGGGACAGGGGTGTGGGAGGGAAGGGTAAGGGTCATGTCTGACCCCACCAGATGTGCTGTGGGCTTGGTGTCTTGGAGCAGGGGTCCGCAACTCTTAGGCTATTGACTAGTACCGCTGGTTCACAGCCTGTTAGGAACCAGACTGCACAGCAGGAGGTGAGTGGCAGGTGAGTGAACATTACCACCTGAGTTCTGCCTCCTGTCAGATCAAGGGCAGCATTAAATTCTCAGAGGAGCATGAACCCTATTGTGAACTGCTCATGTGAGGGGTCTAGGTTGTGCTCTCATCTAATGCCTGATGATCTAATCTGACATGGAACAGTTTCATCCCAAAACCGCCACCCCCCACCCAATCCATGAAAAAATTGTCTTCCACGAAACAGGTCCCTGGTGCCAAAAAGGCTGGGGACTGCCTTGACAAAGTAATTGACTCTCTTCTTAGAGATGCTTTCACTCACTAACATAAAACAGATTCAAGGATATTTTTCTCACATTTTAAAAGTATTATTTTTAAAGTTAAAATACATATAACAAAAAAAGAACCGCCTTAACCATTTTTAAGTGTACAGTTCAGTGACATTAAGTACATTTACATTGTTGTGCACCAATCACAACCATCCATTTCCAGAACTTTTTCATCTTGCAAAACTGTAACTCTGTACCTACTAAACAATAACTCTCATTTTCCCCTACCCCTGCTCCTGGCAACCACCATTCTACCTTCTGTCTCGATGATTTCATTACTGTAATTACCTCATATAAGTGGATCCTATAGTATTTGCCCTTTTGTGACTGGTCTAGTTCACTTAGCATAATGTCCTTAAGGCTCACCCATGTTGTAGCATGTGTCATAATTTCCTTTTTAAGGCTGAATAATATTCCATTGTATAAACATACTACCTTTCGTTTATTCATTCATCTATTGATGGATACTTGGGTTGCTTCCACCATTTGGTTATTAATTTTACTCACTTTTTAAAGCTTAAAATAACATTTGTAAAATGCTTATACTATTTCAAATGAAAATATGTGCAACTTCTTAAATTTTTTGAAGTATGAATTATTATTTTTTCATTAATTATGTTAACAGTATAGAAAAAGAGAAAAGTGCCAAAAGTTGATATCAACCAGCACAAATTTTTCAAAATCTTGTTACTCTTCTTATTAACATTCTAATTATTCTTTTTGTCATTTTTTCTGCCTTTCACTTTCTTATTATGACCCAGTTAAGAGATTGGCTGTTACATATAATAGTCAAAATTTGTTATGATTATGATTTTATATACTCAGTCCTTGCTTTGTTTTACTTGAATCTTTGCCAAATTCCATGCTCACCATTACTTCTTGCATCCCAGTTCTTTCACTTTGTAATTTTCTTCTTCCATAAGTACATCCTTTAGTAGTTCTTTCAGTGAGGATCTAGTCAATTTCCCAGACTTTATTTCTCTGAAGGTCTATTTTGCCTTTACTCTTGAACAAAAAAAAAAAAAAGATCATAGCTAGACATATAGTGAAACTTCAGAACACCAAAGACAAGTCTAGAAACTTAACAACTTTAATACATACACATGTGGTATATGACAGAAGCAGCATTAGAAATTAGTAGTCTTAGCCAAGTGTGGTGGCTCACACCTGTAATTTCGGCACTTTGGGAGGCCAAGGCAGGCAGATTACTTGAGGCCAGGAGTTCAAGACCAGCCTGGCCAATATAGGGAAATCTTGTCTCTACTAAAAATTACAAAAATTAGTTGAGTGTGGTGGTGCATGCCTAGAATCCCAGCTACTTGAGAGGCTGAGGCAGGAGAATTGCTAGAACCCAGGAGGCGGAGTTTGCAGTTAGCCCAGATTGCGCCACTGAACACCAGCCTGGATGACAAAGCGAGACTCTGTCTCAAAAAAAAAAAAAGAAATTAGTAGTCTTGGATAAATGGGCTATTCAGATAGATAAAAGACCTAAATGTAAAAAAAAAAAAAAAAAACCAATATTGTAAAAGTTCGGAAGAAAGAAAATAATATCTTTATGACATTGGAGTGGGGAAGTACTTATTACATAAGATTTTAAAACATAAACCACAAAAAGAAAAGGAACTTGAGTATCTTAAAATTTAAAGCATACCTCTGCACAATAAATGAAATCATATAGCAAAAAAGCAAGATACAAACTAGTATATTTGCATATTACATAGCACATACAATTATTAGTATATAAACAATTCCAACAAATTAATGAGAAAATGTAATAACCTAATTTTTTAAATGAGCAAATAATATGAGTAGGCAATTTATGGGAGAAACTTGAATAACCAATAAACGTGAAAAATTGGTTAATCTCATTAGCTGTCAGATAAAACTAAAACAACATTAAGTTGACACTTTACACTCATTGGCTTGGCAAAGAAAACATTTCAATCTGACAACACAGAATATTGGTAAGAATGTGGGAGAAGAAGAGCTCTTAAAAATCATTAGTAAAGAGTAAATTTCTATAATCACTTTGACAAACAATTTAGCATCACTTAATAAAGATGATAACACACATAACATACAATCTAGGTTGTTCCACTTCTAGTTACAGATCCTGGAGAATGTCTCCAGTATGTGTAAAATGGAAATAGACACAGGCATTCATTGTACCACTTTTGTAAGTATATAAAAGGACTAACAACCTAACTTGATGAGTGACTAGATAAATAAAGTGTGGCTTACCATAGAATAGAATACCATGTAGCAGTTAGAATAAGGGTACTGGATACAAGTCAACATGGAAAAATCTTTAGAAAATGATCTGTGTTAAAAGCAAGTTGCAGAATGCCACTGCTCAGATTCCCTAGGAAACAGACCCTGTGACCATGAGAAGCATACAGAAAGTTTATTAGGGAGTGTCTTCAGGATTAACACCTGCGAGGAGCTGGGCACAGTGGCTCATGACTGTAATCCCAGCACCTTAGGAGGCTGAGGTGGGTGAATAGCTTGAGCCCAGGAGTTTGAAACAAGCCTGGCAATACTGTGCAACTACATCTCTACAAAAAATTTAAAACTAGCCATTGCATGGTGCCAAACGCTTGTGGTCCCAGCTACTTGGGAAGTTGAGGTGGGAGGATTGCTTGAGCCTGAGAGGTGGAGGTTGCAGTAAGTTGAGATTGCACCAGTACACTCCAGCCTAGGTGACAGAGAAAGACCTTGTCTCAACAACAACAACAAAACAAAACAACAAGAACAATGACAAAACAAAACCCTGCAAGGAGTGAGGAAAGCGAGACTGGCAGAGGGAGAAGTTAAACCACAGTGTAGTTGCAGCAGAGGCTTCAGTCAAGCCTGTGGGGAGCTCTGGAGCTGGGATCTCCCTTTAGAGTAGCCCTGAGTTGAGGCAAGAAGGCCAGATCTTCCTATTGAAGAAGGAATAGGAATTGTTTATTTACTAATAACTGTATGTGCTATGCAAATATACTGGTTTGTATCTTGCTTTTTCACTATATAATTTCATTTATTGTGCAGAGGTATTTTTTAAATTTTAAGATATTCAAGTTCATTTTCGTTTTGTGATTTATATTTTAAAATCTTATTTAATAAATACTTCCCTACTCCAATGTCATAAATGCCCTATCCCCTCTCCCAGTCAATGGTCAGTGGATGCTTGTAGGGAGGGTGTGTGACTTTGGGCAAGGCTTATGGCCAAAGGGAATTCTTGGTGAGAGATTCAACTGGAAGCTATTCTAAGCTTACATCTCCAAATGAGGGAGCAAGTGCCTTGTCCTGAAGATCTGGTGGGCCATGCCACAGTGTCTACCACCCAGAATGATCTGATTAGTATTAATATAATATTTGTGTCATTTTACAAACACACAAAAAGCAATACGCTAGTTATGTATATATAAATACATTAAAAATTGCAAACACTTGTATGGGAATTATACATCAATTTCACCATCATGGGTACTAATGAGGGAAAATGGAGGTAGAGACGGAGGTAGGGATGAGGTATCTGAGGCTTCAGCCATTCCTTTAATATTTATTCCAAGAAAGATGGGAGGAGAAGAGAGAGTTAAAACAAACATGACAAAATGTAAAAATCAGTTCAATATTATGATACGGTGAAGATAGGAATATGTGATTATTTTTGTACTTTTCTATGTCTGAATACTTCATTATTTAACCCTAAAAGAAAATATTAGAGAATATGTCTCAGAGAAATAAGAACTTGAGAGTCATTCTGTTAGGCCTTAAGTGGTCATTGGGAGAGCAGAGATTGACATTCTGTGAATAGGGCTCAGGGTCTTAACTGTAAAATAAATTAGATTATTTTAAGACTACCTCCAATTTGGAAGAAAGACTTTCAATTTTATGAATGTTTTGATAAAATCACAGCTGTTGGTCAATGAAAGCTTTAATTCTGTGAAGAGTGAAATAGTCCTCCAATTGGATCAGCTCTTTAGTTTTTACAATCAAGTGTCAACTTTGTTCTTAGCTGTACCTAAGGCATATAGACCACTTTCAGCAAGCATTCACTAGATTGACCAGCTATTATAAACTAGGCACTGTTCTAGGCACTCGAGATAAGACAGAAAACAAAACAGATTTTTAAAAAGTTCTACTTTCCCTGTTAAAAGAATGAAAAGACAAGTCACAGAGTGGAAGACAATATTTACAAAACACATCTGATAAAGGACTTATATCAAAAATATGAAGAGAACTCTTAAAACAGCATTAAGAAAGCAAACGATGCAACTTAAAAATGGGCAAAAGATCAAAACAGAAACTTCACTAAAGGTGGTGAGGATGTGGAGCAGCAGGAACTCTTATTCATTGCTGGTAGAAGTGCAAAATGGTACAGCCACTTTGGAAAACAGTCTAGCAGTTTCTTACAAGCTAAGCGTAGTCTTACCATACAATCCAGCAATTACACGCTTTGGTGTCTATCCAAATGAGTTGAAAATGTGTGTCCACAAAAAACCCTGCACACAAATGTTTATAGCAGCTTTATTCATCATTACCAAAACTTAGAGGCAACCAAGATGGCTTCAGTAGGTGAATGAATAACTAAATTGTGATATATCCAGACAATACAATATGATATGGTAATGAAAAGAAATTAGCTGTCAAGCCACAAAAAGATGTGGAGGAAATTTAAAGGCATATTGCTAAGTGAAAGAAGCCTGTCTGAAAAGACAACGTGCTGTATGATTCCAACTGTAAGACATTCTAGAAAAGGCAAAACTATAGAGACAGTGAAAAGATCAGAAGTTGCCAGTGGTTCAGGGATGGAGGGAAGAGGGATGAATAGGTGGAGCACAGGGGATTTTTTAGGATCACCTATGTGATCCTGTAATATGGATACATGACATTATACATTTGCCAAAACCCATAAGACTGTACGAAACAAAGAGTAAACTTACGTTAATAATAATGCATAAAGATCAGTTCATCAGTTGTAGCAAATGTACCACACTAATGCAAGATATTAATAACAAGGGAAATTTAGGGGGGTTAGGGTGAGATGGGAAAGGGCATTAAGGAAACTCTATGTACTTTCTACTCAATTTTTCTCTAAAATTAAAACTGATCTAAAAAATAAAGTCTACTAATTAAAAAAAAAGAATCCTTGTCTTTGTGGAGCATACACAATGGTTGGGGGAAATAAGTAATGTGTTTATAGAAGATGGAAATACTAATACATTCCATGGAGGAAGGAAAAAAGCAGAGAAAGCCAATAGAGAGTGAGGAGTTGCCATTTTAATTGGATGACATGGAAGGCTTCCATGAGAAAGGACATTTAAGAATCAATAAAAAACTCAAAATGCTTCCACTGGATGGGCACGCCAGACCTCATTTTCAATGAAGCATCTGTCAGAGGCTCAGGAAAACACTAGTGAAAGGGTAGATTAGATGACAACACTTAACCCTTGATCAGTGTTAACAGTACTAAAAATGGGACCACGAGACCTCATGTGCCGCCTGATGGAATGCAATCGGAAACACGCGATAGTACCTATGGAGTATTTGCCAAAATAAATGCATCTGAATCTAAGCAAGCTTCACACTCAGGCAGCAA
The DNA here is from genome assembly GCF_000001405.40 of Homo sapiens. NCBI lineage: Eukaryota > Metazoa > Chordata > Mammalia > Primates > Hominidae > Homo > Homo sapiens. The sequence goes on from NC_000013.11 coordinate 50,887,225, forward strand.
GCTCATGAAAAATACAAAGGAACAAGTTATTAGATTAATGGGTTGAATGAGAATGCGATCAGCAAAATCTGGCATGCCGGAAGTTCTACAGGACAAATGAACCAATGTCTTCAACAAACAAAAAAACGGCTAAAAATGGGGAAGTGGGAACTTTCATAGATTAGAAAATACCTAAGAGACATTTCAACCAAATGCAATTTGTGGACTTTACTCTGTGATTTCAACAGGACTGTAAAATATATTTGAGAAAATTGGGGACATTTGAACACGGACTGCGTAATAGGTGAAATAATAGAATTAATGTTAATTTTGTCAGGTATGATAATGGAATGGTGGGTTTGTGGTTTTTAAAAATGCTCATCTGTTCGATTTATATACTACTGACTTAATTATGGATAAAACAATATGACATCAAAAAAGGTGAATAATAGATAAAGCAAGATGGACAACTGGGGCTGGACCTGTGCTTGGTGGGTCCTTGGTGTACCTGGTGGGTCCTGAGCACCACCCCGGTGGTTCTAGGTGTGCCCTGTCAAATTCCTGAAAACTCCTCTTATAAATGTGCAAATATTTATAATCAGTTTTTTTTTTTTAATAAAAAGAGTCTAACATTCTATGGCGACATTATGTGTAAAAAAATTCCTTTGGATCAGTTATGTGAAATATTTTTTAAAAACCAAGAAAAATGTTAAAAATTGTTGAATTTGAATATTGTGTCAATGGGGTTCATTATACTGTCTTTCTACTTTTGGATGTTTGAGAATTTCCTTAATAGAACAATTTTGAAAGTCTAGGAATACTAAGAGATATTAGAAAATTAAAAGCAACAGTCTAAGACTGATTTTCAAGGTGTTTTGTTTTGGGTTAAAGACAATTTCTTTTAAAAGGCAATTATGGACAAGTCAAATATGCACAACAGATACATTTGGAACTACCTGACTGTGATGGAGTCACTCTTCTCTCCTCTGCCCCCAGAGATACAGCACATACAGTTTGAAGTTAGTTCAATTAAGGTAACAATTTTCATTGTCTACTAAGTCAACGACTCTCGGTCTTTTGGAATATGCTGGATGCTTTCTAGTGTTTACTAGAATACTTGAGTAGTAAATACTTTCTAGTATTTACTAGAACTTGGAGTAGCACAATTCAAAGGATTCAGTGAATTAAGAATATACCAATCAACAATAATTGCACTACAGCTGACTAACAATATCTCCTGGTATCCATAAAAGACATTGCCAATGAATACACTATTTGGTTTCCCTATCACAGTGTCACAGTGTCAAACAGTTTGTACTCAAACAACTTGAGTACAATTCTTTACTGTTCTGACTGCCTGTCTCTTATGTTTATGGCAAAGTCCCAGTGTGTTCCAGTCATTTCTTACTTTCCCTGTTACTTGACATTACCTCTTTCTCAGTGACTCTCTTCAACACAGCGTCACATAACATGATCATTCCAGTCATCTACACTGAACAAAAAGTTCAAAATGGGAGCAAACATAACCTTTACACATTGATAAAAATATGGTATCATTAATAGTCCATTAATTGGATGTTATGCTAATAGGTTTGATCATCTGAAAGCTATATACCTGGATTTATCTCCCCAGATACACCTTATTTATCATCCTAAATACACCATGAAGACCTAAAAGAAATATGAGGTAATATGCTCTAAATATAATTTTTGATATAAGATATGACAGAATAAAAATTGTTTGCATCTTTTTTGAAAATCACTATGGAAGATGTTGTCCACTGAATGACTCCTGTAAACCTATTTAAGTATCATAGTAGAGTTTACACATAGGAAAATGATTGCTTCCTTTTGTTTATAAATGATCTGTTTCTCTATGTTACCTTGACTTTCACATACGTGAGAGCTAAACTGAAGCTACCATAATTAATTTAGGTTCTCTTACACAACGAACCCTGCTCATTTCCATCCCATCCAGCTTTATTTAATGATTCTATTGATGTATCTGTTGTGGACATATTTTATTTTGTCCCCCCAGCCCAAACACTCCCTCTTCTGATAGCAGCAGCACCTTCTTTTAGATAAACCCTTCTCCCCACCTGTCCCAACTCCAACCTTGTCGTTTTAGTAATGCAGTCAACCTCTGCCTTCTGCCACTCTCAGACCATTGCCATGGTCTTTGCTGAAGGCCAGAGTCTTTGACCAGCATTATTTCAAATTGAAATCAAGGAACTAATGAAGGAGGCATCTTCTTGACCAGTGATAAGCCAGATGACCACAACCTCCAAGGTGTGAAAGAATGTGACACAGAAAGACAGACCAGAGTCTGAGACAGCTACTTTCAGCACCTGGTACTATTTCCTCCCAAACCAGATACATCCCTGCCCATTCAAGGGTTAGGTTACCTGAGCCAATAAGTGTTCCTCATGACTCCAGTGAGTTTCTGATTGGGTTTCTGTCACTTGCAATCAATATTACCCTGCCTAATACAGAGTACTTCATTGTGAGCTGTCTCAAGTCTTTTGCAGAAGCCTGCAGAGGAGACAGAATAAAGTAAGGCCATTTATTTAATAATTTATTTACTTCTTTATTTCATATAACTGGTTTATTTCCAAAGTTTATTTGCAATATGTTGAATGAATAGATAGATATTGGCTCCATTAGAAGGCCATCTTGAGCCTGGGCAACATAGGGAGACCCTCTCTCTACAAAAAAATTTAAAGAAAAAATTAGCTGGGTGTGGTGGCACATGCCTATAGTCCTAGCTACTCAGGAGGGTGAGGTGGAAAGATTGCTTGAGCCTGGGAGGTTGAGGCTGCAGTGAGCCGTGTTCATGTCACTGCATTCTAGCCCAGGCAAAAAAAAAAAAAAAAAAAAAAGCCATCTTGGCCATCTTCAGGAAGTAATATCCAAGAACTTCAATTACATTATTTTTTAAGGTAATTGTGCTTCAACCTTCAACACACTCAACTCCTCTAGGCTCCCCGGATTCTCTGGAGGCCCATGTAATGATATAGTTCTAGACTGGCAATTTAGTATATCTAGAAGTGCTGCCTTTCATAGATAAAAGGAACATTTGAGGCCATGCAAGTAAACTCATCAGTTCCTGTATGACATACGGAAACCCAGAAGTGTTAAGCCATCTGCCTAATATCACACAGCTCTCCATCACATCCCAAACCTGAATCAGATCCCAAACCTGAATCTAGCTCTTCTGATACCCAGCTCAGTGACTTTTCCACTGCACCATGCCCCCAAAGTCCTTTTCAGGACAGACATTAAAAAAGAAATAGACTTTGCTTTTCTTTGTAAAGCCATTGAGGCAGTTCTTCAGTTTCGTTGCAAGGAAAAATGGATCTTGCTCATGCAATGAAAAGTCTTGCAGTTTGAGAGGCTACTGTATGGGAGGACTGCCTAATGAGGGTCCTCAGAGCAGACTGCGGTGCAATAACACTGGGGTACGATAAGCTGGGGAGAGAGCATTCTGGGTCTGGCTTAAAGGGGTCCACAAGGGCCCTTAACTTCCCTTAGTTTTCTGACTTTTCTAAGTATACTTTTTTGCTAAGTGAATATAATAATAGTAATAATAACACCTATTGTATTTTACCAATCTCCTACAGTTATAGGAAGGATCAAAAGAAACGTGTGTAAAAGTACCTGGTAAAGAGGGAAGTGAATATTCTGTCATAGTACCAAAAATTTCCCGTTTGGGTCATCAGACAGTCTGAGATTCTGTTTTGTCTTTTCTAAGAACACTCCATGCCTATTCCAACCTTCCAGCCTTCCCTTGCCTGGAATGCGTTTTCCCTTTTCCTCCATGTCATGAAACCCTCTGCATCCTTTAAACACACTTTCTTTGCTAAAGTGCCTTTCTTGAGGGCTTTGCTCTGAATCCCTTCAGTGGAGTTTGTGGATCACTGTTGCACTCTGCTTTCTCTGGTCATTGCTTTGGGCTCTTTCTCTCTGGCTAGACTGTAAACCCCTTAAGCCAAGAACACTATTTTATATGCCCTCTCCTCCCAGAGTACATTAAAAAAGCAGTGGGTGCCAGTAGGCAGATGCTTCTTGAGTAGCTTAATAATCCCCAAGACAGCTCTTACTTGCTTGCAAAAGGCAATTGTGCACATCCCTTGCCAACTTTGGGTTCAGCAATGTCAGATGGATGGCTTGAAATTGGCAGAGCTCAGAGTATTTACACCACAGAAATTGGCAGATGCCACAGATGGTTTTTCTTTTTTCCCTGAGAGCCAGCTGTTAGCATTGACCAGCAGCCCATGCACTAAGGCAGATATAACATAGGTCTGCAACAGAGAAGAGAACATAGCTCTTAAAACAGGAGTCACAGCTGGTATAGCTCCACAGGAGAAGGTGGAACAAGCCTTATAAAGGATGCCCACAATCAAATTAGAGCTCCACAAATCTAAGTAACTAGAAAAAAAGCTGCAAGACCTTTCTACTTTAATACCAGTGATCTCATGTTTTTCTCAAGAGTATTATTAAAAAGGTGATAGACACGTGGAAATGGGAGAGGTAAGGGTGTTTTATCATTATTGTCAGGGGTGTAGAAACAAAAGCTTTAAAATTCTTTAAAATATATTTGAGGGGGAATACAATGGCTTGACAAAGCTTTATAATTACATAATTAATTATGGGGTGAAATGTGATTGCAGGGCCTTTGTATTTAAGTCTCATTCAGCATTCATGGCATCGAGAATTTTCTCCACTTTGCTATAAAAAGGATTTTGTTCTGAACAAAGAGAAAGAGAGAGCTGATATAATGTCATGCTTGGTGCAAATGGCAGCATAAGAAAGCAGAAGGTTGAGGTGACCAGCCAGGGGTGACCAGAAAAAAAGTGGGGTGGGGTGGGATGATCCACAAGCTTTCCTATTAGTTTTTTTTAAAATCCTTTTTCTTAATGTAAATTACCCACTGCATAAAACAGTATAACATTAGACATTTCTGATTTAAGGAATAGGATTAACGTAAATCTTATATTCCACTTATATGAATCAATAACTTTAGAAGAGATTATTTGCAAAATATCTGCCTGTAATCTCCTAGCATCTTCACTGCTGTGCACAGCCCCCACCCCTCCAGCCACATAGGAAGCAGGTGGTGTTTCCTGGGCAGGGGAACATGGCGCTGGGGGAGGTGGAGCTCATTTGTCTCTTGATCTTGCCTTTGGTGGTTGCATCCTTAGCTGGACCCCATGAGACACTTACCTTGCTTTCACAGAAATCACTCACTCTGTGAAAGAAATGAGAGTAAAGGAAGGGAAAGAAAATTAAGGAAGGCAGAAGTGAACATGGAAGAGAAAAACAATAAGAAAGAGGAAATAGAAGGGCCATGGTTTTGAAATACAACGCCTGGAAAACAGAAAATGAAAACAGAATAAAGGAATGAAATTGTAAAAGCTATGAAACAAAGTAATGAGAGAAATAAAATCTTAACTCTGAAAAAAATAGATGTGATTTATGACAAATATCAGGAAAGTGACTCAAGAGCATCCTGAAATCTCCTTGATAGTACCGAAGGGAGACCTGGGCTTCTTATGATCACTGACATCTGTAAAATAAGAATGGTAGCTGTAAATTTTGAAACGATGAAAAATAACCTTGTAGCAGGAATCAAAGGGAGAGTTTGATCTAATGTTGGCCAGAATGAGTCAAATACATTCACTTCGCTAAAGTGCTCTGCGTTGGTCAGCCGATTTTTCTTTTTTTTTTTTTTTAAAGTAAAATCTTTTTTTATTATTATTATACTTTAAGTTTTAGGGTACATGTGCACAATGTGCAGGTGAGTTACATATGTATACATGTGCCATGCTGGTGTGCTGCACCCATTAACTCGTCATTTAGCATTTTTCAGATTCTACGAGACCATTCAAATTCCAGCTCTGCTTGATATTCTCTCTCTTTGTAGTGTTGAGACAAAAGCCTTACAAATGTTTGTGTAGAGAAATCAGTGATGTTAAAAAAAGCAATCACTTGTATGAAAAATTCCAAAGACAGCACTAACATGAAATGATGAAAATGCCAAAGATATGAAAAATAAAGACAACTGTTACAAGACGTAACGGCTCTGAGTGTTTGCTTTTATGTGACAGATGTTTTTAACCAAAGCTCAACACTGGCAGTTTGAGTACACTTCTGATTTTAATTTGTGTTCTATCCCCTTTTCGTATTGATGTCTACTCACATCTGTGAAGGCTCTGTAACCTGAATTTGACAGGGGAAAGTGAACAGACTGCTTTTGGAGTGCTTCCATTAAGTCCACATAACAGACTGTTAACAAAAATCTTAAATAGCTATTCTAATCATCAACAGCAATCTTACACAAATTAAATTAGGCCCAAAGGGCCCGATTAACTTTAAAATGCCTTACAGGCATGAAACATAAATTTAACTTATTTTCCCCCTTTGGAGTAGAAAGAGAGTTGTTCAGTGTGACTCAGATGCACAGTTTAAAAAAAAAAAAAGTATGCATGCTGTGAAGACATGGAGACAGGGTTTCATTTTCTTTTTCAGGAAACCACACTTACAGGCATTGAAATTCAGTTAGGCCACAGCCATGCTCCCTGTTTACATGCAAAGTAGATGCATTAAGGTTTTCAAGGTTTTAAAGTAGATGCATTAAGGTAGAGTTTTTGCAGATGGCACAGCTACTCTAATCAGCTCAAGGAAGTCCTATTGCTAAAGAAAGGAGACATATATCAACATGCATTAACATTAAAATGATGCCTTCAGAAGAGGTAAAAGTTGAACTAGAATTTCTGTAGTTCAAACCCACCTATCAAGAAATGGGTTAGATTCATGATTTAAAATTATACCACAAATCAAAGAAAAAATACTTTTTTAAGTGTCTGCTCTTCTTTATTTTAGCCAAATCTCTAGAGGTCTGTCCAAATATATTTCTTGAATTTTCTTGAACTAGCCAGCAGGTTCATCACTTGTGGATTTGCTGTAGTCTCCAATCCTCACAAGTGTTTGATAGCTTTTCTTAGGCAACTTCCTTCCAGCTGCATGGAACATGTAATTTCGGCCCAAGTCAATAGCAGTGAATGAGAAACCCAGATGCCAGGGAAAGGCAGCCTCCCAATAGATAGAAAACACCTGAAACTGGTGATCAGCAGCTTCCGGATAAGATCTCAGGAGTTGGGCCAGTGGGTTCAAGCATGCACACTAAGAGGCAAAATGGCAGAGTTTGACTGGTATATGACCTTCTAGGAGCAATCAACTGGTAAGAGAAGAGTGCTTCAAGTAAGCATGTGTACAACTCCAGTAAACACACTGCGCATGCGGCCCCTCCCAAGCACTAGCACACAAGTGGTCAGCCCACCCCAAGGGAAGAATCAGGGGAGAGGGGACCCAAGACCCTGTAAGTATGTCAGCATATAAAACTCAAAGTCAAAAGGTCAAACTGTGTACTTGATCTCCCAAGTTGCTTGCTTGGCCCTCTTCCAAGTGTACTTTACTCCCTTTCATTCCTGCTCTAAAGCTTTTTAATACACTTTCACCACTGCTCTAAAACTTGCCTCAGTCTCTCACTCTGCCTTATGCCCCTGAGCCAAATTCTTTCTTCTGAGAAGGTAAGAATTGTTGCTGCAGACCTATACAGATTCACCGCCAGTAACACTTTCAGCTCTTACAAGACCATTATAGACACCCGTGCTTGTCAACAACCTCCTGCTCTGATAACCTCAACATAAATTTATTTCATCAAACAGCAGATGCTCTCTTGTCCCACCAGCCCAGACACCAGTGGGTGAGAGTCATGGAAGGTGTTCATTTTCTGCAAAATATTCATTAGTACTTTAGAGAACCAAAGTAATTTTCAGAAAACTACCTATTTTCCAAATACCTCAGAGGAAACTGACCATATCTGGATCACTGGTGATAGAACCTAATTAGGTGAAGCCAATGGCAGTCTTCCATCCCCTGAGATTAGTACAGGGATGGGCACCATAATCCGAGATGAAATAAGCAGAATAAAAACAAGGACTCATATTTCATGTTACATTGTATACCAGGAAGTATATATCCCCCATGGCCACTGGCAGCCATATTGCGAGCACAAGGAGAACCAGTCTTAGGATGAAACTAATGCTGCCCTACCTTTGAAATCCAGTTATGTAGATAAATGTTCTTATTGCATACACAAGCTTGAGTCAGGTATTTTGATTCCTCGTAGGTGAAACTACTTAATTAATTTAAGTGGTCTTATGAGTAATTTGTACTCCAATGTCTCTGAAATTTTCCTAGAATTTAACTACTAATCCCAGGGACTGGGCCAGAAGAAGCTCTAAGTAGTAAACAATATAACTCAATGTTGTCCTCTTTTTCCAGTGCTAGAGCACTGTGGTTGACCCAAGGGTGTGAGCTTCTTTTAGTGGGTTATTCTCCCAAGATAATTCTATCATTATGCAACTAGACTTTTCCTACCCACCTGAAAAATAGGCCCTGTTATACCCTACGATGTCAAGCTAGGCTCATGCTGGAACTCCCAAAACATGAACAAATGTAGTTTTATAAAGTTTGAGCTGAAAAAATGTTGTGTTTTTTTTTTTTTCTTTTAGTTTATTCAGCTTAATCCCCTCTTTTTAGGTAAACCTACAATGGGGAAATGACTTGACTAAGAAAGCAATAGACTAGACCTAGAGATAGGACAGAGCCCAAGGCTTCAGTTCTGTGCTCGACCTGCTGTCCTGGTACACTGAGGCTGAAAACTCATTTCCAGCACCCCTTCTCAATGGCACATGAACATTATATAAACACTGTATAGTTAAGTCGTCTGAATTTTTCATTTTTGCCATATTAGCTGTTATTACTGTTATTGGTGTTTTCTGAGAAATAACTAGCTCACAGTGCTTAGATGCAGTGAAAATCTAAAGGACAAACCATTTGGAAAAGAGTTTAAAGCTCCAAGTTAAGGTTCAGCATCAGTTGTCCTACTGATGTTGAGGTTATCTGATTATACTTAGGCTTCTTAAGCATGTTCTAAAATAATCAAGTAATCAGTTAACAAAACACCCTATATTTTAATATAAAAAAGCACAAATAGCAAGATGAACTTTTATTTTATAAAGAATCCATATTAAATGCTTAATTATGAACGTTGCTGCTAAAGAAGTCTTTGAAATGTCATTTTCAATATATCCTTGACCTACTTAAGAACAGACACTTGTTTCTTTTCTCCATCCTCAAATTTAGAAATCTCTGGCTGATTTTTAAAGCATTTTGTAGATCACATCAAGTTAAAAAGCTTCTGCACAGCAAAGAAAACAATCAACAGAATGAAGAGAAAACCCACAGAAATATTTGCAAACTACCCAACTGACAAGGAATTCATAACCAGGAAATGTAAGGCGCTCAAACAACTTTACAGGAAAAAAATCTAATAACCCAATTTAAAAATAGACAAAAGATCTGAATAGACATTTCTCCAAAGAAGACATGCAAATGGCAAACAGGTGTATGAAAAGGTGCTCAACATCATGATCATTAGAGACATGCAAATCAAAACTACAATGAAATATCATTTCACCCCAGTTAAAGTGGCTTTTATCCAAAACACAGGCAATAACAAATGCTGGCGAGGATGTGCAGAAAAGAGAACACTTACACACTGTTGGTGGGAATGTAAATTAGTACAACCACTGTGGAGAACAGCTTGGAGGTTCCTAAAAAAAGCTGTAAATAAAGCTGCCATATGATCCAGCAATCTCACTGCTGAGTATAGACCCAAAAGAAAGGAAACCAGTATATCAAAGAGATATCTGCACTCCCATATTTATTGCAACACAATTCACAATAGCCAGGATTTGGAAGCAACCTAAGTGTCCATAGACAGATGAATAGATAAAGAAAACGTGGTACATGCACACAATGGAGCATTATTCAACCATAAAAAAGAATGAGATCCTGTCATTTGCAACAACATGGATGGAACCAGAGGTCATTATGTTAAGTGAAATAAGCCAGACACAGAAAGACCAACTTTGCATGTTCTCACTTATTTGTGGGAGCTAAAAATTAAAATCATTGAACTCATGGAGATAGAGAGTAGAAGGATGGCTACTAGAGGCTGTGAAGAGTAGTGGTGGAGGTGGCAGGGAGTGGTGATGGTTAATGGGTACAAAAAAAATGGTTGGAAAGAATGAATAAAACCTAGTATTTTGACAGCACAACAGCATGACTATAGTCAATAATGATTTTATTGTACATTTAAAAACAACTGAAAGAGGATGATTGGATTGTTTGTAGCACAAAGGATAAATGCTTGAGGTGATAGATACTCCATTTACTTTGATGTGATTATTACACATTGCATGCCTGTATCAAAATACCCCATAAATATATACACTTATGTACCCACGAAAATTAAAAATTTAAAAATAAATAAATAAAAAGCAATCCGTGACCACCAATTATTCAGCTATTTCACTTCATCACCTCCTGTATTCTCTGAAACATCTGCACTATAGCCAGAAACTTCCATTTAACAACATGCTATGGTATTCGGGAGTATTCCTCCCTCAGGTTTCAGCCTATGTTTACCCTATACCTGAAATGCCCTCTCAACCAACTCTTCCATGACAGTTCAAGTTCCATTCATCCTATGGGGCTCTTTATAAATGCCTTCTCATTCATGATGAGTCCAGCCCATACTGATTGTCCTTACCTTTTCTTGCTTTCACAACTGTGCTACCGATTGTTGTGTTATGGTTTTTTTTTAATATTTCATGTGTGGATTTTTTCAAATTTGATTGTAAGCTGTTAAAGAATAAGCAATGATGTTTTTCTTTCTTACATGCATTCTACAGAGCATCTTGCACATATGGAAGTTGAAAGCTCCTCTACAAGCTTACTGATTGATGGATAGAAATAACTAGAGTACAAGTGAAGTGGTGCCCTCTTTGCCTTCCTCCCCTCTCCAGGGCCTTCACTGCCACTGTCCTGTTAGAGTACCATTAACTTCCAATGTTAGAACAGGCTCTTGATGGCTGAGGACCAAGTTTTGTTTGTTTGTTTTTGTTCTCTTCCACTGCGTTCTTTCTGCCTTGCTGTAGATTCTGAGTAGATCAGTTAAGATCTTCACGCCTATAGAAATGGCAGACAGAATCTCAAATTTTAAAGGACAACTAGGATGTTGATAATCTCTTCTGGTTCCAAGTAGGGTAGAGCATAAGCTGTTTCAGCAAAGTTCTTGTTCTCAAAATCCCCAGGCAATCTTAGGTGTCTTGCAGAGATATGAAGTTATTTCTAATATCTAATCTAAATCTCTGTCTGCCACTCAAGTCTCTTCCCTTTATCACAACCCTAAGTGAAAACAGGAACTAGGGCTTTCTTTGCTGAAAACCGTGTCCACACCATATAGCTATTTTTAAAAAGATGTATTCCCAGCTTATCTTCTTTACAAGTTAAGGACATGGTGTTGTGTTTTATATCTGGTCTCTGTTTGAAAATAAATGGCCATCTAGAGTACAGGCTATAAGGAAGTAAGCTCTTCTTCAAACATACAGAAAGTAGAGACAAATTTTGTCACATTTGCTTTAAATATTTTATTTTAAAATTTGAACTATTATAGATGTAGGTGAATGATGCCTTTGTACCACTGCCTGTTTTCCCTTCCAAAGAGTGATGACTATTCAGGGACATTTTTTTTCCTGGCAAGTTTAAAAATAATATATATGTATATTCACAGAAATATATATAACGAACATATCTCATATACACATATATATCATATACATGTTTATGTCATGGGATATCTACATAAATTCCATATACAATATGCACCATTTTTAAGTGTTCATATTCTTTATGTAAATCATACCACAGTATATGTATCACTCTGGAACTTTCTTATACTTAAGACTTAGTATGTTCTTAAGATTTCACTTATGCATCTACAGTAATGTGTTACTTAACAACAGGGACACATTCTGAGAAATGCATCATTAGGCGATTTTACCATTGTGTGATTACCACAGAGTGTACTTACACACACCCAAATAGTGTAGCCTACTACATACCTAGGCTGTATGGTGTAGCCTATTGCATCTAGGCTACAAACCTGTATAGCACGTTACTATACTGAATACTGTAGGCAATTGAAACACAATGGTCTTTGTGTATCTAAACATATCAAACATAGAAAAGGTACAGTAAAAATACAATATTATATTCTTCAGGACTGCTGTCATATATGAAGTTTGTTGTTGATGAAATGTCATTACGCAGTACATGACTGTATTATAAAACTTGAACCCATCCTATGGTAAATCTAAGAACTTTCCGCAGCAGAAAAAAATATCTAAAACCAGAATCTAGTTAAAAATGAATTTTGAGTTTTGAAAGGGCAATTTAACAGTTTGGAAAAGTACCAATGCTTATACACTCATAAAATCATGCTGCTTTCAAACATTTTAAGAAACTCTCAAAATATTTTGAGACACAGTTGTAAAGTTTTCCCTGTTTTCTAAAAATAAATATATCTAAAGATTGGTCTGGAGATAATGAACAAAAATCTATTAGTAAATTTACTAATTAGGGTCATGTCTATGTGTTTATGAAAACATTAAACATTTGTTTATTTGAAGTAAAATCACTTTAGCCAACTACCATAAATATTGGCTGCCTGTCAGAAATGATGTACCCGAATTTCACGTTTTTCATTTCCTCATGGTAACCCAGCCCACACAATATTTTTATATAATGACAGCTGTCAGGAAAGCAGAATATCTTATATATACATTGTATTTTGATTAATGAGCTAATGATGGTTCTCTGTTTAAAGTAATTAGCCCCCAATGTGGTTTTTAGCCAAAGTGTGCTCAGAGTTGACAATGATGTGATTATGTTATCCAGTTAGGGTATAGCCAAAATGATCACATTGCCTATAGCAATGCTTTTTGAAGTGCCATTACTAGGTTATAAAATCAACTTAATATATTTTATTAGGGTTGAATAAAGAAAAGAAACCTAATAGATTAGAATATACCAAAGATATTAGCATACCTTGAGTACAACATGTGTAGGTTTATGAAACCTTTGTTTTAATAATGTGTGTATCTTTTGTGTGACTGCAAAGTCATCCTATAAAATGTATTTCTGACCGTGGATTACAGTAAAAACATTTTTAGAAACCCTAGGCTTCTTTCAGGTTTTTATTGCAACTGAAGTTGTTCTAGCTTTGGCCCTTGGCTGTGTAATGATTGAAGTCATTCCCTTATACACACTTATGCTTTCTTACCACCCCTTGGCCAGCCCTTTGGTGGAGCCCATTTCATCCCTGCCAATGGCATGTGAGGTCCTCACTTCTCCAGCTTTACCTCTTACTGCCCTTTCCCTCTTGTTCAGTCCATAGCCTTCTTTGCTGTCCTTGAACGTGCCGTGCAGGCTGCAGCTGCAGTGCCTTTCCACTGTCTGTTCCCTCTGCCTGGAACACTCTTCACTCTGGTATTCACACGCCTACCTCCTTTTCTTCCTTCAAGTCTTTGCTCAAATGTTAGCTCCTTTATGAAGCCCACTGTGACCACGTTATTTAAAATAGCAACCCTCCTCTTTTTTCTCACAGACCTCCTTTTTCTGCTATATTTCTTTCCTCCACAGCACCAGCCACCTTCTATCACATTGTAGAATGTATTTATTATGTGTATTGTTTGTCTGTCTCCCTCTACTAGACATAAAGTCCAGGAGGGTAGGTATTTTAGTATGTTTTATTTATGGATTTAATTCAAGCAACTAGAACAGTGTCTGGCACAAAGTAGGTATCAATAAATATTGATGAGCTAATTCAGATTGGTCCAGATCATGAGAGAGAGAGAAAAAGAGAGTGGCCAAGCATCAGATACAAATTTACAGGAGATTCTAGTGCATTCTTTTTTTTTTTTTTTTTTTTTTTTTTGAGACGGAGTCTCGCTCTGTCGCCCAGGCTGGAGTGCAGTGGCGGGATCTCGGCTCACTGCAAGCTCCGCCTCCCGGGTTCACGCCATTCTCCTGCCTCAGCCTCCCAAGTAGCTGGGACTACAGGCGCCCGCCACTACGCCCGGCTAATTTTTTGTATTTTTAGTAGAGACGGGGTTTCACCGTTTTAGCCGGGATGGTCTCGATCTCCTGACCTCGTGATTCGCCCGCCTCGGCCTCCCAAAGTGCTGGGATTACAGGCGTGAGCCACCGCGCCCGGCCTCTAGTGCATTCTTAAGTTATGTCCTGTCTTTTATGAGAAACTTCTAACTCTCCTTTGAAGTAGCTATTCTTTTTACATTTTCTCCTTATAGGGCCCATTCCCATCTGGCTCTACAAGATATTAGAGCAACAGCTTCTACTAACTTCTAGGAATTCATCCAGAAGAGTGTATTGAAAGTCAAAAAAAAAAAGGAGTCTCTGTTTACAATTTATAGTCTTAATATAACTAATCTAGGCAAAATCATCAAAACATGTGCTTCTGCTGAACTTATTTATCCAACATGGAAAATAAAATAGTAAAAAAAGGTCAGAAAATAAATCTTGGGGATAGTTGGTTTACAACATAAAACTAAGGAAGAAAAGTAACAGGATCAGTGCAATGGGCCCAGTTTCCCCCGCCCCTGCTGGAGTTACCACATTTAGTGAATAAACTAAACTGTGGAGTTGGCTCTGCTGCTGAGGCAGGAGTGTTATGTACTTGGGCCATCTCATTCATTTCCCGCCTGAAAATTTCCAACATAGCCAGAAAGACAGGCTGCTACTTGCACCTAATGAAGTCAACAATGCCTTTGTGTACTGACTCCAAAAATGATAGCTTGATCTGGACATTGTTATATGAAGCATATGTAAAGTAGCTTCTGTTTTGCAAGAGTTAGATTATTATTAAATAAATCATTTCTGGAAAAAATGGTAGAAAGTCACTTCTGAGTTGTACATGGTTACCACAGGAATGTCATTTGGATGTTTGCTCACTGAAGACACACCTGATGTTAGAAATAAGAAACGGAGGCAACTTCAAATACATTGACATCATAAAATAGCAAGCAAGCAAACAAAAAATGCACAAAAGCTCAGCAAGGGGTGTCTAAAGATTTGGCCACTCCTTTTAATCATTGTCCTAACCTCTGTTATTTATTTAAAATACTGTTCAGATTATGTAAAAAGCAAAAAAAGTATTTTTTTTCTTCTATCCCCAAATTTTTACCTTCTTTGTCCCAATCTATACTTATGGTCTGAGCAATGTGAACATCAATTCAGCTATAAAGCTCCTTTTAACTCAGTGTTTAACTCTGAAACCAGAAATGTTGCACCATAGCTTGTTCATACTTCTTAATCTTTTAAATCTTAATCCACATTTTAAGTAGATAGCAATATGTCTGGAGAGTGCCCATCCACAAGAAGGTGACAGAGTCTATTTCGTTATAGGCGTGCCACTTTTTTGTCAATTTAGTCACAATTTAATCAATTACTGCCATTACTATGGAAATTACTACAGAATGAATATTGTAGTCTTTAAGTACAGAGCAATCCTTTTACATTTTAACTCAATATTAAATCCTTTTTAAATCTCTAGTTTCTTCCCAAATCCAGAACAAAGGATGCTTGCTTTGTTACAATCTTCACCTCTAGTATAATCTTAATAAGAAATACAAAAGACTCATTTACTCTGCCTAAAAGTTTTGATAAAGGTATTTTTTGGAATGTGCTGCATGTTTATGCTAAAAATAGAGAAATTATAAGCACTTTTAAAGGATAATCTGTTTATTAATTGAATTATATTATCAAAGAATTAGAGATATTTAGTGAACAAATGAAGAAGACTAAGTTTTCAGAAATGTTGCTTTTGCATGATCAATATAATTGCAAAAGTCAACATGAAATTGACATTATTCTGTGGAAGTTACAACACTTTCTCTTTAAATACTCAGTCAATATTACCTATTTTTGCTCTTAAGCAAAACATTGGGTGAAATGCTCACATTACCAGAAAAATTTGTTAATCTTTGGCAAGCAACAAACCATGTTTAGTACTTGCATTTCCTGTTTTACAGATGTTTTGTTAGACTGAATTAATAAAATATCTTATTACTATTTGAAGAGTATTTTACTTATAGTGAGAAAGCAGCAGATATGAACAGCTTTGATTTTAGTAATGTGTCTCCTTAAGCCTCTTAATTGTAGAGACTGTTGGTAAAAGTAATTAAGATTTACCAAAAGAGAATCAGGATATCATTGTTTAGGCACCTAAGAGGAAGAACAGGGTAAAATGAAGCCAGAAATTAATAGTATTTCCACCATCAAATTAAAAATACTAAAAATTTTAGAAAATATATCACAGTTGAAGTGATTCAAGTGCAACTATGGTTAGACTTTAGTAACCACCCTTTTATTCTTATTATTCTTTTTAACTGTGATCATATTTTCTATAAAAGTTTATATCCTGCTTCAAAAAACAATTTTTTAAAATTTTGGTTTCCCCATTTATTATCATGTTAAAAAATGCATAGCTTGAAAAAAATCTCAAACACACTGCATTGTAGAAAATATTAATAGCATATGTAAAAGCAAATTAGGTGATGATAACTAGGACATCAAGTTATTAAGATTATATGAATTGTGTGATGGTTGCTAGGGTGCCAGGCAGCAAAATGTGTAATTATCTGATTATCTGATTTATTTAATTCTGGCAGTCTATCTCTACAGATACTTCAGCCAGAAAAGTATACTTTGGAGCTTGAATTACCTGAATTTCTAGCTACCTTGATTTTATATAAATATATGTAACACTTATAACTATATACACACACATACACATATGGAAATGTGTAAACATAGCACCAATACTCTTCAGCCAAGGAAGCCAGGAAGTCACCTGTAGTTGAACAAGTTTGGTTCATTACTTGTTGCAGCAAGGAAGAACACACATCACGGAAATCATGGGTGTTTCAGTAAGAGGGTGTTAGAAAGGACCTTATAGGATTTGGGCTTTGATTGAGTGATTTGAGGTAGAGTCTAAGGCAGCGGGGATTCCCTCTAGATTGGATGCTGTTAGAAAGTGGAGCACTTCTGTAATGGGAGATCTCACTTACTCTTATAGGAAGGGGAAACTATAGTGAGAATAAAGTTGTCATTGGTAAAGAAGGAGCACTCATTTTGGCCAAGAGATAGGATGTTTGGTACTTCATGGGTGGCAAAGTGACTTGCTTTTGTCTGTGCTCACACAAAATTATGAATGGTCTTATTTAATCATGGTCTCAAAGTAGCCCGGTCAGAGGCTGGTTTTCTGTGAGATGGTTCATGTCTAATGGGAGAATCGCAGGGTCTGCCTATGAGAGCCAGGCCAGCTTCTGGGTGTCAGGTGCTGCCCTTTTTCCTTCCTCAATAGCTTCAGTCATTCTTATGCTACGATGGGCAGATCTCACAAGTTTATGTGTGCCTTTTTTTCACACTGCCAAGTACAGTTCAGTTTTAGGTTGGGTTGGTTACGAGAGAACAGAAAGGGAATATTCTTCCCAGAAAGAATGATTCAGTGCTACTCATACTCACTGGTCCCCTTTCTACATAGTTGATGCTCTCGAGAGCGGACTTTTCTCCCAATCTGATGCTTCAGGATGATGGTGCTTTCTCTATTGTCACTCAATGAGCATTTGATGGCAGGAAAATTTGGTAGAAGAGAACAACTTTTTCTCCTGAGAAAAATGATGATAAACATGGATTTTAATTTTAATTTTGTTTTGAAAGAAGCAATCTTACAGATTTTTAATAATATAGAGGAGAAAATATTCTTCCACTACCTTTAATACAATGTCTGTCTGCTCTAATTACCACTAAGCATTGCTGAAGGTTATTTGGCACTGAATTCTTCTCCCGTGCCCCACCCAGTTTTTTTTTTCTTTTTTCTCTTTTTACTAAAAACCAAACATCTATTGTTTCCAGCATTTAGAAGAGTCTCAAATTTTCTACTCAAGAGGTGTTAAGTTGCTGCTCCCTTCTTATTCTTTGTACAGAACTAGTACAGACTAGTACTGCAAGTAATTCACAGACTGTTTTATGATATACTAGATGTAATCAATTTGTTTTGATTTATAAAATTGGGAATACCACAAGCCACGACAGCTTAGCTATCCGCATAAATATTTACTCAAAAAATATTTGCTGAGCACATGCTATGTTTCCATATTATTTTGTCCCAGGCATGGGGACACCAGGGAGGGAAGGAAGGTGAAGAGCCCAGTCTCTGGAGTCCTAAGGCCTGGGTTGGAATTCCTGCTCAGCCACTTGCTAGTCATGTCATCATAGGCAGGTACTTGATCTCTCTCGACTCTACATTCTTCCTCTGTAAAATGTGGGTGACTAAATAATACTTACCCTTAATGCTGTGGGAGGGCTGAAAGAGGTCATTCGAGTTAACTGCTTAGTGCAGTGCTCAGCATAGTTAATACTCAGTGAAGCCATTGTTATTTTTTGACAAGATAGTGGTGAATTACTAGATGCTATTCTTCCCTCAAGGAACTGACTGGTTCCTCTCACTGGTGAAATTGGAGGCATCTCACTTATTCTTGGGAAGAGTATTAGGAGGCAGGAAGAGAAGGCACTTAGTAAGACCTGATGGATGAGTGAGAGTTGTCCTGGCAGTGGTAAAGGGTAAGGGAGAAGGGAAGGAATGATGCTTGTGGAGAACAGGATGGTCTCAGCATTGGGGACACAATACCAAGTGCTAGATGTGACAGAGAAGAGAACCACAGGCAGTTCCTTGTGGCCACACTGTGGACTGGGTGGAGAGCGACATAGGTGGTGGGAACTGTAGCTGGGGAGTCCAGCCAGGACCGGATCTCAAGGGCCATGTGTTCAAAGCTTAGCACCTTAGACTTTACCTTGAAGACAACAGGGATCTGGAGTCAGCCTATCAGTAATGGTATCCTTTTCAAAAAGGTACTTACATAATTTTTTTTAATGATAAAGGAAATTATTTACAGAAAGGGCAGAGTTCATTGTTTTCTCATTCACAGAGTATAGCAACCGTTACCCGTACGAGCCTGGGCCTCTCATTTAATTTCTCCTGCCCCTCATTCCTTACCCATGCTTTCTCCCATTCCTCTCCATATTAAAGACACCCATATTTTATTTAAGTCCCAGAGTATATGTGCAGGATGTGCAGGTTTGTTCCATAGGTAAACGTGTGCCATGGCAGTTTGCTTCACCTATCACCCCATCACCTAAGCATTAAACTCAGTATGCATTAGCTCTTTTCTCTAATGATCTCCTCCCCGACCACCCTCCGCTTACAGGCCCCAGTGTGTGTTGTTCCCCTCCCTGTGTCCATGTGTTCTCATTGTTCAGCTCCCACTTATAAGTTAGAACATGCGGTGTTTGGTTTTCTGCGTCTGCATTCGTTTGCTGAGGATAATGACCTCCAGCTTCATCCATGTCTCTGCAAAGTACATGATCTCATTCCTTTTTATGGCTGCATGGTATTCTGTGGTGTATGTGTACATTTTCTTTATCCAGTCTATCATCGATGGGCATTTGGGTTGATTCCATGTCTTTGCTATTGTGAATAGTGCTGCAATGAACATACACATGCATGTATCTTTATAATAAAATGATTTATATTCCTTTAGGTATATACCCAGTAATGGGATCGCTGAGTCAAATGGTATTTCCAGCTCTAAATCTTTGAGGAATCACCACACTGTCTTCCACAATGGTTGAACTAATTTACATTCCCACCAACAGTGTAAAAGAGTTCCTATTTCTCCCCAGTCTTGCCAGTATCTGTTGTTTCTTTTTTTTTTTTTTTTTTTTTGAGACGGAGTTTTGCTCTCGTTGCCCAGGCTGGAGTGCAATAGCGCGATCTTGGCTCACTGCAACCTCTGCCTCCCAGGTTCAAGCAATTCTCCTGCCTCAGCCTCCCGAGTAGCTGGGATTACAGACACGCACCAACACGCCTGGCTAATATTTTTTGTATTTTTAGTAGAGATGGGGTTTCTCCATGTTGGTCAGGCTGGTCTTGAACTCCTGACCTCAGGTGATCCGCCCACCTCGGCCTCCCAAAGTGCTGGGATTACAGGCGTGATCCACCGTGCCCGGCCTCATCTGTTGTTTCTTGACTTTTTAATAACCACCATTTTGACTGCCATGAGATGGTATATCATTGTGGTTTTGATTTCCATTTCTCTAATGATCAGTGATGTTGAACTTTTTTCATATGTTTGTTGGCCACATGTATGTAAAGACACCCATTTCTTTATGTGCTTGACATGGCCTTAAATATGCATGTATCCTTGTAAATTACATCGTGTTGTTCTTTGTGCCTTTTAAATTTACCTACATGGTATTCTGCTAAAAATAATTTCCTGCATCTAAATTTTTTTCTTTAGATACAAAGCATCTGTTTGTATATGTACACCAATCACTGTGTCAAACTGCTGTATACATAGCCCATATACAATACACATGGTAGCATTATTTATAATAACAGTTTGAAATAACCTAAATACTGCACACTAGGGAATGGATAACTAACCCTAGTACACCAGCTGTGTTAAATATCATGCCTTCATTAACAATGATACTTCTCGATATGAAGGGGCACATGCTTATGACAATGTTAAGTGAGAAAAGCAGACAAAACAGTCTAAATTGTGACAACAACCACAAAAATATACATTAATACAGCCAAGGGCTAGAAAGGATCAGAGAAAAATGAAACAGGTATGTATGTCTGAGCAAGGGAATCATGGGTAACATTTCTCATGTACAGTAGCTCCCCCTATTCGAAGTTTCGCTTTCCAAGGTGTCAGTTACCCCCAGTCGAACTTGGTCCAAAAATATTACACGAAAAATTCCAGAAACAATTCGTAAGTTTTAAATTGTACAGTGTTCTGAGTGGTGTGAAGAAATCTTGCACCATCCAGCTTCGTCCTGCAAAG